>NC_000002.12:161239618-162489618 GCF_000001405.40 Homo sapiens | reverse complement strand
AAAAACATGTAAATAAGATCATTGTCTTCAAGGGCCTTTGATTAAATAGAGACTTTGAGTTTTGAGATCTTAGATTATGTTTTCTAGTCGTCTCTGGTCAAATAAATATATTCTATTATCTAGTCCAAGCTTGTATAGCCCTCAGCCCGTGAGCTGCATGTGGGTCAGGATGACTTTGAATGTGACCCAGACAAATTTGTAAACTTTCTTAGAACATTATGAGATTTTTTTGCATTTTTTTTTTAGCTCATCGGCTATCATTAGTGTTAGTGTACTTAATGTGTGGCCCAAAACAATTATTCTTCTTCCAGTGTGGCCCAGAGAAGCCAAAATATTGGACATCCCTGATTCTGGTCAATGATGAGGAAAAAATAAAAACATTTTACAAGCTATTGACTACTTCAAGCATGTTGTATGCTACGTATATAATAAATACAAAATAAGAGTGTGTGTTTCTTGAAAGGAGAAGTGTGGAATTTTTAATTAAGCAGCAAATTAGTTTTCTATTTTTACTAAATGCTATATGCATATCAATACAATCACATAATGACATATATTCTAAATTAAAATGTTATTTCAGTTTAAAATACCGAATTAGCTAGGTAATTAATAAGTGTGAAAAATCACACTTCTGTGTATTCTAGATGATGAAGGAATAACATATCTATATGAAATCCTGGTAGCCAACTGACTAAGCACCGTAGCTTGAAGGGGAAGCATTTATGTGTAATTCTGTTAAAAAGCACCTGTTGGGTTTTATATGTTCGTTATGCCGGGCAAGGTGTCGGAGCCCTGGCACTGGGAAGTGGTCGACTCATGGGTTGGTAAAAAGAATTACTGGCAACAGTATAAGTTTGAAAAGGGAAAGTTTATTAGAAAGGAAGAACACTGCAAAACAGTGCAGTGGGGCACCTCAGTGAGAGGACTGAGCGCAGATTTTTCTTTTGGGATATTTATGGACCTTATGGTGGGAGTGTAGGATTGTAAAATGAGTTTCAGCATGGCATTCCAGAGATGTATAGAAAGTTTTGTTACTTATAAGCTTTTAGGAGGGAAAGAGATCTGGAACAAGATGCCTGCTTTTGATAATGGGAAAGTCTAATTACTTCTAATTTTCCCCAGATAAGGAGTTTTGCCTCTGGATGGCCTGATTGATGGTGGTCTTTGCTACCTTCTAAATTCCTCAGATAAGGAGTTTTTGTATCTGAGGCATGTTCAATGATCACCAAGTGATTTTTGCTCTTCTCACATCACACATTTTAAAGCTAAGGGAAGAAAAAAAATATCATATCCTTTAAAAGTTCTGTTGGACAAAAAATCAGGTTGAAAGTAGCTGCTTGAAGTAAAGAAGTAAAATACAAATGGTCAGAAGAGGTAAAATTAGGTAAAATTTAACTTGGCTTGAGTACCTGGTAATAGCCTGGTTGCTTTGGCAACTAAGACCTTGGAAAGATTGTTGATATCTGTTGTCAAGATGGCTCAGGTCTTTCTTCACCAGTTGTTGTCAATCTTGAGATAAAAGTCAGACCCAGGAACAGAAAAGAAGCACAGGGAGAGAGTTTCTCTGCTCCTTTGCCCTCCTGGCCTGAGGGTTGGGACAAACACATAGTTCAAGGTGGGTTGCCTAATGAGAGTGAGCTAAAGCAGTACATATTCCATGTATCAGAGAGCAAGAATTAGGCAGAGGACATTTATCACAGAAAAATTCCGTAGCAGACGTGGCATTTTCACACATCCAAGCAGCCTAAGGCCTTGTAAGCTTCATTGACTACAGCTATTCCCTGAGTTAGGAAGTGAATTCCAACTTGGGAACTTATTTAGAAAGAAATCCCATATAGAAAGGTAAAATAACATAAAAGGTCTCATTGATTATCTGGGTGTGAGATTGTGGGTAATACATTTTCCCCCTCTAGCTCTATTTCTCTGTATTTTGCAGATCTCATTTATAATGGAAAAATATGCAGTTAGATAATAAACCCTCTAGAACTCAATTGTTTCTAAAGAGTTCATTAAAAAGCATTTCATCTTCACAGGATTTTAAAATTCAAAGGAGCCTTAGATATCATCTTCCTCAGGGTTTCTCAAAATTTCCTGATCAATGGAATCATCTGGAACACACTCTCCCTCTCCCTCCTCCCCACTCACCCCCCACCAAAATTAAATATATCAGTGGAGCCTGAGAATCTTGAAGTTTTTAAAAACTCCATTCCATTTGTGACCTCTTCTGCCACATTATTAAGATCAGGCAAACTTGGAAAATATAAATATAGCACAACCTTTTCATTCTGTAGTTGAAGAAGCTCAAAAGATAATCCAGCAAAGACTTGTGTTTTATATTTCTTTAATTGCTATTGCAAGTTATGTCTCTTTCTGTAGATTTCTTAATGATTAACTAGTTCAGATGTATGTTTTTGTGATATTTTAATCATAAGATTTATGTTAAAAGTGAAGGCATATGAATTCGTATTAACACGATCATACTGGAGAAACAAGCTTACTTTCATTGGGTAGCTACTGAGACCAGAGGGCAGCTACTGTCATATTGAATGATTGTAAAAGTTCTCTAAGAAAGAATCTCCCTTTAAGAGAACTTACCTAGGCCAGAGTCCTCTAAACTATCTTCCTTGCAGAATACTTGTCTCCCAAGGATGTCCCAGAAGAAATATTTTCTTAGTTCAAACAGTAACCCTTCCAGAAATTAATGTGAAAAATTAGCATGTTTAAGGTTCTAAAAATTCCTGAATTAAATAAGTCTATAAAACATTGATTTACCAATATATCTCAAACTTTTTTCATGACAGAACCCATTTTTAATTATGTTTGTTTGTTGATACTAGACATCCATTGATATTCTGAGGAATTAATATGGGGGTGATTTTTTAGGATATACATTTTCATAGATAACTGTGGGCTATATGTGCAACTCAAACATGAATATGTTAGAAATTTTAAAACTCTTTAAAAGAAAAGCTTGAGATAGACATGGGGTAATAGTGACTGGATTAGGAATAAGTGCGTAATAGGAATATTTTTTCCTATTTTTTCTCCTTGTTTTAATGAAGCTCACATAGGTTTCTTTTTCAACCATGTCCCAAATATAGAACTTAGCTTAAAGGAACTAAAGAAATGCCACATATATTTCTTTTTCTACTTTAAATATACCTGTTCCAAGTCCACCTGTGTTTTGAAGCCTATCTTTTAAAAATCATTTAGCTAGAAAGGGAAAAATGTGGGCTGCAGAGTAATGGAGAAAAGAATTAAAGAACCCAAATCTCCCTGCTGGGAGGGACTGTAGTTAAAGCTGATCCCCTACCACATTTATAGTCCAAAGAATTGAAAATGGAGAGCCTTCCTTTTCTGCCCCCTCATCCTAATGAGCTGAGGTTGTTGGTAGCAAGGATGTCACTTTAATGGCCCAGGTAGAGGTGAAGTGGCCTATGGTGTGAGGAGAACCAGAATATAACCGTGGTCTTTTTCACACTTTCTTGGCTCCTCTCTTTTCTCTTGCTCATCCAGTTCTTTTCTGATGTGGCAGGAAAAATATCGCATAATGGTCTGCAACCAGATCTACTTCCTGCTTCCTATTGACCCTTTTTACATTTGAACTGAAGAGTCAAGCTGACAAATTTCTGTGCCATTATCAGCAACACAGTCTTAATTTTCAGATCAAGGAAATAAAGTTCAGTGAGATTGAGTGAGTTGAGTCAAAAGGGAAAAAAAGGATGTAATAGAGAAAAATATTGCTCTATACTGCTCTTTCCTGGTTGACTGGCAGCTGTCAGTTGAGCTGTACCATCCTGTTTCGGGGTGATAAGCTGTCATTTGTAAATTATGCCCACAGGTATATCCATTATTCATGGGTTTTTATTGGAAAATAATGATTTCAGGCCCTTAAATTTTCCTACCTGCAGGCACCTGAATTACTGCTAAAATTGATTGCTGTATTAGTTCTCATACATTCTCTCTCCCTCTCTTTTTCTTACTACGTTCAGAATCTACCAACTCACTTTGTGTTTTCAATAAAGAAAGACTTCTCTTCCCTTCCTATATTTCCTTCTATAGAAATGAATGAAGAGTTTCTGACGTGTAGAGTTTCCTTTAATTTTAGCAACTGGACACTGCAAGTATGAGAGTTCAGTATAAAGTTACCTGAAGCAAAAGTATTTTCTAAATAACAAGTATTACTTCTTTCCACTTTACATAACTTATTACTTGAAAGCAATTAAAAACTAAGGCATAAACCTAATGAGTATTAAAAAGAGAAAGATTATTATCACATTTTTATATTTAGATATCAATAATGAATTAAAATAACCCCTCAGCTTGGACTTCTGATTAGTAATTTTAAGATTTTGAATATGTTTCTCATGTAGATTCCCCCAAATTTGTTTGCATTTTGAAAGCAAACTGTTATAGATCACTAAGGTAGAGAAGCGAAAAAATTAACATGAAGAAAAGTTGAAGGTCTCACCTTTGAGGTAATTTTGTTCCATTCTGAATCTTTAAACTTTTTTGTTTGCTTATTTGTGTGTTTGCTTAAAATCAGAGAAAACAACAGAGACACAGATTCCTTAGTTCCTGTTTTCTTTTCATGTGTCTTAATCTGTTTCGTGTGGCTCTAAAGGAATACCTGAGGCTGGGTAAATTATTTTAAAAAAATTTATTCGCTCATGATTCTGGATGGCTGGAAAGTTCAAGATTGGGCATCTGCATCTGGTGAGGGCCTCAGGCTGCTTCCACTCGTGATGGAAGGCGAAGAGGAGCCAACATGCACAGAGATCACATGGTGAGAGAGGAAGCAACAGAGACAAAGGGAGGTGCCAGGATCTTTTTAACAATCAGCTCTCATGGGAATGAATAGAGCAAGAATTCACTCATTACCATGAGGTTGGCACCAGGCCATTCATGAGGGATCTGCCCCCATGACCCAAACACCTCCCATTAGGCCCCACCTTCAACACTGGGGATCAAATTTCAAAATGAATTTTAGGGGGACAAATATCCAAACTGTAGTACAGTGTAATGATCTTCTGTACATGTTTAACTGCCAAAAATGAATTGTTGCACATTGTATGAATAAGTTAGGATGCATCCTGACTTATTGCGGTCTCTCTGGTTTCTTCACCACATTATTATTGTAGCAATTTTGGAGGAAAACTTCCTTAAGAGCATATGAAACTGTCTTAAAGCAATTGTTTGAATAGTTTTGAAACTTGTGCTCCTTAGCATACAGGATGCTGAAAAGGAGAATGGGGACCAAGGAGACACAGCATTGAGACCTGTACACTTCCCCAGATTCAACGAACTCGCTTCATTTTATGTGGCTTTATATATTGGCTTTCTCTTAAGACTGTGTGTGTGTGTCTCTCTGTGTGTGTGTGTGTGTGTGTGTGTGTGTTGAAAGACTCAACTTGTTTAGGTCAGGCACCCTCAATAAATTTGGTCTAGTTCTGCTATTTATTCTGAGCTTCCCAATATCAAAACTGCTTAGATATTTTCACTAATTCTAGTCATCCAAGTTCTTATTTTTATAGTGATTTTGAGTTAAGGGAACTTTCCAGAGTCCTACAAATAGTAAACTGCACACCCAAGACTGGAACCCTAATTTCTGGACTCTGACTCCAGTGCTCTTTCCACTTGGCACTTCCATTTGAAAGCAAGGCCATTTTAATCCCTGTATGCTCTGTTTTTCACCTAAGGTGGATGACTGACAAAATTTCAACAGCTTTGTAGCCTGACTCCTCCTAGTCTCAATCCTCTTCTCTACAAGATAAATGCTTTAAGAAATACAGGGTTGCTAGCAGAAGTGAGTTTTCATAACTAGTTAAAACCAAGTAGTTGAACAAGATATTTTGGGAAGATGAAAATTTTACTACCTGACTCAAGAAAATTAACTCCATAGGAAAGCAAATAATTTTTTAACACAGTAATGAAAATTTAGAGGGTTATTACTCATTTGTTCTGAAAATATACCCAGCAAAAAAGAATCTGATGCTACTTTTGTGCCAACAGGTTCAAATGTAGAATTGATACTAATTGTCAAGAAGAAACACAATATTCAAGAATATTAAAAAAAAAAACAAAGAATACAGTGAACTCCCATTCCTTAGGAAATTATTTTTATCACTGAAAATTAGGATTTCTAAATGTTGCCAATAATGGTAGTTCCACACTGCAGAATCCCTCTTCCATTCTATGTGAAATTGAAATCTGTTTCAAAAGACCATGTAGCAAAATATGGAAATACATGTCCCGTGGATGGAGGAAATAGTCTGAAACTTGATTTTGTTGGTATAGCCCATTATTAACCCACTTCATTCTACATGATCCTAAAGGGATTATAATGACAAATATTGAAATAATTGGTCTAAGGTAAGATTTTAAAAATATTTTCTATGCATTATTTTAATATATGCACCTCTGTTTCCCAACCATATGGAATATTAAATTAGCTATTTGGACATTTATGAAATTCAAAAGTGAAGTTTTAGGATACGTTAAAATCAGGAATATACTTTGCAATTTATCCTGCATTCCACTTTTATTTCTTTAGCTTATGAGGAGTTAATTCCTTATTAATAGGGGTCCTTCTTCATTCCCATTCTCCTTCTTGAGAATAAATCCAGAATATAATTACTGGTGCATAATAGTTCCAAGAATTTTCAGTTACAGCAGGTAAAAAGTAGGTTGCTAATAGCTGCCATATAATTATATTCCGTTGACAGATGACATTCAGTTTATGTTCCAGAAAATATTAAGTATACACTTTCAGTTTTATATGAAACTTTTTTTTGGTATAGCTATCCAGAAAAATATGGAAAGATTTTGATTAATCTATGAAGATTTGAAGAACCTACTTCTGCAACATTTTCAATTTCCCAAGGTTCTATTGCTGTAGGAAGCAGCAGACATGAATAATATCATTCTCTTCTCTTGCTTTGGCTTAATGCTTAACCTGAGTGACCTGACACATACCTTGATTCTGGTTCAACCAGTAAACTTAATATAACTTTTTTAAAGTGCTAGCATTGTTTGCAACAGCTATTCCCAAGTCTTAGAGAGAAAACTTTTATATTGTAACAGGTTAATTCTTTTATTGCACTATCACCCACATGAACTCGCTTTAATATATCCTTTGGAATCAGCTGTTTATCTTCCTGGAAAACAAGCATACACACACACACACCACAGAAGACATTTTGGCATTTGCTCCTCACCCCAAAGTGCTCTTTCACTACTTTCCCTCTTCCCTATCACTGTATTCTTACTCCTCATCAGCACATCACATCTGCTCTGGTCAGTCTTCTTTAAACTCCCCTTGTCCTACTCATAACAAGCCTTGGAAATTTGCTTGCAGCAATTCCTAGACTAGACCTATTGCCATCCTCTTCTCTATATATCAAAGCCTTCTCATTTCTGAGATCCAAATCATCTCCAGGTAAGTTTAATAGGCTCCCCAGCTTGCACTGATCTATCCCATCCTTAAACTCAAAGAGCACTTAGTCTATTTTTACACAACTAAACAATTTATTTCCATACTGCTTTGTGTTTCTTGCTAGATAGCTAGATGATGATAATGATGATGATGAAAAAGAAGAAAGAGAAGATGATAATAGATAGATTGATGATAGATAGATAGATAGATAGATAGATGATAGATAGATAGATAACCTGTGTATATATGTGTCTGTATAATGAGTTTATTTCATTTTCTTAACTATGCCTTCAGAGGTAGGATCATAACATCTTTTTAAAATATCTCTCAAAATACCTAACACTGCTAACTCATCAATTGGTAATTGGGCTAAATAAACTGCACATTTTATTTAATGCATGCAGTACATTCTCAGCATTCATAAGAGAAGGTTATGATGTCTGATAATACTTCCTTGATGAGAGGGAGTAACAACCTCATGTATTCATTCATGTGACATTTATTGAGTTTATACTAAGTTCCAGGCAAGCCAAATAAGATACATAAAAGTTAATTCTTCTCCTCCTTTTATATACTCTGCACTTGCTCTCTCGTTTTTTTACTGATGAGGAAAGTCTGGAAATGATGGGGAGACACTGTGCTGGATAGAACATCTTAGATAAGACCATCCTGAACTGAATTGTAAAAGGTTGAGACTCTCTTATTCCATTAGCTTCCAAGTGGGAAGATAAGAAAATATCATTTGTATTCAAATTTCCACCCCTATCATTTAATACTGACAATGTTCTTGACTGTATTGTTTGATTCTTCCTTGTCTTGGATTCCTAATTTGTAAAGTAGGCATAATATCTTCTTCATTGTAGACATTCAGTAAAAGTTTAGTGTCATTTCCAAGGCAAAACTGCAAATAATTTTTTTTGTTCTCCAGATGTATATGGAATGCCTAATCTGAAAAGGATGCTGTTTCACAAACTCTGGTTACAGTGGTGACACATCCCTGCCATCTAGTTGAGTGGGAAAAGATAGAAAGAATAAGAGAAAATCGAAGTGTGACAAAATTTATACTGGTAATAAATGGGGCAATCTGTGAGCAGAAAGGGGGCACGTAACCCAGTCTGGAGGAGCCAGAAGAATCATTGTCGACATTAAAACACGAAGGAAGCCAGAAGGATGTCAGCTGGGTGGAGACTCAGGTAGCAGGTGCAAGGCAGTCACCAAAAGCAGCACAGTGATTTTCAAGCCCAGTGAATAGGGGAGGCAAAGTCCCAGAGGCAACTGTGGGAAGAGTAGCATGAGACAGCTCCGATCTCTTAACCATCCTCCTTTTTCCACCTCTTTTTCCTTAACCCCCTCACTTCGTAACTTCTTGCCCTATATAAGCTAGACCATTCTCCCAGGCCAGTTTTCCATTCCAAAATGTTCCCTTCATATCATGGATGACTATCTGATAAACTGGCCCAATGTTCTCAGGTAGTATACAAAATTATAAATAGAGTTTGTTTAAAAATAAATCCCCTCAGTTCCCATCATAATAAAAAGCCATGTTTTCTGAATGCCACCAATTTGATGAGAGTATCTCATGTAAAAAGCTGCATGAAAAACTGAGAGTTTTGTTCTCACTGGGATATATTTGCATCTTGAATGAGAAATTAATTAACTCAAATGAATTTTATTGATGGAAACATGCAGGAGGAAGGTGAGGGATGGCAGGAGAAAGGAAAGATATGCTTTAGATTCAGGCTCTCTGGTTTACACCCTCCCAAATTTCCCACAAGTTCACCTTCCTTAGGTACCCTCCCAATCCCATTGCTATAGTCATTTCTCTTTTTTCACCTTCAGAAGGAGTTAGGGGTTCAGTCAAACAGCCTTCTGCTGAAGGAGGAGAATGAATGTACAATTGTGAGGAGCTTCCTGTGTTTACTGAAGACTGAATCATTTACAATGTAGTAATCAGTCAGGAAAACCACAAAAAAATGCATACACCGCAAGTGTCTATTTAAAATTGCAGTATTTCAATAAGGCTTAAATTTAAAAAAAAAACAGAATTCTTAAAGTAAGTAACCTGAACTCCATTTTTTATAGCATAATCTAATGCTTGCCTTCAACTAGAGATTTTCTTTCCTCTCCTAATGTCTTAAAATAGCTTCATTAAACTCTTAAGAAATGATGTTCTTCTTGACAAAATCATGCTTCATGGAATATCAAGTTACATTTGCAATACCTTCAAATGAAATCTAAGATGACATTGTCATGAAGTAGAAATTAAAATAAATTCCATCTCTTATTTTGAGGTTCAGCCTGCATTTATTTTCCATTCTAAGAAAGACTAAAAGGCAGGGATTAATGAACTAAAAAAAGGCATTAGGAGGGATTCTCCACAATGCTTCTCCAAAGGCATCCTCGGGTAGGTAAAAATATTATTTCTCTTCAGCTTTTGATATCTGATTTCACTCTATACTTCAGTCATACAGCCATCTCAACACACACACACACACACACACACACACACATGCACACACACACACAATTTCCTAATGTATCTCAAGTTGAATTTATCTGCCTCTATCTTAGGAGACATCATTTATTGTTTCCTTTTCATCTTATGAGTATGCATATAAATTTCATTTCTAATCTATAAAAATGAAATAAACAAGAACCAAAATATATATTTAGGACAAATGTGATTTATGCTTAAATTGTCAAAGCCAATTGCTCATTCAGTTAAGTTTTGAATTGTACTTTGGGTACTGATCATTTGTTCTCATAAACAAATAAACATGCTTGCTTGAAATCTATAAGAATATATAAAGTTCACAAGCCTTTCATTTTGCCAAAAATCTAAACTCTGATATTTCTATAACAAAAATAAAACCTTTCATCAATACACAAGGGTATCCTTTAGCAAATAAATAATTAGCATTATTTTTTAAGATAAATAATTTGTATTCAACTTATCAATGAATATAAGATATATTCAAGCTATTGAATGACTTTTTTTGAAAAAAAAAAAAGACTTTCACATTCTTTTTTTTTTTCCATTCTCATTACAGGGCCTCATTCTATCAGTCAGAGGTAGAATTTTTCAATAATTGAGTCATTCCCACTGACCTAAATTTAGAGTGCAGTACTGTACCTCTCTCCCCTCCCTCGTGATTTCTGTGAACAGATCTGAAGCTTTAAAATAAAAATTGCCCGTATGTTTTATTTGGATCCGTTCTGCTTCCTTCTAAAAAGCACCAGGAAAGCCCAGGGAGTCACAATGATTAAGGACATGTTCTGGAGTTTAACCTGCTCTCTAAAACGGGATGCATTCCAGGGCATAAAAGAAACTCTGAAGTAGGTCAGAAGCTTTAACTGCCCGAGGGCCTACCTTACACGGGAGGCAAGCAGGTGGTTTGAAATTAAATTAGTGCCAGAAACATCAATGAATCATGATTCTATGGCTTTATATTAGACTGAAAGGTGAGGAAATACAGTGTGTCATAAGGCCTTCAAAACCTCATTGATTTGGACTTCCTAACTTTGAATTTGCATTAATTCAGATGAGGACTTGGTTTGAAATCATTTTGTGCGGTCCCTGAAGTGGGTTGAGGTGATGTGAAGGAGAGAATTTGCAAAATGAATGAGGGAAATATCTAGCCTATAAGATTATAGACAAACAAAATACTTTCCAGAATAACATTAGAAGAATCACAGAGTAAATATTGTAATTAAAATTGTTCTTATTACACTTACAACATTTTATTCCAAACAAGTAGATTAAATCTATGAGATGCTCATCACTGAGGTAATACATGGTGCCCCCTGACCTCAAGCAGATCACAAATACTTGCTGGAAAATCTGCTCGCCCACTTCCACCTGTAACAGTCTATGGTACTATAATGAACAATTAACTGGGGAGAGGTGGAGTACTTGCAATTGGCAATGGAAAATGGACATAGCTTCTTGCAGGAGATACCCAGATCATTGGGAGCCTTGAGCAGTTAATCCAGGTGTGTGAAGACCTTTCCAAGGCCCGGTCTAATGGGCTCTACTTGTGTCTAGTCTGACCTCTATCTTCTACCACTGTACCTAGCCCATTTCCTCAAGGATGCCTTCCTTAACCTGAGTTAAATTCATCCAGTCACACACTTTCACAGTGCCTTCCTTTTATCTTCTATCACACATATCACAATTGAGATGAAATCTTTATTTGTGTACTTATTTGTGTCATACCCATTTTGCCCCACTAGTGACTAAGTTCCATGAGGACAGGGGCTGTGTCTTTTTTGTTTCTCATAGTTTTCCCAGTGTCTGCTCAATAAAAGTTGGGTGGGTGGGCAAATGGATGGATGGATGGATGGATGGATGGATGGATGGATGGATAGATGTTTGGGCAGAAGGCTATATAGAAAAATGTAGGCACGCATTTGAAGAGGTAAGGTAGAGTCAGAATTCTACCACATCCCCTCCTAAATCAATTATGGCATT
The DNA here is from genome assembly GCF_000001405.40 of Homo sapiens. Classification (NCBI taxonomy): domain Eukaryota; kingdom Metazoa; phylum Chordata; class Mammalia; order Primates; family Hominidae; genus Homo; species Homo sapiens. The sequence continues at coordinate 162,477,712 of NC_000002.12, read as the reverse complement.
TGGCTTTTAAGAGGGGAATAGTATTTCATCCAGTAATATGAAATTACTGAAAATAAATAAGTATTAGAACAAAATATTTTTGTAGAATTTATAATATGTTTGCTTCTTGTGTGTATCAGTGTTATTCCCTGTGAAGACAGAAATGACAACCTGCTTTTTTTTAGGGCCTGACTGCTGGAAAATAAATAAATAAAACTTCCCTCATATAAAGTCCCTCCTTCTCTATTCTATCTCTGAAGCCTGCAGGAAAGACCCTGTTGACTTTTTTTCTCAAGCAGGCTTGCCTAAGAACTGGAAAGAGAGCCCAAAGGAAGAAGGCAGCTGATGAAGCTGCCAGGCAGCTTTGTGCTCCAGAAGCCCTGGGTCTTGGCTTTGACTCTTGTGCTCCCTGCCCCTTGGCAGTTGAGCTCTGAGCACTGGTGATGCATTCATTCAGGGCCTTAGTCTCCTCTGGGGTGAGTCCATGTTAGTAAGTGAAAAGATACCATGGCAGGAAAATCTGCAGAATGTCAGGAATGATCATAAGGCTCTAAGCTTTCAAGATACTGCCTTTAATCGTTACTTACTGCTAGGCAAGAATTTTATACTTCTCTTTCACTCTTGTTTTTCTTACTGCGGTTAGGAAATTTATCTTTAAAAATCAGTTTAAATAGGTGGCCTGAATGACAACATTTATATGCCTAGCCTAAGCCCTTAGATGCCCTAGTTCCTAATTCCTGAGGTAACTAAGACATAAATAAATCTGATGCCCAAGGCTACAACTTCTGCTCCTGACTAATGCATTTTTAATTGTTATTATATAAAAGCTTGTATTGCAAATATGAGACTTAATAATGTGCATAACCACTTTTTAACATCTGAGAAGCTGTGTTTCCACTGGAGGTAACAATAGAATCTTAGTTTTTGAAGCTTCAAATTTGCAATTATTCTCTGGAAAGGCCTTCATTCTTCAGTTCATTAGGGAATGACACATGATGTTTTCTGCCATTATTATTTACTAAAGATAGTATAGGATTGACCTCTGTTTTATCAATTATCTCAAGATTAGTTGTATTGAAAGATGTTTTAAAATATATTTAGTAAAGTATACTAATGAACCTATAATATTAAGGATACAGAGCAAATGACATATAGCTTAGTAAAATGGAAGTAATTTAAAATGAACTGGTAAGAAAATTTCATTAGTTTCAGATTCATAACCTTTATTTTAAATATGTTACATTAAAATATAATATCTGCTGTAAAAATTATCTAGTTTCAGCATCTGTCTTCATAAGAAGTTAAATGATAGTTTCAGGATAATGAGTTTTGCTGAATTACTGAATGTATTAAGATGCTCTCGAGGTATTCTTATCCAATAGTAATGCCAGGCAAATATTAATATTTTGATACAGCCTCTGGTATAATGAATATGTCTTGGAATATTAACACTAGAAGTTTGCTCTATAAAAGTTTGCTCTATATAAAGTTTCAGTGTAATTTTCACCAGAAAGTTTAAGGGCATTATTTCAGCAAGTTTCACCAAGAAAGCTGAGAACTGGTAAAATGAATTTCATTAATGGGCGCCAGACTCCTTTAATGAGATGGCAGGCTTTGGGAGGCTTCATATGAGTTCTAAATGTTCCGGACAAGGCTTGCAATTTGCTTTGCTGAAGGCATAGAGTGCCCCCAACAAAAGGGGCTTCTCCAGTTGCAGTTTTCTGGGTTAATGTATTCCAGGTTGAATTATCTCACCCATTGATTGCTGCCCTGGGAATTTCAGTGTTCATACAAACTAACAAACGTCCACCAGATAAGCACCAGCAATGCCCAGCTGGCTCTTTGTCCCCCATGGGAAATTTTCTCAGTTAGAGCTGGGTAATTGTTTAGTGCAGCTGCTGCAGTTTCAAGGGTGCCAGCTCATCTGAGCCAACTGTATGCACACAGCCCATGACTCATGAGGCTGAGAAAGTACACACTGCTGGTGGGTGGGTGGGGGCCTTCAAGGACTCCATGTTAAATTTGCCCTCTTCTTTGTCAACTATTTGGGGGATAATACATAGTGAAAGGCAGTTATTTAAGGGGTATAAATATCCTATATCGTGAAAATCAGCTATAGGTAGGCATAATAACCTCATCTTTATTAAAAAGCTTTCACTGTATGTATCTGAACAGTCACTTGGCTGTACTGTATGTGTTATAATAACATAACATTGTAAGATGTGTGGTTTCTTACATACACCCAAATATGGAACTGGCATAATATCCAGAGCAAGGGACAATTTGGGTGGAGACGGGGAAGGCAAGCACTGTTCTCTGGCCTCATGCCACGCTATTTGGCATAGGGTTCAATATCAGATCTTCCAAAATTATTCTAGAAATACCCAAAATATATTTTGTGAGACAACTGATTATTATTGTGAGGCAATTTGAATTTATTAGGGCTTTACTGTCAATTAGACACGGTAATGTCCTCCTGGAAAAATTCTTTTAAGTAGTATTCTGCACATAAATGGCATCTTTAAACAGTGTCATTCGCCACATGTATACCACATGTCTCCAGGGGCTTGTAGTATATATAATAATAAAGTAAGAGTTCTTGATAAATTAGTGATCTATTGTTCAGTGACAAATTAACCTAAATCTTAGTGTCTGAAGACAACAAGCCTTTGTTACCCCACAGTTTTTATGGATCGAGAATTGAAGAGAAGCTTAGCTAGGTGTTCTCACTCCAGGTCTTCCACAAGGCTGGAAGAATGTGAGCTGACTCTTCTGAGCTCACTTACGTGAGCCTTCCAGCAAGGCTGATTTCCTCCAGAGCAATCATGGCAGCTGGTTTCCTCCAGAGAAACAGCCTAAGAGAGAGTGTGAGAGTGCACACTGTCAGTTATGGCTGCAGTTGTCTCAAAGATCAATAAGGGATGATCTGTTTCCAAGCTTGCTTACTAGGCTGTTGGCTGCCTCAGATGATCCTCTTCTGAGCTTACTTATGTGAGCCTTCCAGCAAGGCTGGTTTCCTCCAGAGCAACCATGGCAGCTGGTTTCCTCCAGAGCAACAGCCTAAGAGAGAGTATGAGAGTGCACACAGACAGAAGCCACAGCCTTTTTACAACTTAACATAGTAATGACATCTTTTCACCTCTGCTATATTGTATCCATATGAAGCAAGTCAGTAAGTCCAGCCTACACTCAAGAGGAAGGGATTACATAAAGACATGAATACCAGGAGGCAGAAATCTTAATTCAAGGCATCAGCCTTTCTCTCTGGAATTATAATAGCTACCTCTAATTAGTTTCAGAACCTCCAATTTTGATCTACTCCAGTGAAACTATTTTTGCTATGGCAAAGTGGTCTTTAAAAACTGCTAATCTGATCATGTCATTTAACAACTGGTAACTGTCCTCAAGAGAATGTCTAATCTTCTTATTATGACCCTTTATATACAGTGCATAAAGACAGTATTAAATGGTATTTAAAGTCTTAGGCTCTAAAGCCAAGTTGCCTGGCTTCTAATCCTGGTTCTGCCATGTATCACTTTTATGCCCCTGGGAAAGTTTGCTAACCTCATGGGACTTTAATTTCTTCATTGAAACCTGAAATGGTAATAAGAGCTACTTTATAGGATTATTGTGAAAATTCAATGAGATAATTCTTATGCAGCTCTTGGCACAGTGTCTAGGACATAGAAAGACCTTAAGAAGGGTAGGTTGTTATTATAATTCCCCATTTTATCTGAGCCATTTCATGCCATATTGTGCAACCACAGCAAACTACAGTAGAGTCAATTTTGACCTCTTACAAAGCTGTCTTTATCTGAAGAGCTTTCATTTATTCATAAAAACTCAATTCAGAGAGTTAAGTTTTCCTACAGAAAGACTTTATACACACACAAATGCACATACTTAAGCATACAATTTTGGACAAAGTGGTTTTCTCTGTACTCCCTCAGCTCCTATGTATAACTCTATCATGGTGTTCATCACACTGTATCGCCATTGTTATTTCTCTATGGTCCCTATTAGAATATGACCTCTTCTAAGGAGTCTTTTATTTCTGTATCCACAGAGCCTAGCCCAGTGCCTGGCATATAATAAATATGTCCTTAATGAATGTGGGCAGAATGGTCTAATAAATAAATGATTTGGGAGTTTTTTGATGTAGTCTCCTTCTTCATTTCTTCATCCTACTTCTGACACCCACTTACTCATTCCCTCACCTCAAGTCCTGATTGCATAAGGATATTTCAACTGTTGCTTTGAAGAGAAAGCTGCCCAAACAAGTTGTTAAGATCAAAGAACATGTTTCTCCTCATATGCAGTTCTAAAGACACAAATTAAATTAAGGTCAATATTTCTTTCCCTGACTTTCTGTTATTTGGGCTTTTGAAATTTACAACTTTGTAATAATTGCTTCACTCCCAAGCCAAACTCCTCAGTCAGGCATTTATTTTTTTTCTCTTTTTTTGTTTTATGATTCTAGTATTTTTTATTTTTTATTTTTATTTATTTTTAAATTATACTTTAAGTTCTAGGGTACATGTGCACAACGTGCCGGTTTGTTACATATGTATACGTGTGCCATGTTGGTGTGCTGCACCCATTAACTCATCATTTACATTAGGTATATCTCCTAATGCTATCCCTCCCCTCTCCCCCTACCCCACAACAGGCCCCGGTGTGTGGTGTTCCCCTTCCTGTGTCCAAGTGTTCTCATTGTTCAATTCCCACCTATGAGTGAGGACATATGGTGTTTGGTTTTTTGTCCTTGCGATACTTTGCTGAGAATGATGGTTTCCAGCTTCATCCATGTCCCTACAAAGGACATGAAATCATCCATTTTTATGGTGTTTATATGCCACATTTTCTTAATCCAGTCTATCACTGATGGACATTTGGGTCGGTTCCAAGTTTTTGCTATTGTGAATAGTGCCACAATAAACATACATGTGCATGTGTCTTTATAGCAGCATGATTTATAATCCTTTGGGTGTATACCCAGTAATGGGATGGCTGGGTCAAATGGTATTTCTAGTTCTAGATCCCTGAGGAATCACCACACCGACTGCCACAATGGTTGAACTAGTTTACAGTCCCACCAACAGTGTAAAAGTGTTCCTATTTCTCCACATCCTCTCCAGCACCTGTCGTTTCCTGACTTTTTAATGATTGCCATTCTAAGTGGTGTGAGATGGTATCTCATTGTGGTTTTGATTTGCATTTCTCTGATGGCCAGTGATGATGAGCATTTTTTCATGTGTCTGCTGGCTGCATAAATGTCTTCTTTTGTGAAGTGTCTGTTCATATCCTTTACCCACTTGTTGATGGGGTTGTTTGTTTTTTTCTTGTAAATTTGTTTGAGTTCTTTGTAAATTCTGGGTATTAGCCCTTTGTCAGATGAGTAGATTGCAAAAATTTTCTCCCATTCTGTAGGTTGCCTGTTCACTCTCATGGTAGTTTCTTTTGCTGTGCAGAAGCTCTTTAGTTTAATTAGATCCCATTTGTCAATTTTGGCTTTTGTTGCCATTGCTTTTGGTGTTTTAGACATGAAGTCCTTGCCCATGCGTATGTCCTGAATAGTATTGCCTAGGTTTTCTTCTAGGGTTTTTATGGTTTTAGGTCTAACATTTAAGTCTTTAATCCATCTTGAATTAATTTTTGTATAAGGTGTAAGGAAGGGATCCAGTTTCAGCTTTCTACATATGGCTAGCCAGTTTTCCCAGCACCATTTATTAAATAGGGAATCCTTTCTCCATTTCTTGTTTTTGTCAGGTTTGTCAAAGATCAGATGGTTGTAGATGTGTGGTATTATTTCTGAGGGCTCTGTTCTGTTCCATTGGTCTATATCTCTGTTTTGGTAAGAGTACCATGCTGTTTTGGTTACTGTAGCCTTGTAGTTTAGTTTGAAGTCAGGTAGCATGATGCCTCCAGTTTTGTTCTTTTGGCTTAGGATTGACTTGGCAGTGCAGGCTCTTTTTTGGTTCCATATGAACTTTAAAGTAGTTTTTTCCAATTCTGTGAAGAAAGTCATTGGTAGCTTAATAGGGATGGCATTGAATCTATAAATTACCTTGGGCAGTATGGCCATTTTCATGATATTATTCTTCCTATCCATGAGCATGTAATGTTCTTCCATTTGTTTGTGTCCTCTTTTATTTCATTGAACAGTGGTTTGTATTTCTCCTTGAAGAGGTCCTTCACATCCCTTGTAAGGTCGTAAAACTCCACAGAATCTGCTCCACACAGACCTCTTCACCCACACCATCTCCAAGGCTCTTTCTCATTGACTGCTCTCAAACACGTGTATACACACACACAAGCACAAGCATACATACACACAAATGCACACATATAGAAACATGCAAATATATACACAGGAGACCAAGTGCATCGGATTCATTTTAGATGCTTGTTAAAATTCAGATTCCTGGGCTTCACCTAGTCTCAGAGGGCAAAGAGCAGGAAATCTACCTTTTTTTTTTTTTTTTTAATTTATTGATCATTCTTGGGTGTTTCTCGCAGAGGGGGATTTGGCAGGGTCATAGGACAATAGTGAAGGGAAGGTCAGCAGATAAACAAGTGAACAAAGGTCTCTGGTTTTCCTAGGCAGAGGACCCTGCGGCCCTCCGCAGTGTTTGTGTCCCTGGGTACTTGAGATTAGGGAGTGGTGATGACTCTTAACAAGCATGCTGCCTTCAAGCATCTGTTTAACAAAGCACATCTTGCACCGCCCTTAATCCATTTAACCCTGAGTGGACACAGCACATGTTTCAGAGGGCACAGGGTTGGGGGTAAGGTCAGAGATCAACAGGATCCCAAGGCAGAAGAATTTTTCTTAGTACAGAACAAAGTGAAAAGTCTCCCATGTCTACTTCTTTCTACACAGACACAGCAACCACCCAATTTCTCAATCTTTTCCCCACCTTTCCCCCTCCTCTATTCCACAAAACCACCATTGTCATCATGGCCTGTTCTCAATGAGCCGTTGGGTACACCTCCCAGACGGGGTGGTGGCCGAGCAGAGAAGCTCCTCACTTCCCAGTAGGGGCGGCTGGGCAGAGGCGCCCCTCACCTCCCGGACGGGGCGGCTGGCCGGGCGGGGGGCTGACCCCCCCACCTCCCTCCCGGATGGGGCGGCCGGCCTGGCGGGGGCTGACCCCCACCTCCCTCCCGGACGGGGTGGCTGCCGGGCGGAGACGCTCCTCACTTCCTAGACGGGGTGGCTGCCCGGCAGAGGGGCTCCTCACTTCTCAGACAGGGCGGCTGCCGGGCGGAGGGGCTCCTCACTTCTCAGACGGGGCGGCTGCCGGGCGTAGGGTCTCCTCACTTCTCAGACGGGGCGGCCGGGCAGAGACGCTCCTCACCTCCCAGACAGGGTCGCGGCCGGGCAGAGGCGCTCCTCACATCCCAGACAGGGCACTAGGGCAGAGGCGCTCCCCACATCTCAGACGATGGGCGGGCGGGCAGAGACGCTCCTCACTTCCTAGATGGGATGGCGGCCGGGCAGAGAGGCTCCTCACTTTCCAGACTGGGCAGCCAGGCAGAGGGGCTCCTCACATCCCAGACGATGGGCGGCCAGGCAGAGACACTCCTCACTTCCCAGACGGGGTGGCGGCCGGGTAGAGGCTGCAATCTCGGCACTTTGGGAGGCCAAGGCAGGCGGCTGGGAGATGGAGGTTGTAGCGAGCCGAGATCACGCCACTGCACTCCAGCCTGGGCACCATTGAGCACTGAGTGAACGAGACTCCGTCTGCAATCCCGGCACCTCGGGAGGCCGAGGCTGGCGGATCACTCGCGGTCAGGAGCTGGAGACCAGCCCGGCCAAGACAGCGAAACCCCGTCTCCACCAAAAAAATATGAAAACCAGTCAGGCGTGGCGGCGCGCGCCTGCAATCGCAGGCACTCGGTAGGCTGAGGCAGGAGAATCAGGCAGGGAGTTTGCAGTGAGCCGAGATGGCGGCAGCACAGTCCAGCTTCAGCTCGGCATCAGAGGGAGACCATGGAAAGAGAAGGAGAGGGAGACCGTGGGGAGAGGGAGAGGGAGAGGGGGAGGGGGAGGGAGAGGGCAAATCTACCTTTTAATAAGCTTTCTGGGTAGTCCTTATGCATAAAAAAGGCTCGAGGACCACAGCTCTCACCCCACCGGGCTTTGATAGTGGAACGTACTCTTCTAAAAAGCATATCATTTCCAACTGAAAACAAACAAAAACCAAAAGCACATATCCTTTAAGATTCACTCAACTAGTACCGTTGTCAAAGATCCCTAGATGGCCCACAGTAGTCAATTCCTCCTGCTTCCTTTGTCACATGGTAAATATTATTGGTTTGCATACAAACTACTCAGGTCAGCCCAAGAGTATCTTGAGTTCAAGGACATCTCTGGCGGTACTTCTGGTACAGGGTCAAAAGCATAGTTGTTCAATTGGTGTTTACTGAAGTGTTACCTATGGTACTAAAATATGATTTTGCTCTCAAATGTGTTGGTTTATATGAATTGACAAGGCTTTACTTTTTATTATAGCATAAAATTTCATAACAGTATTTAGCTATTACATACCACCTTAACTTTTCAAATGTACTATAACAAAGAATGAAGGCAAAGCACAGTTGCTCACACCTATAATCCCAAAACTTTGGGAGACTAAAGCAGGAGAATTGTTTGAGACCAGCCTGTGCAACATAGCAAGATTCCTGCTTCTACAAAATAAAAATTAAAAAATTAGGCAGATGTGGTGGTATGCACCTGTAGTCCTAGCTACTTGGGAAGCTGAGGAGGGAGGGTCACCTGGGCCTGGAAGTTCGAGGTTACAGTGAACTATGATTATGCCACTGCACGTCAGCCTGGTCAACAGAGCAAGCTCCTTTCTTTAAAAAAAAAAAAAGGGAAAGAGGCTGGGTGCAGTGGCTCACGCCTGTAATCCCAGCACTTTGGGAGGCCTAGGCGGGCGGATCATGAGGTCAGTAGATCGAGACCATCCTGGGAGGTCAGGAGATTGAGGCCATCCTGGCTAACACAATGAAATTCTATCTCTACTAAAAATACAAAAAATTAGTCAGGCATGGTGGCACGTACCTGTAGTCCCAGCTATTTGGAAGGCTGAGGCAGGAGAATCGCTTGAGCCTGGGAGGCGGAGGTTGCAGTGAGCTGAGATCACACCACTGCACTCCATCCTGGGCAACAGACTGAGACTCCGTCTGAAAAAAAAAAAAAAAAAAAAAAAAAAGGAAAAGAATAAATACCTTGCCCAAGATATAGAAATAGTAAAAGAAAATTAAATTCTTCTGCCAAGATATTTTGTTGATAACCTTGCATAATTTGAGGTAACAACCTGGAAATTAGATCATAAGCAAATTTCATTTGTTTTTTCTTGATAACTTTATATTCTTTAGTATGAAGACATAGGTCAGATTGTATTGAGATTTTTATTTAGATCTTGGTATCTCAATTATTTTAATGTTTTAACAATGCTGCAGAACTTTTCTTCTCTGATTGGAAATTTGAGAGTGTCAGATGCCCAGTAATCAGACTCCTCCATGTTAACATAAACAGGTATCAAACACATAAAAGTGGAGCCACTGCTGAGCCCACCAGTGCCAGGATGACTACTCCCAGATGGAGAGGACAAAGAGAAGTGGGCATTAAAAAAACCTGAACACTCTGACAGAGTCAGTTCTGTGGTCTAAATGTTTGTATCTCTTCTACATTCCTATGATGAACCCTACTTCCCAGTGTGATGTTATTAAAAGATACAGCCTGTGGGAGGTAATTAGATCATGAGGGTAAGAGCCTTTATGAACAAGATTAATGCCTTGCCCCTTCCACCACCTGAGGATGCAACAAGAAGGTGCCATCTGTGAATCAGAAATCAGGCCCTCACCAGATACAGAATCTGCTGTTGCCTTGATCTTGGACTTCTCAGATTCCACAACTGTGAGAAATAAATTCCCATGGTTTATAAGCAACCCAGTCTAGGGCATTTTGTTATAGCAGCCCAAAAGGACTAAGCTTCCGGCACATAAATGTAAGATTTCACCAGCTGATTGAGCATTGTCTTAGTCTGTTTCTGTTACTATAAAGGAATGTCTGAGCCTAGTTAATTTATAAAGTATAAAGGTTTACCTGCTTCACAGTTTACAGGCTGTGCAAGAAGCATGGTGCCAGCACCTGCTTCTAAAGGGTGTTCAGGCTGCTTCCACTCATGGTGGAAGGAAAAAGAGAGCCCGGTTTGTACAGGCAAGAGAGGAGGCAAGAGAGAGAGGAGGGAATTGCCAGCCTCTTGAACAACCAGCCCTCAGAGAACTAATAAAGCGATAACTCACTCATTTCTGTGAGGCCGTGCAAGGCCGTTCATGAGGGATCTACTCCATGACCCAAACACCTCCTATTAGGCTTCAGCTCCAATGTTGGGGATCAAATTTAAACAAGAAATTTGGAGGATCATATATCCAAACTATAGCAAGCATGGTGAATTACCTTGAGAACTAAGTTGACACATTGATTTCATAATCTTAGGTGAAAGAATCACTTCACCTTCTCAGTGACAAGATAACTTCTGCTGACTGAACTCTTTCCTAAAGACAGGCAATTCACACAGCTTTCTAAGCCTCAGACAGTGTGAAATCCTTCAGGCTGTATGGTTTTTCTTTTAATATCTTGTGAATTCCCAGAACAAAGCCTCCCACTGTCATAGGAAAGAACTAAAATGCATCCTGAAGTCAAACAGAATTATTTGGAAATGACATGCTGGTTATAGCAATCCACTCATTCCCTCAAGAACAGATATAAGCAAAGGTTGACTACATTGATGCCTCTCTTCATTTTTAAGTGAGTCTTTCTCTTTTAATCATTTCCTATTCTATTTTACATTTAATACATTTGAATCACCTCTCCTCATTTCACATCTTATTTATAAAGTTAGTGTCCAATTAAATTGTTCTTAAATTTACTGACAATCAGATACTTTTGAGTATTTTAGCTGAGTGGCAGTCACTTAAAGCCCATTACCTGTCCTCAAATGAAAAAAGCAACCAAACAAGTTACCAGTGAAGTAACACTACACAAAATGGCAGCCTCAGATGGCACTTGGTTTACTCAAGATATCATCATTCTGCATCTATGGAAAACACAACAAATCACAGAAATGTGTTTCTGGTACCTGATATGGTTTGGTTGTGTTCCCACCCAAATCTCATCTTGAATTGTTGTTGCCATAATCCCCACATGGTTACCCTCATGCTGTTCTCATGATAGTGGGTGAGTTCTCATGAAATCTGATGGTTTTATAAGGGGCTTTTCCCCCTTTGATTGGCACTTCTCCGTCCTGCCGCCATGTGTAGAAGGACGTGTTTACTTCCCCTTACTACTTGATTGTAAGTTTTCTGAGGCTTCCCTAGCCGTATAGAACTGTGAGTGAATTAAACCTCTTCTTTTTATAAATTACCCAGTCTTGGGCGGTTCTTTATAGCAGCATGAGAATGAACTAATACAGTACCTTTTAAATTTTCTTTCATAATACAATATTGTCAGGCAAGGGTTCCCTAACACATTTAATATATAGTGTCTCTCTTGTGCCATTTTTAGACTCTAGCTAGCATAGCATACCAGCATAAATATGTGTATTAAGTTTATATACTTATTTGCAACACAGCTATCAATCTTACACCCTGACACTGTTTATAGTGGCAAGGAAGTAGATGCGGTCAATTAAATAAAGAGAGATAAGGCAGTACACAGATGAGATGTTAAGTCTGATTCCATGCAATACTGGGTAAATTCTGAATATCTTCACAGGTTGAGTTTAGTTCAAAACAACATGCTATAAAATGGAATATTGATGATGGAGTTTAAAAGTAATTAATGGTGGGCAGTCTATCATCTGGGAAAATAGATGCCTCCTTTGGATCCATAGCTGCTTAAAAATTCATAGAGAAAAAATAAAAATGGGATAAAGGAGTGCATGACCCCACAACAGGATGCACCTTTACATGATACTTAATGGATTTTTTGTAAATGTACAATATTGATATACCCAGTTAACTATAGTCAGATTCTGCTTATAACCTCAATGAATACAATGCGCACCATTACTCAGCATGACTCACTGAATTGTCCCTATACAAAACAATATCCTTGCAACTGAAATGATTGATGTGAGGCAGCTTTCACTCTAGCACAGTTAAATTAAACACAAAAGATACTCAGGTAGAAATTTTTGTATGCAGAAACCTGCCATTAAGTCCTGTACTGCCACGGCAATTGCCTGTATAATAAGTGTATAGGGCACATGAATACTTTTAAAAATACATTTCTATATTGGAAATCTGAATAAAATTTAAACTATTTTAATAGGAAATTTTCTTTGATCATAGAGCTTGCATTTAATATCACCAACGCAATGATTACTCTTGACTAGTGGAATAACTTATGGCATAAATAGTGCAGTAACAATTGGAATCTCAGAGTATATGAAGGCTGAAAGGGATATTAGAGATCGCTTAGCTCAACCCACTTATTTTCTACTTGAGATAATTTGTTTCACAGTTCTTCCATATGCTGGTCTCAGAGCAGTGCTTCCTGGTGACACAGATAATACTGTCCACAACAAAATGATAGAGATGAAACAGTATAATAAGGTCTTGGTAAAGCTGAATTTGCTTATTTAAAATTATTGCCTTTTATTCCTAGACTTTCCCCTTTCTGATGTTTTATCTCCATATTCTTTTATGAAATGATCATGGTAGAGAAAAATAGTTGCTTTTCCTAACATTCATAATTGGTTAAGTAAAAAGTTGGCAACCCTATAATATGCCTTATTTCTTTTTTAATTTTACAAAACTTTGAACTCCAAGGGTTGGGGAACCACCACTTTAGACGCCAACATAGAACAGAGTCCCTTGATGTATCTGTATATGAGAGGGTTAAACACATTTATCAGTAAGGTAAAATTAGTAAGAAGGATTATTTATGAAATGAGTTATGTTAAAAGACATTGCTTCTGTTTACCACGTAAAATTTGATGAACTGTCACAAAGGGAGTAATACCTGCCTTTTGTTATTTATATGTGTCTGACAAGAGAGTAAATGCAGCAGTTTTAGCTGTATTTAAACAAAACTGGCATATTTTATCTAACAGTAAGATGTCAAATGCTGTAAGAATAAGGAAATCAAGGAGTCCGGGACATGGATATAGTTATATTATTACACAATTATTAGGCTAGAGGTTAGAAAGAAAGTGATAGTTGCCATCAGGAGGCATAAACTAGCTTGATTTCTATTTGTTCTTTGTCACTTGCATAATACTTTTTGTTTCAGTTAGGTATTATGAGATTCATGCCTCCCCCTAGGAGACATGGATAGACATAAAAAGTCCTTGTAGTTTTTATCTAAAAATGTCAAAGCTAAAAAAATTTCTCATGAGATATATAGTATAATATCAGCCAAAATGGAATTCAGGACCATTTAGAATCAAGAGAAATTGCCTCCTAGGAAGTTACCCTGTGAAATGATGCACAAAAATAGGAAGCTAATGAATCTCTGGTACAAAATTATGCTTCTACATCAAGTCTCTTAAATAAGCAAGAATGCCATATTTATTTCTTTGCATTTATTTCAGATGATTCATGTACCCATTGGTTTAAAATTACTTATGAGATTAGCTACTAAAAGACTTTGGTTGATAGTTGGTTAACAAAAGAAGGAAGTTATTATCATTAGTACTTCTGGCCAACATTTAGGGATAGCTCTTTCTTGACTATGATAGAATCAGCTTCAGACTTTAAGATTCATAATGGCTTTCAGTAGAATACATGATTTGTTTTCTCCCTTGGATAAACATATCATAATTAAAACCTAATATTTTTCTAATTGTTTCTGTGCAGGTTTATTTGGTAACTTTTTAAAAAGGGGAATGCTTTTTTTTTTTTTACTTTTTTGTTATAGTTGTTTTTTTTTATTATTTGAACATGGAAGAGAGATTCTTAGTAATCAATATGCCTACAATATTAGGGAGTACTGTATTTCTGAGTCCTAGAAAGATATTTTTCAAAGGACCTTTTAAATTTAAAACAACAAAAATTAATTTTTCAAATAACCAACTTCATCCTCCTTACATGTTTTTGACCATGTGGGTCACATTTTAGCCATCTGGTGAAAAAAATAATATATTGACTTTTTACTATATGGGCAGCAATGCATGTGGGGTCGTTTAAGGTACAGAAAATATGGCAAACATAGTTAAGGCCATCAGGGAGTTTAGAATCTAGTAACCAACTCTACAACCTAATTTATAATTCCTCTTTTCATAGAGATGAAACAATAAAGCAGAAGTCTGACTTCTGTTAAAACTTTTTTATTGTGGAAGGAGAAAAAAAGGGAAGAAAGGGAGGGAAGGAAGGAGGAAAAGGAGAGAGGGAAGGAGAAAAAAAATAAATGATTTAATACCTGACTGTGTGGAAGACACCTTGTTTTACTTCTTATGGTTCTGTGGAATTGGCCTATAGCTATTCTGGCACTTTCTATTCCTTGCACTTCTGAGTCCCTAATGAAGCTTGTCAGATCTCCAAAAAGAACAAGTCCATAAGGCAAATGACAGCCTTCCAAGAACCTGTTACTAAAGTGAATGACTTGAGTAGATTCCTGTGGTTAGAGTCGGGTTTTACAGACTCTTAATTGATTTAACCATCAGACCTGGCCCGACCAAGTAAGACTCATCAACTACTAATATGATGGAGATATCACATTTGCTAAGGCTACTTAGTAACTGAATTTACTCCGTCCCTGATAGGAAAATTTAGCAGGAATGAGAAATTAGTATTCCTTTTGTTTAAGTTTAATTTTATTTTAAAGTCACAAATAATAATTATGTATATTTATGGGATATAATGTGATGTTTTGAAATACGTAAACATTGTGGAATGACCAAATCAGGCTAATTAACACATCCATCACCTAGTCAAGCTATTAAAAAGCAAAACACAGGCCTGAGAATTTGCAGACCATACACCTTGCAAATACACAGAAAATCCCTGTCAATAATGAGGAATCATCTAACTGTGCTTCAAGCAAGTTGCCATCCTTGACTTTATTGTGACTATTGTGACTTTAAATACATTCCCTACTAGTGCCACCTGTATTGCTTTATATTTTGTTTTCTATTTCCTAATCTTACTCTTTTGACTCTCTCTCTCTCTCTCTCTCTCTTGCTCTCTCTCTCTCTTGCTCTCACTCTCCTGATGATTCTAGATGTGTTTGTGATCATACACAAACATTCAGAGATCCATAGAAATCCAAGCCTTATGTTAGGGATTTTTAACTTCTTGTAGGTGATAGATGACTGAAAATTCGATAAAGGACATAAACACATATTCCTAGGGAAATAAACAGCAATGAAACACTCTAAATTGCTTTAAATAACTTCTGGAGTTCAAGCCCACCAGTACATCCCAGGACAATACACCATGGTCGAGTAGTATGTGCTTGCTCACATACATACACACACATTTATTTTTCCTCATTATCCTGGAATTCCCATGGGTAGTGTTTCTGATTTTTTTTCCTTAACGTACATTAATCCTTGACCTGTAAATGGTGCAAACATAGTAAGATCATACTAATTCGTTGCAATTGTTTAAACAATGTGAGTTAAGAAAAATAAAATAATTGTGTAATCTCAGAGATCTCCTATATGAATCTTATTTTGCCACGTACATCATTTCTACAGGACCCCTGGAAAGTATACTCAAATTTTAAAACTGACAGAGACTCCATAAATACTGACTTTATTTTAAAGAAATACCATTTCATCACTTGCAGGGAAATAGAGAAAGTCATGCAATCTCTGTCCTCCAATCACCCATCAGATGTTCCATTTTCTTTATGACAGGTATTCCAACCAGACCAACTAAATGTTCCCTAGTTCCAGGATTGTTGCTTTTATGAGGACATATGCTATCACTTGCTTAAATGGGGTCCTTTCAAAGTGTTTGAGGGCTTTTACAAAACAGTTGGTTTCCTAAAATACCACTTTGTACGTGGCCCAAAAACCAATAGATATAACTGAGATGTACACAAACAATGAAACATTTTTATCTTACTAGCAAACACACATGGCCAACTGGCCTAACCATCTGTCTTTTGCATTATCTATCATTGCATAATTGACTTGCTCCAAGGTCACACCAGAGAGCTGGGTTCATTCAATAACTATAATTAGCATTGAATGTTATTTGTAATTTAATTTTGAGCTATTCTGGTTAAATATCCCTAAAAATGTATTATTATGATAGTAATCATCACTTATTGGGTATTTATGGTAAGATAGGGACTATATGTGGAACTATATACATTTGTTATCTTACATAGTTCACAGTTGCCTATGAATTGTATATTGTTGTCCTCATTTTGCTAGTAAGAAAATTGACACTCAGGGAGATTTAAAAATGGCCAAGGCAGAGCTGGGATATGTAATAAGGCCCAGAGCCTGTAATATATCCCAGAGCCTGGTGTCTTCAGTAATATTTGACCTATTATGAATTTCTAATTTTTGTACATTGTCTTTGTTTTTATTTTGTTGATGCCCATCCATGGCTATCTAGCATTCCTGTTTTGTCCTTCCTGTGTTCTTCACATTTGTGTCCATCCAAACAAGCTGCATTTAGGCTCTAGAAAAAAAGGTAGTTCTACATAATTCTCTATTCTCCATTTGCCACAAGTGATGAGGACTTTATTAAAAGCATTTTGAAAACATCCACACATACCTTTTAAAATCTTTTCTTTTTCTCCTGGAAATAATATGTATATTAGGAAAACAGAGGCTTTATCCCCACAAATAAATGAGTTACATACTGGTATTCTGTTGTATAAGGACACAGGCCCTATAGAACCAAACCACCTTGGAACGTTAGCTAGCCTGTCTTCACATCTGTAAAGTGAAAGAAACAATAGCACTGCATTATTTTCTTAGGGCTTCCATAACAAACTACCATGAACTAGGTGGCTTAAAACAAGATATTTCATCTCTAGCAGTTCTAGAGGATAAAAATTCAAGGTCAAGGTGTCAGCAGAGCCATACGGTCTCTCTGAAGGTTCTAGGGGAGAATGTGTTTTATGATGGTCTCTGAGCTTCTGATGTTGTTAGAAATCTTGGTGTTCTTTGGCTTGTGGACACATCACTCCAATTCCTGCCTCCAGCATCACAAAGCATTCTTCCTGGGTTTCTGTCTCTGTATTTCTTCTCTTCTAAAAGACAAGGCATTGATGAACTAAGCGGAATTCTAATTTCATCCTCCATATTAAAAAGTCATCATCCTTCTTATTTTTTTAAAGCAAAGACTAAAGTAAGTGTCATCCATCCTCAATATTTTTTTAAAAGCAAGAACTAAAGTAAGCTGACATAGGGCACCATACGGCAGCTCAGCATCTTCCTAGACATCTGTGGTGGCTGCAGCAGAGTGAGTTTGGTCTTCTTCTCTCGAAGGAAGGAGGTGTTGGAGAAAGCATGTCATTCCCCACAGAAGCATTCCTCCCATTTCCCTTTGGTTTGGTGGCAATGATTCTAAGGACACCCACCTAGGCCAAAGGAGCCTGGCTGAGCAAAGTGAGCCTTAGCATATCTGTTTCTTTGCTTTTTTTTTTTTTTTTTTTTTGAGATGGAGTCTCACTCTGTCACCTAGGCTGGAGTGCTGTGGCACCATCTTAGCTCACTGTAACCTCCACCTCCCGGGTTCAAGCAATTCTCCTGCCCCAGCCTTCCAAGTAGCTGGGACTACAGGCATGCGCCACCACGCCCAGCTAATTTTTGTATTTTTAGTAGAGATGGGGTTTCACCATGTTGGCCAGGATGGTCTCAATCTCTTGACCTCGTCATCTGCCCACCTCAGCCTCCCAAAGTGGTAGGGTTACAGGAGTGAGCCACTGCGCCCGGCCTCTTTGCATTTCTTTACCGCTATTCACCCCACCCTTCCTTGCAAAGGCCACCAAACCAATGGGTGAGCTGGTTCACATGATTGTGCAGAATATGGATGTGGCTTTATTGGTATTTTATACATTAATAATGCTGTTCATTGTTAACATCAGTTCTCAATTTGGTGACCCAGCTTTCCTACATTTGGAGGTTCCACTATCCCATTACACTGAAAGACCTAAGGCCTTGGAAGCTTCTGACTTCATGAGGTAGAAGGAAGAAGGCAGAGCAAGAAAAGATCCACCTGCTTGTCATAAACTTTGGCCAAGATGTGCTACTAATCAGACCCATGGCCATACCTGATTGCAAATGGGGCTGGGAACTGTAGTTCTCGACAAGGCAGACACATTCTAGCAATAACTACACTTTAGGAATGGAGAACAACAAATTTTGGTCCACAACAGCTGTCTCTATCATAATCTTTTCTCTTGTGAATTTCCTATACTTTTATTTGCATAGGCTCTTTCTCTTTAAGCTACAAACATGTTCAGGAATTTGAGATGCTTACTATATACATTACATGTATATACCAGGTACTGTGCTAAGCCCTAGGAATACTGGTTATGCCTTTTTTCTGCTTCCCACATTTTAGTTATTTCTTCATGTATACTATCTCTTCTTGTACTCTTTTGGAAAATTAATCCACTTTCCAGATCTTCAGCCGTTGCTTCTGCAAGTTTAAAATCTCTAGCTCCAACAACATGAGAGCTCTATCCCAGACCTCCTTTATATTATTATTATTATTATTATTATTATTATTATTATTATTTTGAAACAGAATCTCACTTGTTGCCCAGACTGGAATGCAGTGGTGCAATCTTGGCTCACTGCAGCCTCAACCTCCTTGGGCTCAAGCAATCCTCCCAGCTCAGACTCCCAAGTACCTGAGACCACAGGCACATGCCATCACGCCCAACTAATTGTTTTGTATTTTTTGTAGAAACAAAGTCTCACTATGTTGCCCAGGCTCAGACCTTCTAACTGCCTGCCGAAGACGTCCTCCTGTTGGCATCTATGCCTCTACCTCACATCGTCCCAGCCAAACATCTAATTCCCTCTCCCATTTCTCACGTGGTTCCTCTGTCATCTGTGCTTTTCAGAAACATTTGTAAAACTCTTACTCATGAGCTAGTATGCTAAGTGTTCCTTCTCTTAAATTTTACTTATTTTCTAAATGAAAGCAACTTTAAGACAAAGATAAAGAAAATGGAGGGAAGAATCCATATGTAGTTTCCAAGAGACAGGTAAGAGGGGAGGGGAGGCAAGGAAACAAGCATTAGACTAGAGACCATCTGGTATCAGCTACATGGTGGGGCCAGAAGTCCCTCAAATCCATATGGCATAGGAGCTGCGAGACAAAACCAAGAGGCATTATGTTGCTGGTGGGTGGCTTGGAGTTAAGTTTATGGCTCTGGAAGAAACTATATTTTTTAATATGCATATATTTGAAGTAATTTGTAAATATTATAATTGTTTAAGATATTCAACCTATTTCTCTTACATTCTGAGACTCATACATATTTTATGAAGCAGATATTTTTCATATTAGCATATATAGCTAATATACAAAACAAAATGCTAAACACTTAGCTGAACCTGAATCTAAATGACTGCAATTATACAATCATCCCTACTCCACCCAACACACACACACACACACACACACACACACGCACATAGCCAAATATCTATTTTAATCTAAGCCTTGCAAAATCATTTAAATACAGAACACTGAAGTGATTCTACTACCTAATTTTAATATTTTATTCAATTAAAAAATGACTTCCTATGTGACATCTTTGATTTATTGTGTGATGCTTTTCCATCTTATAATTTGAATAGGTAATCATCAATGAGATTGCTGGTTTCAGTGATAATTACTCAGGTTTGGCTGTTTTTCACAAATCATATGCTGAAAAGCCTGGGGAGTTTAAGTCCTTCCCGATGCTATATAATCTATCTGATTCATTTTGTTACTGCGTGCTCTCTGTGATAGATAAAAATACAGCTAGCCTATTAGTTAAGTGCAAGTCCCGAGTAAAGGATAAATAACTGATGAGCAGCTTCAACCAACACCTCATCATGGCGTTTAACAGCTGCCAAAAGTACTGTATAATCTTTTGGAAAGCTTAATCGTTCTCTATTGCACTTTTTGAAAGTGAAGAGTAGTTACTAATCCTGGTGTTCGCACAAAATTTTCACAGTAGATCTTCATTGAATAAATAGTTCTGTTTCATATAAAGGTTTTGGTTTTATATAACACTTAACTGTTAGAGGTTAAACAAATAGCAGTGTACTAGCATGAAGAAAAATTGTATTTGGTAAAGAAAACTACATTTTAGGCTGTACTAAACTGTATGCTTAATTAGTGGTTTGAGAAAAGAGAAAATGTAAATCTTTCTGGAGGCCATGGAGTTTCCCTTTTTTTATTCCTTATTTTTTTCTCTCTCTCTTAAAAGAAAATCCTCGTAATAGTTCAATTAATCATGTTTTATCTTCCTGAAGTATGTTATTTCTCAAATGTGTGGGAGAAGTTGGCTTTCTTAAGGAAATGTAAGACTGTGTAGCAGCTTTTTTCCTTTTTAGTCATTGGCTTCTTAGAATCCTATTCATGTTGTTAAAACATTTACTTTGTTAGTGCTTCATTTTCAGAAAGGATGGCTCCAAAGCACTGTCTTGATTAATTTTAACTTATTTGTGACTTTCAAAGAGATAGGAGTAGACCTTATAAAAATACATTTGCATTTAGGTCATTAAAAATTAAAATTGACCAATTCAAACAAATTAAAGGGAAACAGGAATAATAATTCTGTAATTCTAAACTCAGTTTTCTGCAAGAAGAAAAAAAGGAGACAATTAACTAAATAACCTATTGTCTTATTAAAAAAGGAAAGAGAGAGAGAGTATGGAGGAATATTTAACAAGCAAATGGAAGCAAAAAAAAGCAGGGGTTTGAAATCCTAGTCTCTGATAAAACAAACTTTAAACCAACAAAGATCAGAAAAGACAAAGAAGGGCATTACATAATGGTAAAGAGACTGATGTAACAAGAAGACCTAACTATCCTAAATATATATGCACCCAGTAAAGGAGCACCCAGATTCATAAAACAAGTTCTTAGAGACCTACAAAGAGACTTAGACTCCCTCGTGATAATAGTGGGAGACTTTAACACCCCACTCTCAATATTAGACAGATCGAGACACAAAATTAACAAGGATATTCAAGACTTGAACTCAGCTGTGGATCAAGTGGACGTAATAGATGTCTACAGAACTCTCCACCCCAAATCAGTAGAATATACATTCTTCTCAGTGCCACATGACACTTATTCTAAAATCGACCACATAATTGCAAGTAAAACACTCCTCAGCAAATGCAAAAGAATGGAAATTATATAAGGAATGTATAAATTATAATTTGTATAATGTATAAATTATAATTTCCATTATGTATTATGGAAATTATAACATTATAAAATATAACCACAGTCCAATCAAATTAGAACTCAGGATTAAGAAATTACTCAAAACCTCACAACTACATGGAAATTGAACAACCTGCTCCTGAATGACTGCTGAGTAGAGAAAGAAATTAAGGCAGAAATCAAGAAGTTCTTTGAAACCAATGAGAACAAAGAGACAACATACCAGAATCTCTGGGACACAGTTAAAACAGTGTTAAGAGGGAAATTTATAGCACTAATTGCCCACATCAGAAAGCTGGGAAGATCTCAAATCAACACCCTAACATCACAATTAAAAGAACTAGAGAAGCAAGAGCAAACAAATTCAAAAGCTAGCAGAAGACAAGAAATAACTAAGATAAGAACAGAACTGAAGGAGATCGAGACACGAAAAACCCTTCAAAAAATCAATGAATTCAGGAGCCGGCTTTTTGAAAGGATTAACAAAATAGATAGACCACTAGCTAGACTAATAAAGAAGAAAAGAGAAGAATCAAATAGACACAATAAAAAAATGATAAAGGGGATGTCACCACTGACCCTACAGAAATACAAACCACCATCAGAGAATAATATAAACACCTCTATGCAAATAAACTAGAAAATCTAGAAGAAATGGATAAATTCCTGGACACATACACCATCCCAAGACTCAACCAGTAAGAAATCAAATCCCTGAATAAACTGATAACAAGTTCTGAAATTGAGGCAGTAATTAATAGCCTACTAACCAAAAAAAGCCCAGGACCAGACGGATTTACAGCTGAATTCTACCAGAGGTACAAAGAGGAGCTGGTACTATTCCTTCTGAAACTATTCCAAACAACAGAAAAAGAGGGACTTCTCCCTAACTCATTTTATGGGGCCAGAATCATCCTGATACCAAAACCCAGCAGACATACACACAAAAAAGAGAAAACTTCAGACCAATATCCCTGATGAACATTGATGTGAAGATCCTCTATAAAATACTGGCAAACCAAATCCAGCAGGGCATCAAAAAGTTTATCCACCATGATCAAGTCGGCTTCATCCCTGGGACGCAAGGCTGGTTCAACATATGAAAATCAATAAACATAAGCCATCATGTAAACAGAACCAATGACAAAATTCACATCATCTCAGTAGATGCAGGAAAGGCCTTTGATAAAATTCAACATCCCTACATGTTTAAAACTCTCAATAAATTAGACATTGATGGAACATATCTCAAAATGATAAGAGCTATTTATGACAAACCCATAGCCAATATCATACTGAGTAGGCAAATGCAGGCAGCATTCCCTTTGGAAACTGACACAAGACAAGGATGCCCTCTCTCACCACTCCTATTCAAGATAGTATTGGAAGTTCTGGCCAGGGCAATCAGGCAAGAGAAAGAAATAAAGCGTATTCAAATAGGAATAGAGGAAGTCAGATTGTCTCTTTTGGCAGCTGACATGATTCTATATTTAGAAAACCCCATCTTCTCAGCCGAAACACTTCTTAAGCTGATAAACAACTTCAGGAAAGTCTCAGGATACAAAATCAATGTGCAAAAACGACAAGCATTCCTGTACACCAACAATACACAAGCAGAGGGCCAAATCATGAATGAACTTCTGTTCACAATTGCTACAAAGAGAATAAAACTTACAAGGGGTGTGAAGGACTTCTTCAAGGAGAACTACAAATCACTGCTCAAGAAAATAAGAGAGGACACAAACAAATGGAAAAACATTCCATGCTCATGGATGGGAAGAATCAATATCATGAAAATGGCCATACTGTCCAAAGTAATTTATAGATTCAATGCTATTGCCATCAAGCTACCATTGACTTTCTTCACAGAAATAGAAAAAATCTACTTTAAATTTCATATGGAATCAAAAAAGAGCTGGTATAGCCAAGACAATCCTAAGCAAAAATAACAAAGCTGGAGGTATCACGCTACCTGACTTCAAACTATGCTACATGGCTACAGTAACCAAAACAACATGGTACTTGTACCAAAACAGATATACAGACCAATGGAACAGAACAGAGGCCTCAGAAATATCACCACACATATACAACAACCTGATATTCGACAAACCTGACCAAAGCAATGAGGAAAGGATTCCCTGTTTCATAAATAGTGCTGGGAAAACTGGCTAGCCATATGCAGAAAACTGAAACTGGACCTCTTCGATACACCTTATAGAAAAATTAACTCAAAATGGATTAAAGACTTAAATGTAAAAACCAACACTGTAAAAACTCTAGAAGAAAACCTAGGCACTACCATTTAGGACATAGGCTTGGGCAAAGACTTCATGACTGAAACACCAAAAGCAATTGCAACAAAAGCCAAAATTTACATATGTATCTAATTAAACTAAAGAGCTTCTGCACAGAAAAAGAAACTAGCATCAGGCTGAACAGGCAGCCTACAGAATGGGAGAAAATTTCTCCAATCTACCCATCTGGCAAAGTTCTAATATCTAGAATCTACAAGGAACTTAAAATTTACAAGAAAAAAACAACCCCATCAAAAAGTGGGTGAAGGATATGAACACACATTCTCAAAAGAACACATTTATGTGGCCAAGAAACATATGAAAAAAAGCTCTTCACCACTGATCATTAGAGAAATGCAAATTAAAACCACAGTGAGATACCATCTCATGACAGTCAGAATGACGATTATTAAAAGATCAAGAAACAAAGACGCTGGCAAGGCTGTGGAGAAACAGGAATGCTTTTACACTGTTGGTGGGAGTGTAAATTAGTTCAACCATTGTGGAAGACAGTGTGGCAATTCCTCAAGAATCTGGAACCAGAAATACCATTTGACCCAGCAATCCCATTACTGGGTATATCCCCAAAGGATTATAAATCATTCTACTATAAAGACACATGCACATGTATGTTCATTGCAGCACTATTCACAATAGCAAAGACTTGGAACCAACACAAATGCCCATCAATGATAGACTGGATAAAGACAATGTAGCACATGTACACCATGGAATACTATGCAGCCATAAAAAAGAATGAGATCATATCCTTTGCAGGGACATGGACAATGCTGGAAGCCATCATTCTCAGCAAACTAACACAGGAACAGAAAACCAAACACTGCATGTTCTCACTTATAAGTGGGAGTTGAACAATGAGAACACATGGACACAGGGAGGGGAACAACACACACCCACACAGAGGCCTGTTGGGGTAGGGGGCAAGAGGAGGGAGAGCATTAGGACAAATACCTAATGCATGTGGGGCTTAAAAGCTAGATGATGGGTTGATAGGTGCAGCAAACCACCATGGTACATGTATACCTATGTAACAAACCTGCACATTCTATACATGTATCCTGGAACTTAAAGTGAAATAAAAATGAAATAAAATAAGAGAGAGAGAGGAAACTTTTAAATTCCTTGAGAGACCAACCGTTTCCTAGAAACGAATATTAAAAGAAATATGTAATGCAAATATTTATTAAAATGACATTAAACAATGTAAACATTTAGTGGCAGTTTTCTGAGAAAAATGCAAAAATATACTTCTTATATATTCAATCCAGAATGAAAGCTTGAAGGTTTAATATGTAACTCTAGCAAAGTAAAAGTATTTCAGTAAGAGACCTAAGGTGATGAGTCTCTGAAATGTGGCTGTATTTTAATCTAACTTAATGAGCAATGTAGCTAAGTACACTCAGAGCAATGGACCTCTGCAGTTAGCATCTCTGAGTATCTTGGAACATGATTTTCCCATCCACCAACTTAACAGAAGCTTGATGTCAAAGAGTTCAAGGTTGGGCAAAATTGGGGTTGTGTCCAGTCTGTATGGCTGAACACAGATCTACATAATATGAACTAGATATGCAGAAGGCAAAGTAAACATTCTGCTGTGTAAACAGGAATCTAAATTTGCCTAATAAGAAACCAACTCAATTCTTACAGAGGTAAGCCTCTATGATGTTTGTAAACCTATTTCTTTTTTTCAATCAGGAAACTCCATTCTTAACTATCTTAGACATTTCTGAATAAGATTCTAGAATTCTTTTCTTAACCTGTTTATTTTGAAAAATTTTAAGTTTATTATAAATAAATAGTAACTATCCATCATTCAGTTTCAATAAAAATCAATATACAGCTAAAATTCAGACCTTCTCTCTCCTTCTTCTCCCCCAACTCTGGATTGTTCTGAGGCAAAGCCCAAATATTATAACATTTCCTTTATAAATATTTCACTCTGTACTCTGAAA
Organism: Homo sapiens; assembly: GCF_000001405.40. Taxonomy (NCBI): domain Eukaryota; kingdom Metazoa; phylum Chordata; class Mammalia; order Primates; family Hominidae; genus Homo; species Homo sapiens. Next base: position 162,452,079 of record NC_000002.12, on the reverse strand, counting down.
AGGTAAAGACTATTTTTAAAAGCACATAACTATAATATCATTTCCGTATCTACAAACAATAATTGTCAATAATTTCTGTGATAGTTTGTCTCCAAGATAACCCTAACTGATTGAATCCTTCCTTTCCACATGCATATCATTTCCCTGTCAAGAGATAGAGAGCATTCCCCTACTTTCATGAATCTGGGCTGGCCTGCTTCTACTTTTCCCAATAGAATATGGCACAAGTGAGGCTATAGAAGTTCTAGACCTTGACCTGAAGAAGCCTGGGAGTTTCCACTTCTTTTGGGAGTGCTGAGCCACCACATCTTACTACCCTGCTTAAGAGACCATAGGAGAGAACATATCTATTTATTTATTGATTGATCAAACTATCTATCTACATATATAGAGAGAGACCCAGCCACTCCAGCATCTTGGGTGAGCCCAGCCTTCCAACTATCTTCATCAAAGTACTAGACATGTGAATGAAGCCTTCTTGGACTCTCCACACAAGCTCCCCCACCAACTAAACATCACTGAATTACCCCAGTTGACATTCTGTGGAGAAGAAAAATTGACTAGCCAAGACCTGCCTAAATTTTGGATCCATAGAATCATAAGTAACAAAATGACTACTTTAGGTCACTATGTTTTGGTTTGATTTGATACAAGGAATAGATAACTAAAACAATTCTGTAATATTATCAATATTCAGTCAATATACAGCTTTATCCAATCAGTTTTTAAATATTTTGGATAGAGTTGGTTCGTTTGAACCAGGATTTCAACAGATAACCCTAGAACTCAAAACAATAATGAAAATATTTTATGCATCTGTAAACATTTCCCATTTTACCAACTACTTTTATAAAAAATATCTGATGTTATATGGTAGCTCTGGATAGATAGGTGGTTTTTGCAAAGATTACTATCTACATTACACAATTTTTTTAAAAAAAGAACTAGGTCTAGAGATTAAATGGCATATCAGAACAATTGTATCTGGACTTCAAACCCAGATTGTAGAATTTAAGGTCTAGTGCTCTTTCCTTTATTCCAAACACTTCAAAGATTTATATTACCTGATTGGGTCTAATAAGATTTGCTATTATTGGAACCATAAAGAAACAAGTATTTCTCCACTCCTCATCCTTATACCCTGAGATGTATCTATTCTCAAATATATCCCCTCCTCTCAATTTCTGCCACCTGGTTCCTAGTGTAGGCTTCCATTACTTCCCTCCTGGCATACCAAAGTCCTAATTGATCTCTAAGTATCTGGTCTTGATCCTCTTTCATTTTTCCTCCATTCCATTGCCAGATGCATCTGTCAAAAACCAAACTTGGCCACCTTGATTCCTCTGCCTAATAATATTTAATAATTCTCAAACTGATATCCATAGAAAGAAATGTTCTCAGAAGGCCACGAGTCCTGAAAAATCTTCAAAATTCCTGTATCTTGGTGAAAATTTAAAACAATAAATATAAGAATCTTCTGAATCATTAAGATGATTACCTAATAACAAAGTACTGCCATCTACCTGATTACAGTAATGATGACTGCATTTGGATTTACCTCATGATGCTAATGCTTGCTATATAAATAAAGCTTTTTGAAGTTGTTTGGCTATTAAAAGTCATGAGACAATTAAACGGTCACATAAAACATGCATAATGATGCAGAAATCAAAAGAACCAGTACCATAACATTTGATACCATACCAGTTTCTACAAATGCATTGTCAAAACACACTCCATTGTTATACATACCAAATTGCAGTGGTTCTGTGTCAATGGGCGTATTGGAATACAACACATGAACTCCCAGTACTAAGAGATAATGTGTTTAGATAATCACTTAATGTAGAATTCAATAATGCCCTAAAGCTAAACTTAAGTAAAGAAAAATATTTGTATAGTTTTCAAGTAACACCATTTAAATTGGCTTTTGAAGCCTAATAGGAACAGAGTTCACATTAAGAATTAGGTTAGTTTATCATGATAACGCAAGTAAATCTTTGAAGTTGGTAATACTACTCTGACAACATACTTTTTCAAAAAATACATTAAGATTAGAACAGAGAAAAATGTTGTATCTATTAGATTAAGCCATACACAATAGTCAAATTTCAATCATTTTTGATCTACAGAAATGTCAGATATTGAGTTAGTAATGAGAGTTTGAATTCACTGTTTTATAAATATTTTATTTTCAAGTGTTTTCATTTTTTGTCATTGTATTAGTTTTTTCAGGGCTGCCATAATAAACTACCACAAGCTGAGTGGCTTAAGACAACAGAAGTTTATTTTTGCACAATTCTGTGGTCTAGAAGTCTGAAATCAAGATGTGGGCAAGGTTGTTTCCTTCTGGAGGTTCTGAGGGAAAATACATCCTGTGCCTGTCTCTATTTGAGGTTCTGGTGGCTGTGGACAATCCACAGCATTCCTTGGCTTGCAGCTGTATCTGCTCCCGTGACACATGGCATTTTGGTTGTGTGTCTTTCTGTCTCTGTATCCAAACTTCTCTCTTCTTATAGGGATACCAGTTATTGGATTAAGGCCCACCCCAAACCACTGTGACCTCATCTTAACTTGATTTATATCTACAAAAACCCTCTTTCCAAATAAAGTCACATTCATAGGTACTGGGAATTATGACTTCAACACATCCTTGTAGGGTACACAATTTAACCCACAAGTCATATTAAGAGTTATAAGCATAAGAAGTTCTAATCTGTTTTTATTTTTGAACATATTTATCTAACATTGTAAATAAGAATAATATAAATCCTGCAATAATTGTCTTTCCTTTTAAAAAAAGAGCCTGTATATTATTCCTGTATGAGAAGGTTGACCTAAAGTACAGAGCCTGAGATCCCTATCCAGTCACATTAGACCTTCAGCAACCTGGAACTGGCCCTCTCCATGGCCGTCCTCTACCCTACTTCCCTGGCATTTTATTCTTTAGTAAAATATAAGGCTGCTTACAATTCCCCAACACACAACACATGATTTTATGCTTTCTTACCCTTGTTCATTCTGTCCCCTCTGCTTGTAATATCCTTCCCTTCCCAACTTCCTCATCCCTTAGCTGTGTCCTTTTCTGACTCCTATTCAGTCTCAGTTCAACTGCCATCTTTTCCCAAAAATCCTCTGTGAAGACTACCCACCTACTCCATCAGCACCATCACCAATCCCAGGCCCTGAGTGAAGTGGACCTCAAGGGGACTCCCATTTTCCCACACATCTGTCTCCAAACAGACTACAAACTCCAAGATCTCAGGGACAGTGTCTTCCCCATCTTTCAATCTCCAGCTCTTAGCACAGTGGTCATCTGAATGTTAAATGAAGGTGTGCCTGTGTGCCTATGTGGGATGGAAAGAGTTTCAGCCACAGTTCCAAGATTGCTGTTTGCATTCTAATTCATACTTCTGCTAAAAGAGGTATTGCAATTGCCCCATGTGGGAGGTTAGTATCGGAAGTTTGTCACCTAAGCAGTGAGCAAACTCACACAAATATACCTGTCATTAAAAGTGACTTATTTTTCCTCTTTGATTGACTACACGCCTTTTTTATGAAAAAGATTTGTGGATTTAAGGATATGGAAAGATCTCAGCAGCTCAAAAATTTTAGTCTTGTTTTGCTGGAGTGCCCTGGGTACACAGGAATCTAATGGAAGAAAGGACTAGAAAGATGGAATGGGTCCATATTTTAAATGACTTTAATGACTTTGAAAGCCAAAATAAAGCTGTGTATTTTGCTTTCTATATACTGAGTAGTTCTGCTTTTCTAGAAAGGAACATGACATATTTCCTTTTGTACAGACCAAAATGTCACACACTGGTTCTCTATACTAAGCATAATGGGATCAGAGTTCTATTAATCTGTACTTCTAAAATGACAGATAATTTAATTACTCCCGTTTGGATTTTGAAAGTCATATACTTATATATGTGTGTATCTTGGACTTTCAATATTTCACAGATAACAAAATCACTTTATTTTCCAGATTGCTCTTTTGCTAATAATTAGCTGCCATCATTTCTCATAATAGCTTAAAATAAAACCCTGTTCTCTCTATAAACTGGCTGGTTCAAATTTACAGTGGACTGATTAAGTGGTCAGGTCAGATTCTTTATTATTTTTTGAAAACTAGTTAAAGTAGTTTAGCAGTTATCAAAAAGCAGCTTTGCCTATTTTAGCTGAATCTTTTGTTATATTTAAAAGTTATATTGTGTCTCATTTGGGGTTATTTAACTTTCAAAGTCCTTTTAAAACTAGGGATGGTAACTCATTATGTGGGGATAAAAAGGTACGAGATATGACAATAAATATAAGATTTAAATTTCAAGTACACGTGACATAATTCATTACTACAGTCAAGTTAAAACAACATGAATAGAATTGCCAAAAACACAGAAATAACACTCTCTGACTAACCAATGGAGGATTACCTGAGATCCATGCTGCAAAGCTGATGATGTATTAATTGTGTTTAGAACAATCTAGTCTATGGAAATGTACTCAGTGAAATTAACTTTGAAATAGAGCCATTGTATATGTGTGGGATATTCATAGCATTAAATTAGAACCCACATTTCCCTTTTTAAATTGCTCTTTTTATGCCATTTGTGGAGCCATTACAAAATTTCAGCTTTTTAAAACCCATATATTAAGGCTTACATTTTACCCAATAAATTACACTTACTGGGTAGCTAAGTAACCTTTTTGTTTTGACTTTTGTTTTTAAAACTTAGTCTTAAATCACTAAATCATGGACTTTTCTACTTGGTAGAGACAAAACTGTACTTTAGCTTTCATTTTTTTCAGGTAAACTAAAACTCTAAAAGGTGAACTGTTTTAGTTTATCTGATGCCTTATAAGGAGAATAAATCTTGGAGGTGAAGTACCACTTGGTGTCTAAACACCTTGCAACATTTCCAGGTCAATATTCTGAACATCTCCTTGTAGCATTTTCTTTTTGCAGTTCTCTAAATGTGATGGAAGGGTTGGAATGCAAGTGTATTTGTCCCGGAATATCAAATACTCTCTCAACCTTTTAAGGAAAAGCCTCTTTTGTGTTCATTTTAATCTCATTTGCCTTTTTTCCCCTAATGTTAAAAACAGATTGCAGGTGGGAAATTCTGCTTAATTAAAATTTGAATGAGTTGGGTTTAATTTATCAAGGTGTAATTATAAATTAAATATATGTAAATTAAATGTGACCATGGATCCAAGTAGACTGCTTCTATTCATAACAACTAATCCTTTCCTAGATTTGAAAACTGCATTACTAATATATCAAAACCAACTTTGTGATTTTCTAAAAACAGCCATGTATTTTTACATCTGAGATGTACTACGTTCCAAAGGAAACAGTAACATTCCTCAGTATCTCAGTGGCAATATTTATTATTTTTTCAGTGAAATTCATATTTATCAAGAAATGCCATTGTGATTTTCTTGAGCCAAATACACTGTATAAGTTTATATGGGTTTATGTAATGTATGTGTGTGTTTCATAAATACTTCCAAATTACATGAATTCTCTCTAATAAATTTTACTGTATAATTAGTTCCCTTAATATTTGATAGGTTTACCAGATTAAAAATGGCATATTTATGTAGTGTATGATTTTCTTTTGCACATTCAGGTTCTCTCTTTAGGAGCAGATGTCCTACCTGAATACAAACTGCAGACACCACGCATCAACAAGTTTACGATATTGCACTACAGCCCTTTCAAGGCAGTCTGGGACTGGCTTATCCTGCTGTTGGTCATATACACTGCTATATTTACTCCCTACTCTGCAGCCTTCCTCCTCAATGACAGAGAAGAACAGAAAAGACGAGAATGTGGCTATTCTTGTAGCCCTTTGAATGTGGTAGACTTGATTGTGGATATTATGTTTATCATAGATATTTTAATAAACTTCAGAACAACATATGTAAATCAGAATGAAGAAGTGGTAAGTGATCCCGCCAAAATAGCAATACACTACTTCAAAGGCTGGTTCCTGATTGACATGGTTGCAGCAATTCCTTTTGACTTGCTGATTTTTGGATCAGGTTCTGATGAGGTAAGAACTGCTTAAGATTCTTATTTTCTGAAAGATTGCAATTATAAAAGTGAATCTATTTTAACTGCAAAAAGAAGAGTTGCTTTGCAAGCTTCTTGTATCTCACTGATAAAATTCATTTTCAATTGGGGATACTACAGAATGAAATGAAACCATTTTGCCATTGCAAATCAAATTCTTTCTCTTTTTGCTAAGAGATGCAAAAGATTCTCCATTCTTTACCCACCAAATTAAACTTGGAAACAAGTGGTCCATAGCACACAGCACATTCCCAGGATTTAAAATCTCTACTTATTAACTTCACGGGTGTAAAACTCTCAAATATTAAGTATGTCTCTGTTTTTCTTAACTCATTGTTAAGGTTTGAGACAGCAGAGATTTGTTTTTTGTTCAAATTATGTGAAGAGGGCACCTTCCGAAATGTCTTATTCAAATATGCTTTCTCTTAAATAATATTCAGCTTGGAAAGTACTTTTTGTGTATCCCAATGCCTAATAAAGTTGGAAACTAAGAAAATACGAGAAGTGTATGTATTGTGCATTTTCTGGATAGAGAGTCCAGAACTTTAATCAGCTCCTCAAAAGACTCTTTGATCCAAAAGAAGTTAAGTTTTCCTACAGTTCACTTCATCTAATTTCCATTATTTTTACCATTTATAAACTTTCTGAATTCTGTAACAGAAAGATTTATAGAATGCTTGAAAGTAGTTCCAAGGGAATAGGTTGAAAAAATCCTCGATATGTTGGATTTTTAAAAATTGTGTCTTTTTCTACATAAGAACCCTGCCCTGCACCAACTTCCTTCTCTCCCCAACAAAGAGGAGACCACCTCCTCTTGGCAGATGGCTGCTTCCTAGCCAATGAAGGCTTTAGAACAACATAATCCTCCTCGACCAAGGGGAACCAAAAGATTTTATTTCTAAATCTATTTATTTGTTAGAAATAAACTCTGATCGAACTGTGAGTCAGTTAAGAGCAGGGCAATGAAACAATACATTTTTCCTGGGTTCTACAATTTTAAACAAAGTCCCAACCTGACTTTCCTCATCTGTAAAAGGATGATAATAATATTACCTTCTCCTCTTGCTTTTTTTTTTCTAATTTGAGACTCTAATGAGATAGTACATGTGACTCAGCAAAATACTTTTTAAAAATCAGCTGTTCTTAATTAGCTGAACTTTTAATATTAGCTACTCCTAACTTTGGGTTTTAACTAAAAGAGAGTGAAATATTTCTTTATTAATATATATCTTTGAGTTTCTTATAATGGGTGGTTCACATCATTGCACCAAATAAGCTTATGTTGATGAACAATAAAATAAAACCTCATTCTTTCAAAAGTTAAAATATATGCACCAACAGCAAACATTAGTGATTTGTAGACAAGCTTAGAAGTATAATGGGAGAAGTTGTAAGAAGTTTGTGTCTTTTAAATTTTAAAGTCTGAATTTTAAAATGCACTAAAAATTCTGGACATAATGTAAGTGTTACCCCCAAATTAAAATCTAGTACTGCTGCCAATGTAGATCTTAGAACTAGAAGTAACCACAGGAAATTATCTAGTTCAATCCTCTGCCTAGGAAGCTAAAGTACTATTTACAGAATGAGACTGTTGAAACCTAGAATTGTTCAGTGATGCTCTCAGTTCTATTTTCTGCATTACTCTTAATTACTAATATAATACTTTATTTATTCAAAAATTTTTTGTTAGGTACCCTTCAAAGTGACAGCCACTGTCCTAGGTTTAGAGATTCAGAAGTAAATCAGACAAAGTTTGTGTTGTCCAGGAACTTACATTCTAGAATTGAGGAAGAGGGGTAGGGGATGGCAGAGGGCAAAAGACCATTAATAAACAAACCAACAAACACAGTGCAGAAAGGTTTCAGGAAAGAGTAAATGCTGTGATGATAGCAAAGCAGGTGGATGTGATAGAGAATGACCTGGATGGATGGCTAATTTGAATTGGAAATTACAAAAGGCCAGTAAGGAGAGGCCATTTGAGTTGAGACTTGATAGGAAGCAACCATCCACATGAGACCACCGTGCAGAGCATTTCACACAGAAGGAAACACTAGTGAAAATGTCGCATTTGGGGAACAAGTTTGTTATGGTAGAGGAACAGAAAGATGGCTGGTGGCTGCCAGGCTGAACCACACAGTAAGAGGTGGAATGCTAAGGTTTGAGAAGGCAGAGACAGAGACCAAATCACCTAGATATGTGGGATTTCTTACTTATTCTGGCTGCAATGGAGTCTTTGGAACAGGAATGATACTATCCGATGGACATTTTGAAGACTGCAAAGGCTGTCATCTGCAGACTGGAGAGTCAGGCTAGGAGCAGGGAACTAGTTCAGACCACATGTTGTGATGCAGGACAAAACAACAGCTTGGTAGCAACAGAAATGAAGAAAAGTAAAGAAATTTGGGATATATTTTGGAGGTGAGCTGCCAAGGCTTGTTGATGGATTAAGTATTGAATGGAAGAGTAGGAGAAAAAGCAGAATTAAGGGTGGTGCAAACATTTTTTGTTGCTTGTTTATTCTTATTGAAACATTTCTTTGGTGAAGGGCAGGAGGGTTGCTGAAGCAGAATTATAAATGGTAATGCATTTATTCAGATGAAAAAACCTTAGGGAGAAAAAGTGTGTTGTGGGGAAGAAATTCCTGTTTTAGCCAACTTAAGTTTGTGATGACTATTGGTTATTGAACTACAGGTGACATGTAGGCAAGTCAAGCACCCCATGAGCATCTAGAAAAATAATATGTCAGTATAAGAAGAGAAATGAGATCCATTAAATTAAATGTTAGATAGAATCCTGACAAAGATTGGTTTGGATCAGCTTCTAGACAAGAACCATGTGTCAGTTTTCTGTGTGGATCTGTTAAGGGTCTGGAGACACATATTTGACAGGTCAAAAATAAAGCCTTAAAACCTACACTTTTTAAAGTGGCAGGGATTTTGTTGTTTAGATATACAAGATCCAGTAGCCATATCTGGGATAAAGAGGAATCCCAGGAGAGGGCTTTCATATGTTCATAGATGAATATTTCTACACAGTAAATGCATAAGTACATAAATAAATGCATAAGTACATAAATAAACAAATTAAGAGTGATTTTCAACAAATTATAAGAACAGTCGTAATTTCTTAATTGCTTAATTTTAAGACACGGTCTCATTCTGTCACCCAAGCTAGTGTGCAGTGGTGTGATCTCAGCTCAATGCAGCCTCTGCCTCCTGGGCTCAAGTGATCCTCTGCCTCACCCCCCTGAGGAGCTGGGACTACAGGCAGACACCACCATACCCGGCTAATTTTCATATTTTTTTGCAGAGAGAGTTTCACTATGTTGTCCAGGCTGATCTTGAACTCTGAGCTCAAGTGATCTGCTTGCCTCAGCCTCCCAAAGTGCTGGAATTACAGGCGTGAGCCAGTGTGCCCGGCCCTAAAATGTTTTCTATCCATCAAAGCATCATAGATGAGCTTAGAAAACATAATTTTGTCAATGTCAATTAAACATTAATATCTTCTTTGCCAATTTCCCTAAATGTTAAGATACTGTAACACTTTTATTTACATTCAACCCTAGAAAAAAAATCAACTTTGTATCTATATTATGTAATCTATGTAACAGGTGTTAATAAATGCTAAGAGGATATATTGGCGTATACGTTTTTACTAAAGAAGACATGTCACGGCCGGGCGCAGTGGCTCACGCCTGTAATCCCAGCACTTTGGGAGGCCAAGACTGGCGGATCATGAGGTCAGGAGATCGAGACCATCCTGTCTAACACGGTGAAACCCCATCTCTACTAAAAATACAAAAAAATTAGCTGGGCGTGGTGGCGGGCGCCTGTAGTCCCAGCTACTCGGGAGTCTGAGGCAGGAGAATGGTGTGAACCTGGGAGGCGGAGCTTGCAGTGAGCAGAGATAGCAGAGATCGCACCACTGCACTCCAGCCTGGGCGAAAGAGCGAGACTCCATCTCAAAAAAAAAAAAAAAAAAAAAAAAAAAAAAAAAAAGAAGACCTAACTATTTAATTTTTTTCTCACATGGTTACAAATCACCTACAATAAGTAGAGGATATTCTATAATGTTAAAAAACATGTTGAAGAAAATAAATACTGGCAATAACTGGGCTTGCCTATGTCATTAATATCTCCCTGATGATAATGCCATCCAGAGAGACAATAAAAAGATTCTCTATTTCCTAATTTCTGCATCAGCAAACATCATACCACCCATTATGTCAATCATTGGCAAATTTTTTCTGTGTCATTGGTTCAAAGGAATAATGTTATTGGCTCAGTCTCCAGAAAGTTAACTTTTGATTATCCGCCTCATATTTTCCGGTATTTAGCTCATCTATGGCAAATCTTAATTTCAGAGATATTAGCAGCTGAAATCTACGAAACTCTGCTCAATTACATGCTTCATTAACCTCTTACTCCCCAGAAAATTAGGATTCTTGCAATTAATTATTTGCTTCATTGACCCCTTTCCTTTCACACTTTACCGTTATTTTTTCTGAATCCTGAATACAAGCAAAGAAGGCCTTTGAAACCTAAGTAACTACTGTGCTCTTTGAGGGAAAATTCCAATAGAAAAGAGGGATTCTGATCATAATAATATGTTTGATTTATTAGTCTGATAGATGAATTGTGAAATTGATGCAAGGAAAACATTAGCAGGTATCTATATGCAAACTCTGAGCATTTCGACAGCTGAACTTGATCTTTATAATAGATATCATTAGTTTATTTCTAAAACATCCAATATAATCATGTTCAACTTTTAGGAACAAATCATATTTTGCAGACACATATACATATACATTTCTACACATAAAGTTGCTAAGTCTCCTTAGATGGTTTTTGGGAGTTTAGACAGAAGTTTCTATTGGCTTATATTTGGAGCTATTGGTCATGCCTCTAAAAATGTATGGCATGACTTTTAAGAGATATGAGATCCCCAGTGGAAAAATTATTTTGCTTTTAGTTGATCATTTGTTCGTTTGTATGTGATTGATTGTCTACATTTTGCTAGAGATGGCATAAAGTATAACCCTTGGTAAAATATTTCTCAGGACAAGTCAAATTATCATTTAAAAAATATGACATCCCTAGTTATTTATTTGTTGTAACATTTGCATACTACTGTTTAGAATCACTTGATGGTCAGTTGTCTGCTACTGTACAGAAAGCCAAAGTGAGTTCAAATTGCAGAAAAATAAAATGTTAATTATAAAACAAAACAAAAATAAATGTCTCAATAATAAAGGTTATTAAATATTGAAATGAGTTTCCCAGTGAAATTGTAAAAATCTCCTCTTTAAAAGCCATACTTTAGAAGTATTTGTGAGGTCTGATATAAATAAATTACAATCTAGGTAATTCCCCAAGATTTTAGACACATTCAAAATATATTTCTTTGATTGTATTAGTAAATGCATCCTTAGAAATATTGCAATGATGTGGTTAAGCTGAACAAAGGACTAGAAACTAGTTTCTGATATTGTTGAGCTTTATTGGATAAATAATTGAATGATGTATATAAATACCAGAACTTAGAGGGGATTAGCTGAAATGAAATCTAAAGCAAAATATGAGTGTGGAGTAATGAAATTTATTACTTATCTCGTGTTAACATTTCCCCACTTGCACCCAAATATTTATTGACAAAAAGGACAAGTGATGGATTAAGTAGAAAGTTTCAGTGATCATTCATTCTATCAACCCTGCATATGAAACCAAAGATCACATACTTACATATTTTTATTTATAGAAGAATAATTGTATCACTTATTTATAGGCAAAGGTTTTAGAGAGTAAATTTCTGAAATAATATATTTTAAATATAAGATTCTTAAAAATGTTTACTAAAAAATAAGGTACAATTATTTTTCAAAAATTTTTTAATATTTTTGAACAAAATATTTTTTCTTATTAATGAGTCTCTCTTCATTTAACTGTAGACAATTTATTCTTGAGTAGAGAGTTGTTTAATACTGACAAGAAGTTACTTATTCTAATTTCAAGCCTTCAAAAAGAATTCCACTGGCATGAAGAGAGAATCTTGCCTGATTTATTGTAAAATATCTACAAAAAACAACCACACAGTCTTCTTGAGTCTGGACTTAGTATCTAACATACATACAAAACTTCATTGTTTAGAATATATATATATATTTTTTAAATAGTGCTTAGTTTAAAAATTAATGTACCTAATAAAGGGAACTAACTTCTACCTCAATATAAGAAGGCATCTAGGGCTTTAGTAAACAGTGGATGTGGATGTGTTTTTAAAGTTTTGAAATTGAATGATATTAATCAGCCACCCAGCAAAATGAATAATTGAATTTTTGGAAAGAGAGTTACTTTAGATTAAAAACAATAATATTGACAAGATACATTAAAAATAAAAATCTCACAGAGACTGACTTTACTGTGACATTTTGGAAAAAAGAGTTGGAAAATTATTCAATCACAATAAATAAGTTGAGTTCTGAGATAGCATGGGTGCTGGTGGGTGAAGTCTTGACTTGTTAAGAGTTCATTATGTCCCCTTTGCTATAGTTAGTGGCAGGACTGGAAAACAAAGTGCCTTGCTTCAATGTACTGCAAAATGACTCACCTGTTTTTGTATCTTATTTTCATTATGTGTTTGTATTTTATAACAATAACCACATTTTGCCATCTAGTGAGCTTTTATGCTCTTTTTAGTTGCTTTCAAGAATAACAATAAACAGACAATATTTTTCTAATACCAGTGAAAAGTTTAAGAAATACCATCTAAGAGACAGTTTTTTACTCTAGTTTTTAAAATTGTGAACAAATTTATGGATAGTTACATTTATTATATTTTCAAAAATCAAAAAATTGGGATTTCCATCATGTCTGGATATTACATGAAATTAGATGTGCTGGGAGATAATTATGCATTCTGAAAACAATTATACTCAGTCAAATTCTGATCTTAGCACAATATAATAGAGTAGTTGTTGGTCCTGTTTCACTTGCAGGTAACATAAAGATGGCCCATTAAACTAAACAATGGGGCTAAGGGTTCATAACAAATTGGCAGGAGAAGATTAATAATTATTAAATCTACTCTCTCTTAGATTTTAATGCAATCACTTCTCTCTATTCTGCAATCTGGGGCAAGACACCTTAAGTTTTTAAAGAAATATTAAAATAATAAGCAGGAAAGAGTTATTACAATCCTAAGCATCATCTACAAGATGTGTTATACACAACTGTAGCTAACAAAGAATGCCCAGATGTGTTAGCCGCAATTTGATAACAATAGAAGTAAGGCAAGGCATCTGTTACATTGTCAAGCCAGCATATGTAGTTATTCTGCAGTACATGTTACAGAATTACAAGAGAATAGCTTTGACTGTTGAAGTCAATATTCACTCATCCTTATAATGCAACTGAGAGACATAATTACTACTTAGTAATTTCTTCCCCTTCCCCCTACTTTGTGGCTCTCTCATTACTTCTGCAATTATTTAACATGAATACTGTCATACATGTTGAGACTTCAACATGTCCCATATATCTTAAACTTTCTTTTTCCAGAAATGATGTCACTTGTATGTTACTATGCACATTATATTGATTTATCTGCTTAGAGAACTTACTGTCATATAGATTTTGACTTCATTTTGATAGAATGCTAGAAGAAACATCAGAGATTTCTTTGGAAGGAAGGCAAAAAGGAAGGTTGCATGCACAGCAGATTTCATTGCTCTTCTTATCATAACATCATTTTTACTCTACCGTCTTTACAACCAGCAGAGTCATTAGTACTTATTATCACAATATGTTATAAAAACAGCTCATTTATTTTAAAGCTTTTCACTTCATTTAACCAACTATTTGGAGAATTTTTATTATACTTCATTTATTTTGAGGATCAGAAAGAAATTTGGCTCCAAAAACAAGAAAATTTTAACCATAATTCTCAAATATTTCTGATTTCTCAGGACAAATAAACAGAAAGTAGAATTAAGAGGAAAAATAAACATAGGAAGCTGAGCTGTGTAGAAATGGTGAAATGTTGAACCAGGGTGACTCCTACCAGAGTCTGAGCAGTCAGTGTGCCTCATGAAGTCCCTTTGTTTCAATGCCCCTGCCATTTCTTGAGGCGAGCTGCAAGGCCAGTACGGAAAGGCCCCCACTTGTGATTCCAGATATCTAAGTATTGCGTTTAAAAAGGGTGGAAGCTCTTTCAACCCATTTCACAACATAAAGTTCCTGCTTATTGATGGAAAGAAAAATGTAAAGGATGTTTAAATAGAAACATAGAGTTCCTGTTTATTGGGTATTATCTATAACTCTGTAAGGTTGGCCTTATTATTTGTATTCACAGATGAAGAAACTACACTTCATATACAGATGAAGTGTAAGATTAAATGAATAACTTATCCAAGGGGACATTCTATGGAGGCAGAATTCAAACATAAGTTTGTCTGTTCCAAAGTCGTAGCACATAACTGCTAAGCTAAAATATTGATAATACATATATTAGAAAGTTTGCTTTTCTCTCAGGGATCCAGCCAATAATAATTTAAAACCTATATTCATTCATAGGGAAGAAATATACTTTTAAACCTATAAAGAAGAAAAAAAGCAAGCACCTTCATTCCACTCTGAAAAACAACTCAGTACTGGAGACAGAGAAGACTCACCTCTCTAAACATCCCCAAATGAGCAGAGACCAGAGTCTAGTTATGATAAATACATGTCAACTACACAAGTTCCTCTCAACTTTAAAGGGTTCCAATACTAACAGAGAATAATTCAGGGGAGACTAAGGGATCCCCTTTCCCTTGTGATTGCTATGGCACAAGGGAAAAACAAGAAACTGTAGAACACTTATTAGAACATTCTTTTAAAGACAGGGTCTTGCTCTGTTGCCCAGGCTTGAGTGCAGTGGCACAATAATAGCTCACTGCAATCTCAAATTCCTGGGCTCAAGTGATCCTCCACCTCAGCCTCTAGAATAGCTGGGACTACAGGCATCCACCACCATACCCAGCTAATTTATTTTATTTTATTTTAATTTTTTGTATAGGCCGAGTCTCACTATATTGCCCAGGCTGGTCTCAAATACCTGGGCTCAAGTGATCCTACTGCTTCAGCCTGCCAAAGTACTGGGATTATAGGCACAAGCCACCACAACCAGCAAGAACATTTTAATGAAAAAGCTTTTTTAATATTTAGTGCTCCTTTTTCATCATCAATATTAATACATAGGGTGTGGTAGTTATTCCATGTGCTATTTCTTCCATTAAGATATAAGTGTTCTTAATGTAGTTGGATGTGCTTTGGGAAATAAGCAGCAACAATGAACAGATAAAATAACTCAATAATTGATTGGTAAACACCATGTAACTATGGAATAATTATATGCCCTGTGAATTATATAGTACTTATAGTTGACATTATTTAGGAAACCTAAGAAATGAACTTGTAATTTGTACTTATCAGATTTGAAGTCCAAACAACCAGTTAAGTATCCTGTTATTATATAGAAGTAGCCTATCATTAGATACCCGGTCAGTAATAATCACCCAATTAGTTACACATATCATAGCCAAAAGCAAAATGCAATTATAATATCACTGGGACATCAAGAAATAATTTCTCAATTTAGCACACTTAGGAATAAAAAATGCATTTAAATGTAGTGCCTAATTCATGCATGCAATCATCCAATAAGTGTTCCCACAGTTATGGGAAGAAGGGGCTTGACTGGCTCCTTCTCATTATACAGATGGTTTGCAACTCAAATGTCAGCTCCTCAGCAAGGCCCTTCTTGGTCTTCATTTTTAAAGCAGTTTCTACCCCAATCCATGCCTCCAAATACCCTCTGTCATATTTCTCTGCTTACTATCATCATGGCACTTTGTTCTCTCTGAAATTAATTATTTGTTTGTTTTTAAAAAATCTCTCTCTCCTCAGTAGACTAGGATCTTGTTTTCTCTTCATTAGATTAGACACTTTGTCTGTTAAATAGCTGTCTCTATTAGGAAAGTAACCATGTCTGTTTGTTTAACACTATAATATCAGCCTGTGGCGTTAGTAGGCACACAGTAACACACTAGAATGTATGTTGGTGAATGAATGAGTCACTGAGGACTTATGCAAGGCACTTAGAACATAAAACAAGACAGATTCTGTGCCCCATGTCTTGCATGCCACAATACTGAATTAATGTGTCATGCACTTTCAAAGTATTTTCCAAAGCAGGTATCACATAAAAAAAAAAGAACCAAGTTTAATACTGAATTTAAATAGGCAGTTATCCTTAATGCTACCCTATTGTCTTAACCTGTTTTTGTCCACTTTGCTTCATATGAATGTACTTTGAATTGTTTGCCGACCGTTTCTGACTGTGTACATTTATTTCTACAGACAACAACATTAATTGGTCTTTTGAAGACTGCCCGACTCCTCCGTCTTGTGCGCGTGGCCAGGAAACTGGATCGATATTCAGAATATGGCGCTGCTGTTCTAATGCTCTTAATGTGCATCTTTGCCCTGATTGCTCACTGGCTGGCTTGCATTTGGTATGCGATTGGGAATGTAGAAAGGCCTTACCTGACTGACAAAATCGGATGGTTGGATTCCTTAGGACAGCAAATTGGGAAACGTTACAATGACAGTGACTCAAGTTCTGGACCATCCATTAAAGACAAATACGTCACAGCACTTTATTTTACCTTCAGCAGTTTAACCAGTGTAGGATTCGGGAATGTGTCTCCTAACACGAATTCGGAGAAAATCTTTTCAATTTGTGTCATGTTGATTGGCTGTAAGTAGCTTTCTCTTCTGTTGTCTATTAGGATAGAATAATACCTTGAAATTAATATTTCTACAATATTTAGAGTAAGGCAAAGAAAAAGATTACAGAAAATTGAGGAGATAATGGGATTACATATATGGGTACTGTATTCCATCAAATCTGATTCTCTCTGTGAAGTAGAGACACCAAAAGGTCTTTTTGAACCTTAGGGAACTATGGGCATAAAATTGGAGCAACATGGTTTCAGGAATTGAAACTTGCAGTCCAGTTTTACTGCTATACAAAGAGTATCTGTAATTTATTACCAATGGTTATTTTCTATTTCAAGCTGAGGCTAGATTAGAATGGGAAATACTCATTTACACTACATGATGATAGATAGATAGATATAAAAAATGTACAAACATAAAAAATGTTAACCATATATATCATTACAACAATTATTCTGTAAACTGATCTTTCATATACATATGTATGTATGTGTATATATATATATATATACATGCAACATACACATACCAATTTATACATAATATACATGTAATTTTCCCTGTCATTGACTAAAAATTTCTTTTCCTGTGGCATTATGTCAAGATCTAAGTGATTGGTTAATGTCATGAGCATCATTCATAACAGATATTCTTTGGAATTAAAAAAGCTTTGTTAAAAGATGTTTTAATATTAACATGTATTTTTTAATAACGCTGCGGAGCCACTGAAGGTGAACTTGCTGTTTCCAGGCAGCAATCAGCAAAAGCATAAAAGCATGATGGATTTTTGTTTTCATTTTTTCACCGTATTTTAAAAAATAATTTCAACTTTTATTTTAGATTCAGGGGGTATGTGCACAGGTTTGTTACATGGGTATATTGTGTGATGCTGAAGTTTGGGGTATGAATGATTCCCATCACCCAGATCATGAGCATAGTACCCAATAGGTAGTTTTTCAGTCCTTGCCCCCATCCCTTTATCTCACTCTACTAGTCCTCCATGTCTATTGTTCTCATCTTTATGTCCATGCGTACGTAATGCTTAGCCTCCACTTATAAGTGAGAACATGTGGTCTTTGGTTTTCTGTTCCTGTATTAATTCACTTAGGATAATGGCCTCCAGCTGCCGCCATGTTGCTGCAAAGGACATGCTTTTTTTTCTTTTTTATGGCTGCATAGTAGTCCATATTGTATATGTACTACGTTTTATTTATCCGGTTTACTGCTGATGGACATCTAGGTTGATTCCATGTCTTCTTCAGTGTGAATACTGCTGCAATGAACATATAAGTACATGTGTCTTTTTGGTAGAACGATTTATTTTTCTTCAGGTATATACCCAGTAATGGAATTGTTGGGTCGAATGATAATTCTGTTTTAAGTTGTTTGAGAAACCTTCAAACTGCATTCCACAGTTGCTGAACTAATTTATATTTCCCTCAAGCAATAAATGCTTATATTCCCCAATATAAGCATTCCATTTTCTCCACAGCCTCACCAGCATCTGTTATCCAGATGGTATTTCCTAGGTTTTCTTCTAGGATTCTTATGGTTTGAGGTCTTACATTCCAATCTTAAATCCATCTTGATTTAATTTTTGTAGATGGTGAAAGATAGGGGTCCAGTTCAGCACTTCTGCATATGGCTAGCCAGCTGTCTCAGCACCATTTATTGAATAGGGAGTCCTTTATACATTGCTTATTTTCATCAACTTTGTTGAAGATCAGATGGCTGTAGGTGTGCAGCTTTATTTCTGGGTTTTCTATTCTATTCTATTGGCCTATGTGTCTGTTTTTGTACCAGTACCATGCTGTTTTGGTTACTGTGACCTTATAGTATAGTTTGAAGTCGGGTAATGTGATGCCTCCAGCTTTGCTCTTTTTGTTCAGGATTGCTTTGACTATTCAGGCTCTGTTTCACTTTCTATAAATTTCATAATCGTTTTTTCTAATTCTGTGGAAAATGACATTGGTAGTTTGGTAGGAATAGCATTGAATCTGTAAATTGCTTTGGGGAGTATGGACATTTTAACAATATTGCCTCTTTTTATTCATGAGCATGGAATGTTTGTCCATTTGTTTGTGTCATCTATGATTTCTTTCAGCAGTGTTTTGTAGGTCTCCTTGTAGAGACCTTTCACCTCCTTGGTTAGATGTATTCCCCGCTATTTTATTTTTTGACTGTTGTAAATGGGATTGCATTCTTGATTTGGAACATTATTGGTTCATGAAATGCTACTAATTTTTGCACATTGATTCTGTATCTCGAAACTTTACTGAAGACATTTATCATTTCTAGAATATTTTTGGTTGTTTATAGGAAGAGAATAATATTATCAGCAAAGAGGGATAATTTGACTTCTTTTCCTGTTTGGAGGCCTTCTATTTCTTTCTCTTGCCTGCTTGTTCTAGCTAGGACTTCCAGTGCTAAGTTGAATAGGAGTAGTGAGAGTGGGCATCCTTGTGTTGCTCCTGCTTAATGGGAATGCTTCCAGTTTTTTCCCATTCATGATATTGGCTGTGGGTTTGCAACAGATTGCTTTTATTATTTCAAAGTATGATCTTTCAATGCCTAGTTTGTTGAGCGTTTTTAATCAGGAAAATTTTGGATTTTAAGCATGGTTTATTTCTAAAGATTCAAAAAGAACATCATCCTTAGAATGCATAGAAAGTTGAAAATAGATCCTGATCGTTGATTTTTAAATGTCAACATGATAATAAAATGTGCTTAGATAAATCCCTATTAATGAAATTTAAATAAATTCACCAAGTTTATTGTCTACTTTATATAAAATGTACTTTTCATATTTTTAGTGTTATTTTAGTAGCATTTGTATAAACAAATAACATTACATTTCAATAACTATTAAGACATTCTACAAATTCAGTCCAAGTCTAGGCTGCAAACACAGAAGTAACATTGTACCCAGAAAGAAATGGAAGTTGAATCTCCTAGAATAATAGAAATATGTATTCCAGAGAGACAGAACACAGAGCAAACACAGTTCCAACCATTTTGCGATTAAAACTAATAGTAAACACTTTATAGGGGTCATCTGCTTTAGTGGCATAGGTATCAAACAAGGAAATAATTGATCTTAATTAAACACATATATAGCAGAAATATCCTTTTAAGAAAATAGAACCTGTATTTTGAAACTTAGAATTTTTAAGAAAGACTTTTAAAAATGCACTTAAGTTTAGCCAGTTCACCACTCAGTAATCCACACCACTTGTGAGGATTAAGTAAAATACGTAGTGCTATTTATCATGTGGATTTTTTAAAATTGAAGATAGCTCAGTTCTTTACTTGCTCTACACCTGATCTCCATTCCCTCAATCAGGGAATTTTAGGCAATTTTCTTCCTTTGTCCTTCCTTCCTTCCTTTTTTCTTTCCTTCCTTTTTTTCCTTTTAAATATAGCACTAGACTATTTCTATTAATTTATTAAGAATAATACATGTTTTCTGCAGATGAATTGTATCTTTCAAGAAAAAAGAAAACACTCTAATCAAATTGATTACAGTAAGATACACCCACATTTCACATACCATCATTTATTTGAATATAAGACTTGGTTCTATACACCTTAATCCAAATGGGATTATGTAAAGCTTTATGTCACACAGGAAATACTTTATAGGTACTCCTGGAGAACTGCACCATGACATATTATGTCATAAATAAGGAAAAGAGTAAAATTAAGACTTGAAATTTGGCAATAATAAGAATACTGAAATTTATGTACCCATTTTGATGTATATAGGTGTATATGCACATGATATTCCCAGTTAAATCTAACTATATTCAAAAATGATATGGTTTTATCTATGCACATACTCCTCAGACCCATTAGTGGCCTTATTTTAGCCTGAAAAAAATAAAATAACAAAAAATGTGATAAAAGATCGTATATGTGCTAATTACAACTATTGTGGTTATCAGGTTGAACTTTCTCAGCATCCTGTGTTTAACTCTAATCTTTATTCTAAAAGAAAAATTGAAGCCAAGTTGTAGAAAACAAGGCAATCAGCCTTCTATCTTATAGCGATATAATTGAAGGAAACTAAAAATAAAACATTAAATGCAAATAGTAAATATCTAATGCATATAGATTGTTATATGCATTTTTAAAAGCTGCTATTTGCAAAGACAGTTTTTGTACTGCTGACTGTGTACAGAGTACAGTAACCAGATAATACATTTTAAAAGTGTGTATAATTCAAAATAAAAAAGGAAGACTGTGAAGTCATTAAATAATTGTAAATATAAGTGATGCTCATATGTTTATACCTGTTTTCTAACATATAGCATAATTTTATATCTTAAATATTATAAATAACATGTATATATTTAATTTTTAAAAACACGTAAACCAGAAAAATAAAGGCAAATGTATTCCATTTCTGACCTGCTTGACAAGCATCTTGATTGGGAGAATTTCTTATTTTTGTAGCATGTAAAAAAAAAAGTTACTGGAGTTCTGCTTCCAGTTATGATGGAGTTACTAAAACCTTACTCTCCTTCTATTAAAAACATACAGAAAACTGAACAAAATATATAAGGCAATTGTTTTCAGGCACTGGAAAATTAATAGGGAAGTTTGATCCCTGAAAGAAGGAAAGCAAACAATATGGGCCACGTGTTATCTTGGCTTTTTGCCTGGAGGCACTTCCTGGACCACAGTGAACACAGAAGGGAGAAATAACCTAAGCAGACCCCAGCAGTCTTACGGAGTTAAGAAAACAAGATCAGAGGTCATGGAGACTAAGGTGCTGCAATTTGCAAGACAGGCAACAGGAGATGTAGTTATGGAAAAGAAAAGCTCCAGAAACCTACATAGGTATCCTTTTGAATCTACTTATGAATACTAAGTCACAAATGCATGGGGTAAAACTCCCAAAAACCCAGCAAAGAAATTCCAGAAGTACTATAAGCTAAACAATTTCCAGAGCTCACATAGATGTGGGAGATTTTCAAATTTTAACCAGCAGAAAGGAAAACCCTTATTAACATCCAGGGTATTTGGTAGAAATCTCAGAAAAAAATAGTGCTGTCGTACTAGGGCTAATCTGTCCCTCAAAAAAGCTTAAACAGCAAGCTTCAAAAGGAACAAGCAGATCCT
The DNA here is from genome assembly GCF_000001405.40 of Homo sapiens. Taxonomy (NCBI): domain Eukaryota; kingdom Metazoa; phylum Chordata; class Mammalia; order Primates; family Hominidae; genus Homo; species Homo sapiens. Next base: position 162,430,092 of record NC_000002.12, on the reverse strand, counting down.
CAAGTGGTTTAACTCCTGCAAGAACATCTAACTTTTTTTAAGACAAAAAAAAAGTTACAAGCATTGAAGAAGGTTAAATGTATAGTGCCCAATATCTATTTAAAATTTAAGAGCTATTATAAGAAACAGAAAAATGTGATTCTTAACAGGAAAAAAAAATCAAGTAAAATGGGACCAGAATTTACAAAGATGATGAAGGCAAGCAAAAAAAAAAATCTGTTTTTTTAATGATAGAAATTTTTAACTTTAAAAATAATGGCAGAAATTTTTCCAAAATTAATGAAAACTATAAAACCACATATCCAAGAAGTCCAGTGAATCCCAAACAAGTTAAGTATGAATAAAATACACTGGTGCACATCATAATCAAATATTAAATGCTGCTATAGAAAAATGACACATCATATACAAAGGAAAAAGATAATGTTGATAGATTTCTTATTAGAACAATGAAAGCCAAAAGACAATGGAACAAAATCGTTATATTGCTGAAAGAAAAACAAAATCTCTCAACATAGGAATCTGTGTTTAATTAAACTACTCTTCAAAAATGACAAAACCTGACATAATTCTTCATGAGCAGTCTACAAGAAATGATAAAGTTCTTCAGGTTAAAGAAAATTATACCAGATGAAAATTTGGATCAACACAAAGGAACGAAAAACTAGAAGTGGTAAATGTGTGAGTAAAAAAAAAAAAAAAAAAAAAAGACTTTTTCCTCATTTCTAAATGTCTTAAAAAATAATTGACTCCTTAAAGCAAAAAATAATGTCAATGAATGTGCAGGTTTTATAACATATGTAGAAGGAGAAATTATGACAATGATAGTACCAAAAAGTGGGAAGAAGAAATAGAAGTATATATTGCTGTAAGATTCCTACATCATTCTTGAGATGGTATTATGCTATTTAAAGCAGATGTTGACCAATTTAAAATGCATGTTATAAATCCTACAACTATAGCTAACAAGCCAACAGGAAAGACAAAATGAAATAATAACAAAATAACAAATGTAAAATATTGTAGGAAATAAGTGAAAAGGGAAATGCAGAAAACAAATAGCAAGATAGTATATTTAAACCCAAATATATCAATAATTGCATTAAATATAAATGATCTAAATGCTTTCATTGAAATGGAGAAATTATCAGAAAGCATTTTTAAAAATAAGACAGCCATATGCTGTCTAAAGAAAACATACTTATAAAGAGTAAAAAAAATTAAAAAGAATGTTCATACAAATCCTAATCATAAGAAAATCTGAAGAACAGTATTAACTTCAGACAATGTAGCGTTATTAACTTCAGGACAGGTACTATTACCAAAGATAAAATAGACAAATATAGCAATCCTAAATGTGTATGCACTCAATTACAGAACTTTAAATTACATGAAGGAAAAACTGATGTAACTGAAAGGAGAAATTGACAAATTCACAAGACAAATTCATAATTATAGTTTGCAATGTTAACACTCCTCTCTCAGCGTTTTATAGAATAAATAGACCAAATGAATAAAAATATAGAAAACTTAAATAATACTAACAGCTAAACTTGACATATTGACAATTATAAAATACTAGCAGAATACACGCTCTTTTCTAGCATGTATGGAACATTTACCAGTAGACAAGCCATATGCTGGGCTACAAAACAAGTCTCAATAAATTTGAAAATGCTAAAATCATACAAAGTATTTATCTGACCATAGAGAAACCAGAAATCAACAATAAAAGAAAGAAGGGGAGAAGGAGGAAGAGGGCAAGGAGTAGGAGAAAAAACTGATAGATGTTTAGAAAGTCCCCAAATGTTTAGAAATAGGTTCCAAATAGCTCACAGTTCAAAGAAGAAATCACATGGAAAATTACAAACTATTTTTAACTTAATAAAAATGAAAATAAAATGTATCAAAATTTGTATAGGGCACCTAAGGCATTTTTTAGTGATAAATCTATAGCTTTAAGTGTTTTTATTTAAAAAGGAGATCTAAAATCAAAAATCTAAGCTTGTATTTTAAGAAGCTAGTAAAAGGCAAGCAAATTAAAACCTAATACAACTGGAAGAAAAGAAATAATAGATATAAGAGCAGAAGTCAATAAAAATAGAAAACAAACAAGAGAGAAAGTTAATGGAAGTAATTTTTAAAATCAGTCAAACTGATAAGCCTCCAACTAGACTAAAAGAGAGAACATAAGTTACTGTCCTGTATGAAAGAAAGATAATAACACAAGTCTTATGGACATTAAAAGGATAAGAAAAGAACATTATAAAGAACAATAAACTTGACAATTTAGATCAAATGAAAAAATTATTTGAATTATACACATTACCAAAACTGAAACAAACAAAATTAACTCTGAATCATAAAAGAAAAATTGATAAATTGGATTTCATCAAAATTAATAACTTCTGCTCTTCAAAACACACCATTAAGAAAAGGAATGGACAAATGGTAGACTGGAAGAAAATATTTTCAATACCGAGATCATAAAAGGGCTTATATCCAGAATATATCAATAATTCTTACAAATCCATAATAAGAAGACAACTCAATTTAAAAATGGGTGAAGTATTTGAAAAGACAGTTCACAAAATATATATGAATGATGAATAAAGTCATGAAAAGATGTCATTAATCATCAGGAAAATGCACATTAAAACTCTAATGAGATATTACATGTACACACTACAATGGTTAAAATTAAAGACTGATGAAACCAAGTGTTGGAGAGGATATGGAACAAATAGTATTTTCATACATTGCTGGGGAGAATGTAAAATGATACAACTTTGAAAAACAGTTTGGCAGTTTCTTATAAAGTTAAATGTACCACACAACTCAGCAATTCCACTCTTAGGTGTTTAAAAGGGAAATGAAAATATAAGCCCACACAAAGACTTGTATACAAGTGTTCATGGCAGTTTTATTCATAATAGCCAAAAACTAGAAACAGCAAGGTTTCCATCAACAGGAGAAGAGATAAACAAACTGTGGTATAGCCATATGATGCACATCAATTCAGCAGTTAAAAAAAAAACAAATTACTGATACACACAACAGAATGATTCTCAAAAACATTATGTTGAGCAAAAGAAGTCAGTCACAAATGTACATAATGAATATGTACATTATAATTCCACTTATATAAAATCCTAGAAAATGCAAACTAATCTGTAATGACATAAAGGAGCTCGGTGGTTGTCTAAGGTCTGAAGTGAGTGGTTACAAGCAGCCAAAGAACACAAGGAGACTTTTAGAGTGAAGAAAATGTTCTATATCATGATCATGTTTACAGAGGTGTATACATTTGTCAAAACTAATTGAACTATACACTTAAAATAGATGCATCTTACATATAAATTACACATCAATAAAATTTATTTTATTAAGTTACAGAGTTGTTTAAATTTATGTAGTAGAAATGCAGGTGTATTTGTCAACATGTTTCAGCTAATATCTTCTGACCAACCAAATATATTAGTATGGTCAGCATATCAGAATTAAGGCGTGGTGTGCTGAAGGAATTTTTAAGAGAACCCTGTTTGATTTCTATAATACCTAAACTAAAGCAAACCATTTGGATGAAAAAAGAACTCCCTATTTTATAAAACTAAAAATACTGAGTTAAGGAGAGATGCCTAGATATCCATAGTCTGTCAACTTGCTTTTGATTGATATTTTTGCCAGTTGGGCATCAACTAAATAATATGTACAGAACATAAGTATTTTATTCTTCTCTCTAGCTTACAACCTCTAGCTCCATTTCCTTCCTAAAAAATAGGAAAAAGATTAATGTCTTTATGATAATTTAAAAGTCATAATCACAGAATTTCCTAAAAATAAGTATTTCAGGTCACTTTTTTTTTTTTTTTTTTTTTAAAGATAGGGTCTCACTCTGTCACCCAGGCTGGAGTGCAGTGGCGTGAACTTGGCTCACTGCAACCTGAGCCTCCCTGGATCAAGCAATTCTCGTGCCTCAGCTTCCGGAATAGCTGGTGCTACAGGCGCACACCACCATACCTGGCTAATGTTTGTATTTGTTGTAGAGATGGGGTTTTGCCATCTTGCCCAGACTGGTCTCGAACCGCTGAGCTCAGGTGATCCACCTGCCTCAGCCTCCCAAAGTGCTGGGATTACAGGCATGAGCCACCGCGCCTGACCATAAATTAGTCTCTTATCTATTCAACTATGTACTTATAATCCAGATTTTGTTTCATCTTGACAGCAAGTGGGAAATGCTTGTTTATGACCTAAACTAACATTTTGGTTAATTTTGATGGTAGAGATAAAACTCTACCATCCAAATAACATCTAATTTGCTAAAATCTATTTAATAAATAAGAATTTTTCCTGATCTTTCTTGATCATGTGATGGTTTAGGTAAAACATGTGTTTCCTGATCACGTGTGGTTTAGGTAAAACAAACAGCATTGATTTTGTGCCCTCTGACTGAATCTACTTCCTGAGCACATGATAGGTATTTTGGAAACATAGCATCACACGTAATTGTTTCCCCACTACATTTAGGATGAGTAAAACGTATTTTTCACATGAATCTCCTTGGATCACAGCAATCAATTTCTGGCAAATATTGTTAATTCTCTTTTTAAAGAATGATTCATTTACTCAAAAACAATTTAGGCTCACCTTTTCTTCATGTAGAAGATACAATCTAAACATCTGCTCTACCTTACAGAGAATTAATGTCTCATACATGCCAATTCAGCCTCACTAGAGATCTCCTGTATTAGTCTGGAAGTCCAGAGAAGCAGAACCAAAAGATAGGTAGATACTAGATAGACATATATGTTTGAATATAGATAAAGATATAAAGAGATTTATTCGAAGAAATTGGCTCGCACAGTTATAGAGGCTGAAAAGTCTCAAGATCTGTACTCAGTAACTGGGTCTAGACCACGGAGAGCCCATGATGTGTTTTCAGTCTGAGTCGGAGCGCAAGTCCAAAGGCTGGAGTAGACTGATATTCCTGCTCAGACAGTCAAGCACAGAGTTCATTCTCCTTTACTTCCCCTTTTTCTTCTATTCAGGCCTTCAATGAGTTGGATGCAGCCCACCCACAGTGGGGAGGACAATCTGCTTTACTTGTTTACTGAACCAAATGCTAATCTCCTCTGCAAACCCCTTACAGACACACCCAGAATATTTGTGTAACCAAATATCCAGGCACACTGTGGCCCAGTCAAGTTGATATAAAATTAACCACCACATCTCCCCAACTTTCATCCCCTTAAATAGATAAAAACAAGGGGTCACTGCTTTCCCTGGGACTTTCTCTTACTTGGGATATCTATGGTACATAAGGATCTTGATAACCAATCATGACAAGATAAGCAAACAAGGTAAGATGGAAAAGCAAGCAAGTGCCCAGGAAAGCATATTAGTTTAAAACATGGCCAGAATCTGGCCAAAGCTTACTTTGAAAATGATTAAGTGGATTATAGAAGCAATTGTTTATAAAATTTGTTTGAGGGAAAAAAATGTGTTGTTTGAATTTACTTTAATTAAACACTTCAAATTCTTGTTGCTGCTTTCCCCACCCTGGTATATAGCTATTCCAGTGATTTAAACATATGTTACCATATCTCTCAGTTTCTGATAGATGCCCAAAGATCAATATTCAGAATATATATCGTGATGTGACTTTCTGTACAGAGAATAGCATTTATTTTTAGAATTATTAGAAATAAATACAAATATAAACAAGAGAGAAAGTGCTTAAAGAGCTTATTTTAAATCATGAAGATTTAGTGTAAGAAGCACCAATACAGATATTCTACCTAAATGCTGATTATGTTGCAAGGGATCTCATAGCGGTTTCTTCCCATAGATGAAAGAACAAAAATGTGTTCTATTTTTTCCCTACAAAAATAAAGCTATGTGAATTTTCTAAGCCAGAGATATGTTTCTTATGCAAAAATACTATGAAAATGAATTGGAATAGGATAAAAACTGTATACAAATTAACACTCTAAGGAAACTGGTTTCTTAAAAGAATTTGCTATCCCTTAACAAACCTAATGTATTCAAAATAATCTCAAATTTAATAATAGATTTTTATTCTACAAGGTTAGATTTGAGGCTGAAAGGCAGAAATAAGTCACAATTTAAAACTAATGTGTTAACTCCAATTCAAAAAGGGTTTTTAAATCCCTAAAAGATGCTTTTGCCTCATATTTTTTTCAAGAAAATGTATTTATGGTGAGCCATGAGATGCCTTCTTTTTCAAGTGAAAGGGTTTATTTCAAATGCATTTTCTCCCTAGTCAGTGCTCCCAGCCACAAGCTGATGTAATAAACAATCTGAGTTTTCACTTTCATTTAGAATCCATGATGAATTTGGATACTTTCCCTCTCCAGCTTTATCACTAAAATTATGAAATGTAAAGCAGTTTTAGTTTAACTTCTTTTTTTCCCCGTGATCCAATGGTAAATCCCCACTAGATTGAGATAATCAAAATCCACATGCTTGATACTCTAACAATATATAACACACCTATGTGCAGTTTCCCCGATAACTTTGTTTTTTATCCAATCCAGCACTAATGTATGCAAGCATTTTTGGGAATGTATCTGCAATTATCCAAAGACTATACTCGGGAACTGCCAGGTACCACATGCAGATGCTGCGAGTAAAAGAGTTCATTCGCTTTCACCAAATCCCCAACCCTCTGAGGCAACGTCTTGAAGAATATTTCCAGCACGCATGGACTTACACCAATGGCATTGACATGAACATGGTATGTATGTCTGTTTTCCAAAATGAAAGTGCCGCAGGCATTATAGTGATAGCCAAAATGGAATAAAAGCCGGAATCACCAGCTTTGAACCCCTTGCTTTTGTTTTCTTCTCTCGGATGTGTATTTTCTCCCCTGGAGATAGTCTCTCATTCTCAATTCATGGCATTGCATGGTGCTATATCTAGTTATACTGTGTGGCAAAGGCATTATAACATGATGCAAACTGATATAACTGTGTGTAGTAGAGTTCCCACTTCTGGTGAGAGAGAGCATTGCTTTAGCTGGGACTTGGGTTTTTACTGCATGGCCTCATTGCCAACACCCCCAAAAAATAGTTGAATCCAGTTGCAATAACATTTGGCAAGTAAACAGTAATAATTATGATGCCCCCAAACAGAGATCCCAGGTTAACACACTTTAAAAGACAGGAAATTGAAAACTTATAGGAGAGGTCAGGAAGCTTAAGTATACATAAGCACTTTATGATAGGAAGTTTCACACTTTTAAGAATTTTTTTTCTATATTTTAAACAATCTACGCTGTGCCCTTTTACTGTACCTGGTTTAATGCGTCTTTCCTTTCAAGGGGAAATATGGATCCCTTCATATTTTTCCTTCAACTTTTAAGCAAATTCAGCATCAGCAATCACCTGTCATAACCTCCCTTCCTGTATCACTGCTCAAAAATCAACACTATTAATAATATTAATGTTGTCCAAAGACCTCTTTTTATTATTAGGAGAATTGCCCACATTCTTTTACCTTGCAATTTGGCTCTAAAGGCTGATTGCTAAATAAATTATACAACAAATCCAAATTCTATGACATATCGTAGAGCATCAGAAAAAAAAGAATAAAAATATGGTGGCTTCCCATATGGCTACTCCTCCACTGGGCAAGGACCCTGTTTCTAAGAATTTCTAAGAAAATAAAAGCACTCATATTTAATTATGTCAATTGCATGAAACAATTTTTGTGTAAGTGAGCCTGTACAATTTAAATTGGTACTTTCTGCTTGACCACTAATATTCTAATGGAGAAAGAAGGGTTCAAAATTAGCAGGAATGGTGCAGAAAGCACTGCAAATATTGCCCAATTTGAAAGTAATATTTATATATGGATAAGTTTATCATAGCTGTGTGTGATGTATTTGATTGAGAAGGACATGCCATGACAAAAATGTTAATTTGAAGAGCTAATCAAATGAACACTTTTCACACAAAACTCCATGAGTCATTTCTAATCATTCCAAAGTTCCTTGTGAAAAATTCTTTTGTAAATTAATCCCCCAAAAGAACACTTTAATCTCACAAGAAAGAGATCACTTTTCTATATTTCCATCACTATTATTGTTTAACAAAGGTATCAGCATTCAAAATCTTTTGGGGACTCTCTGCTGCTGGGTTGGCTGAAGCAGTGTCAAGAATTCTTAATCAAAACATGTCACTCATTTTTTGTTGTTCCATACTGCCAGATTATTTCAAAAACAGTAGCAAAACAATTATTTTACCCCCCTCCATGTAACTCTAGTTTTGTGACCATTTTTTGTGATAAAGTCTATTTTGTGACAACTATTTACCTTTCATTGTTTGACTCTATTACCTATGAATATGGTTTATATACCACTTGCCTATTTACAATGTACTTATGAAAGATTTATCTCTTTCCTGTCTGCTTCACACCTTAATAAATGGAATCACAACACCCACCGGTAAGAACAGGAGGTATTTATATCCAATTTAATTATCGTGTAAATTGTGGAGAACACCCTTGTTATCTGTCAGGTTTAGAGCTTGTTAAATGATTTCCAGTGTTAGTTCTGAACTTTTTTGCATGATGTAGCTGAGGAAATACAAAGCAAGAAACTGGGGAAGATAACCTGGAAGAGGCCAAGTACAGAATAGAAATCCTTAACTTTAACAATGACTTGACCTCTAACAATATTTATATACAATTTCCCAGTCCCCATAAAAATTCACTTCTCTGCCCCTATCCCGACTCTGGTAAAGGCTATGGGTATACGGTTTGCATTAGACAATTGTCATAAATAAAATGTCATTCTCTTTCATTATCTTCTATTTTCATGATGTAGGTGCTTTTCTTTCCTCTCATCTGCATGCCTGTATTACATCGTCCTGGAGTGTGTGAGCTCTAAACCATGTGCCGCTGAGTCTTGCATGTGGTTTTGAGAGCTTGACTTTGCACGGACTTCTTGTTTGTGTACAGTGTCTACATTTCTCATTTTGTGACTGCAAAGTGAGTAAGCAAACTGCAAGATAACTCTGAACACTCAGCAAATGGAAGATGCTTACTTGTTAAGCACTACTTATGAAACAAAGTTGATTAGAGAAAAAGCAACTGTAGCCTTAGACTATTGAGAGTTTAAAAAAAAAATCAAAATGGATTTTTTTTACCTCCAAAACCACACTTGAAATCCCTGTGTATTGTCAACTAAATTGTAATTTAATCGCAGTTTAAAATCATTCAAATTTATGTATCGTCACACATAAAAGCATATTAAACTTGTATTTCGCATCAGCATTCCATGATATTTTACGTATAACCTTAAATATAATTTCTCACGAAACATTTCAGGTCATTTTCACTGTTCAACCATGTCCAAATGAAGTACGAGATATTCAATCACACTGTATTAATTGACCTAAAATTATTTTTACGAACAAAACCATTCGATTGTTTGATAGACCACAAAAAATAAGAAATAATTGACCTAAAAAGAGTGGCCATATCCTTTAATCCCTGCATCTTTTGCTTTTTGTGTAAAAGCTATTGCCAGAATGTTTCAAAACTTAAAGCACTGTGGGAACAAGTATGGACTCCCTTTTAATTGAGCCAAATGGTTCAGAGTACAAAAGGAAATGGGCCAGAATAATGAAGCCAGTGAAAGAATCATGGTGTTTTGTTTTGTTTTGTATTGTTTTTGTTTTTGTTTTTGTTTTTGAGATGGAGTCTTGCTCTATTTCCCAGCCTAGAGTGCAGCAGTGCCATCTAGGCTCACTGCAACCTCCACCTCCTGGGTTCAAGCAATTCTCCTGCCTCAGCCTCCTGAGTAGCTGGGATTAGAGGCACATGCCACCACGCCTGGCTAATTTTTGTATTTTTAGTAGAGATAGGCTTTCACCATGTTGGCCAGGATGGTCTTGGCCTCCTGATCTCAAGTGATCTGCCGCCTTGGCCTCCCAAAGTGCTGGGATTACAGGTGAGAGCCACCATGCCTGGCCTAGATTGTGTTTTTTTGAGTATGATCTCATATTAGGAATAGCAAAAAGTATTTGAAAGATGTGCAGAAGTTAATTCTGGAAAACTGTCTTCCCTCTACCTCCAACATTTTTAGTTAGGAGTGAAGAGATATTTTTTTTCAGAGTAGAACTGATAGCATCTCAATGAATTTCTCCAAATCAAAGCTGTCTTCTGATCTACTCTGAAACTTTCTGAGGTTACCTAACACTGTTTTAGTTACAACACTACCACAGTAATGAAAATCATCTTTCATATCAGCATAGAATCAAGTGGCCTCACATCACACACAGGAGCCTGGCTTGAATGAAGAAGGACTCCAATGACCATGGTCCATATATCTTTCTGGATGAAGAGAAATAAACTATTTAGGGCAGAGGCTACTCCTAAATTTCATATTATAATTGCATGGAAAAAATGCCTGTATGAGCATTTAATGGAGAATTTACTCCTTACCTGAAAATAGCACCTCCTCCCCCACCAAATAATGCCCAAATAATATAAAAAATGCAGAATAGGGATTCAGAAGACCTAAAAACTAACTCTCAGTCTGCCACTACTCTTGGACAAGTCACTTAACCTCTCTGCAATTTCATTAAATTTGTTGTTTTCCAATATTTTTTAAAGCACTGGAACTCAAATATGCTAAATGTGCAGAAACGTTATTATGGGAGCTTTTCTGCTTGAGGATGGCAATTCTAACCTATTTGCTGCCTATCCCCCAACTCAGGTAATCCAGAAACAGTTTTCATTTATTTTAGTAAGAAAAGGGAATAGTTGCTTTTTTTTTTTTTTTTTTTTTTTAGCCTGGGACATTAATGGAGGAAATTTTGAGAGACAGACATAGAAAGTAGTTGGAATAAGAGCCTAGGAAGAGGTATAAACTCTCAGCTGGGTGGATAGGGGATAGGTAAGTTTTTCTTAAAGACAGGCAGGAAAGAAAAGAGAAGGGGTGAAGGTATTAGCTTGCAGGTTTAAAAGGGAACTTGATAGCACTTCCATTGCATCGTTCAGTTTCCTAGGTCAAGCAGAGACTAGATGAATCCTGATAAAGGAGGAAGTGCAAGATAGAAGTGTAGCTCAAGACAGGGAGAGCTTTTGGAGCTTTTAATCGAGTTAGCTTAATAAGCTAAAAAAATCTTAGGATCATAGTGAGATGCTGAGTGACACAGCATAGACCTGTAATGGACCCTATGAACAAAGCCAGTCAAAAGTGGAACAGAGAATAATAAAGAATGATATGCTGTTTAATATAAATTTATATTGCTTGGGGCTGATGTGACTTCCAAGGAACATTTTAATGAAAACTTGACTTTCTTTACCTTCACAACTCTTTTAGTTTCTCTATGATCTGTCAGAGCAGTCTCCACTATTAACACAGAGCTTATCTCTGCACCTACAGTCTAATCCTACTCCATCAGAAACTTTGTTACACTCATTCTCTAAACTTATTTAAAAGACTTCATCTGGGCCAGACCTTTATATTTAGATTGTGGAGTGTTTTGATACACCATAGCGAAGTATAATGGTGAACTCTTTCAGTTATGTTCAATTCAGCAACTCCGATGAAAACAATTCTTGTGACAATATACCCCATCAAAAATGTAAAAGCAAAATTTGCAAAGTAGCGTGGCTTGCCTTCACTGTATAGCTTTCATCTCCCTTACTTTTTTCTAATGATTTTTTATCTACTGAAGTTGATAAATACAGTCCATGACCTAGACTGATATGTATATCATACAGCTATAATAAAATTTCAGAAATATGATGCCCTCATATCCAGATAATCCTCCATGCATTTAAAAGGGGGTATAAAGATTGGCCAAAACCTACATTTAAATGATAATGACCCACAGGACTGGCAACACCTTTTGGTTTTCTATAAATACATAGTTACCATTTAGGAGTTGAATTAAAATAATAGTTTTGCACAATGCACTTGAAAAGATGTTGTCATCTGCATGTAGATTAGTTGATAGGAATTGCCTGGCTCTGCAGAAACTGGGAATGTACTAAAATTTCACACTGGCAAGAAGTCTACTACTATGAACACACAAATTTATCACTCATGATCACCTACTGTAGCCAGCCCCTGAACAGCAGGTGCTTTTAAAAGGCAAAGTTCACTTGCCTTTCCTATTTTACACCAAGGCTACTTACCCTACAGTTCTTCAAAATATTACAAAGAACAAGAAAACACCATCTGGAGCCCGCTGACATGAACAATGTCAAGCTTAAGACAGGCATCTAATGTTTTCAGGTCACAAATGGTACATGTTCATCTTGCACAAGTGATGATGGTCACTTCATCCTGGTCTCCAACCATCATCAAGGAGGACTTATTTACAGTTGGAATGATGCTGCTTCTATGCAAAGTGAGTTCTTCAGTGGTAGGATCTGACCTTTAGCCCATCTTAAGTCAAGAAAAATAATGACAGTATGCCCTAGAGCTTTCCATATTACAAAAAGTCTACAGAAACATTACACTGAGGTGGTGAACCTACTTTGATGCTTCAGTTTCTCCATTTATTAATAATGTTACTCTTACAGTAGTTAGAAAGTGGAAATGATGTCTCAAATTGTTTTTTGAAATTCTTAAAATAATGTTCCTATTTGAATAGAACTGTAGAGTGGAATTTCTTATGCTGAAGGGTATGATGTGTTTCAAAAAACTTTGGACTGGTAGGAGCATAGGAATAATTCAACTCAATTCAGTTTCAGATCACTTGATAATCAACACAGGTGAAGCCATTAATAAAAAATAGAGATCATCAAAGTTCAGTTATAACAGATTCTTTGGAAATATGATTTTAAGTCTCTTTTCATTCAAATGCTAGAATAACTCAGCATTTCTTAAACCTAATGGAATCAAAGCATCCACAATATTTTTTTCCAAAATAAAAGTCCTATATTTTCTTTAGTAGAAGTCATATCCAGTGGACTGGGATTGATGTTATAAATGGATATGAAAATGGTCCACCCAATATGTCATATTTCATAATCATTGTTTTTTTAAAAGTGAAAACATTCAGATGTAGTTCATCTTAGCCCAAATTATCATATAGCCTTAAAGCAGCAATAGCTCAAGAAATTTAGATATATTTTAATTGTTTTTCTCAGTTTAGACATATTGCAATCCATGTGGATGAGTGTGGATGGAAAAAATACATAATCATTACGTTTCATGCCAGATATACCTAAAAAGAAATCTCCTTTACTTTGCATCTTGGGGTCCTATTATCCAGGTGAGCCACCCCCAGCATAACTCTACGTTCACCTTAGGGACCATCTCATAAGAGCTTTCTTTATTGGGTTGGGTAGGGGGCATCACCTCTGATGATGCATTTTTAACACTCCAGAGCTATGCTGAATCATTTCCATATATGCTGTCATTCATTCTTCCCTCTCTTCTGTTAATCTTCTTAGATCAGTATGCTGTGCAACCCACACAAAGCTAAAACATGTCTGTGGTTAGGAAAACCTACCATAGTGGGAAAATAAGCCAAATACTCACTCTCCACAAAGGCGAAATTATTTTATTTGGATCATAGAGGTGCATCTCAAGCTATCATCTGATTCTGTGTGGTGAATTGCAAGGTGTGAGTGCTAGGAAAATGTGTTTTCCAAGATAGGGATTTAGCCCAGAGCCTAACTATGATTTTATCTGTTTTGTCTATGAGCTATTCTTTTTTTTTTTTTTTTTCTAGAGACGGAGTCTCACACTGTTGCTCAGGATGGAGTGCAGTGGCAAGATCTCAGCTCACTGCAACTTCCACCTCCTGGGTTCAAGCGATTCTCCTGTCTCAGCCTCCCCAGTAGCTGGTACTACAGGCGCCCACCATGATGCTGGGCTAATTTTTGTATTTTTAGTAGAGACGGAGTTTCACCATACGAACTCCTGACCTTGTGATCCGCCCTCCTTGGACTCCCAAAGTGGTGGGATTACAGGCGTGAGCCACTACGCCCAGCCTATGAGCTATTCTTAATATTTAATAGCAGGCAACACCACACTGAGGTCAGAGTATTATAATAAAGCAATTCCCTTTGACTAGATATCTAAAGAACAAAGGAGAGTATAATGCCAGGAAAACAGCTACATGGTGCAAAATTTTACAAGCCGGACTTCTAAAAGACAAACAAAAATATATAGGCTGGCCTAGAGAAATCATGGGTGGAGACATTCTTGGAGTAAAAGCAGAGTGGAAGCATGTAGACAGTGGTCAGAATGAAGAAAAGGACTAGGTTACATAACATTTATATCCCATGCTTTCTAAATATGAGAATAACATTAAATGGAAGTTTAAATCTGCACCTTGCTTTATTCCCTTTCCTTTCATTCTCACCCATCTTAGCATACAGAATTGAGATTTATAAATTTTTTTAAAAAAATTGTTATTAAACATTAATGATTGGTTGTCATAAGTTTATGGTTTTATATTGGCAATTCTTAAAGAGAAAAAATATCTTAACCAATCACTGAAGCAAAGTTAAAGGAAACATTAGGAAGACCTAACTTTTTTCAAATTAAAGTATAGAATCATTGTAAATTATCAAACAGTAAAATAATTTGTTTTACAGTGATTAAAAAGTACTTTATATCTTTTCACTTACAGACAACACCCTAATATAACATCACCTTGCAACCATACTTGTGGCATATCATATACATACATTTTTTTCTCTTACAGACTTATCATAGCCTGATAAGAATTTGTTTTTAAATTGGGAAGCATCTTCTGTGCTGGTGCATTTCATAGATATGTCAATCTAAAGAAAGAAACTGAAGCAAAATTTATATAGAGAGTTTATTTAGACCAAGGTTGAGGACTTGCAGCTGGGAAACACTGGGAAATGCTCCAGAGAACAAAGGAGAGGCTCAAAGGTTTTTTGGTTTTGTTTTGCTGTTTTTTTGTTTTTTGTTTTTTTTTTTAAAAAAAGGACAAATCAGGAGAGTGGGCAATTAGAAAAGTTGTTTGTCAGGAACTCTCATTGGTTTACAGAAATAGCATTGGTTAGTGATTAGCTATACATTGTTAAATATACGGCATGATTTATGGTATCCAGCATATGGCATTGTTAGGTCAATTTCTATCAATTGGTGGGACTCTAGAGTCTGGATAGCAGGTGGATTACTTAGCTTAAGGTAGGGAGTAAGACATGACTGCTCTCACATGTCATTACCTCTATAGGCCTCATAATTTAAAGGGACTTGCATTCCTTAGATAAAAAGTTATTTGCCTTCTCATATACACAAATTTTACTTAAATAAAATTGCAACATCTCTACTTTTTTATGAAAGGGATTTTTAAAATGCAACATTTTTAAGATTTTTTTATACTTCAATTTTTATACTTTACTCATCCCATTATCTATTACCTATGTGTGTAAACTTCCATAACTTTTAATATGCTAATATAATTATACTTATATTTGCATGTATACAGACATATATACATATTTACACACACATATAGTTGCATAATTTAATCTAAAAAACATTTAATTATGTGCAGTCCATGTTTCTCCCTTAATATCTCGTGAAAATATCTCCAACTTGGCTAATACAACTAATTCATTCCTTTTAATGGCATGTACATTCCATAGTAGTTTATTTTATATACTATAACTATATAATGCATAATATAATAATATATAACTACATATTATACTTATACTAATGGTTTCTTCTCTTGTATTAATGGCTTCATTGCTGGGCATTCATTTGACTTCTAATTTCATGCCACTTCAAACAATACTGCAATAAACCCACTTACATATTTTCCCTTACTTATACTTTTATATTTATGGGTAGATTCTCAGATAAGGGATTTTTGAGTTAAAGATTATATGTAATTTTAATTTTAATAGCTATTGTAAGATTACATTCCAAAAATGCTTAACAATTTACATTTCTATTAACAATGTTGGTACTTTTCCCCCTTCCCTTTACTAGCGCTGGGTGTTATGGTTCTTTTCAATTTTTGCCAGTTTAATGGATATATGAAAATTTGTTTTTACTCTAATGACATTTTCTGAGTACTGTTAAATGTAAGCACCTTTTTCATTCATTCATATATACATACACACATATTATTTGGCTTTTTTATTCTATGAATTGCCCATTCGTAGCATTTTTTGCATATTTTCCATTATTTTTTCCGTATTATTTTATTTTATAAGAACTTTGTAGATATTAATGCTTTTTATATTGTAATATGATCCTAATATATTTTCAATATGTTCGTTTGTTTAAGGACTATTTTGGATACAAAATAGTCCTTAACATTGCTGTTTTTTTTTAATATTATCTAATTGGTCAACTTTTATTTTATAGTTCACAGATCCTTTCCTGTTTTAAAAAGGCCCTACTAAACTTTTGGAATATATGAGTCATTTCCTAAATTTTTTTATACGATTTGGTATATGATTAGAAAGAAAACTCCACAATCTGTTTGAAATCTAGTTTTGTAAATGATTTCCTTCACATGAATAGAAAATAGTCGTGGTAGAATTTATTAAATAAGCCATTCTTTTTTCATTTAATTAAAATAACACCTGTGTTACACATTACATCATTGGGTATAATTGGGATACATATCTAGACTCTAAAGGCTGCTCTATTTGTCCACTCAGTGTAGTATAAGAATGGTTTGGCTGGGCACAGTGGCTCACCCCTGTAATTCCAGCACTTTGGGAGGCCAAAGCGGGTGGATCACCTGAGGTCAGGAGTTCGAGACTAGCCTGGCCAACGTGGTGAAACCCCATGTACTAAAAATACAAAAATTAGCTGGTCGTGGTGGCAGGCACCTGCAATCCCAGCTATCTGGGAGGCTGAGGCAGGAGAATGTCCTGAAGCCAGGAGGTGGAGGTTAAGGTGAGCCAAATCATGCCATTGCACTCCACCCTGGGGGACAAGAGCAGGACTCCATCTTAAAAAAAACAAAAAAAATGGTTTGTGTTTAGCAGTTTTATATAATATTTTAATATCTGGTAAGGTAGGTGGACACTTACTAATCTTAT
The DNA here is from genome assembly GCF_000001405.40 of Homo sapiens. Taxonomy (NCBI): domain Eukaryota; kingdom Metazoa; phylum Chordata; class Mammalia; order Primates; family Hominidae; genus Homo; species Homo sapiens. The sequence goes on along the minus strand of NC_000002.12, from coordinate 162,413,058 downwards.
TTTGCTCATTTCTCCTGGCTATTTAAGAACCTTTATTCTTCCATAAAAAATATATGACTTTTTAAATTCAGTTACAACTTACTTCATGTTAGGCTTTTGAAATAAACCAAAGATCAGATTGTTAAATATGGCTCCCAAGAGTGAGAAATCATAGCCACTATCAAGATTTACTAATAATTTCAAGGATTTAGGAATTATGAGCATAGGCACGGAGATCTTCCTTGCCATGTTAGTATGAGTTCAGGAGGACTGTAAATGATATATGTGATTATACGACACTTAAACAGAATCTCTTTCGGTCATTAAACAGTTACATTTTATATTCTGGACATTACACAGCTTATATGACATTTTCCAGAAAGTCATGTTCTATTAATGAAAGATTGGCCTGTCATAGATGATTATCTAGATACATCCTGCTAAAAATACTCCATAAATGGGCACTATTCCACTAATAAGTGCCCTTACTGTGTTTGCCAGGAGCAGGTCACTAATGTTTGTCAGTAGCTGGCCATTTTTCTTCTCTGTTATTTCTTGGGAAATATAGAAAACAGATTGTAGGTCTATTCTAACTCTTATTTAAATATAACTTTGGTATTTAAATATTAAGTTGTCATCCATGCTTCACATTAAAATCATCTGAAATTTTTATAATAGTTAAATAAGAATTGCTTAAAGTCTGTGTCAGTATTTTTATAAATCTAATACGTAGACAAAGTTGAGAATCACTGGTTTATATCTTAAAAAACAAAATCCAGTTCAATAAGATTTTATCATTTTCTTCTTAAAAAGTTTTACCTTTATTGTGAAATATCTTTATTAATTTTATATAGCATAGTGAGTCAAATAAAATATATTAAGCATTTCCATTTTTACCTGCTTATAGATAATAAAGAATAAAACTATTTATCTTCTATCCAGCCAATTTAGCAAATTCTGATAGAATTTGTTTTTGTTTGGTTTAATTTGTTTTCTCTGTAACCAAGTTTTGGGTTAATTTATTTTTCTTTAACAAATTCTGAAGGACTTCTTTTTGGTTTGGTTCAATTTGACCTCATTCTGATAGTACTTTGTAGTTTGATTTAATTTGGTTTGTTCTGGTCTGTTTGAATGGTAGGTGGTCCTCTTGAGGATTTAATATTGGATGTTCTAAGCATACAATCATCAGCAGCAAGAAGAGATAAATTCATTTTCTATTTTTAATAGCAACTACTTATTGGGGTGTTTTTGATTCACTAGAATTTCCAAAATAATTTTGAAAAAAAAGTTGATTTCAATTTTAAAAATTTAATTAAAAATAATAAAATTATTATTTTAATAAATATCTTAATAGTTGATTTAATTAAAGAAGTGTTAAGACTAATACTACTATAATATCCTTGCACTCATGAAATGAATCCTACTTGATCGTAGATTTTTGTAATTATTTTTAAATTTTTTCTTTCTTCCACTTTTATTTTAGGTTTGGGGGTACCTATGCAGGTTTGTTACATAGGTAAATTGTGTGTCACTGAGGCTTGATGTACAAATGATCCCAAGGTAGTGAACATAGTGCCCAGTGGTACCCTTTCTTACCACTCTTCCTTTTCACCCTCCCTCCTCAAGCAGTCCTCAATGTCTATTGTTCCCATCTTTATGTCCATGTGTATTCAATGTCTAGCTGCCACTTATAAGTGAGAACATGTAGTATTTGGTTTCCTGTTCCTGCATTAGTTTGTTTAGAGTAATGGCTTCCAGCTGCATCCATGTTGCTGCAAAGGACATAATTTCATTCTTTTTTATGGTTGCATAGTATTCCATTGCATATATGTGCCACATTTTCTTTATCCAGTCCACCGTTGATAGGCATCTTATATTGGTTGGTTTCATGTCTTTGCTACTTTGAATAGTTCTGCAATAAACATACAAGTGCATGTGTCCTTTTGGTAGAATAATTTAATTTCCTTTGAGTATTTGCCCAACAGTGGGACTGCTGGGTTGAATGGAATAGTTCTCTTTTAAGTTCTTTGAGAAATCTCTACATTGCTTTCCATAGTGATTTAACTAATTTACATTTTCCACCCGCAGTGTACAAGTGTTCACTCTTCTCCACAACCTCACCAATATCTATTGTTTTCAGATTTTTTAATATTAGCCATTCTGACTGGTGTGAGATGGTATCTCATTGGAGTTGTGATTTGCATTTCTCTGATAATTATTGATGATAAACATTTTTTCATATGTTTCTTGGCCACTGGTATGCCTTTTTTTGAGAAGTATCTGTTCATGTCCTTTGCCCACTTTTTATTGGAGTTCTTTGATTTTTGCTTGTTGGTTTGCTTAAGTTCCTTATGGATTCTGGTTATTGGATCTTTATCAGATGCACAGTGTGCAAATATTTTCTCCCATTCTGTAGGTTTTCTGTTTACTCTGTTGGTAGTTTCTTTTGCTGTGCAGAATCTCTTTCATTTAATTAGGTTCCACTTCTCAATTGTGGTTTTGGTTGCAATTGCTTTTGGGGATTTAGTCATAAATTTTTGCCAAGGTTGAAGAGGTGTTGGTAATGATATGGCCTGGAATGTCATTTCATAGGCTTTCTTCTAGAGTTTTTATTGTTTTTAGGTCTTGTATTTAAGTCTTTAATCCATCTTGAGCTAATTTTTGTTGATGGAAAAACATAAGGGTCCAGTTTCAATCTTCTGCATATGGCTAGCCAGTTATCCAAACATCATTTATTGAATAAGGAATCTTTTCTTCATTGTTTGTTATTGTCAGCTTTGTTGAAAATCAGGTGGCTGTATGTGTGTGGCTTTATTTCTGGTTTCTCTATGCTATTCCATTAGTCTATGTTTGTTTTTGTACCAGTTCCACATTGTTTTGGTTACTGTAACCTTGTAGTATAGTTTGAAGTTGGGTAGTGTGATGGCTCCAGCTTTGTTCTTTTTGCCTCGAATTCCTTTGGCAATTCAGGAGTATTTCTGGTTTCATATGATTTTAGAATAATTTTTTCTAATTCTGTGAAAAGTGACTTTGGTACATTGACAGGAATGGCATTGAATCTGTACATTGCTTTGGGCCGTGTGGTCATTTTAACAATATTTATACTTCCTATCCATGAGCATGAAATGTTTTTCAATTTTTCTGTGTCGTCTCTCATTTCTTCCAGCAGTATTTTGTAATTCTTATTGTAGACAGCTTTCACCTCCTTGAAAGCTGTATTTCTAGATATTTTATTCTTTATGTGGCTATTGCAAATGAGATTGCATTCTTAATTTGTCTCTGAACTTGGGTGTTATCGGTGTATAGAAATGCTACTGATTTTTGTACATTGATTTTGTATCCTGAAAGTTTACCATATCTGTTTATTAAACCTAGAAGTATTCTGTTGGAGTGTATAGCATTTTCTAGATACAGAATCATATCGTCTGCAAAGACAGATAGTTTGACTTATTATTTGGATGCCTTTTATTTCTCTTTCTTATCTAATTCCTCTGGGTAGGACTTCTGGTTATAGATTTTTTGATACATTGTTGATATTATTGGTTAGTCAATTGTTTAGTATTTTGCATCTATTTTATAATTATATTCATTGGTGGTTATATGCTCTTCAAGTGTTAGAAAGAAATCAGTTGTAAAATCATCTGGTTGTTTCAATAGTGTATCTTTAATCACCTCTCCTACTCGGTAATTATTTGTTCTACTTCTTCTTTAGTCAATATAATAATTTCCATTTTATCAAGAATTCATGTGTGTTATTTAGGTTTCCACAGTTCCACAATTCCACATAAGCTTCTTTTATAAAATAATATTTTCTGTATCAGCCCATGCCTCTGCTTTTCTTATTCCTGAACTTGCATATTTTTTCTCTCTCTCTTCTTTCCTTCAGCAGATCTTTGAAAGATTTATATATTCTATTTGATTTTATTCACGGAATTAGCCCTTAGATGTATTTAAGCTAGCTTGCTACTGTTCTTTTCATTTTCAGCATTTGCCTCCATTAATTACCTTTTTCTTATTTTTTTGATAACTTTACTATTCTTAACATTTGTATTATGCTATTGTTTGAGTCTTTATTTTTGATAATGAAGGCATTGAGTATACATATTTCTTTTAATACAAGTTTTTCTGTGGTTCTACAGGTATTAAAATGAAATATTATCATTTTTATTGTTTTCTAAATTGTTTCATTTTTTATCACAAAATTATCATCGAGTATTGTTCTTAATTTCTAAGCACTCCTTTTTTATGGTTACTTTTTAATTGTTTTTCCTTATTTCTTGGATTATAATCAGAGTTTAGTGACTATAAAATTTCTACTTTTCAGATATTTAAGATCCCACACCTAATCTAACAATCTGGTTGCATTTTTCTTAATGACCCACCTTTATAAAAGATTTCTGAAACATTCATCTTTATTTTTATAGTTGGGATAGGCAGGGGGAGATAGTGTTTTCCTTCTTTACACAAAATTTTATTCTTTTATGTATGATATGATTGAATGATGTAATTCCATTAACAAGTTCAGCTGGCATAAATAGGTTTGGAGCACACACAGCTGTTTTATGACTCGAGTGTTAGAAGCAAAAATGTATGTAGATACATTGGTATTTGGAACATTCGGAGTGCCAAGTTAACAGTCAATACATTTTATAGGAGGGGAATTTGTTAGGTAGAGGAAGATAACTTCCGCTATTTTGAAAGCTTCCAATATTTTACAAAATGTTGGATAACTACTAATACAGCCATCTGCTTTCCCTCAAAAACAATTGTTGTCCAGTCTTAAAATTCCCAAGAAACAATACCCAATTGGTAAAAAATGAAAAGATCATCTGTGCTAGATTTCTATCCTTTATTACTTTTCTATAAAACCAAAAAATTAGATGAATGGGAAACATTTTATGTCTAACTATTCTTTTAGCAACTTTAGAAAGCCAATTTGATGGACAGCAATGGCGAGTCAAAATGGTTGAAGGAGCCCTGGAGTAAGTTTGGAGTCTTTGTCCTTCTACAAATAAAATTCCTAATGCATTGTCTCTGCTTTCAAATTTGAAAACTGGGGTGATTGCCAATGTATATTCCCCACATGATGTTGACAACTCAATAAAAAATTTGATGCTAAAATACGATACGTGATAAATGTTTCCGAAACCATAAAACTTGATTCAAGTTCAAGATGGTATTTTAAGTACATGTTGGTTTTTAAATTATTCTTTTCATCACCTGGTAGACTGTACCTCCTTTTTCCTTATTTTATAGGCAAGCTAAGGTCATCTACAATCAATCCATTTGGGAAGAACTATTTGTAGAGCATCCAACAGAATCCACTATGGTTATGTTCTGTTCATCCCTTCCCCCACTACCTCTCTCAAATAATTGAGCAGGGGCAAGGAGGAGAGGTCCTGACACTGCTCCTCAGGATGCAGATCCCTCCTGTTGCCCTTAGAAACCTTAATGGGTTCCAAGTTTTCCCCTGAGACCTCATTTTAGAAATCCAGAGACACCCTTTTTAAGTCAGCCTTTTGCGGAATTAACACAAGGACTCCAGAGCCTGGGTAACAAGGACATGTGTATGAAAGCAATAAATCCCCTCTGCCTACACATCATCACCCACACTTCTACCCATCCTTGGCCCTGACTTAATTTGGATCAGGATAAAGTTTAAGTTTCCTTCTGAAAGCAGTGCAACATCTCATAGTTATGCTGTTAACTGGAATTGCAGGAGAAGTAGGAAGGATAATTCTGTTTCATTTTTCAAGGACTCTTTACATTATCAAAACTGGTTCGGGATTTACAACATTGTCATCTCTGTCCGTGTGTGACAGGTTTTTATTCTGCCCATATTTTTTTCCCTAAGGGATATAAATCATATGCCAAATGTTGAAAAGCTACATGAAGAAATTTAGTTTATTCTCTCAACGCTGATAAATATTCCCACAGTTGTGGATTCCATAATGCTCTGCTTTGACAACAATCTGGCCTTATGTGATGTTTATACAAGAAAATCTTTCCTTATTTTTTCTTCAGCCACATGAAAGTAAAATAAGAAATTAGATGATGAAACAATTTGGGCTTCAAACTAGACAATACATATTTGTAAGATTAAAACACCTATAAGAGTTCACCTATCATGATCAGTGGTTACAATGGAATATTAAACATGTAATTGCCAAACAGGAAATATGTATGTTTCCTATTTCTCAATGGCTAACCCACAGGAATAAAATGATCTTAAACGACCTAGAAATTACAGAATCCATTATGTTGGGACGTTAGCTTTTACAAACAACAAAAAGCAGGGTTTAGTATCTTACAAGTGCTAAAGATTTTTTAGATGCTGAATGCTTACATTGAAAACAATAATTTTACCAGAATCAGGAAAGGCTATAAAATATTAAAGCTGTATGCTAGGACAGAGATTTAAGTTTTTAATATATTACTCATCTATTTGATAATCATGCTTGAGGTTTAGTGTTTCATAGGGAGTGTTAATTTGTGTTTTAATTAATCCTAATTTGTCAAGATTTAAGTATATTTAATGACCCAGAAAATTTCCCTAGAAAATTTCCTAATGTCAGTTATCACAGCCGCCAAAGTCATCCATATGATTAATGTGCTATTTAGAGGAGTCATTTGCCACACTCAGACTTCCTAAATGTGCCTTATTCAGGCTGCCTTTGGGAATGCTACCCCCTGCAACTATACTAAGTGAAATAAATCAAAAACCATTCATTACAACATAGATAAACCTTCTCATACTATCTAGATGTGGGGTATCTATTAGAGAATACATTTTGATTCTTTTCAGAAAGCAAATACAGGAGTTTACAATCCTACGGAAGGAGCCTGGAGAGACTTGTTCTGGCGTTTAAAAAAAAAGGAACCAGCTCAATTGTTGACACTTATCCAAACAGAATCGAGAAAGTATAACCACCATAAGAGTGTTTTGGAACTTGGGCTTAGAAACAGCAAATATTGAATCTTGTACTTTTAATTTGAGGAAAGAGTAATAGTTTATTGTCAATACATTATGAATATTTAAATCTATTTGGCTATCTTTTATCAGCAGCCAGGTAAAATTTGATTAAGTAGATGAATATCTATCTTTTCTCCTTGAAAGGTGACAGAAGAGTGACATATAAAAATAGGAAAAATAACTTCATTTATTAGGATATTGCTCCCTTCTGACTCCACTGGCTGAAGCCTAGGACATATTTCTTTAATTATAATCTGTCACAGGCCTGAGCTAAACTTGTTTTCCATTTGTGCTCCAACACATAAAATAGATACTATAATTATTTTACTGGTATAAATGTATAAGTTTAAATTTAAAGAATTACTTATTAAAAGTTAATAAGACATGTCATTTTGATAAGCACATACATCAAATCAGAAGTTCAGGCTTATATTAACTTTGGCACACATTCATTTTTGCATTCATTACTCGGCACAAGAAAATTTGAATCCACATACTACTTAATTATGAATATTAACAATATTATAATTGTATGCCATTAAGTGCATGTCAGCACATATACATTTTAGAGAAGTTTTACATAAATTTGAATACTTCTGAATTAATGTCTGGTCATATTTGATAGATGTTTAGTATGAAATACTACTTTCATTTTTGCTCTCTCTTTGTTTTGTGTGATATCTTTTATGAGTTTTACTCTGATTTAATAATGTTATTATGTTTTGTTGTTGTTGGGTTATTTGTGTTTGAATGTCTTTAAATTTGGGGTCCTCAAATACTTAACTACAGGATTGATTTAACAATCACAGAAAGCATTTCATATTCACTTAAAAGAACAAATTCTCATTTGTAAGTCACGAAGTAACTTTGAAAGTCCCAAAGAGTTGTATTCATATAAATTCAAGTAAAGGGAAGTTAATACATGTGTAAAATATTCCAGTGACCTTATATCAAAATAAAGATAAAGGATCTGTAGCAGCCTTGAAAAAATTTTCTGGAACTTGAAATTTTTAAAATCTTTCCCCATACAAGCCAGTATTTGAGAAATGAAATTAGAGCTTTTTATTTACCTTAAATGAATTCTTACCTTGAGAATTTCTTTGAACAATCATTAGTATTATAAATGTACAATATAAATGTCCAAATTTGATGTGAAAGTAGAGTGTGGGAAATTCAGGTTATCCCTGTAATTTTTTGTTTTAATTTGGGCATTTAGAGAAAGGCTTTAAGTCCAGATATAATTTCAGACATGTTTAATTCATTGTTATGCTCCCATGCTTAGCATAGTGCCTAGCATATAGCAGTGTATTCAGCTGTTCTTGCATTGCTATAAAGAAGTACCTGAGACTGGGTAATTTATAAATAAAAGAAGTTTAATTGGCTTATGGTTCTGCAGGCTGTACAAGCATGGTGCTAGCATCTGCTCGGCTCCTGCAGAGGCCTCAGGAACTTACGGTCATGGCAGAAGGTGAAAAGGGAGCAGATATGTCACATGGCAGGAGCAGGAGCAAGAGAGAGAGTGGAAGGAGGTGTTACACACTTTTAAACAACCAGATTTCATGAGAGCTCACTTGCTATCATGAAGACAGCACCAAACCATGGGGAATCAACCCCCATGACCAAACACCTCACATCAGGCTTCGTCTCTGACATTATGGGTAATATTTCAACATGAGATGGATGGGACAAATATCCAAACCATATCTAGCATTCTTTTAGCAAATAATAAGTATTTGCTAAAAGAATGATAACTTCTGTTTCAAGCTGCAGACAGTGAAACTGATTCTGGGTGGTGTTTCTTGGTCTTTAAAATTAGATTGCCTCAATAAAACCATGGCTTCAAATACACAGTGGAAGGTGATATGTTCCTTCAAAACTTCAAGCATGGACAGTCAAGAAAGCTGTGTATAGTATAGTGGAAATAGATATAACAATCACCAAATCAGCATGCGTCCTGACATAGCAACTCTTTGTAGCCAGATCTGCCAGGACTGGTAAAATGCCAGTATCTGAGTCATAAATGAGGAGGTCCTATGTCAGAGAGTTTAACAAGGGAACCAACCCTGAAAACAAAGAAACAAAAAAGTGCAATGAACAGGAAGCCAAGAAGGCAATATAGCTGAGGCCAATGAAAAGGGGTGCCCTGGATAAATATCTTCTTAAGCCTACCTCTTATTTCAGACTTTTTTCAATGTACTTCTACCTCTATTCCACTATAGCTCCCACTCTTAACTCTCCCTTTTAAAGTTTCTTTACTTAGACAGAACCCAGATCCTAGAGCTGCTAACTTATTTGGGACATTAAAACTATAGAACTAATCAGACATTCAACAACTGGCTCTTAATTTTATCGAGTTTTACTTCAGTGATCTATGTGACTGACTTAAGAAAATTAAGAAAATCTGTTAAGGGCTAACATCATATGAGAAGTCCTTAACCTAGGCAAGTTCATGCCAACATTGTATCTTCTCCATGCAACAACAGCAGCTCCAACTTGATGTTATCCTTTCCAATGGGTGTCACTTCCAATAGAATGAATGTTGGGGGCAGAGGACAGTTAATAAGAAAAAACTTTCTGAAGCATCCTTAAAGTTCTGTGGGTGATTCTAAAACTGTTGGAATTCCGATAACATATCTGTACATTGATTTTAGTAACTGCCTAATTTCAAAAGGGATTTAGGGCTACTCACAGTGACAACCTAAGTGCAAATACTGCAGGACATATAACAAGCCAGAAACAGGAAACAAGAATTATAGCGAGATGCAAGGAAAAAGAATTCTTAAAGCGGTGATGCAATGATGCACAAAACATTTAAACTCTGCTGAGGCAATAGAACACAAAACTTAGTGGAGAATACCCTATCAGGCAGACCAAAGACAAAACATAATAGATTTTTGGCTTTCTATTCCTAACTAAAAAGATTATACTAATTTTTCAGAAACAATAAATTTGGACCAAAAGACAGAGGAAGTCCAAAGTATATTGTCTATTAAAAATCTTTTGTGAATCAAAGGGTTTACGCACATTCTTATTTAAATTGTGGCCACAACTCTGTGAAATACATGTTATTAATTTAGCTTTCCCAAAAAAAGAAACTGATTTTCAGAGAAGTTAAGTAATTTGACCAAAGTCAAACTAGTAAATGATGGAGCTAGAACTCTGGATCAAGCCTGTCTGATTCCATAGCTCATATAACACATTCAGGGAAATGGAGAATCTCATCTCTATCTCTTTTCTCTCTTCCAACTCAAAGCATGTGTGAATACACATGTATGTGTATGTGCATGCACACACACAGACATGCACACACACACACACGCAATTTTTTTCTATACCAAGTTTTACTTAAGGATACTTAAGGGAAAATGCCAGAAATGCAGCTACAGGCTCAGTAGCTCAGTATTCTTATGCTAACTACTATAATCATAGCAATATCTTCTTCATGTGAAATCTAAAATGCCTTTATGTACCTTATTACAGGTGAATCTTAAAAGACAGATGAATTCATTTGTTTTGTTACTTGGTGTAATGCTTTATACATCTTTATCTGCATGGGGCTACTTAGAATTATTCAGAGACCACAGCAGTGGGCTTCAGGGAGGAGAGGTAATTCATATGCAGAGGCCTGTGTAAACTAGGGTATTTTTATTCTATACAACCTCCAAACTGGAGTTGAACTAAATTTGGCCACAACACTCTAAAATGCTGGCCCCCAAGCAAAGTGGCCAGCATTTTAGAATGCTGTGTCCAAATTTAGTTCAACTCCAGTTTGGCATCACTTGCCAAAGAGTCCAATGAAGTGGTTTAAATGGTAGAAGGGATCAATGACCCAGATAATTGCTTCCATGTGAAAAGCTGAGTTGATATAAGATTCCAACAAAGAGTAGAAAGGGCCTCCAGGACCTGGAGGCAGAAACAGGCACAGACTAGGCAAGTTATCATGTAGGAGAGGTCTTCCATCAAGCAGGGAACCTGGAAGGAGTCCAGTCATGTAGACCAAGCCCAACAGTTACAGTTAAGGGGAGAGATTACAGATGAGTGCCCAGAAACTCTTATCAAAGGGAGGCATATTTTGTTTGGACCTGAGCAAGGAAATACAGACTCTTCAGGATGAAAACCTGAGTTCCTGTAGCAGCACCGAGCTGGATGAGCTGTGTCTAACAATTGGCACACTATTTATGAGTAGTTTATTGAAATTATGGCTAAATTCAATATTGCAAAGATTCTCATTCTACGGTAGAGAAACACAGATTGGTGAAGTGACTTGTACAAGAGTCAACCTGTGGCAAATCCATGACCAGAATTCAGTTCTATCAATTTTTATCTAAAATGCTCCCTATTCATTTCTGTGAGTGATTCCATACAGTGAAGAAAACAAGAGCAGAAAATCATGACTATTATGCTTCAGGTATCCTATTGGTCCTCTTTATAATATATCAGTCTGACCACTTGCATTACACAGTGATCCTATACACAGTAGGATCCTTGTGCTTACTTGAATATTTAAAAATAGTAATAATTGTATGTTTTTTTCTCATATGATTTAATTTGAAGTTCCTCTGTGAGCCAAATACATTGAAATTGCCTTACAAACAATTCATGGTTACTTTTAGCTATATTGGATGGCATAACAAGGTTGATCCAAAAAGATAGGAAATGCCCAAATTGCATCATTGCACTGTAAATTGCACTATATAATGCCCCATTCCTCCACCTCAAAGTGTATTTAAATGAGTCTGCTTGTACTGGTAGGAGAATGTCAACATAAAAATTAAAATCTACATACGCCACCCAAAATAGCAAGACACAGAGAAGCAAGAGTTGAATGCCTTTGAATCATTGTATATTGAGAATTGTATGAAAATAGCAAATAATTTTATTCAGTTCAGATTGAGTAGCAGTTGTCACAAGCTATTGTTTAATCTGTTCAACAAGTTTTAAATTAGCCCTGAATAGGTTGTCAAAACAGTAGCACTTTAGAAGCTTATGTATGCACTGCAAATTCTGGTGCAATTTCCATTTCTGAATATCGGACTACACTTTTAAAGTGTCTTTGCTGTTCTCCTCGCCTTTCTCTATTTTCAGTGCTTATCAAAATATTTAGTATTAATAATGTGCATATGAAACATAAATATTCCAAATACTGTAAACTAATAGCACACTCTGTTACATGACATTTACCAATACCATGACTATTTCAGGGTCAACATTTTTACTAATTATAACTTAGATGTATACCAGAAATGGCAACCTAAATTGACTTGAGATTCTTTCAAAAGGTTGATTGTCTTTCTAGTTGTACCACCTTTCATTAGTTACGTCTTATTAATTGTCACATTGCATTATATCTGTGCACAGTATGCCACATAACATAATGCAGGGAAAGAGAAGCAGTGTGAAAAGTTGTAGGCATTATATTTTAATGAGACAGCATTTGTATTGAGTCTGAATGCCTGCAGTTAATTCAGAGAACAAGTATTTGAGTTAAAAATTTTGACATGTTTAGCAAATCAAGTATTCATTAAGGTAGGCGAGGTAGAAGAGTAGTAGGAACTCCTGCGTGGCAATGACTACACCTGCAGTTCTGTGAGCAAGAAATTGACTGTATTTCAGGCAGAGATACCCAGAACACTGGTAGTATGAAACTCTTTCTTTTTTTCCTCAGGTCCTAAAGGGTTTCCCAGAATGCTTACAAGCAGACATTTGTCTACATCTCAACCAGACATTGCTGCAAAACTGCAAAGCCTTTCGGGGGGCAAGTAAAGGTTGCCTTAGAGCTTTGGCAATGAAGTTCAAAACCACCCATGCACCTCCAGGAGACACCCTCGTTCACTGTGGGGATGTCCTCACTGCACTTTATTTCTTATCCAGAGGCTCCATTGAAATTCTCAAAGATGACATTGTGGTGGCTATTCTGGGTGAGTGTTTTAGAAGTGCATGGTGACAGATTCAGTTATTAGCTTGTAATGCATAGTTTAAAATGATTAGGAAAAAAAGACTGATGTATGTATTCATAAGAACAGTTTAAGATGGTGGGTAATTTGAAAGCTGCATTTAAAATTCAGTTCAAACCAAATTAACCTTTCAGAAAATATGTTTTCTTAACTGTCTCACTTTTTCTCCGAAGTGTAAATGCTTCGATGATTCTCTTCAGTTCTTGGCAGCTACCTAGACATTTGAGGCCAAATATAGGAAAATAGTAAGCATATTCTTTTTTTATGTTAGAAGATCTTAGCTTCATGCTTGATCCCTCAACACCTTAAAATAAAATATATGTGTTGTAGGAAATACTTGCTAGCATGTGCCAAAGCCCTGTCATGAACTGGGTTTATGTTTTGATGAATTTCATTTATTCATTGTGCATTTTTACCTGCCGCGTCGGATTAAATGGAATCATACAGTCCTTAACTAGGTAATTAATATAGACCTATAAACTTAACAACCAGTGATAGAAGTGATGAAGAGATTAAATTAGTCATAACTTCAACTGGTTTGGGTGCAAAAGAAAACACATGTTTAATCTGCCTCTTTAAAAATAAATTTAGGCCATGTACACACACTGGGGCCTGTCGTGAGGTGTGGAGAGAGGGGAGGGATAGCATTAGGAGATATACCTAATGTAAATGATGAGTTAATGGGTGCAGCACACCAACATGGCACACGTATACATATGTAACAAACCTGCACGTTGTGCACATGTACCCTAGAACTTAAAGTATAATAAAAAAATTTTAAAAACTTAAAAAAATAAAAATAATAAATAATAAAAATAAAAATAAATTTAGGCCATGTGAACTTGTAGTACTTCTTTAGAATATTAGGACACTGGGGAAGAGCAAGGAAACAGAGAAAAATGCAGTCAATTCTTCTTTTCTCCTACCACATAGCCGGTAGGTTTAAGCCTCACTCTCCCTATGATAACGCCTATCCTTAGTTTCTGTAAAAATTTGCATTTTTCTCCTGTGGATTATCCAGCTCCACTTAAATAATGGGCATGTAATTCAATGATTTTCTCTCACTTAGCTTTTGATGTTCACATATGATGGTTCTCTCCAACAGGACAGGGATGTTGTCTGTTTTCCCTGCTGCTGTGTAGAACCAGAGTATGGCATGGCACAGACTCAAATACATGAATAAAGATGCTCACATGATTTTCTTATATATTTTGATAATTTTATTATATTAGTTTTTTTTTACATTTCCCAAATTTGGTTTTCTAACCAATAAGCTGACAAAGAATAAACACATATTCTAAATCATTTTAAGGCCACACAATCAAGTTAGGTTTTCACTAAATTTGGCATAGACAGTTTGCCCTGCTATGTTGCCAGGGAAGGAGGATGCTTCATTGCATTTCTGATCTTCAAGTCAGCCAGTCCTAGCTTCTACAAGAAGGTAATAAGCTTTCTTGCTTTATCAAGTAGTAATTTTAGAGTGTTGCTAAGACATATCCATGGACTGGCTTGCTCCTGGCTCATTTACAGTCATGTTGGTAATTGAAATACAAAGCCCATGCTTAATTTAATTCAGGTCTTTTTTAAAAACAATAATATCTATACTGAGCTACCAAAACTATAAAGAATGTCAGGAAATTACCCTTTTCTGTCCCTACTTCCATATAAGTCAGCCCCTAAAATCCTTACAAATTATGATCATTTATCCTATTTTTGGAAGGCTGATACATATTTATTTAAACTGTGGTTAATGTATCCTTTCTAATGTCGATTTTTCTTACGTAGTTAAGATACAGTGTTTGATTTCTCACTATTGAATTCCTTTGTAAAACAAGAATATTATAGCATTTTTGACTAATTAGAACCTTATTACTTAAAAGTCTTTGATAGCTTCTACAGTGAGGTGTACAAGAACTTGTCTACCAAAATCTAAAATAATATACCCAAGGAGTTTTTTCTAAAAATGAAAAGAAGCTTCAGGATAGACACAGGAGAGTACTATTTTACATTGCCATTGATTATCTTTAGAAGTTACATAATCAAGTAATATATCAGTATGTATTAAGTATATATACCACAAGTACAGTTTTTAAGTACTTTGATAGTCAGAAACAGAAAAATCTAAGTGGCCATGACATTCAGGGAAATCACTGGAAAGAGATTAGATACTTAGATACACAGTATCAGGTGTGCAAGAACTTTGACTCTGGATGCATCTGGAATCAGGATGCATGGGATTTAGTTCTGGCTGTTCTCTCCCTCCCTCCACTTCATTCAACTAAGAAGGTGATGTTAGGCTAATCAGTTTATCTCTTTAATGCTCTTTCTGTATTCATAAAATGTGGATAATTATTAGTAATTCCTTCATGAAGTTATTTTAGGAACAAATTGAGGCAATGCACCTAAGCATTTGACACAGTGCCTGGCACCTACTAGTCCTCAATAAATATTTGTTATTGTTGCTGTAGTTCTTATCTTTGTCATGGAATAAGACCTTGAAAAGCAGGTAGTATGTGGCTACACAGAGGTGATGGGGAAGTCCTGTTAGAAGCGAGACACTGAAATAACCCTAGATTTTACAGAAGAGCAAGAAGGACAAATTTCCCTAACAAAGGCCATATAACAAAAAGCAGGACTACATATGTTGAGAATTATAACTAGATTTATTAAGCAATTGGGCATATTTTTTAAGGGCAGATTCAAAAGTGGTTATTAGGAAACAAGGTGTGTTCCAATTGTTCCTCCAATCCACTAAGTGTTAAAACAGCTCCACCACAACCCCTTGCTGAGCACCACCTGCAGAGACCATCCCGAGACAGAAAGATCATGAATCTGACTCACTGCAGCCTTTCTCATATTCCTGAATTGAAAAAATCAGAGTACACCTACCTGAAAGTATATTTAAAATACTCTATGGTACGACCCTTTGCTAGCAAAGTGGGGTATACAGGACTGAAGATAATGTTCGCTACATTCTAGATGCTTAGTCAAGTAACCAAAGCAAGGAAATAAAAGGACCAATCACCCTTAGAGACAAATTTCCACTCACCAAACATGGTATGGGCATTTAGTTAAGGTGCTGGAACATTGCTCACCAAGTCTGGTTCAGGGATTGATCAATTGTTTAATGACCCCCTTCTACTTTTAGAAGGAGAACATTGAGTTTGGATTCCCTTTCCCCGCCTCTTTTTCTTTATATTTTCTTAGGAAAAAATGATATATTTGGAGAAATGGTTCATCTTTATGCCAAACCTGGAAAGTCTAATGCAGATGTAAGAGCCCTCACATACTGTGACTTGCATAAGATTCAGCGAGAAGACTTGTTAGAGGTTTTGGATATGTATCCTGAGTTTTCTGATCACTTTCTAACAAACCTAGAGTTGACTTTCAACCTAAGGCATGAGAGCGCAAAGGTATATGTTAACTGTTTGCTTATGTCTGTATTTCTGACATTTTATTTTATTCTTGAATTGCACAAATACTTCTGAAAAATCAAGCAAAATATTGCAGCAAGACTTTACCAATTCTGAATATTTGGAAGGAAAGGCCAACTGAATATTAAAATTTCTGAATTATAGGAAAGAAATTTAGCCTAATTGCTTTCCAATACGTTGAATAATTTCAAGTAGTTCAATTAGGTTTGACCTTGTAGAAGCCCTTAGGTGCCACACTTGAGTTAAAATAGCCTTTGTTTATAGTGTGCCAATTATTTGCTAGAAATGGGTGATTTTAGGCTGTTGAAAATTACTTGAGTTTATCTTATACAGAGGTTAGAATATTCTCTCAGCTATTATTTACACTGTACATTGGTTATCAGTGTCTTCACAATAATAATGAAAAAATTAACCTCATTCAAGTTTAGTTTCCTATTTAATACAATTTCCAAATCACAGAAGTACAAATTAGTCAGGTTTTACAGTATTGTCAGTTTTAATGGTGCAGAATGAATATGTAGTCTAACAGAAATAATAGTTTAAATAATTATATATGTAAGTTAACCCAGAATGAACTTCGAGTGTAGCTCTTATGTTCCTTACTCTTTTCTACTGTGAAAATGTGCCCTTATGAGCTATTACTGTTCTATGGCTATAAAACTTACGTTGTAACCAAAAATTTATTACTAGGTTATTCCTCTTCCATCCCTTTTCCCCCAAAATTTCACAACTCCACTCTAATTCTAAATGCTTTTTTAAATCAGAAATCAAATATTGAGTGATTGATACTTGCCAGTGTATTTAAATGCTAAGTAATATATTCTCTGGGGAAAAAAACCCTAAAGTCAATAGTTAGGTAAGAGGGGGTAGATTTAACACTTGCTGTAGTTATAGACATTCCCAAGTACCATGAGAGGCTTAAAAGAGAAAGAGGAATTTTAAGGGCCCCTAGATGCCATTTAATACCCTGATACACCAGTTCAGATAATTATTTCTTTTTAAAACTCTGAAAAGTTTTTTTTAATTGAAGTGGAAAAAGATTCTAGTTATTAAGAACATATGTTTTTGTAATGGTTTTAATTCAGTAATTTGTCCCAATCTTAGTTTTATGTCACCACCCTCATTCTGACTTTGCCTTGAAAAGTAACAAATATCTACCTCTCATAACTTCTTTATATAAAAGTTTAGTCAGTACTCAAATAAACAAGAGCTTCCATTTTTATTTACAAGGTAGACAATATTAGACAGAGTGAACCAGAGAGGGAAGAAGGAGGATCTGGGAGCAAAATAATAAAGGGTTCAAAGTGTAATGTTTATGGAATTTAACCTTATATTTATTGTTGTGAAATTTAACCTTACGATAATTACCATGTCATTTAAACACCATAGCTAATTTTAACTATTTTACACATTTTTCTTTGCAGTACTATTAGTTATGCAAAGTTCTTTAAATTACTACAATTGACTTTTGAACAACATGGGAATTCAGAACACCAATCCTTGTATAGTTGAAAATCTGCAAATAACTTTTGACTCCACAAAAACTAAATTACTGATAGCCTACTATTTATTAGAAGCCTTACCAATAATGTAATCAGTCAATGAACACATATTTTGTATATTTTTATAAAATGTATTCTTACAATAAAGTAAGCTATAGAAAAGAAAATATTATTAAAAAATCATAAGGATGAGGATATATATTTACCATTAATTAAGTGGGAGTAGATTATCATAAAGATCATCATCTCATCATCTTCATATTTAATAGGCTATGGAGGAGGAGGAAGAGGAATGGTTGGTCTTGCTGTCTGAGGAGTAACAGAGGAAAAAGAAAATTCATGTATAAGTGAACCTGCACAGTTAAAGCCTGTATTGTTCAAGGGTCAACTGTATTATTCTTATTTTAACTTTATCAAGTTGCATAAAACACATTCCACATAAAGAAATATTTTATCTTTAAATGTTGACATCATCCCTAAACATTTCACATAAATAACTCCTACACTATGATTTCCCCAGCAAATGGTGAAAGTACTAAAAATTATTCTATCTGTGTATGTTACAATAAAGAGACAAGTATTAAGCAAGGTATTTTAGCTGTTTGCCTGCAATCTAATAATTAAGTCTCAAGATGGTTGAAACAATATGAAATAGTAAACAGTTTACTGAATAGTACATTGTGTTCTAATTCAGTAATCTTTCATTTTATCTTCATGTTCCATTAACAAAGGCTGATCTCCTACGATCACAATCCATGAATGATTCAGAAGGAGACAACTGTAAACTAAGAAGAAGGAAATTGTCATTTGAAAGTGAAGGAGAGAAAGGTAATTCATTCCATTCCTAAAGTTTAAATGTAGAGCATGTGGTAATTAGCCTTCTTACTTAAATGTTCATTTTACTTCTGACTTCAAGAGTATATTTTACTCAGGCTTTAGGAGGGCAGATCCTTTGCTTTATTCAGTAGCTAATGATCTGGTTTCCAGTTTCTGATTGATAGCTCTCAATGATATCATTCAACAAACCCATCTAATATTCACAAGGACATCGCAGATTAAGAAATAGAGTGGATTGATTTTTAAAAGACGTTCAGGTCAATTCGTTCGGAGCACAGTTTTCTGGAAAGAGGGCTGTCATTTCAAGCCAAGAGGTCAATCCTCTTACATGCCCCACAAGCATGCATGACATGGATGAAGGCCACATTTGTTAGTCCTTCTCATCCTCAGATTCTGTGGCACTTGTCACTTCTTGTTTTCTCCAGGTTTTTCTGCCTCTCTGACTATTCTTTATGCTTTGCTTATATAGTCAACAAATATTCATTTAACATTTCACATTTTCGAGCAGCTACTCAATATTCTGAGAAATAAGCTGTGCTTCAATATCCCTCATCTTCCCTAGAGAGGGAGATAGACACGCCCTCAAATAGTAGGCTCTGTAACAGGAATAGGTATTCCTCAGTGGGAGCCCAAGTGAGTGTACATTTAATTGTTCTTGGCAGATGGGAAAAAGTTTTCCTGAAGAAGCTTTGACTCTTGCCTCATGCTGATCCAACAAACATTCTAGTCTTTACCTTATTTGGCCCCATAGCTGCATCTTTCACTATGAACAAGGTCCCCTCTTTTTCTTGAATACTCTTTTCTTTGCGTCTGTAATACTTCAATCTTCCTATTTTCCTCCTACCTTCATGAACTCCCTGAAGATAATTTCAAGATTATTATATTCTATACCAGTGTCAATTTGTTAAGAGTTTTGAGGCATAGTCCTAGGCTCCTTTTTCTTCTTGTTCTATATCATACTCTTTCTCTGGGTGATCCCATTTATGCCCATCATTTAAGTATATCCTCACATAGGAGATGTTCATGATTACATGTTAATCCCAGACCACCTGAGCTTCAGTCCCACATATCCAACTGCCTATAAAATCATCTACCTGAAATCTCAAAGGCAGCTCGAACTCAACATTTCCTAAATTGAACTCATGGTGCACCCTGGAAACCTGTCTCCTCTTCAATTCCCATGCCTCTGCAGATGGTGACTCTATTCATCAATTGTACAAGCCAGATATCTTGGAGCCAACCTTCTCACAACCTCTCCATCAACTCTGGCAACAACTCCTATTATTGCTACCTCCAATAAATCTCCATTTAGTCTTCAAATTAGGTCTCCTTTTGGTTAACTTCTCTCCATCTACTTAGCCACAGCTCTGGGCCAAGCTACCATAATCTGCCACCTGGAATATTGAAACAGCCTTCCAACTTGCCTTCCCACATGCAACTTGCCCCTCTCTCATCTATTCCACACTGGACTTCTGTTGATTTTTTTTTTCTAAATGCAGCTATGTTTATGTCACCTACATGTTCAAAGCCCTCTAAGGACATCCTGTGCCCTAAATCCTTATTAGGGTGGGTCTTAACTTACCTCTTCAGTCTTATTTCATAATATCCTTCCCTTAACTACTCCCATCACTCCATCTTCCCCCATCAGTTCATCTCTTCAGCAACATTTACTCCAGTTGTACTTCTGGGTTTATTTGCATCATTATTTAATCAATGTTGTCTGCCTCTAGATCATAAGTTCCGTGAAAGTGGAAAATATTTGGCCCCCTGTAGTTTTAGTGCTTGCTGCACAGCAGATGCTCAACAAGTATCTGTGGAAAGAGTAACTGAAATAGAATTTGAGCATCTTCCTTTTTATTCTTTTCCCTTTTCTTGCCTTCTTATGCCAAGTTCTTTTTTTCACTCTCTTTTCTCCTCAATGAATACTCTTTCTAGAAGAGATCATCTACTAGCTTTATCTTGCTCCACATTTCAATTGAAACAAACTGCCCACTCCTCCATGTACATTGTTTCTGTGGTTTTCCTTATAATATTCCCTTAATTAATTTGCTTCCTTGTCCTCAAAAACACACACATACACACACATGCGCACACACACACACACACGAATTCATACCACACCAGTTTCATCCACTAAAATTACTTTTTTTATCAAAGTCAATCTCAAATGATATATTTAATGTGAATTGTTTCTTGAGCTCCTCAAATGTAAAGCTTCTCTTTCTCTTATGAATTCTCAAAGCACTTACTTCTTATAATATTGTCAAAATATGATGGCTACTGGTGTATTTTTTTCCTTTGCCTTTGCCAAACTGTAGATAACTTTAGCAAAGAATGGTTGATAAATATTTCTTGAATTGGACTAATTATTGATTCCTCTGGCTGACTGTAGAACAATAGACTACTCATAGATAGTTGATAATTTTGTTCTGCAATGTCTTTAATTATTTTCTTGGTGACTTTTTCTAAAATCAGAACCACTACTATTAAGCTGTTCTTCCACAGAGTTAATCTAAATCCCTTATCCTGAAGTTCATCTCTTATGTTTGTCTTACTGGAAATGAACAACAGGTTAACAATGTTGTCAATATAATAATGTCTTCCACATAGTTGAAGATTTATTAAATCTCCTTTCAATCTTGTTCAGTTTCCTCATTCTTAAGCTAAATTATCTAATGTTTTTATCGCCTGATAAGGCCCTGAGAGCAATGTCACAATTTGTACTGTGCTCATGTAACTAGACATTTCTGTTGATTTTGAATACTATGCCTTTAATCACAGGCTTGGTATATGAGATCAAATTCGTATAAAGTGTAGATGCTAAGGGATTTTCTGCCTGCAGCTCTTTGAAGTTTCCTGGTTGTGCCAGTAAGTAACCATGAGTTGGTCAATGTGAAAACACAATTAACTCCAGTTAACCAGAGCCCAAGAGCCTATTCCAAAGTCTTTAGGAAGCCAGGGTGCTGTGGGCAATTGTAAAATTTGCTGAAAGCAATTTAGTCCCTGTCATCCAAATCTAATTCTCTTAAGGTGAGCATTCATCATATACTTCTTGATGTAGCGTCAATATATAGGAGAAAAATACACATAATATAAAGAACAGAGAACTTTCAGGGGATCATTCATGCTAAACGATTTGTGGATACAGAAACTGAAATCTTCCCTTGAAATGCATTCATTTTTGTAGTGTTAGTTCATTGCTCATATGAAAGGAAACCTTGAAGGCAGGCATTCAAGAGTGCTGTTGCCTGTAAATCAGCAGTGGCATCAAGAACCAGAGAGAAGACTGTGTTTCTGGGCACTAGCAGCAGACAGAGGTTGAGTCCTGGATTGCCACTCCCTACCCACTGAGTGGAACAATGCAAATTTGCCGGCTTTGATCCACACCTGCCGCCTGCCACTCCGCTTCCAATTATGCCTCCCACAAGGTTCTAAAGAGCTCACATTGAATAAGATATAATTTTTCAATGAAATATGTACAGCCTCTGGAAAGCTGAAAAACAAAATATATACTTATATTGAATATATAATGAATTTGTTGATGACGGTGGCTTGTTCTCATGAGCTATACATTTTTTTTCTAAGGAAAAATCCCACTTCCCTACAGGAGAGACTTGTAAGTGCAGGTAGAAATTTGAGAGCACCTTGTATTTTTAAAGGTATCTTCAAGTAGTTATCTTTTCTTCCTAAAATTCTGGCATGGAGGTGCCCAGGACCTCCCCAATATGACAATGTTTATTGTAGGAAGAATTGCTACAGCTCCTGAGATGGAAGTAAAATATTATTACAGAAAGTGAAGAATAAAAATGAGGCTTCAATGACCTGCTCAGTGGCCATGAGCATTGTTAAGATGGCTGGGCAGAAGAGAAGTAAATGAGAAAAATGCTGAAAAATCGTCTCTATTTACTTGGTCTTAAAAGTTGAACTGTGCCTACTCCAGTGTGAGCCAGATCCATTAGGTCATAGAAGTAATAATTCTTCTAAAATTTTATGTTGTGTTCACTGTATAATATACAGGGTATATTTGTAAAATAGCATGTATAATGGCACAGGATATATACATATACATATGTATATACATAATTTATATATTATAAAATATATAAATATGTGTGTGTGTGTGTGTATATATATATAATGCGATTATACACTACACACATACATTTATGTATGTTTACTTACAGGGCTTATAAGACCAAATATTTGCAGTGTTCTGCTCAACGCTTTCTGTTGACAGAAAATACAGTATCAAAGTGGCTATTAATAGCTAATTAGGGGATGACCTTTTGGCAGAGAATAATCCAATGAGGACAGCAGTGTAACCAGGCACAAACAATCACCCATTCATTTGGAGTCCATTGTCATTGAGTACCCACTGTGTGCTAAGTGCCCTGAGTTTTTTCATGTTTATTTCTACTTTAGTTTCAAAAGTTTGTCTTAAAGTTTTAGAGAAAATTCTTCATTGGTTAACAAGGAGACAAATAGAAATTCCCTCTGAATTGTAGTTAGTGTCTGCATACTTTCCCTCTTCAATTTTCATTATATTTTCTAGTTAATTTAGCAGAAAAAAGTGTTTCTACAGAATTCTGAGGAAATTATTTTTACTATTTTGTGCCAAGTCATGAGTAGAAAAAAGAGGACCTGGAAGAGGAAACTTTTTACTCTATTGGTTTTATTGCGTGGAAACGCCTCAAATATTGTGAAAATTAGTTCTTGCTGATATTATACATTTTAAGAGAAATCCTATTGGTATATTTTTTAACTAAAGCATTGATGTCACCTGAGGTCACCTCTCCCAAAACAACAGATTTGGCATTGATTCCTCTGCCTCCCGTTCCTCATCAGAACTCTGCAGAAGTATCTGAACCCACTCTTCCAAATATCCCTTCTCTATACCTTTTCCTGCTTCCTTTTCCAAAAGCATAAAGAATAATGTTCAAGAATAAAGTCGGCAAGTAGCCTCAATTATATAGGACTTGAAAAAATGATTGCGTCAGAAAGAAAATAATTTTTCTTAGCCTTAGCAATGTCAAAAGGGACATTGGCCTGTGTAGTTAAAGAATGCTGAGCTTTTCCTTCCTAACCTGGAAATATTCTTACCCTCTTGATTTCCAAAAGCTGAGAAACAATTCTCAGAGCTCCGAAGACCCTCTTACTTTTGCTAATAGATTATCACAATATGCTCCATTTTAAAGAACAAACTGCCAAGCACGAAAAACAAAACAAAACAAAAAGACAAACAAAACAAAAAAAGCCACCAGAGTGAAACATTCAAACAGTGTTAAAGATGTGCCTGTAACAACCGAAGAGATGGAAATCAAGGTGAAAGATTGGACGCAGATGGTTCTGCATGCATGATGACAAACAAGAACCCTTTTCAAGAGATACACACATCCTAAGAGTAGGGAAGAAAACTTTACTCATTTCCCTAGCCATATAATTTTATTAAAATGAGCTCTTCGATATATACTCCACAGGAAAAATCCAATGTGCTAGAAAATAGAGTGGAAGTGTACTGAACTCATTACATTTTGCATTTCAAAGGATAGCAATAAACACTATCACTTTGTAATACTGGTTTAGTGATTTTCCATTGCCATCCAAAAGCCAGTCAGTTTTAAAAGTGTTTCTTCAAAATAAAATAGCTCCTGTGAAAATTATTGAAGGGGTAAATGTATTCAGTGATAAACTTATTTTTATAGAATAGTGATAATTCTATTCTGGTTTTATTAGATTATTTCAATATATTGGTATTATACTTTGGTATGTCTTTGAAATATCTTCTTCAATAGCAAACAATGATTAGCTTTTTGTTATCCATTTTAGTGATCTATAAAAGTATCTTTTGATCTTTTCAAGCTTTATTGAAGTATAATTGACATGTAAAAGTTGTACATATTTATGGTATACAAAGTGATTTTTTTCATATTTGTATACATTATGAAATGATTACAATATTCAAGCTAATTTAACACACTCATCACTCACATAGTTAACTCTGTGTGTGTGTGTGTGTGTGTTTATGTGGGGAGAACATTTAAGGTCTAATCTCTTAGCAACTTCTAAGTATATAATACATTTACTATTGTTACCATACTGTAGAATAGAGCTCCAGAATTTATTCATTCTGCATATCTGAAACTTTTTACCTTTAAACCAATATCCATCTTTTCTTTATTTTAATTTTTTAAATTGTTAATTTTTGTATTTGTATAAAAAAGTATTCATCTAGGCCTCTTTCAATACCCTTTAGAGCTATAGGAGGCCTAAAGTATGTGATCTTAAATGAAAAAATTTATTTTAGACTCCAATTTTCCAATGTAATAATTTTTTCAAGGCATCTGGCTGGGAATTGCTCAACTTATTTCTTGTCAGCAGTGGGAAATCTAAAACTCAAATGCTGAGAGAGCACCTTAAATGCTTCTCTTTGACCAAAGCTTATGTTTCCCTGTTGGGTTCGACAAATAGAAATGGTAAACTGAGAGAAAGACTCCATAAAAGATGGAGTGAGCACAAATGTTAATTCCAGGTTTTTTGAAAGAAAAGATTATTATATTATCATTCTTAAGATAAATGGGTCAGTCGTTCCATTAGGACACTTATTCTATGCTCTTGAATACATTCTAAACTCAGAGAGACACCCATAAGACAAGTCACAAATGCTTTAGAATTGTGTTCTGTAAAAAAGCGGGAGGAGACGAACTGTCCACCTAAAGAAACAAGGGAGAAAAAAAGTTTTTCATCTTCTGAATCAGAAGCAAATCTGTGGTTGAATTAAACAGGCAAGACTTTTTCTTTATATAAAATGATGGTAACAGGAAAGATTATGCAATCAGATAACTGCCCTTAGAATATTATTTCTACATAGAATATAAATAGAATTAAGAAAAAAAAAGTACCTGATACTATTTAATGTCTATCAAATAATTCAGTTTAACTGGAAAAAGGCAAAAATAGTACAGTCCATCAAAATTTAGAAGTACCTGGAGGCTAATTATAATGCATTTCAGCTGCCCAATTTCATGTACATATTACATCAGCCAATTTTCCAGCCAAAGCCTGAACAGTTTCCATTTTTAATCTACAAATAGATTGTCATTTCAACTTTCATTTTATGTGACAGAAAATGAAGCTTTAATTTATCTAGTATGGAATGGAAAAATGCTGTTTCAGTGGGTTTGTATCAAAGAAATTGTTCATATGGCTTGGGTGATAGTCCAGTAGCAACTAATACAGAAATAAAGGTGGGTTTTTTTTTCTCCTTACCAATGGGGAAAATTCAAGGATATCAAATTTTTTTCTTCTTCTTTTACCTGATTCTGCTTTTACCTGAAATTTTTGCTAAAGAATTCTGTCCTATGTATATGAAGTAATTTTCTCCATTTTACTATACAACTAAATAATAGTAATTCCTCACTGACCACATTTTGTAAACACATGTCCAAGGTGAAATCAGCAAGTTATCATTCAACTTAACAATACATGTTAACTGGTGAATCTTGTTCATAAGCATCCAAAATCAAGCCAAAGTTAGTAAACTAAGACTGAAGCCCAGCATGGTAGGTAAAACAGAACATTCTACCATGTGTAAGGATTCCCCAAGACCTCTCCAGCCAAAGATACAAAATGGTTTATTAATTTGTGATGTAAATTCATTGCAAATATCCATGTTAGCATTATCCAGACCTTGATTGGAGGCACATGAATTAATGGTTAATTCAGCTTGCATTTGATGCTGCTGGAAAACACTCCACAAAAGTGTAGAAATGAAAATCATTTTCGAGAAAATAGGAGGCCTGAGCTGATTCAAATATCTCTGGTTCCCAAGTGACAGATCACAAGAAGGTTTACTTAGGAAGAGCAAACTGGTGCAATTCACTAAGCAGGTATGAGGATAATTTAGAAAAATGAAACTTTCGTTTTTTTCACATTTACTAGGCTAATCTTTATAACTATTATGTTTTGAGGAATAAAATGATATGTTCAAAAAGTAGAGAATGTTGATCAAATTTTCAGAGGGCTTTAGAGAAGGGAAGAAGTTAAAAACAAAGAAAATTGGAAAGAAGATGGCAAGATGGAATTTTAGAGGTTTAAGGAGGTCTGTGCCAATGACACTGAAGAGAAAAGGCTTTTTGTAAGAAGATTTGATCCGAATATTTACAACCAATTAGATTAGTGATTGAGTAGGGATATACAAGTAACAGTAAGTAATCAATGATGTCTGTAATGTTGGAGATCGGAAAGGTCCATGGCTTTCTCAGCAATGATGAAATCACTGAGCAAGTGTGAAATCTTAAAGAAAATAAGCAATCTGCATTTGCTAGATTCAACTTTAATTGACAAAACATGAACTCCTCAATAACAATTTCGCATAACACTGATTTTTAAACTCTATCTGCTTTTACCTTGGGCTGCTTTCTGGCTTCTCATATTTTAAATTATGATTTAAAAAAATAAAGGGAAAAAATCTTTGTTGAATTTCTATGCCATATGGGAATTTTTAAAAACAGTTGGAAGTTTCTCTGGCATGGCCTTCCATCGGTTCATTTGGCCTTCTATAAATAACCAAGTAAGCACACTGAGGCGTAGAGTGGATGGAGACACTGTCTTCACCATTTCTCCAGAAAATGATATACCTTCTGGCGTTTTGTTGGTTAGTTATTAGCAGAAACCAGATGGAGAATTATACTGTCTCCCCAGGACACTAATAGAAACAAGTTCTGGGATTTGTCTCTTTGAGTTTTTCCTGCTGAAATATGTTCTAACACAACCTTCAGGACTGAAATTATCCTGACATTTCAGTATAAAACAGCCAATATGCACTACCAGCTTTAATGTAATTAGGTAAAACCTACCTTAATTACTGTATTTAAGCTTTATATTCTTTGCATTATGCTACACAACCAAACTGCCTGGAATGCCAAGGCCATTACATGCATCAGACTAAGGTTGAAATTCAGCCTGCCAGCCTTTTACTACAAGGAGGCTTCCAATTTTGACCTTTGCAATGCATGAGCAGCTAAAACAGATAATAGGGCATGTAGATTAAAAATAAACAAATAGCAAGTTGCATAGTGGTGATATTTTAAAATTGGGACACATTTTCCCTTGTCTTTTTCATTTCCCTAAAGAAAGAGTGTACCAGATTCTCAGAATACAAATAACTTGAACATATAAACAAGTTTGTAAGTTATCATAGTTTTCGTCTGAGACATAAACATTATTACCATTGTAAATATTCTTTTAATTTTGAAATGAATAATTTACTTTACTAAGATAATCTAATAACCCTTGAATTTAAAAAATTGAGTACCCAAGTAGCTACATTTTCAATAGGAAAAAGCTAGTTTATATATATAGCTAGGTAGTGTAATATGCATACCGTCTCACATTTAATTGTCTGCTATAAAATAACTTTTCTTTGATATATTTTGGCAAAGAAAACAGTACAAATGATCCTGAAGACTCTGCAGATACCATAAGACATTATCAGAGTTCCAAGAGACACTTTGAAGAGAAAAAAAGCAGATCCTCATCTTTCATCTCCTCCATTGATGATGAACAAAAGCCGCTCTTCTCAGGAATAGTAGACTCTTCTCCAGGAATAGGGAAAGCATCTGGGCTCGATTTTGAAGAAACAGTGCCCACCTCAGGAAGAATGCACATAGATAAAAGAAGTCACTCTTGCAAAGGTAATCCAGAGTTAGACATCAGGTGGTCTCTCTTCAGTGCTAATCACAAAATGGTGACTTTTTACAAATTAAGAACTGTACTGACACATGTTAATCTAATTGTTCTCAACTTCATGAAATGTTCGCGAAGCGTTCAGATTTCAGATCATCCATGAAGTGTTTGCACTATTCTAAAACAAGTGGTAATTATTCCCAAACACTTATAGAGTGAGAGGTTTTCGTGACCAACCAGACTTAATAAAATGTCGGGTAGAAAACTGTGGGAAAGTCTGTTGTAGTAATTTCAATGGGGAGAGAGGACCCATGAATATTTTAAGACAGTTAATCAATTGGTTCTTTATATGTATCTTATGTACCCATTTCTCACCCCCAACCCTATAATATTATAGTATGAAGGGCCAATGCAATCACACTATAATACATGCCAATCAAAATTTAATTTTACAGAGAATATGAGAAAGAGTGGAGAAATGCCCTGAAATAAAGTATGGTCTTTATTTTATTTTTATTTTTATTTCCAAAAGGAATACCCAAATGTACAGATTTTGTTGTAGAAAATGTGCACGAGTTGGGTAATAATGCTTGATTAGTAGATGCAGATTTCATGCTAAAAAATGAGAAATTCAGGAAAATTTAAAGAACTATTACATGGAAGAACAACTATTTTAGCATACCAGAGGCTAGATCTATAGGTCTAGCTAGTAAGTGGTACCAGTAACGACTGCTTGGGTTCCAAGTGCAGCTCTGCCACTTGCTCCCTTTATGTCTTTGGGTAAATGATTTGACCAAACCCACCAAGACTCAGTTTATGCATCTTTAAAAGAGGAATAATATTATCTAACCAACGAGGTTATGGTTATTAAGATAACATGTAAATTACTTTTTCTGAAATAAAATCCCCAACTGTTAGTATTTTCTCACAGGTTTTATTTTTCAAGTTTTAATAATTTAATATATCCCTGGATGTATAAAAATGTAAAGATTAGGAAGGCATAATAAAGCATCAAAAGAATATTAACAGAAAAGGAAAAATAGGATGTTCTAGGCCTGGTAGGATAGCAAAATTAGTACATTAGTACAGAGTAAGTAAATATTACTTATCATCATTATTCCCAAGTACCATATTCAGCTACAAAGGTTTTATTAAATCTAGGATACTTAGGCTTTATATTTTTCCAGAGTTGCTTTTCCTGTCTTGTAGCACCCACTTTTTTCATGACCCCACATTGAAGTAAGCTAAGAATATATGCAAGTGTTCTCTGGACAATCTAAAATCTTGATGAAGTGAGTGGAAATAGTACCTCATTTATCACAATGGAAGAATGGAATATTAAATGTGATTACCAAATGTCCCATTTTAGTTATTTATGAAAATGGATTCTGGGAAGTGCTAAAAATAGAAACAGGTTGTATCATGGAAGTCACAAGTTCTGAAGAGCTTGCTGAACCATCTCTGCTATCTCCAAAGGTCAACATAATGTGAACCTAATAAGAATGCTTGTTGTTTTCCCCTTGAGTTTTAGAGTCTCAAGTGGCGAATTATTAAATATATAATTTGGGGATTTTCTGACTTTATAATGACTCTCACTGACAATGAATTCTCATGCCCTTCTTCATATACTTTTCTTTGCTACGCCTTCCAATTATTTTTAATTAGCTTTTCCATAAACACAAAAAATTATATTCTAACAAATTTAGTATCTATATATTCTAATTTTTAAAAATTTACAGGGCAATCTCTATTCAAATAATAATTATCTTGAAAATGTACAGCTAAATATGCATGTCAATTGAATTGATATCATATAGCTTCAATCAGTGTAACACATGGTTAGCCTGGCTAATTAATATCTTTAACCAATGGGGAATTCTAAAACTTCATTCACTGCAAATTTCATTCCTTAATGATTTTTAAGATGATATATTGCATTAATATGCAATGTGTGACTTGTTGCTGCTGCAGTTCAAACTACTAAACCCCCACAAATTTTAGTTTCACCATCAATAGGACATGTCACTCACTCATATTCCTAACATTTGTGATGCTGAATCCAACAGAGGAGCACATTTAGGCCAAACTAAAATGAAAAGAGAACAAATTAAATGGACTCTGTTCCTACTAAGATTGAGGTCAAAAGTTGACTCTAGGAAAATTGTCTACTCAGAGCAAAGTGAAAGTTTACTTTCTGTTCATACATTTCCAGAAATGTGTCTTGCAACTATAGCAACATTTTCCAAGGCAACCAAGTGCAGATTCTTTCCAAGCTATATTTAGAAAGTGTCTACAAGGATGTTCATTTGATTACGACCACTAACCAGGATTTCCCCTTTGAACTCCTCATTTTTTATACTGCTGTTTAAACAAGCTAATTATGTATCTTCAGATTTTAATTAAAAAGTAAATTATAATCAAGGAAGCCTCTAAGAGTATACACTTCGTTCATTTCTGATAAGGTAATTATTTTTTCTTGAGCCCTGAAGAAAAAATATAATCCTCCATAATTTATTGCATGTGATTCACCATTGTCATTTAAAAACCAATTTATTATATATAATTTGGAAAGAAGAGAGCTGTTAAACATAGGCAGAAATTCTGTAAGCTTTCTTGGCACAAAATGTGTGAGCATAACATGTAACTTCAGTCTTATCAGTTCTTGCCTTCTCGAAAGAAAGATTTCTACATTAACTGGCTAGCAGCAGACTAGACAGAGAAAAGCATCAGCATCACCAGACCATTTATATAGGTATTCCGGAAGTTTGCTTAGCATTACTGGCCCAATCTTTAAATCCCAGTTTGCTAAGATATTATTGTTTTGCATTTTAAACAGGTTCAAACGTCTGTGAATAACAAATCATACTTCTCAGTGAAAATCTGCAGATAAGTGACTTAAAACTCCAGCAGTATCTTTTTAGGTTCACTTATATTTTGCCATGTTTCATAAAATATTAAAAGAAATTATAAACTGCCTCTTTAAATAAGAACAAAAGCCGTAATCAGGAAGAGTCTTTCTGGAATTCATAGCAAGCCCTCTGAGGTCTGTTAGCCATTTCTGCAGAAGAAGGAACTCTGATCCTATATTTTTCTAATGCTGACTTTGGATATGCTAATTCCTTTGTCAAGCCTCACCCTACTGAGGCAGAAATTATAGACACCTCATTTGAGAAATTTCTTTATGTTCAATGTTAAAAGATAATGAGTGAGAGGAAAACCATGAAGAAAGAATACAGACATGTCTGTCTTCTACTTGGAGAAAGAGGATGCATTTAAACTACCCTTGGAGAAACTGCAGGAAAGGAAGGAACTTTGAGGAGTCCAATGGTGTTGTTTCCTATTTCTAAAATCATAGCTAATCCTGCCCAATTCAGTTACTTTCTATCCAATTTTTTAAAATAGCCAAGAATTCCATAACTTTACATAATAACTCTTCTCAGTGTTTAATCATAGATACTTGTCAAGTTTTTTTTAAGTCTTTCTATCAAACCAAAATCACTTTCTGTAATTCAAATCTCTTTCTCTGTGAAAATGAACACCAGTTTTAGATAGTCCTTCCTTCCTACTAGCCCTCCCAGTGAAGAAAAATGTTTCTCCTTTATCTCCAAAGTCAACTCCCAGCTCCAGTTGTATTTTTTCATAAGTTTCATTTTCCAACCTGTTAATTATTCTTAGAGGTTAAGAGAGCAGCAAAAACATCTAAAATATAGACAAAAATGAGGGGGAAAGGACATATTTTCCCCCAAATATTGACAGCTTAAAATATAGATTGTAGGAGAAAAAGGAAATTAAAAGAAGTTCAGAAAAATGAATCTGTATATGAAAAGGGATCACAACCCTGCTAGACTGAATTCTTCAAGTTCGGGGTCTATGGTCTCCTTTGTCTTTAGTTCCTCCGTATTTACCAAGGTGTCTGGTCCATAATAGACACTGAGAACATTTTAAATAGTAGACCTGAACTAATAGTTTATCTTAAAGTAGAGTAACATAGCAATATTTAAAATAAAGAGCCACAAGAAAAACATACTAGAAAGCAATATAATTATGGTAAAGGGCAGCACAGAAGGGGCTACAAGAAAGCATTAAAACATGAAACAGTAGCTGGGGACTAGGGGACTTGTAAAATTCTTCCCATTTTTCATGGCTTATGGCTCCTTGGCTCTATTTGAATTGGGTTGGCCAAAGAGAATCACCCTGAAGATCAGCACTTCTCTAAGGCTCTCTTCTTGGGCCCACTCTAAGTCATAACGTATGCAAGTTATCCTGTGGGAAAGAGCCCTAAAAATCTTAAACCCTAGATAATGCGGTGCAAACAACATATGCTGCTTCCTTCTAGATATAAAAGCACAGACTCATTGTTCTCTAATCAGTTTTGGTTCTGCTGTTCTTATCTTCTCCTAGCACAAACAGAAAGAAAACAAAATCCTAAACACTCAGGACCTGCTACATGTTTTTGTTCACATGGAAACGGATATGGGAGGTAGGGCCAGCAGGGTGAAAGTGGGACTCTGCTACCAACTGGCCGTGGCCCCTGGACACATCACTGAATACTTTTGGTTCTCTGTCTCTCAGGTTATACTCCGATCCTTTCCAGCTTGTCTTGTGGATATCTATGAATTATTGACGCAAAGGGGCACCTAAGAGTGTTGACATCCATCTTGCTATTTTCCACAGATATCACTGACATGCGAAGCTGGGAACGAGAAAATGCACATCCCCAGCCTGAAGACTCCAGTCCATCTGCACTTCAGCGAGCTGCCTGGGGTATCTCTGAAACCGAAAGCGACCTCACCTACGGGGAAGTGGAACAAAGATTAGATCTGCTCCAGGAGCAACTTAACAGGTATAAGCAGTGATGGGCAAAAGGAGAACATAACCCAACCCCTTACATGGGTCCAGTTTTACTCCTTACAAATGGAAAATTCTCCTTGCCATGATCTCATAATTTCCTTATACATTTACTTATTTAAAATAAGACTAGAAGTTGACAGAATAATTTGTGTTGAAAGGAGCATTTATTTAGAACACTTCATACTTCTGGCAGCAAAAATCCTATTTTTTTCTTTGTCATCCAGTTAGTATTTCACCAGCACTGGCTATCTTAGAAAACCCCCTTCTCTCCCCTCAAAATAATTCCTAATTAATTTGTTAACTGACACCCTTCCTCTTTTAATCCTCCTTTTACACTTTTTCGGATGTTCCCGATAGCATAGCTATGTGTTAGGGCATTTAAAAAATACTGACAAAGTGATTTAAACTTTTAGTTATTCAGTCAGCTTATCAAAAAATGTAATTGACTTGAAATTCTCACAGAGTTTCTTGTTTCCTTCACCGTTGATCTAAACCACTTAACATGATGAATAAATCTTAGTTTAGGGAGGAGGTAATCCCTTCCCCTAAGTCTGCGTGGTTTCTTTAAAATTAAAGTGGTCAAAAAGATTGAAAAGAATCTATGAGTGGGTATGACACAGATGCTTTAGTTGTGTTTCACTTGGGAATTTGTCTTGATCCAATAGTAGCCTTTTAGTTCACCACCAGGCAAGATATTCCAGTGGTCCCAGACAGAAAACTGCACTGACTAAATTAAAATGCTCTAATCACAAGATTTATTAAATCAATTTAAAACACAAGTGAGAGAAGAGGGAAACCATATGGGGCAATTAACACATTTCGAACACGCACAAGCATGGTAAAAGGATTGCACTACCCCAATTCTGACTTACACAATGTTCATGCATTTGCCATAATGTAACGAAGTTACCAAGACCAGAGTGGAGGTTTGCAGGTCTGCAGACAAAAATAATCTCCTGTGCCAGTGGCACACACTTGCTCCATAACAAGGATACAAGGTATAGTATACCTGACCTCAGCTGTGACTTTCCAACTAGCCAGCTCAACAGCCATGTGTTTCATTAGCCTTTCGTAGGTACAGCACACATGGAGCCAAGATGCGATGATACTGATATCACCAATGGGTGACCACATTTTGGGATGACGGTTGTTTACCTAGAGGTGACCTGAGAATAATTTGTTCTTTCCATCTCTATGTATAAGCAACACTCTTGTTTGTTACATATTTCTATCGTTGATATGCCTGGCAGGTTACTAGCATGCTATTTAATGTATCTTATGAATTCTGCCATGTTTAACAAGCTGCTTGCTTACTCATCTGTACTTAACACATCTATGAGTTTTGCCTATATCACAAACTACTGATTTATTCACTATTTATGCTTAAATTTTTGTGTGCATTTTGTCCATGCCGTTTATTGTTGTTGAACACACAAGTGAATGACTGAATGACAGAAGCAGCAGTTATTTATTCAGCAAAATGCTATCACTGTACTTGCAATTGGTGAGCATAGGAAAAGGTCTTAAGTCTGCTACTTAATGAGTTACAGGATTACTGGGTCAAATCATTTAAATTTCCCTCCATTTCCTACTTTGACTCATACCTACCCATGATGCTACTGTAAGGACTAAAGTAATGTAAATGGGAACTACATATGCTATACAAAATGGAAGTTGTTCTACTTGCAGATAGGTAAAAATTGATTAACAAGGAACTTCACTTCTATTACTGGTGTTCATTTGAGTATATTCTCCTACTCTACGTATAATTCCTGACTTGGACCTTTCATCAGAACTAAAATTGAGATTTTTAGCATCACCTGGTTGCTCTGTCATGGGTGCCAATCATTGCTGCTAGGATAAGTCAATGATTGCTTAAAACATTTGTTCTAAGGGCACATTTATGATCCATTTGGCGTGCAATCACCCAATAGTAATAAAAATTGTTGTTGTTATTTTATTACATTAGTATGTTATTATTACTATATAAAACTTTTCCACAAAATGCAATTAAATCTCTTTTGATGTGTTCCCAATATCGGTATGTGTTTCCTGAAGATGTTTTGAATTGCTGCTGTGAAAGTAGTCAAAATCAAAATGGAGTTGTTAATGTTAGAAAAACCCTGAAAAATAGAGCTGGGGAGGGCCAGGAAGAGAGGGATGTATGCCTGATAACAAAAACTATCACAAAGACTCTATAAGATCCACAACCTTGCACAGAAGCCACTGTAACCTAACACAAAACATACTTCTGCAAGGACATCTGACCAGCAACTGCCTGTCCAATCTCGAACCAGCGTCACCCTTGTTATTGATCTTTGTAGCCAAGGATAATCATTTCAAAACAATTATGTAGTCCTCCTCATCTTTCCTTTAAAAATCTCCACCTTTACCTCTCAGAATGAGTGCATACTTTACTATGGCATGAATATTCCCATTGTGTTGCGTATTCCCATATAAATATCTTTTCCTTTTAGAGTGCCTCTATTTATTATTTAGGATGACACTACCACCAATACTATATCTCCTTTGACATTTGTTTCTAATTATCTGTGATATTTTCACACTTTTTTTTTTTTTGCTCGTTTGGGATTTAAAATCCAAAATATTACATTTTTACTCCACTGCGGTTTTTAACAACCTTTCACCTCCACTTTATTCTAGAAGTTACATGTATACAAAAAAATTTGAAGGGGGAAGCTCAACTCAGACTTCTACTTTGCAGAGCGAGAATCCCAGGACACGTTCTATAGTGGAGTCTACCCTGTTTAGCTTCGGCATTTGTTCAAATGTAGAACTGTGAATTCCTACACCATTTGTCTCATTCAAATACACATATTAAGTACAAAACACAATAAAAACAAATAAAATGGTCTATCTTGAATGGTCCTTGCTACCACTTCTTTTCTGCTTTAATGACTGATTAACCTATAGATAGGGTTAAAGGTTTACATAAGAAATGTTATTCTGTATTTATATATTATGCCTGCAGATACATCTATTTAGGTAAATCATTAAGACTTGATTCTAGACCAGTGCTTCTCACATTTCAATGTGTATTTGAATCACTTGGGGGTCTTATTAAAATGCAGACTCCAAGTTAATAGGTCTAGTTGACAGAGATTCCACATTCTAAAAAGCTCCCAGTAATGTCCAGTGTTGCTGATATAAAGACCACACCTTGGCCAGGCGCGGTGGCTCACACCTGTAATCCCAGCACTTTGAAAGGCCGAGGCAGGTAGATCACAAGGTCAGGAGTTCGAGACCAGCCTGGCCAAGATGGTGAACCCCCATCTCTACTGAAATACAAAAATTAGCTGGGAGTGGTGGCGGGCGCCTGTAATGCCAGCTACTCAGGAGGCTGAGGCAGAGAATTGCTTGAACCCGGGAGAAAGAGGTTGCAGCGAGCCGAGATCATGCTACTGCACTCCAGCCTGGGCGACAGAGCAAGACTCCATCTAAAAAAAAAAAAAAAACAAACCACACTTTGAGTAGGGAAGCCCTAGAACATGTAAAAATTGTTAGTAATGATTCCTTCCATTGCACACAGAGCAATTTATCTGCATGCCTCTAGTATGGCATTGAGCACTTGCTTTGCCTAGTGTTGTGGTTATTTATGCACCTCCTTCATTTGTCTTTCCTAAGTGGTTAGTTCCTGTTAGCACTGTGAAATCAGATTTCATATTTATTCATTATCATGTTGTTCCCTCACCTTCCTACCTAACATTGTGCCTGCTACATTGTGGGTCTCTGAGTGAATGAATGAAAATATTAACTTCACGCAGCTTTATAATTATGCTGACAGAAGAAAAAGTTCTAAAACTATGTTATTTTCTGTTTTAAATACCAAGCTGGATTTATTTTAAATTCTCTGTAATTCCTCCTGAGTAAAGCAGGCTATTTAGTCTCAGTATAAGAGTCCTCTTTTTTTTCTTTTTTTTTTTTTTTTAGATAGGGTCTGGCTCTGTCCTCTGTCACCCAGGCTGGAGTGCAGTGGTGCAATCTCCCAGGCTCAAGCCTTCCTCCCACTTCAGCCTCCTGAGTAGCCGGGACCACAGGTGCACACCACCACACCTGGCTAATTATTGAGGATTTTGCCATGCTTCCCAGGCTGGTCTCAAACTCCTGAGGTCAAGTGATCCACCCACCTTGGCATCTCAAAGTGCTGGAATTACAGGCATGAACCATCGTGACTGGCCCAAGAGTCCATTCTTATTAAGCTAACAGACCCTTGTCATAAAACACTGAAATACAACCCTATGCATATAAAAAAACCTATCAGCAAACTGCTGCCCTTTGTTGAACTACCCAAGATATCTAACAACTAGTTAATAAAACAAAATTAAGTCCCACTCATGGCAGTGTGCTGCAATTACTGGATGTATGGATGCTGAAGCCTCACCTTCCAATAGATTTTTTCCTCATAGACACTATTCAAATAGGTAGAATCCATGATAAAGAGATTTTATTTCTCAGAGACAGCTGCTGTTTGGCAAAGGATTTATATGACAAAAACATCACGATAATTTTTGACTCATTTTTGGATCTTGAATCTCCCTTGTTGATGCAGTTCTTCTTCCAGTCTTTCCCCCCAAATCCTTTTACATTCAATGTAATAAACATTGTTGTAAGCCACTCACAACTGAATGCTGTTAGTAATGGAATACATTTGTACAGAAATATTTATGATAAATCTGAATGTATAATTTTCTTTGGAGGCTCAGAGGAGAAAGTAATTCTGAATGGGGTAAATAAGGAAAGATTTTGGGATACAGATAACATATAAGCTGGGACTTGAAGAGTGAAATGAAAGAAAAATATGTATAACACATAACAGTGAAATAATGGGTCTGCTTAGTTTAGTTGGAAGCATAAAAATTAGATCAGACCTTCAGGTATCAAGAGTAGATAAATAAACCAGTTGATAACTCAATTTTTCCCTTTTCAGAGTGGTTTTGACATTTGCAAAAATGACATTTGCAAAGTCATGTATCATTCATAGCTATTGGTTTAGAAGACACAAAGCTATATGGCTATATTTACTAACTATAGAAAAACTGCAAGAATAATGTGTTATTGTGATTCTTAGAAGGAAGATTTGGAGTGTTAATATCAAAAACTAAAAAAAAAAGAAGATATTTTCTCATGTTTTCCAGGTTTATTATGTTCTCTATCAAATCAAAAGCTAATTTCTACTTTGAATTCTACAAATATAGCATGAATTTAATTGGGCAAAATTAATCCTATGATTTTCCTTTTTTTGTTTTATTTCCATTTTTTATTCAGAGGCAAAACAGTCAGCGCAAATAAGTGAAGAGTTAGAAGAATTTTCTAAAGAGGCATATGGTCCAAATTTTCTGTTCTTATGTCCACAAAATTTCCTCTGTATTTAATGCTGTTGTTAACACATGCAAAGGAGGGGAATCTGACCAATTATATTTTGCTATTTTCCCTTAAATTTTAATTTAAAATGAGAATGAAATTAACAGGCCAGTTGGCTACTTGTGAGCTTTAGGGAAAAAATAAACTGGTATTTTGCAGGCCAGATGGGTCATTAGAAGCAAGTGAAGTCAAGTTTGGTCTGCTTCTTACATACCAAAGGCCATGACATATTAAGAGGGAAAAAGAATTTAACATTTAACAGCATTAAACATTAAAGAAAGAATACAATGAATAATATACAATACTTAATATGAATAGGACAGAGGTAAGGTTAAAAAGTGTTAATATAAATGTAAAAACACATAAGAAATTATCCTGGGATGCTACAGTTATGAAAGAAATGTGCTACCAATCTATTTTTTAAGAGCAAATAAAATGTTCACAAGAAACTGAGTAAAACCTAATTAAAAAGCAAAGACAATTACTGATTAAAAATAAATTGTCAGTGTGTTTTACATTTTGAAATCAATGAAGGTTAGTAAACATGTAGTCTATTTTGTTCATTTGATTTTCTGTTAACTCTTAATATGAACAGGAAAGCAATAGTCTTTATCAGAATAATTAGTGAGACATACACAGTAAGTATCCGTCAGGAAAGAATCTCTGTGCTCCCTCTCCTGTCCTTCTTGTTTAAAGCAAGGCCATAATTCTGTTTCTTGGTAGTGCTGAAATTTTTTTAAATGCTCCTGAAATTCTGGACTATTTTAGACTGTCTTTTCCTACTTCTGTCTGTTCTGTAGGCTTGAATCCCAAATGACCACTGACATCCAGACCATCTTACAGTTGCTGCAGAAACAAACCACTGTGGTCCCCCCAGCCTACAGTATGGTAACAGCAGGATCAGAATATCAGAGACCCATCATCCAGCTGATGAGAACCAGTCAACCGGAAGCATCCATCAAAACTGACCGAAGTTTCAGCCCTTCCTCACAAGTAAGTGTGGATACCATCCAACCAAGAGTGTCTCTCACAGTGTGTTTCCAGGGGTCACCTAATCAGAATCACTTGGGGTGCTGTGGAAAAGGCAGATTTCTGTCCCTATCTCTGTTTCTACTCAAATAGAATTTCTGGAAATGGGCCCTGTAATCTGCATTTTAAACAAGCCCACGCTGATTTTTATGTTCATTTAAAGTTTGAGAACAATGAAGCTAGAATAATAATTTTAAACATTAGCATTTTTTTTAAAAGGAAAACCTTTCTTCCAGAATCAACCTGCTTAAATTTACATGTGGTAGAGCTTTGAAATCTAAGGAATAGTCTTCCTGGCTCTTAAAAGGGCTTTAAGGAAAAATCTGGGTCCCAAAAGAGCTTCAAAGAAAAATCTGTAATTTTCTACAGTGCCAAAGGCTGGGAGAGGTCTCAGGAAGGAAGGGGAGGAGAAATAGTAGGCTGGCCAGATTAGACCTGAGGTTCAAATGCCATCAGACTAGTAATCTTGTCTGTACCCCACCCATCACCAGAGATCTCTAAATTTTTTTACTTGGATGATAAACATGGTAAGAGAAGCAATTTAAAGAGTCCTTTATCCTGCTTCTGAAGCCCTCAAAGGGGTCCTTTTGAATTATGTTAATGTAAGTAGTCTAGCTTTCCTTGCAATTCTATTTTGGGAATTAGTCTTAATTAGTTAAACATTATGGTGAAATTGGACCTAAGAACAATGATTTAAATAAAGATTTGTAGAACAATCTCATAAAACTTTTTTAGATGTTCGGGAATTTAATTTAAGACGTTCTGGAAAATGAAATTACACTAATAAGAGAAGGTAATGTGTCAGAAGGAAAATAACGCAATACTTCTAAAAATCTGAAAGTAGAAATTAATTTAACTAGTTTTGAATGACTGGGAAACATGTAAAACCATCTATTTTGTTCTTTGTTTTCAGTGGATTTAGGTAATATTATCTGACTAGGGATGACGGATTTTACTTCCCATCTTCCCATCTTTTCTTTCCTCCTTATACCCTCTTATTCATCAAGTGATCCCATTCCTCATCCCAATTTGTCTTAAATTTCGAATTTAATTCATCTGGAAAACTCAATGTAAAATAATATATATTTTTTTAAATCTGATTTTTAAAATCTGGTTCCAGGGTTAAATAAAAGTTCTTGGAATGGTTGTTTAGGATTATCTGTACTGATAACCAATCTCCGACGTCCTGACTCATTTTAGGAGGGAAATGTTGGCTAATATCACTAATCAAATATAGATTAATGAGGAAAGAAAATGCTTAAGTTTTTATTAGTGTAATTTTCAATGACTATCTATCAATGTGAATTATAAAAACTTGTTTTGTTCTTTTTCCATCAGTGTCCTGAATTTCTAGACCTTGAAAAATCTAAACTTAAATCCAAAGAATCCCTTTCAAGTGGGGTGCATCTGAACACAGCTTCAGAAGACAACTTGACTTCACTTTTAAAACAAGACAGTGATCTCTCTTTAGAGCTTCACCTGCGGCAAAGAAAAACTTACGTTCATCCAATTAGGCATCCTTCTTTGCCAGATTCATCCCTAAGCACTGTAGGAATCGTGGGTCTTCATAGGCATGTTTCTGATCCTGGTCTTCCAGGGAAATAATCATTTTGTACTATTTACTCCACATACAATGTAAGTGCTTTTAATGGCTGTTTTCCTTTTTCTATTTAAATCCTCTCTACTTGACTCAGGGGCTCACAAGGTACCATTATATGCAAAAGTACTGTATATTTTCCTAAATTGAAGCTTGTAAGGTAAAACTGAGCAGTTAGGATGTAAATATACATAAGAACTTTTGGTTCCAAATGTTAAAACTGCCAGCATCTCACGGCACCTTATTTTTTATTTTTATTTTTTAAATCACATGCATGTTAGGAAACTCCAATTTCTCTTGCATGGAGACTCCTATTTACTGCTTTTACTAAACCAGTACTTCGTTATGAAAATGCCTTCCACGCAAATAAGAAACCAAGGGATAAAACTGTTCATGGATGCAACTCAAATTCAGATGATCCTCAACTCATGGGAATTCCAGGGGGATAAAGGGAACTTAGTCACTTTTGCACACAGATTCAGGTCTTTCTGTATCAAGATGTTCAAAGTTAATTACGTTCATTCCTCCACACTGGAAGAAAAAATACAAAGTTTGAGTTGTAAACCTCTGACAGTATAGGAAGCCATATCCAAAAACTAAACATAGGCCAACAGTAATGAGAACAAAGGTCTTTCTATTTAAAATTATGTCACCAATTGCATTTACAAACCATCTAAAGTATTTTCCACTGGCACATTTCCTAGAAGGCTTAAAAACAAATTTCTCTCATTTTGCTTTTTTTCTGGAGGCGGGGGATGGTGTGGTCTCCTTAAGTACTGCTAAACTGTGATTAACACAAACTGATATCCACAGCTTTCTTGTGATTCACATTTTAAAGCAATCCTGAGCGGACATACAGCCTGGGCAACATGGCAAAACCCCACCTCTACAAAAAATGTTTAAAAATTAGCAGGGTGTGGTAATTCACACCTGTAAACCCAGCTACTTGAGAGACTGAGGTGGGAGGATGGGTTGAGCTTGGGAGGTCAAGAGTGCAGCAGGCCTTGATCACACCACTGCACTCCTGCCTGACAATACAGTAAGACCCTATCTCAAAAAATAAATAAAAAATAGTCGACACAGTTTTC
Source organism: Homo sapiens (assembly GCF_000001405.40). Classification (NCBI taxonomy): domain Eukaryota; kingdom Metazoa; phylum Chordata; class Mammalia; order Primates; family Hominidae; genus Homo; species Homo sapiens. The sequence continues at coordinate 162,370,748 of NC_000002.12, read as the reverse complement.
AAAAAATGTGCAATTTCAGTGGATTTGCATGGCAAAACTAGTTTCCATTAAGTATATGTTATTCCATGTCTAATTGCAGCTGCGGGAAAGCAATGGGCCTAGAAAGAAAATGCACATACCAGCAGTAAAATTTCAGTTGTGTTTAGTTATTCCAACACTTTTGCCAATTGAAAATTAAATAAAAATCTATTATACATGATTGGAATGAATATATATTGACCTCAGAATATCAGAACATACAATGAAATATATCTTTCAATTAAAATATCTTCAACTGTTAGATTTTTTGTGGGGGACATATGTATCTCATAAAATTGGGGTAAAGAAAAACATTACAATTTAAGATTCTGATCAGTCAAGTTCTAGTTAAGAAATGTTATTTTTCAATTCAAGTACAATTTTAAAATTATGAACTCTGATCCATTATATCTTTTCTTGCTGAACAAAAATATTGAAATTTATTGAAAGTTTGTTAGTCCATTAAGAACATTTTATCAGTGCACATTACTAAATGGGTTAATTTCTATCCCTTCAGGATATTCAAACTTTGACACTGATCTGTTAATCAGCTTCAAATGCAAGCTATTTCAAGTTACTAAAACTATTGCACTGTTTAAAATGTGATTAAAGTGACCTTAGATTGCTCCCTATGTATTTTTAAATGGTCACATAAATTGGTAATCCATGTGGAAGGCAATCTGTAAGCAAAAGCATGTTCTTATTCCTGCTTAATTTTTGAAAAACCAAAACACAAATGTTCAAGTGCATTATTCAAAATGACCAGTCAATTCCAACATATACTATTATACAAAAGTGCAATAATTATAACCAGCTTCCCAAACTATTTGGTGTTATGCAGATACAAACTTAGGGGCTAACTGATGCTTTCACTTCCTCACTCAACATTCCATGGTGCCTAGCAGGGAAGAGAAAGTCCTATAAATGGCCAACTCTGATTCAGAGGACTATTTTGGGATTTTATTTCCATATTGGGACACATTTTTGCAGCTGCAACAAATTTCATAAGGATTGCCGGCCTAAGTTCAGGAACATTCAGAATGAATTCACCAGAGAATGTTCATTTGTAGGGAGAGAGGATTTGGCAGGTGAGGAATGGAGATCTGATTGATTAGTGAATGCCTCAGCTGCAACATTTGGTATGACATGCATAAAATCCAGCCTCCCACATAAAACTTGTTTATATTTCTTTGTGAAACCTGAGCATGAAGAAATAGGAAGATGGGGAATGGTGTGCAAGCATCCAGTTTATTTAAATTCTAGCACAACACAAACCTTTTTCTTAATTCCTTGACATCATTGCTTATATTAAAATCTTAACCCTCAGAGAGTTGGACAGGATTAGGAACGTCCCTTCCTACAGGATATTAGCTTAAAAAGAGACTGAGCAATATAAAGACGTGATTAGTTGGGCATAAATGTCAGAAGACTCAATGGCTAAAGTGACTTACAGATGACCAAAGCAATTATCTTGATGTACAAAATTCATCCCTTTCCCCAGCCAAAGATCTAATGCCTAAATGTACCATCATCCCCCCTGTTGGCTATTGCAAAAACAGTCTGACCTCTCCATCCAGGGATCATGCCGAGAGCCAGGTTGAACTGCTGCAGCCAATCATAATGGCAGTGTAGCAAATGCTTTCCTTCTAGGTAATTAGAAGCAGTAATATAACACCTTTTGCTCTCCTCCTAAAAATAATGTTACCTGGTCCCCTGGCCTAAATAAAATGTCATTTAAAATCTAAAGTTTATTTGAATCCAATGATCTCCTGCTGTTATTAATTGCTGGGCAAAGAGCTGAAACAGACTTATCATTCTCCTCCATAGGGGAGTCACATTATTTAATCAGTTGAGAAAACCAGGAATAAGAAATGATGAAGCACAATTCTCATGGGGTTTTTAAATTAATAATCACTCAGTCAACAAACATAGGAAGGCAGGGGGCAGATTTGGGACAGAATAGTTTCTTAAGTCCATTATAATGTATTGGTCATCAGAGCACAACTATCCTACTCTTCTAGTCAGGAAGTATGGGAAGTAGGTCAGGGCATTTGAGGTCAGGTTTAATATGTTTGTGTAAGAATTGCTTACAAGGTCCTTTTGGAGGGTGAACTTTAGAAATGGTTCCAAAATGACCAGAAAAGTAAAGTTCTTATCGAAATGTCATTTTAAAACCCCATCATATATTGTCTAAGGATAAAATGTATCACCTTATTGGCATATCTAAAATTATTATTATTTTAGATATTATTTTAGATACTGTTATTTAACAACAGTATCATTCCTCTAAATGACTTTCATGATTTAAAAAAATATTCTGTAGATGTTATTAGAAATGAATTGCATAACAGAGTGTCTAAATTGCTTATCTATGGCTAAAACCAAAAATAGATAAATATATGTAAATTACTTATCTATGAAAATCAAAATTTTTATGTTATCAAAAAATCAAGTTATATTTTTACAGTAAAACAAATATGTTTCTATCATGTGAGTTTGAAGAGGCACTTGAAGACAGGATGATACAGGACAGTGGTCCTCAAAGAGTGGTCCTCCAACCAACACTACTAGCATCACCTGGAGACTTGGCAGAAATGCATATTCTTGGCCTCACCCCAGATCTAGTAAATCAGAAAATTTAGGGGTGGGACCCAGCAATCATCTTTTAACAAGCCCTCCCTCACGTGATCCTTACACACACTAAAAATTTGAGAATTACTAATGTAGAAGAGCAAGCATAGATTCTGCATCAGACCAACTTGGGTTCCAATACCAGTTTTTTCATCAATAGCTGTGTGACCTTGAGCAAGTTAACCTCCCCCAGTCTTTTTCTTGAATCTCTAAAAATAAGGCAATGGTATCTGTCTCACAGAAGCTTGAGAAAGAAATGAGATAAAATATAGTAAAGTGCCTGGCATATACTAGGTGCTCAAAAAATGCTGAGTTCCTTGTTTCTCGTCCAGAAACATGGCATTAAAACAATCAGGAGAACAATTTCCCAAGATTTAGATTTTGCACAATGTGCAACGTCTCCAACAACATAGCTGTTGCCAAGATGAAAGTTTTTGATTCAGAAAAACCTACATGTAACTATTGTTTTATCTCTCTTAATTGTATTTTGCACTATTAGGTTTATAGCTTTAAAGTAATACTATTTACAATAATAGTGAGAGTGTCAATCTCCTTGTTATAAACATATCTACTCTGAATCGATGTTATACATGCCAAGTATGTAAAGTAATCTGTCGATCAGTACTACTAGAATGTATTCTATAAAGGCTGGCTCACTGTGGAAGTCCTTCTTTAGATCTATGATATAGTCCTTAGATGGATATCTGAAAATACATTTACAAAATACAATTTTGAAAGTATATAATTTTCCATTTTTACAGAAAATATAATTTTACAGTTGCAATGGTTTTCAGACCCCTAGGCCACTCTCTCATTGCACAGATATGTTACACAGTCTTAAACTGGCTAAGCTCTTGTGCGGAACGGTGGAAATGGCAGGGGACTCAATGTGGTAAACCTGAATTCAAATTCTACCTTCTCCATTTATTCTTGGGACAAACCCAGAGTAAGCCCCAGTATCCAAAATGATAAAAAATGGTGTTAGCATCTAACATATCTTGAAGGGGTGTGTTGAGGATCCTCTGAAAATATAAGTAGAAATGCTTTGTAAACCATAAAGGACGTTATTTCTTACAGTAAATCTGTGTGTGATTTGTGCATCATCATAAAGATAGTGGAATATGGGGTAGTGCAGTAGCACTACTTAAGGTCTTCTAAAACACTTTCTGTTGCTCTTTCCTTTACCCAACATGCACATTCATACTGTATAACAAAAACTTATGAAGTCATTTTCACATGCCTCCCAAAGATCTAGTTGCTCAGAGCAGGCGAAAGCCAGTATAGATAGCATCCTTATATTTGTTAAATATTGCTTTTGTCCACCATTCATAAACTTATACATTTGCATTGCAATTGTTTTCTAGCTTTGCAATAGCTCATCCCTCTCTCCCTCATGCCTCAAATGTTCCCAAAGTTTTTTCTTGTGGTTCTACTTACGATGTGATGTTAAACCACTTTACAAACTAAAAGGATCATGTTTCAAATGTAAAGTATTAGGTGTTGTGATTGATCAGTGCCCAACAGTAGAATAATTCCTCACATGCATTTGTGGTACAAACACACTTCGGTTAAATGTCAAATACAGAAAATTAACAGAAAGACATGAATTATTAATAAGCAAAAGCATGAAAGGAAATTACCGTGAGGCTTATGTATATAAACTATTAAGTGGAGATTGAGAGATGACTAACAAGTTATTTAAAACATGTTATTACTACGAATACATCAAAACATCTATAGAAATGCAATGTTAAGAACACGGAACCATATCAATTGACAAATTTCATTGCTGTACCATTCATGATCAAACTTTTAAATGAGAATAGCAAGATTAAAGAAATACTGCCAGTAAAATAGTACTTATTATGAGAAGTGGCAATATTAACATAGTTATTCTTGAAAAGCTAATGTCAAAAATTAGATGAATCCCCTGAATGATAGTCACTACATCTGTGACTTCCATTAATTTATGTTTTGAAAGATGTAAAATAATTTGGTATACCTGTGGTTTTAAAGCACTATGTTTAACCTCTATCCTTTGTATTTCCTCTTGTGTATTTTAATGTTTTTATATTGAAAGTAATCACAACTGTTAGCATTTAAACTGTATTATTTATACTGACATATATTGTTTGGATATATAAGAAATTCCACATTTTCATCATTCTTATTTAGGGGTAAAATTAAAGGATCAGTAATCTTATAATTAACTCCCTCACGTAGTCTCCTCAAATGCCCCTTTATTTATAATAGCACTGAAATGATATGGCATCTTTCTTCCAAATGTTGTATAAGATTAGAAATATTGAGGAATCTCTAGTTTTTATCTCCTAGCCACCTAGTGATTTCAATTAAAGGCACATTAACGCTTTTTAGCTGAAATTTGCATTTTATAATTTTGATGGGAAAATGTATTACACCAGAATGTTTACCAGTTAAATAATAATACATTTCAAAAAAGAATGTGTGTAGTCACTTGAAAATGTCAGTCATCTGATACAAAGCAGCTCACTTACATCTGGCTAAGTAGTAAGTACCTTGGAATGCTTTAAACAAAATGAAACAATCTACCAAAACACATACTATTTCCTAGTTTTTATGCACATAATGTAGCATGAAATCATAACGCTTTTGAAATATTCTGTGCAGAAATATTTATTTTTTAGTAAATATTTTCTTCAAAGATTGGTATGTGGTATTGACAGTGTAATCTACTTGCACAACTAGTTTTGCAATAAGCTTCTACAGATAACTGTAAATAAGAAAAATGTACATTTCATGTAAAAAATGGTTGCAAATTTTTGGTAGCTAAGAGAAATGTACAAGTTGTATTGAAAATATAGTATATATACATAATTTAAGAATGAAGCATATAATTTCTGATCTATTTATACATGAAAAATTCAAGAATTTGTAAAAGAAATTATTTTGGGGAAAAAGAAAGTAAATCTCATTAGCTAAGTAGGATACTTTTACTAGAGAAGCCAACTTTTTCCAACATTTTACTAGGAACAGTACTAGATATAGGCATGGTGGTGCTGATGTTATTTCATGAAATCACATGTAACAGTGCTACAGTTTTACTGAGTTCCATCAGGACACTAGTAAGATAGACTGAGTGGCAAAAAGCATTAAATCTAAAATTAAAGAAGCATAATATTTCACCTATTATTGCCTGTTAAGACCACAACAGTGATTGACTAAAACATTTATTGTTTACTTAAAATTTCTGGTGGATAAACAGGCTTTAACTCATGTGCAAATAACTTTTTATAACATACGTTTGCTTCATTTTTTTAAGCAAGAATGAAAATATCCAGATATTTTCTTTTGCCCGAGTTTCATACTTTCTTAATTCCTCCCCCTGTTGCTTCTCTATTATTTAAGGGGAAAAATATCAAACTACCTTCAAGAAAACTTGTAAATAAAATGTGTTGGCCATAATGTGGCATGTAAGCTAAGGACTATTGAGTCTGTTTAGTGGCTTAGATTTCCCAACCTTCATCTTAAGGGTTTAGAACACCAAGAGAACATTTCCCTTTGACAAAAGAAAAACCAAACACAAATAGCAGAAAAAATTGTATTGGTATCTACAACCAAGGCTGATCAGAAAATGAGAATCTAAATATGAAGAAACTACATATTTTAGAACTTACCGTAAATTATCTCTTGCCATAATATAAATCTGAGGGTACCACAAATAGATAGCTATGGGAAATTAAATATGCATCCAAAAGTTCAGAAAAATCTTATAATCATTTGAAAATGGCTTATTATTTTCAAAAAAATGAATATTTAATAAGTATGTTTCTGGGATATTCATACTAGCACTCTTCAGGTTATCCTTTGAAAATTCAATAATTACAACAAAATGAAATTTGATTCAATAATACAGTCAACTAGAATGCAAATATCTGTATGTACGTATCTGTACATACTTACATTTTTATGGTTAAGGGAAAACATTGGGGTACCTCTCACAATATGTCAGAATTAGGACCTAATCACTCCTAAGTGTTCCCAAATATTGCTATTAAATGATGATCTAGGCCAATTCTCACTCCCGGTAAGCTTTGCAAATTGCCACCATCTCTGATGTTACAGAAGGGGCACATCTGAAAACATAATTAGCACATAGGGAAACAGCTTCCTCATTTTCTTACTGTATGGCACATCATAGTGATGTAGAAGTGTTGCCAATGTCTACTCACTATTCAGATACACAGAAGCACACCTGAGTCCTGAATACTCGCAAAATAATACACAAAGCTGCATATTACCAACCTACTTGGAAAAAAGGAATGCTAAGTATATAAGACTCTTTCTTTATATGCCAGAAAAACATATTTTTAAAAACAAGTAGAAAGAGATATGGCAGGAAATGATTAAAAGCACAGATTTCCCAGCATTCAAATAATGAGCTGATAGTGAGTCAGAAATATTTTTCCTAAGTTTCCCAGTGTTTTGCTGGAAAGTAGTTTTCTGCTCAGAATTCTAAATTACAGGAAAAGTTTAATATATGTACTATATGATGACCTCATTCTAGACTTCAAATTACCTGAGCAATATTCATTTAAAATCCTGTCTGCACTCATAACTTCTAAATATTTACCAGTTCTAAATATTTTAATTTGTATCATCTAGTATTATGTATAAACTCTAGACATATTCTTGGATGATATTTTAGCATTATGTATTTATTCAGATGTGCTTAATTCACTATGTAAATGATTGAATTGCAACCCAAAAATTGGGATCTTCTAACACAAGTTTCAAAGTAATAAAACACCCATGGTTGCATTTTAAAGCTTATGGGACAGAATATGCCTGCCTGAAAGAAATCTTGGAATTTACTCATCAGATTTAATTCACCAGATATTAACAAATTTATTTCTATTAATTACCCAGAAAACTAGAAAAGCAGAAGAAAACATATCATTTAAGAGTTTGTCAAACGTAAAAAGACAAAGAGCACATTTCCGACAAAGAGTATTTATTTTGTTTGTCCAGTTTAGTAATGCCATAAGATTACAGGCAAACTTAATGTCTTATATTTTACTTAAAGAAATAATCACAAATTGATTTTTTGTTATTTTTTTTAACTCCACAGACTTTAAACTGTATTAACAGATTCTACTTTCTTCTAGGGTAAATGCCTTTTTTGGAAATAAACATAACTTGACTACATTTTTTGTTACTTTTTTCTGGATGCATGTGTAAATAGGTCAAATGAGAAATCCTTGAAATTACATTTAAAGTGGACCAAATTAAGATTTCCATACTATTGATTTACCCTTGATGTAATTTAAAATGTGTAAACTGCCACTCAGAATAGAAGTGCAATACCTGACATTTAATAATTTGGCAGTCTTTTAGATATAGGTGAATTACTGCACTGTTATTTGAACTGAAGCATCTCATAATATATATATATGTAACAGATTTTGTATGATACAAAACTTTACAGCAAGCTATTTGAATGTTTATTAAAAAAATTCTCAAAATGACATGGAAACATGTTTACTGTATAAATAAAAGCACTTATACATTAAGAGTGTACATTATTCAATAATTTACATCATCGTAAAAGAACTGGGGTGTAAGTTAACCAGTGCAAACTACTATACTATATTCATATTACAGTCATGTTCATCATAAAAATATCAGTTATTTTTAAAGCATCGAAAAAGTGAACTGTATTTCAGTATAAAAATTCTGGTAAAATATTCTCTAGGCCTAATGTTTTTGTTAACATAAGTTTGTCTGTTTAATGTAAAGTGCAGAAGAGTTGCCTGGCAATTAAGTTGGATCGGCATAGAATGTTAGGTTTTGCTAGAGAAAGGGGTTCTGTGGTCAAAAAGTTTGGAAAAAACTGGGTCAAATAAAATTAAACATGACTGATTTTATTAACCTTGGGGTTTCAGATGCTAATATACCTTGTCAAGCTTTAGAAAGTGAGAGTTTCTAAATATGTTTGGCCATGGAAGCTCCTTCATAGACCTTCTATGACCAAAAGTCATAAGAACATTTTTAAATGAAAATTGTGTTAAAGAGTTCTAATATAGAGTGTCACCTGGCAGAAGCTTACATGAATAATACCATTTGTCATTTTAAAAGTTTTACCTCAACTGTGAGCCTCCAAGTAAGAGAGATAATCATAATCGACCGCAGAATAGTTCAGTAACGACCATCTGTATAACCTGGATGTTAAGATTACAGGTTGCTGAGCGACATTATCACCATTCGATGTGAACGACACTTAGTGTTTTCACATTTGCTTTTTCCTACAACACTTCTAATTAGAATTCTGTTTCTTTAATTTCCCAGCTCAGTTAATGTCCTCTCACATTATCAAATATATGTTCATAAAAAAGCCAGAGAACAAAATTATGTGTATTACCTATTCACACATTTTTATAAAACTGACCAAGTGAATTTGACAGCAAATTATATAAAATTATCAGTGTCAAGTGACTATGCGTTACTTCCTTTCCAGGATTTTTTTAAGTGAAGGCTGATTTAAAATTCTGTAAGTTTATAAAAGATTTTGTTCAAGATATTGCCATCTATCCTCCATCCATTAAGAAACATGGGATTTTATAAAATCTATAAATTAATTTGGTCAGCAGTCATAAAATTATGTCACTCACTGTTAGGTTAGAAAATACACATTTAAAGCATAAGAAAAATAAGTGGTTTATTAAATCTTCACTAAGACAGACATGAGGTGTTTGCCAAGAAAGAAATTACATTAATTATAACATCTTATACCAGGGATATTAAACACTAAAGATCTGGTGATTCTACGTCGCATTTTCGGCAGTTTTAGTACCACGCAGAAAAGTTGCTGTGGTGCCTACTATGCTCAAAACACCACATCACATAGATGCACTCAAAATACTTACTGGGTTTTTAATGGCAAAGCCACCACTAATGTTAATGTTGTCAAATAAGTCAAATGTAAAATTTCTGAACAATTAGAGTGGTTAATTACTTGTTTATTTTTAAGTTTATAAAGAGTTGACATTACATTTAAACAACAATTTAATTAGGACAATTTTGAATGTTGACATATCATCAAAAACATATGCCATTTCTAAAAAGTCTAGATTCAGAGCAGGATGCCATTTTAGGTGAACTATGTCTTCACTAATGAAATAGGACGCAGAGAGAAATACTATGTTTATTAAGAACTTTTTGCTTAGAGAAGACAATAAAACATATTTAAGAAAAATATATAATACAAAAAATAAAAAAGGAAAAAACAATGCCTTCTGTAGTCTTATTTCACTACAGATTGAACTAGGGAGATAATTTTCTTCTTCACAGACAAAGATCTTTAAGTTTCTTTTCTCTGATTATTTGATCAAGGAACAAACTATATTACAAACATGGCACAAAATCCAGGCTTTCATTTCTAGCCAACCCTCAAACACCACCAACTACAAAGAAAATTTAAAAGTCTAATTTGTAACCTTCAGATAAGTATAAATTAGTTTTTTCTAGGCTTTCATTATTTGGCTTCTTATACAATCTATCTTGTAAAGTACATTCCTCTAAATTTACATTATCTAAAATTAAGGCTAAGCATTATTTAAATCAATTAATCATACAATATTTTATGACAATATGCACATATTTATAAAATAACTTTTCCAAAAGCAGTAATACCTCAAATTAAAAAAGAAATCTTTTATTGCTTTGAACTATCTGCTAAAATAAAAACACACAGAAAGGGAAGAGGTTTAACAGGTAGGAAGAACATAGAAAACCCTTAAAAGTTTTAAAGTAGTCCAGTTCACTTCTTCCAAACAAAAGAATTCACAGTGTCTCTTCAGGTTTAAAATTCTAAGCATTCAAATTGCCATAGTGCCCTGCAAAAACTAATACATAAGTGAAATTATTATCTATTAAGAATAAAATGGTTTTTAATTATTTTTGACTAATTATATTCCATAAGAGCATTTTCTTAAGAGAGAAAAGTTTGTTTCCAAGGCTTATAATTCAAGCCAATAAATATCAGTAATGTTGACCCCATAACTTCCATCAGTAAATATAAGAAAAACAAAACAAAAACCCTGAAACATTAAAGCACAGGTAAATATAACTGTCTTATACCTTGAATTTTAAAAAACCCTGAATATCAGGTTAATAGTAACCATTTGAAATGAGAAATGAACAGCTTCATAATCCGTCACGGATTAAAATTTTTCCCTCCCTGAGAAAAAATATCACTACAGTAAACTACCCTTTTTAAAAATAATGGTGGTTTTGGCCCTTAAAAGTGATTTGAAAGATCATTTTTTTTTTAATTCAAAAAACCTGTCATAAAAATTGAAAAGCATATTTACAATTTAACATGAAGTCAAATTGTTTGGCACCTATACCAATATTAATCTTATATTTGTGTTACACTGAAAAATATGGAAAAGTATGTGGCATACCAAATATATTATTTCCAGTACTGGTACTTGGGATCACTTAAATTTTTTTACTAACTGAGAACTATCTAGAATGCAGTATAAATATCAAAAGCAGGATACTCACATCGTCATATATGAAATTCGCAGACCCTTGTTGCAAGTGGTCTCTTTTCCTAAAGAAATCTTTAAACAAAGAAATTACTTTTTTATTGTAATTTAAAATACATAGTTTCAAATATTTAGTGCACCCAGGTACACAAAAAGAATAATTTCATATTCAATTAAATATTAAGTGATTGAATAGCCCTGGCAACAGAGATATGAGAAAAACTTCCAAAAATAACATAACGTTTTTATCATTTATATTCCTTAATATTTGAAGCCTTTAAACTAATTAGATTTAACAGTGAATAAAGGGAGAAAACACATATTATTATAAACTTGCTGGAGGAAATGAGACACATTATTCAAGAAAAATAGCTACATAACACTGTGCACTTAGTTTTAAATAGTCAATACCTGTCAATGCTCGAAGCTTCACACAGCAAGCAACATAATCATCAAAGAAAATTCTGCCATTCTTGCTATAACGTTTAACAATAGTAGTTAATGTTTGAGGACTCAACCTATAACCTAAAAAAGAGATAAATTAAAACTTCTAAATGTAAATAACATAAGAACACTGCAAGATTGCTTTCTCATTAAGTCATAAAATAACTTTCAAAATTCATTCCACAAAAATATAATTAGAAACAAAACACATGAATATTGAAATTCATCAGACAAAGGCTTCACTGTTAATCCTGTTAATCGGTATATAAATATCACAATTCTAACTTTGTAATAAAGTCAAAGCTAAGGAAAAGAAAATAATTCTCTTCTTATGAATTTATCATATATTGTTATTTTGAAATAATGTCTAATTTCATGGGTTTTAATGCTTCAATATTTCAAGTATGTAACTTTGTATAGTTCTTAAAGAATATAAATGCAAAGATTACTAATGATCTTTGTTATTCAAATGATATTTCCCACTGAACATATTACTTGCAAGTATCTTTTATAACTAAGAGAAATTTGAGGATCAACATGATTACTCTACAGGGGAAAAAAACAGAAAAACATTCTTTTTTGTCCTGGAATTCTTAGTGTTTCTTCATACACTGTAATAATAATAACAGCTTTCTCGCTATTTCACTGATTTCCTTGGTTCTTTGTTCAGTAGTCCTGTGATGTCCAAAATCTTTGATTTTTACTTATATCAATGAGAAAGAAGTTTTTGATCATTCACTCCCAGTATGTTTAAATTAATTTTAAATTCTATACATGTATTATTGTTTGATTACTCCTATTTTAAAAAATACATAAAATCTAAAATTTAAAACGAATACAACTGAATAAAAACATAAATTAATATATTCTACTTGCTGTACCCTTATAGATGGTCCTATGCATTTAATGAGATGTATACATTTTACTAAGAAGAATGGTAGCCCAGTATTATTGCCCATACATTACTGGATTTGTAGACTTGAACAAATGACACTAATCAATTCAAAGGTGAAAACAACCAAAATAAATGTAACAGGAGAAAATTATACATGCAGCTATAATAGAATGTAATGTGGGAAAGGTATAAATTGAAAGAAGCAGTAAAACATGCAAACTAATGTAATTATATGCAAATATATTTTGAACTTCATATTAGAGAGTTATGAGCTAAATGTGGTACTGATAAAATTCCTAGATTTTCCCATAGTATTCTCAGAAAAATAATTTGAATATTTTAAAATATACATGAAGATCTTAAATTTGGATAATCCAGAATACCCTTTTTACATTCCACTGCCTAACGGGAACTCTGGAGGTTTTCTTTTCTGCCAAAGATTACATTAATTTCCCAACATTAGGCTGAATTAAGGTCCAGGTTTAATCCATTAGGTATTAAGGATCTATAATTGAACTACATATGTTTATATGGGCTGGACTGTCCCTACTACTAAATTAAAATGTCTATTTATAAAACAAAACCAAACAAATCACTAATTTGACTTATTTAAATTGCAATTTGAGATAAGCCCACTTCCATTGGGTTCAGATTTTAACTTCCAAAAAATTAATTTTCATACAAATAGATTTTGTTTAGAAGAGTGTAAATCACAAGCATAAGAACAATTCATAAAGCTACTTAAAACTGCATTAAGTTTAAGCAAATTAAACACCATTGTATGTTATCCATTTTAAAAGTACACTAGGAACATCAGCTTATCAGAGGTATAAGAATAAAGTTATATACTTCTAAATTACTCTAAAATGCAACCTTTCCATCCTGATGTATTTTGGCACCTGCTATGTGTTCTGCACTATCTAAGAAAAAAAAGACAAAAACATGGTTTCTACCACTGAAAACCTATTTTGTACAGACTTTTGACTGACTGAGGCAAGCTTTGGCTCCCAATTAGATATCCTGCCAAGTTATAAAAGAATACAATCTAACTGGTAAGTACTAACAAAGAAATAAATTTAAACACAACAGAAGAAATTCAGAATGTATGCATGTATGGAAGATCATCTTTTGAAAAAAATCATAATTAAAATGGTTTTGTTGAGGTCTTTGGTCAGAATTTACCTACAACCTTGAAAACAAACAAAGGAACTTGCTGGCAAAAAAATACATCCCTTTATTAGTTAGTAAATTGAAGCAATTAAGTTCATCTAATCAAAGAACAAAGATTAGCTTTATAGATTCTAAAGAATGTTAATGTTCTTACCCATAAGACCAATGGCTTGACGCAACTCATGATGTTCTACTGTGCCACTTCCATCTTGATCAACAGTCATGAAGTTTTCCTTCCAGGCATTAAGAGCTGCCCATAGCTCTTTGAATGCATTAAATCCCATTTTTCCTGTGTGATCTCTCTGATAGTTTTATTAACAAAAATAAATTCTGATACCTGAGTTTATCTGACTCTAAATCATTGACTAAAACATGAGTATGCTTCTGTAGACTTAGCCAAACTCATTATATGAACAGACTTCTGCATAAAAACTAGAAAGCCTAGAATTTAAACAGGATCTTACAAAGTATTTTTAAATTCACTAGTTTACTACAGGCACTGAAATCTAACCACTGGCTTGATAGTCAGAAAGCAATTACTCTTTATTCTAGTATTTTCTATTTCTATTCAAGGATACATCCAACATGGCAATCATAATTCTGCAGGTTTCCAAACTGAAGGCTGTAAAACATATTCAATATTTAAATTAGAGTATGCCCAACTTTATCTATGTAAAATTATGACAATCTCCAGTTTCAAAATAAAACATTAAAAAACTGCCAAAATATATAAAATCACCACAATCAACAAGCTATTATTGAATGTTAAGCACCCATTGTTTAAAAAAAATTACTGCCTTCAAAGTACTCACATCTAGTGAGGGGACTAAGTTAATTAAATGAGCAATTACAAACTAACTGAAAATTACTGTGACAAAGACATTCCAGGTATGTAAAGCACTTGGCTTCACCCAAGCCTGGGGAAAAGGAAGGCTTCCAGTCTTCATAACACAAATGACAAGTGGAGTTAAAGTAGAAGTTTGACATGTACTCAGAGATCACAAAACTTGCATTAAAGTATATGGGAGAGAGTGACATATGATGACATCAGAAAGGCAAATGAGGGCCAAATCATGAAACTTTTGAATACTACCCCCAAAAAGTTTGGGCCAATGAAAAGCCACTGAAGTGTTTTCAGAAGCAGAAGGGAAATTCTAAAATTTCCATTTTAGAAACTTAGTTTACAATGAATAAAATATAAAGTGAGATGATATTGGAAATAGGTAAGTCCATTGGTAATTTATTGTAATAGACCAAGTAAGAAAAAATGAGCATCTGAATTGAAGCAACTGGTTTTTCTCGGGGGTTGGGGGGAGAAAAAAGGAAGAAAAAATCAATACAAGCTATCTTAAAACCAGGGGTGATTTGAAATATTAACACTTTCATATTTATAGAACTACAACTGATGACCTATTGATAAAATTCAATTTTTCTAATCCTTTTCTAATTTTTCTAATCCAATTACATTCAATTTGTATGCTGACATATCTCAAGACTAATTTCATGCCCTGATAAAGAAAACATCACGTTAGTACAGTTTAAATTTACAAAGTGCTTAATAGCAGCTTGTTAATATGAATGAATGAAAATTTTCAAAATTATTTTATCCATAACATCTTAACATTTTATAAAAGCAGAAAATTATTTCAGCTAAATTTTAGACCCACTAAAGAAAAAATTATAAGACATTCCAAGAGTTAAAATTGCTGATTTTCTTTAAATGTTTAATATAGTATCAATGTTAGAATTGTTGGTTGTAGTATTTTCAAATTGACAACTCAATAGATACTCAATGTGTTCTTAGCATGAGTAAGGTGGCGTGTGTTACATGATTTCACATAAACATGCTAAACGTATAATAGTTCCAATTGTAAAAAAGGAAGAAACTGGGACCCAGAAAGGCAGTTCCCCACGTTTACAAAGCTAAGGCTATACAACTGTCAGAGTGAGGGGATTACATGAGAAATTTCTGGAATGGTATTTCCTCTTTTGGGCAAGTAAATAATATCTATTTTGCTTTACAATTAACTTGGCACACATTCATAAAGTGGGAGAATCCGAATTAATGATAATAGATCGCTAAAACTGAATCAGCAAATGAGCAGATCTTCAATCTCAGAATAGGAATGTGTATGTATAAGAAGAAATATTTAGGACAAAGAGTGGAGAGACAGACTTTTCAGGAAAGTTGACAGATTTTTCACTTCCTCCCCATAGCCCATTAGAATGGAGAGTAAACTGATTTAAGGCATAAAACTTTAGAGAAAAAGAGAATTAGACAGGAAACAAAGTAACAAAATTTTGCAAGTTGAAGAGCTGATGGATGTGAGTTAACCAACCTAGATCTGAGAAAATGGATTCCTGAACTTGTAATGAGAAAAGCTGAGAAGCAACCCTTGGAGAAGACCCCAAATGCCAAAGAATTGGCAGTACTTCTGAAAGTGGGTGTGAAAGTGGAGATAAAAACAGAAGAATTGGCTGAATGTCTACCTAAGGAGCATTCTAAGCCTCATATCCCCTCCCTGCCTCGGTTCAGTTGGATGGATGCTACACCTACTTCCAACCCAGCAGAAATCTGGAATTTTATTCTCTGGAGGAGTCTCTGAAATGTAAGATACCAGAGCTGAGACAGGGCTATCTTCTAAAAGCAAGGCAATTAAAGGACAATTTACAAAAGATTTGAGAACCCTTCTGAGTCCACCTCTCCTTTCCAGGCAGAAGGTCAACTGAAAACCCAGTCCAAAAGGGAATCCCTAAAGATACTGACACCCAGAGTTCCAAGACAAAACTGCCCAGCCAAATCACCATACAGTGAAGCCCACAATCAATGCCTAACCATGATCTCAGGGCTTCTAATCAGCAATTTAGTTAAAATAAGAGCAAAGCAGTATCATCAGATAACTGAGAAAAGCACCTAACATGAAAGACAACCAAAACAAGCAAAATGAGGAGAAAAAACAATCTGGAAAAAACAAAGGTTATATAGGAAGAAAAAACTTTAAAAATATATTAATAGTCTCAGAGAGATAAGGGACAATATCACATTCATGAAAATAGAACAGAAGCTCTTGGATATTAATGAAAAGCAGAAATGAAAGACTCAATAGAAGGTTTAGGAAATAAAGTTGAGGAAAATTCCCAAAAAGTTCAGCAAAAAAAAATGATAGGAGGAAAAAGATGATAAAAGTAGAAAACCCAGTGAAAACAAAAAGCATTCCAAGAAACAGAAAATATCATTGAAGAAAACGTCCTACATCTAAAGCAAAGGAGTTTCCAGGCTGAGAATACCATCTGAGTTCCCCACACAACACAACTAGGTACTTTACCATCAAATCGCAGAATACTAAAGACAAAGATCTCACAAGTTTCCAGAGAGGAATAACAAATCACATCACATCCAGGCAGGAAAGAGAAAGATAATGCAACAAGGGACGCTAGAAACAATGGAGCAATACCTTTAAAATTCTACTTGAGAATCATTTGTAACCTAGAATTCTATACCTGGCCAATCAATTCTGAAGGTAGAATGAAAGCATTTTTAGATACATAAGCTCTCAAAAATTTATCTCCCATATATTCTTTTGTTTGTTTTTGAGATGATGTCTCACTCTGTCACCAGGCTGGAGTGCAGTGGCCCAATCTCAGCTCACTGGAACCTCTGCCTCCTGGGTTCAAGTAATTCTCCTGCCTCAGTCTCCCGAGTAGCTGGGACTACAGGTGCGTGCCACCACGCCCAGTTAATTTTTGTATTTTTAGTAGAGACGGGGTTTCACCATGGTGGCCAGGGTGCTCTCGATCTCTTAACCTCATGATTCGCCCACCTCAGCCTCCCAAAGTGCTGGGATTGCAGGCATGAGCCACGGCGCCTGGCCGTATTTTTTTTTTATATTAAGAAGCTGCTTAACTATACATTTCACTAAAATAAGATAATGAATTTTTTAAAAGAGGACAACAAGAGATGGAGTAAAAAGGAGATCTAACTCAAGAGAAACGGGGAAACCAGCTTCAGAATGATGGTGAAAGAATCCCAGTATGACAGCTACACATAAAAAACTGCATATCCCAGAGTTCTAGGATAATACCTGACAACTAGTGATTTCAAGAAAAGCAAAACATTATATAAAAAGGAAAAGTAATCATACATTATCATAAGATACAGCTATAAGCAGCATTCAGATAGTAAAAATAAGGTAAAGACTAACATACCTAACAAAAGTTACTATATATTATAACTACATTGGAAGGACAGGAGGATGGGAAATGTTCCTCTGTGGAGTGCAGAGACAGGGGAGAGTTTAAGGTTAAAATAAAGTGAAATCCTCATCTTTCATAGCAGGATATCAATAGATAATCATAAAATCCAAAAATCAATCGTGAAAAAAATATTCTATCTTGAAATCTGGAAGCAAATTTCAAAAGAATCAGATTTTTAAAAGTCAAAAGAAGTGTCCTCTATGAGCAGTTAATGTTAAGGAGACAGGAATACACAATGAACAGTTATTTTCATAACGAGTTTTACAGTTATTTGACTCCTTAAACTATGTGCATGTATAACTGTGATAATTTTTTAAACATTTTAATTACAGGGACAAAAAAAGTAAGAAAATAAACTTCCTATTATAATTTCAACAAAAGGGGAAAAAAGATCTCACGAGAGTAAGTTCCATTAATTCCAGACTGTGTCAAACATCTCTGAAGTTCTTCAGCATCCACTTCACCATCCTGTTTAAAAATAATTATGACCTAATTTAATGTGCAGTTGTATAAAAGCATATTAAAATGTCAATTGACTGTTCTAGGCCAATCAAGACATATGCATTCTTTGAAACATTACTCTATAATTAACTACAAAATTCTAGAGATAATTACTGACAACAAAGGCATATTACAAAATATCATACCACAGAAATAATTTCTTCCA
Source organism: Homo sapiens (assembly GCF_000001405.40). Taxonomy (NCBI): domain Eukaryota; kingdom Metazoa; phylum Chordata; class Mammalia; order Primates; family Hominidae; genus Homo; species Homo sapiens. Next base: position 162,352,138 of record NC_000002.12, on the reverse strand, counting down.
CTTCTGAAGAATAGCACAATTACCCTGTTCTATAATGGTTCAAGACAATCTCATAAGAGTCATTGTACTTCTATTTTAAACAGTTAGAAAAACAGTTAAACAGTTAGAAAAATGCCTAAAATGTGTTCAGAAAAGTCTCGAAAACATCCCCACTCATGCTGTTTTGGGAGGAGATTATTTATAAATAATACTGAAGCTTTAACTGGAAGGGGAAAATATATTTTCCCCCACCATTACCCCTAGCAAAATTCTAGAGTCCCCCTGTATCTTGCTGCTATTCTTCTGATTACTGCCCAAACAAGTCTTGCCTGAACTTACTACAGAAAATAAAGTTTTAAAATGCAAACAAGAAATCACAATGGAAATGAAATAGGTTGAGTATTCTCATTATGATTTAGTACCTCATCCTGTTTTTGACAAAAATAAGTAATTCCTTTGGAACCATCACAAACATTGGCACAAATGCAAAATGTAGCTATGATGAAGGATCAAGGAGGCAAATTTAAAACCTACTCTTCATAAGAGATCCAAGAAACAACAAAACAAAAAACTTTTCTAAACTACTTCTAAGAAATATTATTAACACTCACATTCTAATGGATTTTTGGCAAAAGAACCCCTTACAAAACTGCAGCTGTTCTAATAGAAATTACAAAATACTAAGCAGCATTCTTCCCTTAACTGAATTAGGTAGCATTAGCGGTAGAAAGCTGAATGTCCTAATTAAATTACAAGAGCATCAGGTAGAGAATTAACAAAAATCAATTGCCCTTCGTTAGGCAGCAAGATTTTAAAATGATATCCAACTTCAAGTCCTATTTGTTCAGTTACTCAATTTGAGTCTCCACTTACTTATCTATAATACAAAGGTAGCTGTGTCATGCCCACATCACAGTTGCTGTGTGGAAAAGTAGAAGCAGTGTGCATACAAAAGTTAAAGTTGTTGGTATTACTGTGATGCATGTGTCTGTATGTATGAAGACAGAAACCAGAATTTCCCCAAATTAATTGATGATTTAATCCTTACTGTTTAGAATACTTCATCCTATAAATAAGAACACTGCAGAAACCTTTAATCAGGTGTTTTTCATAGAGCATTATTAATTATGAGGCCCATCAAAAAAGGATATGGCTGTAGATGTAAGTTCAGTAGTTGGGTTCCAGGAGCAGTATACCTAAGTCAGATGTTGCACCTGATCCCTCAAAGCTAGGTAGAACTCAATATATGAAAAAATACAGTCTAAATATTTAGACTAAAAATTGAAAATGGGATAGTTAATTCATCCATACGAAACATTTATCAAATGTTTATATATTCCTAATATCTACCTGTCAAGTAGGGAAAATATGACCAGAACCCTGTCTTTATGGAGTTTATTTATTCAAAAGCACAAGACTGGGAAATTTAAGGAAAGTATCAAATAGTTCAAACATAGCGAATTTATTGCTGACAATTAAAATGCTGAAATAGTTCAGCAGTCAAAAAGAGTTTCCAAATATATGTCCAGTTCATATACTTTAAGTTGTAATTTTATATGATGAATGTATTATATAGTCAAACAGAGATAATAGAATTATTCTCAGTATAATACTACTTATTCCCAGTATAATCCTTTAAAATGGCAATGGTATAATGAGTAGAACAGTTAAGGTACCATTTAGCTGCAAACAGGAGAAAATATTATTGAAGATGCTTAAACCAATAGGGGTTTATTGTTTCATACAATAGGTCTGAGGCTAGGCAGAACAGGGCTGTATGGCAACTTAGACATGTCATCAGTCTCTACATTTTTCCACATTCCCTATCTATAGGTCTTTATCTCAAGCCTGTTGTCTCAGGGTCACGAGATGGCTACTGCACCTCCATACCTCAAGTCCCCTTTCCAGGCAGGAAGAATGAAGGGGCAAAAACAGCCACAGCCAAGGCTTGCTCCCAGTAAGGCTTTTTTCATTTGGGGTAGAAAGATTTTCCAAAGATACTGCACCTACATGTCAATGGTCAGTCCTACGGCACATGGCTGCCTTTAATAGCTACAAAGGTATCTGGGATGGTGACTATTATAGTTCCCCAGCCTCTATTACATAATAAAAGGTAAAAGGGGGTTTTAAATGAAATTGGGGTAGCCAAAACAGAATGTCTGCCACGTATATTAATTCTGTGTATATTGTCTAATCCTAGAAAAGCACATTAGACCTAGTGAACACTCAAGGGAATGAATAAAATGTTATTAAAGTTCTATAAAATTCTACCTACATCAATAAATCTTTCTTGACCATTATAAAAGAAAAGAGATATGGACTACAGCTAAGACTCTAGAGTGAATTTCTGTTTCTGCCCATTAGTATGGTATTAGAACATCCATTCTGCCAGTTTCTTTGCCTTTTCCTAATCTGTTTTATCATCGAGCCTGTCCCAGAACCATCCACAATTTACAAATCTCCTCTTTGATACATTGCCCCAACTCCTTCAAGATGATTTTCATGTAGATCTCTTTTTCCAAATCCTCTCTGGCCCCCAGTCTCCATGCACCAATCCACTGTATTCCATAACCACAGAAGAGCTTTCAACTTTCCCCCCAAATTGTTAAACAAGTGAATGAAACATATCAAGAAAAAAAAACACACATCTTAAAAAGATGTTCCCAAATGTTTCATTAACACATGCAACTATCTTAGTTCATCACTCTTCTAAGAAGTTTTGTAGACAAAAACACAAATATAGCAGGTGCTGCAATACATGCTGAAGCAGCAGCAAAAAAAAAAAGACAAGCTCATTTATTTCAACAACAGGAGATAAACATCAATACACCCTCTTTTCAATCCTTTAATATATCTGGAATTCATGCTACTATATGGTACAGGCTGAAGATTTACATTTACTTTTAGATAAACTGTTAATTATTTCAGGATAGTTAATTCAGGAATCATTCTTTCCCCACTGATATGAAATGCTACCTCTACCATATACTGAATTCACAGGTAAGCTTCTGGGCTCTTCAGTATTATGTTTGTTTTTACATTAGGACCACACTATCACAATTATTAATAATACATTTATATGATATATTATAATTTAATATTTATTCTCAACAACATAGTATACAAGACAGACTTTAGAATCATTGCAGCAAGTGCCAAAAAGAAAAAAGAAAAAGAAACCTTTAGGAATTTGACTCATATAATATTATATTATTTATCAATTAATTTGGAAGACATTGGCATCTTATAATATTGTATTCCTTCCGATCTTGAATATTTACTCAATACTTCTGTCAAATACAACTAATAACTGATACAAAGGGGTATAATACATATCCTATTTGCTTAATTTTCCTTGAAATTTCACATGAAAAATATATATAAAATCACTTGGAAAAGAATAAACTGTGGTATGGTGTTACAGTTATGTAGGAGTAAAAGAAAAGCTTCCGTTGACCACAGTATTCACATATCATCAGTAACAATTCACCCACAGAATTCATGTACTTGAACTGGCAGTTTCACACGTCCCTATTGGTCATAATAAAGTCAGTCCTTTAAATAATCACTCAAATTTACTGGAAACAAATAACATCCTAAAACCATACCACATCGTAACATACTATTTCCTTTAATTTTTAATTAATAAATCCTGACATGATTATTTTGATAACCTGGAAAATTTACCAGCCATATCAAATCAAAATTACTATAAATGATATAACTTCACCTGTGAAAAAAATGTAATTTCTCAACCTGAATAAATTTACGAGACTCTGAAGTGATTTCCAATCATATTGTTTGACATACTTAGGTTTTAACTGAGTTTTTTTTAAAAAATGGGAGTGAGGCCCAAGTTAGAAATATTGTTCCTTATAATTTTTTAAAGTGCTTCCTACTTTCCTAAAATTTCCAATAGTCATTTTTGCATGCTATAAAAGAATGTGCAGGCTAAACCTACTTAGCTTTGTGTTATCTATCACTCAGGGAGAGTATGATGCTCCTAAATGTCAAACAGAGTGAAGGAAATAAAAAGATTTAAGTGACAGAAAAATTATAACTCATAAGAAGATATATCTAAGTTTTGGTGGGGTGTTTAGTGACTAGTAAGAGGAGCCCCTTGTAGAAGAATTTCAGTAACGCAAGCATACTAGGTAAGAAAGAATCAGATTTCCGCACTATGGAAAACAATGTTTCCTCTTTTAGTCAAATGAACAATGTATCAAGCATCACATCAACAGACTTTTAAAATGAAATAATTATGACTATGCTCATCTCTGATCTCAGGAAAAAAATTAGTCTAGATACATATAAAATATAAATTTCATATACATTTAAAATGATACTCTAAATAGCTGACATTTCTCTTAAACAATAATTTTAAAGACATATTTATGCAATAAATTTAGCATCTCACCTGTCCAGCAACAGCACTGAAGTAAGTATACACGGAGTCACCAGCTGAGGAATAAGTGTCTGAATATGCTGGCCCAGAGTATCCATCGAGGAGTATAGCTGGGCCTGTTTCTGGCACTGGCTGTCCCATCTGCATTCCTGGCACCTGAATGCTAAAATTTCCAAACTATAATAGTGAAAGGGGAGAAGGTTAGTAATATAAATACTACCTATTATCTATGAAAGTTGGATTAAAAGAAATTATTAGAAGTCCGTCAAAAAGTAAACAGTTACCAAAAGCTTATAATCTTATCACAAAAATTTTAACTACAAAATGTTAGATGTCCTACATTAAGACATAATTCAATTCATCAACATATATTACCCAGCATTAAAAGAAGTATAAAAGAAAAAAGAAAGTTACTAGCCTCTAAGAACTTAATCTAAGAGGAACATGTACAATTTTAAAAAATGTTTACCAACATCACTGAAGTAAACAAAAAGTAAAACAATGCAAGATTTTACCTAAAGTAAAACTAAGAAGTAAACCTCAAGACACATACTTAGAAGAATATATGTGTAAATACAATGAAACTTTAAGTGTCAACATTTACAATATGTTGGGTATTGTATTCTTTACAACTATTTAAACTTAAAATAAAAACTTTATATGTCAATATAAAATATGGGAAAAGGGTATATAGTTTTTCAAAAATCTTTTAAGGGGCGGGAAGCAAAATGTTTAAAGAAACTGCTGTGGTTCTGGTAGTATCCTGAGGGATGACATAGAGTTCTGTATGCTGGCCTCCCACTTGTTTCTTTTCAGCCTATTGTGACTTATTACAGTTTATATATGTGGGATTCTCTGATGTTACAGATTATGTGATCTAGTTTTAACTAAAGCCATAACAAAATGGCAATAGTAAAGATTCAAAAACATGCAAAGCAACATGAAAGGCTTGGACATGAAAATATTGTCTAAGCCTTTCCTTACCCACATTATGTAGTAATAATAATAATGATCAATTTTGACTCATTTGAAACTGTCAAGAGGACAACTTGAAATATAAATTTATGTAAACCGTGTTTAGGGATGAACCTTGTTGGCCAGGGGCCCCAGTTCTCCTCCACATGGGCCCTTTCACATGGCTCTTCCACTTTTTCATAGCTTGGCAGTCAGCTTCTAAGAGAGAGAAAGAGAAGCTGCCAGTCCTCTTAAAATATTGAGTCTGGAACTGCCATGGTGTCTTTTCTACTGTATTCTACCAGATGAAGGTGAAACAGGCCCAATCCAGATTGAAGAAAGTGGAGAAATAGTCTGTGCCTTTCGATAAGGGGAGTGGTAAAGAATTGGTAACCATCATTAATCTGACCACCAGGTTCTCAAATTATGGGACTGGGGAAAGCTAATGCTGCAAATTGGGAAGGGAAAACAGATTAAAAGTTATTCCTAAGGACAGATTCTTCATCTTTGAATTGATTTTGTATGCTATTTCTTGTGTGAAAATCTAATCTGTTTAAGTTTTCTGTGCTTAAAATGTTTTTTTATTATTGAAAACACTGAAGCTTGTATAATACAACATGTACAAACAAAAACATGTAACGAAGTTTTAGATTGTTTCATTTCCTGTGACCAAAGTGAGAAACAAAGAAAAAAGTCCTTTACATTGAGTTATAATTTTTATTCGTATACAATTAGTAAAAAAAAGAAAATAATACAATTTTTATAAACAATTCTTAAAAGAAGAAAGTAAAAATCTATTGGAAATGCATCTCCTACAGAGATAAATCATGCACTTAATTAGATAAAAGTATACTATCAAAACAATTAGGTCTAGCAGCTGACATTTTATATTTTGTTAAAAGAATATAAGAAACATTAATAAGGCATGGGTTTCCTTTAACAGGATTTATAAACGTCTCAACTATCTTATTAATATTCTCCTACTAAAGAAATCATGTAAGTTTTATCCCAAAATTTTATCCAATGTATCTTAAAATATTTCAATTACATTTTTTAAAATCAGTGCCTCTAATCTATATATTGCTTCAGCTATTGAGGGTACTTCTCTTTCCGGCGATTAATAATGAGCATGACAACAGCTGAAAAGAGTTGTTTATTTTAAATTCATGGAAAAGGGGATTTAAATATTCAAAACACATACAGACGTTCTCTTTATTGTGTCGTGGAACTCTCCATCAAATTCAAGCACTCTGACAAAAGTGGGTAAGGAAGCACCAAATTATTTGAATGAAAATGTATTACTCTTGCCACCTCACTCTACCATACATATATGAATTCAGAGCATACCAAGAGGAGTAAATATACAAACTTCTAACAGATAGCTTCAACCAAATGAAAATACGTATACGCTAGGGACGTTTTTAAAGACCCACAGGTTTATGCTATCTTGATTAATCTTCGAAGGGGCTTTACTTTCCTTAGGTACCTTAAACTTCCTTCCTAAATTTAAGGACTGAGGAGGCATAGGCATTACAAAGTGGACGGTGCCAGAGGGGATTGAGGCAAGTCTTAAGGAAAGCAAATCAATTTTAGGAACAAGTATGTGTGGAAGTTGAGGACCTGGAAATTCATATCCTAAAACAACAACAACAACCACAACCACAACCACCACCACCACCACCACCACCACCACCACCACCACCACCATGAACTCCAAGGGGTAGGAGTAACTCTTTTGAAGACCACAACCATAGCCCAAAGTCAAGTCCTATATTAAAATCAGTAAAACACAATTTCTCTTTTTAGGTAAAAAACAAATAGAAAATATATTATATTCTACCCACACCGCAATGGATCAAACTACTGTTAACTCTGTTAACACAGCGTGTAGATCACTGACATCGATACTAAAGGTTTGGGCTCCTTTCTGAAAAGAAGGGGCTAGCCACCAGGACTCTACGATTATAACTTGCAACTCCCAAAGGTGATGCAGGATAAAAGTTATAACAAAGAGTAACTTCCCCCCGCCTGGGGGCGAGCGGGGGAGTCTAGAACAGATTGCCCTTCGTATAACAGTAAAGATTAGGAGTTATTTACCGTACACCTTAATTTATTCATAAGGAACTTAAAGAACAAGAAGTGGTCAGGAAATTCAAAAAGAGGATCTCTAGCAACACTGAGTGGGGGGCGGGGGAGGGAAGTACCACAAACGATTACTGGAACAAGAAGAGGGTGGCTTGTTCCTCCATTCCAGGAAATAAATTTCCAAACACACATTACTCCCTCGGCTCCACCAGGACGCTCCTCGAGGGTCCTCAACGACCAGAAAACCTGCGGCTCCAAGTCAGCCCAGGATCAATGCTCGCCCAGGCCCTGGCCCCCAACAGCCCCGGAATCCGGCGCCGCCGAGTACCAGGCGCGGACGCAGGGAGCAGGAGCCAAGGGCGGACCCGCACGTTGGCACCGCCCCCGGGGGCGCCACACCCCGCGAGGAAGAGGGACACGACCAAGCGGCTGGGACTCACCCCTCCTCCGTATCCCGGGTAGGCCATGACGAGCGGGACGAGCGGAGCGAGCGTCACCCTCGAGTCGCGTCCGCAGTGCTGGGAGAAAAAGCACAGGCGCAGGTGCAAGGAGGCGCAGCTGCAGGTGAGGCTGAAAGGCGCACTAACCGCACAGTTCACTCCTCCGAACCCGCCCCCTTCCGCAGGCCAGCCCCGCCCTGCACGGTTCCGATTGGCTGAGTCCCACACTTTGGAGCCAACTCAGCTGCAGTCCGCCCCTTCCCGCAGCCTAGCCCCACCCATCTCTGCCCTGATTGGCTACACCCCATCGGGAGCCCTCCAGTCCCTGCTCGACTCTTACTGGCTCCCTCAGGTTCTCGCGCGCTCTCCTTCTAAATCCCGAAGAAGCCTTGGCTGCTGCAACGGAATTCCCACTCTCTGTGGAAAGGTCTTCTACAAGCCTTCAACTCCTCAAGTTACTTTTCTTTCTAGAAACCCCAAACCGGCAAGTCTGTGACTTATTTTAACCAGCCCTCCACGCTTTTGAGCTGGACTTCAAAGACCCATCTGTGAATTTCAAAATTTTGCAGTTACATTTACTTTTGTGTAGTGTTGATGTCACATCAAAACTTTGCAACCAGGACCACACCTGTGGTCCAGGAGGAGTGCTTCTGCGCCAAAACCCACTTGAGGCCACATTGGACGAACAGGTTATTGATTCTGTTTGGTAGATAAATGGTGACCTGAATTGTGGCATGTTGGCAAATAAACAGGATATCTAGTTAAAGTTGATTTCCAAATAAACTTTTTTAGTGTAAGTATGTCCCAAATATTGCACAGGACGTGAACATACACTAAAAACTTATTTGCTGTTTATACACTGATAATATAGACGGTGTCCTGTATATAATCTGACTCAGCCTTTGGGCAAACTCTTGTTAAATGTTCAATTACTTTGGCTTATTAAGTAATAGCAATGGACAAGTCTGATTTATCTCTGGAACTCAAATGAATTTTGTAGCTCTGACTTTAAAAGGACAAGGCAGCTGTAGCTTTGGCTTATGAACAAATGAAAAAACCAAATGATATTATTTTGAGTTATCTCTGAAGAACAAGAGAAGGGCTAACATGTTTCTTAAAAATAAGGCTATCAAAAAAATGTTAACTATTCACAAAGGAAATCAGCCTTGCAGAGCTGAGTATCTGTTGTTCAGCTATGCTACAGAAGAGGATGTTGGACCTTGTGAAACAATTCTCAGAGGAAACAGCAGAGAGAAAGGAAGATTGCCGATGTCCTAGCTACTCTTGGGAAAGTGTCTGTAAGTTCCTTCAATGCTGTAAGAAATACTTAAGCCACTAAGGTTAAATTATTGGCATAAATAAATAGAGGGGAAGGGTAAAACCTACGTGGCAAAAGGGAAAAATGCATGGCTTATGAAGGTATCAAATGATAAAGCGCTAGAAAGAACAAACCATTGCAAAATTTTATTCCAACGGATTAACTACATATTCAAAGAACTGCTTAGGAAGGATTGAGTGTTTACATTTACAATGTTAGTCTGATTCTGTGGTCAAAATTTTTGTGCATCTTGTTTTCATCAAAATAGCCTTATTGATGCAGCTGCATTTGTGCAGTTGGGAGTTAAGGCCCCATGGGTTTCTTGCCTTTCTGCACATTTAATTGCAAAGATAGTATTTCCTGCCAGGGCAAAGTTTGGGTACGTTTGCTAGCAGCCTTCTTAGGACTTTCCTAAGCTTGGAGTTCTTCCAGTTGCATAACAAACACAGTGCATGTACAACACCCATCTGGCAGCTCCTCTTCGCCTTGTGGGACTTCAGAACGAGGGGAATCTATGGAAGTATGAAGCTCATGGTGCCTGTTGTGCTTTGAGTAATAAAGTTATTTGTCTCAGACTCAGGAATCTCACACATTCTGCCAACTTCCATGAAACTGTGGCACTCTACTTGTTTGCTTATAACTAGGGTAAAATATCAGATCCTTCATAGTTCCTGCCAATATATCTCTTAACTTAGAGAAAGGGCTACCAAAGAAAGTTCCTACCATGAAGATGCAGAGGAGGACTTTGAACAACACAGCATCTCTCTCTCTAAAACTAGTGTTTCAAATTTTAAATATTCTAGTATAAAAATTCAAATAAGGCCATAGAGTTTTTTTTAAATAACAGTAATGTTAATTTGCCTCCATGAGTCAAGTTAATACTGTATGAACAATAGCATTTTATGAAAATGTCATGTCTATTTAAAAAATTTGCTTTTTAAATATTTTTCTTTTAATAAAATCCTTCTTTACTTTATAAAAATAGTTATAGAGTGAATACGACGTACTAGGCATTGTGTGTTGTGAAGTGTTATTTCTCAAAACAACTCCATCAGGTATATGTTATTATTCCCACTTTACAAATGTGAAAAGTAAGGTGGATAATTGTATTTCACTACCCACAAATGCAGTTGCATAGTGACTAGCAAATCTGAGAGTATGGCTGCAGAATGTGGTTTCTTAAACATTGTATGTCCCCTTTTCTCTCCATCCCCAACCATAGTGCTGTATTTCAGAATATAATAAAATTGTTTACACCATAAAAGAAAAAAGGCTTTAAAAGTTTTTAAATGGCAGTAGAAAATATAACTAGAGAAATAGCCAAGGAAACACATTGTTTTGACCAAGATTAGCCAATTTAATTACTTCTCTTACACAGGGTACATCCTTTCTGGTGACTATAAAGCTTACAGGATTATGTCTAACTATGGAATTTCTTCTGAATCTTGGTGGCATTGGTCTTATCATAAGTTTAGATATTCAATTAACCAGCACATTTACCAGTAAAATGTAAACAATAAATTAACTGCAGTTCTTTTTCCTATCTGTTGCCACCTCATTTTCTCTTTCCCACTATATGAATGAGGGAGAGAAAAGAGTCACAGCTCCTCAGCAAATTTCAATCACAAACCCAGAGCCTACTTGCCTCATATAAATCATATATATATATATATATATATATATATATATAAAATAAATAAGACATACCAGCTAATGGAAACCAACATTAATGGAGTTTATTTTATATCACTAAGAAATTTCATTTAGATAGAACAATTCATTTACTCAATAATTATTTATTGAGCATGTATAATGTAACACTATTTTAGATGTGGAAAACATACATCAATAGGAGGGGAGGAATGTCCTTGCTTTTTTGGAGCTTACATTCTAGCAGGGAGAACAGACAATAGTAAGTAAAAATGATGAGTAAGTAAATTATAAACCATGTGAGAAGATGATAAATGCTATTGAAAAATAAGGAAACCTAAGTCAAGGTTAAGGGGTAGGGAGATGACAGAGTAGGTTGTAGCTCTAAATGGAGTACTTGGGTAGCTTTATTGAAAAGGCAAGATTTGAGCAAAAACTTAGAGGTCATGAATGAGTTAGACATTCTGGAGGTATCTGTAGGAAGACATTTCCATGAAGAACTAGAGTTAAGGTCCTAAAGCAAAACCCTGCCTGACCTATTTGAAGAATAACAAGGAGGCCAGTGAGCCTGGAATAGATTGAGCAAGAGGGAGAGTAGTGGAAGTGGTTGCAGAAGCGGGGACATTGGAGCAGATCATGCAGGGCTTCACAGACCATTTTAAGTACTTGCTTTTATACTCTGGTTGTGATACGGAGCCACCGAAGAGTTTGAAATCTAAGTGGGACATGATACGATTTAGGAAGGCTCACTCTTTCAGCTGTTGACAACAGACAGAAGGAGGTTAGTGTAGAAACAAGATCTGTTAGCAATCTGTTGGTAATCTAGAGATGATGGTGACCTACTAGGGTATAGCAGTTGAGATGGTGAGAAGTAGTGAGATGATTATTCTGTTTTTAAGGTATAGCCAGCAGGGTTTACTGGTGTTTTGGATTTGCCCTTAAATTACATGGTGAAGACTGGGGAAGGAGCAGTTTGGGATAGTGCCAAATCAAGAATTAATATTGGAGATGTTAAATTTGAGACGCCTGTGATACTAAGTGACTATGTCAGGCTGTTTATCTAAGAGGTTGCCTAGAGTGAACAGCTTCTGGTGAGGGTGCCTACCAACCACTCAGCATTTGCATCTTAACAGACCTTTCTCCAATTGATACACTGATGACAAGTGGCAAAGAATTTATTTTTAGAGAGGGAGGATTCCTCCAAAATGGCCCTAACAAATTGCTGATGCTGATAATGAAAGTGAAAGGGGACTAAGAAATTAAGGCCTCTTTGGGCATCATTGATTATAAAAATTAATTAATAATATAAATAGTTTTATGACTTAGAGGATTAAAGGTATAGCCAATTGCATATGGAAAATAATTCTGACGACTTCTAAATCCATATAACACTTAAGAAAGTACGTACACAGTGTCTGTTAGCTCAGGCTGCCATAACAAAATACCATAGGCTGTGTGGCTTAAACAAAAGGAATTTATTTCATACAGTTCTGAAGACTAGAAGTCCAAGATCAAGCTGCCCACAAGGTCAGTGCCTGGTGAGGCCTCTCTCCTTGGTTACAGATGGCTGCCTTCTCCCTGTGTCCTCACATGACCTTTGCTTGGTGCATGAGGATAGCCAGAGAGGGGGCAAACTTTCTGGGGTCTCTTTTTATAAGGGCACAATTCCCATCATGAGGACCCCACTCTCATGACCTCACCTAACTGAATTGTCTCCTAAAGATCTATCTCCAAATATCATCCCATTGGTGGTTGGGGTTGCAGCATGCAAATTTGGAGAGGGAAGCATTTCATTCATAGCACACAAAATCTGAAAGTTGAAAAAAGAGACACTTGATCATAATGTTCACTGTTGTTCTGTCACATTGATCTACCCTAGTATTTATCTATTTTATGCTAAAATGTATTCCTTAATTGGATTTCCAATATTCCTTAACATAGATTTCCTTAATTGATCTACATGCAATAATTATCATACTTTTCCAGAAATTATTCATTTTTTTAATATGGAATAATGAAGATATATATGTGTTATTTGCATAAGACATAAAAATATGACACTATCAAGTGAAGCCATCCAGTCATAATTTTATTTTAAGCCCGAAGTTGTTCCTTTCAGTATCTTTCTAAGGGTTACTGCCCACCAGTGAGGACAGAAGAAAAATAATAAGCATGCCAAATAAGACAAAAATAAATATTATTTACCATTTATTACCTCAAGCAGCCACTTGGCAAACTGACCTTTCTTCAGCTAAGCTCTCAATAACACAGTTTTCTGTTTTTAATTCTGAAAATACTAGTACTCTTTTGGCAGGAGTACAAACTCTAAAGCAATTTAATAATAGTGCATTTTAGCATAAAATTGTTAACAAGGCTCTTCAGAAAGGTGATGATTGGTATACTTTCTGCATATATACATCCTCACTTTGATTATTAAGTCTATTAAGCAATTTGGACTCAATGAAAACTTCTTGAGAAATTATATATATGTAGATAATGTTGATCACAGTATGTGTCCACAACTAATGCTGAATAAGAACAGCAACAGTATGATTAAAATCCTCAATAAAGTCATCTGCTTTTCAGGTAAGATCAGAAAAATACCTACCTTAAATTTTAAATCCAAGTTGCGTGCTTATGAATATCATTTAGATTCTACCTAGATAACATGGGATGATATACCCACAAAGCTGCCTTTCTAGAAATATATAAATTAAATATGTCAGTTAAATTCTGTTATGTTGGTGTTTATCCCACTGGTTAGTAACCCGCTTCTGTAATAACATGGGTTTGATACACCCACAAAGCTGACTCTCTAGAAATATATAAATTAAATATGTCAGTTAAATTCTTTTATGTTGATGCTTATCCCATTGGTTAGTAACTCGCTTCTGTGTAGTGTCAGTTAAGTTAGAGTAGTCCTGTTACAAAAAATTAAAAATCGTTTCATCAAAAACATAAAAGTGGCCCAATTCTTAAATATATTCTTGGCCAACTAAAAGCTGAGATCATCTCATTTCCACATTAATCCTCAGGTGTTTTGTGTATGTGTAAAATAAGAGTGCCCCCCTTCATATTTATGTACAATTATTGGTGGAAATAAAACCTGGTAATAAAAATTTAAAAATTACAATTTATTCTTTTATATAACACTTGATATTTTTCACAGCTATTTTGCACATTATCACATTTGACTTTCACAACAATCTTGTGAAATAAGTAGCACCAATTACATCTTCAGAGGAAACGTAGTAATAACTTGCATTGTGGATGTAGACACAGATCAAAGCAGTTGCAAAATATTTTTAAAATAAAACATGAACTGATTATTTTTCATGTTCAGGAAATAGCACACAAAATCTGAAAGCTGAAAACAGGAGACCCCGATCATAATGTTCACTGTTGTGCTGTCACCTTTCACTACACAATCACCAGTGCTTGTGTAGTTTTGAATGAGTGTGAGAGAATAAAGTCCCATTCTTAGAGCCTTTAATGTTACTTAAAACCTAAGAATCAAGCTATAAAACACTTCATTGCTTGAGTTATCCAAAATTAGGAACTGAAGTAAAAGAAAGAGAAAAAAACTTAGTACTCTCCTGGTACAAAGAGGGGTAAGAATTGTGATAGGTACTAATGTAGATGACGACCCATGATCAGTTATGGGTGGGTATAATGAGCCCAATTAATGCACCACCCAAGATCTTCTCAGCTCACCTTACCTTAAACGCTTTCCTTGTTTTCTGTCTTTTAGCCATAAAGCTCAGTTGCTGCTGCTGCCACTTCCACCAGAAAAAAGCAGATGGCACATTCAGACACAGTAATTGAGGGATTGTAATAAAGTCACTATTTACAAAAGTGTTGACATAGGTAAGATAAACCAATCAGGCCTGATACAGCGTCCCAGTGCAAGCAGTGTTGAGGACCCATTACCACCCTTAGGCAGAAGGTGCGAGGCAAGAAAGCAGTTATCAAAACATGGATAGAATTATTGTATGAAGAGGGTCCCCTGACACATGACTTTTAGCACACGGATGCACCATGACCTGCATTAAGATTAGCCTAGGGAATAAATACCAAAACCTCACTCTTCTCCCTACCTCTGCTTTCCTGCTATTGCTTCCATTGGCTGAATCTGATCAGAAGCTAGAGGAAAAGAGAGCTCATTGACGCAGTCCACAGAGGTTAGGCTCCCTGGCACAGAGCAATGTAGAGAAGAGTGAAAAGTAGATCTTTATGGGCAGGTGGAAAATGTCAAGCACTCTGAAGAAAAAGAAATTCCAGAACTTAAATTCCCAACCCTGCTCAAATTAAACAAATCTCAGTTAGCGTTTCAACCCATGAAATTGTTCTGTAAGGTAAACCAAAAATCCAGATAAATTGCATAAAATAGATATTTATAGAGTAATTATATTGAATGATTAATCTGTATTTAATTAAATCCAAATGAAATTCCAGAACTTAAATTCCCAACCCTGCCCAAATTAAACAACTCTTCAATTAGAGTTTCAACCCATGAAATTGTTCTGTAAGGTAAACCAAAAATCCAGATAAATTGTAAAGTACATATTTATAGAGTAATTATACTGAATGATTAATTGATACTTAATTAAATCCAAATATTTCACTGAGCAACTAGGCTATATAGAAGACAGAAAGAGAGAGAGAGATATACTTAGGTTTTTATTCAACTTCCAGGATTATAGTAAGGACTTGAGCCACCCATTAAGAGAGGCACTATGGCAACCAGCAGAAAAGAAAGGGAGAGGAGATGGGAGGAGAAAGGAGGATGTTACCTAGCAACAGAATCTTTAGGCTAGAGTTTGCTCATAAAGTGTCTAAGAAAATGGTTGTTACTGATATCAAAAAAATAAAATGAAAAGAAGATACAAAAAATGTCTGAGTGAGGACATAGAAACCATTTGAGCATATAGATAACAAAGATCAAATAATTATGTATTTGATTTCCTATGTGAAATATCTTTCTGTACATTATTTTAAATAAATCTACACATCAATAAATACATGTTTAGAAGGAAACAAAACTAATTTCCCTTGGAAAGCATTGCCTAAAATATAGCTTTTCATGTATAAATTTGAAAAACTAAATTATTATTGAACTCAACTTTCAACTGTTAACTAAGCAAAACATGTAGCTTCAGCCTATAAGTCTATCGTAGTATTACAATAACAAAAAAAAATCAGCTGATATTCAGTTCTTAAATTTTGATATTTTCCCTCATTAATATGTAGGAAACATCCATGTAGGAAACTACCTATCAGCTAAGCACATTATGCAGATAATAAGTTAATACCAATGTCAGAGTTGGGACAATTTCTCTTTATTAACATTTTATTTTTTTAACTTTGTTAATACTGATTTCATTAATTCACACACACATTCTGATTTCAAGAGACTAGGTTAATTGGTTCTAGTCATTATCATCCATGCTAACTCTGGAAGAAACTGTGCAATAAATAACGAAGGGGTTGACAATTGACTCCAAGTTCATTTGTTGACAGTATGACATTGGAATATATAATGCAACTTCTTTAAATCTCAGTTTCTCCTTTGCAAAATGGGGATACTCCCTATTAGAAGATCAATAAGTCCTCTTAATATTATGACAGAAAATCCAACTCAATATATCTAAACAAGAGAATTTATTGGCTCATGTAATTCAAAGTCCTGGGCTAGCTTTAGATTAAGTTTCATCTGGCATATAGACAGTTTCTCCAAGGACCCACATTTCTCCAGCTGTCCCTTCTGCCTCCATTCTTAGGACATAGAGGGATGCCCCCTCCCAACCCTTAACCCAACCTTAACTCACTGTTACAAATAGCTACAGGGAATCTCCACTTTTATTTCTCTGGTCCTTTTTTTTTTTTTTTTTTTGAGACAGAGTCTCACTCTGTCATCCAGGCTGGAGTGCAGCGGTGTGATCTCAGCTCACTGCAACCTTCACCTCCTGGGTTCAAGAGATTCTCCTGCCTCAGCCTCCCCAGTAGCTGGGATTACAGGTGCCTGCCACCATGTCTGGCTAAATTTTTTTGTATTTTTAGTAGAGACGAGGTTTCACTGTGTTGGCCAGGGTGGCCTTGAACTCCTGACCTCAAGTGATCCACCCACCTTGGCCTCCCAAAGTGCTAGGATTTCTCTGGTTTTAATTGGGTTCCGTGTTCACACTTAATCACTATAGCTAGGGAGTGGGATATGTTGAGTAGGTTAAACTAATAAGGCTCCAGCTCAATAGCTGGGAAAGGGGTCAGTCCTACCCAAAGATAGTTTGAGGATGAGGAAATGGGTGGTTTCTCCAGAAGAAAATCTAGGAGCAGTTTTACCAAAAACAGAAGGAATGAATACTGAGCGAGAGAAAACAATAGGCCCACTCATAAACTCATGGAGTTGTGAAGATTAAATGTGGTAACATATAGAAAGCTCAGGAAAAGCATAGGTCTAGATCTTTGTTTTCCTCACACCTCCTAGCACATGGTAGGCATTTGATGTTCATTTATTCACTAAATATGCATCGAGTACCTCCTGTGTGCCAAGCTCTACACTACTATTGAGGATTCAAAAATAATGAAGACATGTTGCCTGTCCTTGTGAAGCTTATAGCTTACTAGGAATGGCAGATAAGTCAAAATGCAATTGTAACAAAGTGAGATGAGTGCTGTGGCTAGAGGTTAGCTCAGGATGCCATAGAATCACAAAAGAAAGGTGCAGGGAGGTGTAACATAGGCACAGTCATGAAAACGATCCCTATAAATATCCTCAATACATGTTACCTTGTCCCTTACCTATAGATATTTATACCCTTTTCCCTGATTCTGTAGCAGAAGTATCTTGGGCCCTGAGCAGCTTAATTTTAAATGATTTTTTTCTGAAGATTGGAGAGAACATTAGCAGTAGAGGTAATGAAGTAGAAGGTTATCTTCTCTGCCTTTATAACATGTTTTTTAAGTTGAAATTATAGCCATGATTTTACCTCCCTAGTGGGAAATATAGATTATCTCCCTTTTCTGTTAACCAGCAAAAAAAAAAATCTATAATTGTACATAGTTACAATTTTGTTTAACTGAATCAGCTTAATTTGTTCCAATGCAGTTAAGATCTCACAGTTAAAGCCCCACAAGGTGGCGGCAGAGGAAACATCATCTGTGAGTCGCAGTGTGGAGAAGTCTCAGGAAGGAAGCAAGGGAAGGCTTTCCCACTTACACCTTTCTGAGAAAGGCATGGATAAGACGATGTCTAGGATTTGGCCTGGGCTGCTTTGTCCCTGCCACCTCTTCAAAGGAGACACCATATCATCAAGGTTCCAGGGAATAAGATGAGCCTTAGGCAGTAATTGGCCTCATCTGAGAACTTTGGTCAACCTCCAGAATTCCTTTTTCGAGATAAGTTTCAGGCTATCTCTAGGGTTCACTGTGGGTGTTCCACAATTATTAAATGTTAACATTATGCTTAATTGGTAATTAACAGCATGCAGCACATTTGTGAGCACATAAGCAGTCTGTTCCTGAGATGAATGAAACATTTCTGAGATGTCTATCAGGGATCACTCACAGTCCATGCATGCTGCCTTATTTATTTTTCTCTATTAAAAATCATAAATCCTTCATCTTAAAGTATTTTTATATAGATTATTTGTAGTATCAAAATAATTTGAATCACTTGATAATTTAAAAATCTCTCACATAGTATGAATATGTCCCTTGAGACTCTTACTGCCTTTCAGGGAGAAAGGATGAATGAAATGAAATCATCTATGCTAAATAAGTTCTAAAATTCTGAATGAGTTCTAAGGATGAAGAGGGACTCTGCAAGCTCCCCAAAGCTGCTAAATCTATATACCCTCAACACAAATACTCAGATAGATAAATGAAACACACAGCCTATTTATTGGGAATTCAGAGGGAAAAAAAGTTAATTATTTAAGGAATAATCAGAAAATGTATTTTAATATGCAGTATACATTTACATTATAAAATATGGTATAATTTGTGATCTTAATAAATAGGTGTCTCATCTCTTCGTTACTGGCTTTACTCATCCATTCTTTCATTTATAACAGTACTAGCATAATATAATTGAAGTCCCTTTCCCACCTTCAACAAAATGGTATACAGGTTCCAGAACTTGCTCAACTTTTTTAGCATTTGATTCTATGAAAAACTGTTGGTAAAGGCAGCTGCTGGCTCTGAATTAATCTTGCAACTTTTTGGGTGTATATAAATATGAGGCAGTCTAAGAAAGCCCTGATACCATATTTCTATTTTTGTGAGAGTTCTTTGTACGTCATGTTTTGATCCCCCAGCAGAGACTTTCAAACGCCTTTCCAAAAATGCATAATCACAAAATATGAACTTTTTAAAAAAAGTGTACTCTTTTTGGAGTACAGATGGGGCCCAGTGATCCACCCATTGAGCCTCTCTCCATCACATCTTAGGGATGTATCACTAAGTCACATTAAATCTTCTCAGTTTAAATATTAGTCACCTAGGCCATGATAAACTTGCAATAAATGTGACTGTGTATTATTTTTGTGTGGAAGTTGAATTTCCTTATGTTCTCCATAACTTCCCTCTTCCTTTTTGGTAAAAGTATAAGAAACTCCAGTTACTATAAGCAAGACAGTTTTTTCAATGATCTAGGACTTCCTTCTTCAGTCCCTCATTCTCTTTCCTGAACCACAAGTTGAAGCCCTGCTATGGGCCTTGTTAGTAGGCATGAGTTATGCAAAAATCCTTCGAAGTAATTCTGATTCAGATTTCCTGCACTTGTTACTTTGTCTCCAGTTTAAAGACATTGTGGACTTTTCAGTTGAATTCATATGTAATTTGATTCTTCCAAATATTAGCTAAGGATTTATGCTCCAAAGTGTCCAGGGGGCTACTGCCATGAAGTTATATATTTTTATATATATTATATAATTTATATATCATATAATATATAAATAATATTATATATTATATATATATATATATTTTTTTTTTTTTTTGAGATGGAGTCTTGCTCTGTCGCCCAGGCTGGAGTGCAGTGATGCGATCTTGGCTCACTGCAAGCTCCGCCTCCTGGGTTCATGCCATTTTTCTGCCTCAGCCTCCCGAGTAGCTGGGACTACAGGTGCCCGCCACCATGCTCGGCTAATTTTTTGTATTTTTAGTAGAGACAGGGTTTCACCATGTTAGCCAGGATGGTCTCGATCTCCTGACCTCATGATCTGCCTGCCTCGGCCTGCCAAAGTGCTGGGATTACAGGCGTGAGCCACCACACCCAGCAGAAGTTGTGTATTTTATATAATGCCTAATAGGTTTTATTTGTTCTAAGCAATTATGTGACAATGCCCAGGCCAATGAATTTAGCAGATGAATGTTCCAGACTACATGTCCTTTCATAAATTGCTGAAAATATGTGTCCACTTATATCACAGCTTTAGCCAAAATGAATTATGAATGATTCAGGAAGATATCTAAAAAACATAATCCAGTTTCCAAATTCTCCTGCTCAGGCCAGCAAGCTATATATATACAGTTTGTCTCAGTCTGTTAGTTCTGCTACAACAAAATACCTGAGACTGGGTAATATAAAGAACAGAAATTTATTTCCTCACAGTTCTGAAGGATGGGAAGTCCAAGATCAAGGGTACAGATAGGTTCAGCATCTGGTGAGGTCCCCAGCCTCTGCTTCCAAGATGGCACCATGAATGCTATTTCTTGACATAGTGGGTCAGAAGGGCAAAATGTGCTCAACTCACTCACTTTTAAAAGGGTGCTAATCCTGCCCACTAGGCCACAGCCCTCATGGTCTAACCTCCTCCTAAAGGCCCCACCTCTTAACACTGTTGCATTGGGGATGATATCTCAGCATAAATATTGAAGGGGACACAATAATTCAAACCATAGGATAGTTGATACTCACTATTCATGGGTTTCATAT
The DNA here is from genome assembly GCF_000001405.40 of Homo sapiens. Classification (NCBI taxonomy): domain Eukaryota; kingdom Metazoa; phylum Chordata; class Mammalia; order Primates; family Hominidae; genus Homo; species Homo sapiens. The sequence continues at coordinate 162,331,370 of NC_000002.12, read as the reverse complement.
GTGTGAATTCAGTTACTTGCTGATACTTATTTGTAACCCCTAAATAATCAATACTTGTGGCCCTTTCACAGTCATTTGCAAAGTGCAGAACAGTGAAACATTTGAATCACCTGATGCACAGATTCCTAACTGAGGTCAAACAAGGCAGTGCTCTGCCTTCTTGTTGCAGCTGTTATACTATAAATAAGTATCCTTTTTGTAGTATATTTAGTGCCACATTTTTCACATTTTTGTGTTCTTTGTTAGTGATTTCACTGTTTAAAATGGCCTCCCAGCACAGTGCTGAAGTGCGGTCTAATACTCCTGAGCACAAAAGAAAATAAGTATGTTAGGTAAGCTTTGTTCAGGTATGAGTCATAGTGCAATTGGTTGTGAATTCAATGTTGATGAATCAACAATATATACTAAATAAAATGTCTTTAAACAGAAATACATTCAAAACAAAGTTATGTATTGATCAGTTGACAAAAATGTGACTGGGGCTCATAGGAACCTAACCCTGCATTTTCTCTAGAAGCAATGGCTCAGTATTCACTAATTCAGTGCTTATAGTGACTTTATAGAATATAACTGCCACCAAAAATGAGAATTGATGGTATCCTCAGTTGGCCCTAGGCTAACAGAAGCCCTAATCCCTAGTTCTCACCTCTGATGGAAGAATGAAATTACAAGTGGGTTTGAAAAGAAAAATAACTGACACTAAAGTTCTAACCATGGAGACTGTGAGGCAATGGATAATTTTACACAGGTTTCCATGTAAGTCTAATCTGGACATAGGTTCAGAACAACTTCCTAAGTGGTCACTTGGCTCACAAAAAGGGACTGAATTGGCCACATCAGCACTACCTATTGGAGATATTCGTCAAGGCCAATGTGTGTATTCAGGTACATAAAACAACTGGAAAGCAAGTTTGTAGCATCCTTTGGGTCATTCTTTTATTTTAATATTCATACAAAATGGTTTGACCTACTGCAGCGTTGCCTTACTATTAAAAATCAAAATTATTGGCTATTACTAAAAAGTCAAAAAGTAACGCATGCTGGCAAGGTTACGGAGAAAAAGGAATGCTTACATACTGTTGGTGGGAGTGTAAATTAGTTCAGCTATTGTGGAAGACAGTGTGGTGATTCCTCCAAGACCTAAAGACAGAAATACCATTTGACCCAGCAATCCCATTACTGGGTATATACCCAAAGGAATAAAAGTTGTTCTATTGTAAAGACACCTGTGTGCATGCATTCATTGCAGCACTATTCACAATAGCAAAGATATGGAATCAACCTAAATGCCCATCAGTGACAGACTGGATAAAGAAAATATAGTACATATATACCATTGAAAACCATGCAGCCATAAAAAAGAATGAGATCATATCCTGTGCACGGACGTGGATGGAGCTAGAGGCCATTATTTTTAGCAAACTAACACAGGAACAAAAAACCAAATACTGCATGTTCTCACTTATAAGTCGGAGCTAAATGATGAGAACACATGGGGGAACGACACACGCTGTGGCCTACTGGATAGTGAAGGGTGCGAGGAGGGAAAAGATCATGAAAAATAACGAATGGGTACTAGGCTTAATATCTGGGTGATGAAATAATCTGTACAACAAACCCCCATGACACAAGTTTACCTATGTAATAAACCTGCACATGTACCCCTGAACTTAAAAGTTAAAAATAACAATAATTATTATTATTATAATAAAATAAAAATAAAAAATTTTGATCCCTATCATTAAAAATATTTGAAGATGGACCCCAGTAAATATATGGGTATTCATTTAGAAAATCTTCACATGTACAACTATAATAATTTATCATAAAATACAACAAAAACTAAAAAGGAATGAGATGAGCTAATTAAGATTTTAAAATGTAATTTATATAACTCAGTGCACTGATAATAAAAAAATTTGTAGTTGATAATGCTTATATTTTAAAATCTTAGTTTAACCCTTCGTGATTTAGCAGCTCAAAAGTTTGATTCAATTTATCTCAATATTTCAATAATTAATTCTACAGCCTTCCTACTCTCTTACTTTAAGACTTTTTCAATTATAATATAGATATAGAAGTGCTGGGAAGGGAAGAATCTGGTCCCTTTAAATGATAGGAAAGTGTTAAGTAGAGGAGGGCATGATCCCTAGCTAGGGCTCCATCCCCATGGACCTAGGTGAGGACAGGCATTTCCTGCCCAAATGTTGCATTTCCCAAGACCACACTGGCCTGCCACGCCCCCATCCTGTGCCTATAAAAAAACCCCCGAGACCGTAGCAGGCAGACATAGAAGGAGCTGGACATCAAGAGGAGAACATCAGCAGAAGAATACACAGGCGGCTGGATGTGGAGAGGAATGCACTGACAGGCACCAGAATGCTGCCAGGCCACTGACCAGCAGAAGCAGAATGATGCGGAGTTTGGCTGGGATAGTCAGTGGAGAGCCCAGGCCACTGAGAGGCCCAACTCCAGGGGTAAACCTTCCCATTCAATTCCCTTCTGACTTCCTCCAAGCCACCTCCACTCAATAAAACCTTGCACTCATTCTCCAAGCCCAGATGTGATTGATTCCGATTTTTCCAGTACACCAAGGCAAGAACGCAAGATACAGAAAGCCCTCTGTCCTTGCAACAAGGTAGAGGGTTTAATTGAGCTGGTTAACACAAGCCATCTATAGATAGCAAAACTAAAAGCAAAACTAAAAGAGTACCCTGTAATACACTCCCACCGAGGCTTCAGGAGCTGTAAATATTCAGCCCTAGACACCGCCATGAGGTCGGAGCCCCACAGCCTGCCCGTGTGTATGCTCCCCTAGAGGTTTGAGCAGTGGGGCAACTTTTCCTGTCTCAACTGGGGGCTCACCCGGGATCTTAGAAGGTGAGTGTGAGTGAATGCTGTCAGGTTTGCCTTTCTTCCAAAACCCTGCCATCTCTCTCTCTTTCCTATGAGTAAGAGGCTCTGTTTTCTTTTCTTTTTTGAGACAGGATCTTGCTCTGTCACCCAGGCTGGAGTGCAGTGGCACAATCTTGCTCACTACAACCTCCACCTACCAGGTTCAAGCAATTCTCCTGCCTCAGCCTCCCGAGTAGCTGTGATTACAGGCACATGCCACCATTCTCGGCTAATTTTTTTTTTTTTTTTTTTTTTTTGGTAGAAACAGGGTTTCACCATGTTGGCCAGGCTGATCTCGAACTCCTGACTTCAGGTGATCCACTCACCTCGGCCTACCAAAGTACTGGTGTGTCCGGACTCCCTCCACACCTCCTTGCAAGCTGAGGGAGACAGCTCCGGCCTTGGCCAGCCCAGAAAGGGGCTCCCACAGTGCAGCGACGGGCTAAAGGGCTCCTCAAGTGCCGCCAAAGTGGGAGCCCAGGCAGACGAGGCGCCAAGAGCCAGCGAGGGCTGTGAGGACTGCCAGCACGCGGTCCCCTCTCATTGGAATTACAGGTGGAGCCACCATGCCCAGCAAGCCTCTGTTGTCTTTTTGTCACTTTTTCTCTCGCGCAGTTTGAAATGGCTCTAATCTCTTTATAATGTTAAGTGTTTTGCTACAGGCTGCGTCAATGTTACTAAGTAAAATGAGTATTTGGCCCAGCCACCAAAGGTGCAAATCAGACCAACTGTTCCTGGAGGTGCCAGGTATGCCTCCACCTCGACAGCCACAGGCATGCATGGCTCAGGGAATCTCTCCTTACCCTTTCCCCTCTCAGCTCAGCTGCCTAGGCGTGCCTGCAGCAGCCAAAGGCTGACCCCAAAAGCCAATAGGGGGAGCAGGAGCAAACAGGCAATATCCAGGACCCTACAGGGTGCTTCTTGCTTAATATGTCAACAGAACCTCCCCTGGCCAGGGAATTCAACCTGGTCTGAACTAGGGGAAGGATGGGAAAGATAATTATAAGGATTAAAAGGGCCCACTTGCACTAAGTGAGAGGTTCTTCTCCTAGCATCCCCCCTTTTTTGCCCCTTTTACTGTTTTTTCTGTTTTTTACCAAGTGAGAGGGCTCCCCCTGCCCCCCACAATGTTTCTGATAGGGAAGTTAACAGAGGAGCGACCCCTGCTGGCTGATAACTGCAAATTCAGCAAGGCACGTTTGAGATACTCTAAACAGATACAAATAGCCACTAACATACCTTTTTGGTCCCAAACTCGATTTAAGCTTCAGACTGAGGCCCCAGAAAGAAAAACTGGGCCTAAGGAATCCAAAGCCAGGTGACAGGCACAGTGTAAATGGGCAGAACCAATTCCTGCCGACCAATTGGGCAGAACCAATTCCTGCCACCCCACAGAAGGAGGCCATGGTTCCTGGAATAAACAGGCCCAGGGAACTCAAAGTTTGCCAATAGCAAGGAGAAAGGGAGGCATAGGTGAGGGCAGTTAATTCCCATTCTCCAGGTTTTCCCTACCTCATGGGTACATACCTCATTTTTACCTATGGCTGGCACCTGCCAAGGTCTCTGGGGCTCAGGGATAAGGGGTGGAGAGTGGAGGGAGGACGCTTGCTTTCTCTCTCCATCATACCCTGAGTTTTTTGTGGAAAGAAGGAAAGGAAGGCCAGGTGTGGTGGCTCATGCCTGTAATCCCAGCACTTTGGGAGGCCAAGGCAGGCAGATCACCTGAGGTCAGGAGTTTGAGACCAGCCTGGCCAACATGGTGAAACCTCATGTCTACTAAAAATACAAAAAATTAGTTGGGCATGGTGGGGCTTGCCTGTAGTCCCAGCTACTTGGGAGGTGGAGGCAGGAAAATTGCTGGAACCCAGGAGGCGGAGACTACAGTGAACCAAGATCGTGCCATTGCACTCCAGCCTGGGTGACAGAACAAGATTCCATCTCAAAAAAAAAGAAAAGAAAAAAGAAAGAAGGGAAATGAGGGATGCCTCTATTCCCTGTCTTTCAGAATGGGCAACTAGTTCTCTTCACCACCCTCAGCTTATACTCCTCTGGAGTGTATGCTGAACCATTGGGACTACTTTGACCCTCAGAATCTGGAGGAAAAATGCCTTGTAGCCCTCTGCACAAAAGTTTGGCCAAATTATGATTTACAGGAAGGACTGGCTTGGCCTCTGGAAGGGACCATTCATTTCAATACCATCTGGCAATTGGAACTTTTCTGTAGACTTGAGGACAGATGGTCTGAGGTCCCATATGTGCAAGCTTTCTATACCTTGTAAGGCAATCCAGACCTTTGCTGACAATGTAGGATTGATCCAACCCTTCTGTTTCCTGTCTCAGGGAAGGCTGCAAGGGGCAAGCCCAGCAAACTAAAGACACAAGTCTCAGAGGCACACCCAGCAGAGGAGCCAACTCCCTCAAGCCCTGCTCCTCTGGGTCCACCCCGACCTCCCCATCCAGTTTCAGCCTCTCACTTGCCCCCTCCTAGAAATCCTCACCCTAAACAAACCCGTCTTACTCTTGCCTCTCCAATAGATGCCAAGTGAATTTGGGCCCAGTAAGGTCCAGGTCCCCGTCTCCCTACAGGACTTAACGCAAATGAAGGGGGACCTTGGCAAGTTTTCAGATGACCCTGATAGATATATAGAGGCTTTCCAGAATTTCACCTAAATATTTGAACTCTCCTGGAGAGATGTTATATTACTTTTGAATCAGACCCTGACAGACACTGAGAAACACGCCGTTCAGCAAGTGCAGACAGATTTGGGGATGAGTTTTGTATCACATATAGTGTCAGGGAAGGGGGCAAACATTATCCAACCGGAAGAGAAGCAGTACCAATGGATGACCCTAAATGGGATCCCAGTGATGACATGGGAAACTGGAAGAGGAAACACTTTCAGGTGTGCATAATGGAGGGCTTGTGTAGGACAGGAATTTGATGAAAATCCCACTGCCTTCCTGGAGAGGCCTTGATAAAACACACCTCTCTATCTCCTGATTCAGTCAAGGGGCAACTAATCCTAATGGATAAATTTATTACTCAGTCAGCTCCTGATATCAGGAGGAAGTTGCAGAAATGGGCCCCAGGAGCAGACAGTATGTTAGAGGACCTCCTGAAAATGGACACCTTGGTCTTTTATAATAGAGACAGGGAAGCCCAGGAAGGAGAGAGAAAACACAGGAAAGAGACAGAAGCTTTAGTGGCCACCAGGCAAGCTCACAAACCCCAGAATTCCCAGGGTGCACCTGTTAATTGCTAAGGATATGGCAACAACAGTTACCTCCCTTCTAAAGTTTAACTGCTCCCATAAGAGGTTTAATTTCTTTCACCAGGCTGAAACAGGTCAGGGTACAATGTTGTTGTTGTTAGTATATTTCATTTCTTATCTCTGTAGTCTTTGGCACCAAATTCTTTCTTTGTGTAATACACATTTAACCCATGCATACTTAACCTTATAGAACTTGTTTTTTTTTTCTCCCATGCCTAGAAGCCATCAAACTCCAAATGGTCAGGCAATCGGAGCCTCGGACGATGGCTCTCCTTTGCCAGGAACCCTTAGATAAACCTCTGGGAGGAGTCTGTGCCATTTTTACCAAAACAATGCCCCCTGTCAGCAGGAAGCAGTTAAAACCGGTCATCGTCCATATTCTAACAGCAGTTAGTTGTACCTCTTCAGAGGGGATAAATGATATGGAAGTGCTGAGAAGGGAAGAGCGTGGTCCCTGTAAATGATACAGAAAGGGGAAAGGGAAGTGCTGGGTAGAGGAGGGTGTGATCCCTAGCTAGGGCTTTACCCTCACAGACCTAGGTGAGGACAGGCATTTCCTGCCAAATGTTGCATTTCCCAAGACCACCGTAGCCTGCCATGCCCCCATCCTGTACCTATAAAAACCTCCAAGACCCCAGCAGGCAGACACAGAGGCAGCTGGACTCAAGGGGAGCACATCAGTAGAAAAACACATAGGAGGCTGAAGGTTGAGAGGAACACACCAAAAGGCACCAGCACACTGGCAGGCCACCATCTGGCAGAAGTAGAACGTCGCAGAGTTTGGCTGGGGCAGTTGAGGGGAGCCCAGGCCGCTGAGTGGCCTGATTCCAGGGGAAAACCTTTCCACTCCATCCCCTTCTGACTTCCCCTGAGCTACCTCCACTCAATATAAAGCTTGCACTCATTCTCCAAGCCCAGGTGTGATCCGATTCTTCCAGTATACCAAGTCAAGAACCTGGGATACAGAAAGCCCTCTGTCCTTGAGACAATGTAGAGGGTCTAACTGAGCTTGTTAACACAAGCCACCTATAGACAGCAAAACTAAAAGATCACCCTGTAACACACGCCCACTGAGGCTTCAGAAGCTGTAAACATCCACCCCTAGACACTGCCGTGGGTCGGAGCCCCACAGCCTGCCCATCTGCAGGCTCCCCTAGAGGTTTGAGCAGTGGGGCACTGAAGAAGCGAGCCACACCCCCATACTGCCCAAGGTAATTTACAGATTCAATGCCATCCCCATCAAGCTACCAATGACTTTCTTCACAGAATTGGAAAAAACTACTTTAAAGTTCATATGGAACCAAAAAAGAGCCCGCATCGCCAAGTCAATCCTAAGCCAAAAGAACAAAGCTGGAGGCATCACCCTACCTGACTTCAAACAATACTACAAGGCTACAGTAACCAAAACAGCATGGTACTGGTACCAAAACAGAGATATAGATCAATGGAACAGAACAGAGCCCTCAGAAATAATGCCACATATCTACAACTATCTGATCTTTGACAAACCTGAGAAAAACAAGCAATGGGGAAAGTATTCCCTATTTAATAAATGGTGCTGGGAAAACTGGCTAGCCATATGTAGAAAGCTGAAACTGGGTTCCTTCCTTACACCTTATACAAAAATCAATTCAAGATGGATTAAAGACTTAAACGTTAGACCTAAAACCATAAAAACCCTAGAAGAAAACCTAGGCATTACCATTCAGGACATACGCATGGGCAAGGACTTCATGTCTAAAACACCAAAAGCAATGGCAACAAAAGCCAAAATTGACAAACGGTATCTAATTAAACTAAAGAGCTTCTGCACAGCAAAAGAAACTACCATTAGAGTGAACAGGCAACCTACAAAATGGGAGAAAATTTTCGCAACCTACTCATCCGACAAAGGGCTAATATCCAGAATCTACAATGAACTCAAACAAATTTACAAGAAAAAAACAAACAACCCCATCAAAAAGTGGGTGAAGGACATGAACAGACACTTGTCAAAAGAAGACATTTATGCAGCCAAAAAACACATGAAAAAATGCTCACCATCACTGGCCATCAGAGAAATGCAAATCAAAACCACAATGAGATACCATCTCACACCAGTTAGAATGGCAATCATTAAAAAGTCAGGAAACAACAGGTGATGGAGAGGATGTGGAGAAATAGGAACACTTTTGCACTGTTGGTGGGACTGTAAACTAGTTCAACCATTGTGGAAGTCAGTGTGGTGATTCCTCAGGGATCTAGAACTAGAAATACCATTTGACCCAGCCATCCCATTACTGGGTATATACTCAAAGGACTATAAATCTTGCTGCTATAAAGACACATGCACATGTATGTTTATTGTGGCATTATTCACAATAGCAAAGACTTGGAACCAACCCAAATGTCCAACAGTGATAGACTGGATTAAGAAAATGTGGCACACATACACCATGGAATACTATGCAGCCATAAAAAATGATGAGTTCATGTCCTTTGTAGGGACATGGATGAAATTGGAAATCATCATTCTCAGTAAACTATCGCAAGAACAAAAAACCAAACACCGCATATTCTCACTCATAGGTGGGAATTGAACAATGCGAACACATGGACACAGGAAGGAGAACATCACACTCTGGGGACTGTTGTGGGGTGGGGGGAGGGGGGAGGGATAGCATTGGTAGATATACCTAATGCTAGATGACGAGTTAGTGGGTGCAGCGCACCAGCATGACACATGTATACATATGTAACCAACCTGCACATTGTGCACATGTACCCTAAAACTTAAAGTATAATAATAAATAAATAAATAAATAAATAAATAAATAAAGTAAAATAAAACAATTACAATCTAGCCTTTGAGGTAAAAGTACTGTTTTTCACAAAAACATTTGCAGGTAACTGTTTTTGAAAAGACTTTAAGCTATGGAAGGAGTACTTGAAAAATGAATGTTCCAAAACTTATCTATTGATACGTGACTTTCATTTTTTGCCAAAACTGCTATGTAGAAAAGTTTTTATATGTGAAAACTTAAAAACCAGAATTTTAATTGAATTGGTGAAAGTGATTAGGAAATTATTATCAAGATTTAGTGAACTTAGCCATAATTTTTTTTCTATTTTAGGCTTACTACTATTTTTGAAATAAAAAGCTACGACAGTATCCTTTTAATAAACTTTCCTGCTAAATCAGCCTATCAGTTTCAGTTAAATGGCTGAAAGTCTTGCTTAAAGTCTCAGTTAAATGGCTAGCTATTATATAGTGTTTATATGTATGTGTGTATATATATATATATATATATATATATATATATATATATATATATATATATGTAACTAAATTTTTCCTTTATAAATTGTGCATTCTTTGAAGACTAGCACCGCACCATCTCTTCTTTAATTTTTATATAAGCGTAGTGGGCTGGAGTCACATATTGGGCACATAAACATGCCAGGCTGGTGCTAGTGTGTTACAGTCTATCCTTAGAACAAACTTCTGACATGATACCAGAATCTTTCCATTTTACAACTGATGTATTTGAGGTGATTTTTCAAAGCACAGCAATTAAGAAATAGTATTGAGATGTGAACTCAGACAGCCTGAACTCAGAGTCTCTGTGCTTAACCATACCCCACACTGCCAGGTTAAGAGCATCTAACACTTTAAATTACACAAAGCAGGCTCATTATTGATACAAATGAGCAAACAAGTAAAGGAACAGAACAACAATTCCAGGGTTTCTCACTAAACTAAAATTATTGTCATTTTCTTTGAAAAAGACATTATTGCTATGCATGGTCGTTAAATTGTAGTGGCAGCTCATATTGTTACTACTTCTTAAAAACTCAAATGAAAAGTTGCATAACAATGGGAAAATACATAGTTCAGCAGGATCTCCTGCCTCAAAAGAGAAAGGAAAAAGAAACTTACATTTGGGAACTGGTGAAAAGGATTAAAATGAAACCTAGTAGAAGAAACTTGACAGAGGAAAACAATTAATTACTCAAGTGAAAAACAGAAAATAAACTAAATCATGATGCAAAAAATATAGATGAAAAAAGGATACATTGTGAGAGATTGTGTCTTGGCTTTTGTTTCCTTAACCTCCTTTCTCCAAAAAGGGTCCCATCAAGACTATGGGAGATTCCTAAAAAAGAAGTCCCTTCCACCCACACCTAATCCTCATCACTCAGACCTCATCCAGCAGAGAGACTCCTACTTGTGAGAAAATATGAATTGTTATTGTTGGGTATTATGTGATGCTAATAGGGTTAGAGGAGGATGACTATTTGGGAAATCAACCTGTGAAACTGTAATATACATTATTATGTAGATTTACTATGGTCTTCAGGGCATTTATCCTCACCTGCACATTGCATATTTTTTAGTCATTACTTACCATCTATCTTCCCACTCCCATTAGAATGTGAACTCCATAAAAGTAGGAGCTTTGTTAATTTTATTAACTGCACCTAGATCAGTGCTGGTCATGTAATAGATACTTAATAAACATATTTTAAATGACTAGATGATACAATGAATGATATAATTTGAATGCCAAATATTTAAATATCTTTGGTTTAAATGTTTATTATTTGAGAACAGGTCAAATACCAAACATTTGATCCTTTCTCTTCCAGAGCAACAATTAAGTGGTATGAAGAAAATAACATTAACTGGTTCCCCATATTCAGTCAGCAACCCCTTCTCATTCCCCCATGTTTGAAACCAAGAAACAGAAGGATAAGTGCCAGGAAAAAGAATGTTTTTTGGTTTGTTAGTTTGTGCTTTAACATGTTGAATAAAACCCACTGGCAGCTGGGGGATAGGAGTATGTTTTTGCAACAGCCTTAAAAGATATTTTCATAGACCCAATACTTAAAATTAATAATTTGAGTGCTTTTGTAGAAACATCTAATTGGATTATCCTCTATCTGGGTACAAGGTCATCTCCCAAAATTAAGTGAAAAAGGAGTAGGGTTCTGTGAAGAAACAGAAAAGAACAGTATAAATCAGGCCTACCTGCAAGCCCAAGGTTTCATTTACTTCAACTTTCAGTGTATTTAACATTATGCCAGCTGCTATGGTCAACTCAAATACAACTCCCAGGAGAGATGTCATCAAGAGCCCACCAGTTGTGAGTAGTGTACTAGTTACTATGTAAATATATCCCTTCTTCAAGCAGCTTACAATCCTTCAGGGGTAGAAAAAGCCTTGCTACATAAGATAATTAGAGAATAAAATAAGACATGTTACCATAAAGTGCTCATTTGGATATTTTGTATGCCCCTAGTAAACACTCACCAAGACTCTGTACTTCTATTATCCTGTTCAAAGCACTATCAGGTTTTCCTGGCCTACACAGACTTTATTGAATGTACTTTGCTAACAGATTATTTTTCCTAAATATGTCTCTTTGATAACCTAAATGATCTCTCCATCCTTTATATAATTCTGGACCATGAGATTCTAGTTATGGTGCGTATGTGCCTACCACCCACAGTCACATGTGGCTACAGAATGCCTTCAGAATGAGTAGTAACCTTAAGGACTCACATTTATGTGGCTTCTGTACCAAAATGAAGCTGCCATTTTTCAGTGTGAATATGTTTTTTTTCTCTCATGACATAGACAAATGTTGATGTTTACTACAAGTTGGTACATTAGTTGCTAATTAAGTTCCTAGCTGCTCCAGCCAAAACTTGCTGTATTGAATCCAAGAAAAGAATGGCAGCTATATCAAAAATAAGTTGTTGGGGGATTTTTTTGTTTTGTTTTATTAAAGGAAAGTTGTATATTAAAGAATATAGGGAACTTACAAGCTGGGATCTAGGAAACTTTAAGTCTTGGCTTCCTTCTAAGCTGAGTTGGTGGTTCAAGTCCATCCACATCTGTTACCAGGTCCTGGTCAAAGCTGCATAAATACCAGCAATCTAAATATGAGGCAGTAAAGTTAACTGTTTATTGTTACTCACTTTTTCGAACCCACCTCCAAATTCCCAGGGAAACAAGTTAGTGTTTGGGAACCCACAGGAGGTCAGGTTTATTTTAGGAAGGACTTCCTCCTGTCTTCTCCACATCTCTGCAAAGATGTCTTCTGAGCTTCATCTCTCACCTGTCCCTCGCAGTCTCACCACCCTCAGCCAGGCCTGCCTACATTCACCAGCCGAGGGTAACTCCCTGTTCACGTCCGGGTCTGTGGCAGTTTCTGTTCACTTCCCCTTTGGAAAGTCCCAAATCACATGCTTTTATGCCCTGCACATTTTGGCCTACAAAGGACCTTATTGTTAAGGCAGAACCTGCTGGGAAAACAAAATATCCGCCGGAGGAGCTTTGCTAGAGCGTTGGTCTTGGTGTCAGAGAGAATTCGCTTTCCTTTTCTGTTTCCCGCGGTGTCCTTAACCAAAGGCCTCCTCTCTTCACCCGCCCCGACCAAAAGGTGGCGTCTCCCTGAGGAAACTCCCTCCCCGCCAGGCAGATTACGTTTACAAAGTCCTGAGAAGAGAATCGAAACAGAAACCAAAGTCAGGCAAACTCTGTAAGAACTGCCTGACAGAAAGCTGGACTCAAAGCTCCTACCCGAGTGTGCAGCAGGATCGCCCCGGTCCGGGACCCCAGGCGCACACCGCAGAGTCCAAAGTGCCGCGCCTGCCGGCCGCACCTGCCTGCCGCGGCCCCGCGCGCCGCCCCGCTGCCCACCTGCCCGCCTGCCCACCTGCCCAGGTGCGAGTGCAGCCCCGCGCGCCGGCCTGAGAGCCCTGTGGACAACCTCGTCATTGTCAGGCACAGAGCGGTAGACCCTGCTTCTCTAAGTGGGCAGCGGACAGCGGCACGCACATTTCACCTGTCCCGCAGACAACAGCACCATCTGCTTGGGAGAACCCTCTCCCTTCTCTGAGAAAGAAAGATGTCGAATGGGTATTCCACAGACGAGAATTTCCGCTATCTCATCTCGTGCTTCAGGGCCAGGGTGAAAATGTACATCCAGGTGGAGCCTGTGCTGGACTACCTGACCTTTCTGCCTGCAGAGGTGAAGGAGCAGATTCAGAGGACAGTCGCCACCTCCGGGAACATGCAGGCAGTTGAACTGCTGCTGAGCACCTTGGAGAAGGGAGTCTGGCACCTTGGTTGGACTCGGGAATTCGTGGAGGCCCTCCGGAGAACCGGCAGCCCTCTGGCCGCCCGCTACATGAACCCTGAGCTCACGGACTTGCCCTCTCCATCGTTTGAGAACGCTCATGATGAATATCTCCAACTGCTGAACCTCCTTCAGCCCACTCTGGTGGACAAGCTTCTAGTTAGAGACGTCTTGGATAAGTGCATGGAGGAGGAACTGTTGACAATTGAAGACAGAAACCGGGTAGGTGTCTGTTCAGATGGAGCTAGCCTTTTAGGCAGATTTTGCAAAGCAGGCTTCCTTGTGCGTTTGCCCCTTTCCAAATGTGCTTGACCTCTTTGGGCAAATCTAGTTTCTTCCTTTGAGAAGACAACATCTAGGCACTTTAAGACAATTTTAAAAATTTAAACACAAAAGAACTACTTTTCTAATGTTTTCACTGAAGTAAAAAGGAGTTAACTCTAGAATCGTAATGTGTATTAACAGGTAACTTTTATTGAACACTTACTATGTGCAGTTGGTATCATTTTCAAAATGTATTACTACAGTTCATGTTCAGAGTAACCCACTGAGGCTCCTAATGTTATTAACTCCATTTTACAGATGAGAAACCTGAGGCAGGTTAAATAATTTGTCCAAGGTCTCCCAGGAAAAACAGTGGCAGAGCTAAGAATTTAGCTTGTGATAGTGTTGAATGTTTTTCTTATTTAATGTAGTTCCATGGAGCAGGGGTTAGTAAACTACGGCCCATGGGCTAAATCAAGCCTGCTACTGTTTTTTTCAGGCCCACAGGCTAAGAATGGTCTTCAGATTTTTCAATTTTTAATTTTCAGTGTTCATAAAGTTTTATTGGAACACAGTCATGCTCGTTTGTTTACATATTGCTTGTGGCTGCTTTTCTACTCCAAAGGCAATTGGATGGAGACTGTGTGCCCTTAAAGCCAAAAATATTTATTATCTGGCATTTTAGAGAAAAAGTTTTCCAATCTTTGCCCTACATTACACTTTGTGCCATTTAGTCTTAGCCCAAATGGGTAAATTGCAATCACACACACACACACACACACACACACACACACACCCTTTTTCTTTAATCAAAGTTTCAACATTCTTTGAGAATCAAAATTTAGAAACAATTCATTGAAAGAATGTGTTGCTAGTTTCAGTTTTTCATGTTAGTGAAGAAACTCATTTTTCTTAAGGTAGCATTTTGACAGGGCGAATTTTACTGATGACTTTACATTGAATGTGATATGAATTATTTTTTGATAAGTGAAGATGTACTGTGATGTGTATAAATGCTGACCTGTTTGAATGTGACTTATTCAGGCTCGTAAGTCAAAAGTCTTGTTTTGGAAGACATGTAGACAAATAAAGCCATGACTAAAAGTCAAAGGCTTTGTCTACACCACTCTATGATTTTCACATGGTTTTTTTCTCTCTCTCTCTTTTGGGTCATCCATTGTTTGTATATTCATACAAACTTCTGGGCATTTGATTGATTTGCTATAGCCTATGATGCAATTTAGTCTTTAGTGAATAAAGTTAGTGATCTTTTGTAGACTTGACAGACACAGGGCCTGTCCAAAGACCCAAACATGCATCTAATTTTGATGGCCAGTTTTCCCAACAAGTAAATTACTTTGCACTGTTGTCTGTAATGTTTATGTCGTTTTGTGTATTGAGAACCAGCTAGAACGCATTATAGTAGTCCAGCTGGATATGACAAATGTGTACATCACTGTGGCAGAATCTTAATTTGGAAGAAAGTATGCAGCCTTCAAGCCAGCTGGAGATGGAAGATGGCATTTCCAGCCACAGTAGCTGTTAGAAGTCCAGAAGCAACAGAGTCCAGTAACACCACAAAGCTGTTTATGTTTGGTGGGTATGATGTCCCGATTGCCAGCGAAACAGCACTTCTCCCTATTTACTCTAAATACTTCTGCCTATCAGCATCACTTTTGTCTTGCCTGGATTGAATTTCCGCCAGCTAGATTTTATCCAAGTTCTTGATTCTGGCAAGCTTGGAGGCAGCTAGCAGTAATGCAAGGGATTTGACACAAAGAAGATATAGAGTAACGGGACTTTTGTGTACTGGTAGCAGTTAAGGCCAAAACAACCCAAATTCTCCCTCTGATTCACATTTCAAAGGAGGCCCCAAAAGACTGAGCAGCTATAAATTTGAGGCTCTCTAGGAAGCAATAGTTTCTCTGTGAGAGTGTGGAATAATTTTTGTGTGCATCATTTACATGTATTATCAGTTCCAAAACTAAGATATGGTGGACAATGAGACGGAAGCATTAAGTTTGGTAGAATAATCTATATTGAGGTGGTGGTCATTGACAAATGTTTATCTTACAGCAGCAAAGTGTGATAAGACTGTAGAAGGGGAACACATGGATTTGAGGTCCATCTTGGCTTCTTACTATATGCGTTACTTTGGGCCAAATTACTGAAGTTCCCTGATGCTACATTTACCTGTGAAAATGGACATCATAAAATTTCTCACAGTATTTTAGTCAACATCAAATCAGAAATAGTGTTTATGAAAAAGCTTATAAATCAGAGCTATTTGATATGATAATGGTGTTGACTTTTGTAACCATTCATCTGGTTACATTTCTGTGTAAATTTAAGTTTGAGAGATTGAGGTAAATTCCCCATGTCGCAATTGAGATATACTTCTTAAAGTCCCTAGATTATACTGATTTGAAAAAGAAATTACCTCTTTCATCCCAGAACCTAACTAGGATTAGGTAGAGGGTTGGTGTTTAGTAAGCATTGATTACTTGATTGATAGACTAATTGAATTTATTTCTGAAAGTGTCTGGAATAAGCGTTGAAAACACATGACGTATTGAATTGTGTTGCCAGGCGTTAGAGAATGGATGAATGATGAAAATAAGATTTCCAAATTTGCTTTTTTGAAGGCTTAAAATAGCATTTAACTAAGTAATCAAGACTTCTATAAAATGGTCTTGTATTTTCATTCTTTTTCTGTTTCCCCATAGACATTTTCTACTTGATCTATTATTTTAATTTAGGATTCCCACCCCATTTCCTAGCCCCTGCCCGTAATTACAGCAGGCCTTCTGAAAATGACTTTATACATAGGTTTGTGTCCAGCAAGTACCCAAAAACTTATTCATTCATTCACTCATTCATTCAGTTTGAATTTATTGAGTGGCATCTTTGTGCCGGATGCCATGCTAGTGGTGAAAAGATAGGAGAAAAACACAGAGACTGTTTTGTCCTTTCGTGAAGTTGTGTTGTAGTGTTAATTAGTGTTGATAAAAGAATGTCTACTGTAGGCCAGTCATGGTGGCTTACGCCTGTAATCCCAGCACTTTGGGAGGCCGAGGAGGGTGGCTCTCGAGGTCAGGAGATGGAGACCATCCTGGCTAACACGGTAAAACTCCGTCTCTACTAAAAATACAAAAAAATTAGCTGGGTGTGGTGGTGGGAGCCTGTAGTCCCAGTTACTCGGGAGGCTGAGGCAGGAGAATGGCATGAACCTGGGAGGCGGAGCTTGCAGTGAGCTGAGATGGCGCCACTGCACTCCACCCTGGTGACAGAGCGAGACTCCATCTAATAAGAAAGAGAGAAAGAAAAAGAAAGAAAGAAAGAAAGAAAGAAAGAAAGAAAGAAAGAAAGAAAGAAAGAAAGAAAGAAAGAAAGAAAAGAAAGAAAGAAAGAAAGGAGGGAGGGAGGGAGGGAGGGAGGGAGGGAAGGAAGGAAGAAAGGAAGGAAGGAAAGAAGAATGTCTACTGTATACAAGGGACTATTCTAAATACTAGAGTTTCAGCAATAAATATATGCCATTTTATCAATCATTATAATAAAGCAATCCTTAATGGTAAGGGGGTACCCCTGTACTGCCTTGCTCCTCTTTTAGGATGCTAAGTTACAATTTGGCATTGTTACATCTTAGTTATAACTAAGTTACAACTTGGCACACCCATCAATTTAGGCAGTCATGAACTCTGGGAACGAAAGTGATCATATAAACATTTCCATAGTGTCTTAATAATCAAGCTGAACAGCTAAAGAGAGATGCATGTTTCATCCCTGGCCAGTTCAGAACACAATGCATCTGTAGTCCTGGAGACTCCACACACCTTCCATTTACACAGAAGAACCAGAGATGCCATGACTAGTCCACCTAAGAACAGTCCAGTTCTCCCAACATGAAGTTGAGCACCCAAGTCAATCTCCCCAGGAACATTGTATTGTCTGGCAAATTAGGAAAGATAAGAATTTCATCTGCAAAAAAAAAAGTATGAATAAGAAATTAGCTATGTCAATGTGACAATAAATATTCATTGGGTTAAGACATTAACTTTTTGTGGGAAACTGGTTCTTTAAAATTCTTTTTTAACATACAGGTTTTGCCTCCTGATTTACTTTTATCTGAGAGTTGAACTCTGCTGGGTTAAAAAAATCACCATTATATTTAAATAGCTATCTAAGGTTATTATAAAGGGAAGAAAACATTTTCATTAAACTGTACAATTGTGTTGGTAAGCCAGTGCTTTATGGAAATGTCATTGGTTTCTTCACTGATTTCTGTTGGAAAGAAAAAACATATCAAAGAATTTAGAATATGAAAGCATTGAGTTGTATTATTACCAAATTAATTTTATTTCGTATTTCATAAATTAGTTAACAATGTATTAATAGACTACATAGTGAAAACATCCATCCATTTTTAACTTCACAGAGAAAACTTCGAGTGGGGGAGGGGCATGGGTGAGAATTGTTTTATGACTTGTTGCAGTCTCAAATGTAAATATTCACCTCCCACGAATTTCTGTAATTGTGTTTACATATTGGGATCAATATCTTTACAATGTTTTAGGAGAACATATTAAATTTTTAAAATTATATAATTGCTTCAAAGGGAGCTGATGTACTTTCCAGCACCAAAACTGAGAAGATTTCTTAAAAATTCAGCATCTTGATGAGGCTGCTAAAATTGCACAGATATATGTAGTTCCACATTCAAATTGTAAGAATATGTTTAGGAAATAATGACATCATGATCCTTATATGCTTGGACTCAATAACGGCAAAGAAAGCTTGAAAAATATGATTCCACAGTAAAAGTTGACTTAATAGAATAGTGGTTGAAGAAAATTTTGTGGATAGAATATGCTTAGGGATTTTTAATAACAGCATTTGTTGCCTCACTGGTTCTTTTTAAGGAAATCCTTCCTGATTGCTTCAGTCAAATATATTTAAAGCTGATTAAAGGATGGGGTAATAAAATATGAGAATGGCTGAGTTAAAAGAAGACACTGAAACCAGTCTTATTTACATCTATAGCAATTACTTGTTAAATTAGCAGATGATAATAAAGATGTTACAACATCAGGGAAGCCAAAGAATTTCCATTAGGAGACTAAGAGAGCTAGAAAAAAATGGTAAAAAATGAGCAAAAATCTGCTTAGAAAATGTTGTGGGTGACATGGACTGAATTCACTTGAAATTTACTGAGTTCAAATAGTTATTTTTAACCACTTCTTGCCAGAAAATGAATTTAAAATTGGAGAAAATTATAAGCTATAATTATAGTTCAAGAAGGCAGGATTCAGCCTCTAAATTCAACTGCCTGGGATCAAATTCTACTTCTGCCACTTACTCACTTTGTGACCTCAGAGAGGTACCTAAACATCTCTGTGCCTCGGATTTCTGATCTGTAAATGAGTTAATATTGGTACCTATTTCTGGGCTGCTGGGTTAATATATTCAAGTTCCCTAGAACAGCATGCTTAACTACTAGATGCTAAGACGGAAATATCCCTTGGGTAGAGACCATGCTGTATGTGCTTGTGCAGGTGAGGTGTTTGTAACAATAACTCTTCCCAATCATCCATAATAGTTCTAACACTGAATTAGTGCCAGACATTGTTCCAAAAATGTTAACAAATTTCTGACATAAAAGGTTATGGAATATATTTATAGAACTAGAAAATACATAAATTTGTAGGAAAGAACTAAACAATCCAAATGATACATGTGGAAGATTGGCAAATGTTGAGAAGGACCTTTGATAATATCAAAGTCAATATTTCTTATCTGGGAGGCTGATAGAATCACATGAGATGTTTTACTTTTTCTTTAATATCTGAGTTCCTAACATAGACAAAATAAATCATAATCTTTTAGGGGTGTTTCCTAGACATCAGTATTTTTTAAGGCTTTACGGTTGTTTCTAACATGCAGCTAAGATATAGAAACTCTGAAATTTCTTTTCAGCTGCCTTGTAACCACATATTGTAACCAAGGTCTAGGGAGATGAAGTAAATTGCCTAATGCCACAGAAAGCTAATGATGTCCTGCCTAACTTCTTTCATGTCTAAACATGGCTTGAGTTACTCTTTCCTCCAAATCCTTATTGCTATATTAGGACCTAGGGAAATGCACTGTGACAATGATTACACAAAAGATCCACATTTAAAAGAAATTTACTAATCTAAAAGAGAAAATAAAAGAAGGCTAAAGACTCTAATGAATGGATATAAAAATAATTCTGCCCCATATTTCCAAAAAAAAGATATAACAATAAATTTCCCATAACATTAAAAAAACACAAATTTGAGAAAAATTGATTATAGTAATAATCAACTATGCAAATATTACATAGGAAAAAATATAAATCTGCAGTAGTAATTACTTATTTCATAATGATAATCATGAAGAAAGGAGATAAGAAATGTTTGATTTCCCATTTACAGACTCCATAGATTGAAAAAATATAGCCAGCCCTAGATATACAGAAAGAAATTGGTGAAAATAGACATAACATGGCTGCAGACTAAAGATACTTTCTCTTCTATCCTTTATTCAGGAATGGCTGAGGTAAAATTTATTTTCTAGGTGTCAGGTTTGAATAATTCAATAGCTTTTAAAAAAAATGGTTCATATTTAAAAGGACACTTGGTCCAGAGATTTTTGTTGTTGTTGTTGTTGTTGTCCCGGAGATTTTTTTCCCTGCCGACTTCAGAATTGCTACAGGTAACATTGCTATTTTCTTCAATGTTTCAATGTAAGCCTTTATTTATACTTATGCTTAATTGCTCAGTTTTTCTAAAGGGTATTTCCTGTTTAAGGTTATTCAGAAGATGTTTGATCTTACTTAATTCTAATTTTCTCTTACAACAGATTGCTGCTGCAGAAAACAATGGAAATGAATCAGGTGTAAGAGAGCTACTAAAAAGGATTGTGCAGAAAGAAAACTGGTTCTCTGCATTTCTGAATGTTCTTCGTCAAACAGGAAACAATGAACTTGTCCAAGAGTTAACAGGCTCTGATTGCTCAGAAAGCAATGCAGGTATTTGTAATTTTACTGAGGAAGATTCTTCAAATTCTGCCTAGTGATTGAGAATTCAATAAAGCAGAAAGACACAATGCTAAACACCAAGATTTTTAGAATCAAAATTTTAAGAGTGGAACATATGTGATAGATCATCTATTTTATCACCTTAACAAATGAGGAAATTGATGCCTGGGAAAATATCAACTGATCAAAGACCATTTTTCATCCAACCAACACTCTTTCTACTACCTTATTTTAAAAACAATATGACTACCAGAAATTTTATCAAGATTATGTAACATTAAATATACACAAATACATTGGAAGAAAGTATTTTAGTGGTTATAAAAAATCTGCTGCATATTCTTCTGAACATTTTTATACATTTTAAGCAATGTATTAAGCATTTGATAAAAGGATTGTTTTGTCAATATATCTCAACCTTACCTAATGTGAGATTTTAAACAGCATTCAATAATAGTAATAACATAACATTTTATAGCTCCTTCTCCTACATTATTTGTAAATCTCACTTAAACTGCTATCTTATTTTTCTTTTCGTAGTATGCATCCTATGTTTCCAAAAATATCATATGAAAGACAAATTGAAAGTTAACTATTAATTAATTATAATCATTGCAGTTTTGTTCTGGTGACCCTAACTAATGAAAACTTTGCTGTAAAAAGTGGGGTGCTGCTGTAACAAACACCTAAACGTGTGGAAGTGGCTTTGGAACTGGGTAATTGATAGAGACTGTAAGAGTTTTGGGTGAATGGTAGAAATATGGGTGTTCAGGGTGATTCTGGTGAGGTCACAGAGAGAAATGAGAAAAATGTCATTGGAAACTGGAAGAAAGGTGATCCTTGTTATAAAATGGGATAAAACTTGATCTCACAAGTAATGGATTTGGATATTTGGCTGAGAAAATTTCTTAGCAAAATGCTGAAGGAGCAGCTTGATTTCCCCTAACTGCTTATAGTAAAATGCAAAAGAAGAGAAATTAATTGAAGGAGTTGTTATGCAAAAAGGAACCAAAATTTAAATATCTGGAAAATTCTCAGCCTATCCATATGGCAAAAAATGAGAAATTGTGTTATAAAGAGAACAACCAATTGATAACAAGATCATGGGTGCTACTGATGGACTTAATCAGCCATTTCAGCAGAAGGTAGGAGTAGAGATATATTATACCAGCAAATACACTTCCAGTTTGAACTGAAGGAGACAGAGAAAGCAGGACAGAATGAGAAAAGGATACTGGACTTTCTGGATTCTACAGAACCAGACCATAGAGCTATTTGGCTGTGAATGTGTACTATTCTTCAGGGAAAGGAAAGAATGCCCCCAAAAGTGATACAGAAGTCATCAGGGTTGCCACTTCCACCACAGACCCAGAGGCCAAGGCAGTTTCCTTTTTGGTTTCAAAGGGCAAAACTGTCTCTCTGGTTTTAGTGAGCCCTCAGGATGACCCTGCCTAGTGTCTCAGAAGCAGAGCTATCCTCACAGAAAGCTGTGTGGATGGAGCCCTTAGAGAGAGCAGGCTGTCTTGCAGAGCCCTAGAACCTGCCATTCCGTGGACCTGGAAGGCAGAGCATCAAACCAAACAGAGCTATTCTCAAGCCTTATAAGCCTTAAGATGTGACAGAATTTACCTTAATAAGTTTTGGATTTGCTTGGGACCCATCACCCTTGCTTTCTTTCCTATATCTCCTTTTTGGAATAAGACGTCCATCCTATGCCTGTCCCACCATTGTATTATGGAAAAGAAACATGTAGCTCAACTGGTTTCACAAGTTCACAGCTGGTGATGAATTTGCCTTATCATGAATCACACCTCTAGTCTCATCTACGTCTGATTTGGACAATGTTTAGGTGAGACTTTTGACTTTAGACTTAGAGTTCATGCTTCAGTGAGTTAAGGCACTTGGGCTGATGAGATGAGATGAATGTATTTTGTATGTAGTAAAGATATGAATTTTGGGAAGCCAATGGTAAAATGCTACAGATGGAATTTTGTCCTCCTAATACTCATATGTTGGAACCTAATATGACTCTATCTGGAGACAGTGATAGTAGGAGATAGTTAAGATTAAATGAGCCAGGCCAAGCGTGGTGGCTCACGCCTGTAATCCCAGCACTTTGGGAGGCCAAGACGGGTGGATCACCTGAGGTCAGGAGTTTGAGACCAGCCTGGCCAACATGGCGAAACCGCATCTCTACTAAGAATACAAAAATTAGCTGGGGTGGTGGCATGCAGCTATAATCCCAGCTACTTGGAAGGCTGAGGCAGAAGAATCACTTGAACCAGGAGGCTGAGGTTGCAGTGAGCCGAGATCATGCCACTGCACTCTGGCCTGGGTGTCAGAGCAAGACTCCGTCTCAAAAAAAAAAAAAAAAGATTAAATGAATCATAAGAATGGGGCCTTAATCTGATAGAATTGTGGCCTTTTAAGAAGAGGAAGAAAGAGAAAAAGAGAAACATCTGTCTCTTTCTCTCTCTTAACCGTGTGAGGACGCAGGGAGAACGTGGCCATCTGCAAATCAAGGAGAGAGTCCTCATCAGACATTGACCCTGCTGTCACCTTGATCTTGGACTTCCAGTGCCCAGAACTGTGAGAAAAGAAGTGTCTGTTGTTTCAGCCACTCAGTTGATGGTGTTTTATTATGGCAGCATAAACAGACTACTGTAGGAGCTTAGACTCTGGGTCCTGATACATATCGGATCCTGATGCTTATCAAATCCAGGCTCCTTCCTTGAATGTGTGACCTTTGGCCAGGTTCTCGACTTCTCTATGCCTCAGTTTACTCCTCAGTAAAATGGAGATAATAATATTACTTATCACCTCAGTAAAATGGAGACAATAATATTACTTACCATCTAGGTTTATTTTGAGACTTAAATAACTTAATGTATGTAAAGTATTTATATTGTGAGTGCAAAATAAATTAACTATTATAATAGTCCCTAATGTACTTAATATCTAACTGCAAACATTGCCAAGTTTTCTTCTTGTCCAAAGTCACAACAGTTTTCTTTAGGAAATTTTCCATACAAAGTGGGGCACATTTTCACTGGGTTCTTTAAGATGAGATAATAAAAAATGATACGTTAGAAAATTTTCCTTATGGCATCAGTCTTCTCTGACAGATTGCAGCTTCATAAAGGCAAAAACTCTTGATTTTCTTTTTAACCCACATAAGCCCTTAATAAAATACCCATTACATGTAGTTGAAGTAAGAAAAGCTGGAAGTGAGGAATGGAGGAAAGAAGAAAAGAGGGGCACAAAATATTTCATTAAATGTTTTAAAAATCCCCAGAAATTCAGAATACATGAATATAGGCTGACATTAAAGCAGATGTACGTCTCGTGCAGAACACACAGTGAGGAAACAAAATGGCAAGAGCAAAGCTAAAGAAAACTACCAAATTTGCATTTTCATTAATTCAGCCTTAAATGTAACTTTGTGTCACTGAATAAGTGACTTACTTCCTAAACATGACGGTCAGACAGGAAATCACTTTTCTTGTGATTAGCATAATGCTTATATTGTTTTTTTAGCTACAGTCTAATCATTACAAAGAACTACTCGTTGTGTCCATATTAAAATTAAAAGTACCTTGCCATAACAAAAGCACATTCTAAGCCTTTCGAAATGTCAACATATTAAAATATATTAAAGCAATCTCTATTGCGGGCTCTCCATTTTGTTTTCAAAATAACAATAACAGCTATTTATATTGTATAAAATCTTGCATTGCAATACAATTTACATTCTATTCAGAACTTCAAAGTATTTAAATATATTCAGGCAATCTCTATTAGGAACCTCTAGTTTGTTTTCAAAATAACAATAACAGTTATGTATGCTCTACAAAAACTTGTATGGCACTATGATTTGCATTCTAATACTGTTATTCACAGAGATTGAGAATTTATCACAAGTTGATGGTCCTCAAGTGGAAGAGCAACTTCTTTCAACCACAGTTCAGCCAAATCTGGAGAAGGAGGTCTGGGGCATGGAGAATAACTCATCAGAATCATCTTTTGCAGATTCTTCTGTAGTTTCAGGTACTTGAAACACATACGTACTTTAATACAGTAATTACTACTTCCAGAAAAACCAACTGGGCAGAACCTATTAATCAGAGGGAGAAAATGTGGGCATTAAGGTTAGTAAACATTTATATTAAAATAATATTTTTAGAGGAGATTAAATTAAAATAATTCTTGGCCAAAATGCTTTCTAAAACTAATCCAATATCGATGTGTTATAAATATGAACACAATTGCATCTAATTTTAATTTATAAGAAATCCATAGTCATTGTAAGATAAGTATAAGAATGCCTTATATTTCCTGGTTTTCAAAGTACTTATAAATAGATCAGTCAATTTAATTCACCCAAAACCCTGAAAATAAAATAGATTCATTGCTTTTTTTCTCTGGTTTAAACTGGGATGGCTCAGAGAGGTTCAACTGTGTCGTAAAAATTAAAATCAAAGCTATAAAAAGGAAGATGAACAGATGCTGAACTAGGGTTGGCTTGAATTGCATTAACTAATCGGTGAGGACTGAAGACTACCATGTCCACCTTTTTGATACTGAAACAGCCCTGGCAGAAACAAATTATTTAATTATTTTTTCCCTTTCTAATCTGCTCGTGATAGGAGAATCCACCTCTCCCCTTCTCTGCCAAAAGGACTTATTCTGTTTTCACAAGAAATAGTTGCTTAAAGCCTGTGGTGTGCTGGTGAATGTAACAAGTAACTCTGGGGAAAAGAAAAAGCCCTAGTTTGTAGCATTTGCTAGTCTCTGTGGTTTAAATATTCTCATTCAGGCTTATTTCAAGCTTCCAACATAAGATCACTGAACACAAAGCTGGGAAGAGCTGTGCAGTGGCACATCTTTATACAGCATTCCCACCGTACAGATGCAAAAGACGGAGATAGCCTCCAGATCAAAGATGATAGTTAAATGATTAGGTGATGAGTTTTAAATACTTACAACCTTTGCCTGAAAATAATTTCTTTTATGGTAAGTTTATACAATTTAATTTTTGTAATGGCTGTGGTTAAAAACTCAGAAAATTCCTGAAAAGTTACCAGTTAGCTCCTGTGAGCCCATATAAACT
Organism: Homo sapiens; assembly: GCF_000001405.40. Taxonomy (NCBI): domain Eukaryota; kingdom Metazoa; phylum Chordata; class Mammalia; order Primates; family Hominidae; genus Homo; species Homo sapiens. Next base: position 162,305,645 of record NC_000002.12, on the reverse strand, counting down.
AACTCTAGCACACCACTGCAAAGTTTATTATTTTTATTTTTTTAATTTCATTTTATTTTATTTTATTTTATTTTTGGAGATGGAATCTCACTCAGTCACACAGGCTGGAGTGCAGTGGCATGCTCTTGGCTCACTGCATCCTTCACCTCCCGGGTTCAAGTGATTCTCCTGCCTCAGCCTCCCAAGTAGCTGGGATTACAGGCACCCACCACCATGCCCGGCTAATTTTTGTATTTTTAGTAGAGACAGGGTTTCACCATGTTGGCCAGGATTGTCTTGAACTCCTGACCTCAGGTGATCCCCCCCACTCGGCCTCCCAAAGTGCTGGGATTACAGGCATGAGCCACTCCGCCTGGCCTTGTTATTTTGTACTTAGATAAGTAATATGCATGCATTGCAAGAAATCTGTAATACACAGAAACACACAAAGAAGTCACCAATATTCCCAGAATGTGGATATTACACTTAACATTTGGGTATGTGTGCTTCTGGGCTTTTTACATACCTGAATGTGTATATATAGTGTCATTTCTCTTATGTTCATTAAATATTCTTCTACAGCCTGGTTTTTAATGACTAAATAATGGTCCCACCATTTGGATGCAGTATGATTAATTGACCAATTGTTGAACATTTAAATAATGCCTCGATAGCTCTCTTTGTACTTATGTCACAGTTTGCTTTTTAAAAACATATTATATAATTGGAATTTCTGGGTCAAATGATTTATACTATTTTAACACATTTGATACTTAATGTCAAATCTCACTCCAGGAACTTGTACCAATTTACATGTTCTCCAAGAGTATGGGATATGAGTGCTTATTTCCCTGAATTCTCTTCTACGAGAATGAATAATATTATCATGTTCAATCTTTTCAATTTGGCTGCTATTAAAAATGGTATTTCGTTATTTGAATTTACATTTTCATATTTCTGCTGAAAAAGAATTTCACAAATTCATTCTCTTTGTTTTGTTAATTATCAATACTTTTAAAATTCACTTTTCTATTAGGGTATTCATCTTCTTTTTGCTGACTTATATGAACTATCTAAGTATATAAGATATCAATTCATTGTCATAAATAGTACCAATTTTTTTCACAGTTGGCTTGCTTTTTAGCCTGTTTGTGGATTTTTCTCTTTTTCTTTTTTTGGGGGTTCTGGGGGCAGGCGGGGACAGGGTCTTGCTCTGTCTCTCTGTCGCCCAGGCTGGAGTACAGTGGCACAAACACAGCTCACTGCAGCCTTGACCTCCCAGGCGCAAGTGATCCTCCCACCTCAGTCTCCCAAGTAGCTGGCATCACGGGCGTGCGCCACCATACCCAGCTAATTTTTGTATTTTTTTTAGAGAATGGGGTTTCACCATGTTGTCAAGACTTGTCTGGAAACTCCTGGGCTCAAGGAATCCTCCTGCCTTGGCCTCCCAAAGTGCTGGGATTATAGGCTTGAGCTGCTGTTTGTTTTTTAATGTAATGCGATTCCACCTTTCTCATAAACTCTGGTGCTGCTGCTGCTGCTAATAGCAAAGCTTATACAGGATAGTTTTTTTTGTTGTTGTTGTTGTTTTTCATTTGAGCAGCTGCACCTTCCTTTAGAAATCATGATTCTATAGGAATGCCAAAATTCACTATCTGAGTGTGGAGTTTTCATGTTTTAATAAATGTCCTTTACAAGCTACTCGACATCTCTATGAGTTACTGGCCATTTTCTGTAAATCCACACTAGAAAGAAGGGAAGATGGAGCTACTGCTGAGAGATGACCCTGCATCTTAAATGAGGGTTTATCATCAAAGATTACCAGACTAATGCATTGCATTAGCTTGTAGTTAATCTGCTCTGAACTTCTAGTGAACAAAATTAAAGGCAAAGTTTTAAATTTTTTTAAATTTTTACTTCTTAGTATAAAACTTAAAGATGTATCTTGTGAAAAAAATTTTAATAATGATATTAGGGGACAGAAAAGCTTTTTATTTTTTTTTTTCCTCTTGGGTTCCTTCCTCTCTATCTCCCTCCTTCCCTTCCCTTCCTTTCACCCTAACTTCCTTCCCTCTCTTCCTTTCACTTCTTTCATTTAACAACTATTTTCCAAACTCCTATCATGTGCCAGGCACCTTGTTGTATACTGTGAACTCAGGAACATAACAGAAATGGCTTCATGGCCATGGAGCCTAATATGACTCTATCTGGAGATTGTGATGGTAAGAGATAATTAAGAGTAAATGAGTCAGGCCAGGCGTGGTGGCTCACACCTGTAATCCCAGGACTTTGGGAGGACGAGGCGGGTGGATCACCTGAGGCCAGGAGTTCAAGACCAGCCTGACCACCATGGTGAAGCCCTATCTGTATTAAAAATACAAAAACTTAGCCGAGCATGGTGGCAGATGCCTGTAATCCCAGCTACTTGGAAGGCTGAGGCAGGGGAATCACTTGAACCCAAGAGGCAGAGGTTGCAGTGAGCCAAGATTGCACCATTGCACTCCAGCCTGAGCAATAAGAACAAAAAAACTCCGTCTCAAAAAAAAAGAAATGACTTCAGCCCCCATGGAGCTTTCCACTGAGGGAGGTGTCGGCCCAGCAGTAGTAACTGTATAGCTACACTTTTAGTAAGTGCCATGAAAGAGTAGTACAGAGTATTAAAATATATAATAGTCTGAGAGCATGTAAGAGTATACAGTAAACTGCACAGTAATCCGAGGATCCATCCAATTCACAAACATCTTAATGGTCTTCTAGTCCATAGGTTCTTTATGATATCTGGATTTCTCATGTGGATTTGAAAGCAGGTTAGTTTAATCCATTCTGGCCCTTTCCAGAGCACTAGCAAAGAGTCACTTATTTATGAAAATGTAGTGTGTTTGCTTCAGACCTTTGCTTTAGACTGCTGCTGTCATTCCAGGTATCTGTTTGTTTCCTTGTTATCTTAAGGACTAAGAATTACTGATATTAATAACTTATAAAGTACCATTAGTCCAGAGAAATTATTGAGTTCTTTTGATTGAAGTTTTTGTTGCAGAATTTACTATGGAAGGGTTTTGCCTGCATAGGCATTTTCTGACAGAAGTAACAATCAAGGTAAATGTGAAAGTGCTCCATAGCTTCTAATATGCATTTGTGTAGTTTTGTTTTGTGTATCTTCTTGATATTGATAATGTTTAGTCTTTATTTTGAATTCCATTATATTAGGTTAAAGTTTCAAATAGTTGCCAAGATAGCACTGAAAAAAACTTGTCACAAAGTCTGTAAATATGATTTTTATGTGTATAAAGAAAAGACTCAAATTATTTGTAATTTTAAATTAAGATATTTATAATTATTATTTCTGAACCAGTTTATCAAATATTTTCTCAGTGCATAGTAGTCTTAGTGCATGCAAATATTAATTATTTATAGCTTTAATGCAAAGATTATGTGTGTGTGTGTGTTTTAGCACCTTTTACCCCTTAACACATCTGATGGATAAGACACACTACCATCAGTAACAGTGGCCCACCTTGAAACTAATTTTAAACACATATCCCTTTGGCACTAGAGGTGACATATCAGAGTTCTCTAGTGGATTGTTCTAGAGAGTGATTTCATCATATCTCCAAACTTGCGGGTTGATATGTGTCCTTTTTCCTCCTCCCACCTATGTTTACAAATCAATTGCTTCTCATTAAAAAAGTGGTTAGTAATTGATATATCAATTTTTTATTTGCCCTTTTCCAAATTACCAAAACAATTTCTAAACAAAATTTGAACAGTTCTCAGACTATTAATGGCAATTTAATGCTGGATGCTATAGTTCTGCTTTCTGAAGTCACTGGTCGTCTTATAACAAAAGATAACTGCAAAACTTTGGTGTTTCTCTAGATCAGATTTCCCTAGGAAACATCAGAGAGACACTAAGCCTGCTTTCATTTTCTATTAAAAGCATTTTAATTATAGCAAATAATTGACTTCTATATAGCAAATATTTTACTTCTAAAAGCGAACAGTTAAATTAGTTGTGCAGTCAGTCTTTGTCTGCTACTGCTGCTTTGTCAAAACAAGTGAATAGTTACTTCACATTAACCTTTTTTCATTATACTATTTTAGGAATTAATGCATTACAATAAAATCAAAGGAAATTAAGTGACATTTAAAACTAAGTCAACTTTATTGCATTTGGTATAAACTTTTATGCAGAATGGAGCAGAAAATCCCCCCAAACTTCTTTAATCATTGTGTTACAGCTGCCCTATTGTGAAAACTAGAAAATGCAAATGCCTCAGATTGGCCAGCAGAGGGCGCCTTTACATTTATAAAGCCAATGGAATTTCACTGTTTCAGCGTGAAAGATTATAATGTAACTGTAGAGTGTGCCATGTGTGAATATACAGTGCGCATGACTGTGATTGCATGTGTATATTTTGATTTATATATTCGTTCACGTGAAGATTTTAAAATTCCACCCCAGCTAATGAGCTTACCAACCTGCTTGTTTTCAGACTTTAATACCTTCTTTCTCATATTTCCCCATATGTTCCACTCCTTAGGTTTATCCGGTGACATTATGCTTTGGAATATATTGTGGATATATTTTGCATAGATCATGTTCTGTAGGAGGGGTTTAAAAATTGACCTTTACAAAACAGCCTTCTTCTCCCTGGTCCAATCTGTTATAGCACTTTTTTTGTTGTTGTTTTGTTTTGCCTTTTTATAGACTAAAGTCCAATCTTAGATTTGGTCTATACTAATTTCTGTAAAAGTGCCACAAAATTTATCCTTGCACTTGAGGACCAGAATAATGTTCTGTAGCACTAACCTCTAGAAATCTAGAGATTTTTAGAATCTCTAGAAATAAAACCATAGCATTTGAAACCTAAGTGGAAAAAAATAATTGATACAGTAGTTTACAATAAGACTGTTTCAGAATCATTCATGCTATATCAGGACTGGTTTGAAGTAAGAGCACTCCTTTACTTTTTAATTTTTCTAAACTTAGTTATCATTAATTATTGAGAACTAGCAGTACTACTGAGGCAATCCAAAAGACACATATTAATTTGAGCTGAGAGAAAGAGAGAGATGCTGATGCTGACACTGATATTGGTACTTGTTAAAGGATTATGTAAGTTTGTATTTTATTTGAAACCTAGCATGAGGTATCTGGGTCAGTTATATGGCTTACAGTTGCATAATAGTCCTAGGAGGATTACCATTCATACCTCAGGAATGGGGACATAAATATTATGACAGAAAGACAGAAAGAAATCTCCCCAGTGTGCAGTTAATACATGTTGGATTTATTTTCATGATATCTGTTTATGACTACAAACATAAAGCTGTTTTTTTAGCAGAGTTTTAACAAAAGCAGTGATTTTAATTTTGACTATCAGATCTTCCCTTCACAATTTTAGGATGTGAATGAGGTCAGAAGCCAGAGAAATAGGAAGAAGGAGGTGAGTTGGTCAGATAATACAGTATCATTGAGAGAACCAAGCACTGAGGAATTGCGTTCACTCTCAAAAAGTTTATACTCTAATGAAGGAAAACAAGTGACATGCCTCCACAAAGAAACTGTAATCTAGCCATGGTAAAAGAGATGCAAGATCTATATTACAGGATGAAGAGAGAAGATCTGTAAAAGAAGGAAGACTGACGAGAGAAAGCTTACCAGATGAGGAATATCAGATATTTCATCTGAGCCTTGAGAGCACTATGCTGGATTTGTAAATAGAAGTGGCAGGCAACATTTCAGGTTTCAGAGGCATCATGAGCAAAAGCACAAGCACAAGAGAGCTCAAAATGTGTTCAGAGGAACAGTCTGATGAGAGAGGAGCATTTGTGGAGGAGGGCGGTAGGATTTAAGACTTCTAAGATCAGTGAAAGTTAACGAGTTTCTCTAACAGTAATTTTTACAATGCTTTTTCTCACACACACACACTTTTAAAAGTACACCATTTATCATTTGGATAATTATACAATGCCAGCACAATGCATGTGTGTACAAGCATCATCTCAGATGATGATTGTAGGAAAGTCCTTAGGTAGAGGAATATATCTAGCAGAGCGCTGGAACTGGATCTTACTGGCTTGTAAGACCCCAGTGTGCACATCTCTTTCCAGCTCCACACAGGACATCATGCTGGAAATTGGCCACGGTGTGAATATTTACACCATGGAAATTGACAAACCTTTTAAAAATCCTGTCTCCCCCCACCAAAGGGCCAGTTGTTGAACATTTACCTGGGCACCCTTAGTGTATTCGTATCTCCCTCCATTCTTTCATGTCTGCTTAAGTTTGCTTAACTCCTACAGCCTTTCCTGAAAAGTGCTTACCAGCCAAAGAGGTTTCTAATTCACATTCTACCTTGCCGTCTCCAAACCTTGTTATTGCCAAGATTTACTTCCCATGTGGTTACCTGGCTTCTCACTATTAACTGACTCTACTCTAGGACTTTTTGCCTCCATTACTGACTGGCAGTGAATGAATGGGTCATTCTGGTGTGTGTTGTTATCCTTGCAACCTGTGCTTTAATAACTACCTCTCTTTATTAGAACCTAAGTGCAAAGGCTAAAGGGCATAGATGATACAATCTAAGCCAACCTCATTACACACAATTCAAATTTAATTCTGTTAGAAACATTTCAGCAGTAGAAATTCTATAAACAGGAGCAGAGGAGCTCCATGGATAGCCATGTGGGCCTGTGGCTCTAGGAGAGTGATTTTTCTCGTTGGGGAACTCATTTCCTAGAAGCTTGGATCCAGGAGAGAATATGCAAGGTGGGTGGAGGTGGCTTCTCTCCATTCTGTGGGAACACATGTTCCCTGGCACGGAGAGGAAAATCTGACAGACCAAAATGTGAGTGTGTGTGTGTGTGTGTGTGCGCGCGCGCGTGCGTGTGTGTGTAGATCCATATACATAGAGCTGAAAATAAAAGTGATCTATTTCCTCTCAAAAAAGATTAAGTTATTTCAAAAGGAAAGGAAATATATATTATTAGCAGTATGAGTGTAAGCCCACTTGAGAAGCCCATGCAGTCTTTGTGTGTGTGCCCAAACGTGCACACATGTTTCAAGCTTTCGGGGTAGCTTGGACCTTCCAGGCGTGAGGATTATGAAACTGGAGGGAAGGTGGGGATAGCTGCAAAGGTGAAGCTAAAATGCATCACAAGGTCAGAACTAGAATAAACATGAAATTACCATGAAAAGTGAAATTGGACTAAAGACCTTGTCACCACTGACTCGCAGGAGAACAGGAGCAGTTGGTGCTGTTCTTTCTCAATATGCACAGAGGCCCTTTCCCCTCGCGTTTCCTGCTGTAATGCAAAACCACTTTTCGGGAAAAATAGTGTGTGGCAGACTGAAGCCAGGGGAAAGAAACGAAAGATATTCTGTGGGGTGATAAATGCCTCTAGGCCAAAAATAGAAGAGGTACTACCTGGTAGGAATAGAAGCAAGAATCAATTTGAATTTTACCTAATGGAGCTTAGCTCTTTGAATAAAGAATGCCTACTTGTCCACTACTTGCCATGTTAGCTTTTTCCAGCAGAGGGCAGACTTTACATTGAAATAGATCTAAAAAGGCCTTCAACCTCTTGCTTTATTTATTTATTTTTTTTGGTTTGAATATTTTAAAGTTCAATATTTTTGGTTTCTAAATGATTTAAAAATATTTTAAAGTATTTAAGGTCTAGAGTATGTTAAATAAGAAATTTCTTGGATTTCAGTTAATATTTCTGCCTTATTAGCAAAATACTCAAGATGTGATTGCAAAATAAGGCTTTTTTTTTCCATGGCTTTTGGGCTGGTCTTAGGCACTTGCTGTCATTGTAGGCAAGGCTGTTCTTTTTTGTGTTGTTTACAAAATTATGAAAGAAAATCCTATCTCTTAACTGGATGGTTATAATTTTCATTCATTCCAATAGCTTTTGATATAAATAACTGCTTTTCTTTAACAGTTCAATTACTACCATCTTCTAATCTGTTTCATAGTTAGCTTTGATATTTTCCCTAGAGGAAATGACACCTATATAAAACTTAACTAAACTTATTATACAATATAACTTCAATATTCAAAGCCCTTTTAATGAGAATTTAAAATTTGTTTCTCTTCGAGTTTCATTTTCTTGGTCTAACCGAATCATTCTCACAATAAGTGAGAAAATAGAGACTACTATCTCTCTCTATATATTTTTTAAAACAGAAGGTTAATTTGCTTGTAAGTCGTGGCTACGTTCGATCTGGAGACTTATCTGTTGGACTCCAAAGCACAAATTTTTTTCATAGCAAGGCCTGCCTCCAATTAACTCCATGCGATCTACTTATAAAATCATAAACGCAGGACTTTATTCATTAGGACTTAAATCCAGACTGACATAGTTTGAAAAATACAAAGAACAAAACAAGATAAACCTAAATAAATCAATTTCAGAAATTCTTGGCATTTAAACTCAATAGGTCGGTTTAATTTTGGCTTCACGCAAACACTTTCTTGATCTCACTTTTTTGGGAGTGTGTGTGTGTTTGTGTGTAATACGGTTTTTAAAGTGAATGCAGGAGGAAGATCTCTGGGGAAGGCATTCTCCCTATTATAAGAAATACAATATATTTTCTTTTATTATTAAATTTTACTTATATTTCTATGAAAGCAAAAACGTATATCAAAATGCATAAGAATTTGCTGCCTAGGAAACAAAATTATTTTTATGTGGAGAAACTGAAGATTTATATACCCTTAAAATGACAAAGAAATCGAGCTCCATATATTCACTTTCATTTTCATAATAATCTCTACAGGATTACTGCAATTAATTTTATGTAACGAGAACAGAGGTGTTCTTTTTATTTGAGTGCAGAAAAAAGTTTAAAAAGAGGTGTGGACACTTAAATGTAAAGTTAGTGAAAATCTATCAATGAAACCAGAAATGTTAGCAAAGCAAAATCATCTCTCTAAGTTCTTTTCTTGGAAAGATAAGCTCTGTTTCAAGATGGATAGAAATGTGACAATACAATGAAAATGTCTCTTGCTGTTGAAAAACACCACCACCACAGCTCTTAATTCAGTTAACACTGTGTTTACAAAACTTCACCCAAATCATCAGCCATGCTTAGTGTTAGCGGAAAAAGCACTGGAACACTGGACTTGGATTCAGAAATGAGGATTCTGCCCCACTGTAGCTGTGTGATCTGGATATATCAGTTAACCTCTCAGCGCCTTGGTTTCTCACCTATGAAACAGGAGATAATATGTATCTACCACACAGAATGTTGAGAGATTAAAATGAAATTTACATTACATCTGTGAAAACTCTGAGTTCAGTGTCTTCCTGACACATTGGTGATTGGTTTGTTAGATCAAAATAATCCAGATAATAGACTTTATTAATAATACCCTATTTTGGGTAGCAACTTTTAAAACAATTCATCAATTATTCGTGCACATTGCATAAATAGCTCCCTCCCAAAACTTACGGATGTTAGAACAAAGCTTGGGAGAAATCTTGACTCTACATGTAGATGAAGTAGGTTTAAGATTAAAGTTTAACTGCTAGTGATTAGAAAATGAAGTGGAAATCAAATATAATTTTCATTTTTATTATACTTGGAAAATTTAATGATACAGTCTTAGATTTTAGATATTTGTTAGTATTTTTTCAGTAATTTTGGTATTCTCTTCAGTTCTCAATATTACATTTAAAACAGCAAATGAAAAGCATGTCAAAATTCACTTTTTTGCCTCAAAAATCTTAGCCTATATTTCTAGATCTAGAATTACTCTTGCAATGACATTTTCCCCATCTCATTTTACACCTTGCCTTTTCCTTACAAATCATATTCTCTTTTCATCAGTACATCTGCCCAAAACGCTCTTCTACTTGACAGTTCTATCCCACATTCGCCTCTGAGCTTCTAACAAGACATACCTCTGGGAATTGCGAGGTGCCATATTTTAAATCTCTCAGTGAGATATACAGGTTTTCCCGTGTGATCATAAGGGATTCCTCAAATCTGAGTTTTAGAACTAATCTGCGACAACTGATAAGCACAGTATTTTCACATTAGTATATTTATGTTGTGCTAATATACTTAAACAGTATGTATGTCCATTGAGAATTTTTCTACAAATTTCTTATCAGCTTACTTTTAATTTTTAAGAAAGATACCTTACATATTTGATTGGCATTGGCTGTAATTCTGTTATAGCTCTTAAACTAAATAGGCTCATCCAAATTGGATGGGAGATGTAAATGTCACAGATTCTCAGTGGAATACTAGTCAGCAATAAAAAGGAACAAATTAGTAATACACACAACAACGTAGATGAATCACAATTACTATAAACTAAGTTTTAAAAGACAGACATAAAGGCTACATATTGCATGAATCCATTCATATGACATCCTGGAAAAGGAAAAACTATTGGAACAGAAACCAGATCAGTGGTTGCCACTGGTTGTCTGATGTGGAACAGAAACCAGATTAGATAACCAGAGGGATTTACTACAAAGAGGCTTGAGGAGACTTTTGGGGTGCTGGAAATACCTTAACTGTGATGGTAGTTGCGTAACTGTATACATATGTCAACCTCTTCAAAGTTGCAAAACTGTATACATTTGTCAAACTTCTCAAACTATAAACATAAAAAGTAATCTTTTTAGTAAGTAAATTATATCTTAATATAGCTGACTTGAAAAAATTAACTACTTAAGGAAAAAGGAAATATTTGCAGTTTTGAGTTGTATATCATCTCTTTTCAGAGAAGTTTTATTAAAACATACTATGTGTCTATTTTTTCATCCATTTTTATTTCCAGCCATAAATATGACACTCAGACTAGTTTTAAATAGCTAAGAGCTACCTCATTGGTGTGTTAAGAGGCTTTAGGATGAAATATTATCTAAGTATAAATATTATAAAATATTTTTAATTAAAAGAAGAACATTATCTAATGGAACTCCTATCCTAAGAATATATCATTTCTTGATTTTTATTTCATTTTCTAATTGCCAGCAATTAAAGTCCTGTGCCAAGAGCTTGTTGTACCTAATATTACTTAAAGATTATCAAGGGCTGTGAAGTAAGTGGGATTAGCCTCACTTTAAAACAAGGGGAACTTGTTAGGTTCAGAGCAAAGTGAATAGCAAATTTTGCAAGTCCTTCTGATTCCAAAGCCAATATTAGTAACCACCATTGCTTTATTTTTACCAGTTTAACGATAGTTCTGGTGCTTGAGGATGAGGTTGTGTAAGTGTTTGGAAATAAACTGTAAGAAAAGAATTCTTCTCTGAGGGAAAGAAGGTTTTCAAAAAGAATTGATCCTGAGTTCTGAAAACAGAATGTCAGGATTCATAAATGAAGGATGTGCACTGCTATTCATCCATATTAACCATAACTCTTTGATAGAGGCTTAATCTAATTATAGTAAAGAAAAACAGTTATTTCCAACCTCACATGAGCTTCTAGTACAACTGTGATGCCAGGCTTTAGTGATATTCTTTTTGAACAAATTCTCTTTGAGATTTTACATCTATGTTTATCACCAAACTATCATTTTCATAACTGATCAGTAGATCCAGGTACTTTATTAATTTTTGTACTTTATTAATTCCCTATCATTTTAAATGAAAAGACCTCAAAGGTTTCTATGTATTATTTTTTGTTTAAAAGACATATCAAACCTAAATAGTGTTTTCTTGGGCAACATTTACATGTAGAAGGGCAATAAAAGTTATAAACCCTTAGGAATTTGCTTTAGCTCTCATACTGGATGTGTAGTACTTTAAGTAGGTAATATGTATTTGAATCACTACCCAGCAGCTGCTCATCCATAGTGGATTTTTCTTAATGTAGCCTGCCAGAAGCGCTTACCTTTTATTCATAATTGTCTGGGTGTGCCTTCCCCACTTGAATTGAACTGTATGTACTGTGTGCTGTAGAGGTGTGCAGTTAAAATACGTTTATTCTCAGAAATATTTTAAAAATATTTTAAAATGTTTTCCTTTGCAGAATCAGACACAAGTTTGGCAGAAGGAAGTGTCAGCTGCTTAGATGAAAGTCTTGGACATAACAGCAACATGGGCAGTGATTCAGGCACCATGGGAAGTGATTCAGGTACTGCCTAACTGTTGTGTAAACCTTAAAAAGTGTGAAATAAGACGCCATATAGTGGAAGCATGGGGGCTGTTCATACCCTCCCTAATGTATTTATGCAATTAAAGCAATTCTTTTCTACAGTGAAATAGTTTTGGAACTTTGCCATTCACTTTCTTTAAAAGTGTAACTTACAAACTCTTAGAACCAAACTCTCTAATTTTGATCCAGTACATATCTTTCTGGTCTGGCATATGCCACATTCCATAGAGTCATGTCATCTATTTTATTTATGGGATCTGTTTCAATTAATTTGACTGCATTTAAATAGACTGTATTCAATTTGGTACATTTATTTACTTCCAAATTCTACTTTTTAAATTAAAATACTTTTTAAATAAAAAATTGATACTATCAATAAGAGAAGTATGACTAACTAGAAATTACATATGTAAGTAAAAGAAGTCAAGTTTGTATAAGTATCTTTTGAATAGGAGTAGAGTTGGCAAAATATTTCGGTCACTAAATGAAAATTTTACCAGGTTTTTCCCAAATTACTTTCAATATCAGTTGTATATTCCACCAGCAATAAATGAGAGTGCCTCTTCCTAATTCCCCACACCTTAATTATTACTTCCTGTTATCAGTTTTCCAATTTGTTAGTCTGATAGATTTCAAATTGTTTCTTTCTTTTCTTTGAGTGTATATTTCCATGATGACTACTAAGCTAAAATGTTAACATTATTAAATGTAGGTGATGGGTTAGTGGGTTTCTATTACATACCTTTCTATATTTGCCTACCTGTTTGAAGTATTTCACAATTAAAATGAACAAATCACAAACAAAAATAAAATGCTTTGCAAGGGGCCAGCTAAGAAGCATTGGAAAAATGATAAATTAAGAAACACATTACTTTATTCTTCATTTGTGATTGAGTTGTTTCCCCTAAGAATATATTATATAATTCAGATTATCCTGCATTGTCAGAAGAATTATAAAAATTGATATCCACAAGAGGCCTAAGGTGGCAAAATAGTTTATAGAAAGATTGTCATCAATCCTAAATGCTTTCCAAATTAGATTGTAGCACCTCTTTTTTCATATATCCTTTTATCACAATGACACTCCTGAATCCCTTAGAACAAATTAGTTTGAGGAAACCCAATTCACCAAATGTCATTCACAACTTTAATCTTCATTTAAAAGGGTGAATTCATTTTCTGTTCAATTCAGTCAGTGTTTATTGAGTTCTTGCCATGTGCTTATTTCTGTGGATTATATTTGTTTTTTCTATCCTTGTCATAAAATTGTTCAATTTAATAATTAACATTTCTATTACATGCTATGCTAGAACTCAAAATAGATAATCTAGCTAATATTTAACATCATTATAGGTTGTTTTAAGTTTTTGGAGATCATGCTAATTTTCATTTGTCTAAGTAAGGGCTTTTCAATAATATCCATTCATTCAATAAATATTTAATGTGTACCTTCTATGTGCAGGGCATCTTGCCTATTTAGAGCTGTTAACAAATGTATTTGCTGATTTTTAGTCCTCAATGTGGCATGAAACACATGATAAGTCTGAACGCAATCTACTTTTGAAAAGCAAATACATTTTCAAAGGCAAATACATATTTGAAGACAAACACATCAGAACGAACACCACTTGAAGTTCTAGATGGATCAGTACTTAGGAGCAAAGAATTACTTTGCCTAGTGGGTAGTCAATTTCCGAAATGGTAAAATTATGAAATTCCTTGCCCACAAGTGCCTGGTATAAGCTAAAATAGAAACCAATTCAAAAGGAGGTTTAGATAAATTGGTGAACTGTTAAACACATATTGAGGCACTGAAAAGTATTATAGAATTTGCAATTGTGTTTTAATCTTTGAAGTTGACATCAAAAGGGACTTCATTCTATATGTCCTTCCTCCTCCTCCAGAGGTCATATATGGGCCATAAGGTGTGACCCAAAACAATCATATTATATTCCTTTGTGGAAGTGTTATGCCATAGTAGACATGATTACCGGTACTTTTAAAGTATAAATATTCTAATTATATTATGAGAGGCTTTTTTTTTTCTGTTTCCCATTTTCAGAAAGATATATTGCCTCTCAAAAAGTGGCAATGTTTTTGGCAATACATATTGGCCTGATATGTAGAAAGTGTTTCCTTACTATTTCAAGATAATGCCTATTAATATTTGTCCAGCTGGAATGGTGTATTTTTCTGTGGTTACATACCATAGGTAAAGGAATACTTTGTAGATTTCAAACACATGCAGTGACAGACCTTTTCTCTCCAAGAATAACTCAGCTGTCAAAATCAATGTGAGAATGAAATTTGCCACATGGTGTAGTTCCAATAGAATATTATTATTTAAGCCTTATTTGATTTTCTTTTTTGACCATTTATATGGTAGAATATAATTTTAAGGTCTTTAATCAATACTTGTTGTAGAGGGAGGGCACAGTGTTATTCAAAGCTTGTGCATATTTTAACTGCTATTTTCATTTAATTGATTATGCTTTTCAGAGAAAGCCAAAAACAAACAAACAACAAACAATCAAAAACCCAAACATTTCTTTTATAAAGGAAATTGGCTCCTGGCTCATTGATACCAGCCCAGTTCTCTCCTTCTGCTGACACAGAAGAGAAAACTCTCTTTTCATTGCTTCTGTGGATAAATTCTTCCATCCCTGTGTCAGAGGATGTGATAAGGCAAGAATCAGGCTGAATATTTAGCACTCACCCAGCTTTTATTCTTTGGATGCTAGTCTCACATTGAATCCAACTCTAATTTTTTCCTGTATCCACACTGTGCTTCTTTTTAAACTTAGGGCCACCTATCAAATCTCCTAGTCTTAAATCAAAAATATGGAAGATTATTGAGCTATCTGTCTAACCAGGTATTTTTGTGTGCATAACAGCGGTATAGTGTCCTAGACTCTAAAGTCCTTCAGGACAACAACTATATTATTGAGAGTGCCTGGCATATAATAGGTGTCCAGTCAATATTGACTGAAGAATAAATTTGTGGTACATGCCTACTTAAGTAGCAGTAAAACCTCATGACTTCAGTTCTGAAGTTAAATTGTAAACACAATAGTCCTTTTAACATTCTCGCTCTTCTTAAATGTATCAGCTTAATAAATGATTAGAATGCATGAGTAATATTAATATTTTACTCATTTGATTTGGTTCTGGATTCTCGGGAAAGAGACTTAGGAAATTGCTATATCTTTCTCTTTGTAATATTTCTTATTCAAGGATATAGTAGTAAGCATGAAAAATGGGGGAAATTATTATTAAAATGTACTCTTTTAATAGTTTATTCTGCAACTATTATGAAGGAAGGAGCATTTTATTAGTATTCTTAAAATCTACGCAAAAATGAAACTCAGATGAAATTAAACAAAGAGGATTTATTCCTATATTTTAACAAACTTCCTAGATCAAACAAAAATTTAGCAGTAGTAAATTTCTGGGTCTTTGTTTAGACACTTTATAATGCATCTTCCTTTGCAAATATACTGGCTCTTTTGGAAAAGTTAGATGACAAACTATCCTAATAGAGGTGAAATATCATGGTTTTGATAGTCTATGAAAGCTACAGAGGGCTAACATTGTTCTTAAATAAATCAGAGCCTTACATAAATATAATACAAGATGAACTATTGTAAATATTGTAGAGTTCAAAACAAGCATGGAAACTTATAAAGGTATATTTTAAATGCTGGTGATTTTAAATGAGTTTTTCATAAAAATCATATTGAATGAATCAGCAGATGATCCAACGATAGCTTAAATGTATTGCATCTGTTTTTACTCATCCATACAAAAGGCAAATTTCCTGCCAGGTTAGTAGATGATCCTAAGTGGTATTTGGTGTGAATTTTCCTACCTGTTCAGATAGTACTATCACAACAAGTTAAAACTCACTCAAATAGAATTATCCAGGGGCTGAAATGGAGCCATCAGCAAGTTTTTTGAAGTTAATGGGATTATGTTAGTTTAGTTTTATTGCAAACATTGATAAGAAAAAGAAGTTATTTCATGTGTGATGAAATATGGATAAATACTGTTATTTCATTTTTTCTTCTTATTATATAAGTCATAAAATGGGCTTTTAAATTGGTATAATATTTATGTTACTTCATTTCACATTATAAGCTATGCATTTTTTGATCTTTTTCCCCTGGTAATATAGGTCAATATGGTCACTTCTAAATAAAATATATTCTATCTAAAACAAGACATATTATAATAATTTTATTTTAATATACATAAAGTTTATGTTAGAACTTATTTTATCAGTATTTTAAATTTAAAATCCATGTTAATTGAAAATATTTTTAATATATTATACTTTGGATTTTAGAAAAAGTTGGAATATGTGGAGCCATAAACATAAGGAAGTAATAAAGATAACAATTCACAAATAAATGGCAAAAGTAGTCATGATTTAGTTTAAACCAACAAAATTATTTTTACCTTTCAAGGAAAACCTACCAATTAAAGGCTAGCATAGGAAGAGTTTTTTCCTCTACTCTCTAAATAACACTTCTGTACAACGTAGTTGCCTCAGATGGAAAAAGGAACTTGAGATAGATAGGGTGTCTGTGTGTGTGTGTGTGTGTGTGTGTGTGTGTGTGTGTGTGCTTTTTGGTATTTGGTTGTCAGATAAAGTTTCTACAAACGAAAGAAAATAGTATCAGCCATAATACCTTCTTTGCAATTAAAAAAAGGGGAAATACGGAATTGGGAGGACTAATGATTCCAACTTTCTCAGCTCCTCTTGATTTTGTAGGTGGAAGGGCTAAGTGAAACAAGCAGGGCATAGTGGCTCCACAAAGAAATGGGAAGTCTGATGCCTTAACAACTAGACCTGCCAATCCCGCACCACAGCCCTTTCTACAAATTCGCCTTGGCTTCACCCACTCTGTGAAAACACTCCCCCATGTTGCTCCTTCCAGTCCTCTTAATTAGTTGACTCCCTCTGCACCCCCACACCCCCAGACTCCTTCTGTGAGAGGGAGCCTGTGTTGTATTCTGCAGATGCAGAGAGCAGACATTAATTGGTACAGAAAAGAGAAAATGAATTGGTTTGGACCACATGTGAAAAGGAGTTTAAAGCACAAGAGGCCTACGTTCAGTTTCAGGCTTCCTAAGCTCTGTTATTTTGTTGTCCCTTCTCTTATTTTTCTTTTCAACCTTCTTCAGATGAAGAGAATGTGGCAGCAAGAGCATCCCCGGAGCCAGAACTCCAGCTCAGGCCTTACCAAATGGAAGTTGCCCAGCCAGCCTTGGAAGGGAAGAATATCATCATCTGCCTCCCTACAGGGAGTGGAAAAACCAGAGTGGCTGTTTACATTGCCAAGGATCACTTAGACAAGAAGAAAAAAGCATCTGAGCCTGGAAAAGTTATAGTTCTTGTCAATAAGGTATTCAAAGAACACATAACACTAGTTGATCATTTTCATTGTATTATTCTGAAACTTTTATATGATGGCATTTGTGTCATTGACTCACACATGTTTAGTTTAATTAAGAGTAATGTCAAAATAAGCTCTTTATTTTATCTTTAATCTTTTTTAGGTATATGTAATATCTAAGTGATGAACCTGAAAATAGAAATTTTTCAATAAAACTAGGACATTATACCAAATAGCTATAACTTATGTAGCCCCAACACCTGGGAGTTAGTTTTGATTCATCTGCTTCCTTTATTTCCCTTATCTGGTCACAGGTTATATTTACCCAGATATACTTTAAGGTTAACTAGCTAATTTATCATTGCAAATGAATATGAATGACCCCAAAATATCACTGGAATCAAGGATCAAATATTGTTTTTTACTTTCTCTTTAGCTGTTGACCCTTAGTCAAAGATGGCAAGTCCTCTTTCTCCAGAATACATATAATGTGGTTTGGAGATAAAATTAAGTGAAGGTTTGGTATCTACATCAAGTTAAATAGATTTTAAAATGCTCAAGAAGTATACATATATATATATAAAATATACACATATTACATTAAATGCAACTGAAGTTTTCCTTCAATAATTTATATCTTAGGGTATTTGAAGGCCATCTTCATAAGTAAATATGTCTGCTTCACCGTAAAACAAAATCTAGTCATTTGAGCTTTATTCAGATAAATGACAGTTTATTAATTTATAAATATACAAATTGGGGATATGAATATTTACTATTTTATGGAATAAAAATGAGCATACTTTTCCTTGATCAGAAAGTCTTTTTTCTGTTCTTATCTATTCCTTTATAAAAAAAAGCAGTAGACTGTAAAATATTCTATTTTTTATTTCTATTATGCTAAAAGTTTTAGTTACATCCTGTTTTTCAGTACTTAGAATCCATGATTTGAATGATTCCTATCATGTAGTTCCAAATGCATTTTGTGTGCATCTGCTAAGTCCAAAGAGCTCTCCTTTATACTTGTATACTTACTATTAAAACACTTTTATTTATTTTGCTGGTAATGGTGACACATTCAAATTTGTTTGCCGATAGACTTGCATATGTATTCCCTTTGTACAGGATATTATTTTTTTAAATGAAATAGGTTTGAATCCTATTTCTACCTACCGGTACTTTGAATTAGACAAATTAGTAACTTCTCTAACTTTAATTTCTTCATCTGCAAAATGAACAAAATAATAACTACCCTGCTCTGAAATTTCAATTGGATTATATATGGCCTAGTAATGACTCCTGCTTTTACTCTTAAATACTAGCTTTCTCCTGCTCCTTTCTCTTCACCTTCATAACTCATGAAACTAAGTAACATAACCAGGGAGGCTTTTAAGTGCCAAATCCAAAGAAAAGAACCAAGTTAACTGGATTCAAAGCTACTTAAACTGATAATTTTGAAACCATTTGAGCATCTGCCATTTTCTCAAACTCAGCCTCACCATCTACCCTCCCAAAGGCTCCTCTTCCCCATTTACCTGTCTCTTTGTGAGTAATACCACCTCCTCCAAAGCATGCAGCCCCCACACCTAGGAGTTAGTTTTAATTCATCTACTTCCTTTATTTCCCTTATCTGGTCACAGGGACATAGGCTAATAGAGTTGAAAAGGGGCTTCGAGATTCAGCTTTCTTCCTTTGCAGAGTGGTTCTCTCACTTCTGCAGGGTAACTTCCTAATATCAAGGAGGTCCCCCTACTAACAAGACACTGACACTCTTAGAAAGCCCTATTTGTATTCATCCAAATCTGTTTCTCTGGAATCCCACAATCACCGGTTAGAGTTCCTTCCTCTGCAACCACACGAAGTCCTAATTCTCCAGCCTAATGACAGCCCTTCACATAGACAAGGCAGCATCATGTGGCTCCTAAGTTACTTTTTTTTGTTGTTCCTTGGAATAAATGTCCACAGTTCCTTTAACTGTTTTCCATATAACATGGTTTCTAAACCTGTCATCATTCCTAGTGCTCATACTCCTTCAGACATTTTTCTGGGACACTCTTAAATGCGGTGTCCAGAGTTGGGCAAAATACTACAGATAAGATCATACCAGTGCAGAGCGTAGGAGACATGAGATATGACACCCAGCTTATGACCGCATTTGCCTCTGGCATCCACAGACTTATCTGGACCTTGTCATAGAATCAAAATCCTCAGTTCCTTTTTATTTGAAAATCTCTTAAACTAGAACATTCTTAATTTATTTTTGTGCAGTCAGTTTCTGAGCCTAAATTCAAATACTTAGGTTTATTTCTTTAACTATTGATCTTTTCAAGTCTCATATTTTTGTATGTGTCTGATGCATCTTCCTTTCTATAATATTCCCTTCTCTTCTCAATGCTATATTCTAGCCAGGAATCTTTCATTGCATTGGATCTACATGATTCTTCGGAATGCACATTTATGGCTATGTTTAAATATTAATTTATCCTCATTAATTATTCACATTCACTGCATTGTTGTGTGGACACCTGGGGACTTGACTCTAATTCCTTATTGCTTTTCTATTGTTTTTCTCCTTAGAATTACTAGAAATCCCTCCACTAATTCTTCCATCTATGTCATAATTGTTTACTATACCATCTTTTTGAATTTTAAATTAATTTCAGTTTTAATTCTTTTTGATTGAGTCAGAACACCTCTGGCCCAGTAAGTCTAAGTAACCTGAATCTTGTGTTTGGCCCAACAACAAGGTATTGTTACCCTTGATCTAGAAAAAAGAAATCCTGTTCTCTAACACCATTTACTTTCATCTCCCTTCCTCCGTCCTTTCCAAAGTTATAGCCTTCGAATGCAGAGAGAAATGAAAACACCACCTGTGTTCCCAGACTTTCCATTTCCTATCTAGGGCTTCAACATCATGAGAGATAAATCCCAGGTTCCTTCAGATGCTGCAATGCAGCCCCATATGATTCAGCAGAAGTGGGTAGCAGTTGGGTTTGATTAGTCTTGGCAGGCACTCTGTCACATCTCAAGAAAAGGCTCCAAGAGGACCACACACCTCCCAATTAGCCATGTCAGACTTGCATCTGGCTTTCTCTGTGTCCTTCAGTAGGAAGTCAACACCACCCAGAGCGAGTATCAGGATTTCCAGCATCTGCTATCTCCTGTGACAACTTCTTTTTGTTCTGTACATCAGAAGGTGCGGCTTCTTTTGAAGATTTTTGACTCACCTTTTATGGGCAGAATTTTGTGGTGCAATGTCACTCCATAATACAGAGATTCTTAATTAAATCATTCAGCATGAGTGTATTTAAAGACAAATCAAATGTAGATCTTGTCCTCACGAAATATACAGTCTAGAAGAAAGATGAGAGATATATGTTGATAATATGATAATTAATATTTTATTGCACTTTATAAAGCACTCTCAGATATATTATCTCATTAAATCTACACAGCAACCCCATAAGGTAGTCTTTATTATTCTCATTTTTTCCCATCAGAAAACTGAAGTTTCAAGACTTTAATTGGCAATTCAGGGATCATCCAGCCAAGAAACAGCAGAAATGAGACACGAACTTTTATCTTCTGAGTCCACTGGTCTTCCTTTGCCACTGCACCCTCCTTCTAGAATAAAAGGATTGGTGAAATATCGTGGAAGTTTTAGTACTGACAATACAGCATCCTCTATTTCATTTAATTTTCACAACCCTATAATAGGTTAACATTATCCTCATTTTATTAATCTGGAAATTGAGAGCATTAAGATGATTGAGACCTTGTCCAAGGTACAAAGAAGTAAGTGGCTGGAGTAGCTGTTTTCAGGGCTTTCTTCCCTCTGCATCATGCTGTCTCTTTCCACTAAACTTAATTTCCATTCTTTTCCTCAGAAGCCTTCTGTCTTGCATAAATGAAATGGAAAGAATACTTCTAGAAAATGATTCAAGAACGGCTTTGTGGAAGAGAGAGAGAAGAGCAGAGCTGTGACTCTCAAATTTTAAAGGCTTAAATGTCATTAAAGTGAAGGTTTCAAGCCTCTGCCCCCCAGAGATTGTCCCTAGATTCAGTAATTCTTGAGTGGGACTTAGGAGTCTGCATTTTCTAAACTTCTCAAGCGTGTTTGTAACAGGTAGATTAGAGAGACTTTACTTTGAAAAAAAAAAAGAACTAAATGAAAGTTTCTCTTCTTACTCTTTCTACCCTTTCCACCTTGTGGTAAGGTAATGTTCTTTCACTCACCAACTTGATTACTGATTTTAAGTCCACTTTGCTTCCTTAGAATTTATGGATTTCATTTTAACTCTTCCCCACCCCTTCTTCCAGCCCCCCAGACACCTACTTTTGGAAGCCTCCATCATTTCCACTAAATAATAAAGTAAACCAGTGTTCTTCATAAGGTAGCTGTTCCCTTTAGCCAGGGGGATCAGCCATTCCTTATTTAACACCTAAGTGGGACTTACCTCAAGTAAAAAGATGAATAACACAAACCCTACAGACTAGGAGAAAGGTAACCACTGATTGCATTTCTGGTAGAATTATGGAGAGTGAATAATATAATGGGCATTCTTTGAAGCTTGCCCTTGAAACTCTTCCTGCCAACTCTCTGTTTCCCATATTGTACACTGCTGGGCTTCCATTGCATAAATCTTCCTAGGATATGACCTTCAAGATGGCCTTATATTTTTTCTCCTAATCCAGAAGGTATTTTGAGTGACTAGTAATGTGTAGCATTGAGGTGTCAACCCAGCTACCTTCAGCAGATGTTATAACATACAGAATCAGCTGAGAAGGACCCGAAGTTTCCACTTCTTTTGCCAGGTCTACTTTCGGGTTTGTTCTTTCTCAGCCACCACAGCTATTCCAGCAGCTCATTTCTTCACTTCACATCTGTTCTCCTAGTCAATGCCCTAACTCCTCACTTGTGGTTCCCTGATTCTTCCGGTCCTGTGGGCCTGTTGCTTCTGGTCTAATCCAAAACAAACAACAGGAATAAATCACTTCAACAGTACAACTTGTAGGGATCCTGTAAACTGTTATACTACATGTAAAATACTCTGCTTGATGTTTGCAGCCCTTTATAACCTGGCACTGCTCTACAAATTTAAAAATGTATTTCTTATTCAACCTTAGCTTCAGTTTATCTTTTCACTGACTCATGGCTTACTAGATTCAAATTCCTTCAAATTCCCCTTTTTTGAGTCGTCAGTTGCTTCTTCTCTTAACTGTCACTTTGTGTGTGTTTCTAGGTGAGCATTATTACATTGTGTTGTAATAATTTGTCTTGCTTTGTTTAGTCTTGGTCTGTATGATCAGCTAGACAGAGTTCCTCAGAGTTGTCAACCATATGTTAAATATCTTTGTGTCCCAGACATAAATGCCCACACCTAACAAGGGTATAATCAGTGCTTATTGACAGATGAATGAAAGGAGTGATGGGAACGTTGTTATGCCTGATTCACTGATAATGTAAACACCTCTTTTCATGCTGGATGCCAAACAGGCCTTTGATCAACACTCTTTTGGCTTCGACTAACTTTCTCTCTTTTAAAAAATCTTCACATTTTTTTAAGGTACTGCTAGTTGAACAGCTCTTCCGCAAGGAGTTCCAACCATTTTTGAAGAAATGGTATCGTGTTATTGGATTAAGTGGTGATACCCAACTGAAAATATCATTTCCAGAAGTTGTCAAGTCCTGTGATATTATTATCAGTACAGCTCAAATCCTTGAAAACTCCCTCTTAAACTTGGAAAATGGAGAAGATGCTGGTGTTCAATTGTCAGGTCAGTTTAAGTGTTTATTTTTTTAAAAAAATTAATAGTAATATTGATGATAACAAAGGCTGTATTTGTTAATTTTTTAAATGTTCGTGGCTTAAATTGTCTTTTATTGCTTATGGTTTTATTAAAATCCTTCTACTTCCTGGAGGAAACAAAAAAAGTAAGTTTTTAATTAGACCACTTTATTCTGCATAAGAATACCATTATTAAGGCAAGCACTCGCTGGACTTTCCATTTATTCTGACAAGTTCCTTTATTTGCTATTGAATGTTGTTAGATCTGCTTCCCTTTCCCATAGAATAAAAATACAAATCTTGTCTTTTATGGGGTATAGGATGAGAAGGTAGGAGAAAGAATGGAAAAAAATAAAAATAATTTATAATAACTAAATGCAATGTTAAAACAAGGCAAAATTTTCCCTCTTTAAATAGTGTGTTTTTCACTTGATGTAATAAAAATAAAATTCACCAACCTAAAATTAAATATTTTATTAAAGAACAAAAGTAAAATCCTGAGATTTGTTTTGTAATAAGCCAGGGTGTGAATTCCACATCTAACGCTTTTTAGCTCTGTAAACTTTCTGAATCTTATCTATTAAAGAAGGAGAATGTCTAACAGGGAGTTTCATGATTAGTATATACGAACGTCTGTGTGTACAGGTGCTAGTATAGTTAGATTTCCCTCCTAAAAACTGAAAGTGGACTGCTCTTGTGTCGTGCCCAAGAGAAGGCATCCCCAAGGCAGCTCAATTACTGGTCTAAAGCTATTTTCTCACTGTAGTGTGCTGATATGGAGAAATGAACTCTTTGAATTTTCTTTTAAGACTTTTCCCTCATTATCATTGATGAATGTCATCACACCAACAAAGAAGCAGTGTATAATAACATCATGAGGCATTATTTGATGCAGAAGTTGAAAAACAATAGACTCAAGAAAGAAAACAAACCAGTGATTCCCCTTCCTCAGATACTGGGACTAACAGCTTCACCTGGTGTTGGAGGGGCCACGAAGCAAGCCAAAGCTGAAGAACACATTTTAAAAGTAAGTCATAATTTTATGTATAACCAATGAAAGCAAAGCTAAAACAAATGCCAGGACTTCTTGGTCTTATTAAATAAGATTGAGTTCAAGTGCTGTGATCATCAGTTAAGTGAAATCTGTTTGCTTTAGTACAATAAATATACTCAGTCTTCTACAGAATACTAATATGCCTTAATAAATATCAATAACACAAAATCATATCATAAAAATGATGGAGAGTGATATAATTAATGGGAAGTTGAGATAAATAGAATGCCTTCTTTTGAACATCTACTCTTATGGTTAAATTTAATGATCTACCTGATATAGAAATATGCATAAACTATGAAAGTTTCTAGTTGTCACACATAATAAAGTCTTACTCCATGAGTTTCAAAACTGCGTATTTTCTGTCCTTCATATGTTATTCTAGGAATCTAGGTAATTCAAATTAAAGGGAAATAGGGATATGAAGATCTTTAAAGATGAGCTTGTCAGCTGCCCCCTAATGGTAACACCACATACAGTGCTACTGTTAATCTTGAGTGTTAAGTAAATCAGAGTAGCCCAAGAAGTATTTTGGTACCAAGGCAATTGCATTTGAATTTTAAGTCCCTTACTTTAAGTTGAATTCAATACAAATTATGTAGAGTAGACACAACATTCAGAGATGCAATTATAGGCTCCAAAATATAATTTATTACTGGGATTAAGGACTAATTCCAATCTAATAATCAAGGAACATGACTAAGGATGCTCCCAGCTTTATGTGTAGATGCCTGCTTTATGTGTAGAAGAAGGTGGTAGTATGATCCACGGATGTCAAGTTGACCTTTGATATGCCTCATGTAACATGGTTATCTCAAAATCATTCTCTGTCAATGATGGTAAATTGTTATACTCTTTCCATGTCAGTTTTCCACTTGGAAAATGGAATTTAAGGAATGAATATCAATACACCTTTTTCTCTGTTATTACACCAACTTGATTTAGAAGCTCCTTTTTCCTATATTAGGACAAATGTTGCTGATTGTGGGTTAATGAGATCCATAATAAAACAATGTTAAAATGCTATATTTAGCAAGCAATGCTACATATTACTTTCATGAAATTTTATACCACATATTTATGCTACAATTTAATGCTACATATTTTTTACATGAAAAAGAGTTCTACGTTGAATAAAGTGAAAGGGAAAAATAATTGCATAAATATTGAAAAATGTCTCTTTTCCAGCTATGTGCCAATCTTGATGCATTTACTATTAAAACTGTTAAAGAAAACCTTGATCAACTGAAAAACCAAATACAGGAGCCATGCAAGAAGTTTGCCATTGCAGATGCAACCAGAGAAGTATGGGCTTAATGTTTTATATCTATTGATTGACAATACTACATTCAGTAGAAAGATGGCAAAGGCTATTTTATACTGACCATCTGAAAAATATTATTTAAAAATTTTAGCAAACAAGTTTCAGGTTTTTTTTTAATTGATGTTAGGCAGTAAAGCACTACAGTGAATTCTCGCCTCTAGACCTCTTTTAGTTTTCTAATTTACATGAGGAATAGCTTATTCATTGTTTGTACATATGAGTTAAAAGGGACAGTGAGGGGCCATGGGCAGAGGGATGTGTAACTAAGCTGGAGGGGTTATGACAGTTCGTTTTAGCCTTTTTAATTTTCTTCGTGAATTCCAGGATTGATTTTCTGACATTCCACAGAGCCATTTTGTTGCTATCAAATTACATTTGGCAATGATAATGGGAATCCTATCTAATTTGCATACTTGCATATTTACTTTCTTAGGAAAACAGTGCAATGGTAAAGAAGTGAAATATTTACTTTAATGATGCTTTTCTGATGAATTTTTCAGGAATTATAAGAATAAACTGAGAGTCAATTTGGACATTATGGCCAGTAAATTATGTCAATACTTTATTTTGTAAAATTTAGAAAGCATTACAAATTCTGGCCATATGTACTTGATAATACCATTGAAAATAAGAATGTTGGGATCAAATGATATGAAATATGCATAGTAGATAAAACAATGCTTGAAATATAGTAGGCACTAAACCAATGTTAGTAACTAGCCTCCGTATATCTCTTTTTTTAAATTCTGAAAAAGACTGCTATCTACTCCAGCTGCACTAGCACAGTTGAATATATTTTATTCACTTTCCTTTTTTTGTTACTTATTTGGTTTTACTTGATAATTTTAAATGCATGTTTCTACTCATAAAGATTTTTAAAACTAAATTTCTCAGGTACATTTTTTAAAAGAATTTGCCATTTTTTAAACTTACTTTAATTTTTTTATATACCTTGAAGCATAACATACATACAGAAAAGTACAAATTCATATGTGTACTGATTGCTGAATTTTCCTAAACTGAATACACATATGTAAACAAAATCCAAATCAAGAGACAGCACACTGCCAGTATCCTAAAAGCTCCTGGCTCCCCCTTCCAGTCACCATGCCCCAGGAATCACTACTATCTTGACTTCTAAAACAAAAAATGAGTTTTCACTGATTCTGAACTTTATATAAATGGAATCATATAGCATGCACTCCTTTATTTCTGGCTTTATTCAGACTCTACTTCAACTTTTTATTTTGGTCGAAATAATACTGAAACCAGTTTTACAAAGGAGGAATGTTTCTT
This sequence comes from Homo sapiens, assembly GCF_000001405.40. Classification (NCBI taxonomy): domain Eukaryota; kingdom Metazoa; phylum Chordata; class Mammalia; order Primates; family Hominidae; genus Homo; species Homo sapiens. The sequence continues at coordinate 162,278,680 of NC_000002.12, read as the reverse complement.
AAATTACACTGTAAGCTTTCTAAATAATTGTGGCATTAATGCAATATGTGTTTTCTAAGTTACCTTTAACATACAAGGTTTATATAATTCATTAACTTTACTTTTGTTAACCTTTTAAGTTGGAGATTCCAGCAGAGGTAACAGGGTGTTGGTGTGGGTGTGGCTTGATGGCAGGCTTAAAAGAGAAGCTGACAAAAATAAATGTACAGACAAGTGATGGGACACTAACCTGTTACTTTGTCTAAACAAAGATGAATCAGATTTATTATAACCTAGAAATTATTCTAACAAAGATAATGTTATTCCTTTAACAATAAGAATACATAAGAATAAGTGTGTACTTTATTTTTAGGATCCATTTAAAGAGAAACTTCTAGAAATAATGACAAGGATTCAAACTTATTGTCAAATGAGTCCAATGTCAGATTTTGGAACTCAACCCTATGAACAATGGGCCATTCAAATGGAAAAAAAAGGTAATTTAGGTTTGGACCTAACACTTAGTTTATCCCATGTTTATACCAAGATTTTAGATGACTATATCACAGATTCCCCAAAAAATGGAAAGCAAAAGTAGTTCCAAATAGAATTTCTGTGTTCTCTGTAGGACAAGCATAATAAACATGTTCTAATTCCTTTTCTAAGGAGAGAGATTCCAATGCTATCCAATTTTCTCTTTGTCTCCAGAGTCTTGAGATAAACTTTAATAGCTCTGTCTCCAAAGGCAAACTCAACTAATATATTTTCATGCCATTTCTCTGTGCATCAGCTACATGTTTTTGCTGAGGCAGAACTCAAGCAGCAAGTCTAGGAGTTGGAAAACTTGCCCTGTTTCAGAGCTCAGGACACATTTTGAGCCTTAACTTGCCCATTTTAAAACCAAGGTGAAGCCAGTTTTGCAGTTAGTAACATATATTCAAGTCCATGGCACAATTTTAGGGGGTTTATATGCTTATTATTTCACTTACATAATATATTTTTTCACAGCTGCAAAAGAAGGAAATCGCAAAGAACGTGTTTGTGCAGAACATTTGAGGAAGTACAATGAGGCCCTACAAATTAATGACACAATTCGAATGATAGATGCGTATACTCATCTTGAAACTTTCTATAATGAAGAGAAAGATAAGAAGTTTGCAGTCATAGAAGATGATAGTGATGAGGGTGGTGATGATGAGTATTGTGATGGTGATGAAGATGAGGATGATTTAAAGAAACCTTTGAAACTGGATGAAACAGATAGATTTCTCATGACTTTATTTTTTGGTAAGATTCAAAGTAACATATACTGGTGTCATTCATTTACCTTTTCAACATGAACTTACTGCTTCTCATAAGCTCTCCAAAAAGAGAAATATCTTTTGAAAGAAGAAATCCCACTCAGATTGGAACTATTTCTAATGATATGACCAGATTAGCTACCAGTTGTATGATCACAGTCAGTCATTTGGTCATTCAGTTTTATTGTCAAGACAATTGTAATGAATTTATTTATTAAACCATCCTAATTATTAGATATAGCGCAAGATTGTAGATGAGCCACAATTCATGAAACCTTCTAGTGTAATTCGTTGTATGTTTTACTAATTTATACTTCCAAATAGTTTTTAAATTAATTAATTTTTAATCAATAAAACTGTATATTTTTGGTGTACAAAATGTTTGATATATCTGTACATTGTGGAGTGGCTAAATCAAGCTTGTTAACATATCAACTCTAATTATTTCTTAAAGAAAACAATAAAATGTTGAAAAGGCTGGCTGAAAACCCAGAATATGAAAATGAAAAGCTGACCAAATTAAGAAATACCATAATGGAGCAATATACTAGGACTGAGGAATCAGCACGAGGAATAATCTTTACAAAAACACGACAGAGTGCATATGCGCTTTCCCAGTGGATTACTGAAAATGAAAAATTTGCTGAAGTAGGAGTCAAAGCCCACCATCTGATTGGAGCTGGACACAGCAGTGAGTTCAAACCCATGACACAGGTATAAATATCCTTTTGGACGACTTCTTTTCTTTTCTTTCTCTTTTCTTCTTCTCTTCTCTTCTTCTCTTCTTCTTTTCTTTCAGACGAGGCCTCGCTCTGTCACTCAGGCTGAAGAGCAGTGGCATGATCAAGATTCACTGCACCCTTGACCTCCTAGGCTCAAGCAATCCTCCAGCCCCAGCCTCCTGAGCAGCTGGGACTCTAGGTGTGCACCACCACACCCAACTAATTTTTTTATCTTTTTTGTAGAAAAGGTGTCCCACTATGTTGTCCTGGCTTGTCTTAAACTCCTGGGCTCAAGCCATCCTTCTGCCTCTGCCTTCCAAAGTATTGAGATTATAGGCACGAGCCACTGCGCTCAGCCTGGACTTCTTTTCTTATGCTGTTATTACTCTTCTCAAATTGTTTTTAGTCTTTTTCTACCAATCCTCTCACCACCCATGAATACATTTACAGGATAAAACACCTGTTCTTGAAATAAAATCTAAGGCTAATAGCAATCAAATCTGTGGTTTTTGAGAGGTTAAGTGTTGTTTTAGGAGTCATTTTTCCCACATAATAATTGGAAGAACTTTCTAAGTTTCCCTTGCAAAAATAAGTGACATGTAAGCTTAACAACAAAGTTCAGAAATGATTGCCATGTAGTATCAAGTGGAAAATTCAAACTCCCACAAAAATGTGTTCGTTATAACTAGAACTATGCAAAATATATTTACATAGAATGAGACCTCTAGGGAAACTTGAAAAAACTAAAGAATTTGATATATTAGAGATTTGGGATTCTGGTAAGTAGGTTTTCTGTTCCATTTTAAGGTGTTTTGTTTTACTTTGTTTACATGTTGCTTACTGTGGGCATAGTAAAAAAACACTTGGGTAAGAAAAAAAGGCACTAGTAGACATTACAAGCATGCATGAAGCAATGATGCCTTGTTAGAGTAAAATATTCTTCTGAGGGCTAAAATCACATTGACCCTGAGTCTTTCTGGACAAATGGATACTTCCTTTCTATTATAGTTATCACTATTCAAGCCAATGGAGCAAATTAATTCTGTTTCAGTGTTTGCTGGAAAAAAATTCTTGAAATGGTTCACTATAACTCTTTATATACCCTCTACATGCACTCCTGTGAGCATTGCCAATAAAATTAATGCCAGAGAAAGTACTGTTTTCCTTGGGTAACAAGTTTGCTTCCTTCTTTTTGATGAGATGTAGTTTGCTTTATATGTTTTTCTTTTTGCCTTAGCTTCCAGAAAGCTAGCAGGAAAAACTCAAGTTCAGTCTCACAGCCTCTGTGTTGATTCTTATGAGTTCTGTTTTTAAATTTCTATTATATTAACTTTAGCGTTGTGACTTTTATTGTAAGAGGGCTAAGCTTCTCTGTAAAAAGAGGTAGAGTGCAAATGAAAAGCCTATGTTCAAGCTACTTTCTGCTCCTTATTCATTTCAAACCAAGGGGCTGTGTGCCAAAATACAGAACATATTCCCTTCCTTCCCCACTCCTTGTATCCTCACCTTGTAAACTGGGGTGGACAAACTCCTTAGCAATGGTGTTAGGCATCTATGTGATGTGACTTGAAGATCTGACACTGTCTGGAATTTTTGTTATTAAAGTTACTCCTTCAAATTAAGACACAGGCATCTTCTGCTAAAATCCAAGAACATGTAAGTTTTTATCGGGAGATGTGAGGGCCGGAGGGAGAAATTTTCAGAGAAGACTCAAGAGAGGCCTTTCTACAGGGTTCTCCGACAGTTAGGAGTAGGAGTCAAATAAGGACTCACACTGCCTCTGAGAAGAAAGGGAAGGGGATGGAAGAACATACTTTTGGTCTGGCAGCTTTATTTTTGTTTAATGTATGGGGGCAATAGACAGTGTGGATGTGCACCAAATGCCAACTGGACCAACAGCTTTGATGAGAGTGGTTATGAAAATAAAACCACATTGTCCATATCAAGCTAGGTTTGTGCTCACTCATTTCTCCCATGTAAGGATGAGAGGTCATATTTTAATTTATTTATATTGACTTTCAAAATTCAGAGTTTTTTCATTTGAAAATAGTTTTATTTACAGTTGCATAACCTCTTCTTTCATTTTTATTTATATTGTCCCTTTGAATTGATAATATATTTACCTCATTCAAAATTAATGAGGCACAAGGCATACCACTGACCTCTAGTCTTCCAGCTCCCCTCCCTAGATGCAGCTGATGTTTTCAGTTTCTCTTGTGTCCTTTTGGGAATATTCCATAGCTTCTAACTCAAATGATTCTTAAAGTGACCAAATGCATATACAGTGTGCATTTTCTCTGTGACTGAAAACAATATATCAAAGCATCTCTGCATCTTATCCTCTAAATAGCAAAGATTCTGAAGTTAATGTAGTGGGGGAAAAAAGCCCATTTTAGCTTCTGATTGTCATATCCTCTTCTCAACCGACAGCTCCTCCTTTCTTCCTCTGGAGTCACCCATCAATTTATTTCCTTGGCATAAAATGTGGTCTTCCCACCTCCAGACTGGATGATGGAAATATTTTTGTTATTGTGTGGTAATCCCAGATTGGAAATCAAATGTTGTCTCACCATTATGTCTTTGTTCAATGCCAAAAACAGATGGCAACAAATCCATGTATGATCTAATCCTTTGATTTACACTGACCAGTTGCAATTTATTATTTCTTCCTCTAATTAGAAGATTTTAATGTGTTTAGCATCACAAAATTTAATTTATTAAAATGTTTCTACAGAATGAACAAAAAGAAGTCATTAGTAAATTTCGCACTGGAAAAATAAATCTGCTTATCGCTACCACAGTGGCAGAAGAAGGTCTGGATATTAAAGAATGTAACATTGTTATCCGTTATGGTCTCGTCACCAATGAAATAGCCATGGTCCAGGTACATTCAAATACCTCTACTTACTATGTTAATTTTTATTTGTTGTGTTCCTATTTTAATTGCTTTCTTTTAGTTAAACAGCAAAAACATCTTTTTAGTTTTTAAAACAAAGCCTTTTTCCTGTTAAAAGAGCATTTTTAAAATGCTGTGCACTGTTGCCTTTCATATTGCTGTCAATTCATATAATAACCAGATACCTGTTGTATGTTTAAACAACAACTCCTCTTTAGCTATTTCTGTACCCTAAGGCTTTCCAGGACCATGACACTAGCCCCATTTGTAAGAGTCAAAAGCAGCCTCCTCTTTCCTAGGATGTCTGTGAGCCCCCAGCTGGACCAGGAATCTAAAGTACACTGTCCCACAAATGTCTGATGAAGTAACATGCCCAAACCTGAGGGAGCCCTGCTGTTTCTGCATTTTCTTCCCTTATCCTTTCCAATTTTCTGTGTGTTTAGAAGTTTTCATGATAAAATGTTGGTTGGGGGCAGACTTATAAATGTAAAAATAAATAAAAGAGTGAAATGTTCTGTTTTCATTCAGATTTCACTTTATCTCTTACCCACCTATGTTAATGGCATTATTGTAACCTGTTGAGTAGGCATAGGTGTTATGCTGATTAATAGATACACTATTCTTCCTATAAAATTAACTAAAGGGATTTTTAAATAACTTAAATTGCATCCTTGAATAAAAGGCAAGTCATAGAAGACTAAGATAACCAGACTGCCATCAAATTAGCAAATAATTTTATTTCAGGAGTCTATTTGTAAGTCAGTGATAAGCTTAGTAATCAAACTTAGAATACATTTTTCCTTGAGGATACTTTTATAGTTGATAGGCTCCTGGGCCAGGCCACAGAAGTTTCTATTAATCAAAATATACCTGAATATCACTTTCATAAAGAGGCTTGTAGAAAGTTATCACCATGTTAAATATGTTCCCATGGGAAAATGTGCTAAGAATGTAATGTAGGATGCCAGAAACTGACCTGCCTTCTCACCAGCCCTAGTGTCAAGGTCAGAGATGACCCTTCTCTCCATTCATTCCTCCCAGCTTCCTACCAAGAAAGACGACTCCTCAGTCCAAGTCATTGATCGTGGTTCTCATAGTTTGAGAGAGAAGTTCTGAGAGCAAAAAGCCTGGACAGGATGATATTATGTCATTGAGGCCTAACCATCATCACTCTAGAACACTTTTTCTGTATTAAAGCATATTATAAGTTTCAAAGAGCTGACTTACAAGTAATGGATTAATAACTAACTTTACTAACTTTACCCATTTGAAGACTGGCATGCTGAACAACCCAATATCATTTCATTCTGAGCAAGAATATCATTCCCAGAAAAAACCAGGAGGATTTGTATCACAACGTACCCTTTCATTTACTTGATTTATTTGTGTTTTCAGGCCCGTGGTCGAGCCAGAGCTGATGAGAGCACCTACGTCCTGGTTGCTCACAGTGGTTCAGGAGTTATCGAACATGAGACAGTTAATGATTTCCGAGAGAAGATGATGTATAAAGCTATACATTGTGTTCAAAATATGAAACCAGAGGAGTATGCTCATAAGGTATTGTTGGTCACCTCTGAATTTGATTTTCATTTAAAAATGGCGGCATGTGGTTGCCATTGATATCTCTGTGACTCATTCTCCAGACAAAAATTGTGCTGAATTATAAGTTTCTGTTTAGTGAACTGTGCTTAATCCAGATTCACATGCAGAGAATCAAGATCCATGGTGGGCAGGAAATTATCAGGGAGCCATTCCTCATTCCAGTAAAACCAACCATAAATTTGGATAATATAAATTTAGCCTGCCTTGTTCCAGAAAGACTGCTGCAACTCACTGATTCAATCCAACATGGTAATTTTGGTTTGATCCAATTTGTTTGTAAAGGCACAGTTTTTTAATTTCAGAAATGTAGATGAAACGCCTACTGTGTGCCAGGTAACCTTATAGGAACAGCCAACAGAGGAAACAAAACACATAAGACTCCTGCTGCACGAAGTTTATATTTCTAGTGTGTGCCTGGTGAAGTTTGGAGGACAGAAACAGTAAACAAACATTAAAAGACAAGAAATATAATATATCAAGATAAGTGAAGAGAATTAGAATAGGATGATATGAAACAACTGACTAGATGGATACTTTCTTGTTTTTAGTAGTTTTTGAAATTCTTTTTTTTCTTATTATACTTTAAGTTCTAGCGTACATGTGCACAACGTGCAGGTCTGTTACATATGTATACATGTGCCATGTTGGTGTGCTGTACCCATTTACTTGTCATTTACATTAGGTATTTCTCTTAATGCTATCCCTCTCCCCTCCCCCCACCCCACGACAGGCCCTGGTGTGTAATGTTCCCAGCCCTGTGTCCAAGTGTTCTCATTGTTCAATTTCCACCTATGAGTGAGAACATGCGGGGTTTGGTTTTCTGTCCTTGTGATAGTTTGCTCAGAATGATGGTTTTCAGTTTCATCCATGTCCCTACAAAGGACATGAACTCATCCTTTTTTATGGCTGCATAGACTAGATGGATACTTTCAACTGGGTGGTTGAGGAAGGTCTCTTAGAAGGAGTGACAGGGAAGCTGCATCTGAATGATAAGAAAATACAGAATATGTCATCTAGCTACATCTCAATTTACTAACACACAGTTATTTGAGTTGTGCAAAGGAATGCAGTGAAGAAAGAATGTATTTCTATAGTATTTCAGGAAATCCCCCATACCACTGAATTAAAAACTGTAACTACTATAATAGCAAACAATCCATTTAGAAGAAAATTCACACCCTTGCATATGGGTGTGAATGTTAGTTTCTTAACATTGGAATTGGCTCTACCTTAAATAGAGTTTCACTAAAGGGATGCTTTCAAATTGGTGTGCATTGCTATTACCAACTCCAAGGTTTCCTGACCAGGTTTCTGCACAAAACTTTATTTTAAAACCCCTTTAAATACAAGGCAAAGCAAATATTTTAGAGTATCAAATCAAACTTTTGTCACCAAATTATGCCACTGGAAAGTTACTGCCTCCCAGTTAATGTCCTAAGAGAATTAATCAAGTAGATGTTTACAAAGACTGATGTTTTAAGAGTAGTTTTTTGGGGGTCAACACTAGGACAATCTCTGGAGTTTAAGGGTCAAATTCTTCCAGACATTCTTTAGAATAAGACTCTGTCCCTTTGGGTGCCCCAGAATGGACTATATTTTTAGGTCTCCTTTGGCCAAGAAACCTGCCCTCCTAAAACTACTTCAGGTAGATGAACTTAGAGTAGGAGTGGCAATGGGGAAGGAGGGCTACATGCCACCAGTAATCTGTTCAAAGCCTGTAGAAAACATTGCTACTGGGAAGATGTTTACTTTCTTCTAATTTGAGCATCTTTCTCAACACAATCTTCAGACAACCACTAATGAATGATGAGAATTGACAGATAAGATGAAATCTTTCTTCCATGTCATAAACACAGTTTAAACATAACAGAGCTTCTTAAAATTAAATCAGACTTCTAGGAGCAAGTTGATCATCATAAATGTTTTTCTCTAGCATTGATTCAATTTTTTTGCTACATTATTACACTTTATTTGGACTTAGGCTGATTGTAGCTGTGCCTCCTGTATATTTATTATGAGTTCTTTTTTTTGTTTGTTTACCCCTCTAGTTACTTCAAATTCCTTTACTATTTTAGAGTTAGTCTTTTAGCTTCTGATGTCCTGATTACAAATCCATACACTTACCTTGGCTTTATTTTTTTTCTGACTCATTCATACACATTTCTTAATTCCCACATGTATGTGATCCTATAATTACCTTATCAGCTCATTGAACTGTAAATGTCTTATAAAAGTAACCTATTAAAACTTTTAGGGAAAAATATTTCAGTGTATTATTTTGCTATAATTTACATAGGAAATTAATCTTGGTACTTGTCTGATTAATCTATTATATAGCCTCCAGGCTTGCTTGCAAGGTTTTATTCTCTTTTCTATGCTATATATGGCTGCCTTGAAGGGAGATCTAAAATGTAGAGTTAGAAGCCAAAGAGATGGGCTTTGTTCAACTGCACTGATGACTTACTTTTACTGAAAATTTCTCCCTCGGTCTTAAAGAAAACAATTAATTCTTCCATAATTTAATATAAATATGTCATCTATGAGAGGTCAGTTTGGCGGTAAATTATTCAAGAACCAGATTTTTCTACCGTGAAGTTGTGTTGGTATAAACACTGTTCAGTCCCTATGTCAACTTTCATATGTTACATAAACTAGATTATTTCCATTATAAAATAAGTGCTGCTGCTAGTCACAGAGCATAGAATAAAGAGGTTGATGGGCATATTCTCTCACAGAAGGAATCTAGGCAGTATTGGCTCCATGAAGTTATGAGGAATCCAGGCCTTTTCTCTCCTTTTTATGCTGTTATAGCATTGGGCTTTCATTCTCATGGTCGAAGATGGCTTTTAGAATTTCAGCTGCCACATCCTCATTCTAGGCAGGAAGTAAGAGGAGAATGGAAAGGGCGAAAGGTACACATGCCAGCTATCTAATTTTTAAGAAGATTTTCTGAAAATTCCACTCAACAGCTTTTTACATGTCATTGACTGCTGGTTTGGAAATGTAGTCATTTAGCTAGCATATTTCCACCCAGAATAAAATTATGGTTCTGTTAGGAAAAATGGACACTGAATGAAAAACTAGTGGTTTCTGCTACAAATGTGTAAAGAGTAGACTGATTAAGATGGTGAAGGGTCTGAAAATTATAAAGCATGAAAAAAGATTAAAGGCATTTGGGTGCTTAGCATAGATTAGAGAAGACTTGGTAATGTAATAACAGTGTTTAGTAAAGAGATTCCATGTGGAAGGAAGTTTAGACCTATTTTATGGAACAGAATTAAAACAAATGGGTAGGCTGGCGCAGTGGCTCACACCTGCAATCCCAGCACTTTGAGAGGCTGAGGCAGGTGGATCACTGAGATCAAGAATTTGAGATCAGCCTGGGCAACATGGCAAAACTCCATCTCTACTAAAAATATGAAAATTAGCTGAGCATGGTGGCAGGTGCCTGGAATCCCAGCTACTTGGGAGTCTAAGGCAGAAGAATCCCTTGAACCCAGGAGATGGAGGTTGCAGTGACCCGAGATAGTACCAACACACTCCAGCCTGGGCAGCAGAGCAAGACTCCATCTCAATAAATAAATAAATAAATAAATAACAAATGGGTAGGCTAGACAGAGAATTTTTGTTGAATATTGCTAAGGACTTTCTCACAATAGAACTTTTCTGAAATGGAATGGGCTACTTTTTGAATACCTGAAGACTGCACATTTTCATGGTTACAGGAGATGATTATATACCAAATTCTTTGGGGGGTCATTACCTCATTATTTTTATTTCCTAGACCATAAGCTAAGGGTATATTTTCACAACTAAGACCTCCAAATTTCAGGAGACTTACTTCTATGAAACTGAAAAAAGAAAACAAACCTGAAACCACTAACTATTCCTTTCTCTGTCCAGATTTTGGAATTACAGATGCAAAGTATAATGGAAAAGAAAATGAAAACCAAGAGAAATATTGCCAAGCATTACAAGAATAACCCATCACTAATAACTTTCCTTTGCAAAAACTGCAGTGTGCTAGCCTGTTCTGGGGAAGATATCCATGTAATTGAGAAAATGCATCACGTCAATATGACCCCAGAATTCAAGTGAGTCCAGAAAGACCCATTTTTACATTTTTCCACAAGGGGTGAAGCAGGTTGCATTGTAAATGTTCTTTCAAAATAGTGCAAATGAGATTCATTTATTTTACAACTTCCTCTCCTTTAGCCTCTCAATTATATTCCTATTTTAAATGTCTATGTTTTAAATAAACTGCACTGGGGCAGGAAAAGAGAAGTGTAAGAACCAAAGCCATTTTGATCCAAGGCACGTATTTTTGTATGCTCATCATTTGTTCTCAAATTTTTGAACAACTAAAGTCAAGTTAATATAACCAACAGACTTGAAAGAAGTTATGAAAGGCAACATGCCCCTTGAGAGGTATGTGTAGAAGAGAAGCATTGCCTTAGTTGCAATAACAAGCCTGGGAAGCAGGAGGGAAGGAAGGAATGCCGTGTAGAATACCGCAGGCATGCGGATGAGCTCCAGGTCCAATAACCCATGAACTACACACTGGTATTTTGTCAGTTCTCCATGATGATTCTTTCCCTTTGATACTTATAGGGAACTTTACATTGTAAGAGAAAACAAAGCACTGCAAAAGAAGTGTGCCGACTATCAAATAAATGGTGAAATCATCTGCAAATGTGGCCAGGTGAGTAAATTGCTGTGGGCCAGATTTTACTTTAGCCAACAGGAATGTTTAATTGCATGTACATTTAATTTTCCTCTTGCTCTCTCTTTTGTTTTCCAGGCTTGGGGAACAATGATGGTGCACAAAGGCTTAGATTTGCCTTGTCTCAAAATAAGGAATTTTGTAGTGGTTTTCAAAAATAATTCAACAAAGAAACAATACAAAAAGTGGGTAGAATTACCTATCACATTTCCCAATCTTGACTATTCAGAATGCTGTTTATTTAGTGATGAGGATTAGCACTTGATTGAAGATTCTTTTAAAATACTATCAGTTAAACATTTAATATGATTATGATTAATGTATTCATTATGCTACAGAACTGACATAAGAATCAATAAAATGATTGTTTTACTCTGCATTGAACTCTTTTTAAGAACACAATATATTATGCATTATCCATCTTATTGTTGGGCAGAGGTAAGGAAAATCTACCAATAATTCTCATTAGTGTGGAGCATTATAGTCCTGTGGAAAGAATGCTGAAGTACAAATGAGAATCCAAAGTACCAGTCTCAGTTCTGTCACTAATTTTCAGAATAAAATTAGGCAAATCAGTTCATCTTTCTGAACCAGTCTCCTTATCGATGAAATGGTCATAACATTCTCTAGTTTTACTTTTTATTAATTTTCTATTGCTCTATAACAGATTGCCACAAAGGTAGTGGCTTAAATCAACAATCATTAATTATAACACATGTCCTGTTGGTCAGAAAGGCAGGGTTCTTTGCTCAGGGTCTCACAAAATTGAAATTGAGGTGTCAGCCAGACTGTGTTCTCATCTGGAGGCACTGGGGAAAGAATCCACTTCCAAGTTCATTCAGAGTTTTGGCAGAGTTTGTTTCCTTGCAGCTGTCTGACTAAGATGGCTGTTTTGCTGTCTGTCCACTGGGGATCGCTCCCAGCTCCAGCAATGCCCCTACCACACAGCATGCTCAAGCCTCTTTCCCAGCACAGATATTTGCTTCTTCATGGTCAGAAGAAGAATCTCTCTCTCAAGTCTGCTCAGATGGAGTCTTAGATAGGTTAACTGTAACCATAGAAGTGACTGTCTCATCATATCCGTAGGTCCTGCCCACACTCACCGCAAAGGGATTATTCAGGGAATCACCCCAGCCAGTGGGAATCGTGGGGACCATCTTAGAGCTTTGCCTCCTACATCACTTGCCCAGTCTTTGCAACTAAATGATATCATAGGAAAGTACTTTAAAAACTGTGAAGTACCATTAAAGACCAGTTAAGAAGCAGCATCAAGTAGCTTAAGGCTTCCTTCCTAGGCCTTCCCTTCCACAAACATAACACTATGTTGCAGAACTACCTAATGACAGAGTAGTGGCTAAATCCAGGCTGACCATTAATGCCAACAAGATTACACGTGTCCCTGGACAGCCGTTCACCTCCCACTCTAGGATTCACACTGGAGTTAGCAGGGAGCAGATGCTGAGTGTTATTAGAGAATAAAGAGAAAAATGTCTGCCTCTGCCCCCAACAGAACACTACGGACAATTCTCCCAGTAGAAAAGCAGCCTCTTTTGACAAGGAAGAGCCGCATGATTCAGACAGAAGCCACAATTGACCATTTTAACCAAAACTTAGCAAGTCTCACAGATGGCTTGCTCCAAGGGAACATTTACCTCCTGTGACTAAGAAGAAACAAAATGTTGGAGGGTGTGAAAAGAACATTCTTCTGAAGCTTTGATGGATTAGTTGAGTTGATATTACAGTAGTTTTGAATCTTTCCTTGATAATGCCTAATCAGAGATGAATATTAACCAATGAGATCTCTTGGGTATACAGGAGGACAAAAGAAGACACACATAATTGATGGTTTTCTTAAAATACTTTTTTAAACTCCAGCTGACTCCATTTAAAGTATTGCTGTCTTCTAGAATGTTTTGGAAACTATGCAAGAAACCAAATGCATAAAATAGCTAAATGTACTACTGTAACATATGTAGACTGTTTTTGAGGTGTCAACAAATATCAGGTTTTTTCATCTATGTTTTTCAGTAACTTTTTTCAATTAAAAAAGTGTTATTTCTACTTTAAAGTTTTAAAATACATGTTTAAAATAGTGTGAAACTTAATATGTGATGGTACCTGAAAACTTGAACTATGGTGCATATGTTTCATTCAAAAAATAGCGATGATTATTGTAGCGTTTCAGCTGATTGTTACTGAACAGTTCAATACCCATATTTTAGGGTCACTTACAGAATATGTTAGACATCAGCCTGTGAGTTAGAATGCCTGAGTTTTAGTCTCCATAAGACCTTCGGCCAGACCCAGTGGCTTACGCCTGTAATCCCAACACTTTGGGAGGCCGAGACGGATGGATCACTTGAGGTCGGGAGTTCAACACCAGCTGGCCAACATGGTGAAAAGCCATCTCTACTAAAATACAAAAATTAGTGGTAGCAGGCACCTGTAAACCCAGCTAATCAGGAGGCTGAGGCAGAAGAATTGCTTGAACCCAGGAGGCAGAGGTGGTGGTGAGCCGAAATCGTGCCACTGCATTCCAGCCTGGGTGAAAGAAGGAGACTCCGCCTCAAAAAAAAAAAAAAAGAAAGACCTTCAACCAGTGGGTGACTTTGAGCAACCTTAGTTCACAGTGTTCCCTCTCCTGGAAAATGAGAGATTGGATTAGATAATATCAAAGGTCCATTACAACTATAGCATCCTCATAGTTCCATGCTTCCTGCTTTCATTTTAAGACCTTGCCCAATGACTTGTAATATCAACCGTGGGCTAAATACCTGCTCAGTGCAATACATATTGAAATGTAGCTCACGTATGTTAAAAGGCATTGTAAGGATCTCACAGAACAGGTACCCCGTCTGGAGTCATGTGTCTTAAGGCAGTTTCAAAAGGCCCAAAAGTGTCAGGAAATTATACAACAAGTATTTTCAAACCAACAGATTATTGGCAGACCTGGTGGATAAGAAATATAAAGCATAATCCTAAAAGTTTGATATCATTTCAGACCATATGAAATTAAAATACAGCAACTTAGAGTTTATGTAAGTATCTTGAATGTAAGGCATTGATTATGGCAACACAAACATAAATAAGAAATGATTTTCCAAAGGATGATTAATTAGTACAGTTCACAAGTAATTGTTGAAAGTGAGTAATGCTATAGATTCCTCTCTGCAGTCTAATAGTCCCTACAGCAGAGTGTTATGCCTTAGAGAAAAGAATTCTGGGGTTTTTAATTCAGTTGACCATAAAGCCAAAGAGGATTGGAGTTTCTCTTAACATTGTTGCTTTTAAGATTTAAGAGACTCAAACACACATATGTGCCAATGGGGAAGAATACTAGAGAGTGATAAAATATTAGCATTGTCCAACTCCAAAATAAATTGCTTATTGGGTATTACTGATACATTCTACCAAATGTTCTTGCTATAGTCTTTTCTGGTCTCCCTTATCCTTTCTCAAATGAGTGCCTCTGCACATGGTTAGAAGTTGTTCTTTGCCAACTCTTCAGCAGACACCCTTTATGGTCTTCAAACACAAAACCCAAATGTCACTTCCCAGAATCTAGCACATTCACATTTTCTAAACTGGAATGGAGAGAAATGTATGTAAGGTATCTCTCACTCCTCCTGAGCATGATAAAATGCTCACTCCCAAAATCTGGCTAACAATTATGTGACTCATAACAATAAAGAAACAAGAAAATTAGTTTATTTCCTTCTAAGACTTATGAAGTTAATTTGAAATTTCTGCATTCTTCAGTTTGTGCATTTCTCTTTAGTCTTACTAGATACACGGTTTTATATATTTTATAGGGACAGCCTTTTTATGGGGACAGCAGAGAGTGAGACAAACTTGGGTTTGGATCCTCACTGGATTTGTGACTTCGGCAAGCCACTTAATCTCTCTGAGACCATAGGGAACTATAATAATATCAACCTTGAGGGACTATAATGAAAATTTGGATATTTCATGGAACATGTTTAGCTGTTGTCACCTCATAGGAATTAATGTACAGAATACAGGAGCAGGAGTTGCCAGAAGAGTACCAGCAGCTGTAGTAGCCTGAGCTACTACTATGAGAAACATAGATGAAAAAACGTGATATTTGTTGACACCTCAAAAACAGTCTACATAAGTTACAGTAGTACAAAATAGAAGCAAAGAGAGCAGTTAGATGACACTAGGCAAGTCTGTTGTGTGGAATAGGGTAATGGTATGGCATACTATTAGTGAATTTTAGATCTATGTTTAACGTTTAAGTAGGATATAAACAAGATTGGGGCCCTCTCCACTTCATCAATGGTTAGCTCAAAAGACTCATCCCAAAAAAGTAAATAGTATCTGTAATGAAACATGGTTGCTATGAATATGCTATTCAGTGTAGATGGGGGGCAATTTAACGTCCAGATCTTCTATGGACATAACAAAAAGATACATATCATAAATATATACGTATAAGTATTACATTACTTTTTTTTTTTTTTTGAAATGGAGTCTCGCTCTGTCGCCGAGGCTGGAGTGCAGTGGTGCAATCTCGGCGGCTCACCGCAAGCTCCGCCTCCCGGGTTCACGCCATTCTCCTGCCTCAGCCTCCCCAGCATCTGGAACTACAGGCGCCCGCCGCCACGCCCGGCTAATTTTTTGTATTTTTAGTACAGACGGGGTTTCACTGTGTTAGCCAGGATGGTCTCGATCTCCTGACCTCGTGATCCTCCCGCCTTGGCCTCCCAAAGTGCTGGGATTACAGGCGTGAGCCACCGCGCCCGGCCCATAAGTATTACTTTCTAAAAATAGTCTTCTTCCCATAGCCCCATCTAGCATGTGGGCTTTAACTTGGATTTAAAAGTTATTAATTAAATAAATAGGGCTCAGCACTTTCCACATCTCACCTTCAAGTATATCTGCAAAGCTTTAAAATGTTGTGATCAGTGTAACCCAATTGAAGCTGGGCCTCTTTGTGGTTTCTCTCAGCATGGAGTTGTATTTAGAAGAAACTCAACATCAGCGTCTAAATTAATATAAAACCAACTTAAAGGTTTATTCCTGACATGCAAATGAAAAAGTTCCAAAGAGAAATTATATATTATACAATATTTTAAATAAATTATTTTAACTCTGTATTTCCCAAAGAACCATTTAGTATAGCATGAACGCTACTTATTACTGTACTTCTTAAAATTATGTTCCTAAAATCATCATGTGTAGCTCTTTATCTCCCTGGCCCCTTTTCCCAAGGTCTCCCTGATGACTTCCTTTATAATGTAAATCAATATGGTTTTACTATGTTTATTTCTTTGCGTCGCTCTGTTCATTATCCCAGACTTGATGGATGCCTGAACCACAAATGGTTTTTATACCTTAGAAATGGGAATAGAGGGAGGGGGAGTTTCTGTGAATATTCATATTAATATTTTTAGTCCCTACAATATCAGAAAACAACAGTGCCAATTATCAATTTGTTGACTCTTATCTCCAAATTCAACTTTTTTGTTAGCTCTCTGAAAATGTATCTGGACCCTTTAAATATTTTTTCTTTGCCTCCTGGCATGATATTAAGCTTTGCAAGTGGGAGGGACTGGAGAGACATTGCAGGAAAAAAGGGTTAGGTTTTGCTTCCTGCTTCTTGTGTGCTTGCTTAGCCAGTTCCTGCAGTGTGGGTGGCTTCTCCAGCGTCCAGTTCCTGTAGTCTATGTGGCTTTCTCCAGCAGCAAGCTATTACAGTGCACTGCAGCCAGCAGTGTTCAGTGGCCAGCAACTCTGCTGGCACCTCCTCAGGCAGTTTTGTGTAGAGTGCCTCAAGTGACACCTCTTATGAACAGCTTTCCCTGGCACCCTAGGGGGAACATTTCCAGCAAGTTCCATTGGCGCCACAGCAACTTCTCCACCATTGAGTGACCCACACCCATGATTGCCTTCTCCAGTAACGCCTTGATCTCAGCCTTGCATGCTCTCTGTCAGGTCTAACAGTGGTGGCTCCTTCATATATCTGCTATTTCTATGTTCTTTAGAATTATTTTTACTTCTTATTAGGTAATCCTCTGTTACTTCAATACTGATACAGTTCATAATTATTTATATCAAACTTTACCTGTCCATATTACTATGTGGTTTCTCCCTTCAGACTGGACTCAGACTGATTCAATCATAACTAATGAAATATGAGAATTACTTCATAAGAAGTTATAATTTCCAAAGAGCCAATTGCTCTTATGTATGAGCATTCAGTTTCACACAGGAAATGACTCAAACACATCTGACCAATTCTCTAACCAAATAATTTAGAAACAGCACAGAATGGATTTTATAACTAGATAGTTTAATTTTCTGAATCCAAACAACCCTTTTGCAATACTAGTAACGGAAACAAAAATTTCTATCTCCTATAAAAGACAATATTACTGAACTTCTTGTTTTTTTAAAAATTGTGTTTAATTTTTTTTAAGTTCCAGGATACACTTGTGGGATGTGCAGGTTTGTTACACAGGTAAAATGTGTGCCATGGTGGTTTGTTGCACCTGTCAACCCATCACCTAGGTATTAAGCCCAGCATGCATTAGCTATTTATCTGGATGCTCTCCCTCCCCTGCCCCCCTGTTACTGAACTTCTATACCTGCTCCTGTTCAAAACATGCAGGTTACCACTGATAAAGGTAAAATAAAACTATAGAGGATACTGAATTCTCAAAACATGATTAGTGGAAAAGGAACCAACTTTTACTAAATATACCATATGTGCCAGGCACTATCTGCAGTGTTGTACACAAATTACTCATTTAAGGATTCCTTATTTTTACGAGACATATTAATGTTCCCTTTAGAATCCCAAAGCAAGCATTGAGTATCTTATAAAGAATCACTGTATTGTGACTTTGAGGACAGAAATCCCTTAGGGAGCTCTGACTTGACCAACGTAGCCAATTCTTTAAAATGACACTTTTCTTTTTATAAAATCTGCCTATTTGCGTGCAATACAAGTGTTTAGAATCTTATGATCTAGGTAAAATATGGAGCTTAAAAAAAGCAGGAAGAGTTTTTTTTTATGTTTTTTTTTTTAAGAAACCACCAGAACCCACATTTGTAAATGAATTTTTTTTCCCCTCTTGGGAGGTGTATTCAAATTCCAGTTATGCTGCACTTCCTCACTAAGTCTTGGAATGTCTTCAGTTGTAAGCCCTTCTGAGCATACTATTGACATATTAAACAGATTGACATATTGAGTAGCTAGCTAGCTAGCTAGCTAGATAGATGGAAAACTAGCTAGATATAGATAAAGATATTAATATAATTAGAGTGAGATATTACATTTGACCCTAGATAATAGTAATAGCATATCACCATTTCATTCAGTGGGTTTGGCACTACATAACTTTTATCTATTTTCAAAAATGATATTAATGCAAAAGAGCAGAAATTTGCTAGAAGAAATAAATGAGAAAAAAATTGAAGAAAAAAATTCATATTGTACTCTCTGGGCCATTTCATAGGAAATATTCAAAAATCTTTTGAGCAACAAGGGCAGTATTAGACTGAAATTTCTACCACACTTTAAAAAAAATCAATCACTAAGCCAGATGTGGTGGCTCATGCCTGTAATCCCAGCACTTTAGGAGGCCAAGGCAGGCAGATCACGAGGTCAAGAGATCGAGACCATCCTGGCCAACACGGTGAAACCCCGTCTCTACTAAAAATACAAAAATTAGCTGGGCATGGTGGTGCTTGCCTGTAGTCCCAGCTACTTGGGAGGCTGAGGCAGGAGAATCACTTGAACCTGGGAGACGGAGGTTGCAGTGAGCCAATACCGTGCCACCGCCCTCCAACCTGGCAACAGAGAGAAAAAAAAAATCAATTACTAACATAAATTTACAATTGCTATATGAACACGTCACTTTTTGTGTCCATCACAAATTGACCCCACATTGTTATTATTATTACCCTCCAGCATAACCTCTCTGAGCCTATCAAGTTAGATTTCTTACAGTTTCCCTCTATGCATAAAAATTTCCTCCAGTCCAAAACCATGCAGTATTTCACAGCAAAGTCTCACAACCTCTAATAAATCATCTCTGAGTAAGCCCCTATGTTAATCTTCTCTCTTTTATTTTAGCTTCCCTCACACATCATGCTTTTAATCTGTACACACTGGCAAACATTGTTTACATATTACCTTAGACTTGTTTTCTAGTCATTGTATGTATTTTTGCTTTATGTCTCCAATGGATCTAGTAGCCATTGCACTTATTTATCTGTTCAATATCATCTATTTTATATACCCATTCTCCAGTGGATCTACTCACCATTTATTTACCCATCTATTACATAAGAAACAGACATGGCATGTAGCGAATATAAAGGTTAAGGATGGACTCTGAATGGAGGTGACATTTTAGAGGGTCACTTGGAAAACAAGAAGAGGAAAACAAGAAAAGGACCACCTTAAAGGGTGGAGGGAAGAGACTTCCCGGACAAAAACAACTGCATAGCATGAGTCCCATGTGAAGAAAGCCTGGAATGTTCAAGGAACTGCAAAAAGGCCAGGGTGGTTGAAGAGTGATGAGTAAGGAGAATGACCTAAAATGAGGTTGGAAAAAAGGGCAGAGCCAGCTCACACAGGGCCCCGTTGGCCACTGTCTGGAGCTGGATTTCAGTCTGAAGATAATCAGAAGCTGCTGGAGATTTTCATCCAGGGAGTGACAAGAATTGATATACACTCCAGCTACTCTGACAAATTGGTTGAAAGGGACAAAATAGAAGCAGAGAGAGCAGTTAGATGGCACTAAGCAAGTCTATTGTGTGGAATAGGGCGATAGTGATGGAATGGACTAGAAAAGAGGCATATTGGTGGCAGATTTGTTGATAGACAAGATATGAGGAAATCAAACAAAAGGAGAAATTGAGGATAAGTCTTATAAAAGTACTGACCTCCCCTTCAGATCTCCGTGAATTTAATATACACAATTAAGTTACGTTAAGTACCTGTTGGGGAAGCCAAGTGAGGGCAACAAGGGAAGGACAGCAATGCTTTCCCTAACAAAGCAAAGAATGGTACATGAGACCCTGGCGGACACAGCAAGGACTTCAGTAACATTAGTCACCATCTGAGTGACCACAGAAGATCACTTAACCTCTTATGTCTGTTTCCTTCTCTGTGGGCCAGGACAGCAACATCAAGGGTTTGCGCTCTGGAATCAGACTGCCTAGGTTTTTATTCCAGCTCTTTTGCTTACTCTTAGACAAATTGCTTATCTTCATCCCAGTCTGTAAAATGTGAATAATAACAAGACCTGTGTCTTGTGTTTATAGTGCAGGTTAAATGAAATAATATGAATAATGCATTTAGAACAGTGCCTGGTGCATAGTAAGCAATAAATGTATATCACTAGCTGCTGTGAAATGGATTGTTGGGGGGATTAAATGAGAAAATGTTTGCATAGTAGATAAAAAAATTATAGCTTGCAAAAAACTAAACTGCCTTTGTTTTAGAGAGAGAGAGAAAGAGAGAGACAGAAAGAGAAACTGTCTTTGCTTTAGAAACCCCTAATGGGTGGATTTATTTTTTAAGATGAGACCTTGTTGTGACTCTACTGGGAATGAATCAAGGAAATAGCTTAACTGTTTTGCACAAAACAGGATCATTTAGAAAGAGCTAGAAAGGAAGCAAGAAAATGTTGAAGAAAGACAAAGTCCTTGGAACAGGCAGGAGGCTGGAACCCAAGTAGAAGAAATTACTAGTGGAAATTCCACCATCATTGTCCTAAAACACTAGTAAACCTGCTACTTACTTGGGTTGGTGTTATCTGGCATGAGTAGTCAGGGCTCTCTGGTAGGGCAATGTGGAAATGATGAAGGCAGAGCATGCATACACACAAAAAAGTGGACTCAGAGATTTCTCAATAACAAATGTTGAACACATGTTACAGTTACTGGCACAGAGGAAGCATTCAATAAATATTAATTTCGTTTTCTGATTTGTGATATAAAATGTAATCTCTGACCTTGGAGAGTTAACAAATTGGTTGAGAGTCCAATGATTATAGGCATAAAACTATTAGAAGAAATATAAGCATACAACAACAACATGGTATACAAATTATAGGCACTGTAGAGTTTATAAAAGTCAGGGATCAATCAGAGAAGTTCTGGATTATTTTAGAAAAGATTCTGAATTAGAATAAATAAATAATTCAAATAATGTCTTACATATATGAGGTGTTAGATCCATATTTAATATAATTTAAAGACAGGAAAAGAGTAAGAAGTTTTTTCCAAAAAGAGATAAAGATCAAGAAAGAAGAAGAAAGCCTAATACATTTTGCTTGTGTACTAGAATGCTATACTGTATCTGGGTTTGATTGATAACTAATATGAAGTTATTCTTGAGCAGGGAAATGGCATGTTTTAGAAAAGATGACCTACAAGGAGTTAATGGGCTAAATCAAAGATTGAAGAAAAAAAGTGGAAGGAAAAAGATCAAGGAAAAAGCTGGTTGCAGTCATTCTGGCTGAGGTTAACAAAAATCTGGATTTGGTCATTGGCAGTGGGAGGGGGAATGGGAGGAATGAGTGGCTCTGGATGATGTTCAAATAAAATCATGAGCTAGGGAAAGCAGGCTAGCATGACATTGATGGCAATAAATAAAATAAATATGAAAGTATAGCACAGTTGGTGATAGAAACAAATGCAAGTAATTTATTCGCATCACCTTATTTTTGCCCTAAATATGACTCATAGTTCTGCTTGGTCATCAACTAGTGCCACATGTAGTCATATTCCTGGCATACGGAATAACTATTTTATTGTACCCAAAAATTTGCTCACTGGGCTCCAGCTGTTTCATAGTCTATCCACACTGAGCCATGGCAGATACAATTCTCTTGTCCTGAGGAAAATGTTTAAAGCAAGTCAGAATCTCTTTTGAATAGGAATAGAGCAAACCTTTTAACTTCCCAGAGATTCTGGTTTCCTAGAAGAGTGAACATAATGAGTCTTGAGTACTTACTATGCTCATTTCCACTCTGTCAATGAGGGCAAACTAGTGGTATGACCTAGGTGCTATTTTGGTCTCTGTTTTGAACTGAATTTTTTTTATGAACTCCAAATTTGTATATTGAAGTCTTAACTCCCACTGTGATGGTATTTGGAGATGGGTCCTTTGAGAGTTAATTAGGTTTAGATGAGGTAATGAGGTGTGGCCCTTTTGATGGGATTAGTGCCCTTGCAGAAGAAGAAACCAGAGAGCTCCTCCCACTCCCCCACCCCTCTACCTTGTGATTATATAGTAGGAAGGTGGCTGTCTGCAGGCCAGGAAGAGAGCCCTCACCAGAACCTGACCATGCTGACACCCTGATCTCAGACTTACAGCCTCCAGAACTGTGAGGAGAAAATTAATTTCTGTTGTTCAGGCCACCCAGTCTTTGGCATTTTGCATGGCAGCCTGAGCTAATACAGCCTCTCAATAGCTAAATGAGGAGCCCAAAAGGTTACCAATTTAGAAAGGCCAGGGAAATGTGTTACTGAGAATGTTGCATAACGAGAATGTCCATTATGTTGTTTTTTCCATTTCTACTCTGCTATAGTCTGTGGCCTGAGATAACAACTTTATCAGACTTTAAGATTATCCTGGACCAGCTCTGTCCAATAAAACTATAGTGAGATACACACAACTAATTTAAAAATTTTTAATAGCTACATTTTAAAAAGTCACAAGAAGTAGGTAAAATTAAATTTAATAACTCAATTCAATATAGTCAAAATATTATAGACATGCTACCAATATAAAATTATTAATAAGATAGTTCAAATTTTTTTCCTACTAAGTCTTTAAAAATTGTTGTGATGTGCTATTTTACTCTTATAGCACATCTCAATTTGGACATGCCACATTTCAAGTGCTCAATAGATACATGTGGCTAGTGGCTACTGTACCAGATAGTGTTCTAGACATTTCATTTTTTTAAGAAAGACATAGACACAGTTTGTTTAAATATGAAGTCCCAGTTTTCTTCTTGAGGGTTATTACCTGGCTTTAAAGTCCCTTATTTTTCTCTTAACTCTTTGAAGTCTTCTCTTTCTGGTTGCGCCCATCTTTGTATCATAAAACAATTAATTATAAGACCACGTAATGGACACTGTGGTCCTGCTATGGTTTGAAAGTGTGTGTCCCCTAAAGATTCACATGTTGGAACCTAAGACCCAATGTGATAGTATTAAGAAGGGTCTGTAGGAGGTTATCAGACTATGAGGGCTCTGTCCTCATGTGTGGAATTAGTGCCCTTATAAAAAGGCTTACGGGAGTCAGCTATTAGGCTCCTTTCGCCCTTCCACTCTTTGTCATATGAAGACACAGCAAGAAGGCCCTCACCAGACACCCAAATGCCAGTGCTTTAATCTTGGACTTTGCATCCTTTGGAACTGTGAGAAATAAATTGCTATTGTTTATAAATTACCCAGTCTTAGGTATTTTGTTATAGCAGAGGAATGGACCAAAACAGATTCTTTGTGAAGATTCCCTCTTCAGGGCCAAGGTACTCACCTTCCTGGGGCTATGAATATGGCTGCTGACAGCTCACAGCTGCCTCTCTTAACGAGTATTGTCCTAGGCTGTGGGGAACTATTTCCTCTCAGGCTATGCCCTCTGGAGGGTAGCCTGAAGCCAAATAATGACTGATGAGGGGCATAAGTCTGTTTCATTTACTCCACTTGAGACAACTCTGAAGGGACAGTCCAAATCCTGAAGTCTCTGAAGGGCTGGCTGAGGCCTCCTTTGACACTGTACTGCAGTTCAGCATTTCACTCTGCCCCATGCTGTTTCCTTCACTTTCCTACAGGTGTCTCTTGTAAGAGCAACTCCCCCTTACTCCTTCCAAAAAAATAAGCTGACTCTGTTTGCATCTCTTCATCTCAAAATCTGTTTCCAGGGAACTCAGTTTAAAAGAGAATATAAAGTAGTCTCTTTTTTACCAAGGCAAAATCATTAGCAGTGTTTGAAGTAAGGGAGGAAAAGCAGAACAAGGCTCTGATTCATTTTTGTGTCTTATACTTCCCCACATGCGAGCAAGGCTAGGACGTACTCTGACCCTCTGGCTCTTCATGTCTGTTCACTCCCATTGCCTTTCTTTTCCTATATTTTTCCCAAAGATCAAAGTGACAACTGAGTAAAGGGTATAGTCAAAACTCAGGTTCAGCAACTGCATTGGTCAAAACATGAGAAACATAACCCCAAATGAAAAAGATATCAATGGCACAATATGGTAGCCCATACATGTATTGACACCATTAGAATACTGTCTTGTCTTTACTTTTCCTGACTCTCCAGGGCTGATCTGCATGGGTAGAGATGCTGAGCAGTTCTGCCATTGACATTAGTAGCTTCATCTTCTAATGCAATCATTGCCTTCATTTTCTTTCTTCTTCCTCAGGGAAATTCCACCCTTCTAGGCTTTATATTTATGACCCCATGCTGGTGTCTGTGGGTCTCTGCTTTCCCAGAACACTCTCTTCACTGCCTTAGACTGGTAGTCTAGTCCAGACTAGTAGTCTTTTAACGCTTTAAAAGATGGGGTGTGGGGAGATCAAATACTCTTTGTCTTAAAACTTGGGCTTGTCTGCTACACAAAGTCCTGCCCATGGTAGTGGCAGTCACATAATAGGACAGTAAATTAATGCCTGAACAGATTGTGCAGTTCCACAGAGTCCACCTTCCCCGGCTTTCCTTTCTCCTGCCTACTGCTTCCTCCATCCTTCTTCACAACTCCCTCCCCTGTGACGCTTTCTTCCAGAGGATGAGTCTGGAGGAGGAGGCAGCATGAAAGGGAGAACTTGCTGCATCAGAGTTTGTGCCAATTGGAGGGAAAGCGCAATCCCTCAGCAGCCTGATGGTCCAGATGGCCCCAAAGGCTTTGCAGAGCTCAGAGGCCCCCAGACAACTCCTTGTCTACATCAGCTTAGCATTGCCACTAAAATTGATGTTATACCAAGTCATCCCCCAAAAGCATGGTAAATCACTTGTTATAAAAAAAGAGTCCCACAGTTTTGGCACATGAACCTCACAAGGATTTTTCGAGATTTCTAGCATTTCCAGAATTTAATCAAATGATTGTTCTTATAATTAATTATAGTATTCTAGTACTATTATATATTTTTATAAAAATTACAATTGCTGAAAAGAATCACAGTGGAACACAGTATTATTAGATAATGCATTCATTCAAATTTCACTAATTAAAATGTCAAAAGGAAGTAGACATGGAGTTCAACTAATTCTCAATTTACTAATCCATAAAACAGATACTTCTCATAAATAGCTGGTAATCTTTCCTCAGTTCTCAGGAAAAATAACTGAATAGCTGCAGTAAACTCTCCTATTACTAATTCTCCACATTACAATTTTTTTAAAACCTACAATTTATCTTGAAAGGCACCCTGAAGCAGTAGCACAAGGATTAAATGCCCATTTTTAGATAACAATAGTTAACGTCTAATTGTTTAATAAAAAAAAGGAGCTTGACCCTTTCCTGGTAACACCTGGAAGTGCTCCCTCTTGGTGTTGTCTAGCCTGGGCCATGGAGGGCCGCAGGACAGCTCCGTATCCTCTCTGTCATTCATTCATTAATTCATTCAGGCAACGATATTGATTAAATACTTATTTTATGCCAAGCATTGTTCCTCAGCTCTTGGGATATATGAGCAAAACAAACAAAAGTACTTGCCCTCATGGAGCTCCATGCAGGGAAAAGAGGCAATAAGCAATAAAAATAATAAATGTTTTAAGATGTTGGATGGTGGTAAGATCTATGGGGGGGAAGAAAGTAAGATCAGAAAAATGGGAAGCTAAGGGGAGCTGATTTTAAATGGGGAATTGGGCCTAATTTAGAAGGTAACATTTGAGCAAGGACTTAGCCCATTTTGGTAATGTCTTTATTATTTTTTCATCCATAAATCTTATGTTCCTATCATTCTCTTTTTCTTTCCCAGTGCCTTCTACCAGACACATAAGAAACATTATGTATGCATGGGCTTAAAACTACACAGACCTTGAGTCAGGGCCAGTTAATTTTTTCATGATAGCATCTGATTTATATCTGGAAAACCTGAGGCCTGGCCTTACACATTGTAACAGTATGATATGACGATATGATGTAAGATATGCTACACAAATTTCTGTCTTCTCCTTTCCTAGTCTCTTTACTGCCTTAAAATCTACTTCCTGAAATAGTTACATAACTTTCCCATCAGCCAGCCATGCTGCCTAAATTCACCACCGTTAAGATATTCATTACTTTAGATTAAAGCATGGCATTTTTAGTGATTCTCTTTTAAAATTCAAACTTGCCATGGGAATAAGACTTTAAAAAAAATCATTCAAGCTCATGAAAGAAAAAGGCTGCATTTGTGGCATGGCTCCCTCTGATGGGCCAGCGGCCAAACTAGAGGACACGGAGTCCAGGAAGTCCACAGCGGAGACCAGGCAAGGACTGGAAGGTCCTATACTTGACCCTGATATTTTTTACTTACACAAAGAAATATGTTCTATAACTTTCTTGATTAGCTGGCCCTCTCACCTAATTTTATTTTCTCACTGGGATACCATATTTTTTACCTCTGATGGAATAGCACACCAAGGAAGGGGTATGGTAGGAGTAGAGTCATCTGCCTCAGCAGGAAAAAATGTTCTATCTTGAAAATAGTTTAGATTTTCTGGACATGGTGATAATAAAGAGAAGACCAACTTTTAGTGAGAATTACTACTATTTACAAATATACCGTAGACATTGCACCGCTTTTTTTATCTGCTTCCAGGGCAGACCATGGCACCAAGCCCCACCTTGGTACTCATGGCTCTGAGACATGTATTTCCAGAGTTTTCACTATGTACACAGCTACATAAACATTTCCTTCTTCCCCTCCACAAAAATAAAGTCGTATTATATATACTAAGCAACAGAATGTAGACATTTTCCATGTCAACCAATTTAGACCTGCACCATTCATTTTTATGTGTTACATAATTTATTTATCTAATTTTGTCTGGATGAATTCTTAAATAGTTTTAATTTCTGGATATTGTAAACAAAGTTTCAAAAAGTATTCTTGAACTTGCATCTTTGTACATTTATCCAATGTTAACCTTAAAGTACATTCCTAGAGTTAGATTTGCTATACCAAAAAATATGCATAATTTTGACATTTACTCGTAAACTTCCCTCCAGAAAGTTTTCAGTCCTTCTTCTACCACCAGCTGATTATGAAAGTGCCAACTTCTCTACAGCCTTGCTACCAGTGTGGTTCTCCAATCTTTTTAATCTCTGATAATCCAAATTAAAATGATCCTATTTTGATATTTTATTTTGCATTTCTTTGATTCCTGGTAATATTTAACATTTTTATTTTTATATTTTCACCTTTTGTGAATGTGTGGGTTTGCCTGCATGAACTGCCTGCTTTGGTCCTTTACCCATTTTTTTTTTTTTTTGAACTGCACTGTGGACCAAATGTTCCTAAAAAGGGAAAAAGACGCCAAGCACAAATTCCATCTATAGTATGAGACTACTTAGGAATAGACCTAATATCCATCACATGAGTTTGTAGACTTATTTTTGAACTTCTGAAATGATATTTAAAAATCATATGGCTTCTGTATTTCTATGAATGTAAGCATTTCCCTTCCTACAATGTGTTCTCAACACCATTTGTTGATGACATGGCAGGGACTGTTAAGTGTACCTCCAATTCTTATTCTGGTCTTCACAGGGCAGATCTCTTCACTACCTGCTTTGGGAGATGAGGACATGGGCTTTCCTGCCCTCTGTCTACCTTACCTACCTTTCTTCACTCTCTTTCACTTCCCGACTTTGGTTACATGTACATTTACCTTTATACTTGTCAAGGTTGACAATTTCTCTGACTATAAAGGTCTCAGTGACTTCTAAAAATTTTAAATCAATAAACAGTTTAAATTGCTATGGCTACCTAAGCATTGCTCTTGAGCTAACTGGTTTGGTAGGATCACATTTCTTTCTCTGTGGCACCAATTCCCGTGCTGTTCAGCGGAGAACGTACATAGAGATTCTGCTTTTACAGTCCATCTAGTATCTCCAAACATTATTGTGACTACCAGAACTCTTGGTTCCAAATGGTATGAAAAACAACCCAAACTTGGAAAAAAATTACTTACTCAAGAAAATAGATCTGACTTCAGAAGTGGCTGGAGATAGGAAGTCACACAATGTTTGTTGTTAGCATCTGGTCTGGTCATTTGCTCTCTGAGTGATGGCTCTAGTACTTTACTTCTTTATTTTGCTGAAATACACCCTTGAGTTCCTTTCTACAAAAGAATGCTTGGAGTATAAACTCTGAATTATGACACATCTGAAAATCTTTTATTTGGTCTTCATATTTGGCAGTGTCTTAGCTAAGCAGATTCTAGTTTGATTAGCATTTTATTTCAGAACTCTGAAAAACAGATCCATTGTTTTGCAGCATCTGATTGGCAATGACAAGTGTGTGGTCAGTCCAATTCTTGCTTCTTTCACATGATACTTTTTTTTTCCTAAGGAAGAATATAAAATTTATCTTTATAATCAATATTATAGAATTTCACAATTATGTGTTTAGGTAAAAGTCTTTTCTCATATTTTGTGCTGGACATTTTGTGGGCCCTGAAAAATGTATTTTCTTTTACAGTTTGGGGAAATTCCCTTGCATTCATTCTGTAAGAACCTCTTCCCCTCTGCCTTCTCTGCCCTTTATTCCTCAAACTTCCTGAGTTTATATGTTATGTCTCTTAACTTTCCATTATATTATCCAACTTTGCCTTTCTGTTCTGAGAGGCTTCCTCAATTTTATTTCACAAAACCTATTTTGATTTAAATAAATTTTGGTGATCATATTTTCAATACATTAGAGCATATTCATCAAGGTTCTTCAGAGAAAAGAACTAATGGGAGATAGACAGGTAGGTAGGTAGATAGATAGATAGATAGATAGATAGATGATAGATAGATAGATGTTAGATAGGTAGATAAGAGGAGACTTATTATGGGTTGGCTTATGCAATTATAGAGGTTAAAAATGGGGAAGGGCCCTGGTGTAAGTTTCAGAGTCAGAAGGTCTGAGAACCAGGATCCTAGGGCAGGACAAGACAGATGTTCCAGCTCAAGAAGAGAGAGAGAATCATCTTTCCTTTGCCCATTTGTTCTATCTAGACCTTCAATAGATTGGGTGATTTCCACCCACATTGATAAGGACTGATCTTCTTTGCTCAATACTGATTCAAATGCTAATTTCTTCGAGGAACACCCTCAAAGATAAACTCAGAAATAATGTTTTACCCACTATCTGGGCATTCCTTATCCCAGCAAGTTGACACATAAACTTATCTATCACAGAAAGTTTTTTTGAATGTTACATTTTTTAAACTTGGTCTCCAAATTGTGGCAGTATCTTGTTGAATCTCACTGAGAATGCTAATTCAAAGTTTTTAAAAGGCTTCTGTTCCCAGAATTATCTCTATGGTCATTTTCAAAATTTATTCATCTTGCTTAAAAAATTGTTTTTTCTTTCATGTTTTGGGGTTTTGATTCTTTTTCTTTTTTCTTTTTTAAAAATATTATTCTTGTCTACTGATTCTTATTTTTGTTGCAGATTAAGAATGAGGTGAGACTGGAGAGATCCCGGTATACAGTTGGTGGGTTTAAGGATAAAGGTCAGAAAGCCATTAAACTGGAGGACTGGATTGACTTTGATGCACTGACTCCCATACATGCTCCTAGGATAAATGCTTAGTTGCAGATTTTTTTTTTTTTTTTTTTTTTTTTTTTGCACCCAGAGGTGAAGAGTCCATGTATGGATTTCCAACCAGTTCTCTTTTTTCAGCCCCATCTCCCTTTCTTACCCTCAGTGGTAAATGCCATCTCAAATATGGAACTGTTTCATGCTTCTGCCAGGCAAAATGATTCCTTTCTAGGTATGGTCCAGGCGGCTGCTATTTCTATTCTGCTTTATCCATTGATGATACTTCTTCAGTCTCTTCATTGTCATGTGAGAATCCTTTTCCTCCTTTACAATCAGCTTAATGGAGTTTCCAAAGGCAAAGAGATCAGTGTATATGTTCAGTATGGCATCTTAAACTGGAAATCTCTCCATCTGTTTTATAAAGAATTGGGGATATAACTCAAGGCATTTATCTGCTGCCCTTAATTATTGCCATAATTTGAGGTGAATTAAGTTCCCAGATGAACATCCCAAAGGATATCTTAGCCTCTCACTGCTTTGCCAACTATATCTCTAAGGACCTTCACTTCTTTCTTCTATCTCAGCTACTTACTTCTGTGACCATACCTTAGGCCTCGTTGTAACTTGAACTGAAATCTTAAATACAACCTGCTGCTATCTGGTAAAAACCTCTTTTATTTCCCACCTTATTACTAGTTACTACTAGGACTCATACTTTGAACTCATCAAAATGTCCAGTTTTTTAGCCCATGTATTTTTTCCTTCCATCTTCAACTCCTCCTAGTTCCAGCTGGATCACACATGCCAATCACTGTGCCAATATATACCCTCCTCTGAGAGCCCTAAACATAGGTTAAATTGTGTTATAATGTAAGACTATCTGGGTTTATCCCATCCCTACCACTCAAAAGTTATGGGACTTTGGGGAAGTTATTTAGATTTTGTGTGCATCCATGTCCTCATCTGTAAAATGAGGATAATAATAGTACGAATGTTCTGGGGATAAAAGGAGATAGCACGTGCAAGTGCTGAGAAAAAAACGTCATGATCAATAAGAGTATTCAATAGACATGAACTAGTAGTAGTAATATTCTCTAATCTAAAAATGCTAGTGAAAAAACAATATGTGTTAACAAGTTATGTTAGTCTATAGGTGCTTACACATTCTATTTATACTATTTAAACAGTCTTCTTGTTGGTTAACCACTTCTAAAAAGATGTAGTATTTCCCTATTTAAATGACAATGAAGCACTGATTTATCTTCTGAGTCTTTGTGTCCTCAGCACTCAAAGAAATGGGTTGTGTCTCTGTTCTGTTTCTTTTCTAACCCCATTTTGATAGTTAACCCTTTGGGTCTCCAAGGAGCACTTGCCCTAATTATGATAGGATAATGAAACACTGACATCTAATTATAACATTTATGAAGGTAGTAGATGCCAATTACAAACTAGGAGGCATGTGGCTTTATATTCTTCCTTATGTAACAATTGTGGTTTTAGAAAAGAGATCAGATTCAAAAAATAGTTTGAGCTATATCATTTCCCACTGATGCTATATTATGCCACTTCTTCCAGATCTATAACTATGTGATAGTTATTTTGAGCTTTGAAGACCTCAGGACTCTTTCTAGCTTGGAACTCAAAAATCTCTTTGACGATGGGTATTTTGTTGAATCCTTTCATTTAAGCAAGTCCCTGGAGGAAGAGCTTTTAACCCAGGCACTATATAAATAATCATCGGATTAATAGACCCCGATTAAAAAAAAACTGTAAACAAATTAATATTTTGAACACAGTCCTTGTAGAGTGAAATTGTGTTCTTTTGAGATATGTGTAACAAAGTACTTTGAGGATGTGAACATCATTAATATTTTAGCCTTAATTATTTTACCCTCACAACCTTAAGTGTCCCCCAACAGCAAATCAGTGAAATGTCAATTATAATTTTAAAAAAAATTTATCACTTTGGAATAAAACTTTAGGAAGTATCACAAAGAAGCAATGTAAGGTGGTAACACTGGGTCCTGTTAAAATCTTGGGCAAGTTATCCAGTTTTTCTAGGCTGTTTCCTAATCATCAAAATGAGTTTTGGTATGGATCAGATGAAATAATGCATTAAAATCACTTTGTAGATAACAGTAAACAATAAATGTTTATTGAATCTGAGGAATCAAATGGGTAGGATGTTAGGAGCTGTTAGGCTCTCTAGAAGCAAATTTTTACTTTAAAGAGTATAAAATCAGGCTTATGTTTACTGCACTTGTATCCTTATTCCCCTTGTAACTTGTCCTTAAATAATTTGTCATGGCTTTTGGTTAATAAACACATCTCTCTTTCATCTCCCCACCATAAAATAAAAAGATAACATCCTTATGCTCTCAGCATGGTCTTACCTTCAGACTCTAGAAATACATAGCTGGATGTGTTTTCTGGGAAAACATATAAATTAAAATCATTTTTGGCAGGTAAACATTGGCTACTAATAAATAGTTCTAGTAAGCTCTCCTCCTTATAACCTAAGGATTTATGTTATAGCTCACTTATCCAGTGGGCTTACCAGAATGCAGTCATATTCCAAAGTCAGCCTTACAAGGTCCCTCTCTGGAAAGAACTCAGTTGATGAGCCTCTACTCTCCTAATTGCTGCCCTTACATTTTTACATGACAAATCATCATCCTTTCTGGTTTTGCAGCATTTTAATAGACCCAGAGTTGCTTTCTGAGAAAAGTCTCAGTACTAACAAAGGTTAGAACTAACAAAGGTTGAACTAAGGATGACATGCATGTGGTATGTGCCCTTTCCAGTCCTCTTCCCAGGTCCATGAAGAAATCACCAACCAGTGAGAACACTCTTTCTACAGAACACAAACTCAGCTTCAGGCTATTTCTGAACAAGAGCTTTAGGAAGCAAAAGGAAACAAGTATGTAAGAACATTAAGAACATACCTGCCATACTTATACTAGAATGTAAGTTCCTTAAGGGCACAGACTGTGTCTGATTCATTTTTGTTTTCTCAACAAAAATGTTGATGGGGTGTTAACTAATTGTATAAAGTAGGAATAAGAGTCAGTTTCGTAAATGTTTTTTAAAAGTTGACAAAAGTATTTTCATTTTGATTCCAAAATTAAAAAAAGCTAATAAAGATATTACAATATTTTAAAAATCCAAATTTTATGAGAGTTCTTGTCTGGATGAAAATTAGAATACATTCACATTATCTCAAACGAATGAACATGTGTGACTTTATAAAAACAATACCTCCCTAAACCATGAATTCAGATGGAAAAACTCGACATCTTTATTTCTGCAGTCAGTCTCATTTTTCTTAAAACAGTTCAAACTAGTAAGAATTTTCCAGAAGTTACAGCTTGACTCACCCAACCTTCCAAGGAAAAAACAAAAAAACTTAAACAGACATTGTTTCACTCTCATCATTTCCCACCCTTACTAATAGTGGCAACTTAAGTGTATCTTAAAGCACTCCAACCTCTTCATAGAGCCTATTAAATGAGTATCTTGTGGACACCCACACACAGTCATAGAATCCTAAGTGGTGCTCAGACCAGTCACATGTCAGTGCATTCTTAATTGCTAGAGCTAACATGCTCTCAGCATGGTCTTTTAATTACACCCTAATAATTTATTATAGTTTCTCTCTACAATGTAAAGTCTTGGAAATCACCCACTAAAAAGTGCCTGTGTACTCTGGGGCTTTGGCAGGCTAGGGCAGAACTTCTGAGAACACGGTGTGTTCCAGAGAAGACAATCAATCTGAGAGGACTTACACAGAAACAGTTCATTCAGGACCTGGCTGCTGGCTTTTATCTGAGATCTGAGGATTTCACAATCACTTGGAGATACCTACAAGTGTATAGCACACCTTGGATATTACTCTTAATGATTACTTCATTTTGTAAAGAGGTGACTCCACCAACAGCAAAGGAGAGGGCCCAGCCCCAGCCACCAGGAATACAGTTCTCTGCCAGTAAGTGCCTAATGACTCATTTTCCTCAACAGAATTTTCATAAGGCTGGAATTCAGGGAGGGATGTCTGGAGAATGTCTGAAAGGAAGTTCACAAGCCACTGTCCTGCTCTTTGCTGGAGAAAGTGTCCCGTGGTAGCCAGAGAAGTTGACTAAGGCAAACAGCAACATGTTTTGGTAACATTTCCCCATTACCTTTCATGTACAATCCAAGAAAGGTTGCCATGAAGTGTTTTAATCAGGTTGGGAACATTATAAACTTCGAAAAAAGAAAACCATTAGTGGAAAAATTAAGGACACAGTAGATTTAACAACTGTGTTTACGTGGAACCACAAAATCTATCCAAGTGAATTGCATTAAAACAGACAGAACACTCCAAGAAACTGTTGTATGTGTATTTTTTTTAATTCAGTCAACCATTTTACTAATCTGTCAAGATGACCAATTTCTTTGGAATTATGTAGATTTAGCCAAAATGAAATTATACATAAGATTTACTTTTCTTTTCAGATGCTTTTTTATTTATTTTTAAATCTTTATAATTACTAGATGTTCTCCTCTCTCAGAAGATATTCTGAGAGGAAAGCAAAAATACCACTCTTGTAAAGCCATTTCCATTCTTCCAAAGGTCTGCTGGTAAATTATTCTTACTGATCTTTCCATCTTTCTAGCCTGTGCATACACACCTAACCCATACTAAATTTCACCAGATGGCATTTTATTTCTTTAAAGTAAAGCAGCCGTGGGTTTAGACAGTTGAATTTTTAAACTTCTGTATTTACTGAAAGTGCATATGGTGCTATATGGACAAAGAAATTGTGCTGAAAGAAAAACATTTCTGTCTGCAATACCTCATAATCTTCCAGAGGAAAAAAAAGTGCAGTTATATGGCACATTTCTCACAAAATCTTATGTGGCTTCAATGTTCTTCCTCTGTTAAAAAGTAGATATATGTTTAATGTACAGACCTGCAAGTTTCATTATTTTAAATTCATCTTTTAGTGGCAAATAAAAATGTTATGCAAAACCCAATGACTTGCTAAAGTGATCCTTCAGTGAATTCTAGAAGAAAATGCAACATAAACCTGAACTGGTAAAAAAGAAAAAATAAAAACCTCTGTATGTCAACGTAAGCAGATGTTGGTGTAGTTACAAGGATGAGAAGGCTATAAAACTTCCCTTGAGTCACTCACAGTTCATTTGAGGGCCAAGAACGCCCCCAAAATCTGTTTCTAATTTTACAGAAATCTTTTGAAACTTGGCACGGTATTCAAAAGTCCGTGGAAAGAAAAAAACCTTGTCCTGGCTTCAGCTTCCAACTACAAAGACAGACTTGGTCCTTTTCAACGGTTTTCACAGATCCAGTGACCCACGCTCTGAAGACAGAATTAGCTAACTTTCAAAAACATCTGGAAAAATGAAGGTTAGTATAAGCAACCTCAAGTATTCTTAAAAAATTAGGGTTGGCTGGATTGAACGTGATCAGAGTTTTCTATTGTTTAGAAGGTGAAGATTTGTACATAAGTATTTACTTCCTCAATGGGTTGGGATTGGAAAATTGTTCTAAATATACTGTAGAAACATTTGTCCTTGCAGAGCTGGAAGAATTCCAGCAATTATAGCCGGATCAGTGGAAAACAATCAAAAGCTTTGTGGGGCGAGAGAAAAAGGATTTAGGTGTAAACAAAATCTTGCCATTTCTACTATTTAGCAGGAACTGTGTGTATGCCTAATTCTCTTTATTTTATGTAGACTTGGGTAAAAATCGTATTTGGAGTTGCCACCTCTGCTGTGCTTGCCTTATTGGTGATGTGCATTGTCTTACGCCCTTCAAGAGGTAAGAACTTTCTCTGATTTGCTCTATCTGCCTAGAATAGCTTGGAAAATGTACTAATGCAAGATCACAAGTGGTTGAACATTTCCTAAGTGCTTATGTTCCAAAGTAAGTCTGTTATTTCTAAGAAGACATATAAGCTCACAGATATGTTGTTGTGCAAGACCAGAAATACTGAGGAATTTAAGGCATGGGTAGGAAGAGATTTACAGTGTTATTTCAGCAATAGAAAAACCTAAGAACTATGCTGCATCACCCCCACAACCCCCAAAAATATATGCTAAATACAAGCTTTGACAGGCCTTTAGAAACAACATTTTTAACTAACATTGCTTTTCATTATTAGGTTTGTCTCGTGGAAAGTAAAAATGAGTAAGAATGGAAAAGTTAAAACAGAATCTATGGACTTTTTTTATTACTAAATAGTCTTTCCAAAAATTTAGGGAGGAAGTTGAGAATACAGATCTCAGGAATAGCTGTATAGAAAAAGCAAAGTTGTTGTTTTAGATGTAGTAGCACTGCACATCAAATTAGAAAACCAAACATTGTTAAGCAAGCATTTTGATCAGTCATAAATTGGATCCTTTTACAAAAAAGGCTTAGATTGACACTGATCTCACTTTGCTAAAAATTGGAAGGTACTATGGGCTGATATCAGAGCTAGTTTAAATATAAAGTAGGACTATGTTGATAGATAATCTAGTGATATTAGGGAAATAGCTTTTTATGAAAATATTTATGAAGAGAAACTCAAGCTTCTGAAATGGAAAAAAAATCCAGTAATAACAGGTCTTATGTCTTTGTGTCTAGGAAAGGGGAAAAATTTGTACTAATAAATACTAAAAGTTTATGATAACAAATGTGGGAAATATCTTGGTTAAAAGTTAACTGATAGTAAATGAAGATCAATAAAATAACTTCAGCTAAAGAATGTATGAGTCCTGAATGACTGGACTGTTGCTATTAAAAAGAACATAGAAAAATGTTTTCGAAAATTAAAAATAATCATGAGATTTTCACAGAATTACAAAATAGAATAGGTTAACCCATAAGATGAAGTCAGCTGATATCTTCAGTGTTAATTTCAGTCTTTGTTTCTGCTCTCTGCCAGCACAAGATTCTTCTTAGGCTGTTGAGAGGTATGTAGTGTGTGTACATATCTTTCATAAATTTTCATGTTAAAATTGTTTTCAGACTCATCTCTGAACTCAGTGGTCTTGGGGCCACATTTCCCTCATACCAGCAATTGTCAGGTAGTGGATTAGGTCATATAGATCCTTTGAATGTTAATTCATTAAAAATTAGCTCCTGATTTTTAAAGAAACTCAACCTTGAAATTGATACTCTGCACCCTCAGAAATAAATGTTCTTGGAACAAAAGTTTGTTAATTTTATAGGGCACTTGCCTCCATGTCCATAGGGAAGGATGAATTTCACTATGGAATTCAAGCTATAATTTCTAATAAGAAATGCATTATATTTACATATTTACAAATGATGTATAGAGATACACATACACAGATATTTGTGTGATCACATATAATCTCAATCCCTACCCTCTTTCCAAGTTTAGTTATGTATAGCTTACATATAAATATACGTCGTAAACTATATATAGTATAAAAGTCCTATGTAATTTATAATACAATTCTATTTTCAACTAACAGGAAAATTCTAAGAATAAAGTGATTTCTTGATAGGGTGAAATAATCAAATTAAACTCAAGTACTCAGTGAAATTTGAGTACTCATTCAGAAATAGAAAAATCATAAATAAGGTGAGAACTGTTGTTTTTTGGTTCATTATATCATTCTCTTTCTCTTCTAAATTTGCTGAATAACTTCTCAGAATGTCAGCTAAACAGCTTGTGAATGGCACTAGTCATTACCCTACTTTCCTGAGCAGGACCCGGGGAAGTCAGTGCCACAGGCAGCCCTGAAGTTAGGCGTGGTGGCCTCCTAATTTTCCTCCTTTCTTCTCACATCTCACTGGTCAATCAATCATCTCCCGTCTGGAGTGCCAGGTCCAGTCCTCACTCTCACATCTGCCCAGTGCCTATGAGAATAGGATCTGAGATGGCAAGGCAGGAAAGGGAAGGAGGAAGGGGTAAAAAGAACAGAGAATTCAAAGCTAAGCGAGCTCCTACTTAGCCTCTTTCTCACATTCATCAGAAATCCCATTACTTCACATTTGCCTTAGGTGCCCTCATATCCTCAGCCCAGAATTTTATGCACCAGTGTATGAACTGTCTTCTTCTGAGAAACTTAAAGCCACACTCAGGAAACATTCATTCATTCATTTACATATTAGTGTATTAGTTCTACTAACTCCCTGCTCATCATCATGCCAGTTGCTGAGGATATGGAGGTGCAGCAGTCTAGAATTCCCTCTGCAAGTTGGGGAGTAAGAATCCAGTGCTTTCTGCACCCAAAGATGCATGGTCAGCACCACAGATACCAGAGAAGGATTTGTGTTATTTCACATCACGTCTAAAGGAAAGAAAAAAGAGAAAGGCTCTTCCATCCCAGGAGAACCAGCTTCAGGATTAAAAGGGTTTAGGAATAATTAAACTGGATTATAAGAACAAATATGAAATGTAGTAGTGAAATGAGAAAATCCATTTAGCTCACTTACAAAATATTAACTATAAGGAAAAACTTTTTTCGAAACTTGTAAAATATTCCCTTTTTAGTTTTGCCAAAGTGTGAAGCACACATGAATTTCTACCCCTTACTCCCAGGTTGTCCTTGCCTTCAGCTTACACCCCTTCAACTGACTCCTTTCCTCTCTCCTACCTCCATTCACTTTTTCTTTTGAGGTTCTTCTTCACAAGCATCACCCCTCTTCGTCTGTGAATATGCAACAAGGCTGAGAGTGGAAACTAAGCTCCTTGACTTCCCCTTATTTTTGTTCACCCCAAAGACAAACATAAAGACCTTCTTGCTTCAAGAGATTTAACAGAGGTTACAAAAGCAAAAAACTAGAAGTGAAAAGTTACAGAGGTTGCAGAATTTTGCAGGTAAATTCTACACAAACTTGATTCATGATTTATATTTTCTGAATACCTGGACCATTCCTCCTTGGCTTATAGAAAGAAATCATAGGAACTATTTGACCTCGTTTCAGATTCTTTTGAGTATAGAGTGCCCCACATGGTGATGAACAAATACTCAACAAATGTTAGTTATTTTTTTTCTAAAATTTCTAACATGTAGTAAATACTTCATAAATGATAGCATTTTGTGTCTGTGTTCTTCCATTGTTGAGAATATGTACTTCTACACTCAACAATAGCAACTATTCCATTCTGTGTGATGTATTTCAATTTCAAAAATGTCTTAATTCCGAGAGTAGAGAGCCTTTATCCCAGAATATCATCCCTGTTCCTATCCCCAACTTTTTTTTTTTAACCAAAAACAACAAATGTTTCAGAAACTTTTGTGTCTGAAGCACTCATACAGAACACTGATGGCTCTAGGGCAAAAGCAAAACAAAAGGAAAGAAGAAAGATATAAGAAGCTGAAGGGTGGAGGAATGGAGAATAAGGCTGAGTGAGAGTAAAAAAGGAAAGGGTGGGTGGCTGTGTTGGCTTATGGCTGTAATCCCAGAACGTCAGGAGGCCAAGACAGGAGGATTTCTTGAGCCCAGGAGTTTGAGACCAGGCTGGGCAACATGGCGAAACCCTTTCTCTATTAAAAAAAAAATACAAAAATTAGCTGGGCATGGTGGCATGCACCTTTCGTCCCAGCTATTTAGGAGGCTGAATATCAGAAAAGTGTTTGGGAAGTTCAGGAAACCAAAAGGAAACTGACAGAGCTATGAGACCAAAATCATTTAAACAAACCAACAAAGAGAATATGTATATACATATGTAATTGTGATTCTACATACATACACATATATATATAATATGTAGTGATTATTTAGCTGAGTCTTGCCTTTTATAATGCATTGAAGAAAATATGTGAAGGCCACAGATAATTTGTATAGCACAGAGATCAATATTTTTTAAGAAGAAATATCATTTGGAAAGTCTGAATTTTAGTCAGAAATCCGTTGTTGTTGTTATTATTAGTATTACTAATTAGTATTCTATTACTACTGTAACTTCAACAATCACCTTTGGTAAAATAAGATATACGTGAGATAAAATCATCTTCAAAGGAGATATAAATATGTTAGTAGTAAAGTTAAAATATTTTCCCAGGACTAACATTCAGTCTATGAAACAGAGTCCCTCAAACATCTTAAGAGTTTTAAGCTTATTTTTTCACTATTCTTATGGAGAAAATATGGGAAAGTCTAAAAGGTTAAGGAAAAGTTTCAGAAAGTTCATGAATATAAAAGAGCTTTTTAGTCAAGATAAAGAAATCAAGTTTGCAGTTTATAGTTCTCTAATTTGCACGTGAATTTTAAAATCACAGATGAATCTTGGCAAACTCCCTTTGAGTTTCGCCAAATTCTAAATAATTTAAAAAGAAAACCAAATCTTTGTATGATTCTCACAATGGAGAGGCGTTTACCTGTCTCAGATTTCCAAAGCAAATTGAGTTACAACTTCAACGAGAACATCCAGTCATAGATATACCTTGAAAACCAGATTCAAAAGTCTGAGCCAGAGGTGTGCAATCAGGACTAAAAGTTTTTAAGAACCACAGACAGTCAAACTGAGCCATAAAATATAGCAATAATTGACAAATGGGATCTAATTAAACTAAAGAGCTTCTGCACAGCAAAAGAAACTAGCATTAGAGTGAACAGGCAACCTACAGAATGAGAGAAAATTTTTCCAATCTCTCCACCTGACAAAGGGCTAATATCCAGAATCTACAAAGAACTTAAACAAATTTACAAGAAAAAAAAAACAATCCCATCAAAAAGTGGGCAAACGACATGAACAGACATTTCTCAAAAAAAGGCATTTATGCAACCAACAAACTTATGAAAAAAAGCTCATCATCACTGGTAATTAGAGAAATGCAAATCAAAACCAAAATGAGATACCATCTCATGCCAGTTAGAATGGTGATCATTAAAAAGTTAGGAAACAACAGATGCTGGAGAGGATGTGGAGAAATAGGAATGCTTTTACACTGTTGGTGGGAGTGTAAATTAGTTCAACCATTGTGGAATCCTTGTGATTCCTCAAGGATCTAGAACCAGAAATACCATTTGACCCAGCCATCCCATTACTGGGTATATCCCCAAAGGATTATAAATCATTCTGCTAAAAAGACACATGCACATGTATGTTTATTGCAGCACTGTTCACAATAGCAAAAACTTGGAACCAACCCAAATGCCCATCAATGATAGACTGGATAAAGAAAATGTGGCACATATACACCATGGAATACTATGCAGCCATGGGACATGCAGGGACGTGGCTGAAGCTGGAAACCATCATTCTCAGCAAACTAACACAGAAACAGAAAACCGAACACTGCATGTTCTCACTTATAAGTGGGAGTTGAACAATGAGAACACATGGATAAAGAGAGGGGAACATCACACACAGGGCCTGTTGGGGGGTCGGGGGACTAGGGGAGGGATAGCATTAGAAGAAATACCTAATGTAGATGACGGGTTGATGGGTGCAGCAAACCACCATGGCACATATAATATCTATGTAACAAACCTGCACGTCCTGCAAATGTATCCTAGAACTTAAAGTATAATTTAAAAAATTGCAATAATTAATACAGTAGCATGTAATAAAACGATCTCATAAGACAGTCAAATACTAACCAGTCTCTTTTTATTTCTCATTGTATAGAGAACCAAGAACTTATTTTTCATTTCCAGTATCCTTTTTAATTGACTAATATGCAGTAAGAACAGAATAACTTACAATACTTATTAATATTTATTCCCATTAATAATAAAAACAGTATTATTTAGTATCAAAATTAAAATTTTAAATACAGGTTATGATTTATACTTGGTGGAAAAACAGATGTTAGGACCTTTTAAGGAACAGGATATAACAATTGTATGTTAAAAAAGAAAACAGATAACAGGCCAGGCGTGGTGGTAATTGCAGCACTTTGGGAGGCTGAGATGATGGATCACTTGAGGCCAGGAGTTCAAGACCAGCCTAGCCAACATGGAGAAACTCCCTCCCTACAAAAACACAAAAATTAGCAGTGGTGGCTGACACCTGTAACCTCTGCTACTCAGGAGGCTGAGGCAGAATTGCCTGAATCTGGG
The DNA here is from genome assembly GCF_000001405.40 of Homo sapiens. Lineage (NCBI taxonomy): Eukaryota > Metazoa > Chordata > Mammalia > Primates > Hominidae > Homo > Homo sapiens. Next base: position 162,236,700 of record NC_000002.12, on the reverse strand, counting down.
AGACAGAGGTTGCAGTGAGCCGAGATTGTGCCATTGCACTCCAGCCTGGGCAACAGAGCAAGACTCTGTCTCCCTGCCCCCCCACCAAAAACAAAACAAAATCAGATAACAAATGAAATAGGCACATTGAAATAGGCACACAGAAAGATACTAACTACCAATACTTAAGAAGAAACAGAAAACATGAGTGGTGCTATAACACCAAAAAAGATTGAATTAGTCATTTTAAAACTTCCCACAAAAAAAAAAAAACAAAAACATAAAAACTTCCTAAGCTCAGATGGCTTCACTGACAAATTCTACCAAACACTTAAAGAAGAATTATCACAAATTCTTCACAAACGTTTTCAAAAAATGAAAGAAAACACTTCCCAACTCATTCTATAAGGTATTACCCGCATTACTATAATGCCAAAACCAAAGATGTCACAAGAAGAGAAAATTATAAATCGGTATCTCTTATGAATATGGATGCAAAAATTTCCCACAAAATACCAGCATGCCAAATCCAGCAATATATAAAAAGGATTACACACCATGACAAATTGGGATTTAGCCCAAGAATACAAGGTTGGTTTATCATTTGAAAATCAATTAATAAACTTTATTAATAGAAAAAAGGACAAAAACCTCATAGTCATAATAGACACAGAAAAAGGATTTGACAAAATGCAGCACCCTTTCATGATAAAAACACTTAACGGATTAGGAGTAGAAGGAATTCCCCAACCTTATCAAAGACACCTACAAAAAAAAACCATAGTTAACATCACACTTAATGAAAGCTAATGTCACACTGTGTCCGGAATTGGTGGGTTCTTGGTCTTGCTGGCTTCAGGAGTGAAGCTGCAGACCTTCACAGTGAGTGTTACAGCTCATAAAGGCAGTATGGACCCAATGAGTGAGCACTAGCAAGATTTATTGCAAAGAGCGAAAGAACAAGACTTCCACAGTGTGGAAGGAGACCCCAGCAGAGTGCCACTGCTGGCTCAGGCAGCCTGCTTTATTCTCTTATCTGGCCCCACCCACATCCTGCTGATTGGTCCATTTTACAGAGAACTGATTGGTCTGTTTTACAGAGAGCTGATTGGTCTGTTTTGATAGGGTGCTGATTGGTGCGTTTACAATCCCTGAGCCAGACACAAAAGTTCTCCACCTATTGCCTAGATACAGAGTGTCAATGGGTGTATTTACAAACCCTGAGCTAGACACAGGGTGCTGATTGGTGTGTTCACAAACCTTGAGCTAGACACAGAGTGCTGATTGGTGCACTCACAATCCCTTAGCTAGACACAAAGGTTCTCCAAGTCCCCACTAACCTCAGGAGCCCAGCTGGCCTCACCCAGTGGATCTCGCACCGGAGCCGCAGGTGGAGCTGCCCGCCAGTCCCGCGCCATGCGCTGGCACTCCTCAGCCCTTGGGCCATCCATGGGACCGGGCACTGTGGAGCAGGGGGAAGTGCTTGTTGGGGAGGCTCAGGCCGTGCAGGAGCCCATGGCGGAGGGGGAGGGGCAGGAGGTGACAGGGGGCGGGCGGTGCGGAGGGGGTGACGGGGGACTGGGGGAGTGGGGGGAGTGGGAGAGACTCAGGCATGGTTGGCTGCAGGTCCCGAGCCCTGCCCCGCAGGGAGGCAGCTAAAGCCTGGCGAGAAACTGAGGGCAGCCTCGGTGGGCCAGCACTGCTAGGGGACCCGGTTCGCCCTCCGCAGCTGCTGGCCTGGGTGCTAAGTCCCTCACTGCCCGGGCCGCTGGGAGTGTGGGGCCCACCAAGCCCACGCCCACCCAGAACTCTAGCTGGCCGGCAAGCGTGGGGTGCAGCCCGGGTTCCCCTCCCTGCCTCTCCCTCCACACCTCCCCGCAAGCCAAGGGAGCCGGCTCCAGCCTCGGCCAGCCCAGAGAAAGGCTCCTACGGTGCAGCGGCGGGCTGAAGGGCTCCTGAAGTGCGGCCAGAATGGGTGCCGAGGCCGAGGAGGCACCCAGAGCGAGTGAGGGCTGAGAGGGCTGCCAGCATGCTGTCACCTCTCAACACTGTTTTCCTGCTAAGATCAATAAGAGGACTTGATGTCCTCTCTCATCGCTTCTGTTCAACATTTTATCAGTGGTTCTAGCCAAGGCAATTAGGCAAGAAAAAAATATATAAAGTATCCAGATTTGAAAGGAAGAAGTAAAACTCTTTCTACTGACAGATAACACAATCTTGTTTGTAGAAATCCTAAGGAATTCACTAAAAAACTATTAGAACTAACAATACAGTTCAGTAGGGTTGCAGGATACGAGATCCATGTATAAAGATCAATAGTATTTCTATACACTCTCAATGAGCAATCCAAAAAGATCTAAATAAGTGGAAAGACATCCCATGTTTATGGATCATAAAACAATATTTTTAAGATGGCAATACTGCCTAAATTTATCAACAGATTAAATGTAATCTCTATCCAAATCCTGGATAGCTTTCTTTTTTTGCAGAAAGTGACTAGCTGATCCTAAAATTCATACAAAAATGCAAGGGACCCAAAATAGCTAAAACAATATTGAAAAAGAATAATAAACTTAGAGGAATCACACTTCCTTATTTTAAAACTTACTACAAAGCTCCGTAGTCAAGACAGTGTGTTACTGGCATAAGGATAGATATATAGATCAATGGAATAGAATTGAGTGTCCAGAAATAAAGTCTTTTACTTAGTTAATTGATTTTTGATGAGGATGCCAAGACAATTCAACGGGAAAAGTCTTTTCAACAAATGATGGTGAAACAATTGGATATCTATGTGCAAAAAAAGATGTTGGACCCAATTCCTCACACCACACACAAAAATTAACTCAAAATGGATCAAAGACTTAAATGTAAGAGCTAAAAACTATAAAACTCTTAAAACATACAGATACATTTTTATGTTTTTGAGTTAGGCAAATTTTCTAAGATATGACCAAAAATGCAAGAAACAAAAGAAAACATACATAAATTGGACTTCATCAAAATTTAACATTTTAGGGTGGCCAAGAATACCATTTAAAGAGTGAAAAGACTACCTAGAAAATGAGAAAAAATATTTGCAAATATATATTCGATAAAGGCCATGCATCTAGAATATACAAAGAATTCTGGCAGCTCAATAATAAAAAGATAAATAACTCCATTAAAAAATGGACAAAGGACAGACATTTTGCTAAGGAAGATATACAAATGACTAATAAGCACATGAATGATGCTCAATGCTATCAGTCACTGCAAAATGCAAAACAAAACCACAACAAAATACCAGGAATGAAATTGCAGAGGAGCAATTAGGCATCCGTTAAAGCCTAAAGATTGTGAAATGGCTTGTCCCTGGGGGTGCAGTAGAAATAGAGACAAGCAGTAGACAGGGTTGGCAGGCCTGGGTGTTGGTTAAGGAAGAGGAAGGTCAAGGATCACACCAAAATGTTTGTATTGAGAAACTACATGAATGGTAGGTAGTGCCATTTACTTGGAGAAATTTGGAAGAGGAGCACAGAATTTTTTTTCTTAGCATTAAACATATTGATTTTGAAGTGCTTGTGAGATATGTAAGTGGGGATTTTAAAGAGGAAGTTTAATGTACGTGTCTGGAGTTCAAAAGACAATCCAGTGAAAGTCAGGTGTGGTAGTGGGGTGAGGGGGTGGGTCAGCCCAGGGATATGTAGTAGAAACCTTGGGAGAACGAAATGACCTAGGAAAGTTGCTCTTCCTCCAGCCCCATGTAGAAGCAGTAACAGCCATGCCAAAATGTCAAGTAGAGATTAGAGGAAAATGAGCTGGCAAAGGAGACTGATGTCTTCAAAAATAAACAAGGCTTGCTTTCATCTTCAGAGTCACCAGAGGGTCATTTGCCATTCATGTTCTTACACATTAGGTTGATTATATCTTATGATCTTTGAAAGCCTTAGTTATCCAGAAAAATAAATGAACCCTAATTAAAATAATATAACATAACAATAAAATAACACACAAATGGGCTATTTTTAAAAGCCCGGCAAATCCTTTGAATAACTCATGTTATTCAGTATTGTTCATAGAGAAAACCATGGAAAATTGCTGTTAGAGCTGAGACATTCTTCAAGTAGGCAGTAATAATAGTAGCAGTAAGTAGTTTTATAATAGCTAGCAACCTATTTGCTTTGAAAAAGCTCAAATTGCCTCACTTTCTCTTAACCTAGGTTTTGAGGTGTAATTATTCTACCCCTTTGTGTGTTGCTTGGTTCTTGCCTATTTTTGTGTTTGTTGTATGTTGTTGTTTTATTATGTGTACACTTATACTTTAATTATAGTATAGTGGCAAAGTATCTAAAACCAGATGCAGCTGAATTTAAACCCCAGCTTTTCTATGTATTAGGCAAGTTAGCTCACCTTGCTAATTTTCATTTCCTAATCTGTAAAATGGTGTCCACAAAAGTATTTACCTCAGATGGCTGCTGTGAGGATTTAACAGGACTATACATGTAGAGTACTTGGTATGTACAAGAACTTATAAATTATAACACTTTCTATTACTCATCTAAAGCCACCTCATGTACTTTTTTTTTCAGAGTTGTCAGTCTTGTTCCAATTTGATCATATTAGCTTGTAAATAGTATATTTCCCATCCTAATACTTCCTGTCCTTGCCCCTGTGGTGCTCACTCCGGAAACAAACAAAACCCGGTGTGATAATTGGAGATGATACCTCCCCACAGGTAGCACCTCTGCAGAGCCAGCAGGAAGATGGATGTGTTTTCCCTGAGAGCCCTAGACCCTTTCCTTGGTATGACCTCATATGCATCAATTACAAATCAAGTGCAAAAGTGAGAACAAAAGGACCTGCCAGCCATTTGTATGCCACTTAATTTTCTCATTTGGTTTATGCTGAAGGTTAGAACTAACATCCAATGTCTCTGCTCTAACACCCATTCCTAATTTTTCAGTACTAGACAATCAAATGGCAGAAACAGACACAGAAGCCTAATTGAAGCACAACGTTTTAAGAAAGAATTAAGAGAATAGTAAATCATTACTTGCTTGTGAATCATTTCTGTGAATTGTAATTTCTTGGATTCATAATTGAAATAATTTTCAGCTTTGCTTTAATAAGCTGAAAATGCAAATAATTAAAGCATAGTTAATGAGAGTGTTTAAGCAATGTATGAGTAACTATACTAAAGATGGGCCAAAACGAAGTTAAGGGCACTGGCAAAAATTAAGAGCTAATCAAGTAAGTGTTAACATATACAGAGGAGAGATATGCTTTCAGAATTCATGTTTACTTCTGTTCAACCATTAGAATTTAAAAATTATAGATGTCAAAGCTAATCTTCCAAAATCATCAAGTAATTACATTTAATATTAAAACATTATTTGGAAGGGGACATGAAAATTCATTTGTTGATCCAATAATTATTAATGGAATATTTTCTGGGTGACTAGAACATTTAGTGTATTTGATGCTGTGGAGATATATTTTATACTGATTTACACACAGACACACACATACACACATTCCAAACACTAGAAAATAATGACCCCAGTGCTTTTTCCATAATCTTACTTAAGTCTAGTCTGGGGTAGAATCAGTCCCCTTGCCTTTTGTCCACTTTTCCAGGTCTGGGAAAGGGAATATACTTAAAGAAGAGTGCATTTGAAGGCAATGAGCAAGGTCATTGAACAGGGGGACAAACATTAAAGGAGGCCATTTACATTCCTTGGAAGCCATGGTCAACACTCAGTTATGTGGAATCTCTTCTCCATGACATATGGATTGCTCTGCAGGCCAGCCTCACCCACCTACCGTGAGTTTGTAGTCAAGGAATGATTCCTATAGGCACAGGAGTGCATTGAGCAAAATAGATTCAGTGAAATCATTAAATTGAGATTCTGAACCTTTGCAGAAGAATCATCAAGGAGACTGGGTAAAAACTAAAACTACCAGGACCCCACCCCCCAGAGATTTGGATTCAGTAAGTTTGAGATAAGTACTAGGAATCTGTTTTTTATATAAGCACACTCCAAGGGGCTCCAAGGACCAAATTTTTATAAATATTTAAATGAAGGCAAAAGAGTCTACATATGAAATTTACAACATGTAATAGAGGGTAGAAAGTAAGGGAAGATATATTCTCGGGGGAATTATTCAAAACAAGCGAACACAAAATCTGTCAAGTTGGTTTTTTTTTTAATTCAGCAAATATTTATTGAGCTCCCATGCTATGTCAAGGACTGTCCTAGCAGCTGAACGTATAATAGTGAGAAAAATCAATCACTGCTTCTACTTTTATGGGTGGAGACCTATGTCTTATACAATTCTTTGCCACATAAATATAGAGATGTGAAAAAATTCATGTTCAATAAATTTAGATAAATGTTGAGAAAACAAAAACCCATATGTACAAAGAATCAAAGCTTGGATTGAAAATTCTAAGTAATCTTTATGTTTTATTCTTATTCTAACATGTGACTTAATGCACCATCTCAAAGGAGACACATTACTTCACTGTGTTTATGAACACGTGGTCATGTTTAGCAGGAAGAGAAGAATGCTTAATTTGAATTTCTCTGAGTATATTGGGGATGAACTTAATGTACCCAGCCTGACATCAACATAATTACACTTTCTAAGCCCTGGATACATGACATATGATACGGTTTCAAAGCTAACGTGAGGTTAGGAGTAATCATCCCAGCCCAATCTGTGCCTGAAATCCATTCCCACATACATGTAGCTGGCTTATCTGGATATGTTATTCATACATCCATTCATCACTTCTTGGGTGGTGGTGAGGATTATTTTCATTATGGCAATTAGTAGTACAATTAGTACATGCTTAAAATTGCTTTACAGATTTTTTGAGTCATATGCTACGTTCTCTATATCGATTGTTGGCATTTATAGCTACTATGCACTCATATAAAATTAATTGCTAACTAGGAAGTAATATGAAATATAGTATCAAGTCCAACCTTCCTGGATAAACTAAATTAGAGGTTTAAAGGAATAAATAATTAATTCTTAGAATCTTTTTGAGAACTCTGATAAGATCAAAATGCTTTTTAATGATACGAAAAGGAAAATGAGTAGGTATTTAAAAAGTAATTTGAAACTGTTGTTTTTTATGTTTTATTTATTCATTGTACAATATTAGTACAAATTGCACTTATGATTTTAATTGTAACAGTTCAGTTATGGAGCTAGGCAATAGACAAAATGTTCAAGTATAACTGATGAACTTCATTAAACTAGAATAAAAGTAAAGCTCAATTGTATATACTAATAGCCTTGTCTGGAACTGTGTTTCTCAAACTGTGGTTTTAGTAGATATTCAGAAGCAAAAATTCCCAGTGGACAAATCTGCTTGGGAAACATTGATCTAAAACATTTATTTGAAAAATACTGATGAGTTACGATAATGCTAAAAGGTAACATGTATTGACTGCTACCATGTGCCACACATAGAGCTAGATGTTTTAGTTGAATTATCTCACTTGATTTAGACTTCTATGAAAATGAAGATTAATTATAGCTATAAATGTCTTAATTAAGCATAACACAAGTAAGGAAAATTATATGCAAAGATGCTTAAATAGGAAAAACTATGTCACCAGCCATAACTGAAGCATTATTTATACTTTTTAAAAAATAACTAAGGTTATATTCATTTATTGAATTAATATCAAAAACATTCTTTAAAAAAATTGTTATCTTGGTATTTACAGTAAATGGACTTTATACATTTTTAAATTTTCCATCTAGATATTCAGGATTGTGTAGGCACAAACTAAATGTGTCTCAAGTGGAAAATAAGTTCCACTATGAATAGTGTTATAATTTTCCCTTTATTACATTAGAATCAGATTGCAACTTGCTCTTAGGAAAGTTAAATAAAGTTGAATTAAATACAATACTTGGCAATTATTTTAATGCTATTGTAGTAAATGGTCTTTTATTCACTGAATGAGAATTACAAAATCAATGGTATGAATTCTACATAATACCATTTCATTAAACAGAAGATATTTCATTACAAATAACTGTATAGTGTACACAACCTTGTTTAGGATGCACAGATAACACAGAAAGATAATTATTTAAAAAATAGAATAACAATTCTATTAAGTATTCAGTGTCTAGTTGCAAAAGGGCTCACCAGCCACTATTCTTACAGCCATGGAATAAGTTGCTGCAAATTAAGGAAAGAAATAAACTCATGGTCCTAATCAAAAGTGTGGAGCATACATGCATCAATGTAAATCAGTTAAAACAACAGAAGATGTTATTATTCCACTTTATTATTTTGCTCTTACTACATACATAGCAGAACTTAATGTAACTATAAGATTAATAGAGAAGGTTGAGTTTCAGATTTCAAAATCTAGCATGGTATAGCTGGAAGAGATTGCCAACACCTTCTAGTCCAGTACCTCATAATATGAGTGAGCAAGCCTAGGCACCAGAGATCTACTTACCAAAAACCACACAGGGAATTCAGAAAAGGCACACATCTCATCCAGCCAGCCACCCAACCAGCCATCCAGCCATCCAGCCAGCCTTCATTTCATGCATTCATTTGTTCAACAACTATTTATTAGATGCCTGTATGTGCTAGACACTTGGGATGTGCTATGAGAAAAACAAGACATGATTCCTGGCCTTATGGTAACTGTTTTGATTATACAGAGGGAGGTGGGAAAACAGTAATCAAATAATCACTCAAATATACACACGATTACAAACCAAGAGGAGTGTTGTAAAAGCAAGGAACATGCTCTACGGAAATGTATAAAAGGAAACCTGATCTAAACCAGGGGGTCAGAAAGGGCTTCTCAGAGGAAGTATATAGCTTTTGGATTGAGCATTAAAGGAGAGAGACTAGAAAAGGCTGTAGACACCCTACAGAAAGAGTATTTGAGGAAAAGAAAGACTGGCTTGTTAGTGGCTAGAAAGTAATGAGAGAGGAGCAAGAAGAGCTGGCAGGGTAGACTGCCCCACACCAGCCGGTGTCTGTAGTCCAACCAGATCATCATCTGTGGTCTTTACTGGAAGAGTCATGGAGGGCTACGAGTTTTATAGCAGGATAAAGTTAAACAGCTCCCATCTTTGACAGTTTTGTTCTCACCTGGGCAAATACCAGATTCATAAATGGCATTCAAGGTATAGGATCTTCCTATAAGTTTTAGTGGCCTGTGGAAGGGGTAAGGTGGGAGAGATGGAGAATGGCAATATTGATAAAAAAGGGCATTGGGCTTTGGTTGCCTTATTATCTGTCTGGTGTATCTGACTGCTTCAGGGCTCTGTAATGAATGTTTGTTCTGAGAATAAGATCATGTTTGAAAAACACAATGGTTTTGAAGTATTCAAATATAGATTGAATTTGTTTGTGGTTTGTGAGCTGCATTAGATTAGTTTTTCTACAGAAAACCCTCTACTCTTGGAATTTCTAAGATATTTTGCATAGATCAAGGGGTTTTCTTTTCTTTTGGTCTACTTTCTTTATATAAAAATCCATAGTATGAGAAAATTACCTACATTCATAATGTCTTTCTTGAGATTTCTGAAGGTAAGGGTTCTGGCCAATCTCATTTGACCAACTGGGATGCTAAAATACATCATTGATAAATCAGTTGAAATCTGAACCAAACCTATATGAGGAAATACAGTGAGCTGCATAAGAGACTGGGATTTTAGCCAAACCTACATGGTCTGTAATCCCAGCTCTGCAAGGACTAGAGTTGTTGGAACCTCATCTCATCTTCCTTCTGGAAAACCTTGACAACTCTTCACTGCCTGAAGAATCATGCCCCAGCTACTCTGCATGGCCTTCCTCTGTAATCTTTATCTTCCTCTACAGTTTCCAGCCAGTTTTCCCTTCCAGGCAGTGAAACTACCTCCCTAATTCTTAATTACTGTATCTACAAAAAAGGAGATACTACTATTAATAATAATAGTTATGATGATAGGAGTTCAACAACCACTTAGCAAACAGCAGATCTTATTACTATATAAGAAAGAACAGATGAAGGCCAGGCTTAGAATTTATTTGAGTTGTTAACCTTCTTTTTAATAAGGATGTATTTGCTCTTCCCCCAAAGTTCATAACTCTGAAGAAAATACAATGAGAGCACTCACACTGAAGGATATTTTAAATGGAACATTTTCTTATAAAACATTTTTTCCAAACTGGATTTCAGGTAAGTGCATTATTTATCTTTAGGGGTTTTTTTTATGTATTTTGTTTGGTTTTTATTTTAGTGCCAATACATCTCTATAGTAACTGAAGCCGTATCAGTTGAAATGTACAAAAAGAACAATTATCTGAATGATTCAAGTGCTCAAAAAAGCGCTTTTGACAAAACCATTCATACTGGATTTGCGCCATAGTAATGAGGCCAATAGAGTTTTAAATAGAGAAGGAAAAGTTGAAAATGCATTGTTGAAATAATTTGAACTTCTGTAATCACTTTTGAGAATGGTAGATATATTCCTATTTAGGAGAAGTCACAAAAATTTTACCAAAAGAGAAATTCCATTATTAATCTGGATAATCTGGAAAACAGACAAATCTCAATCTGACAATGAACCCTTTAAGGGTCATGAAATCGGTATTTTCATACAGCTTTTCAAAATAGGATGTTATAAAGCAAATCTAATCAAATAAATAGTGAGATCAACTAAATAGTCTATGACATTTTAGTTGAGTATCTTAAGTGTCACTGAACAAAATGGAATATTTTAATTTTTTCTCTTTAGAAAATAAAATTAATACAAAGTGAGTTTTAAGTTGAACCAAACACAACTTAAATGTAATTTATGTTTATTACTGCAAAAGAAATATACACTTCAAACTAGTTTATCCCCTTTGTAACCCAGAGAAAACAAAATTGTGTTCCTAAGCACCCTGAATCGGCTAAAATAGGGCTGCTGTTTGCAAATGTGGCATCTTTGTGTGAAGTAGAACAAAGCATTCTACCTTCTTCCTCTACCACCAACTTACTATTTTACATATCACAAAGCAATATGTACTGGACAGAGAGGAAAAACAAAGTAGGTCTGTGAAATAGAGAGGTTTCTTTTGTTAGGAATGTATTTCATGTTAAGAGAGATCATTTACATTTTGTTTTCTTTCTTGTTTAAAGGACAAGAATATCTTCATCAATCTGCAGATAACAATATAGTACTTTATAATATTGAAACAGGACAATCATATACCATTTTGAGTAATAGAACCATGGTATGTATCCAACATCATCTTCCCCCTCAGAAACCTTTGCCCACTCTTCATTGACCAAGAAACAGAGTTCAAAGTCTTAGCACCTGATCTGGACACAACTTGCCTTCCCAGCTCCATACTCCACTAGAGTCTTCCCGTTCTGTCTGCTAGTCCCATTAGACTACTGTCTTTGCCTTCTTGTAAATCAACTAGCATCTTTCCTCCTCTTTGAATATAGTATAGCATAAGATAGGAGTTAAGAACTCAGTCCTTAGTGTCAGCCAATTGAGGTTCAAATCCTGGCTCAGTCCCTTACTGGTCGTGAAAGGTTAGGTAAGGGGTTTCACTACAGCAATCTTACTATGCCTCGGTATTTTCCTTGGTAAAGTAGGAATAATAATGCCTCTTTTGGTTAATAAAAGAATTAAATGAAATAACATTTGCAAGTGCTTAGGGCAGTGCCTAACATAGAATAAGTGCTTAATAAGTGGTAGCTATAAAGTATGGGCACTTAACTGTTCTGTCCCACTGGGCTCCCAGTCCTCCAACTTTCTCCACCCTGAAAAACCTACTATTCTTTTGAAACCAAGTTTAGATAATACTCTCTTTCTCTTTGCAATCAATAATCCTCTCATTTGAATTCAATCATTTCTTTCTTAATAATTTTGCAATTGCTATATTGAATCTCTTTTATAGAACATCCTAATTTGTAGTATGTTACTCCTTAGAAAGTTTATGTTTCTTGAAATCACAAAGTATATATTATCTCTTGCATCCTTCTCCCATAGTATCTAGTAAATTTCTTTGAATTATAGTTAAGTTCCACAAAATATTTTTTTCAATTGCATTGAAAGTCTATGCATGTAGGAGTATGTTGATAATATAATATTCTTTTAAAACTACAAATTTACATGGTTCTTTGTTATCTTTTCTGTATTCTAATCAACCTCTTCATAATTTCAGAAAAGTGTGAATGCTTCAAATTACGGCTTATCACCTGATCGGCAATTTGTATATCTAGAAAGTGATTATTCAAAGGTATCAACTATTTAATTTGGTTATATCCAATTGTATCTCCTACTAATCCACAAGGTGGTTTAAAAAAAGTGAGAGAAAGCAAGAGTCTGTCTTTATCTCTAAATATTCAGGCCCTCGTCACCAATAATCTTCAGCATGATATGTTTCAATCTTATGGAGCTTGTTTGTTTTAAGCGTGAAAGTGCTTTAAGGAACAGAGTCCAAAATAATACTTGCATCATTTATTAACAACAGCACAAACATACTTAACAAGAAAACAAAGAGCTTTAAGAAGAATTATAAGCTAAATATTCTTATTTATTTTTCAATTATTATTTTTAAAACTGTACTCAAAGAAAGGCAAGCATTTTGCATCAAAAATACATGTTGAATGAAATTCTCTTTACCCAATTTTAAAGGGTATAATTAGAATGAATTATCCAGATGCAGGGTAATCCTTATAGGCTGTGGAAATCATTGTGGTTTTACTTCAATACAGGTAAAACATGAAAGGAAAATTTCTGGGGTAGAGTATGCAAAGATAAGCTTTTTATGTTAGGAAATTTCTTTGGATATGCTTTTTATGGAGTGAGGGTTGAATCACTGCTGAGATTAGTTCTGGAACTTGCACAAACGGCACAAAAGTCCACAGTAAGACTCTTTAAATGAAGACTCATTTGGAATTGAAACATATTCTTCCTAGTGCCTTGTGAAAGTAGTCCTTTTATAATTCTGAACTTTGAATTGGATGCTATATGATTATACATTATTGATATAAGCTTTTTAACAACTGCAATTTGTTTTTTGTCTTTCTTCTTTCTGACAGCTTTGGAGATACTCTTACACAGCAACATATTACATCTATGACCTTAGCAATGGGTAAATCACCTCTGTTTATTAATACTACTTAAATCTAATACCTAGAATGTTTTCATTCCAAACTATGATTTGGGGTTAAGAAGACTTTATCTTCTTAATGATCTTTGTTTCTTACTTTTTAGTAATACAGTATGTATGTACCCATAAAGCTTACAAAATTCAAGAAAATACTTATATGGGATACCCACCTCTTTATTTGACTAATATTTTATATTTTTATTCACAATATAGTTTTGGATTTTCTGTTTTTGAAGATCAGATTAAACATGTGCTATTTATGGAAAAAACATATATAGGAAAGCACAAAAACATTCTTGGAAATGAGACACTATTTTTAGGAGAGTGGCTATTTCACTGATGGGAGGAGGAAGGGCGGGAGAGAGATGTAGCATTAGTTGTGTCTGAACACGTACTCCATTAACTGTTTTAAAATTAATTATTATAAAAATGACAAAATGTTAACATTATTTTTAAAATAGAAAAATATCTGACGTGTAAAATACTAAATGTTCTTTTGAATTTAGTTGGTAGATAAATTGTCAGACAAGTACCATTTTCCATATATATATATACATATAAACTGTTTGAAACATTTACCATTTAAAAGAAAAAATTAAATGAATGTGCAGATAGGCGAAGCATTGACGAAGAGAATTTCTGGCAGCAAGAAGAATATGTAAAGGCCTAAAATGGGGAGGGAGAGCATTGTGCGTTTGAGAAATGCAAAGTAGGTCAATTTGTTTGAAATTGAGGGAGGGGCCTGCTGACTAGTAGGAGGTGGTGTAAGGTTGGGGAACAGCCAAGGCCAGGAAGCATAGGCCAAATAATAATGAGGAAATAATTAAAATGAGTTTAGATCTTTCTTTCTGATGACAATAAGGATTCATTCAAAGGTTTTAAATGGAAAATGACATGATCAGATTAGCACTTTAGAAAAATCACCCTGGCTAAGTGTGGACAATGAATTGCCTTAGCTACTCATCTTAATATGATATCTTGTTTGCTGTTATATAAAAGGGGAAATAATTATATGGCTTGAAGAGGTATTGAAAAAAAATCTTCTGGTCTATTTCCCCTTTTGTCTAGCAAGAGCACAAAAATTTTTTAAAAAATTATCTATCTACTTCTTTCAAATTTTCAGAAAAGAATTACTCTGATAAACTGTCAAATTAAGAAACAGGAACTGCTTTTTAAAGTAGAATCTAAAATCCATCTAATGCATTCTGAGTCCTTCTTGTCTCCGAATCCATATCATCACCAAATTTAAGAAATATTTATTGAGCCCCTTCTATGTGAAACACATATAACAATGAGATGCAAATGAGCTTGGGGCACCAGCTCTACTCTTAAGAAACGTTCGATTAGTGAGTGGGGAATCTTAGTCTTTCAGTCCAGTTTCTCAAAGCTCTCATCATGTCTTTGTTTTTCTTTTAATCATTTTGAAATTCTTTTGTGAGGCTCGCCAAATTGAACAGCATTCAAAAAGATGATAATCCTAATATTTTAATCATGGGTTATGTAAACTTTATGGCCTAAAATCACATTAAACATTTAGATTCTCTGCAGTGAATTTAATCAAATCACTGGTTTTGTTTGTTTCTTTGTTTTCTGCACAACTATCTAGTATTTCAGATTTTTTGGTGGGGGGGTGGTCAGGTAAATACAGCATAATTTAGGAAGTGAAGGATGGATGGCAAACTTGTTTGAGATTCTAGGCATCGCTGAATACCACCAATTTCAAGTCTTTTATATGCCTTTGAAGACTCTATAAAAATCTAGCATAGAGAAAACAAAACTACTGGTTTCAAGCTAGGTAGGCAAAACTGAGGAGATGAACGCCTTTGTAAAGCATCCTCCCTCGCCTTTTCTCATACCTTTAGTGACTCAGAAAACAGAAAATGGCAGCTGTGATGGCTTGAGACATGCGCTGAGATTTTTAGCTTAGTGCTGCTTGTGTGATTGCATAGATAATTCCACTGTATGTAGAAAACTGAGACAATGTTACAGTATGAAAGGTAACATGAGCACTAGCTTGAGAACAAATTGTGAACCAGGTGAAGAATGTCTTCTTATTTTTTTTTTTGAGACAGGGTCTCGTTCTGTCGCCCAAGCTGGAGTGCAGTGGTGTGATCTCGGCTCACTGCAACCTCCTCCTCCCGGGTTTAAGCAATTCTCCCGCCTCAGCCTCCTAAGTAGCTAGGATTACAGGCTTGTGCCACCACTGCTAATTTTTGTGTTTCTGTGGGGACGGGGTTTCTCCATATTGGCCAGGCTGGTCTCGAACTCCTGGCCTCAAGAAATCCGCCGCCCAAAGTGCTGGGATTACTGGCGTGAGCGAGCCGGCCAGGCCTGGGTCAATCTTTTAACTGGGCTCTTGCATCCCTTTCAACATGTTCCCGATCACCCAGGGGCCTGGTGCTCATGTACTGCCCTCTGGCGGCCAGGACTCTCATTGCAGCACCAATGGTCACTTTCCATGGGAATCACTCTCCCCACTCAAAACTATGCCATGTTCCCTTGCTACTTGCTAGGTCTCATGCAGGCACCTAAAAAGTTACATCAAGGCAGTGTGTGTTACAGATCTTCACAATTGCCCAAATATTAAAAGAATGGGAAAGGCAGAAATGTCAGGCACATGTTAGCTCCAGGTTGGAGAGCTTTTTTTGGAGGGGTTGGGCAGGAGTCTTTTTTGAGGCTCTTCAAATTGTGCTTGGGCGGCAGGTCTTGCTCTGCTTTCCCACGAAGGCAGTCTCGATGAAACTGTTAATACAATCTTCAAGATGACAAAAGTCAAAAAGTAAGCATGACATCCTACGACTCTGCAACACTTATAAAAGTCTGAATGCATTCTTGCTGAAGAACTACAAAAGCTCCACAATGCAAGTCACTTGAGTGCTTGCAGAGTGACTCTAAGCATCAAAGTGAGAGTTTTGGCCAATAGACTATTTGAAATTTCCCCATGGGTGGAGGACTTTACAAGCTTAAGGCATACTGCCCAGTATACAATCCGTTTTTCAGTTTAGCTTGAGATCAGATGTTCCTTTCCTTTTCTGATTTCAAGTCAGATCCCTGGGGAGATTGTCAAATGGCATCTTATTTTCAAAAATTTGAAATGCATATGCATTCACAGAGATGGGGGTTGTGAATGAGAATGTAGAAGAGCACATACTAAACTTCAGCACAATTATAGAATTTCAGAGCTGGAAGGCACTTCAGTGACCATTTCAGTCTAGTGTGTGCAAATTTTACAATCCCAGGGGTTAAAAGGACTTGAGTTTAATTCAAGGTCTGCCAAGAACTAGCAATGTGGTCTTAAAAAGTTCTATCAGCTCTCTAAACCTCATATTTACTTTCTATAAAATGAGAGGACTGTATTAGATAATTTCTAGAGATCTTCTCCACTTTGACAGTCTGTAAGTATTTAATCCATTCACCTCACTATAAAGGTCAGAAAACTGACACCCAGTAAAGTTAAGTGACTTTTAAGTAACTACTGGAAGAACAGCAATCAACACCTATGTCTCCAGTTCTTCATTCCTGCATTCTTTTCATTAGGTTTGTGGGTGCAGAGGGAATGATCCTTAATTTTCATTGTTTGTTTATTTTTTCTGTTCATACAGATTATTATTTTTTTGCATTAAACAGCAAGGTTTGTTGTTTTTCTTTCTTTCTTTCCTTCTAGAGAATTTGTAAGAGGAAATGAGCTTCCTCGTCCAATTCAGTATTTATGCTGGTCGCCTGTTGGGAGTAAATTAGTAAGTGTTTAAATTTTTGAAGTGTTTAATCATGTAAATAAAAGAGGAGCCATTTGATTTTGGCCTTTGTTAAATTTCCCTGCCTGAAAGAAAAAAAAATACATTCATGACTATTTTAGTGGTTAAAAACGGGAAGAGTTTTGATAAATTGAAACCCATCTGAGAATTCCGCAAAATCTCAAGCTCATGGATAGACTTCTTTAAATATAGCAGTCAAAAACTTTATCCTTATACTCAGCCAGAATGCGTTGTGCCAGAAAGCTCAGGAAAAATATGGTTTTCACAAGTTTCCCAGACTAGCTTCAGACAACATGAAATTTGGTCCAAGCTCTTATTTAAGGACTCTAAATAAAGATTAGATCTGGCTAGCTATTAATATTCAGAGATTTATTCGACTTTCTGTCAATATACATAATTATTTATTTGGGGTTAATGAAACAACTAAGAAAATAATAGGCTTTATTTTTTATTTGATTCAGACTTTAAAATTCATAATTGATGTTAATGTGAGTTGGTTGGATTTTTTGACCTATTAAAATGGTATTTTAGTTGTGAATCTTTTTTGTATCTTTATTACCACTCTGTTTAAAGGTATTAGAGGAATAATTAAAACAAATATACAGCCTTCATTTAATTTGTTGTGGAATTTCCCCTTACCACCACTTTTAGGCATATGTCTATCAAAACAATATCTATTTGAAACAAAGACCAGGAGATCCACCTTTTCAAATAACATTTAATGGAAGAGAAAATAAAATATTTAATGGAATCCCAGACTGGGTTTATGAAGGTAAGCTGTATTCCTTTTCTACTGCTAATGCTTTAGGCTTTTAATTTAAAATAATTTCATATATTTAGTAAGATTTAGATGAGTAGTATCTTATTTCCATGAAGGGTAGCATTGCTGAAAATTGTCTCTAGGTTACGAATAGGGCATACGTATTTTAAAAGAACAAATTCTTGTTATCAGAAAACTGGTAGAATTGATTCTCAATAACATCACTATGAAGTGGTAGTAATGATTTATAATCCAAAAAAGTATATGGTCCTCAGGTGCCGCATTAGTACATTTTCTCATGTTTACTTTTTCTTTAGAAATTTTTTTTTTTCAAAACTAAACAACTGACTATGTTATCTTATGGGAACATATTTTTACTTTCTGATACTCTGTTGATTTTGTTCTCATTCTAGGTCATGTAGAATTCAGGACTTAATTGGACTTTAAAGAGACTTCTAGTCTCTATCTATTTATCTATCTATCTATCTATCTATCTATCTATCTATCTATCTAAACTAACTGTGTTTTTGGTTTTTTTTAACTCTTAGGAGGGAAATGTAACTTTCAATGTTTATGTCACTCTCTAGTACAATTATAGTTCTTTCTGTTTTGGCTATCTTAGGTGACTAAAAAACCTGAAACTGCCCTGAAAGAAAAAATTAATTAGTGCCAACATGTTTATTATTTATTTAAAAAATTACATTTCTGATTAATGTCATTTTCTAACAAGGCTAATTGATGTTTGATATAGAGTGAAAGGGTAAACTATTCCTCTTAACTCAGATTATGTAATTTTTTAATAACCAAAGTATGACATATGTCACATCCACATTAAATAAATTATTTCAGTTGATAAATAGCTATTTAGAAGTATTTACAATGATTTTAAGAGTAAGATGTAATTATAGTTAATATCCTAGTACTTATTTTTCAGAGGAAATGCTTGCTACAAAATATGCTCTCTGGTGGTCTCCTAATGGAAAATTTTTGGCATATGCGGAATTTAATGATACGGATATACCAGTTATTGCCTATTCCTATTATGGCGATGAACAATATCCTAGAACAATAAATATTCCATACCCAAAGGTATGTTGAATACTTTCAGCGATGCTTTCATTTTCCTGGTATCAAAATGAGCAATGATTTACCATGAGTAAAGGTGGGATCAACAAGTTTGGAGAGCTTCTTATCCTTGAGCATTGTAAGGCAAACATTGTACTGTGCTCTATTATTTATGTGGACATCTGTTGCTTTGGACATCTGGTTGTGCTGGATGAAGTAGTCTTTGCAAAATCTATTGCAGAATCTTTGAAAAACATATGGTCTTGATCATGGAGGAAAAACAAGCTTAACTTAATTTTAATTTTTTTCATATTTCATGCTCCAAATTCAGGGTAAAGTTCTGTTTTGCAATTCTCTCTTGAATTCTCATGTAAATGCAAACTAGAATATGAAATACAAATGCTGAATTTGATGTTCCTGTCAGGTAGAAGCAGGCATGGGTTATGGTCCTTTCTGGATGTACAAGATAGGTTAAATTTATAAGTCTCAATTTCTCCCTTGAAGGAAGTAGACATGGTGTGAACCCATAGTTTTTGGATATTTAACATTGTAGAGTTGTTATACATTCTTTTTATTGAGTTTCACATCTGGAGGGAGGAGACCTGAGTGTGCAGTAGGAGAATGGTCAGGTCTCAGTGAAGAAGCATTATATCCTAATTTCAATGTAAAAATGATATCAGAAAAAATGGAATCAAAGTACAAATTTACCTCTTGCACAAGGAATCGGATGCGATTTTAGAATTCACTTCTTTGTTCTTTGGATGCTATTGCTTTTACTTGCCAAGGGGAATATTGTCGTGGCTGGACACAGTGGGTCCCTGGGTGACAAAGACGGTTGGATGTGGTATACACACAAGTGAATTCTAAGCAAGCCAAAGTGGCCATAGAGAAAGAAATAGAATTGCAGACAGTGTAATATTTATGTTAAAAGTCTAAAAGCTGTGTAAAAACTCTAAAAGCTGGAGATGTTTGGGACAGGCCTCACATTTTGGGGGAACCCAAGATGTAAAAGAACTCAGATCTTTGGGAGGACCTATGGGAGCAGGAAGAGACGGGGAACCCAGAACTGAAGAGTGACTGACACTGATTGGGAAGTTGGGACCCACATTCTCATATTTCCTTGAGGCTTAAGGTTGCTAAAACATCTGGCGTTAGGTGGAGACGTGAGACCATCCCAAAAACTAAGGGAGTTTCTGATAAACTTGGGAGTGAAACGGAGGTCCTAAGAGACGTTGAACAGTTCTTTGGATGAATTCAAACAGCACTGAGTCATTACATACTGTGCACCTACATTTCATGAATTTAAATTTTATTACAACTCCAAGATTCTCTCTTTCTACAGCAAAATAACAGAGGAACTCTAAGAAACTGTCTAGGTATGAGCTATACTGTCATGTAAATTTTAAGCATACAGTAGTATAGAAAGCACAAAACAAGAAAAGTATAAATCTCATGGATACTTCATTTGGAGGTGAAATTTCCCTAACCTTTTGGAGATGGTGGCAGTAATAATGCAAGCAGGTAGGAGACTGAGCATTTGGTGATTGTCCTAGACCAAATCATATGGCAAAAGCAAAAAGTGTCTTTCATTTATTTTTCTTTCCATTCTCCTCTCAAATTAATCACCCTCTGAACTCTCCTTGGTATACAGATTATTATAATTATCCCAATAATAAAAATGAGAGAGATCTGTCTTGGAAATCAGAAAACAGAATATGGTTCACAGAACTGCATTTTCATATCCAAAATGATTTTCCCTATAAATTTTAAAGCTCTCTCATTAGGCAGTTAAAACACATAGTTTTGCTCTGGTTGACACAACATTTGTAATTGCCCTGCAGGTAAAATTGAAATGAGATTCCTTGTCGTGTTATAAATAGAATGTATTCCACAGTGATATACATAAGATTGTTCGCTTAGAAAAATATATCTAAATTCCTAAAGTTTCTTTAAAATGTTGGTGATAATTGGAATTTTATGAGCTTATATATCTCAATTTTCTTGGCAGGCTGGAGCTAAGAATCCCGTTGTTCGGATATTTATTATCGATACCACTTACCCTGCGTATGTAGGTCCCCAGGAAGTGCCTGTTCCAGCAATGATAGCCTCAAGGTAGTTCATCTCAGATCCCTCCCATCTTTCTATCCTATATTCTAGTGCATTTATGCTGTGCATGCTAGAAGCAAAAACAAATAAGTAGATAAGAGTTGCACACAAAGCTAAAGACATACAAAATTAAAATTGACAAATAAGTTTCCTTAATTGGTTTTTCAAAATTAGCCCTTTTACACATATAAACGTGACCTCGGTGATCAATCTCAGTGAAACTTGCCTCAGATGTACAGATGTGAACTTGGGACCAACAAGCAGACAGTAAAATTCATGTACGTCCTCACCCTGGCTTCTTTCAAGTTTGGCTGACTTTATCTCAAGCCAGGGTTTGTGGATCTATGTGGATCACATGTGTATGATAAATAAGAGAAGATAAGCTGACCCTCTCCAAAAATTAGCATTTTTCACAATGAAGCAGGCTATTCTCATTTATCTGGTTTTAGAATTGTCTAGAGATGAACTGTAGGCAGGCAGGGACGTGAAGGATTCTCACTTCCCCAGCATGATGCCCTATGTCTGATTGTCTGACTAGTCCAGAATACAGTGACCTTCAGTCAGTCCTCTGTGGTCTTTCTGGTTGAAGTGGCTAAGGGGAAGAGGTGCCCAGGCCCTGCCTGTTGGGCTTTCTTAACAGTTCCCCATGCCTAGCGGGCCAATCTTGGGTCTTCCCCTTCTGCTTCACGAAGAAGAGCCAAGCTCAAATGACTGATCACTAATAGGGAAAAGAACCCCATGAGAGGCTTCTACTGGGCCTTGCTGAGTCCACTCTTGTATAATCAAACATGACTTTATATTTTTGAATTATCTGCTATTCCCCACCCTGATCGAGTCGATGAAAACTTGACTCAATACATCATTTTTTTTTAAAGTGTCATTCTCCACAGGTGGCAGATGAAATGAGCATAACACAAGGAGTCCAGAGGCTTGTTTGAACAGCTGTAAAATACTAACAATAAAATAGTAGTAGCAAACGTATTCTGAACACTCATCATGTAGCAGACATAGTTCTTAAGCGGTTTAAGCACGCGGCCAATCTTTACAGCACTCTTTAAAATAGGTAATATTATTATTCTGATTTTATATAAAAATAGAAGAGTTAAGTAACTGGCCTAAAGGTATATAACTATTAGGACATAAAGCCAGGATTTGAGCCTGAGGTCCCTTCCAGCTTTGTGATTTCCTTTACATTAATTTTCCAGAAGTTTGTGATTCATTTTATGTTGATGTTCTCTACCTACTAGTTCATGCTCAGAGTCATGGAATCATCGTTGCCATTCACTGACATCTAGTATGTGCCAAACATTATTTGAGTTATTTCGCATACATCATCTGTGATTTATTCCACAAGTCTGAATTTCAATACCTGACCACAGTCACAGCTAAAACTTAGCTTCCAACATGAATCTGCTGAGAGACAAAGATTATCCTTTTATCACACTTGTCTCTCTCTCAACTAATTATAAGGTGAAAAATTGAGTTTACTTGTGCAAAATGCAAGTTTAATGCTTTTTTTCCCCTCTAGATTGATCAGTAGCTTTGACATTATGTTTTAAATTCTTTTCTAAAATGTTAAAATCCAGAAACGGGGAGAAAACTCACATATGAAATGATTTCATTAGATGAAGAAACTCTCATAGATATTTTTTTAAGTAAGTAGAGATATTTAAACTTTCTCTCCAGAGAAAGGAATGTTTTGTCTTGCTTACCTATTAAATAAGTAATGTATAATAATGACATATATCCTTTAGAAAACAAAAATTAAGAAATTATTTGTGTGTGAAACTGGTTTATGGTTGTGACTACCTGTTTCTATTTTATTTGCAGTGATTATTATTTCAGTTGGCTCACGTGGGTTACTGATGAACGAGTATGTTTGCAGTGGCTAAAAAGAGTCCAGAATGTTTCGGTCCTGTCTATATGTGACTTCAGGGAAGACTGGCAGACATGGGATTGTCCAAAGGTAGGGTATATTAAGATCACAGATACGTATTTCTGAAGATCAAGGCACAATAGTGGGGACTCATCCATAGCTAACATTTTATGTTGTAAAGCCAGGATTACTGCATTCAACTGCCAACTGCTTTGCAAAAACACACTCAGTATTCATGGGTCCATCATTTTATTAAATAAATAGGATACCTTTTATTTTCTTGAATGACGTAAACCTTGAAATTGAATAGCCAAAAAGAAAAAATGGGACAACATGACATTGGGAAAATCAGATATCTGGTTCTCAATTATAATGGTAAACCAGCCCTTTGAGATTATAACATTGGCAGTCCAATAAAAAGCAAAATAATGCAGATGAAACCGAAACATGGGTCTACTAGATAAATATATATGTTTTAAACAAAAGAACCAGAGAAGAAATGCAAATGGGGCATGTTCTATTCAATGTTAAAAATTAAAAATTAAAAATTCTAAAGGAAATGGATATTATCAAAAGAAAGCCAGATATTCTGTTTTTTTTTTTGTTTGTTTTTTGTTTTTTTTGTTTGTTTTTTTGTTTTTTGTTTTTTTTTTGAGATGGCGTCTCGCTCTGTCGCCAGGCTGGAGTGCAGTGGCGCAATCTGGACTCACTGCAACCTCCGTCTCCCAGGTTCAGGCGATTCTCCTGCCTCAGTCTCCTGAGTAGCTGGGACTACAGGTGTGCACCACTAGGCCCAGCTAATTTTTTTATTTTTAGTAGACACGGGGTTTCACCATGTTGGCCAGGATGGTCTCAATCTCTTGACCTCATGATCCACCCGCCTCAGCCTCCCAAAGTACTGGGATTACAGGCATGAGCCACTGCACCCAGCCCAAATATTTTTATTTTAAAATCAAATGAGAATTACTGAGAATGTGACATAAGATATTAGATCAAATTATTCTGTTACCTGGTTATCTTAGGACAGTACCCGACATGTACTAATTTTGGGCAGAAAAAGCCTTTAAAACTAAGCACAGATTTATTGTTGAGTTTTAATTGTTTCTATTACTCAAACTCAAACATAATCTGTTGAATTAATGAGTCAGAAAAACCACTTAACCAATGTATAAGCTTTAAAATAAGCCTGTTCTTAATTACTCACATTAGAATCTAAGAGATACAAAATATTTTCTTTAAATAGGATATTTGATGGGTACATTTTGTGAGTCTTCTAATTATGAAGAAATGTTTCATTAAAACAAATATAGAATAATCATATTTTATAAAGTAAAAAGAAAAGCACAGAACAAACAAAGTAAATCACTAAATTTCATCTAGAAATTAGGACATTATGTTTTGCAAGAAAAAAGTCATATGAGTCTGTTTGGAAATATATCAGGACTATAATAGTCAACATTACTCAGGCTAAAAATATTTCTTTAAATCACTACTGTGTCTGTGAGAGGCTCGACTAATTTTGATGGAATATGCTAGAAGCGTATTTTTATCTTATATATATTTTGATATACAAAGCAGGATGATTTTGGCTTTAATACAGTATCATAGGCAAAGAAAGGATAGACTAATCTTGATTATGCTAGTTAATTAGAAACAATTGGTCTGGTTAGTCAGCTTTGGGTGACTATATCTTTAAACTTTTCAATGAATCTAGCTATTAGGGACTATTGCTTTAATTTTATTAGTTTGAACATAATGAGATTTATAATTTAGACACAATTTTTAGCTCCTAAAACTAGGAATTTTAAAACTGTGATTGCTTTGAAATCTGAAATTCTAATTTATCAAAATCTGAGACAACTTTAATCCAAACTGACAGAACATTTAAGATGCTCATTCAATGAGGTGTGGAAGTCCCTGGAATATAAACTTTAGTTTTACAGCCAGAAAACAGTGCTTAAATTTAGAATATCATGTTTGAATAACCTTAGAATTTCTAAACACCTCTGTTTCAAAATAGTTTGATAAATACATGCAACACATTTTGAGATTTGAGAACAACAGTGTCGAATTTCCCAGAAACCATCCTCATGACTGATGTGTGTGTGTGTGTGCGCACACACTTTGAAAACAATATTTAAGGTTAAGTGACCCGGCAACATTTTATTCATGCTGAGAGTCATGCCCCAAACAAAGAGGCAAAGGAAACTGGCAAAAATGACTTGTAATAAAATTATATTAGTGAGATTTATTAAGAAATTTATAGTTAGGGGAAGAAACATCTTTTATATTATGCTTCCTCCTCTGAAAAGGGAATTAAAATTAATTTTACTTTTATGGCTAAAAATAATAAATCCAAAAATTTCACTATTTTTTCCGAGTCTTATCTTACTTGTTCTCTCTGAGGCATTGGTCTATCCCTGTAAGAGAAAATCCAGACTGTGTTCTTAAAATTTGTTATTCCCCTGCCTTTTATGACAGTACACCCTCTCATGGTTCTCCTTCTGCTTCATTGACTGTTCTTTTCCTTTCCAGCTCTTCTTCTGACTTCTCTAGAAATCTTATTATTCTCCAAGTTAATGTATTTGCAAGGTAGGCTAACTGCTATAACAACAACATAAAAACCTCCAATAATTCAGTGGGTTAATACAGTAGAAATTTATTGCACATTCATGTAACCATCCAATAGTGAGTCCAGGTAAGTGGGGTATGGTGGGGGTTGGGGAATGGTGCACTCTGCTTCATATAGTCATTCGGGAACCTAGGTGATGGCATTTCTGCTAACTAGCTTCCAACACTATTCCAAAGTTGGTCAAACCTGAGCATCAACATCCAGCTGAGGGATGGAGAAAAGAATGAAGGGTAATGTAAGAGAGGCTTTTATGGGCTAGGCCTAAAAGTAGCATGAGTTATTTCTGTTCACACACCATTGACTAGAACTTATCAAATAACCACGGTCAACTGAAGGAAGGCTGGGAAATACATTTCCTGCCCGTATCCCTAGCAAAAAGAGGAAATGGTCTGCTGATTATCCTGCTGTCTGTCTCAACTCTGTACTTACTCACTTTGGGTAATTTTAATCTATACCAGAGCTTTTTGGTATACTTGCCAATAACTCTCAGACTTATTTCTGAGGATTTGAACTTTTCAATATGTGTGGCTTCATTTTCTCTGTTCTATTCTCACTGCCATGAGCTTGATTAGAGTCTTTATCATTCTTTTCCCAAACATTATAATAGCCTTCCAGTTGGTCTCTCTGCCTCCTTCCCTCTTACCCACTTCTAGTATATCCTCTGCATCATGTTCATAATTATATGTTCCAAATTGTGAATTGGAAGACCTTCAAAAGACTTACCAAACAGGAGAAATTGAAACTTCTTAGGGTGCCATAAAGTTTCTCCAAAATCTTGCTCATAAACATGCATTCTCCTTCATCTTCTAACTCTTTCCTGTAGTCACTCTCCACTCAGCCATACTGAACCATCTGTTGGGTGACTAAGCAGGTCTGGTCTCTATGCTATTTATTTTACCTAGAATGTTCTTCTTTTTCTAATTATTTGTCTAGAAAAGTCTATTCATTCTTTTAGGATTACTAAATGTTTGTTCAGTAAATGATCAATTACATTATGCTAAAATATAACCCAAAATAAGATTCAGTGCAAATTTTAAAATTTTAGCTACTTCATAGGACCCAGAAAAGAAAGAATTTAACTCAAACTCCACTGTTTTACCTACACCACATCAAGTGGATTGTGCTGGGCCTCCATAGATGTTGTGATAATTCCAAGTCACTGCCTCATGGAAGATTTAGGCATAATTATTAAGGATCTGCAATAAAATTACCCATGTATATACAACAGTGCTGTTATATGAGATTTTTAATATTGTCCTTTTAAACTCAAATTTGAAGTTAGTTGACTAGTAATGGTATACTCTGATCAGGCAGCTTAACTGTTTCCAAATGTCCAGATTACATTTAGGAAAAAAATGTTCTCCTAATACTATGTTCGATGTGATCTTTTGTCTTTTAGACCCAGGAGCATATAGAAGAAAGCAGAACTGGATGGGCTGGTGGAGTATGATTTTGCTATCTTTTTCTTATGTTTTAATGAAACTTGACAGATTCTCAGCTATCAAAGGACTATTTGCAATGTACCCAAACTGGCACTACTTATTTTCATAGAAAAAGTAGCAAGGTATAAAACACATAGGTAGTGATCTCTTGAGTGATTTTGTGCCGGACAATTTCAATGTCCTTTTTAGAATTCTATTGAAAATAACTCATACTCCTCATGTCCCAATTTTAAGTTTGTCAACTGAATCCTTGGTATCTATAACTAATATTACTTTTTAAACAAATACAATATAGATCATTGTTCAAAAGGAGACAAAATCCCTGATCTGTTAAAATCATCTTAATAATTACTAGCCATTTAAATCCAAAAAAAAATACATTGGGTATCCTTGTAATTTAAAGACAATCTACCTCTTATTAAATTTCATATAACATGTACTAAATTTCATGTATGTATACTCCTTCCAGTATTTAAGTAATGATTTGGTATCAAATAGGAAAATGTGTGTTTGTTACTTGTGATCATTTATATTTGGAAGTTTAGGATAGGTTTATTCAATAATTTATGAGGATTTTTAATGTAAAATAACGCTTGAGGTAAATAGCAATTGTATTTTATATCGTATATGAAGAATAAAAATTAATACAAGAGAATAAGTGAAGGTTGGTAGATGCTGCCACTTACCACAAACACATAATTCAATTCAATTAGTATTTGAAGAGGAAAGGCTACTTCTCTAAGATTTGGACGCATTATGCAATGAAAAAGGAAACTCTTAGGACCTGGTTTAACACATTAGCCCATGATCCAAGGACAAAAAAAAGTCAGAAATCGATTCTAAGATGATAAATTATATAAAAATTTAAACTCAAATTGGCTGGGAAGAAGATAAACTGTAAAGTGATAATCTTCAAATATTAAAAACTCTTCATTGTACACTTTTCTGGATCCAGTTGATTTTGGCTTACATGCTGTTTAATTTATACTCTGCCGTTAATTAAAGATACTGCAGTTTTATTCATTAACTAGGGAATAGTTACTTTATTTATTATATACAATAAATGTAAATTACACTCTGAGGTAACAAGATAATAAAGATAAGTATGTAATTCAGAAAAAAAAAAAAACCCTCCTATTTGAACTCACTTTTCCTACTGTCCTAAATATCACAGGAAAAAAAGAGTAGTAGTATTCAGTGAAAGAAAAGTATTCTCTAAATTTTATGTATTCTTAATCAATCTGAATCTCACCTTTCAGAAAGGTAATTCTTAGATCGGTATTTGAAATTTTGAGGAAAAAAAATCTACCAATTCACTCCCATTACAAATATTTCTAGTAAAGAACGAAGGGAAGAAAGAATGCTTGAAAATATTATTTAGTCATGTTCTCCAAGATGATACTATAACTAGATTTACTATACAGTTATATGAATAATGTACTTTTATATCAACAATGATACCAACAACCCTTTCAAAGACATTATCTTGAGCATCTATAAACATTTATTTTGACAATGCTGCAGTGTTCAAAACACTGAAACACTTTAGAATGCATCTTTTGAAAGCTCATATTTATAAGCATCTTCAGTATCTTAATAATTTAAAAAATCTGTATTGCACTAAACTTGCATTCCCATCAAATTGAGCTGAATGAATGAATGAATTGCCTGCAAAGCTTTAGACCTTTTTTTTTTTTTTAAGACGGAATCTCACTCTGTTGCCAGGCTGGAGTGCAGTGGCGCGATCTCGGCTCACTGCAAGCTCCGCCTCCCGGGTTCAAGCGATTCTCCTGCCTCAGCCTCCTTAGTAGCCGGGATTGCAGGCGCCCACCATCACGCCCAGCTAATTTTTGTATTTTTAATAGAGACGGGGTTTCACCGTGTTAGCCAAGATGGTCTCAATCTCTTGACCTCGTGATCCGCCTGCCTCGGCCTCCCAAAGAGTTGGGATTACAGGCATGAGCCACCGCCCCTGGCCCAGCTGTAGAACTTTTTTAAAAAACACCCTCAGTGTCAGGAGATCGAGACCATCCTGGCTAACACTGTGAAACCCCGTCTACTAAAAATACAAAAAAATTAGCCGGGCATGGTGGCGGGCGCCTGTAGTCCCAGCTACTCAGGAGGCTGAGGCAAGAGAATGGCGTGAACCTGGGAGGCGGAGCTTGCAGTGAGCAGAGATCGCGCCACTGCACTCTGGCTTGGGCGACAGAGCGAGACTCTGTCTCAAAAAAAAAAAAAATGCCCTCAGTGGAGGCACATATGTCTCCTTTGAGAGAAGATGAGGTCCTTACATTAAATCAAAAATCATTCCCAACTAAATGGCATGAGCCACCGCGCCCAGCCCAGCTGTAGAACTTTTTTAAAAAAATACCCTCAGTTGAGGCACATACCTCTCCTTTGGGAGAAGATGAGGTCCTTATATTAAATCAAAAGTCATTCCCAACTAAATCTAGAGAGTAAATGAGTTACTTATCTGGGACATGTGATTTTGTGCCAGATCATTTTAATATTCATAGTTTTATAATTCTATTGGGAACAACTTATTTTTATGTACTAATCTCAATCTCTTAACATGTATTCAGTAGTCAGTAAAACTTCTAAATTCCAGAAGAGAAATTATCAAAAATTATTTGCAATGATTGTTTTCAAGAGTCAGTTTACACTCTCCCAAGGCACCTGCTTTAAATGGATTATTAATTAGCTTTTGTAAGTTCTGACATGCCTTTTGAAAAAGTCTGGCCACAATTTTATATAGCCATAACTCATATTTCATAATATATTGTATATTTAATAGCTTCCTTTGACCTATAATGAAACTAGTGACTTAATAAAATTAACCAGAAAAAACTAGAAATGTGTATGTATTTCAGACATTCATTCAAGTAACATTTATAGGGTCTTTAGATAAAGTATACAAGCTAGTCGTATTAGTATAAATTTTAAAAGCTATTTTTGATATATGGTTTCTTTTGAGTTTGTCAGAGATATTTAAAATGGAAAAAGACTCTCAGAAATCACCTATGAATTAGAAAAGGGAGATTAAATGACTTGCTAAAAGTAAATGATCTGTTAGTTGCAGGCACAGAACTAGAAAATAGGTTTCCTGCGAACTTTACTTACCACTTTTTTCCTCCAGCACTGACACATCCAGTCCTTTAAGTTAGGATTAATAACCTAACTTCTTTTTTGGTATTAATCAGAAAAAATAACAAAATTGCTTTTAAAACATGTTTGTTTTGTTTTGCTCTGTAGAGGACAGAAAAGTGAAGAGTTAATCAAAGGAAACTAGTGCTTCATTCCTTAAATTTGGAGAACAAGCACTGAAGGCATCATGCTTAGACTGCAAAGTCACATCAATTATTTTAAAATAATTTAAGCAACACACTACACCGTCTTTAGGCGGCTGGCAAAATCCCTTGGTTCAAAAAAAAATGAATTTTCTTCTTGATGCTTGAAAGCTTGTGCTTTTGACCGAATGTGCACTCAGTTTAGGGCATCCGCTTTAGGTCATTTAACAGCTATGGCAAGATATTACATGGCGGTAAATAATGTCACCTTCCAGGTAAAATATTTTAAATGGCTTTGCACTTCATATAGAGATGAGTAATCTATCAGAAAATCTAAGCATAATAAAGAAACCAGTGTAAGGGCCTCATTAAAACTGAGGACAACTTGGTGTGGGTGCTTATCTAGGGTCCAGGTGTGACTTGCAAGAAGCACTTAACTCAGAACACTTTATGGGCCTAACTCTAGCAAAATGAATGTGGACATATTTCACACTCTCTTTACCTCACCCAAGTTACCTGTTCATCTAAAGCAGCTGTCTTCAATGTGTGCAATGAAAGGGGAGAAGATAACAGTCTTTGCTTATCAGAAATATTCTTCCTGTTTGCCTGATTCTAATATCTTAAAACATAACACTCTGCCCTGTTTTTTTTATTTTCAATAAAAATGAGATGCTAAGTTTTAATCTAGAACAAAGCCCTTTAAAAAGTCCCTTATCTAACTGACTGCAGCTTGCAGACAATTTTTCTTTTTACTGTGGTACCTTAAAAATGTTGTGATTCAGGTTTTATTTTAGTGATTAAGGCAATGTAGAACCAATTTTTGTGTTTCACAATGAGGAATAAGAAGGAGACATAGGCCGGGTACAGTGGCTCACACCTTAATCCTAGCACTTTGGGAGGCCAAGGCGGGTGGATCACCTGAGGTCAGGAGTTCGAGACCAGCCTGACCAACATGGTGAAACCTCATCTCTACTAAAAATATAAAACTAGCCGGGGGTGGTGGTGCATGCCTGTAATCCCAGCTACTTGGGAGGCTGAGGCAGGAGAATCACTTGTGCCCGGGCGACAGAGGTTGTGATGAGCCAAGACCACGCTATTTGCACTCCAGCCTGGGCAACAAGAACGAAACTCCATAAAAAATAAAAAAATAAAAAAAAGGGAGACATTATAAGAGGTTACTATTAAGTATGTATATTATCATTTAGCTAAGAGGGTGAAACTTCATTCTGAAATGAAAGAAGGATTTTGTCAAAGACTTATAGTAATAAAATTTTACCCACAAAATTGTTAATCAGAGTTTCCTATTCCTGGGCCTCTTGGTTATTAATTTCACTTGGAAGCATTAGTCTCAATATGCAAAATCCTACCAAGGTTGGTCTTATTATTAATGAAACTAATGTAGGAATCATGTAGAGGCAGCTGTTTCTCATTATTCCATTTTTTCATTTTAAAGAAAACTTTAGACAAGTTAAAAGTAGTAGAGTTTATTTGAACAAAAACAATTCATAAATCAGGCAGCACTCAGAACCAGAAGATGTTCTGAGAGTTCTGCCCAGCAATGTGAGCAGCCACCTTTTATAGGCCAAACGCAGAAGCAAGGTAGATAAACCACTGGTTGGCTACACTAGGAGTCGGCCTCATTGGGTCATAGAGTGATGAGGCATCTACCTTATTTGGATGTGGTGTGATATGATGGCTGCCTATGATTGGCTGAAACCCTTTTGCTGGACTCGTAGTTAGGTTTTGGTTTGTATATGTACTAAGGTTGTGTTTCATTATATAGGAACTCAAATTATAGAGACAGCCTCAGGTTAATGGCCTTCTGCTTATTTGATTTGACTGATTTATTGATTCTAGGTAAATGTGGTGAGACTTAGGGCACTGTATTAGTTTCCTAGGGCTGCTATAAGTTATGGCAAACTTTGTGGCTTAAAACAACAGAAATTTATTCTCTCGCCATTCTGAAAGCTGGAAGTCGGAAATCATGGTGTCAGCAGAGTCGTGCTCCCTATGAAGACTCAAGAGAAGAATCCTCCCTGTCTCTTCCAGCTTCTCATGGCTCCTAGAAATCCCTGAGCATTGTTTGTTTAACAGCCGTATCACTTTAATCCCTGCTTCTGTCTTCACATAGTCTTCTTCCCTGTATCTCTCAGTGTCTCTTTGTGTCCTCCCCACCTATGAGGACAGCAGTCATTAGAGTTAGGGCCCTCTTTAATACACATCTTTACTTTCTCCCTTGATTACATCTGCGAAGACCCCATTTCCAAAAGGGTCACATTCTGTGGCTCCACGTGGACATGAATTTTTGGGGAACTCAGTCCACTAAAGACATCACATCAAATTAGTTGCATTTTAATGTCACACAGTTATAATTATTTCATGAGAAATAATGATCGGTTGCATCAAAAAGGCATCAAATATGAGGTCATCATTAAAGGAGCCTACAGTGACTTCCTCCACTCTTTTCTTGCTCTACAATGGGTCTCACATTAGGTCTCACCAGGATAGGTCTTTGTAGCTAAAAGATACTAGTAGCTTTTTGTTGTTGTTGCTTGATGCAGTTCTCATGTGGAGGGACACCAACTAGAGAGAGCTGGCTTTAAATCTGCTCTGCATGATGTAGAGTAGCTCTTTCCTCATGGAATTCTTTTAATGATTTGCCATCATTTCACCAAACAATGACCAATGGGGAAAAAAAGTCAGCAAATGTAAGACAAGTCAATTAATTTTTTAATGGGAAAAATACGAAACTATTTTCTAAAATTTGGTGTAAGAACATTTGCAGAATTTCAGTTATATCTATCATTTAGAATGTTGAGGTGTGGCTTGTTCTGTTTCAAGGCACACTAAAGAGCCTAGCGTACCTTAGGTAGTTAATTGGTTCCCAGCAAGTTCTGCATGGGGTTACCTGTTAGAGGTCAAACCAGGGCATTGAGGTCAGTCTGCAGTCGGCTTCCTGTGCTCAAGGAGTAAACCTCCCCCAACATAGGCAACTTTTTTCTCTCAAGTCCAGAAGCCCCTCCTCACCATTAAAAACTGTGGCTAGCAAGCCATGATCTTTTCATCTTTTAAATGTCTTCATTGAATCATTGATATTGCATGCTTGGCATCAGACAAATCAAGAATTAAAAGAGGTATAGTCAATGAGCATCAGACTTTGGTCAAATACCTCATTTTAGGTTTGGTTTCGTTAAATATCAACATGCGTTTGTGATTCTTTTAACTCCGTTTCAAACCACATAACCTTCGACTTAGGAATTTAATCAAATTAAGCATTGTAAATCCAGGGGTATGCAGTAGCAGCCAAGCAGTGGTCGGAATGTTCAAGTGCCTGTCAGAATCACTACATAAGCTGTTTATCTGAAAGAATGGGATTTCAGATGTGAATGACAGAAGACAGAGGAGGCGAGACATTCTGATTCCTATAACTATGACCATACGTCGCTTTTATATATTAAAACAAAATCTATGGTTTTAGTTTGGTTTGTCTTTTGAACATAACCTCTGCTAATTTTTTTCAGTTCTTTGTTTCAACACCAGTTTTCAGCTATGATGCCATTTCGTACTACAAAATATTTAGTGACAAGGATGGCTACAAACATATTCACTATATCAAAGACACTGTGGTACGTTCCTTCCAAGATTTATCTCCTCAAAGATCATTCACTTGAGGTTGCTCAAATAACGCTCAGTTTCACACAACATAATGTTTGTCTTTTTATAGGAAAATGCTATTCAAATTACAAGTGGCAAGTGGGAGGCCATAAATATATTCAGAGTAACACAGGATTCACTGTAAGTATTGCACGAAGCACGATGCACCATTCAGGTTTTAATTGGCACCGATGGACATAAATGATACTGTACCAACTCTCTTAGTTAAGAAGATTTTTGTTACTCTATAATTCAGACAGTTGTGAGTTCATTTACGATTGCACATTTTTAATAACTAGTCAAAATGATTTCCTTTTGGAAAAAAGCCTTCAGTAGGTGATAATTTCTCTTCTGATATTTGGTAGGCAATTATATAAAAAGTATACAAATTTTAAGATAATAACTCGTTCTAAAGGCAAATTTTACCCTTCAGCACTTGAAGCAATGAACAAGTTTCAAAATTCCCTGGAGGGCAGCCCATAGATATGGAGCATCTTTTGTAGTGATTCATTGTTATATAAGTTTAACATTATTATTTATAACAACTGTCATTTATGGAGCAATTACTGTGTACCAGATACTGTAAAGTAGAAATGATTATCCTAAGTTTGCAGATGAGAAAAGGGATACTCATAAAATTTAATTAACTTGGCCAAAGGCCACAGTTAGTTAGTAGCAGACTAGGATTCAATCCTAAAGCATTAAATCTAAGGCTGTTATTATCAACCTGAACATGGGACTGCTTTCTTACAGTTCTTTCCTCTTCAGTCCATTCTGCATACTATTTAAATAAACCATCTTCAAATAATCATTTATGATAAAACTGATCTAATCACAAAAGTATACTTTCTTTCTATAATTTCTAATACAGTCTGCATCTAGGGATCCTCTCTTAGTGCTGAAAATCTGCCAGCTATTAGCTGAAATTCTAGGAGCAAAAAGATGAGGACCATTAGTCCAGGCTCATGGAATAAAAGCCTGTCGGAAATCTATTACGAATCTTTGGAATTCTTTGAATGGAGGGCAAAGGTGTTTGGACTTTCTTTGGAGCAGTCATTAAAATCACTAGAGTAAAGGGGAGTGACATGTTCAAAACAGGTGGGAGATTCATTTCAGGCATGATGTGTTGAGGAGGTGGGGAAAAACTGAAGGCGGAGGTCCCTAGCTCTGGTCATAAGAGGCCTGAACTAGAAGAGTGGCAATGTAATAGATGCTCTGAGGACAAAACTGCACCTCCTTCTTTGTTTGCGTCCTTAGCACTTAGCACAGCGCCTGACACAGAGTAGTTCAATACACATTCTCTAAATGGAAGAGAGAACAGAGTAGATGGTAAAAACAGATGGAGGCTAAACAGGACTGGTGAAGGGAGACTGTCAGGAAAAAGAGAGAGAAAAGAGACAAACTGGACCTGGCTGCAAGGGTTAGAGAGGGAGACAATCAGGGAAGCTTCCACATAACAAGGAAGTGGCCGGGGGCTGTTGGGGAAAGATCCTGAGTCCTTTATTCACAGATAGTTTTAGATGATGTGGGGAGGGCAAGGAAAAGGGATGATGGGAGTCATGCAAAGTTATAAAGATGCATAGAAAGGTGTTAGTTTAGGAAATAAATTTCGTGCTAAAAACGAGTTGTATTCCATTGCTTTTTTCTTCTACTTGGTGCTAATAAGATTTTCATGATACCTGGGACATAGTGAGAACTGGACTGCCTAATTGTCCTAAGAATTCAACCAAACTTCGGTTATCCCAAACTTTTCACATTCGTGGGGGAAAAATAATGACAGTTTCTGATACTCAGATGAACATACAGCAGAGTGAAAACCATGTCATGAAACTGAATTTCCCACTTCATGGCTATTTTAAGACAGGTTGGAATCAGAACCTGGATACTTAAGTAAAAGCATGTTCTCTTATGACTTCTTTTGCATCTGGCTAAATTGACATGCCCTGTGTGTGGTATCCAGTGT
This sequence comes from Homo sapiens, assembly GCF_000001405.40. Classification (NCBI taxonomy): domain Eukaryota; kingdom Metazoa; phylum Chordata; class Mammalia; order Primates; family Hominidae; genus Homo; species Homo sapiens. The sequence continues at coordinate 162,201,049 of NC_000002.12, read as the reverse complement.
GATATCCTCAATTTGTAGCAAACCCATCTATTGACAGGGCTTCTATAAAATAAATTCAAGGTGTGTTCAGAATCCCAGATAAAATTAAATAACGTAGTACAGAGAAACAGGTAAACTGTTCTTAATCATAAAAAAGTCAAGGTATGATATTAATAAAATTTCCTAGTTGATTTTGCATGACTCATAATGAATCAGAATATAATATAATAAAAACAGTATTCAGCATAATTTAATCTTCCTCTGATGATTTGGAAGCCAGGATAAATGTGCAAAGTTCAGTTATGAACAGCAGTTATTTGTGTACTTAAGCACCAATTAATTGTTTCATTAGATAAATGCTTACCTATATTGATACTATATTAGTATTAATACTAACAATCCTATTATCACTTATTTATCAATACTTAATAATTTCTGAATATATTTTCAGGTTTTATTCTAGCAATGAATTTGAAGAATACCCTGGAAGAAGAAACATCTACAGGTAATTTATGTCCATTCATTCTGGTATTTCTATGTGTTGATATTTTAATATAAAAAGTCATCATCCCCAGGAGATGCAAAATATTTTTAAAGTATGGCACATAATAAAAATCATTTATGAATTTAGAGAAAACATTTGGAGAATGGGTATAAAAAACACACACTCGCAAAATGTTAGCCAATTCAAAATATTTGTTTTCAAAAGGAAAAAACAAGAAATTCTAATGTTTACATGAATACTAAATACTATTCTGGTACTAAACACTTTAAGTACATATAGAGGTAATTGAGGACATTTCTTTATTTAACACACATTTGTTGAGTACCTAGTATGAACCAGGCATTGTTTTTATTCTGATAATATGTGATTTCCTTCACTCTGTCTCACTTTGGCACCACCCATGTCTGTTCCTATATTAGTGTTTACATTCAGTCCAGTTGTTCCCTTGAGGACTGAAATGGTGCCCTCGACAGCCCTTTCTGGGTGTGGAAAGGAAAGCAATAGTTACTACATGCTGGTAGTCTATTATATGCCAGGCACCTTTTAATCTGACTTACATATGTAATTTCATTTAATTCCAACAGCACTATGAAGCAGGTAATGTTGTTGGAGCCAGGATTTGTACCTGGGCATGCTGATCTCTGAGCCCTTGCTGTTAACTGCCTCCCTAATGTTTCCAAAGTTCCACCCGAATAGGGACATATGTTAACATACTAACCCTAACAGAGGAAATAAGAAATTTTCCCTCTGTCATATTCCCCTGTTCCCTCCTGGATCGTGATCTTACTTTATGTGTTAAAAAGAATCACTCTCTGGGTCCAGCAGTGTCTCTGGCCTGGCCATTCTCTGCCATGCCCAAGGCAAAGTCAGGGACAGCAGCAGAAGAAACTCACAGGTTGGCACAGGAGACCCTGACAGGCACCATGGGGTCCTGACCTGTCCAGACCCTGGCATGACATCCTCTAAACTCCTCCACATGGAATTCTGATTCTGAGGGTGTCGGATAAGGTCCCTGAGTCTGTGTATTGAAGCCAATCACCCTGCTCAGGAACCACACAGATGACTCTGCAGGGTGAGTGTAGGGCCAATGTGGGCAGTGCAGATTGGCTTGTGTAGACTGTGTGGAGGGGGCATTCCCAGCCTGAGCTTCCATGAGCCCAAATTTCCTGCTGAAAGGAATGAAGGCGCAGAAGGCACTTAGAACTGTAATTTCTTATTTCCAATTTGCTTATTATTAATTTCCCCATCCTGATATATGGTAAGAACAGGGACTCTTTCTTGGTGATACTGCCAGATTTTCTTGCTATGTTTTGCCATGGGGTGGAAACAGAGAGATAGAAAGACGAAGAACTATGCATTCCCAAGCACTTTGTGAAGTGTAAGAGATGAATGGTTATGGGAAGTGACTACCTCACTGCCATTTGAGGTGTTAGATATTTCTCCCACTCCAGGGAAACCACATAGGGCTTCTTCCTCAAGGTTTGTGCCTATTAAGGCAAAGATGGATCAAAAATCAAGCTACATCAAAATACTGTGATTCCCCTTTACTTTAAATGATATTGGCAACAGAAAAATAGAGTGGGTTTGATGTCAATATGTAAATTAGTCACTTTACATGGAGTAGTACATTTTGATAAATACAATCTCAAAATTTCAGCTTAGTTTTATTTTCATTTCCCTCTAGAATTAGCATTGGAAGCTATCCTCCAAGCAAGAAGTGTGTTACTTGCCATCTAAGGAAAGAAAGGTGCCAATATTACACAGCAAGTTTCAGCGACTACGCCAAGTACTATGCACTTGTCTGCTACGGTAGGTAACGGACCTCACATAAGCACAGCATCCCCACAGGCATGGTTGTCATCCTCCTCACCTCTATCTGATCAATTCGTAGCTACAGTTAATGAGCATTTGTTATATGTAAGAATCTTATCTTGTGCTTATAGAAAAAAAATTAAAGGAGGATAGGAAGGTATTATTATCTTTACTTTTTTGCAACTGAGGAAACAGAGTTTGGGGAAACAGGGTAACTTGCCAAAAGGTCCGCACTGCAGCTAAGCATCAGCCAGGACTGAAGCAAGTGCTGTTGCCTCTAAGTCCCATGCTCTTAACCACCACATTCCACAGCACTAAGACTGCGTGCAGAGGCAACCCGTCAGCTAGGCTTCGCAAGACCTGAGCAATCGCAGAAAAAGAAATGTTCTCTGATAAAATGGTTGCTGGACTTTTGGCCCCCTTTGCCCAGAGAAATATCAAACTCTCACATCCAGGGGAATGAACAACGGCTTGGAAACCCGAGATGCCCACGTCGGAGGTCAATCATTCCTCAAACTGTAGTTTCAATGGGGATAGAAGATGAACCTTTGTCCTTTCTAAATTTGGAAAACATCGTAAGTAATGCATCAAATATAACAAACCATAAGTAATAAAATCTACAAAACATTTCCTGGTTGTTTAGGACATACGTACATTTAATGAATAATTTCTACCCATATAATTTTATTTTATGTGCAACCTTTTATCTATATCTTGAGCATGTGGCAAACAATAAAACAGGTTAGGTTAAGAGGCCAATATAGATCAATGAAATATATTGGGGTCTAAGTAGTCATTATGGAGATTTGGAAAACTGACTCGGGAATCTCTAATTCTCCAATCTCTGTCACCTCCCTCCAGCTTATTCCTAATTTGGGGCTGAGAGTTAGAGTACTTGGAAAAAGGTATTACAAAATGTATGCTACCCTCCTGTTTTGGTATCAGCTCCCCTGGTAGGGGTATGTGGCTTAAAGAACAAATGGAATCTTTGACTGCTTGATATCCCTATTCAGTTGCAGAGGCCCTGAAGATCTCATAAAGGGAACCAGAATGAAGGCTACCCTAACATGCCACTTCCCTCAGTCCAGCCACCTGGCCCCGGAACCTGAGCTGCAGCTCATTTGACTACGTGGACATGAATAAGCATTTTAACCCAAATTCTCCCTTGAAGATAGCACAAAGATGTCAGTTTGAAATAACACTTTCATAAAATGTTTGGTCAATGGCATCTTTGAAATGTCAAGAGATTGTTGTTCATGACCATATGTGCTGATTGTGGTTACTGGCATTTAAAGGTATACATTAAATGTCCCTCTCAAGTTATATGCAACATTTTTCAACCTAAGCTATATATTTATGCAACATAGATTGAAAGCTTACATGCCAGGCACATAGTATCATTGAGCTAACTATACTGAGTCATCTGTTTATCTATCTTTTTCTCCTGGAAGGCAGGGGCTACATTCTTTTAATCTTTGTATTTCTAAGACCAAGAAGAATGTCTAATACATAATAGACATTCAATGTTTGTGGAATTAACATAGATATGAGGTAACATTGCTGTCCCTTGCAGTCTACCAAAAAAGCTGGTTTTATGCTGATGCATTTGCTGATGAATGCATCAGTGACACTACATTTACATCCATGCATTTATATATGTATGCATTCTGCATTTGTATAATGCTTTAATGTTTTTGGAAGGCACTATCTCACATTTTGTATTACGTTGTCTTCCTAATATCTACTTGAGCCTGTGTGCCCACTGAAGAGATGAAGAATAAAAGCCTAAGCTCTCATCAAAAGTTGGTGGAAGAGTCCTTTCTAGAACTTGAATCGCCTGACTTTTCCACCACTCACTCTTCCTCGGCAGTATGGTAATTTCCCATTTAGCAAAAAATATACTGTGTGGGAAGCATCACATCGTCTGGTGTTTTTGAAGCTCCAGTAAAATGAGTCACTGCGCCATCATAGGAAAAACCTTGAAATCTTTCCCTTCAGGACTAAGAGTAAAGCCTCATTATGTAACTTCAAACTCTCCCGAGGGATGGTTAGTAAGTCCCAGATGATAGGATCAAAACAGGTAAAATTATATCGATGATGCTGATGGAACAAAAGCATGCAAGGTAGGCTTCTCAAGGTCTGATGTTTAGGCCACTAGGATCACACCTTCATCCAGTGTCAAATACAGTCAGTCATTTATCTGTCTCATTTTTTAGGCAAAAAAAAAAAAAAAAAGATATGCAAGTTTCCATTATTGAAACTACACACTCATGAAAATTCCACAGGGTAGATGCTGGTTGATTAGAGTCTAGAAATTTATATTCATGTCTCATTTCTTTGCATGCTGGCTGAAAATGTAATATGTGTATTTGTCCTTTTTCATAACTTTGATGAAAAACTGGCCAAAATGAAAATCTCTGCAATAACATTCTATAAAATTCTGAGATTCCACACAGGAAGTTTTGAGTCTTGAGGGAGCCTAATAAATACTATCCTTTTTCCTCATTTCCAAATTAGACTAGGATTCAGGCAGGAAACCAAAATATTATCTTTACTTGTAAAGGCTAGTTGGAAAATGTGGTAAAGCTGTGTGGTTTCCCAATATTGCATCCCAGAATTATACTTACACAAATATAGGTATGACAGGGCAGCCACCATCTTCCTCCATGGGGCTTGGCACTGGCACAGGTACAGCACTGAGGAACGGATCAAAAGCATGTTCTCTGCAGGCAGAAAGATGCCAGAAGAAAGACAGAAGGAGCTACTCATACCCAAGTCTTCTCAGAACTCTACAAAAAAATCATTTCTCCTCTGCTTAGCATGAGCCAAGCATGCTACTTTAATGGGTTCCCTCCACATAGAAGGTAGCATCCTCACCCTATCTGGGGGGGGTGGGGTGGCAAATGAACATGTACCTCCAACCTCCACATTTGTTGCTTTTAACCTACTGACTGAGCAAATTTATGCTTAAAAGGTATATTTCCAGACATTATTTGATCCTGTATTTCAAATAAGGAATAATTTGTTTTTAATTATTTGTAGATCTTGCTAAAAATGGCCAGTTTCTGCATAGAGAAGCTGAATGCATGTTGGAATATGTAGTGGACACTGGTGTGCCAGCCAGATCCCTTCATCCCCATCTTCAGGACTGACTCAGTCATTTCTTCAGCTACTGAGAGTGCTAGTGGCTGACAACTTACAGCTGAGCACGCCCCCCAACCCTACCTCCCCCCAACCCGGGAGAAGAGAAGAGTTTTCTCTTCTCCCGGGCCACATCCAATGCTAGGGGGGTAAAGCTCCATGCTAGGGGGTAAAAGTCAGCCTTGTTGCCCCATTGGAGACAACTCTACAAGCTATCTAGGGGTCTCTATGTGACAGCAATGACATCCACCTTTCTTCCCTGCCCTATTCTTCCTCCCTTTCCCCCACAAGTGTGCATCCCAATACCACCCCCACAAACCTCCTTCCAAGACTGCTTCCCAGGGACCTGCCACAGCATATTTTAAAAGGAAGTATATCCCATGTAGATTTCTGCATGTATTATTCCATGGAAAAAATACTCGATTTTACCCATCTAAATAAGCTGAACATTGAACCAAGAAGCCAGATTGAAAATACAATCTGGGTACTGGTGAAGGTTGTTTGATAATAAAGACACAGCCAAAACTGGCCCAATACAGCATGACATCTTCCCAGAAGGCCATTTGTCACTGCAGCTTCTGGGGTGCATTTGTGTAATTCGATATTAATGATTCAGGATTAGTCTTGGAAAAGTGCACAGGCAAGGCTTCTTTCACAGCTGTTCTTTGAGTGGGCTTTGATCTCATGTATTGTTTAAATGTGACTTAGAAGTGATGTTTTCTTCTCTATGGGGAAAAAAATAGCTGCAGAATTAAAAGATGTACTGGCACTTGACACTAATCACAAATACTACCAGCAGCCCGTCTTGAAAAGGAATTGTTATTTTAACACTAAGCCATGATTTTGTTTTCATCCTGCCCACAGGCCCAGGCATCCCCATTTCCACCCTTCATGATGGACGCACTGATCAAGGTACTCTCTCTTGCATGTTATCTATCTTGTCTCAAGTAATCCTGAACTCTCTGTGATGCTCCGCTAGAGAAAGCAGGACAGTTTCTCCACACCACCAAGGGGAACTGCGATGGAATCCTGTTATCACATCACTTATTATTGCACAGATTTGGATATTATTTGGGTCAAATATGATCCTATGAAATTTAATAATTCTTTGCAGTGAGAACCTGGCATAACACAGATAGATGAGTTATATCAGAGGGTTTAATTCTATCTTCTCCAATCAGCCTTATAAAAAGCACAGATTAGAATTGGGAAAAAACTTAGCACATTCAGTACGATCTTCCTTCCAAAATAGAATCCCTAGGGTGTTTTTTTTTTTTTTTCCTCAGGGATTGGGGGTAGGGGGTTGTTTGCATGTGTGTGTGTGTGTGTGTGTGTGTGTGGTAACATCCCAAACTGGAAACAAATTCTACATGTAACTTCTTCAGTTCAGAGCAGAGGGTGACTGTCACACCAGCTTTTTTTGTTTTAACAGCTACATCACATTGTTGCCACGTATGAACGCCCTGAAATTTGGAGGCTCTTTCCATTTTCAACTGCTATCAAGACAGTCCTCCTCTATCCTGTATTTGTGATATTGGTTCAAAATAGTTCACATCTCAAAGACGACCAGTTTTGCTCGCAGCAGAGTTGTCCAAGTATCTAATTGCTCTGATACTCTTCCTGCTGGCTCTCCATTATCTTTTGATTTACTATTAAACAACATTATAGGGTTGGAGTTGTTGGAGGCCAGGGACAATGAGGCAGATGCCACTTTCTTCAGCACTCATGCCTGCGATTGTCCCTGGACAGCTTTGGTGACAAGTCAGGAGACTGCCTTGGGATTACTTTGGCTGTCAGCTCAATGGCTCAAGTGTAGGTGAAAATAACAAGAAAAAAAAACAAAAACAGAATCAATTTGGGAACTCTGGACAGGACAGGCATTGTGATAATGGGACTGTGAATTTAGTTTCATTTTAAGGTTTTTTTTGAAACCTTGTGTCTAATAAGGAAATACTTTTAAGAATAACAGATTATATTTCTTAATTTGACCATCTCAGTCAGTGAGATTGATTTCAAGTCGACAAGGTTTTGTTTTAATAGAAATCACTATTAGCATATAATTCTCATCTTTTCAAGACTGCAAAATAATAGCCAGCCTTTCTTTTTCCATAGCATGAATTTCTACTTTCTTGAGATCCTTGTTAGATTCCTGGCAGATCTGTGTACTGATTTTGAAGCTCTATTACTTCACTCACTATTTACAAAATAGGTACGCCCTCAGATATGTCAGATGTAATTAAATAAGTACCAACAGAAAAAATCAAATTCTTTCAGAGCACAGTTCCACAACTTACCTAATGTGAAATTATTCTCCTATGTTCATTATAAATACGGATTCCCAGGACTTCCCCAAAGATTTTAATGTGGTACGTCTTAAGTTATGCTTGGAAATTTGTATTTTTAATAGTAAATGTTCAGCTGCTGTTTTGGAGCAGATGCTGTGTCTCTTATTTACATTGCATTTGGTGTCAGCAATCTCATTCAACAAATATTTATGGAACTTCTACCACATTAAGCCAGGCACTGTGCTAGGTCCTGGATCTATCTATAAAATAAAGAGATACTGGGTTAGACGATGTCCTTGTCCTCAAGGAGGTTATAGATGAGTGGGGAATATGAACATGGAAATGGGCAGTTACAATACAGTGGGGTAAGTTCTAAGATAGGGGAACTGCAGAAAGCCTGGAAGCACACAGGAAGAGCAGCTCATCTGGGTTTGGGGGGTTAGGAAATGTTTACTAATGATAACTACCACAAACCCGAGACTCATGAATATGAAGTAGGTGATAATGCTATTTGGATGATTGGCTTGATACTAATGGTTTTTTACTGAAATAGAGGAGTCATTGTGGAGATCAGGTTTTGGGAGGATGATGAATTTTGTTTTAAATGTTGAGCTTGAGGCACTGATGAGATACCTAAGTGGAGCTGCTCTGTAGTGACATCATTTTGGATCTGGATGCCAGAAGATCAGTTTGGACTGAAGATAACGATGAAAGTCATTAATTTATGGAGCATGTGGTAACTCAGGCCTTGGAAGTGGATGATATGAGCCGAGTGGACAAAACAAGAGTGGATAGGGTTAGTGGGGAGTGAGCCTACAACGAAACTGTGTGGAACATCAACACTTGAGAAATGGAAGGAGAAAAATGAGCCTGGAGAGGAGACCAAGAAGGAACAGAAGGAGGGGGATAAACTTGAGAGTATGGTATTGTGGAAAGCAGGGGAGGAGAAGAGCTCAAGGAGGAGGAAATAATCAGCTGTACCAGATGCTGCAGAGAGTGAGGGAAGGCTTGCTCTAAATTAATGGACTTAGCAAGAGGGAGATTGACATTAGCTTGGTCAGAGCCATTTCAGTGGAGCAGTGGAGGTGGAAGCCAGATTAAAGCAAAATTAGGTCTGCATAAGTAAGTTTAAAAAGACAGTATTTCCAGTTGGTCTGAGTGTGATGAGAAGAGGGGATTGGTGGGACGATGGCTGTAAAAGATTGATGTAGGTTTAATTTTGTTTTTGAAAGAGGATAAACATTTGAGTATGAGTGGATGTGATAGAGGAAATCAGCAGAAAAAATGGAAGGAAAACATAGAGGAGGGAGGTCCCTAAGAAGTTGAGAGAGGATGAAGATCAGAGACAGGTAAATGGATTAATCTCTTGTGATGTGATGAGACAGAATAAAGAAATTGTTGGTAGAATTGCATGAAAGTTGGAACACAGTGAAGTGGCTTCATTTTCCCTGCAAAGAGGGGGAAGTTTATTTGAAAACAGCAGGTAGTACTTGAACCAGATTCCGTGGGAATCCAGAAGAGCTGGAATTGTCAGGGAGGGCCCAGTTAAAGCTTAGTTGCTTTGGGCACAGAAAATGCTCATTAAAATTAATCAATTCATGACATGCCCTTATTAATCAGCCTTTCTATGGATTCTCCCCATAATTTAATCAGCAATATGGGATTTTAAAACGATTCAAACAGAAATCAAGTATAAGATCCATCATTGTTACAACTCAATTTCATCACAATGAAGAGCCTACAAATACATGTGGAAGCAGATACTACATGCCAGATACTAGGTGCTGTGTGTGCTTGGTACTGAGTATACGGTGATGGGAGAAAGAAAGTAAAATGTGTGGTCTGACCTGTACTCCCTTTGCTAGGTTATGGGTTTTTAATGCACAGCCTTATTGAGAAGCCCAGCTGCCACCTCTCACTCTTGCCACTGCCCCCTGTGAGATTCTGTTTGTGCTCCAAGAGGTGGAAAAATTGCCCAGTCACTATCCATAAAAAATGCAACTCTGAACCATAAAAGCATTTAGATTAAATTTTGCATTTCATTAAGTCATGTATCAGAAAAGTTCGATAGCTAAGAATAGAATGAAGAAGGAGTCAAAGCCATAACCACGTGACAACACCCGGATACTGTCTCCCACTTCCAGTGCTTGTGGTAAAATAATACAAATAGTAATCAGTCAATCAATCAGCCAGTCTGTGTGCTTGATCCACACAGGAGTCTCTTTATCGATGGCAGCTCCACAAACAGAATCCACGCAAGAATGAAGGGTTGGCTCTACTGTACTTAGAATTGTGTATTCATTTTACTTTTTTGGTTTTAACTTTTAAGGTGTCACAAGTATCTCTTCCCTGATGGATTACCCAAAGTTAATGTGAAATTCATTATGTATCTTATACAAATCATACCCAAAACATCTATACTTGTGCTAAGATTAAATATAACATGTTGGAGCAAAATGCCATGAGTATATGAAAACTGAGAGTTACAAGAGAAGTGGTTTGGCAAACTTAGTATAGTTACAAGCACTCCTCCAGCTCTCTCTCTTCAGAGACCACTCTTTCAAAAAGGCATAAAAACAAGAAGTCCATGGACATCTTTTGTAGCAATAGATATACCTCACAAGTCATCCAGCCCCTCTTTTAAAATATAAAGCTAAAACTCCACATATTATTTGAAAGGCTAACTTTTCTCTAGAAGATGCTGATATCAATCCCAGGTTCAAAATAAGGTCTATAAAAAGCCCGCTATTGCTAGAAACCTATTTGCATGTATTACCAATCTACAGATTCAAGAGATCAATGGATTTGTTCCTTTTCAAATATTAAGGTGTGAAATATAACTGAGCTCAAGTATAAATAGCAGGTTTTAGATTTTTTAAAGATTTAAGACAGAGAAAGAGCATAGTGTGTGTTTGTGTGTGTGTGTGTGTGTATACACAATATATATTGTTGTCTTACTCAGATATATCACTACCTTGAGAGAAAGGATCTGAAAGAATAGCATACAACTAATTCAATTACCAAAAACAGGAGAATATCCTTTATTAATCAAGTACAACAGGAAAGCGTAAGAAAGAAAGATTTTAAAAATCACAGAAATAATATTCAACTTTACACATTAAAAATTAAAAAGCAAATTTTGGAAATACACAATTAATTATTTTAAATTTGAGGCCCCAGCAATCCAGATTGTATTTCCACTACATTTTTTTAAGTATATGATAAAAGAAATATCACCTGCTTAGGTCATGGCTTTAAACTTAAAAACAAAACAGCTTTAGATGGGAAAACGTGATTGAATAAACATTGTTGCTCCTGTGATTTTTGCTCAAAATGTGTTCTGATGCTATTAGAATTAGTTAAAGACACAGTGATTAAAATGTGATGTCCTTCATAAGCTTATATCTGCTCTAAAGGCTGGATTATAAATACATTTGTCAATATGAAACTTCACTTCTTAAGCGAGCTTTTCACAGTTTCAGTTTCACCCATATTGAAGTCAAAGGAATTTTAAGGAAAAAAATTGTTTATGGAAATACTATTGATTAAAAATGAACATTTAACATTTTTCAGAAATTAAAATCCTGGAAGAAAACAAGGAATTGGAAAATGCTTTGAAAAATATCCAGCTGCCTAAAGAGGAAATTAAGAAACTTGAAGTAGATGAAATTAGTAAGATCTTTTAAAAACTTCTCATTTATAGATATGAAGCTGAGCAATTTTCTTGCTTTTAAAAAAGCATAGAGTGAATGTTACAGTGCAAATTCTGCGATCTATTAATATTACAGGATTTCATTTAAAATAATCTTACTGTAACAATTCTTAGTTTTACTAAATATCTTTAATATGTTTGTGAACATGGTTGATCTTATACCTTTTCAATAGCTTCCTTTCCACACTGACGTTTTTTTAAAAAGAGCTTATCTAATTTTAATTTTAAAATGTATCCTTCTAGAACAAATAGTAATTCAAGGTTTCTAGTCATTTATACATTTAACACAAAAATTTAATAAAAGTTACTTTTAAATATATCCTAAATTCTTAACAATTTAGTAGTTGAAAATTGATTTTATTGCATATATTGTTATTAAAGACAATAAATGATGCTACTAGTGCTGTGGAATGAAGATTTTTCTCCTTTTTTTTTCCTCAAAGCTTTATGGTACAAGATGATTCTTCCTCCTCAATTTGACAGATCAAAGAAGTATCCCTTGCTAATTCAAGTGTATGTAATATTTTCTTTGGTGTAAAAACTATTTACTGAAAATATGTTAGATGAAATACACATTTATGAAATAGAATGAACCATTCTCCTTGGTAACAGTGCCTATTGATGCTGTTTTTATATATTCTTCAACTAATCAGAGTAAATAAAATATGGCTATTTAAAATAGATTGAGGAAGTTTTGAGATTTTAGCTGGACTTGCTTGCATTTGCTGTGTTAAATTTCCTTTGTATGGCAATTTGCCGAATGTGTCAGAATACCTTTGAGATAGAGAAATTGCAGCCAAAAAAAATATTGTAAATCATCTTCACATCTTATGTAATTGAGTTAGAAATGAAATAAAGGAATAGAATACATTTAGTGGAATCACACCCAAAATCAGTGCTGACCTACACACAATTTGCTTAAAACACCATGCATTTTTTTTAGTATATCTTATGTCTGCTTTTAGCAAGTGGCAGGTGGCAGAAATGACGAAAAACCCACACATATTCCTTGAAATGCCAACCCTAGATGTATCCGTTTTGGGGAATAGGAGAGGCTGTGTCCCAAAACAACTTCCTTGTAGCAAACCTCTGGGAAAAGCCTGGACTCCTCTTGATTTTGAGCCAGTTCTAACGCCATTGTTATTTTATCACATAATTGTACTGGAATTACTAGAAGCAATGCTTGGCCAGGATGGGAAATTGAGTTTTACAAAGCAATCAAAGATTCTTGTTTTTTTTGTTTTTCCTTTAGGTATGGTGGTCCCTGCAGTCAGAGTGTAAGGTCTGTATTTGCTGTTAATTGGATATCTTATCTTGCAAGTAAGGAAGGGATGGTCATTGCCTTGGTGGATGGTCGAGGAACAGCTTTCCAAGGTGACAAACTCCTCTATGCAGTGTATCGAAAGCTGGGTGTTTATGAAGTTGAAGACCAGATTACAGCTGTCAGGTGAGCACCTTCTCATTCAAGCAGATGTCAACATGCAACAAAAGTCATGCAATCACTATTGTGTTTCTCCATTCTTCATGACTTAATTCTTTTGTTTTTCTTTTTCTAACTTGGTCTAAAACTATCACTAATCTTAAAGAGGTATTTCTGCCAAATATGAAAAAAAAGTATTTATGGAAGAGAGCTAACGAATGTGTAGAAAAATGATTTCAAGTGCTAAATGACAAATACCCTCTTTTGATGTGTTGTCATTCATTCCAATATCTTTTAATTTAGTTCCATTTCTTACAATTGATAGAAAAACTTTGAACTCTAATGATGATCTTCAGGAAAACAAATATCTGAATTTGCTCAAGCATTGTGGATTCTGCCTCTTAAGTTTAGAAATGGCTCAAGATTTTATCAGCACTACATACTTTTAGATGTTAGGCCTTCATTTGTGGTTAAACTAGCTATCAGTCGGCCATGGTAGCATGAAAGTGTTTGCCTATTTTCGTTTGACAAAAACATAGTCATTTTACACAACAGAAATTATATTATGAAAACATTTAGGGAAAACACAGATTCATAATCTGATTTCTTCTTCTCAACTATATATATTTTCAACCATGATTTATGGTTCAATCATCTTTTCCTGAAACAGGACTATATAGGCACCAAAATTGTGGCTTTTTTAGAAACACTGTGCAAATAATTCTTGCCATGTCTCTATAGTTGTTGGGTTTCATTATTATGTTATGAATAGGTGAAGCTAAGAATAATAGTTCGTAAATTTAAAAGGTAGCAGGCTAATTGCACTCTCAGTCGTGAATATATGTGCATGTGAGGAGCTAAAGGTCAAACACTGTTTCACAGGCAAAGAGAAATTTAGAAATTTCTTTAGTACATTTTTTATCCCCTTAATGTTATTAATACTTAATGATTTCACTGCAACATGCAGAATAAAGATTGTATTTAACAGCCTGGAGCCAGGCCTAGACAACACTTTTCTATATTTTTGTCTCTAATCAAAGCAGAAGAGTTTAGACTCACAAGTAATTATTTTTAAAAATAGAAAGGTGTCCATAACCCATACATTTTCAAGTGCTTCTTTCATTCTGGGAACAAACAAAATGTTCAATTAAAAAAAAAGTCTATCTGAGTACAATACGACAAATTAGTAAGTAGGTTACTAACACTAAAATCTGTAGCTATCACTCAATTTCTGGAAGCTCCCTCTTTCTTATGGACTCAGACTTTTGGCCTTTCAACTATTCACTTGTTTGGAGGAGATAGTTCAAAGAAAAACCCCACTGAGACATCAGTTTCTCCTATAAAGACTGTAGTGTGCCTTAATGAGAATATTAACGCCATCCTCAGAATTATAGCTTAATTCCATGGGGGACTTTTTTTAGCACCATGGCTCACATCTATTTGCATTTAAACCATGCAATAAACATCAAGGACATGTAATCCTGGGACTACATGAAAACAGAGATGAAAATTATGCCTCATTTATAATTTATTTAGATCTTTTCCAAAGCTGAAAGAGCTAAAAAGTTGTTTATTTTGGCATTGGTTAAAAAATCATTGTCTTCATCATCGTCATCATCGCAACCCACCAGTAACAACAAAATATGTCATTATACTTTTATGGGTTTATTTACCACCACAGATGCACCATTTGAACCTAAGAAGAAATAGCTTCTTAATATTTTCCTTGGATGAAATGAAAATTTAAACCTGAGCCATGATATTCAACATACAGGACACAAAGCCATAAATTCTACCTTCTACTGATTTTCGCAGTAATACCAATTTGTCTTTGGCATTTAGAATTGAAGATGGACTAGAGGTGGTAATTGGATACCTCTACTTTCTCTGAGCCATTTTTAGGATGGAATCTGAAGAAAGTCTTCCTGCTATAGGGAAAACATATGTTCACCCATATACTCAGCCATTCAACAACATAGCAAATATTAATATTAATACATGCCATTGCAGTACACTCTGTATAAAATTGTGCAATTTGCAATTTCTGTTTTCAGTGTGCTTGCAATCTGGTAAAAGTAAATAAGCCACCTACACTCTGAAGGGACAAAATTGTTGTTAGATCAAACTTTTAGTAAACACCCCAGAGAATATGGGCAGCTGCGTGGCCCCATGCAAAGTCTATAAACAACAGTGGAGATGACAGCCAGAGCTGGCCTTGGTTTTTGCTTGAAATTGTTCTTATGCAACTGTGAAAAGGAAGCCTTATAATCCAATGCTTTGAGAAAACAAAAGCTAAATAGGATAGACTCAGAATAATAATCCTAGGGATGATTCAATATACCTCCTAAGGAAGTGTTTTAGGAATCAGACACTAAATGCCTGACCTGGGGAATTGAGATTATAATACTTCTACTGTAGCCCTTAAATTGCCTCTCAGAGAATAAAATTTCTCCCCTGAATCTTTTACAAAATGCAATCTGGCTAAGCTTTTGACATACCAAAAGAAAATCGTACGTACATATTTGGAAACAACAGTAAATACTACTCAAGGCCAACAAATAGATTTAAACAAAGCAAAGTAGGGGAAAAAAAGAAGTCATATCGTCTTATAACTTCTATCTATGTGAAAGAAAATGCGTCAGAAGAGATGTTTGTGAAGCTACAGACATAAGGGAGACTGGAACCCGCTTTCTTTAGGTGTCTCTTCAAATGGTACATATGTGAGACCCTTAAAACTTTGGTGGTTATAAGGGCAACTTTGCTCATTTGGAGTATATTTGGCACTTTTGATATTCCCACAACTTTAAAATTTGATATAACTTGAGGGTTAGTGGTGGGGAAGAATTACATGAGATGAAATTTTCTATCATGCTTTTATAGATGGCATGAATAAGAATATTTCTAAAATAGGATAATAATTGATCGCTATGATTCCAAGTTTACCTTGGCCTTGGGCCAACTTTATGAGAGAAAAGTTATAAAGTTCAATCCAGACTCCAAGATTAGAAAAACATCCTTTTCATTTGTTACTGACATTTTGTTGATATAACCACATTATCAACAGTATTTACAACCCTCTGGGAAACTCTTCAGAATTTGAAGGTGAATTTTATAGTGCCTCGTTGGTCTGGAAGTGCTAAGATTATCTAGCTAACCTTTAACCTAGTCCTGCAACATTCAGTGTTAATGTTTCATTTCCATGTTAACTATTGCACTATCATTTCCTGTAAATGTCATCCTTTCAGAATAAACCTAGGAAGAGAGCTGTTAAGAGTTTCCTGTTCCCATGTATCACCTGTTATTTGCTCTTTACCCCAGATGTAAGGTAGTATGATTGTTGGCTTCTGGGAGATCATAAAATCACAATTGATTTTATGGCTCAGAACTGTCTTCAAGCACCAGTAGCAAGGTTATTTTTTTTTTAACAAGAAAGTGAACCTTCTCTTCTTTCATTTGATTTTTGAAGTTTGTGCAAGAATTGCTCAAGTGTCACAATTTGCTGCACATTTTCTCCTCTATACCATGAGCAGCATCCACACAGGTAGCAACTTTCCATTTGCTACTGCATTTCTTCTCTGTAGACTCCTCAGTGTCCTTCAGAATCAGTGTCGGGTAAGCTGTGACTAACGGGGCCTCTTCCCATCTGTTTGTCCCGGGCATTTGCCCAACTTCTCTATGCATCGGAAACGTGCATGTTGAATCAATGCAAGAGCGAAATGGTTGCTGTGAAATCCCTTTAAGAAACTACATTATTCAAGTAATGAAAATCACTCAGTTCTACTTCCAGAGAAGAACTGATGAGAAAGGTCTTTAACAGTAATTGAATGGAACAAGAAGATAGTATTTTTCTGGGACTGTGTGTCTCCTTTGGTCTTCTCCCCTCCTTCCTGTCACTGTTGCATACGGTGGTTTCTGCAATGGCTGATCCAGTTTGCCACATTCCACTCCGGCTGCTGTTTCTCTGAGATTTTCTTGAGTTTTTATCAAACCAATCCCCAGATAAATCACAATTGCTCTAGAACACCAGCCCTCAGGGTAACATGTTAGAAATTAGCTTGAAACCCTCAATTTTGAGGGTTTCCCATGACTTTTTAAACGTTGTCCTTCAGTGTAGCCCCTTGCTCCTAAGGAAAGATTTATTTTCAAAATAGTTTTCAAATGGATGCTCTTCTGTGATGGAGCTAAAAAGGAATTATTTCCATATTAATTAATGATGAATTGAGGATGCCTAAGTATGAAATGGAAGACGGTTGTATATTTCTCTCAAATGTCTCTGAAAATGAAGTGATGATTATCATTAACAACAATGTGATAAGAAATTAATATAATTTAAAGCAGCAAGAACAAAATCCTTCTTTCCGATAGCTGGGGATTTGGAAACTTGGTCCTGCTCAATGCTGCTGCTACTTCTTGTGTCACTATGAACCCATCTTTTGGCCTCTCTGAGTCTCAGGTACACCCCCACGATTAGACTACAAGGCCTTATACCGCTCTGACATTACCAGTCAATAACTGTACAACAGAGTCTAAGGGAATCCTTTTATCTCTTTGCAGAAAACATGATAATATTATTTTAATTATTTGTAAATGCAGGCTTATTATGCATGTGTTTAAACAAAGAAAATGTAGCGTTTCTATTAAATCTTTGGATTAAATATGGTTGTGTAATGAAGTAAATGTCATGTGTATACACTTAACATTCTAAAAATTTGTTTCTTTTACTTTAGAAAATTCATAGAAATGGGTTTCATTGATGAAAAAAGAATAGCCATATGGGGCTGGGTGAGTTGTTTTATATTTTTTATGCCTGTTATTCAGTTCAGCAATCATCATTTTCTGAAGTGTTCGTTTAGAAGGTTTCTCATGAAATGTTAATGTTGCAACATAATTTAATCTGTCAATGGAAACAGTCAGTTTGGATAATCTGGGCTTCAAAATGGTGGTTTTAAGTGTTTGTTCCTTTTTTTCAATCTTTTCTTCCCTGTACAGTAAGTTAACTCATAATTGACATATTTTTACTTAAGTCTTTGTTACTAGATTATAGCATACTGAACTGAACCATATCCGTCAGAGGGTGAATTGCCTTTGTTATTTTAAAGTTAAATATATACCTTTTATTTTATATTTCTATTTTATAAAAATTGGAGCTACAATTTGAAATCACAGGGACTTTCAGAATATAAATTCCTTAGTACCTAGCCTAGCAGTCATATCTTAGCTGTTTAATTTTGTTTCTTTTTATTTGGCAATCAAATTATTTTAGTAGACCGAATGTTCGTTTGTGCTAACTGGAGAAAAGTACTATTTAGTTTCCTAATTATAGGTCATGGAGATAACTTCTCACACTTGAGGAGCTATTTTGAAAATACACATTTAAAGAAAGTGGCAAAACTTATCGTTTATGGGCAATGAAGTCACTGGAAAGTTTAGAGAAATATTGGAAAGAGTTGAGATTTGCCCATTATAAATTATGATAATTACCCTTCAAAGAAGATTTCCTGTTTCACTTTTTGGTCTGAATTTGTACATTTGCAAGTCAATTTGCAGCCATTTGTGCCTGGGTTGTTTTTCTTGGCTGTTTTCTCTGAGAGCGGCCTGCACGAGAAGAAGGGAATGAAACCCAATATTGAAGGGAATCTGCAAGATTCAGCTCCACTCAGCTCAGTGACCAGATGAAGAGCTGTTAGGAATTTGAAGAAAGTTGTTACTTCAAGCCATTTGGTCCTTCTTAAAACTATCAAATGTTAAATATCTAAACAGAATGAAATTCAAATGAGTAGAAATAAATGAAATATTTCTATAGTGAAATATTCCAGATAATACCTTCCCTATCATCCATTTTTATAAAGTTTCCTAAAGCAAATCCTTGAAAGATTCTAATTTTAAGTTGAACATGTACATGTAATCATTAACATTTCTCTTAGAGTTGGACTTTGCTTTTGCTGCAGGCTTTGAAATAACCATAAAGTAGAACTTTTTATTTTATTTATAGAACATTCTAGGTATTAGTTTGGTAGAAAACCATCTACGTGGGATGATTTTCTAAAAACCCACTCATCACCCAAAAATACATCCCTATCAGCCTGAAATTCTTCAATAATAGATTCTCACCACATCTAGTTGGGCAAATGCCACTGAAATAGTACATTAGAACCCCCACCCGTCAATTGCTTACTTTCCAACATGGTAATGACTGTGAGGTCGACTCAGAGCAAATTTGAGCAAAGAAAGTAAGAAATGGGCTGCCACGTGATATAACATCTGAGCAGAAGGAACTAGTATGTGGATAAAGACATTAATACTATACTGGGTTTTAAAATCAGCTCTTCAGGTTTAAGATGCTTATTAATCCATCTGTCTAATCACTGACTTGTTCATTCTTTCATCTACATAGTACATTTTCTACAAGGTCTTGTACTAGGTTCCTTAGGGGATGAAAAGATGAGTAAGTCGTAGTCCTGGCCCTCTTGTGGGGGAAACAGACAACAAAATAAGCAATGGCTCAGCAATCTTCCAAGTGTTAAGAGAGATGCAACTCGCTGTGGAGTACAGGGGGACAAGAGTGGATAATTATGGCTGTGGGAGCTAAGGGAGGATTCCAAAATAAGTTAGCATTTGAGATTGGTGAAGATAGCTGAGGAACGGAGCATTCCAGGCAGAGTGAAAACCACATTGCCCAGGACCTGAGTTAAAGAGCATGGTGCACACAGGGAGACTGAGCTGGCCAGGGATGCCTGAAACTTCAAAAGTCTAAAGTATCTTGAGGAAAGTATAGAAAATGAGTCTGAATAAGCAAGTATACAGATAATAGTCTTTAGGCCACCTAAAGGAGAGGGATTTGTGCATGCCTGTGACACCTTTCTCTTCATTCTTCTGTGCCTCTATGATTGTTACACCTTTTTTATTTTTTTTCTTTTTTGAGACAGAATTGCTCTCTGTTGCCCAGGCTGGAGTGCAGTGGTACGATCTCGGCTCACTGCAACCTCTGCCTCCCAGGTTCAAGCGATTCTCCCGCCTCAGCCTCCTGAGTAGCTGGGATTACAGGCACATCCCACCACGCCTGGCTAATATTCCTTTTTTCGTTTTTGAGACAAGATTTTGTCATGTTGCCCAGGCTGGTCTCAAACCCCTAGGCTCAAGCAATTCACTTACCTCAGCCTCCCAAAATGCTGGGATTACAGGCATGAGCTACCGCATCCGGCCTCCATTTATTATTTAAGTATTGGTGTTTTTCTGGGTCTGGATCTCGCCTTGACCCTCATTAGTCTTCCTTTCCTTCGGCAAACCCTTGTGGTGTCAAAGATGATGATGACTTCCAGATCCCTGGCACCAGCACACACCTCTCTTCTGTGCTCCATGTTTCAAATGCCTGCTGATCATCTCTCCCACATGTCTCACATGGACCTCAAACTTAACTTACGCCTAAGGTAAACTTGTTAAAGCCTATTTTAAAACAAGTCTTAATCTTCATTAAGGCTTCTCCACACACTTATTCACCCAAATTCGAAATCTGAGAGCTGTTTTCAACCTCCCCCTGTTCCTGTTCCTGACTTCAACATTCCATTGATTAGTAAGTTCTGTCAATTCTACCTTTAAACATCAAAGTCTGTTCTCATCATCCCTACTGACACTGCCTTAGTTTGAGTTTCTCCATTTGTAATTTAAGCCAGAAATTCTCAAACTTTAGCTTGCACAAACATCACCTGGAGAGCTTGTTAAGACACCAGAGATTCTGAGTCTGTGCTTCTGGGGTGGGGCCTGAGAGTGCATTTCCAACAAGACCCCAGGTAATGCTGATGTTTGGGTCCATGGACCACAGGTTTCGCACTTCAATTTATTCTAATTGCTTCTTACCTGTCCTCCTGCTTTGGCTTCACAAGCTCCAATGTGGTTAATGAAGTTATCGTTCCAAAACAATTTTTACTGTGTGGCTTTTCTGCTTATGTATTTTATAGGACTCTGCATTGCCTGCAACACAAAGCCCAGATACCTTTCCTGGCATGCAAGGCCTTTGGCAGTCTGACTCCAGCTTAGTTTTCCAATCTCATCTCTTGCCACTTCTCCCTGTACCTTAAGTAATTTAAATTATGGCCAGGAGTGGTGCCTCATGCCTGTAATCCCAGTACTTTGTGAGACCGAGGCAGGCAGATCACGAGGTCAGGAGTTCGAGACCAGCCTGACCAACATGACGAAACCCCGTCTCTACTAAAAATACAAAACTTAGCCAGGCATGGTGGCATGTGCCTGTAATCCCAGCTACTCAGGAAGCTGAGGCAGGAGAATTGCTTGAACCCGGGAGGTAGAGGTTGCAGTAAGCTGAGATTGCACCATTGTACTCCAGCCTGGGCAACAGAGCGAGACTCCATCTCAAAAAAAAAAAAAATATATATATATATATATATATAGATAGATAGATAGATAGATAGATAGATAGATCTGTGCTTCCTTGTTCCCATGTTTTGTACATGCTATTTCTCGCATCTGCAATGTCCATTCTCTTCTTCCATTCCCCACCTTTTCCTCACTCCCAAATGGATAACTCACACTTGCTCTTTAAGATTCAACTTACATATTATTTTCTTTGTGCTCCAGTAGCTCTTTGCATTTCTCTTATAGGAATTACCATGTTGTGTCTTGTCTGTCTGTTAGTTTCTCTCATAAGAATGTAAGTTCATCAAAGGAATGGACTGTGTCTCATTTTAGCTTTGTTTCTGAGCCCAAAGCTAGAATTGTGTTTGTTTAGCACAATGCTTGGCCACAGCAAGCATCTATGATGTTGTTTAAACTGACTTTAATCCTATAAATCAATGTCTCCCCTCAAATGTGTCCCACTAGTACCAGGAGATTTTTCAGGAAAATGTCCTATAGTCTAATAATTTGGCAAATCACAAATTCTATGTAATAGTGTATATAGGCTCTAGAAAGACTAGCAAAAAAAAAAAAAAAAAAACCTGTCAAGTTTTGTTTAACACAGTATTACCAAAAAGTATTTGATTCCACAATTCCTTATTCCTCCACCATCCCAGAACACATATTGACAATGTTTTCTATGGACATCAATTTTTAAAGTGCTCTTGAAGTCAATAGGGCAAGGTATTGGTGTCTTAGAAAGATAATCTTGGCTGCAAAGTGGAGGATAATCTGAGATTTGGGGAGAGGATGGGCCAAGGGGCTAGGAGAGTAGTAATACCAGGGACAGATATCAAAGGCCTGAATTAGTCAGTGAAGTAGCAGTTGGAAGAGGTCATATCTGTGTGTGCTCTTATACAATATAATAAGCAGGGACCTGTGGGAAATTGGAGATGGAAAAGAGAAAGACATTGAAAATTACCATGAGGTTTACTTAGCTCTTATTGCGTTTTGTATTAGGGAAGAATATATGTGTTTCCATGAAGTATTAGACAGTATAGGAGTTTGGGAAATACATCGCACCCAACAAAATTTTTTGGAGTCAATTGGTCAATAAGCTCCAAATCCCACATTACTCTCCATTATCGAGTTCAAGAAATGGGGAATAAACCCTTTTATCTTCCCCTTTCATTTTCTGGCTCACATAAAACAAAGCCCACTAGCCCTGGTTTTAGTCCCTTGATAAATATTCACTATGTGCCCACCACAGTGCCTAAGAAGTATCAGTTTATGGCAGTGGTTGTTAACCGGGCGATTTTGCTCCTTGGGACATTTGACAACGTCTGGAGGCATTTTTAATTGTCACGCTGGGGGAGTGCTACTGGCATCTAGTGGGTAGAGGCCAGGGATGCTGTTAAACATCCTGTGATACATAGGACAGCCCCCTATAACAAAGAATTATCCATCCCAAACTGTCAATAGTGTCAGAGTTGCAAAACCCTGATATGCAATGAAAACTCAACACAATTATTCTGACAATTGAAGAGCAGCGAGGGTTTTGCTTAAATTATTAGAATAACAGCCTCATTTCTGGGCTTCGCTTTGTTAATATAGGCCTAGCCAGGTGGTGTTGAATAAGCATTAGTTCATGATTTAATCTTAGTTCCTTTCTCTCCCAGTGACTAATTATAAGTAATTTGAATTGCTATGTGTGATCAACGATGTAAAAGTAGGACAAATGCACCTCTAATGAGACTATATTAGACTCTGAACTTACAGTTTCCCCGAAAGAGGTTGCCCTAAGTATAGGGATACAGAGGAAGGGGCATGGGTTGCTGAGACAAGTGTCCTGAGTTTGAGTCCCAGCTCTGCTGCTTACTGACTCCATAGCCACTATAAGTTTACTCTGAGCCTCAGTTTCCTCATTGTGAAATGCAGCAATAATTTCCTCACCAAGACACCGTGAGGATTGCACAAAGTAATAGCAAAGTCATATACTCAACAAATATTTATTCTATTCCTATTGTGTGTCAGGCCATATTTTCAGTGCTGGGCTACATTCATTGACAGGACAGACAAAAATATCTACCCTTATGGAGTTGGGAATGGTTGGAGAGAAAGACAATAAACAAGATAAATAAGTAAAATATAGAGAGTGTTAAATGACGTTAAGCGCTATGGAAAAAGACAAAACAAGAAAGAGGAATGGTGCAAGTTGGTACAATTTTAAATCAGAATGGCAAAGAAGGCTCATTTGAGATGACATTTGACTTTGAAGAGGAGAGGAAGTGAGGCATGCCAGTGTCTGTGGAAAGAGCATTCCAGGCAGAAGGTCACAGCATTTGCAAACGTCCTGAGGCCAGATCATGCTTGGAGAGTTCAAAGAACGTCAAGAGAGCCAGTGAGCAAGGGGAAGAGAAAGGAAGGGGAGAAGTGAGGTGGGAGAATGGAGACAGATTGTGTGAGACCATAAAGGCCATTGCAATAACCCTGACCACATAAATGTTAGCTAGTTATTATTATTGCCTATAGGTAAAATGTTCCAGTGTGCATTATGCCTCAAATAAGAGTGTTTCGTAAACCCTCCTTCAAAATCCTGTGCCCTTCTAAGAATGTTTTTAAAGATATCCCTCATTTAAACAAAATGGCAAGGCGTCTAAGTGCAAAGGACAAAATTCCAGAATTCTCATGGCCAATCTGCTCTGTGGGTTCTTTTCTTGCAACAGCCACCCACTCTGCCTGGGAGCCCCACTCATGGAGGGGGGGCAGGAAAAAGTCAACTCGGGTTTTCTTTTTTCCCCCTCTTCATTTCTACAATAGGAATAGCTTTTCCAAGCTGCCCGAGAATTTAAAGTACACCTTCTTTTGTTGTGCTGCTGATACAGTCGCTTTTGCTCTTACAAATTCCCAGAGAAAATTTATATTCATTCTGAAAACAGGAAAGCTTTATTTAAATACAACACTATCACCCAATGACTGAATAGATACAGATTAATAATTCCTAAGATTTTTAGCAGAAATATTCAAAAACCTTTTCATGATATACAAAGGCTTTTATTTTAATGTCAAGTCTCACTTTATTTCCTTCTCTGGGGCATAGGAAAGGAGAAGCAGGACCCAGTATTTTTACTTGCAGTAAACACACTTTGCCAATAAAACCATAAATGATAATAATTTTTTTCTAAAGGTCTCTGGCTTACTCTGCTCTCATTTGAACTTGAAATTCAGAAGGAAGGAAAGCCTTCCCATTTCAGCAGGAGTTGCTGCAAACCTGCTAATCAAAATAAGTCATTTTTTTAAATTATAAGTGAAAGTTTAAACCAGACAGAGAATTTTCACTTGCAATAAGGATTTTCAAACCCAAATGTATCTTCTGTTTTTAAAATATACTTTTTCCCTATTAAAACATGGTTCAGTTCTCCTCCAAGTATAATAAAAAGAGGCCATGGTACAATCTGAGCCCCCTCTTTTATTCTGTGTTTTGTAGCTAAAGGTCTTCAATAAAATACCCCAGAGCTAAAAACAAAGAACTGTAAATTAGTTTGAGAATTCTTCATTTAACTGTTAGATTCAGCAAGATTATTTAGCTGATTCTCCCATTCCATGCATTTCATGAATTAAAAATAGACCTCTGCCACTGACCTATTACCAGCACCATGTCTGTCTACCTCTCTCTCTCTCTCTTTCTCACACTGTCACTCATTCTCCCTGTCTAAAGAATGACTTTCTCTGGTAAAGATGATATGATCTATCCTGATCTGAGGGAAGTGATTCCCAGAAATCTGTGGTCATAAGGTCCTAAAAACATGGTATGGCTTTAGCTGGAGAGTCACACTGTCCCCTTATGATTTTTAGGGACGTTCTTGCATCAGGGCAAGAATAAACACAGAGAGTCACTTCCTAATCTAGTGCACACATTTTTTTTTGGTCCATGTCCCAGACAACTGCTTAGTCCACGTTCCCAGGAGAAGCAC
Organism: Homo sapiens; assembly: GCF_000001405.40. Lineage (NCBI taxonomy): Eukaryota > Metazoa > Chordata > Mammalia > Primates > Hominidae > Homo > Homo sapiens. The sequence continues at coordinate 162,175,872 of NC_000002.12, read as the reverse complement.
CTCTCTCACAGCATGTTTGTACAGACCAAACTTGCTTCTCACGAGGCAGTGCAACCTTATTTGGATGCCCTGTTCATTTCTTCATATTTAAGAAAAGGTTCAAATTTCCATGTGACATGGGCAGAGATCTCTTTCTCTTAACAGGATCCCATTTCTGAATCACCTCTTGATTCCTTGGAGAAGAAAATCTATGAGAGCTAAACTTACTCCTGACTCTGCAAATTGCATCCTGTTTTGTATTTATTTCCTTTTCCTTAAATTTGCAGGAAGAAATATAAGGTTTTTAAAGACACCAATGACTTTTCCTCCTTTGAGCTGCTATGTCAGAAATCCTTAGAACATGTACCACTACAACATACACAAACTATGGCCATGTCTTAAATTATCCAAAAAGTTCTTATGGCCTTCCTTTGGTATTCTGTTGTGAAAATAAATAAGTAAATACAAAGATACATGTTCTGCCTCACAGAACTTTTGCAAACTGCGAGGATGTATCTTACATTTAAATTTTGGTAATTTTTTTTCTGTGCATCTCTTTCAAGTAAAATCTTGTTTTTGTTCCAGCATGGTCCTAGTTGGAAAGATATAGAGAAAAAAATGAGAATTTTTTTTTTGCAAAAGAAAATTGAAATTCTGTCTATCTCTTAAACTGCTCCTACCATGTTTTAAGAGGGTCTGTTCTGATCAGCACACCAAGTATTTCTAATGAATTAGGGAAGAAATTACCATTATGTCTGGTCATTTATCTGAAGCTTGCTGCCGAGGATGCAAGATAGACATGTAATCCACCCTTAGCCATATTCTCCAGCTCCCTTCAGTCCGGATTGTGAGTAGAGTTGCTATAAACATATGGAGGAAAGCTTATGAAAGTAAATCTGAGTCTGACTCATAACAATGTCTCTACAGTCCTATGGAGGATACGTTTCATCACTGGCCCTTGCATCTGGAACTGGTCTTTTCAAATGTGGTATAGCAGTGGCTCCAGTCTCCAGCTGGGAATATTACGGTATGGAAACATTCATTAATGTTACTGTGAAAGCATTTAACACGTAATTACTCTATATCTGATGTTGCTAGAAAAATGGATTATGCAGTAAAATTCACCCCAGCATCACTGGGGAAAATATAATTTATAAACAAAGTTGTTTATATCATTTATTATAAACATGTTGTAACAATCAATGAAATCTCAAGAGTGAGGAAAGGCTCATCCATAATCCACTATATCTTATTTTCTCCCAGAAACCTTGAGCCCCTGCCGAACCAAATCTTTAAAATCAGAGCTAACTCTGTTTTTGCAGGCACACAGCTACAGCATAATTGGCTTTTAAGCACATCTTCAGCACGGTCAGGCCAGAGGCCAAGCAGTTCACCTCCACGCCACAGTTAGCAATTGCCAGTTCCATTGCTCCAGAAATCAAAGAAACAAAAACTTTGTTGGAGAAATACTCCTGTTTGTGCCTATTTTTATCATTACATCAATGCAGGATGATTATTTGGAAGGAATTCTAATAATTATACAAAATAACTCTAATAATTTTACAAAAATTAGCTTCATCAGATTCTCTCCTCTATATTGGGGCAGAAATAAAACAATTGTGACTTGTAGGGGATCTTGATTAAGAAAAAAAGTGTGTGCATCTATGTACGTGTGTAGGGGGAATAGATTTGAGGGACATATTTTCATCCCAGATGAAATAAGACACCAGTAAAAGTCCTAAAGATGGCTGGATTTGTGATTTTCTTTAAAATATATTGAGACCATTCTACAGGTCATTCCTACTTCAACATTCTTCCCTAGGAGGGTAGAAGTGAAAAATATTAAGAATAGTCATAGAAAGAAAATGTTTAGATGCTCCTGTTTCCATAATCTCTTCCTTCATACTTCTCTAGCTCTATTGAGGCTAATTGCAGAGATGACACATATTCTTTGAGGCCAACCATTATAGCAAAGTAAAGCAAGAATTTACCTCAAGAGCTCAAGATGGGAAAATTGAGAAACAGTTATTAAACTAGAAGGTCTTGTTGGTTAATGAAATGACATTCATCACATGCAAACAATGCATATTCTCATATATTTTATAGCGTCTGTCTACACAGAGAGATTCATGGGTCTCCCAACAAAGGATGATAATCTTGAGCACTATAAGGTAAGTGTTTCCATTTTATTTAGGTTAATAATTAATTTCTAATATGCTAAATAACTTAAAAGCAGTAGTTCAGAATTTACAGTTTTAATTCTGGGCCCCCAAGCAAATATCATCTTTTGTTAATTGCAAAACACATCACTAGAAAGGGTTTTACTCCTTTTGGATTCTGTTCTTTCTTTTCCCATCCTCCCTTCCCTAACCTCTCTTTTCCCAATCTTCCTCCCCACCCCCAACCCCTACACAGCTTGAGCGGGCATCATTTATGCCTAAGGTCTCACTCATATGTAACATATGACACATAAACTTTCAGTTTTTCAAACTAAGAATCAGATGGAAGTAATGCAAATGATGATGAAAATGTGTTGCTCTGACTCTTAAATATTTATCAAGCAAAGCAATACATAATTTCAGTATTGGTGCTAAGTCCATTGCACAATGATTTAGCTAGTTTTCTATTAGAACTTGCAGCAACTAAAATGTTAATTTTTTTCTCTTTTCCAGAATTCAACTGTGATGGCAAGAGCAGAATATTTCAGAAATGTAGACTATCTTCTCATCCACGGAACAGCAGATGGTGAGGTTTAAGCAAGACTCTTACACATAAAAATACTGAGCCAGCATCACTTTGTTTAAGAAACATTAAGCATCCTCCTATGCCTATGCTCAGGGTCAGTACCTAAGAGTCAGGGACATTTCCATATCTGAGTGTGATTACTCACTGCTGACAATGTCAAATGCATGACTAGATAATTGTTGGTGTTCATTTCCAGGCAGTACATTGTCACTCTATGCTTTCTGGTATTTAGCAGCACTTTAACTCTCTCTCTCTTTGTTGCAGATAATGTGCACTTTCAAAACTCAGCACAGATTGCTAAAGCTCTGGTTAATGCACAAGTGGATTTCCAGGCAATGGTACATAATTTTGTTTTACTCATGTTCATGGCCTTAGACCCTCAAGCTAAAAGGAGGGGTTCATATTTTTATTTTTTTTAACTTTTAAAGTAAAATCTGACAAAGAGGCTGCAGGATAGAGTAGGCAGAACATTAGCAAATGAATCTTGGATCTTTCTTTAACTACTGAAGGACCCGAGGCAAACCAGATCACCTCTCGTGTTCCCAGTTGAGTCATGTAAAATAAAGGAGTTCACAAGATTAAATGATCTTCTAGTTCAAACATCCAGTAGTTCTGAAATCCTATGTGAATAAGTGCAATTATATGCTTAGAGTCCCTGCAAAACCTGAGCATCCTTAAACAGCTAGAAGATTCTGTTTGTTCAGTAAGAAGCAGTTGCAGAATGTCATCACAAACCTCCAAGGCTCCCTGAAATCATATGGCTCCATTTGTGGTTAGAGAACTTTTCACCTATGTATTCTCATCCCCTGGCATACACCTGGCTTATCACAGATGCTCAGCTTCTTACTGAGTGAATGAATGAATTAGCTAAATGTAAAATCCAGGTTGCTTGAGGAATGAGAAATTGAACCAGAAAAGAAAATAAAGTGAAAGCCAAAGTTGGGGGCGGGGCAGCATTCTTGGTAGCTACCTTTTCCTCTCACAAATGCTCCCTCAATTGCTTAAGTTGAACAAGAACCCCGAAAAGGAGACCCCCATCTTTTCAACATTTGTTTTTAAAAAATGTACTGACTGGGAAAGAAATGGGGGAGGGGGTATAAGAAGAAGTTGGTTAAGGGGTACAAAAGACAGAAAAAAATAAGTTCTAGTATTTGAAAGTACAGTAGGGAAATTATGGTCAATGATAATTGATTGTATAATTCAAAATAGCTGGAAGAGAATAATTATAATTTTCCCAACATAAAAGGAAATTTGTTTGAGGTGATGGGTATTTCAGTTATCTTGATTTGATCATTACACATTGTATTCAGCTATCAAAATATCACTGTACCCCCAAAAAGATACACAACTATTATATATCAAATTTTTAAAAATATACAAAGAGGGAGGTGAGCTTTTTCTGACCTTTTTTATTGTGATCCCCAAAGTAAATTCAACTTAGTAAATATATATTATTACATCGTGACCACTGATACCTTTATTCAGTGAAAGCAATAATCTTAGTGGTATCTCTCCAAGAGTGAAGTTTAAAGTTAAAATACTATCTTTCACTTTTTAAAAATGCTATTTTTAACTCCTATAAAGGGTGTTTATGGCTATATATGAATACATTATATTGTGGATTTTCTGCAACAGAGAGGAATTAGATTCACAGGCTGAAAGCCTCATGGAATTTTTGAGCTACAAGGAATCTTAGGGAAAATCAACTCCAACCCCTTTGTTTTTCAAATGAAGAAACCAGACTCCAAAGAAGCAAAATTAACAGACCCAGTGCATCACTTCTGGCAACTCTGATGCCTGATCCTGATCTTCCAGGATGCTGGATGATGCGAGATCTCAGCCACTGAGATCTAAAATATGTTTAAAGCATGTGAAACAGTAGTGGAGGTTAACGAAAGCTCTTCCTGCTGTAAATATTTACATGTAAGCTATTTTACTTATTTGAGTGTTCTTAGGTACAGTTTCCCCATAATAGAAAGATTATCAGGTCCTGAGAGCACAAAAAAGTCCAAGCTAAATGCATTTGATGACTGCAGGAATAAAACAAGCTTTTTTCTTTGTGTTTCAGTGGTACTCTGACCAGAACCACGGCTTATCCGGCCTGTCCACGAACCACTTATACACCCACATGACCCACTTCCTAAAGCAGTGTTTCTCTTTGTCAGACTAAAAACGATGCAGATGCAAGCCTGTATCAGAATCTGAAAACCTTATATAAACCCCTCAGACAGTTTGCTTATTTTATTTTTTATGTTGTAAAATGCTAGTATAAACAAACAAATTAATGTTGTTCTAAAGGCTGTTAAAAAAAAGATGAGGACTCAGAAGTTCAAGCTAAATATTGTTTACATTTTCTGGTACTCTGTGAAAGAAGAGAAAAGGGAGTCATGCATTTTGCTTTGGACACAGTGTTTTATCACCTGTTCATTTGAAGAAAAATAATAAAGTCAGAAGTTCAAGTGCTATTGTGTTGTCTGTATTCATTGATTTCAGGTTCCAGGTTTTATCACAGAAAGAGGTGTTTGTGCAAAGCAAGTGCATGAATAACATTAGGGTGGTCATGGAGGAGAAGAATCTAGAAGTGGTTTTGGATTTCTGTCATGAGAACTCCAAATACTGGAACCAACAGCTCAGAGTAGGCAAAAGCATTGTTCAGAAAATGCAAGTGAATCACGTTTGAGATGTTTGCACTCTATGCTGTCCCTCCAAGAAATGTTTATTACATTTCTCCCAGAAGATTTCTTCAACATTGCCAAAAGCATTTGATAAAGATAAAGTCAGACTTTTGAATTCAGACTCCTTTTAAAAAAATGCTTCTAATTTGGAAGTGTTCCTATTTTGAATCCATTTTTAGAATTAGTAATGGTAACTGCTTTCAGATTGCTAACCCATAACCAAATCAAACCAAACAAAAATAAATAAGTAAATAAAATGACATCAATAGCTAGAGAGGAAAATTTTATATCTATGAGGTTTTTCTGGGGTCTTAGTTCTACATTATAAAGTTCATATTGAAAAAAATAGCTGTAATGCCTACAGTCCTAAAGCAATGCATTGCCAGTTACTACCACCTTCAGTTAGAAACTACTGGTGACCTGCCATCTCTGTGATTGCCTCAGAATTAAAAGATCCATACCAGGTCACCAGAAGATATTTACTGAATGAATGTTGGTGGAAGTATCCACCACACTGCTGTCTAAGGGACTTTTCATTGTGTAATCCCCAGCACTGGATTGCCCTGGGTAATTTCTCCCCATCCCTAGCTTGATACCTTCTTTCCAGGTGCAGGTTGAATCCCCTCATGACTTATACCCAGAAGAACCAATCCTGGCCTGGAACATTACAGCAGGAAGACCACAGAGAGCACAAATGCAGTCTTCTCTAGAGTTTTCTGACTTTTTCCAATCCAGCATTGTTTCCACTTCAGCTTTCTGAAACCATTGCCCCTAACTCAGGCCACATAGCTCCACCTCACACATCAGGAAGGGATGTTCTGTGGTGGTCAGGAATTCTGGACAACACCTTCCCAGATTCAGGACTGGCCACAGCCCCTCTTTTCTTCCTCCATGCAATGGCTGTTGCCCTGAGGACCAGAGTAAGCTACCACCTTCTCTCTCTGTTCTGCACACAGCAGCCTCTGAAGCAAGCCCAAGAGATTTTCTCATAGTTTTCTCATCATTCACTCTCTCCACCTAGGGAGAGAAAAATAACCAGTCATTTTCTAATACTTTATCTAGGGATACCACAGGGTCATTACAAATAGAAAGAACAAAAATCTTATTTCTCCAACTTATTTTCTGCCTTTGTGACATTTGCAAAACTGGATTCTAATATTGATCTGCAGTAAGTTGTCTCCAGCCTCAGGCCTTTGCTCCCACTGCCACAGAGGGAACTGCTGAGACAAAACTAATAGTGTCATTTTCCCACTTAGAACCCTTCGATGATTCTCCGTTGCCTAAAAAATAATATTCAAAATCAGCATGACAGAGAGAGCCCTTGACGATCCGTCCCCATGCATATTTTCCAAACCCTTTTCCTGACACCAGCTTCTATAGACCCTTAGATTAAAATTAGATAAAATTACAATTCAGCTCTTCAGTCCTACTTGCCACATTTCTCTGCTCAGTAGCCACATGGTTAGTCAGCACCATATTGGACAATGTCGATGTAGAACATTTTCATCATCACAGAAAGTGCTGCTGAACACACTAGTGCTACCTTAGAGAAAATCTTCCTAATGCTACCCTAGAGAAATCTTCACCACCCTTGTCTTGGAATGTGGCATATCACAGAAATTCACCAATTGTTGAATTAATGAATACCTTTGTGTTCATGGAAGATTCAGGTTTTCTACATTACTGTTGATGAAGCCTTCCCTGACCCCCTCAGGTAGAATTTCCCAGGTCTTCCTCAAAACTGTAAATATGTTTTCAGTTATTTATTCATTCATTCATTCAACAAACATTTACTGAGTCTGATTGTATATCAAACACTGTGCAAGACTTTGAGGATGTAGTAAGAGCAAGGCAGCAACTTGCATGGCAGTTTTTTAAGTGTTCACCTTTCATAAAGCTTTATTAGATTCTTATTTTGTCTAGAAAGATAAAAGGTACATGAAGTACAAAAGGGAGAGATTTTAAGTAGAAAATGCCAAGCTAAAAGAAAGATTTAAAAATATCTTGCCTTTTCTATCTTTAGGAAGCTGGAGTATAATAATAATTATCATTTACCACATTTTATTATTGGATATGAGACATGGAAAAGGGGGTATCCCAATAGCCTAATTAAAGCTGCAAAGTATAATTATCCTTCACACATGACAAACAAGATTTTCATTCATTCATTCACTCATTCAGTGACTGCAATTGCAAGCCACTATTTTAGGTACTGTAGGTAAGACCTCCCCTCAAAAAAAGTCTAGTGTAAGAGGGAAGCCATAAAACAATTAATTTCTAAACATTATTTCAAATTTTAGTCCCACACGGCTGGCCTGAGAGCTATTTTTAAAGGTTTCAAAATTCTAGATGACCATCAAATATTTCTTAGAGTAAATAAGAAAAAAAGCAGCAAGCAAATGAGTATTTGGTTAAATTTAACACAAATGAGAGAACTTTTATTGGAGTTTAAAAATTTTTTTTTAAAACCTACCCTTATTTATAAAATGCATTATTTATTTCCTTAAGAAAACATTTATTGAATACCTATGCTGTGCACAGTAGTATTCTGGGTACTGGAGGGGTTACAACGATGAATATATATGACAATTTCTCCATTTCTAGACTGTATCAGTAAAGGCGACTTAACGAATCTGATTTTCCCAACATTTGAGCATTTTTCAGAAACTGACAGATCTTTATGCAAATGTTGTTGCCAAGCTGTTTGTAATGGTGAAATTATACTTTGACAGTAACTCTTTAAAATATATTAAACCCAGCTAAGGTTTTTTTGGAAATGTTGCCAATTAAGTGACTTTAATGAGCTTCTTGATGGTAATGTAATTAAAATTCAGATGTTCTAATTGTAAAAAAAAAAATAGTTCTGGGAAAGTTAACAGTAAAATAAGCAAATGTAAAATGAATTGGGGCTAATTTAAATGGTGATAATGTGGTCTTCTGAGAAGATTCTACCAAAACAATGCTTTCAATTATGCTGTTTGTAAAGAAGAAAGGAGGCACCTAACAGAGATTTTGAATTTATCCAATAAAGCAGATATTTTGAGTTTATCCAATAAGACAGATTGAAAAATTCTGAACACAGTAAATCATTCTCAGTCTGTGAAGGGGAACTGCTAAAACACTTCCTTGGCATTATGGACAGGTACTTTGGCAATTCTAAGTGGAATAATTTTTAATTCAGGAAGAAATAAGTGCTTAGACCTTACCAAGCTATTCATGGGGAAAACGATCTGGCTTCTAGCATAAGCCTCTAATGACCACCTGCTCAGATTACTGGCATGCAATACTAACATGCTGGTCATAAACACTTCTTTTGACACACAGGTAACATCTTTGGCAAGCTAAAACAGTCTGATTTTATTCCATTGGTTTCTAATTAATACTCCATTTTTACTTACTTAAAACATTGTATTGACGTATATATTTTAACAGATACTCGTTGGTATAGCATTCCATCTTTTGCTCTGTGGTTATAGAGAATCAGTATTGTGTGAACAAGAGAGAGGTACAATCAAGGTAAGGTCATGCCACAATGGCTTGACAACTCATCTTCCCTCTTTCATATTTACTGTTTGTTGACAAGCAAAGATAGGAACATCTTTGTTAGTCACTCATTTTTAGGGCCAGGAACTTTTGTCACTGCTACAGAAGGTGAATTTTTGAAATAAGTGTCGTAATGAAACAGTAGAATATTAAGAAGCGATTTGTATGTTAAAAAAACTACTACCCATTTGCAAAATTAAGCTTGTTATTGAAACATCCTTTTAGATATCTATGAAAACAACAGAACATTTTAGATATGTGATAAAATTTCCTTATACGCCACTGATACTACACTATATTTCCAAATTTGAGAAATGATCATTAAAAAGTGAAGATGCTTTAATATATAAAATGCTTTGTACATACACAGGAAACAATGCTGCTCTCTAATTTCTTTCAGAAGATTAAAGCAATACTTTGCAATGTTATAAATTTCTTTCTTTCAAATGAAATACAACATAGCTCACTTGTCAATCTTGTAAACAGAACATGTTCACTACAGCTCATTTTAGGGGCAGCACTGTAGTGGGTAAAGGAATGGAGGTTAAAGTGAAACTATCTGGTTTGAATCCCAGTTCAGTAATATATAAGCTATGCAACTTTGATAAATTTTCATAAGTTATCTCTGTTTCAGTTTCCTTATATGTGAAATTGAGATAATAACAGTTCTTACCCCATGGAATTGATTGTTGTTTTAAAGTAGTTATCACTTGTAGAGCAGTGTCTGACACAGTCTTTTGTAGCTGTTTGTTAGATGCATAAAATGAACTACTTTTTAATGGTTTTTTCAATAAACTAATTCTCAAGAAATTAATAGCCTCAGTCGGAAGCCAATAGTTTCTTTCCCATATCATGGAATGTAGTATAAGTGTCCTCGATCATTTATACATGAGTCTTTATTTCTAAAACAAGGTGGCCTTTTAGGAATAACCAATATTGAAGTCGTGCATGTCCAAGGAAGTTCATCTTCCTTGGTACTTATCTTAAATGAGTTGTTCATCCTTGTGTCTCACTCAACACCTGTCTAAGGAGTCTAATATTTGATAGCAGTGATTGAAACACCTTTGAGAAAGACAAACTGCCAGGGCAATGTGTAGTTGAAGGACATGGGCAGTAAATTTACCCACCTTCCTGTGAAGCCTGCAAAGCACCACAGTGGCCGTCCTCTCTGGCCCTGTCTCCACCGCTCTCTCATCACCTATCAAACTACAGCCACCCTGGTCTCATCTGTGGATTTTGTGTAGGCCAAACTTATTTCTGTGCCAGGGTCTGGAACATCTTTTCTCAGCTTTTCACTTGGCTGTCTCCTCATTTGGTTTCAGCTCAGGTGTCATTGCCTCAGAGGGAATTTCCCTGATCATTGGATTTCACATTGCTTCTGCCACAGCCAGAGACTTCCAACCACATTATTTAATCTTGTTTCCTTGATAGCACTTAGAAGCATCAGAAATTCTTTGATTTACGTTTGTGTTGGTTGTTCCCTATTTCTCCCATTCAAGTACAAGCTCCCTCTGAGCAGAGAGCTTGTCTATTTTTTTTCACCTCTCTGCCTCCAGGATCTAGACAGTACCTAGAATAATGTAGGAGGACCTCAATCAATATTTGCTGAATGTATCCTCACATTCTGTGGATGAGAGAGCCCATGAAACTGGAATCCTGATGTGTAATCTGGCAGTGGGTACAGATCATGCCCTTTCTGAAACTTAGTATATAATAGGAACTTGCTGTTGTCCTCCTCAAAGCAAAGAGAAAGAAAAATCCCTGAGCAGCAGGTGTCCCGGTCAGGAGAATAAGGTTAGGGAGGACAAGAATTTTAGCCAGAGATCTAAAAGAAGTTTGTCTTTGAAACAAAAATAATTTGGATTAGGAAATGGAAACACAGCCTACTTCACTGTCCTAACTTAGATACTTGCTGCCTCTAGATGAATCACCACCGGGACACTGCAGGCTGAGGAAGTTTGGCACAAATGTTCAGGCTGGAAAATGACAAATAAATATCTGGAATGTGATTGATTACTCTAGCAGCTTTTATTTTAAAAACAACACTAGTTTTTAAAAATACATTTTGCTTAATAAGTATGTTTCAAGTAGTAGTGGTTTCTTTTACATTATAAAACAAGGATACCCATGCTTATTCTGTTTCTGTCTCCTGATCAGATTATATGTTCAAACCCTGAAAGTTTGGTTGGTTGGTTTGGTTGGTTCTTTTAAATTCAGATTGTATTGTAAACTTGGACTCATGAAAAATAAATCAGTGAAATATCTCTTGTCAAGGCTGTGCATTTTAGATCATATTTTTTAGTTGATCATTCAACATGGGTGAACTGAACTTCCTAGTATCCCATTGATGCAACTGAATGTAGTCCTGTGCACCTGCAAAGTTGCCAAACAGATTCAAGAGAACTGAGTTCTAATTCTTGTAATTCGGGCAAGCACCTTCTCTTCCTGAGATTCAATTACTCCCTGCATGCCACAGGTACTAGGCTAGATCCTTGGCTTTCAAATCACATTTGCAAGCCCTAAGAATTCTTCTGTGTCCCTTTAGGGCATAGTGCAACGCAATTCCTGATCCTTAAATCATCTTCCACAATTGGAGGCCTGTAGGTTAAATAATAGGAGTCAATCCTGTGTTTTCATTTACTATTTTCTCCCCTGGATCTCAACATCTGCTGGGATTACAGTGGTTTCTCTCAATATGGAGGTCTCATGGATCTCTTTTGAGGCCAGATTTATGGGGTTGGTGTGGGAAATATTTGGTTGGATGGCAACCATAGATCCCTTAGAAACACTGAGGTTGAAGTGTTGTCTCTAACTATTTAGGCAGTAAAAGTGAGGGCAGGGACCCATCATGGCACCTTGTTTGATGGTCATATGATAAAAGTTTATTTTATTTTATTTTATTGTATTGTATTGTATTGTATTTTATTTTATTTTATTTTATTTTATTGAGACAGAGTTTTGCTGTCATCACCCAGGCTGGAGTGCAATGGCATGATCTCGGCTCACTGCAACCTCCACCTCCCAGGTTCAATCGATTCTCCTGCCTCAGCCTCCCAAGTAGCTGGGATTGCAGGTGCCCACCACGACGCCCAGCTAATTTTTGTATTTTTAGTAGAGACAGGGTTTCACCATGTTGCACAGGCTGGTCTCGAATCTTGACCTCAAGTGATTCACCTGCCTCGGCCTCCAAAGTGCTGGAATTACAGGAGTGAGTCACCATGCCCGGAAATAACATTTTCAAAGGGATTGCCATCACCATCACCATCCAACATCTTATTTCATAAAACGTATTTTATATGAGTTAAATTTATAGCTGAAGATCTTGCATTGGATAAATGTAACAGGAGTCTTAGAGTAGAGTTCCCAATCTCAAGAACCACTGAGTCCAGGCAGGTGATCAGAACGAATGAAGCAAACCAAGAAACGGGTCAAGGAGATTCCTGGTAAAATAAGGCTGGGACTCTAATGAGCTGGTGACTGCACTAAAGGGATAACAACTACTGGCTCAAACTGCTGCCACTGGAAATATGGTGTTGCCAGACATTGTGATTTTTGTCAAGAGAAACCGGAAAACTGGATTTTTAAATGGAAATTCCCTCTTAATTTTGAACCCTTGACCACTAATTTATGAGTAAAGGAAACTCATCTGGATGCCAGATTTGGGCTGTGTGTATCAATTTCTATTTTAAGGAATAATTTGATTGCTTTCTTTTGGATGTGAATTGTATACCAGGTGCTCCGTATATATTCTTCCATTTAATTTTTGAAACTCTGTAAATTAGAAATTAAAATATATGTATTTCTGACTAGGAAAATGAGGTTTAAGTTATAGTACTCACCCAAGATTCCATATATCCAGGTCAATTCAATTACTCCCTGCATGCCAACTGAATTGGCATACAGTTTCTGTACCACAGTGGCAGTGACTCTTCTCAGGTATTCTAGAAGAAATATGTGGAATGCCTTTTCAGATAGGTTTGTTACCTATTAATGTCACTAATCAAATAATGAATATATAATGGAGTATAAGTAAACACAACCCTAATAGCAGGCCCTTATAAGCCATTATTAGAATTCAAGTACACATAATGAAGTCACCATTAAGTGACTGCTAAACAAACATTTGAAGGTTGCTTTTGAAGCTGAAGTTTTGTGCCTCCCTCTGTAACTTAATAACTTCTACAGGGTCTACATCTTGTTTCTGGCCCCAGCAAAATTGTGTGTATGTCCAGACAAGCCAATCAATATGGAAATCCAGTTCATGACTGAACTCTAAATGGCGTTGGCTTTCCAGTCTTCCCATGGACTCTCCTCCACTTGTTGCTGCTGCTTCTTGATGTCTTCTCACCAATGTCACCCCTGCACTGTGTCTTCCCACACTTGCTCTCCTGCCAGCTTCCACACCATGACCGTGGAACTACAGATGGGGCAGGGTGGTGGGGGACACTTGCAAGATATCACATAGGGATGGTCCCCAAATTGGCATTGAGTGTGTCATGCCAGCTGCACCCAGGCTGCCAAAGCAGAGGCTCCAGAAATAAGGAACAACGAGTGTGTAAACCTGAGGCTTTATTCCTCTAGACTAAGTCTTTAGAAGAACAAAAAATTACAATTTAGAAGATTACCGGTAAAATGTCTTTTATGGCCAGGCACAGTGGCTCATGCCTGTAATCCCAGCACTTTGGGAAGCTAAGGCAGGTGGATCACTTGAGATCAGGAGTTCAAGACCAGCCTGGCCAACATGGTGAAACCCCATCTCCACTAAAAAAAAAAACAACAAAAACTAGCCGGGCATGGTGGCGCATGCCTGTAATCCCAGCTACTCGGGAGACTGAGGCAGGAGAATCACTTGAACCTGGGAGGTGGAGGTTGTAGTAAGCTGAGATCACGCCATTGCACTCCAGCCTGGGCCACAGAGCGAGACTCTGTCTTAAAAAACAAAAACAAAAACAAAGCCTTTTATGTCTCCCCCCCCCACATTTTTAGTTACTGGCTATCAATTTATGGTTTCAGAGAGTCACACACGTACCTCCAGGTTGCAAAAGAACTTCCAACATATCCGGAGTACTTTCACTATTTACTTTTTCAAGTTACAGTATCAGGAGTCATAAAATATTGTTGACATAATCTTCTTTGATGAAGAAGCCGTGCTCAGTGAAACCTGCTAGAGGAAATCCTACTATCAGTTTCTTGATGTACACTTAGAGCCTTCTGCATGTGTTTTTCTCTTAACAAAAATTAGGAATCTATCACTATCAAAGTATTAAAATTTTATAATAAACTTTATAAATAGCAACTCAATATTCAAATCATCCTTGTGTCATATTTTCCAGAAAGAAAGTAAAGTCATGGAAACTATGAGTGTAATTATTAAAATTTATAATTTATTGAAATGAATAATTTTTATCATTAAAATTTATCATTAAATTACATAATTTATCATTAAAATACATACATATTTACATATATACAAATATAAACTTATTCGTAGGGTTCTGTATCCAGAATATATTAAAAACACATACAATTCAACAATAAGAAAACAGACAGCACAATTTCAAAATGGGCAAAGGATTTGAAGAGACATCTCTCCAAAGAAAACATACAAATGTCCAACAAGCACATGAAAAGATGCTCAGCATCCTTGGTCATGAGGATAATACCAATCAAAACCACAATGAGGTACAACTTTATGCCAACAAAAATGGCTATAACAATTCCAGAAAAAAACAAAAAATAAATATTGGCAAGAATGTGGAGAAACTGGAACTCTTGTGCATCGCAGGTGGGAATGTAAAATGCTTCAGCCACTGTGGGAAACACTTTAGCAGCTCCTTAAAAAGTTAAACATAGAATTACCATATAACTCAGCAGTTCCACTCCTACATATATATATATATATATATATATATATATATATATATATATATACTTAAAAGAATTGAAAAGAAGTACTCAAACAAATGCATGTACAAACATGTTCACAGCAGTATTATTCACCATAGTCAAAGAGCGGAAATAGCCCAAATGTCCGTCAATGGGTGAATGGATGAACAAATTGTAGTATATACATACAGCAGAATATTATTGCACCATGAAAGTAATGACGTACTGACATGTACTACCACATGGATGAATCTCTAATGCATTGACCCAAAAACCTACCGTATGATTCAATTTACGTGACATGTTCAGAACACGTAAATCCATAGAGACAGAGTTCAAAGTAGTGGTTGCCACTGGGTGTGGGGAGAGAGATGTGAGGAGAAACTTCTTACTGAATATGGGTTTTTATTTTGAAATTATGGAATTGTTTTGGTACCTAATAGAGGTGGTGGTTGCACACATAAATGTACTAAATGTCACTTAATTGTTCACTTTAAAAGGATTTATTTTATTATGTAAATGTCACCTCAATAATTTTTTAAAAAATGCTTTTAAAAATTTTATTGGTAATAATTTTCAGAATAAATAATCCATAATAATTATTGCATTATCCCTAGATCGTAGGAATAATATGATATTCCTACTGATATATCTGATATAAGAGAATATACTAGTCCAGGATATTAGGCTCTTAGGTGCTTTAGAAAAATCTATTTTGATCCATTGTTGTTGCCAATAAGAGGAATATTTTTATTCTCAATGAAAGAAAAAAATTAAAATTGAAGTTACACTTATTTTACCCAGTTGCCACTCACACCACTATGTCTCTGTACAAAGCACAGAGGAAACCATAGGATTTACCCCACCCCCGCCACTTATTCCAGATCTACATCTTACACCCCATGAGCACTCAAAACACTTAAACCTGTCATATAAGAAAATCCCTTTTCTGACCCCTACATTTTCATCTTTCAGTTTTCTGCTTAACTGCACTCAGCAGAGCAGCTCTTCCAAGGAGACTTTTTCCAACATCCAGCCTCATCTTGCCTCTTCATTGACGCTCCAATTCAGTCTAGAGGAAACAAAAAGCATAGTCTCTCCTCCTTGCCAAGACCTGCCCCACCACTGACCTCTCGATCTTATGCTCCTTTATTGTCCTCATTGAAATCTGTAGCTGTTGAAAAGGAAGAAAAAGTCAATCGTGTGACATATCCAAAATTCGTGGATCTGATTCTTAAAAAACAGAATCTCCACTGTCGCTTTGGAAAGCAGTTGGCAGTTCCTCAAAAAGTTAAACATAGAGTTAGCATATAAGCCAGCGATTCTACTCCTAGGTATTTACCCAAGAGAATTAAAAACATAGTCCAGACAAAAATTTGTGCATGAATGTTCCCAGCAGCATTATTCATAATGGCCCCAAAGTGGAAACCACCCAGATGTCCATTACTGATAGATGGGTAAACTAGATGTGGTAAATAGCATACAATGGAATCATTTCAACCGTAAAAAGAATGAAGTACTGATTCCTTCTACAACGTGGATGAACCTTGAGAAGATTATGCTAAATAAAAGACATTAGACAAAAAAGATTATATGTTGAGTGATTCCATTTATATAAAATACACAGAACAGGCAAATGTGTATACAGAGAAAGTAGATCAGTAGTCAAGAGCTCGGAAAGAGGGCAAGGGGGAGTGACTGCTGATGAGTATGGGGTTTCTATTATGGGTGATGAAAAAGTTCTGAAATTAGATAACGGTAATGGTGACACAGCATTCTGAACATACTAAAAACTACTGAATCATACATTTTTTAAAAACTAAGCCCAAAAATACTTCCATCATCAACTGTTTAGCATTTAGATGTCTTGCTATCTTAGCTATCTGGAAGTTCTGAATAGATTTAGACAGCAGTCAAAGCTGATTTGAGGAGATTTTGCAAGTCCTCCCAGGACTACTTTGCAAAGCCTTACTCTAGAAAGGTTACAAAGTAGTGGGGTCCTGTATTCGGACCCAGATATGGCTTTAAGCAACTTGGTTGCCTGTTCTAAGCCCCTGTCTTGTTATTTGTAAAATGAAGGCAAAAATATTGAACTCGTTATGTATTTTGAGTATTAGAGAATAATATACTCAGCTTTGCCTTTAGTACATATTCAGGAAATGGTAGTTACTTCTATTCTTAGGCGGCTTGATCCTCATTTCTGAATTGTAAAAAATACTGGCTCTCATATTATGATTTTTAAATCTTTGCCTACAATTAAATCTGTATATGAATTCCAGGTGAGATATCAAAAAAGTAACGAACTAATCAGTAGTTGAAGCTATGTGCTAACCAATGGAAGGAATGACTATTACACTTTACCCTGGGTGTTTGGTCAAATGTGTCTCTGAATTTATAATTTTTATTTGATTCTTTTCATCAATGTCAACTGTCTTCAACAATACATTTATTAGAACAAGTGTCCATAAAAACATTAGAGGCAAATTGATGCTTAATAAATCAAATACATTTTTAAGATATTATTTGCATCACCCTTTTTTCCGCTATGAGTTTTGCCCATTATTTGTGGGGAAAGAATGCAAACAAACTGGGAGGCCGAGGCGGGCAGATGATGAGGTCAGGAGATCGAGACAATCCTTGCTAACACGATGAAACCCCGCCTCTACTAAAAATACAAAAAATTTAGCCTGGCTTGGTGGCTGGCGCCTGTAGTCCCAGCTACTCGGGAGGCTGAGGCAGGAGAATGGCGCGAACTCGGGAGGCGGAGCTTGCAGTGAGCCGAGATCACGCCACTGCACTCCAGCCTGGGCGACAGAACAAGACTCCGTCTCAAAAATAAATAAATAAATAAATAAATAAATAAATAAGCAAACAAAGGTGTAAAAGCCATGATCTTCGACCTCTAGAGTTTTGCTGATAAGTATTTATGGAGGAGAATGCTGGCAATCATGGACTAGACATATAAGAAAAAAAGGGAGACTCTATCATTCTTCAGCCTTAGAAAAGACTTATGGTTAGTCGACGGTGCTTTATGAGGAGAAAAGAATTTTTATTAAGATGGAAGTGAAAAGTCAGTTTTTACATCTTCTGACAACATGGCAACAAAGAAATGATTTACCTTTCAGTAAGAGCCAGGACTAGAACGCAGATATGAAATACTTCTGGCCATAGAAATGTTTCTGACCGCAGAAATAAATTATTTTGGTCATTTATTGCAAAATGGAAATGTAGAAATTTATTCTCCAGGTTTGAAAAATAAAATAGCCAAACAATGAATTGTAATACATTAAATAAATCTCTGCTTTAAAATAGGGTAATAGCCTAGATGGCTTTATGAATTATCCTCCCTTCTATGGTTATATCATTTCAATTTCACCAGAACACTGGGCATATCTTGATAATACATCTGATAAAATACAAATTGGCAATACTGAGTAAGTTTCAGGCAGGGGGTAAGTCTTACTACAAGGTATAATGAACAAGAAAAAGTATTTATAACTCAGGTTTGCATTCTCTGCATTTTCTTAGTATACAGACTCCAAATTTTAAATTTTCTAATGGCTGAAGTTACTTCCTTTTACAGAAGACTTTAAAAAATTGCAATGTTTTAATTGGTTCACATTAAAGACTCTTAGAAGCTTGAAGAAAAAAAGTCTTTCCAGATGAGCAAGAGGTTGGATAAATGTAATGACATATGGTTTGTTTTTTATAGCTACAATATGCGAAAAATAGTAGCATAACACATGTATTCAATGATATATATGTATTTATACATATAAATATATATTCTGCTTGTAAATTATGAGATAAGATTCTTTTGTACAAATATGATTTTGTTTTCTTTCTCTTTCTTGTTCCCTTTAGGAATAAAAATAACAACTGAAACTTAGAACAGTTTTAAACATCTCATTATACCAGGGATCTTGCAAAAGATAAAATCAACGAATGCAAAGCCATGATGCCACACAGTCCCCTGCACAGACTTGTGAGCGGGCTGTCTGCAGGGTCTCGGAGCCTCAGGGCAGGAAGACTGTCCGTTGATCTTATTACTGAATCTTCCCCCCAACCCCAGCAGGCTTCCTCAGAATCCTTCCAGATTGATGGGTCATGAACTGATTTTTAAATATCTCTCAGGAAGGGTATTTCTCACATCCTCTGGCAAACTCAGAACTTCCCCTGGAAGTTCTTCTTTTATTACCGCTGGATCCCTGAGCCCATTAAGTCACTCACAGAGATGTGAAGGACATCTGATTATTACATTGTATGTATTCAATTTTTAACTTTTCAAATGCTCTCGTTAAGTGGCTCTTCAGAGTTAAAACTAATCAATAAAAACTTTTTCCTCAAATGCTATACATAATTTTTCTTTGATCTTTTGAAGGTTCACACCTATTTTCAGAAGACCCTTGTTATGGACCCTTGGATGGTATCTTAATACGCTGTGCTCTTCCTAGGTTAGAGTATTAAATACTGTCCAAGAATAAAAAACAAACCTCAAGCATATCAGGAAAGCTTGACTGGTCACTACTGCAGTTTTATCAAACAGAGCTAGGCAAATCCTAGGGATGGGTATTGAATAACATTGAGAAGAAGGGAGCAGTGATTTTGATTCCATTACCTCTGAGTGGTAGCTTCCTCTCTCTGCCTTCATTGCAGTTGTTTTTCCGTTACCTTGGCCCGGCCTAGGCTACTGTTTTCCATCCAGGCTCTGTTGCCACCATGTGTCTATGAAGTTCACTTATTTTACTTAGCTAATCCTTACTCACTGAAAAGTCTAACTCTTTGGCTTCCAAAGTGATAAATGACCAATTAGTCCTAATGACCAATCCCCACGATCATTCTATTATGGCTTTAACTTTTTAATATGGGAAATTTCAAACATAAATAAAGTAAGCAGAATTGCACAATGAACCCTGTTTATCCATCAGCCAGCTTCAACAATTATCAGTATTTTGCCATGGTTGTGTCATCTGTACCTCCACCCACACCTCAGACTTCTTTTTTTTTTTTGTAACTATTCTTTTTTTTCCTTTTAGGTAAAATTTACATAAATTAAAAATCACGAATCTTAGCTGTACTATTTTGATAATCGGATAAACCTGGTAACACATACCCTTATCATAATATAGAATATTTCCATCTCCCCAGAAAGTTCCCTCTTAGGCAATCCTCTCCCATCCTCTTCCAAGAAACAACCACAGTTCTGAGATTTTTAACTTCAATTTTGCCTGTTTTTGAACTTCTATAAATGGATTCATACAGTATATAGTTGTTCATGTCCATCTTCTTTTATGCAGCATAATGTCTGCAAAATTTTTCCACATTGCTGCCTGAGTCAGCTGTTGCTTAATTTTTGTTGCTGTATGAATTCCGTATCACAAATTGTTTTCTTTCTCTTGTTGATGGATACTTCAGTTAGTTTTTAAGTATTGTAAATAAAGCTTATCTGAACACTTTTTTACAAGTCATTTTGTGGATATATGTTTTTATTTCTCTTGGATAAAATACCCAGGAGTGGATTGCTAGGTCAAAGGGTAATTGTACATTTAGCTCTAAAGTTTTACCTTTTTCCAAAGTAGTTGTACTGTCACTCCTTTTTAAATTACATTTTTTGGTTTGTTTTGAATGGGTAATTCTATCAAATGGTCAAACAATCCAAACCACATAGCAGGTATATAAAAGAAGTATTCTTTGCATCCTGTCCCTGTCCACATGCACCCCACTTATCCACACTGCCTCCTACAGGTAAGCACTTTCATCAGCTTCTTGTCTATTTTAATTTTTTGACGCAATTATGAAAAATAAACACGTATTTCTGCCCCTCTCCCTTCTAAAACAAAAGGTAGCCTACTACATACCCATTCTGCACTTTCTTGTTTTCAACTAACAACATAACTTGGAGTCTTTCCCTACTGGTAAATAGACAGCGTCTTCATTTTTTTTTTTTTTCTAAACAGTGCTCTATTGCTGGCCCCTTGGATTAGTTCCCACCTGTTACTCTTCTACTCAACCTTGTACCTACATCATTACATATCTACATAGCAATATATGTGGGATAAATGTTCAGAATAGTGCTTTAGCCTTACTGGACCAAGAACTATAGGTATTAGTCACTTCGATAAGTATTACCAAACCACCTTTCAAAGGAGTTAATATTTTGTACTCCCATCAGCAACGCCTGAGAGTTCTCCCTACCCATAGACTTCCCATCGCAGCGCACTGTGAACCTGGATCTTTGCCATTCTCAACTATTCCTAAGTATTCCGAGCAGCTACAGAAAATAAACACACAATAACCCCACAATGCATGGTTTTGTGTAAATTTTTAAGAATTTTGAGGTGGTAAAAGCATTAAGGCAAGCATGAGGTCCTGCATGCAGCTTCATGCAGCTGCACAGGTTGTAAATCTGTGGAAATTGTCCTTAGGACTAAACATCATAAAGAAATCATATATGTCACTAGTCATAGACATACAGGGCTACCACTTTCCTTGCCTCACATCTAAATCACTGAATAACTGTATTGATGGGAATAGGCCAAGTAGAGGCTCATGCCAGAACAGTGATAGGAAGAAGATCTGCAAGTCCAAATTGCACTTGAGTTCTGTCTTAATTTCTGACAATTCGGTGTCCATGAAGAAGCCTGACTTGCCCCTCCTAGAGAGGAGAGCAGCACACAATGCAGTGGGGTTCTTATTGCTTATACATCCTGAGAATGCTTACCCTTATGGTACTGGGAGCCCCAAGAATCAGTGTCAGTGGGCTGGAGATAAAGTCACAGGAAATTTTCTGAAACAACTTGGGATAGTCACTTCTAGAATAATGGAAGCAAGTAGAGTGGAGGGAAAGAAAAATGTTTGGTAGTTAAATATTGGGAGAGGATAATTACTGAAAGGCCAGTGCTATGTTGAAGATTTTATATATATGATCTGCAGATCTTCCTTCTTAGGGCTGCTCCACAAACAAGTAGAGTCTGAAAAGGAAAGAGAGAGACAGAGACAGAGAGACAGAAAGAAACATCTGCTCAAATAGACAAATAGACAATGGGAAAAGTAGAACTGAATCTGCCAAAACGATTAAAAATATAGCGAATAGTTGTGTGAAGATTGTAGCCAGAGAGAAAGACAATGTAATCATACATTAAATCAATCCACTCTTTCAAGCTATTACCGTATTTATAAGTATTACTCTCTAGACCGACCTAAGGCTTGACACCTTTCTCTGCTCTTTCACCCCCTCTGCTGGTAGAGTGCCAAGAAGCAGGTCTCAGATCAAGACACCAGCAGTACCAATGAGGAGATAAAGTGAGGCAGATATTTTATGCAGCTGTGCTTCTCAAATTTTAATATGAACACAGATTTCCTTAGGATTTTGTTAAAATACAGATTCTGATAGGCACGAGATTCTGCATTTCTAGCAAGCTCCCAGATGATGCTGGTCCTTAGACCACACTTTGCAAAGCAAGGCTTTCTAGCACCCAATAATCACCAGCACAAAAACCCCTCAATGATGTCTTCCAGTCTGACTTGAAAGTGATCTCTGTGGCCTTCAAGTAGCTCTACATTCAAACGTTGGTCTCATGCACAAATTGAACAGTTAAGTTCATTTGGAATATTTCTCCAGTTGCCTCAATGATTTACCTCCATACAAGTCATCAGTGACATCATGCGGTTGGTTATATTAGAATATTGGAATCTAGTTAGGAAATGTTGTGATGAGTTTGCAATATGGAATAAAATTTTTATTTTAGAAAAGACATTTACCAACCCCTCTCATTTTACAAATAAGGAGGCAGAGACACAAAGAGAATGCGTGACTTGACCAAGGTCACACAGCTGGTCAATAACAGCAAAACTAAAATCAAATTATGCCAACACTACTTCTTATGCTGTCTTTCCAGATTATTTACCATTTTTCTATTTCTCTACAGTGACCAGAATCATTTCTGCTAAATGTCACAGATCATTAAAGCCTGTGTGTCCAGTCACAAAACTCAGGAAACGTGAAAATATGCATCTCATCTCAACAGTTTTCCTCATATCTCATTCTTTTGTAACTTAGTACCCCACTCTCTTATCAGTAAAATTAGATTTTAAATATATATTAGAAGGAAAAAAATACCAGATAATTTCCTGTTAGCATCAGCTATCTTGGATGTTTAATCTTCATTTTGCTCCATCCTTTCTGCCTGAATTCCATTTATTAAAACAGAACACATAGGGGTTTAATCAATATCCTTAAATTTTCCACAAACATAACATAAATAAACTCCACGTTGTGAGGAAGAGAGGATTTTTAATACATATGTGTTGAATGAATGATCATTATTTAGATAAATGAATGACTGAAGTGATTGTTATATTCAGGTAAATTCATCATGGCTAGGTAGCAAACCAAAGACTTGTAAGAACCTCAAATGAGGACATGCACAAAACAGGGATGGCCATGGGCTACGTAATTTCAAGGTCTTTTGTCTTCAACGTCAAAATTCACTTTAGAGAACTTAAGTGATTTTCATGCGTGATTGAAAGTAGAAGGTGGATTTCCAAGCTGCTCTCTCCATTCCCAACCAAAAAAAAAAAAAAAAGATACAAGAGTGCATAAAAAGTTTCCAGGTCTCTAAGGTCTCTCACCCAATATAAGCATAGAATGCAGATGAGCAAAGTGAGTGGGAGAGGGAAGTCATTTGTAACAAAAACTCATTATTTACAGATGAGAAATTTATATTGTCAGCGTAATATCTGTGAGGCTAAACAGAGCTGGAGAGTATATAAAAGCAGTGCGCCTTGGTGCAGAAGTACAGAGCTTAGGACACAGAGCACATCAAAAGTTCCCAAAGAGGGCTTGCTCTCTCTTCACCTGCTCTGTTCTACAGCACACTACCAGAAGGTAAGATGATTATAAAATTGTAAATCCTGTTTGGCGGACAGTGAAGTATTTTTAAGGGATCAAAATATTATAAATTAAAATGTTGTTCTTTCATCTTAGACTTTATTACTAATAGTACACAGAGAGGAACTGAGATGGAAAAGGTTATATCAAATGCATTTACGTGTACTTTAATATAGCGAAGCCGCAAAGCGAGTTGGAAAAATAATTATATGCAAAAATATAAAACAGAAAAAAAACAAAGATTCAAATCAATGCACTTGTTATAATACTTAACTGTTATGAGAGTTGTATTTTAAAATAATTGGTAACATTTTGAAGAATAAATATTTTTCTTGGACTTGATAGATCTGTATACTACTTTGAACAGAAGGCGTCTTTTAAAGTAAGCAGAAATGTGTCCATTAGGGAGCCTATAACAGAAATTGCTTTTTACCAATTAAAATCTCTGGTTTTCCAAAAGAGCAAATTAAATAACATCTTTCAAATATTCAAATTTCAGACATCTATCAAAAAATCAAAGTCCATTAAAGCAACTCTTTGTAAATAAAACATAGCGTACTTGGTGCAGAGAACAAGTGTCATCTATTTGGGGGGTTTTCTTTGGATGCATCTGAGTGAAGCCATACATTAATAACTATTTACTATGTATTGAGGATAAATAGTAATAAAATCTAAAATAGCTACCCTCTGCAATAAAATTTTAATTTGTCTTTTTAGATTAGGCTCCTAGAGACAAAAAACAAATTTACAAAGATCTTTGATGGAGTAAATGATTAAGTGGTGTATTTTTCCATACATACTGAAGACCTATTACATAAAATGAGCTAACCAGTTTGAAAAAGGATTTATATGGACTACAATGCCAACACATTTGGGGATAGAACATAATGTCTTCTTTTTTAGGTCTAAGGTTAATCTTTCTGTAAGACTTCCTACTTATTATTGTTACCATACTTTCCTTTAAATTTTAGTGGAAATTTGTAGTTCTTACAAAACTGCAGGCTCTCTTTAGACTACCTAAAGAGGGGGGAAATTAACTGGAAATTATTTTCTTATTGAATAAGATTTTAATACTAAAATAACATAAATCTCTACTTTCTCAGCAATTGTATTCAAACAATTAACTCTATTCTTTTTTTTTTCACAATTCGATAGACTTTCACAAACAAATAAGTGAGATTTTTAAAGCCAGTTCTTTCTTCAGAAGAAGTCATTTATTGTTGGTAATATTATTAGATACGGAACGCTCACTTCTTTATGTGGTTTATGGTTGTTCTTTCTTCCATCAGCTCCTGAAGTGGCAGGATACCTCCTGCTCTAAATCCTCCTCAATGGAACATAATAGGAGATATTGCAAAACGCTTAGGACTTTGGGTGGAATGAATTTTTTTTTCAGTCTTGTGAAAGACTAAAAGCTTTTACAAGAAACTTTTCAACAGTGGTATAATTTTTAAAAGAAGTGCTTACTTTAATATTTAAATATTCCTGCAAGCACGGATATAACAATTGAGAGTTATAATCAGTAGATACTACCTAAATATATGGCAAGGTTTCCAAAGTCTGCCAACCGGTTAAACTGAAGCATAGCAAAATGTCAAATTGGTAATTTGATGTTGATGAATGAAGAAAGGTGAATATATCATTCCTATTATGTTCCTTTGTCTAATCATCCATTCAATGTACAAAAAACTTAATATTTCAAAGAAAAAAGTTACTGCTGCAGGTATTACAGTGTCTATGTTTTAGTGCCAGAGATAGTAAATACAGCTAATATATTAAGGAAAAGATTGATAGTTTAAAAATGATAATATTTGTGAAATCCTTATTCCAAACCAAATGTCATTTGCTAAAAATATTCATTCAAATTATTTGTGGATAAGCATAGTCAAACTTGGATTGAAATGCCCGCTTCTCAAAGGAAACACCATTGGGTTTCAAAGTAGCCGAGATCCATGACAAAGACGGACTTGACGTTCCCATTCAGAAAATAGAAGCGCTTGCTCTGTGGGGACATTCTGTCCCACATTCATGTTGGTCCCAGTCCCCGTCGACACTGCATCATCACATCCTTAACATACTATGGCTTCGCAGGGCATCTGCTTGTGACACAGGGACAAGCAATCAGGTGTATCCTATAACCAAGTCTATGGTGTCACCAGCAGTGAATGACATGTCCTCATCTAAGTCCAATTAGAAAACAACCTGGGGACTTTTATGACTTTAGAAGCAAGCTCTAATTTTTTTTTACATAGTAATCTCTTAGTTTTTTAGTTGTGATTGTTCACGTTGCCAGAAGCATTAGTTCTTGTTGCAAATTGCTTGTCTTTAAAATGATTTTTTCCCTTTAATTTAGAACAGGTCAAAGCACCCTAAAATACCTCAAATCTGTTGGCCGCTTTATAATTACAAAGTCTAGACCAAGTTACACTATTTAAAATATAAATGAATAATACATCTGAACCGACAGCTGGTATGCCAAGTTGTAGCCTGAGGCTGCTTTAAGATGGTTGAAATGCAGTATAATGTAAATGCTTGGAAGTGAAGGACTATTAATTGAAAGCCAGACTGATAGTGAGGGGGGTGGCATGATGGATAAGGTGCCATTCAGGCTAACCATATGTAGCATATCATCTACAGTGGGTATTTTAAATGTTGATTGTGGACATTTTAATTTCCAGTCTGGAAATGAGCCTTCTAATTATTAAACAGAAGTGTCCCTACATTAATGAAAAAGCTTAATGGTGGAACACATCTTTTGTGTCCTTTTTTGCCTCCAAAAAATCTGGGGAAATAATATAACCCACTATTTAAAATTAAGCTGAAAATATAATCAGAATAAAAGTGATAACACTAGCTTTTTCCTTCTACTTATGATATTTATCTAGTCAAATCTAATTAATTTAGCCTGACATGTTTAAAAATCCTTGCCTGCCCCCCTCACCCTACCCCCATTCTGTGTTCTGACAGACAGCAGAAATGAAAAGCATTTACTTTGTGGCTGGATTATTTGTAATGCTGGTACAAGGCAGCTGGCAACGTTCCCTTCAAGACACAGAGGAGAAATCCAGGTATTAAATCCGTAGTCTCGAACTAACATATCAATATGGTTGGAATAAAGCCTGTGAAAACTATGATTAGTGAATAAGGTCTCAGTAATTTAGAATAAATATTCTGCACAATGATCAAATGTTTAAAGTATCCTTGTGATAAAAGCAGACTTTGTTGGAGTGTAGATCAGAGTTTGTGTTTTTTATAATAAAAGGGGAGAGAAATGTTGAAAAACATGTTACAGGGGAAATTATAGCTCCTTGAAATCTACAGATGATCCTATCTATCAATTCATTACTCACACACTGCATAATAGATTACTTCAATTATTCGCACCAACTCTTTTCTCTTTTTTCCTCCTTTAAAAAATAGCATTATTTCTTCCTAAATGTAAAAGCCATACATGTTCATGATGGAAAGTATGAAAAATATGCAAAAAATATTAAGTACTCAAAATTCCTCTGTCCAAAGAAAGCTATTCAAAGTAAACAAATTTGGTGTATTACTTTCCTGTGTTTTACGTAAACTGTACATAAATATCTCTTGGCTCATTATATGGCTTTGTATCATGCTTAATATCTTAACATTGTATTATTATACACTTTTATTATATTATTAAAAATATTTGTTAAACATGATATTTAATGGCAGCATACTGTTTCATCTCATAAATGTACAATATTTGTTTAGCTACTTATTTGGGAAGCTTAAGAGGTCTTAAAATTTATTCCACAAAGAATGTTGCAAACAACATTTTATATACACACTTTCCTACATTTCTTACTATTTTTTTGCACATAGGTTTCTAGTTGTAGAAATACTGTGTCAAAGGGCCTGAATGAGTTTAAACCTTTTTTAATATCTTGCCAACTTGCTTTCCAGAAAGTTCATACACATGCACACTCTCATCAGCAGTATAGAAATACTCCTCATAATATCCTCCTCAGCATTCAAGCTTTGCTAATTTCATAGGTAAAAATAGTATCTCATTTCTGAGTATTAATTACATTGACTATTTTCCCATGTATTTACCATGCCAACCAACTGTTGATTAGTGGCATAGGGATTATTCCTGATACAGTTTCAAATTAGCAAGTATCCTTTTTCTTGCCTTTCTTTGAACTTCTAGTTGTCTTCCTTCCACTGCTAGCCACCATATAACTAGATAATTGTGCTGTTTTCATATTAATATATGCAAAACAAAATTGGGAGCTTAAATCTGCTGCCCAAAGAAATGATTTGGGATTCTTCACTCTTTTAAAATATTCAAGTCACTACTCTCTTCTGTCACTATTAGCATAATCATGAGTAGATTAATTAGTAGAAAAAGATTTGTTTAATCCTATTTCAGAAAAAAAGAAGTCAGTTGAGAAACATGTTTCTAGAATTCAGAATAATAGCGTATGCAACTATACTAAAACGAAGGGATTCTCATGACAAGCTAAGGAAGATCTTTCTAAACTACCTATTGAAATACTCTAGATGCCTGCCTTACTGTTTTATATGGTCTTGTATTTTGTAGTGAAGATGCTTCTCAAGTGAGTCTACTCTTGAGGAGAGATTTATGTTGTACCAATCACTGTTCTTCACAGATCATTCTCAGCTTCCCAGGCAGACCCACTCAGTGATCCTGATCAGATGAACGAGGACAAGCGCCATTCACAGGGCACATTCACCAGTGACTACAGCAAGTATCTGGACTCCAGGCGTGCCCAAGATTTTGTGCAGTGGTTGATGAATACCAAGAGGAACAGGTAAGAGTCTAAGCCTGGCTCAAAACTTGCTTATAAATGTATTAAATAGGTCTAAAATTTCTCTTGACATTATTAAGTTCTTATGCTCGTCAAATAGTGCCCATAAGCCCTGATCATTTTGAAGATGTTTAGGGTTGGGGATGCTCTCCTTAGTATTATGCCCCCGAATGTCTTAACCCGCACCCCTCTAAACCACTTACCCAACCTCCAGTGTGACATAGCCTTTAAATTATTTTCCCAGTGGTAGTCCTAGCAATATTTACTTGCTTACTCATTTTCCCTTAAAGTGAAAGTTTACTTTTGTGGACCTACGAGGTTACCAATCTAATTTCTACCAAAAGATAGAGCAAATATAACATTCTTTCGTGGGGTTCAAACCCAACATTAAAATTATCCCCCAGCCAAGGGTAAGGAATGGAAACAGATGCATTCCTTTTCTTGTAGAATAAAATCCAAGACATGCATTTAAAATTACAGCCTAGCTGCACAGCATAGAGAGAGAAGGCAGCAAATAAGAACACAAGCCTATCGTAAGGCATACATTTTAATGTTGGATTTTCTTTGACGAGTGTTGGGTTTTTTGCTGCATCTAGGCTACTGGAGGAAATTATCCGCAAGGGTTTCACAGAGATGGTGGAATTTCACAATTTTTTTGGAGGGTGGCCCACAAGAGGAAGGGAGTTATGCATAGAAAGTAGCTGAAGAAATCAAAAAATCAGGAAAAGGACATAGATTTGTCTGGATAGACTGGAGAAGAGAGAGAGTGAGAGTAAGAAAGGAGAGAGAGAGAGAGAGAGAGAGAGAGAGAGAGAGAACAAGCAAGCAGGAGGAATAGGAGAAACAGAGTTGCTAATCAAAGGTTCTTAAAGTAGAGGGTACAGCCACAGGAAGATGGCTATCATGGTCAGAGCAGACACTGGGAGAGGTCCCTCTTAAGGACTACAGTGAAAGGTGAGAAATCACAAATTTATAAAAATGCAAACAACTGTCCTCATTTTCTAGAATGGGAATGCCACAACTTGGTAAATGGATGTAAAGCAATCCTCACACTCAAGCAGTGTTGCCTATGTGTTTAAAATGAGGTGATATGGGGTAATATGTGCCAGGGAGACTGACAGCAGCTGATGGCTCACCTCCACGGTGCTCTGCACACACTTGATGTTGATATGGGGTCATCTTCTTTGCTTTCCTTGTTACTAGCAGATCACACATTTTCTTTAATCCATTATCAAGTGGTCCTTTTGGTAACAATTCAAGATGGTCCTTTGCTTTCCCTCAAATCAATTAACTAACTCTGACCCCATACTTACTAATAACAAACAGCTGCCTTGCTTGCAAGTCACATAGTGCAGTGGATAGCCTGTATCCATTGAGACTGAAGTCAAAGGTAAGGCAGCTTTAATAACCAATGACATACATAAGCAGGGGATTGCAGATGGGTATGCTGGGAAGGGAGGGGGAGCTTTAGCCCACCGATTGTTATTAGCTCTCTTCCACCAGTTTCAATCCAGAACATTAATGTAGCTTCACGACAAATCCCCTAGCAACCCTCATCTCCTAAACTCCCTAAGCCCCTTCTACATAGAATCCTGAACCCAAAGTTGCCACTGCTTATAGGTGAGAACCATATTGCCAAAGAGACAGATCTTCAATTTAACTTTCACATTTCTTTCAGGAATAACATTGCCAAACGTCACGATGAATTTGAGAGACATGCTGAAGGGACCTTTACCAGTGATGTAAGTTCTTATTTGGAAGGCCAAGCTGCCAAGGAATTCATTGCTTGGCTGGTGAAAGGCCGAGGAAGGCGAGAGTAAGTCTGTACATTCTTATTTGACATTTTTTGCCTTGATGCAGAAAATTTAAGACTACAGTTATCTATATATGGATCTGGATTACAGAAGCAATTAGTAGTCTTGCAAAGTAAGGAAATAATTCCTATTGATGAAAAACAGTATATAAAAGTTAAACCCATTTTGTTTTTGGTACTAAGTATTAATAATAGAGCCAAACAGGTTACATTTGTATCCCCTTATAGTTGCATTATAATTAGGTATTAAATCTTTGGCCAAACCAGGCCACCTCTGAGAGTAAATAGGATGTTTTTAATAACTACGCTGAGACAAATTTAAACTAGGACTGTTCTAGGGGAGCTAGAGATAAGGAAAAAGAAGAAACAGTGCTGAAAACTTCAAATATGTAAAGAAAACATATAATATTTAAAGCTTAACTTTAAACATTTACATATGTGATCAACATATATTTATATATTAATAAATATTCAGATAAAAATGTGATGAAGACTGAAAGTGACCAAACCTAAGATGTTGATAAAATGATATTCAAAGTACAAATAGGTAAAAACATCCATATATTTAACTACATATCCAATTTTGTATGGGGCTGTCATATAGATATCTACTAAATAATCTAAGTTGAAAAACAACCAAGACCATCAATTACTTGCTTAGATCTTAACACAGCCAAACAGACCCCTGAACCATCTCATTTTCTTCCGATTTTTTTTGGAGAGATGAAATATGAGAGACGGAGAATTTATGTTCAACTCTGATTTTTAAATTAGATTTAAAACAAGCTTACTGAAATTTAAAGAGATCTCAAGATGAAAGAGAACTAGAATAATGGTTGGTTTTTAAAACATTAATAATTAAACTTATAAAACCAATGGTAAAATAGTTTCTCACTCTTGACGATATTTTGCAGTGTTTTAAAGGGATACCAAAAATTCTGCAATAGTAAACCAGTGAAAGAGAAAAATCTAATATAGATGAAGCTTTAACCTCTTAATACTGCATTTTGCAAGGCTGTTCCTGCAAGCTCTGGTTTTATAGGATATGATATATTTAGTTGAATTACAGACTAATAATCTCAACAATAGTTTCTGTATTGTCAATATACTAAAATCTTCAAAACAGCCTAGAAGATTGAAAAGGGCATGAAATTATGCAGGCTTGGTATTAGATCCCAGCTCTGCTACTTTCTCTTTCCAGTAGTCACTGGTCCACATGGGTTTTTATCAGGTATTTCACAGTACACCCTTTAAAAACAGAATCCTTTACTGTTTCCTCAAGACACTTGTGCATGTTACCAGTGGTAGACAATCTGTGATCATTTATTGAAAATATCTAATCAAACGCTAATTTTAACACTTATTTTCTTAGTTTCCCAGAAGAGGTCGCCATTGTTGAAGAACTTGGCCGCAGACATGCTGATGGTTCTTTCTCTGATGAGATGAACACCATTCTTGATAATCTTGCCGCCAGGGACTTTATAAACTGGTTGATTCAGACCAAAATCACTGACAGGTGACTGCTTTTTAGTTAATTCTGAAAACCATCAAATTCTCATAAGTACTGATTGTCATACTGCTGCAAGCTGTTCCCCATGTAGGGGGAAAGTCTATAATCTCTTATTATATAGGAAATAATTATGCATGTTTAAGTCATATAAGAGTACATCATTATGTTTGTTTTGTATCATTACAGTTTGTATCTATTTATTCATTTATTCCAGAAACATTTACTGAGTGTCTATTAGAGTCAAGAAGCTAGAAACACAGATAGAAATGAAACATGGGAAATGTTACATCATTCACATATTGTCACATTAAAAATTGCTATGTTGAAATTTCAGCACAAAGGTGAAATGCAGCATATACAATATTACATACTTAATTTAATAAGAAGAGTAGTGAGAACTGGACACCGAAAAATACTTATCTTGATGAATTTTGATTTTTTAATAATTATTCATAATTGTTTGATAGCATTGATGAGCAGACTTTAGGATAAATAATCTTTAAATGAAAATATTTTAAGAGTCCAAAGGATGGAGGGATTTATGGACAAAGGGATTAATAAACAACTTTTATCAAAATAAATCATTGAAATATTTTCTGGATAAGTTAATGATATCATCTTATTATAATTATGTTAAATCATTTTCTTTTTTTAATCTCTAGGAAATAACTATATCACTATTCAAGATCATCTTCACAACATCACCTGCTAGCCACGTGGGATGTTTGAAATGTTAAGTCCTGTAAATTTAAGAGGTGTATTCTGAGGCCACATTGCTTTGCATGCCAATAAATAAATTTTCTTTTAGTGTTGTGTAGCCAAAAATTACAAATGGAATAAAGTTTTATCAAAATATTGCTAAAATATCAGCTTTAAAATATGAAAGTGCTAGATTCTGTTATTTTCTTCTTATTTTGGATGAAGTACCCCAACCTGTTTACATTTAGCGATAAAATTATTTTTCTATGATATAATTTGTAAATGTAAATTATTCCGATCTGACATATCTGCATTATAATAATAGGAGAATAGAAGAACTGGTAGCCACAGTGGTGAAATTGGAAAGAGAACTTTCTTCCTGAAACCTTTGTCTTAAAAATACTCAGCTTTCAATGTATCAAAGATACAATTAAATAAAATTTTCAAGCTTCTTTACCATTGTCTGATTTCTCTTTACGTCCCCCTTTGTCATGCCCCACTCCTTCCAAGCACCCCTGTTTTCTAAGCTGCAGTCCACAAGTCAAATTTGGTGTATAGGCATGACTTCATGCTTCAGATGGCTGCACAGAACTTTTAACATTTTGAACCAACAATGAAAAATCAGGGTCTTTCATAGAAAACTATTGATTTGTAGTGTCTCCTGAAAAAGTAGGTCATGAGGCAATATTAGACCCAAAAGGCAAGTTTATTCTGTAGCTAAGTAACAGCTGCCTCTTACCAAAGGATCAGGTGCTCCCCAGCTTGTGTAGGGCCCCAGCACATGCCCAGGCGTGCTCACACACCCCACCTACATAATGGGGACATCAAGGAATTTACTTCTGGCCCACTTTACTTGCATACTGCACCTGCAGGCATTTGAGTTTGCCCATCATGCCTTGTAGCCGTTCTCCTTGTCCTGCAATGGCCAATACCTTGGGACAGTCTGATAGTGATTGCCAAGCCTGAGACTTTTCTTTGCTGGATTTAGCATTGCCAACTCTCTTTCTCTATCTCTATAGTGCTCCCATAGGGTAGACTTACCCACCAATAAGATTCTAACGTTTACAGATTACTTATATACTTTGATCAGCGGTAGTAAATTTGAACTAATACCTGTAATGATCACTCTTACTCGTTTACATACTGATAAGCATTTCCTGAAATGGATAGAAATCTTAAGACCAGAATTGTCTAATTAAGGTTACTGCTAGCTGTAGGATCCTGAGCATGTCATATAAGCTCTCTGTAACTAAGTTCGTCATGTGAAAATATAAAGTTAAAATTGTCCAGTCACCATCATTTCTTAAGTCTTTGATTATAACTGTTTTTTTGCCTTACAACGAGGTTTCAGTAAAAATAGCGTCCTGAAGTATTCATCCTAAAATGATTGTCACGGAGCAGCTCGGGGCAGAAGGTACCACTGTATGTGTCAAAATTATGTCTGTCAGCTTCTCCAGAACCAAAACCATCATATCTTCCTCCAAAACGTCTCGGTGAGGGCAGCTCACAGGCCACAAAAGCATATTCACACATAGGGTTTTTGTTTGTTCATTTTCTTATTTTTTAGGTAGAAGATGGCTATGTTGATTGTTAAAGTATTCAACTGGTAAGATCAAAGTGTAGCATTTTTCATAGTTTTCACTAAAGGAGCTCAAGGCAACTTTCAGATGTTCACCATGTTTTCTTTTATGCAAAGTGTTGTCTTTACCACCCCTACACCAATTATCCA
This sequence comes from Homo sapiens, assembly GCF_000001405.40. Classification (NCBI taxonomy): domain Eukaryota; kingdom Metazoa; phylum Chordata; class Mammalia; order Primates; family Hominidae; genus Homo; species Homo sapiens. Next base: position 162,141,604 of record NC_000002.12, on the reverse strand, counting down.
CAGGTGATCTAAAATGTCCCATTTATAACTAAAATTTGATTTGGAAACTGAATATATACCTCTGTGTGCATGTATGCGTACATGCGTGTGTGTGTATGTGTGCGTGTGTGTGTGTGTTTTCATGAAACCAAAGTCAAAACCTTGAGAACATCTCAGGACACACACAGTGAGGCATCAGCCTTCAGAAAAGGGTGCACTCATACAAAGGAAAGGAGGTGGTCCACTAAGAAAACTGGCACATAGCGGAGGTAAATGGAAGGGAAAGCATAAGACAGTGAATGTGAGTCAAGCCCAAAAGAGCGCCAAGGGTCAAAAACAGAAAAGATAAGTCTGTCCGGAAGTTCAAGAGGCAAACGAAAGGATGTCATTGAAAAAGGAAGCTAAGGAAGTGAGTGAGGAGTCATTCAAGTGCAGAAATTAAGTTAAACATATCAGTTAGGTGTTATGTTTGACTGCGTGTAATATAAACCCAACCACAGAGACTAAACTAATAAAAGGGTTATAAGTTTCACAAAATCAGAAGTCCAGAGGAAAGAATATCAAAGGTAAACATGTCAGGGATAGCTCGTGGTCTTTTTCTTTCTGTTCTGCCATCACTAACAAATGGCTTTCCTCCCATGGTAACTCCAGATTGAAGTGTGGCTGCTCCATCTTCAGCTCTTACCTACTTTCCAGGTAAGACACAAAAGGAAAAGGAGAAGGAGAAGAAAGAGAAACAGGAAAAGAAGCTAAAGACAAAAACAAGAAGAAGAAATGTAGGCAAGGAGAATTGACAATCAGGAAGGTGATGTACCAATTTAGAGAAAGCAAAACATTCCCAAAAAATACCCAGCAGATTTTCAATTATATCTTGTTGGCCAAAAATGTGTCCCATGACCCATCCTGGCTACAAGGGAGACTGGGAAATGTCTCTCAGCTGGATATATTGGGTCCCATAGAAAATTCAGGATTCTATTGTAAGAATAAGGGAAAGAATAAATATTATACAGACAATTAAAATTAAAGGGCATATTTCCACAGTCAGAGTTGAAATACCCAGGGCTCACTTTTCTGTTATGTTTGTAGTATGGGGATGTGTTGGCCTGATTTAAGTTCAAGCAGGTTTCCGGAACCTTGGACTCCCTAAGAATAGAATAAAAGTAAATTATCCAACAAAGAATTATTGAAGAGGCCAGGCGCAGTAGCTCACGCCTGTAATCCCAACACTTTGGGAGGTTGAGGTGGGTGGATAATTTGAGGTCAGGAGTTCAAGAACAGCCTGGCCAACATGGTGAAACCCTGTCTCCACTGAAAATACAAAAATTAGTTGGGCGTGGTAGTGGGCACCTGTAATCCCAGCTACTCAGGAGGCTGAGGCAGGAGAATCGCTTGAACCTGGGAGGCAGATGTTGCAGTGAGCTGAGATCACCCCAATGCACTCCAGCCTGAGCGACAAGAGAGAAACTCTGTCTCAAAAAAAAAAAAAAAAAGACAGAATTATTGAAGAATATTCAGCATAAAACTTTTATAGCATTTTATATCCTTAATTATAGACAAAGATTAAATAATGAGCATGAAGGAGTAAAGGAATCAAGTTGAATGAACATATAATATTTTGTTAATAGAAAATGAGGAGGTAGATATATTCAAAAATATTTAAAATATATTTTTGAATATAAAACATTATAGGATTCTTGCTGGAGATGTCCTCAAAGTATTTCCATGTGAGTCTAATATGGGAGCACAGCCTTGATCCTCAAAGAGTGGACCACACAGCAGGTCAGATAGCATCAATATCCACAGGGAAACAGTTACAAAATGCAGAATGTGTGGACCCATCCTAGAGGCCCCATATCAGAATCTACATTTGAACAAGATCCCCAATTGAATCATATATGCATTGAGGTTGGACATATTCTGGACAGAATAGCCCCTCAACCTTTCCAGTGTTAACATTTTTGCTACACTTGTGCTGTGGGGTGACCTGCTCATTGCAGGCTGTTGGTCAGCATGCTTGGATTATTTGTCATAATCACATGAAAAAAAATATTATTTGATAGGTCAAATTAGGAATACTCAAGAGTTTTAAAATGAAATTATTCCCTTTCTGCTGAGACTGAGTATACACTATTTGCTGGTCTGTTACCCTTTTACTTTCTCTATTGCAAATTTTGCACGTTTTTTGCTTTTATGTTCTAGAGTCTGAGTGTTTTTATTCTTTTGATTGCATTGTTTCAAATAAAGAATTACAGATTTTTCACTAAAAAAAAAAAAAAAGAAAAGAAAACCTGCTCTTCCACATAACCTTTCCCCAAGTAGCACTTAACAGGTATTTTAAAAATTCTTCTGCAGCCTCCTGATCTGCAGAAGCTCCCTCATTTACCTGCAAGTTTAACACTTTTCATGCTGTATCACCTTTTGAAATGTACAAGCCAGCACTACCTACAAAGGGTTTAACATTTTCTTGACCTTGGGTAATGTGACTATACAGTTATTTAGCTTTCAACCTTACAGCAGTGCTGTCCATTATGCTTTTATAAATTAGTAGTCATCTCATGAATCCACAAATTCAGCTGCTTCTTGAACTTACAGACACTGGACAGCACTTCAGCACTACATTTAGGAGTCTCTTTATTTTTTTTCTTGAGACAGGGTCTTGCTCTGTTACCCAGGCTGGAGTACAGTGGTGTAATCATGGCTCACTGCAGCCTTAACTTTCTGTGCCCAAGCGTTCCTCCCACCTTAGCCTCTCAAGTAGCTGGGACTACAGGTGTGCACCACCATGCCCGGCTAACTTTTGTATTTTTTGTATTCCCCCATGTTGCCCTGGCTGGTCTCAAACTCCTGGGTTCAAGTGATCTGCCTGCCTCAACCTTCCAAAGTGCTGAGATTACAGGCAAAAGTCACAGCAACCAGCCAGGAGCCATTTTTAAAGACAGAAATCACCAAAGAAAGTAAAAAAATGTGAAAAAGTGGTACTGAACTGACTGCTCAAAGGATACTTGTTTATTGTCTGAGAGCTGAAACAATAAGGCAGAGTGTCACCTTTTTTCTAACTCAGCTGGGATTGTGTGCATTGGGGGACTTAAGTTTTTCACCACTCTGTACCTGTCTGTGAATAAACATGAAAGTGCTCTGAGTATTGATTTGGGGTTAAAAATAAATTTTAGTGAGTAGGTGAGTTTGCAAATATGGTATCTGTAAATAATGAGGATCAACTGCAGTTCAAACAGAAACCAGAGCAAGGTGGCAGACATAATGCAAAATATAATAAAACTCAACATATTTTGTTGTAAACTAAACATAAGTGGATTAAATATTCAAATTGAAGACAAAGGTCATCACCTGAGTACAAACATTCAACCAACAATTACAAGAAATATATTATGTATATAAAGACATAAAAATCCTTTTGTGTCTTTATTAAAATTAAGATTAATTAAAATAAAAATATTCTAAAATTTATGACATGCAAATACTAACACAAGAAAGCTTATGTGGATGTATTAATATCAGAAAGTAGACTTTTTAAAAACTAGCATTCTACAGATGAAGAGGAGCATTTAAAAATGATAGAAGAATCAATTCACCAGTAATATATAATCATTCTAAATATTTATGTAACAAATAACATAGTTTTAAAAATAGATGAGGTTTAAAATGGCTGAATTTTTTAAAGCTGACAAATCTGTAATTATAGTGGAACACTTAAACAACTTGTTTAATAGCTGACAGAGAAAACAGAAAAGTCTGTAAGATTCAATAAACACTATCAACAAGATAAACAATATTTATAAATATCATACCCAATAACAACAAAATGAAAATTTTTTCAATGTGCACAAATAATATTTACCAAGATTGACTTTATGCTGGATTTAAAAATTTCAACAAATTTCAAAGACTGAAATCATTCAGACTATGCTCTCTAACCACCATGGGATTAAGCTAGAACTCAATAACAGAAGATATCTTAAAATTCACAACTGCTTAAAATTAGACAATCACTTCTAAATAACCCATGAGTCAAAGAATAAATCATAAAGAAAATGTAAAAAAAACTTTTGTACTCTATGCTAATGAAGGTGCAATAAAATTCAAACTTATGCAGTTTTTAAAGGAAAAGTATTGCTTTACATGCAATGGTAAGAAAGAAAGAACTTTGAAAATCAATAGCAAAACTTCTACCTCAAAAGGTTGGAGAAAAGGGATAGCAAATCTCAGAAAGTAAAAGAAAGAAAATAAAAAAGAGGAGAAAATAATAAAGTAGGGAAAATCTATCATAAAAATAAAAACTATAAGTTAGTTATTTGAATAGATTAACAAAATTAATAAATTCTTAGCAAGACTAGTCAAGAAAAAAAAGAAGAAAAATATCACTACATAACAAAGGTGGCTTCTCTAAAAATTTTATAGACAATAAAAGGGTAATAAAAATATATTACATACCAATTATATGCCTGATAAATTTGACAGTTAGATGAAATAAAAAAATTATTTTAAAAATGTTACTGAAACAAATTAAAAAATAGAAAAATTTTAATAGTCCTCTATCTATTATGGAAACTTTATCTGTTATTTTAAAAGTCTCTCTGCAAAAAGAGCTCCAGGACCAGATGGCTTTCCAGGTGAATTCTTTTAAACGTTTTAGGAAGAAAATATACCAATATTACATAAACTCTTCAAGACATGGGAGGAAGAAAGGGAATACTTCTCAATTTATAAAACCAGGATAACCTTAATACAAAAATCTGACAGATTTTACAAGAAAGAAAAACAACAGACCAATCTAACTCATGAGGATAGATGAAAAATCCTATATAAACATCAAAGAATCAAATCCAGCAATATATAAAAGAAATAATACAGTAAGGACAAACAAGGTGTATTCTAGAAATTCTGGGCTAATTTGTAATTTGCAAAACAAGTGATGTAATTAACAGAAATAAAAAGGATAAAATTATATGATTGTCTTAATCAATGAAGCAAACACATTTGTGGAAATTAAAAACCTATTTATGATTTTTAAAACTCTCAGAAGGAAATAATAAAAGTAAAAAAAATAGGCAGAAAGCAAAACAAAAACAATAGCACTAATAAACCAAAATAATTCTCTGAAGAGAAACAATAAAAGAGAAAATTACTAGTCAACCTAAGCAAGAAAAAAAGACACCAACAGTACTTAAAATAAAATGAATTGGGAAACAACCACTGAAACAGAAAAAATAAAAAAAATTGACTATTGAAAATGCTGAACAAATGTATTTGAAAACCTAGAAGAAATGGGTAAAATTTTTTACAAAATGTAATTTTTAAAAATTGATACCAGTGGAAAGTAAAAAATAAACCAATTTACATAGAAGAAATGGAGAAAAGTACCAAAGAGCTACCTCATAAATAGGCACCAGGTCCAGATGGCTTCCCATGTAACCTCTACCGAACTCTTAAAGAATGGATAATTATGCTATATAAATTTTTCCAGAGGCCAGAACAAAAAAAAGTTCTAACTCTTTTTATAAACTGAGTATAACGTTGATGCCTAAACTTGATAAAGATAAATGGATTAATTTCACTTATGAATATTGATTTTTAAATCTTTTAAAATTCAGAAAAAAAGAATTTAATAACATATTAAAATTTTTAATAATCCACTATGATCAAATGTAATGTATTCTAAAATTGTCAAGGGTGTTTCAATATTAGAAAATCTATTAATGTAATCTATCATATTAAGAGATCTAAACAGAAACTTTTTATCATTAACTTCACACATACTGCATAGACCTCTGACAAAAATCAACACCTATTCCTCATTAAAAAGTGTCAGTAAATGGAATTAATGCATTATATACTTAAATCAGCATAAGGCAGCAGACTAAATGATGTCAAGAATGTAGAATAACTGGAAGTCTTATATACTTCTGGTGATGGTATAAAATTGGACCACTGCTTAAGAAAATTGGCAATTTCTTATACAGTTAAACATACACCTATCCTGTATATATAAACTAATAGAATTATATAAACATCCTAAATTGCCATCTATAAGATACCGGTTGAATAAATCAAGTTACATCAACAAAACTGAAGAATACATAGTCATTAAATGATTTGAATAAGAATGTTCTCAGTGGCCTTCATAACAGCCAAAAAAATAGAAACAACCCAAATGTCCATCAATAGAAGACTGGGTAGAAAAGATTGTATATATAAAGTTTAAGAACAGGACAGACTAAGCAATGGTGGTAGAATAGTTTAATGGTTGCCTCTGGGAGAAGGAAGGGTGAAACCGAGTAGAAATGAGAATAAAAGAATTTTCTGGAGTGATGAAAATGTTCTATTTCTTGATTGGGGTGTGGATAACCTAGGCAACCCCACACATTTATCAAAAGGCAACAAAATTAACACTTAAGACCTGTGCACTTCACGATAGATAACTAAACTGTGCCTTAATAAATAAATTTAAATATGTAAACCCTATATAAATAAAACGAAATAAAACTACAATGAGATAGTAGTTCTAATTCGAAAACCTAACAATACTTTCTGTTGACTAGCCTGTGAGTACCTAGAGCCTTCCAAACAGTGAAGACGACCATGCAAAATGTAATAACTGCTCAGGGAGGGAAATTTGACAGTGTCTGCCAAAACTACTCAGCAGCCTCAATTCTAGAAATTCACCCTAAAAATGCACATCCAAACATTCAAAACTACATATGCACAAGGTTATTCTTTGCGGGTATTGATCATCCATTGTGAAAACTGAGAAACAATCAAAATCTCCATCCATAGGATACTGATTGAATGAATCGAGATGCGTTCACAAAATGGGGAACTATGTAGCAATGAAAAAAAAAATATCAGTTCATAAAGATAGGTTTGGTTTGTCCTAGTATTATTTGTATACTAATTCTGAAATTCCTCCTTCATGTGTGGTGAAGGAGAGAACAAATAAGTAAATATATTGAGTTTGTTAGGAAGGGAGAAGGGAGAAACATACATGAATAAAAAAGGTGAGAGTAAGTGCTATGCAGATTTGAATAGGTGATATTAATATAAATGCATATTCATGAATATATGTGTATTTGTGTACATACATATACATGAATATATGTCTGTAGTTGTGTATGTATAAATATGTAAGTGTGTATGTACATATATATATACACACACACATACACACAAATACGCACACACTAATTCTGGTTTTAAAATCCCTCTTAAAAAATCGAAGGCTCCTTAAAGAAATGCTTGAATCCTCCAAGATATGTAAAGTACAAGGTGAGTTTGGAATATCTTGTGGTGCCAGAAAATATGGAAGTGCTCAAAGGCCAATGGAGGAGGAGGTACAAATGTGACAATGCTACCAATTGGTGTAGCTAGAATGTGAATAGCATGTAAGTGTTCATTATACCATTCTTTCAACTTTTATTCAGGTTTAATTTTTTTTCTATAAAAGCTTTTTTATATTTATTTATTTATTTATTGAGACGAAGTTTCACTCTTGTCGCCCAGGCTGGAGTGCAATGGTGCAATCTTGGCTCACTGCAACCGTCGCCCCCCGAGTTCAAGTGATTCTCCTGCCTCAGCCTCCTGAGTAGCTGGGATTACAGGCACCCACCACCATCCTCGGCTAATTTTTGTATTTTTAGTGGAGACGGGGTTTTGCCATGGTGGCCAGGCTGGTCTCGAACTCCTGAGCTCAGGTGACCCACCCGCCTGGGCCTCCCAACATGCTGGGATTACAGGTGTGAGCCACAGTGACCAGAGTATAAAAGCTCTTTTAAAAACTATTTATTACCATTGATGATTGCTGAGATACCAACTTATTACTCTAAAAAATGACAGATATAGGAAAAGAAAGAGAAATTTGTTATACTTTTTCTGCACCAATTATTATTCAGAGGAACTAAAAAGTTGGTGAGAGAAAGATTTTTCTATCGAAATCCAGCTAAAAATAGAAAATAAAGTTATAGAATTAGAAAAATCACCATTTTTCAATCTCAAAAAAAAAAAAAAAAAAAAAAAAAAACTGAATCCGGACAATTACCATGAGAAGATTCTAAAACTATTAGGTGAAAAACTGATGTGGAACTGGGTAGTGCATGGATCAAGCTAGCAATATGTGAACCTACTAATTATAATGTGATGTGATAGAACACACCACCCTGAGCTAGGGCTGCCTAAAAACTTGAACTGGAATCTAATGGAAACTCTTAATCTAGATATTGGTTAATAAAGAATATTGAGGAAGCTGTGAACTGAATGCAAAATGTGTAATACTCTCTAGGACAAATTATCGAGTTTATCAAATAATTGTAAAAAAGAAAAAAGGAAAGAATCTGTTACAGAATACAAGAGACAGGAAAAATATAGCAATCAAAGGCTGTAGAAAGGCATTGTGTTAAAATTTGGGAAATTTGAAAATAATTTGGGTGTTAAATAATATTATGGAGTAATCATTAATTTCATAGTGAGTAATAATGTCCTGATATAGACTTATTTTAGAGATGAATATTAAGAATTTGAGTGAAATAATATAGAAATTTTTTCCAATTACTCCAGCTCCTTTCCCTCTAATAACAAAAAAAAAGAAAAAGCAGGGAGCGGGGAATAAATAAAACAATACTGGCAAAATGTTGATAATTATTGAAGTTGGGTGATGGATGTACAGGAGTTTATTATGCTATCCTTTCTATTTTTGTCTGTGTTTGAAACTTCTTAATTTAAGAAAAACGAAAAAGAAAAAGCTAATAATGGTTTGGCCAAGGATGTAGCAATAGATCTGAGATCAATGGGCAGAACTGAAATACAGCCTGGGGGATAACTAACAGAACAAATTGGATGTGGAAGATGAGCAGTGGGCAGTATTGTGCAGGTAACACCATTCTCCTGGGAGGGTCAGGGAAGATCCCTGATTTGTAGTATTTGCCAATTTCCATGATGTAACTACTCCCACCATGGTAATCTCAAACTGAACGTGGATTTGGGAAGAGGTGTGCACAACTGCCTCTTCTCATTAGGTAAGCCCAGTGCCAACACACTCCAGGATTTAAAAAAAAAATGATTAAACAAGGATTAGGCCTAAATTTTTTGTTTCAACGGTGGGGTAGAGTAGCTGAGATCCTACATTAGGTAAGTGAGAGCCCTTGTAAATTGGGGCATTAAAAGTAAATATACACGGGCAGGAGAAAGAAGTCAAATTTCAGAATAGTGGGAGTGCAGGGGAGAAGGGGGCACTGGGCACAGGTGCTCCAATAATTACTGTATTTGGAATTTTATATTTTAAGGTTGGTGGTGAGTATATGGGTGTTCATTTAATCATTCTTTTATCTTTATTTATTTATTGATTTATTTGAGACAGGGTCTCACTCTTTCACTATGATGCCCAGGCTGGAGTGCAGTGGCATGATCTCAGCTCAATGCAACCTCCACCTCCAAGGTTCAAGCGATTCTCCTACCTCAGCCTCCCAAGTAGCTGGGACTACAGGCATGCGCCACCATGCCCAGCTAATTTTTCTATTTTGTGGCAGAGATGAGATTTCACCATGTTGTCCAGGCTGGTCTTGAACTCCTGACCTCAAGTGACCTGACTGCTTTGGCCTCCCAAAGTGCTGGGATTACATGCATGAGCCACCGTGTCTGGCTTAATCGTTCTTTATATATTTTTGAATGTCATAAGTGTATCATAATAAATTACAAATGAAATAAAAATAAAGAGAAAAAGTAAAAAAGCTATCATGTTCCAAGTTAGTAATAAAATACCCATGAAGACAAAATAATGATAATATTGAGTAGTAATAACTCAATATTTTGAAGCCATAGCTGGTGATTCTGTTTACAATTCTAAAAAGTCAGCTCTTCTCACCACACAAACACTCATGGAAAGATATATGCTCGCATAGACTACATTTTATCTACTGGTGTTCAAGTATAGCATAATATTCTGAGAGGTAAGTATTTAGGAGCCCACTAGTCCACATATGTTTCAAAGCTGTCCCCTACATTTCCATGTCTTCAATCTCATTTCAATTTCTCTCACCATTAAAAATAAAGTTCTTGGCTGGACGTGGCATCTCACGCCTGTAATCCCAGCACTTTGGGAGGCCAAGGCAGATGGATCACTTGAGGTCGGGAGTTCGAGACCAGCCTGGCCAACATGGCAAAACCCTATCTCTACTAAAAATACAAAACATTAGCTGGGCATTGTGGTGGACGCTTGTAATCCCAGCTACTCAGAAGGCTGAGGCAGGAGAATCACTTGAACCCAGGAGGCAGAGTTTGCAGTGAGCCAAGATCACGCCATTGCACTCCAGCCTGGGCAACAAGAGTGAAACTCCATCTCAAAATAATAATAATAATAACAATAATATTATTCCTTTGGCCACCTTAATACTATAGGTGTCTTTTGCTTTGGACTTATATATCTATGTCACCTCCACCTAAGAAGTCACCATTGGTTTCATAAAAACAACAACAGCAACAACAACCACAAAAACTTAAAAATTAAAGGAAAGTAGCAGTTTGGGGAATGTTTCAGTAATGTAGCTGAAAAATGATAAAGACTGTTCAAGAGGACACCAAAAAGTGGAAAGATATTCCATGTTCATGGATTGGAAGAATAAACATTGTTAAATTTCCATACACCCAAAGCAATCTACAAATTCAATGTAATCGCTCAAAATACCAATGACATTCTTCACAGAAAGAGAAAAAAATTCTAAAATTTATATGGAACTGCAAAAGACCCAGAAAAGCCAAAGCTATAATGAGCAAAAAGAGCAAAACTGGAATAATCACATTATCTGACTTCAAATTATACTACAGAGCTGTAGTAACCAAAACAGCATGGTATTGGCTTAAAAATAGACACATAAACCAATGGAACAGAATAGAGAACCCAGAAAGAAATCCATATATCTACAGTGAACTCATTTTTAGCAAGGGTGCCAAGAACATACATTTGGGAGAAGACAATCTTTTCAATAAATGACGCTGGGAAAACTGTACATCTGTATGCAAAAGAATGAAACTAGATCTCTATCTCCCACCATATACAAAAATTAAATCAAAATGGATTAAGGATTTAAATCTAAGACCAGAAACTATGAAACTACTAAAAGAAAACACTGGGGAAACTCTTCAAAACATTGGTCTGGGCAATGATTTTCTGAGTAATACCCCACAAGCACAGGCAACCAAAGCAAAAATGGACAAATGAGATCACATCAAGTTAAAAACCTTCTTCACAGCAAAGGAAACACTCAACAAAGTTTAGAGGTAACCCACAGAATGGGAGAAAAATTTGCAAATATTAATCCCATCTGACAAGGGATTAATAACCAAAATATATGAGGAGCCCAAACAACTATCTAGTAAAAAAGTGTAGTAATCTGATTTGTAAATGGGCAAAAGATCTGAGTAGACATTTCTCAAAAGAAGGCTTGCAAATGGCAAACAGGTGTATGAAAAGGTGCTCAACATCACTGATCATCAGAGAAATGCAGATCAAAACTACAATGAGATATAATTTCACCCCAGTTAAAATGGCTTTTATCCAAAAGACAGACAATAACAAATGCTAGAGAGGATATAGAGAAAAGAGACCCTTGTACACTGTTGGTGGAAATGTAAATTAGTACAAGCACTATGGAGAACAGTTTGGAGGTTCCTTAAGAAACTAAAAATAGAGCTACCATATGATCCAGCTATCTCACTGATGGGTACATACTCAAAAGAAGGGAAATGAGTATATCAAAGAGATTCTGCCCTCCCATGTTTATTGCAGCACTGTTCACAATTGCCAAGATTTGGAAGCAACCTGTGTCCATCAACAGATGAATGGATAAAGGAAATGTGGTACATGTACACAGGGTACTATTCAGCCATAAAAACGAATGAGATCCTGTCATTTGCAACAATATGGATAGAACTGGAGGTCATTATGTTAAGTAAAATAAACCAGGCACAGAAAGACAAACTTCACATGTTCTTATTTGTGTGTGCTGAAAATTAAAAGAATTGAACTCATGGAGATAGAGAGTAAAAGGAAGGTTATCAGAGGCTGGGAAGGGCAGTGGAGGAATGAGAGGGGAAGTGGGTTACTGGGTACAAAAAAAAATAGAAAGAATGAATAAGACCTAGTAATTGAGAGTGCAACAGAGTTACTATAGTCGAAAATAATTTAACTGCACATTTTAAAATAGCTAAAAGAGTATAATTGAATTGCTTGCAGTACAAAGGATAAATGCTTGAGGTGACAGATATCTCATTTACCCTAATGTGTATCAAAATATCTCGTGTACCCCATAAATATACACACCTATAATATACCCACAAAATTAATTTTTTTAAAAAAGATGAAGGCTTGAATTAAGAAACCAAGAGTGAGCAGGAGGAGGTAAGTGAAACTACTATTTTTTTTTTTTTTTGAGACAGGGTCTTACTCTGTTGTTGCCCAGGCTGGAGTTCAATGGCACAATCTTGGCTCACTGCAACCTCCACCTCCCAGGCTCAAGCCATCCCCAACCTCAGTCTCCCAAGTAGCTGGGAATATAGGTGCACGCCACCATGCCCAGCTAATTTTTCTATTTAATGTAGAGACGAGGTCTCACTATGTTGCCCAAGCTGTTCTTGAACTCCTGGGCTCAAGCAATCCTCCCATCTCAGCCTCCTAAAGTGCTGAGATTCTGTGCCTGACCTAGAATTACTTCTTTTAAGGTAATGAAGATGACATGGATAAAAGAAAGCAGTATAGAGTTACATCCTAGATTTCTGGCTTGACATCTAAATTATGCCATTCACTGAAAGGCAAAAACAGGTCAAAGAGTGAGTTTTAGAGGCTAGAGGGGAAATAGGAGGTTTAGCTTGGGACACATAAAAGATGCCAAGTGGACATCTACTCCCACTCCCATCCCACAAGAACCCAAGTTTTTGTGAGACAAGTTTCATGGTCTCACAAAGGAATGATGCGGCAGATTGAATTATAGTGCATTAAGAAGAGACAAGTAAGTAAGGGATGCAGATAACAGTGTAGATCATTGTGGTCTTTTAAGATCTGCCAGGAGGTACAGGATGGAGAGAAGCTGTCAGATTTATATATCAGGGACATAGGTGAAGCAGTGTGGTTGGAAGAGAGGCAGAAATTGAAGCTGTATCTGCATAGTGTTTACTATGATACTAAGAAAATGTACTAATTGTTCAGTAAAAAGGGAGAGGGAGAGGACTAGTTAGCAGAACCAAGGGATAGTTGTTGGCTGATTAAATATTTGCTGGTCAGTTTAAAATGAGATGACTTGAAAACAAATGTATATATCCTCCCAGCCTCAGCAGACCACATGGAAAGCGTAGCTGGAAAAGGTTAGTATTAAAAATAAAGTTGCACTCTCCTCTCTTCCAAACAGAGAGAACCGAGAAAAGGAAGAGGATCATGGAAGTAAAATAGCATCCCTCCTTGTCTCACATGTCAAATTATGTAGGCAACAGAATTCAACTGAAGAATGACACGATGTCAGAAACTTTCATAGGACAGAAGAATTTAAAGCATACTTTGCTGAAAACTAATTCAGAAGTTTTGCTCCTTAGAAATGATATTTCCCCAGGGAAAGTATAGGTTCCTGCCAAGACAGAGAGAGCTTTTGCTTTCCCAACTAATGTTTTTGAGTGATCCCTCTCACTTTTCAACAATTATAATTTTGGTTTGGGTGTTTGAAATCATTTCAATCTGACATCTGGAATAATTACATAGCATTTCTAGGAAACCAGCTTTTTTTTCCCAAGAAAATTACATATAGTAACACATCTTCCTTGAAAATTCAATGCTTCAGATTCTTCACAATTTTGTACTCCACTAGAGAAAGTGAGCACAGCACAGTGGCAGGTCATCATGGTAGAGAGAGGATAGACTTTAAAATCAAGCAGGCTGGAGCTTGACTGTCAGCTCCATTAGCAACTAGCTGCACTGCTGCACTGCTCCAAGCCCCAGTAAAATGGGGCTCCGATAATAATCTCTGCCTTGTGGTTTTGTTGTCACGCTTAAGTGAGATAGCACATTCCAAGCTCAAATATGTGGTACATAGAACCTGTTCAATAAATGGAATCCTCTAGTACATAAATTACTTTAAAACAGTTGATAAGAAGTTAAGGTTATCAATAGTCTAGTAAATAACCACTCATTTTGATGTGGCTTTGGATGATGAGAACACAGTATCAAGAAACCTCTATAAATCAAAAAATGCTCTGTTGAATAAGACCATGACGTTCAAGACAAGCACAGATTATTATATTAGTAAATTGTATGTTTCTTATTGCTGCTGTAACAAATCACCACAAACTTAGCTGCTTAAAACAACACAAATGTATTGCTTTACATCTCCGCAAATCAGAAGCCCAAACAGGTTTCAATGAGCTACTATCAAGGTGTGGGCAGGTCAGGGCCATGCTTCTCCATGGGAGTTCCAGGGGAAAGTCCGTTTCCTTGCCTTTTCCAGCTCCTGCGGCTGCATTGCTTGGCTTGTGGCTCCTTCCTCCATCCTCAAAGCCCATCACTCTCATCTCTGCGGCCATCTTTTCTCTCCTACCCAGATCCTCCGGGCCTCTGTTTGATAAGGACCCCTGTGATTACATTGGGCCCACCTGAATAATTCTGGATACTCTCCCCATCTCAAGGTCCTTACTCATATCTGCAAAGTCCCTTTTGCCAGGCAAGGTAACATATTCACAGTCCTGGGGACCAGGACACGGACATCTTTGGGGTGGGGGAGCATTACTCAGTCTATCAAAAAAACAAAGGCGAATTACACAGATATGACATGTAGAAAGTAGCAGTTTGACAGTAAAAGGCTTGAAGTTTATTGTGGAACCTAATCTACACCACAAACAAAAAGGAAGTGCTGTGATCTAAACAGCAAATATGATACTGGAGTAAGAAAAGATGAAAGCTTTGCTGTTTATTTACAGCTGATTAGGACTTGAGGAGAGCTGCTATTACTAGTTTTATATAATGAGCTATGGGACAGACTCTAAGGAGAAAAAGTATAAATTACAAAAGTAATTGAGGAGGAAAAAAATAAGTCTTCTGAAAAAAATTAAGGAATTGCAACTGCATAGCTTGGGAGGGGAAAAATAGCATAAATCCTAATAATTAATTGCTAGGGTACAGGTGTGGGCCAGAGATAATTAGCAGGAAAGGTTGATCATGTGTTCTCCATGTTCACAGAGAGCTGACAAAAAGAGGAAATGAGCCAAACTGCAGTGAGGAGCTGGGCTTTTAAAAAAGGAAGTTCTTGACCATGAAGATCAGACTACCAAGGGAAGCTGTGTAATCTCCATCCTTAAAGAGCTTTAAAAATAGTATAAACAGCCATCTGCACAAGATGATTTATGCATTGACCTTCAGGAGGCGGGCCCAGATCATCTCATGAAGTCCCTTCCAAGTGTGGGATTCTATGATTTAATCAGTATGTGATTTTTCTCAGCTCTACATTTTGTGAGATAACCAGCAGATGGAAGCCACAAATTCCCCAACATCATACCAAAATCATGGTTCCTCACACTGGTAGGGCCCAGTCAAGCTTGCCAAATTGGCATCCGTTGTAAAAATCATTGAAGGACCCACCTCAAACATTTATTTATCTCCTTGTGGGTGTCTGGACCACCCATGTCCACAAAATGCAGATAATCTTTATATCGATTCATGTGCATTTCGCTCTGATTTAGCATAAGAGAAAGTTGCATACATTAAAAGCATTTGTCTGGTTGTGAAGCCTGAGACAGCAGCTCTCAAAAATATTATTAGAGATTTACAGACCCTAGTCTAAGCAGAAATGAGGCTGATTGGACACTTTCCTGAAAAAAAGTTTACAGCACACTTGGGCCTCAGTTGTTCTCACTTAGATAAGAGACATGGTTCTCTGTATATATTCGTTTGTTTATTGAACAAATATTTGGGCGCAAACTGTATTCTAGGTAAAGTATAAAGCATTGGGGCGGGGGGTACAACAGTGAGGCAAATACTGTTCTTCCCTCACAGAGCTTAGTGTCTCCTCCAAATAAACAGGCCATTTTGATGCCAAGCAATAAAAGCTACAACACAGTTACGAACAAGGTGCTATGGGATAGCATATGAAGAGCAAACAACCCAGTCTTAGGGGTCCTAAGAGGACTTTGGGAGGAAATAATGCCTAAGCTGGGATCTGAAGGATGATTCAGTGCTTCTGGGGGAGGAAGAGTGGTGGAGAAGTATTTCATGGAGAGGGAACGGTGTGGTGAGAAGCTGGTAGAATGCAGCAGTGTGGAAAGTGAGAAGCATTGGAATGTGGCTGGAGCATGGAGGACAGACAGGGAGGAGGGAGGGGGGCTGGGAGAAGGGAGAAAGCAAGGGCAAGTCAGAGATGAGGCTTCAGAGGTCATGAGAGGCCTCAAAAGCCATGCTAAAGAATTTGCACTTGATGTGCAGGTAATGAGCAGCTGTTGAATGATACAGATCAGATTTGTCCTTTCAAAATATTTATTAGCACACTTTTAAATGTAGAGGACAGAAAAACATTTACATTTGCTTCAGCAAAAGGAAAGGCTTATCTGAGGAATACTGGGAATCCAAGGAATCCAAGGAGTAACTGAGCATCCAAAAAGAGCAAAGCAACAGAGCTAGGGAGGGGGAGCACAGTGGTGCTGCCTCATTCATCGCCCGCTGCTGCTTCTTTGGGCTTCTTCCTCTCCACTTGCTCTTTCTGTTTCTCCAGCTTACACTAATGGACACCCAAAGCTTCTGAATTTTAAGCTCCCAGTCTTGACAATCCAGAGACAGACTGGCCCAATTCTCTTGTTTCCAAATTCAAAATTCCAAGGAAGAAGACGTATAGGCCCAGCTTTAGTCTAGGAGCTCATCTCTGGACCAAGGAGCTGGGGCCAGGAAGCTCTGTGCATTCCAACGGGGCAGCTGCTGCTGCAGCCACTGAATGGGAAGGAGAGTGCGTTCCCAGAGATGGAAGGCAGGGCTGCTTTCTAGATTAGCCACGCATCCTTGCAGCAGCCTCCATGGACTGATGGATGGGAAGACTGGAGGCACAGACCCAGTGTGGAGATGGCTGCGTGTGTATAGCTTGTGCCTGAGGCCAGTTGGGAGATGTGCAGTCTCCACTGAGACCAAGAACTACCCAACTGCACTGGCCACTGGCCCAGGGCAAGCTCTGGCTCTCCATTAGTCCCCATGGGCCAGAGGACAGGTTGCTCCCCTGGTGTTCTTTATTCAAAACTATAACTGCTGGCAGGCTCTGCTCTCATGTATGAATTTCCAATCAGCATGCTTTTACTCAAATTGTTCTTTTGTTTCATTGTGTTACTAAAAAAAAGTCTGACAGGTTGGCATGCTTGTTTATGTGAATGTCTGGAACTGCAATTTCTTGTATGTTCATGCAGGATCACTATATAGGCTACCGTTTATAATATTCTCGGAAACAGTCAGTATTTAAAAATATTTTCTTAAATTAGTGCTGAAGTGTGAGATGTAAACCTTTTTATTAATGAATAATTTACCTCCCTTCAATTCTCCATCAGGTTTAAATTTCTGCCATTAGACTCTACATAGAACAGTATGTATGCAATTACACGTTTAACCACTAGATGGCACCATACATCTTTTATTCTAATTATCTCAATAACTTAAATGGGATTTGCGTTTTTGTTTTTGTTTATTGCTTTCCACAGAGTTAATGATATTTTCGCACTGGTTATTGAACATTCATTAGTGTCACTACTTATTTGTGATACTGCCTTTAACCATATACTAAATTTTTAAGTGTGCTAGACAATATTTCCTAGGAATTTCTTTCCTTTATCTGTCAATCCTTACTATAAAACCACGCTGTTTTAATTATTTTTGTTTTACAATACCTTCTAAAACCTGCTGTCACCAGTATTCATCTTCAATTATGTTTTTGTTTTCAAAATATTTTTTATCCATTAATTTATCCAAATGAAATTTAGGTTTATTTAATCAGTTTTTTTAAAAAAATTCTACAATGGCACTTGTATTGGAATTGCTAATAAATTTAAAAATAGCAATAACAATAGATATAAGTCAATTTGGAAGGAAGTTCCAACTTTGCAGTATTTATTTCCTTCAGCAAAATGAATGCTTTGAAACAGTGATGTAGACAACTGCATATACATAGTTTTTGGCGTGTGTGTGTGTGTGTGTGTGTGTGTGTGTGCATGTGCAGAATAAAGTAATATATAGAGATATAGAGAGAAGCATATTCAAACATACATTATAAAAGATGAAAAAAATGGAGGGGATATTTTCACATCTAACTAACTATAGGTAGATTGGCTAAATTTATTATTATATAATTCAAATGGGATATTTTGCTCCATTAAACATAATGATTTCAAATGATATATACAGCATGGTAACATATTTGTTTAAAAAATAGAGACAGAAGAAAACGGGTAGTAAGCTAACTTATTCTCTCTGAGAGGTAAAATTATAACTAACTCCTAGTCACTTAATGCTTTTCAGAATTTTTTACATTTTCTATACTGACATGTATTACTTTCATAATCAAAAAAGAAAGGCAAACTTCTAAGCCTTTAAAACAGTTGAGCTTTATGGAAATTTCAAAGATATACCATTTTCTTATACAGATTGATTTATTGCTCAATTTTTCATAACAATTACTAATTCAATAAATACATCTAGTGATATTCAAAGTAAGGAGAACTTCCATAGCTAGGAGAGAAACTTTATGACCTGTGCATGTCCCCTGCTAGAGCCTCAGGGAGTTGATATTATAACATGTTGCAGGTCACAGTGGTTAGAAGTGTTTATGCAGGACCCTTCACCTCCACTTCTCTCGATATGTCCAACCTCTCAGGCTTCCCAGTCTTCGCCTTCTAGTAAGTGACAAAAATCAGAGCTTCTCAAACTTTCTGGTCTCCAGGCCCCTCTTAAAAATTGGCTATCCCCAAAGGACTTTTGTTTATCCAGGCTATATCGATTAACATTTAACATATCCAAAATTAAACAGAAAGTCCTAAATATTCATTTTATTGATTTAAGTTAAAAGAATAGTTCCATTACAAGTTAACATAAATAATACTTTTTATGAAAAAGACTGTGTATTCCAAAACAGGAAAAATAACAAGAAAAATGCCATTGTTTTACATGACTTAATAGAAGACAGGTGGATTCTCATGTTTGCTTCTGTACTCAGTGTTTATTATCATATTTTGCTATCATAAGTTATCTAGCCTCTGGAAAACTTCACTGTACACTCCCAAGACGAAAAGAGCAAAAACAGCAAATGACATCTTAGTATCATTAGGAGAATAGTTATGACCTGAAAAAAGGTCTTAGGGAACCCCAGGGGTTCCCAAACCACACTTTGAAACTAATTACTGAGCTGGATTAAACTAACTGAATTATCATCACTCCACATTCTTTCCTTTTTTTCTTTCTTCTCTAATATTCACGAGCTCAATTAAAACTGAAAAAAAATAATGGCGAGAATAAGAACACTAGCATGAAACAATGGTCCCTCATTACCCACTTGCTTGTGTGGAATGACCAGCAAGGTCTTTTTTTTTTTTGAGACGGAGTCTCTCTCTGTCGCCCAGGCTGGAGTGCAGTGGCGCGATCTCGGCTCACTGCAAGCTCCGCCTCCCGGGTTCACGCCATTCTCCTGCCTCAGCCTCCTGAGTAAGCTGGGGATGCAGGCGCCCGCCACCATGCCCGGCTAATTTTTTTGTATTTTTATTAGAAACAGGATTTCACCGTGTTAGCCAGGATGGTCTCCTGACCTCGTGATCCGCCCGCTTCAGCCTCCCAAAGTGCTGGGATTACAGGCATGAGCCACTGAGCCCAGCCTGACCAGAACATTTTAAGCCAGATCTGTATGCATTCTGGAAGTGACTGGGTTTGTTGAGGTCATCTCTACCCTCGTGCCACCATATATCACCAGCACTTCCTGGTTACTGCTTGTTAATCTTTGGAGATAATTAACTTATGTTTCACTTTGTCTACCTCTAATTCTCTCCTACTTATTAGTGAGTTCAGTATCCCTATAGCAGATCCTTTCCAATGTCTGTTCTCTCAGTTCCTTGGCCTCCCCACTTCTAGAGATATTGTTCTCCTCTTTACCTTGGCCACTTATTCCCATGGATAAACAATTGTACTTTTACCATAACTGCAAACCCTCCATAACATCAATTTTAAGCAGCTTACTATTCTGGTCAATAACTGCTATTTTTCAACTCATTTCCTGAACCCCAATTCCAATAGTCCCCCAACCTCACAAACAACTACAATCTGCCTGGAACTCTCTTCCCTAATTAGTCACTTGGCTCAATCCATCCTGCCGTCTTCAGTCTATTGATCCTGCTGGTTTTCCTTGCAGCCTCACTTACTTCCTCATTATCTTGCTTAAATTTCATGGTCACTCATTATAATCACTCCCTTAAATTTGCCCCCAACTTCTCTGCCTTACTTTTGTTCATCAAACTCTCTTGGATAAAGCCAAACCCTAGTTAAATTTGACATTCTGCCTACACTGTGACTACACTCACACAAATGAATATATCTAGAGAAAAATCCACTAACGACATCAATATAGATTCATGATCATTAACATTACCAGGGCGATTAACACTGCCTAGCAATTGTACTGTATTTCCCTAGATAATTTACTGTTCTACTCTCCTATGTGGTTATTTCTTACCTTCTCTCTTCTCAGATTCCAACACCTCCTCCCCCATCCTCATTCCCAGCTTATGGCTTTGCTTCCTGTGTAACTAAGAAAACTGAAGCCATCAGAAGACACCCTCCATGTCCTCCCCTGATGCATGTGTGTACACATGTTCCAACTCTCTTCCTGCGATATAGTTGAGCCATCCCCATTTCTGAAGGCCAGCCCCTCCAGTACAGCCCTGGATCCCCTCTGCTCTAACCTACTCAAGTCATTGTTCCAGCCATTTTCTTCTCTCCTCTCTCATCAGTGTATCCTCTCTTTTTTGTCTGTATTGTCTGGTAAAACCTTTCATCATCCTATTGTCTTTGTAGCTAATGCCCATTCTTTTCCTTACCTTAAGAAAAAAAAGTAACAAAACAAAACACAGCTCTTTGAAAAAGCTGTTTATCATTGCCTCTAATTTAGCTGTTCCTGCTCTCTGTTGAACCTACTCTAATTGAAATTTATTTCATTTTTTCCCCCAATTTGCTCCTATCAAGCTCACCAGTAACTTCCACATTGCTAAATCCAGTGCTCAATTCTCAGGCTTCATCTTCCTTGAAAAGAATTTGACATTTGACAGAATTTTTCACTCTCTCCCTCTTAGAAACTCTCCTCACCTGGCTTCCAGAATATGTTGCTGTCTTGGGTTTCCTCTGTGTGACAGCTATGAAGGAAGAAAAGAGCAGAGTGTTGGTTGGAATTGCACAGGTCTCCGTATTCATTAGGAGATTAGGTCAGAAAGAAAAGCAGTTGAAGAGAGAAGGCTCAGGTGGCTCACTTGGGACTGAAAGAGAGCGAGAAAATGACCTTTGCATGACGTGACAGGAAGACATTGAGCCTGATAAGATCATCTCAGTGAGCAGATGGATATTGACATTCAGCACATCAGGTCCTGAAGATCAAGGATCTAAGCAAAAAGCCAAGAGATGCAGCAATGACAGGGAAGGGTAAAGATAAGGGTAATAATATCAAAAATCCCAACTTCAGCGTGGTAACCAGATTGTACTAATGCATATATATGTACTACCATGCATATATTTACTGTCTAACTTTTACAAAGTGTTTTCACATCTATTAATTGATTTCTTCACAGTATCCCTAGGCAACACAACTATTGTTATCCTAATTATATAGATGAAGAAACTGAGGCTTGCAGAGGTTAAAACAACTGTCTAAGATTATACCAGGAATTTTAACAGAGTTGGGACTAGAAGCCTGATCCAGAAAAATCAAGAAGCAGTTCCCAGGCAGTTTCTTTCTAACACAGAAATCCTGGGCAACTGAGTCAGAAGCATCTGATGGCTTGGTCCAGAGAGACCAGAGAATCAGCATCAGATCTTGAGACTGGGTGCCAGGTATGGATGGCACAGGGCTGGGTGGAAATATGTAGCAATACTGACAAGCCAGCGTCTGTGTAAAGGGCACTTTATGAAGGCCAGGATCCCAGTAGAAGGAGATGAGCTGAGCTGAGCTGAGCTGAGACAGGTAGCCTTAGCAGGTGGGTTCACCTGATTGAGGGGGTACAGTGGAGGTAGAGGAAGACAAGTAATATCTGACAATCATCCCAAAGAATAAATGAACCCACAATTCTCTGTGGAAAATCTGATGTTTAGTTCCCAGAGTTGTTAGGCCTCCAGCCTAGGGAAGAGGAAAATATTTGATGTTTGATAGCCATTGGAGACTGAGTGAGAGATGGGAAAGATAGATTTTTTCCCTCTTAAATTCATCATTTGAGGAATTTTAAACAGTCCATGGAAAGTGCATAATCCTCACAAAGTAGAGGAATAAACAAGTTATTTCCTTGACCTGCCATTTGTCACTCTCGTTGGAACAGGATTTTTGAAATTTCCAGTATAAGAAGTATATTGAACAAGCATGGCCCATTGTGAAATCACAGCACTCCCCTTCAAGTGTTCAGTGGAGTTAACCTTCCCTTGCCCCAGTTGAACATTCACGTGCATCCCAGGACTTTTCTAGATACTCTTGGGTGTGTATGTGAGGACAAGAACGTCCTACAATCCCTTTAGTAACAAGTGAGTGGAATTCAGTAATCAGAACATCTTACATAACCAGAAACTGAAACTGATTTAGCACTAAACCTTTTCCTGTCCCTGTTCCTTGGCTGCTCCGCTGTGGATGGCTTATTCTCTATTCCTCACCTAGTGCTTTCCCTCCTCCCTTCTGATGCCCTCCCCGCAGCTTGCCAGCCAGTTTCTGGGCTAAGGCCAGAGCTAGAAGAGAGACATGGTAAAGGGCCAGGAAATGTCCTTCTTGTACTGGCTTCGGGCTTTCCAGGCCTGGCAAATGTTTGCAGATGAGTCTTTCTTTCATGGGCACTTTCACGGGCATCCTGTAGGTTCCCTGGTGGGCCCCTGCCCTGCAGTCCTGTCCTGGGTTAATGCATCCTATTATGGGTGGCCCAAGGTAGGTAGGGTGACCAACTATCCCAGCTTGTCCAGGAATATTCCCATTTTAGCCTAAAGGGCCCACATCTTGTGAAACTTCTGAGATCCGGGCAAACCAGAATGGTTAGTCAGGGGTTACTCATGAGTCCTTCTGTAGCCCTTAATTATCTGATATTAACTTCAACTTCTGGCTTCTGGCCCTTCAACCATCTAGGGTCCTTGTACAAATTCATAAAAAACCCACACTGACTCACTTGCCCAATCACCCCACACATAGCTAGTCCACAGAAAATATTCCTTTGCCTTTGAAATCTGAAGGTATAAGCTTTCCATCCTGCCTGAATTCAATATTTGTGAAAGTCATCTCCATGTGCATAGGCAAAGCAGCTCGCTGGCCTCCCTTCCCCTTTTCTGGAGAGAATTCAGGATTGTCCTGGGCCCATTTGAATGGATTCATTCCCATCACCTCTGAGAAGGCTTGGCAATGGCCAAGGGGCCTCAAGGGGTACCCAGTCTGGGCTTCTTGGAAAGATGCATATTATTTGTAGATGTGGTCAAATCTGCTATCACCCTTATGCTGTATCTGCTGAGCCTACAAATTACAAATTTCCCTAACCATGGAGGCCCCTATCTAGGTCTGTTTTATATGGTGATAATAAATACCTTACTGATTAAATCACCTTTTAAAAACACTAATTTTAGGCTGGGCGCAGTGGTTCATACCTGTATTCCCAGCACTTTGGGAAGCCGAGGCGGGCAGATCACTTGAGGTCAGGAGTTCAAGACCAGCCTGTTCAACATGGAGACAACCTCATCTCTACCAAAAATACAAAAAAAAATTAGCTGGGAGTAGTGGTGCTCACTTGTAATCCCAGCTACTCGGGAGGCTGAGGCAGGAGAATCAATCGCTTCTGGGAGAAGGAAGTTGCAATGAGCTGAGATCGTGCCACCACACCCCAGGCTGGGCAACAGAGCAAAAACTCTGTCTCAAAAAATAAAGAAAGAAAGAAAACAAAAATGCTAATTTTAATAAAAATAAAGCTATTAATTTAAATGAAAAGATAAATACAAACTTTTAATAACATACAAAATTTTTAATAAAAAATAAATATAATGCCTTATCTTCTTGCCATTACTCTCTTTGAATTTTTACAGCTTAAGTTGCTCCTAACTTCAAGGAAGGTGATTCAAAACTTTCCAAATGAACTCTTGGAGGTCTCCCTTACTAAACATGGGGTAAACCTGAATGGAGCAACTGATCTTTCCAAATAAATCATTTCAAAATTCTCCTCTATGTCAACTCTTTCCATTCTGAAAGTGGTTGAGGGGATTCAAGTCATGGAATGTAAATTTCACATACTGTGATCTGGCTTTGGAATATCACATCAATTCTATCTTGGTGTCTCAGTCTCTAACTTTAATTTTAACACTCTATTACACAAGAAACAAAATAAAAACTAACCCAGTAGGTGGCACCTGCAGAAATATATGCAGAGCATGTGTGGCAGATTGTATTTTCCAAAAATGGCCATAGCAATATTTATGTTCCCACATACTCTCCCAGAACCTTGACATCCTTCCATCAAGCAGTGGAATCTATTATCTCCCCTTTGAATATGGGGCACCTCAATGACTTGCTTTTAACAAATACAATGTAGTAGACGTGATGCTGCCTGACTTCCTAGATGAATTAAAAGAAGGCAATATAGCTTCTGACTAGTTCCTCTCCCCACCCCCCTCTATCTTTCTCCTCTCTCTCTCTCTCTCTCTCTGTCATAATCTGGACCAGTGATAAAATTTGTGGAACCCAGGAGAAAATGAAAATGAGCAGCCTCTTCTTTCAAAACAGTGGCAAGCACAGAGCCCTCTTCTGTGTGTGAGTCTTGTGTAACTACACAGGACACAAATCCATAAAGCAAGCCCTGTTTAAGATGCTTATCTTTGAAAATCAGCCACCATGTTGACAGGAAGCCCAGCCCAAATGGAAGAGTTATGTGTAGCTATTCCACTTGACAGCTGCTTAGTTAACTTGGACAGTTCTAACAAAATACCATAACTGGGTGTCTCAAACAACAAACATTTATTCCTACAGTTCTGGAGGCTGAAATTCCAAGATCATGGTGCTAGCAGGGTCAGGTTTTAGTGAGGGATCTCTTACTGGTTTACAGACAGCCACATTTGGCTGTGTCCTCAGATGGTGGAAAGAGGATGAGCTAGCTCTCTGACCTCTTCTTATAAGGGTACTAACCCCATTAATGAGTGTTCCTTGCTCCAGACCTAATGATATGCCAGAGGCTCCACCTCCAAATGCCATCCCACTGTGGATTAGATTTGAACATATGAATCTGTGGGAGACACGAACATTCAGTCCACAGCAATAGTCCTAGAAATACCCTCAGCAACAGCCAGAAGCACCCCCAGACATGTGAGTGAGCAAGCATTCAGATGATTCCAGCCCCAGCCTTTGAGTCTTCTGCATATGGCTCCTGGCCTCACACAAAAAAGCTGCCCTCCCTGTGCCCTGTCCAAAGAATCCATGAACATAATAAAAGGTTGTTTTGCACCTCTAGATTTGGGGTCATTTGTTACTCAGCCAAGTAACTAGAAATGCATGACTTAGAGACAGGACTTATGAAGGATATGCAGACCAGTCACACCTGCCTTGTCTCTGACATGGCAGCATCTCCCAGAAGCATGTCTTCTAATACCATCTGAGTCCTCCCCAGTGTTGCTCCAAGTCTCTGGACTACAACCACCACAACACCCTAGCAACAGACCCCAAAACTCTCCCTCTGCAGCCTTCTGCTGCCTGAAGCAGCTGCTGCCTTAGACACCTTTTCCAGTATCGAACCTTCATGGTCCTCCACATGAGGCTGTGCAGCTCCATGAGGACCACAGAGACCACTCACTCAATACCACAAGCAACCCTTCAAATACAGTCATCACCAATGAGACTTGTCCCCAACTTCAGATTTGGGGTTACCCTTCCAGCAACCATACCCATTAAATTGGGAATTTATGTATCATTTACATCAGGGTTTCTATGAAAATGAGTCTGAGGCTCAAACTTCATAGTTTTGAAACTCAACCTTTTCATTGGTTCAGAACCACAATCCAAGCTGTGATCGCATACGCTCCATTAGACTTAAATAACTGTTGGGATTCAATGACTCTGTCCTTTCTGCCTGCTTATCTGAGTGCCTTTGGAAGCCATATCTCTTGGAATTTAGCACACTCAACCCATAGCAAATTAATATGTCATAGCATAGAATTTTGTACTTCTAAAAGAAGTACAAAAATGAAAACTAACTAGAAGGTTAGACATTTTTTAGGTTTTACAAATTATGAAACCATGACCACTAAAAGAAACTCATCCATTATACAAAATGATGTTATGAGTTATTTTGAAAAATATCGGAATGTTCTCAAAGTAAATGGTGTTTTTTACCATAGTAAATTTATTCCATGCAACAACTTACTGAATTATTTGCTTTGCTCTTGTTAGTTCCCAAATTCAGCTGTTCCTAAGTGAAGATGCCTTTTTCTCTAAGTTTTCCTTTCAGTCATACATTAGTGCCTGTACCATTTCAAAGCCATGTAAACATTAACTTACATAATATGTAGTTTTTAAGAACCAAAATGTTCTCAAATTTTGAAAATATTTCTTACATTTCTCTTTGGTATCCAATTGCCAAACAAACTTAAATTCAAATTTCTATCAAACTTGTTTTCTGTATCCAAACCACTCTAATTAAACACACCAAGCATAATAAAAAATAAAATAAAAAATTAAAATAAAATAGCATTGCATCCTTAAAGGATTATGTTGAATTATTAAAAAAAAAAAAAACAAATCTGCAGTGTTGTTTTTTCTGTTTTTTTTTTCTCTTTTCTTTTTCCTGAATCATGTCCAAATTAAACCAAGCATGACCATAAAGAAAGGTTATCAAAATACTCACAGTTCAGGCTCCCTACAGGACCGTTCATACTGCTATAGTATTACAAAGTAGTAATAAAAGTGAGTTATGAGGAAATGTGAATTCCTAGCAAGAAAATCTAAAAACAGGATGTTAGAGAACAATGGAAAGCCACCCTGCCTAGTAGTGTATGTACAGTTAGAGAAATTGGCCAACCAAATTCTATTATAAAATAAAGAGAAACAGTATCATTTTTAAAGCACTTTGGAATATTTTTACAGTATTTTGCTCCAAGTAGACACTCAATTATACATTTGCTAAATAAAATAATACAGATTATCTCATTGTTTTACTCCTCAACAACCTTGCAAAAGGGATAATACTATAACTATTACTCAGGAGAAGTTCTGGAGTTCTACAGCTACCATTGTGGCCAGTGCTTTTCCAATATTACACATCTGACACTGCATTCACTCTTTCTTTCATTCATTCATTCATTCATTCATTCATTCATTCATTCATGCATCCATTCATGAACTCTTCAAAGCCAAACTTGTGATTAGTGTATTCAAGGAGAACAGGAGAAAGCAATGCAGTGGGGGAACAGAGACATGTAACCACAGCACTGCATTGCACAATAGTGGTGTCATAGAGATAAACTGCTCTAGGGTCAGACAAGGCTCCCTGGAGCAGCTGACACTCAGCTGAATCTTTAAAGTGGAGACTAACAATGTTGTTTCAATCCATTTTGTCTAAATCAGCACTTCTCAAACTACACATGAAGGAACGCTAATATGAGGCTTAATAACAATAAATATTCTGTGGATGACAGAGTATCCCTATTAGCAGCAGTTGCTCTGGAGTTTGATCTAGTTCTTCATTCATTGCAAATGATTCAGGTTGGCCCATTGTTTCACCGAGGAGCCTGCTGGGTTTGACCATTCAGAATTAGCCTGTCATGATCTGGCTCATGCATGCAGTAAGACCCCATAGGTGGCCAGATAACTGAATATTCTGAATTTTAAGACTAAGGGACAAGACTCTGGAGCAGAGGGGACACTGTAAGACATTGCATCACACCACAAGTCTCACCCTTGTTGCAGCTAATACCTTGGGTGGCTTTTCTTAATTGTTTAAACAGAACTTAAACATTCTTTAGATGGATTTGAGGGTGTGATAAAGAAAGAATTTATTTTAAAAACAAACTGGAAGTGATAATAAGCTGGATTGCTCTATATTTAAGTAAGAAGCCAAACATAACTTATCAAAGGGCCTTTTGAAGTTGTACAAGGCAAAGTCTTCTCTGCTTCAGGGTGAGACCAAGTAGCGCATATTATGGAAAGCCACTCAGCTCCCACAGTTTCTGGGAGAACAGAGAAAAGAGCCCATGGGTTGCCCGTTTAAAGTGAATAATCTAAGTACTGAAATGTTGAAAGCTGAAATCAGAATTAGATTAGTTAGAAAAAAAGTTAAAGTGAGAAAGAGCCTCTCCAGGAATCTCCCATTGTACACAGCAAGTGGCCAGGCCTCCGTAACAACCCTGAGAAGAGCACACCACTTTGTGAATTAGAAATTTGGCAGTAACCTACGTAGGCCTACCATTTCCAATGTGTTTCATGTCGTTTTTATAGAAGTCTCAAGTTGGTGTTTGTAATTTCTACAAAAATTTTCCCTCGGAATGAGATTTGTGTTGATGGGAATTGTTTGTGGGAGTTCTAAGGTTTGCTTATGGTTGCCACATTTCTCAATGGTTGGGGCAAGATGGTACAAGTTCAGAGTGGAAGGGGTGCCCTCTCCAACATGACAGAGCGCATCTCAGGGCCTGAGCTAACATCTAAAGAGACTTTGATATTGAGTGGCATAGAATGTTCTTTATTTTAGGTGATGCGTCAGATGTGCAGAAATCTCCCTGGAAGTTGTGCAGTGTGATTGTGCAAACACTGAGGCTCCTGCAGCAAGAAGTCTGAACAACAAGAAATGGTAATAATTGCTGAGACTTCGCTCTGCACTGGACCTTCCTGTAACACATTGCCTAGATCATCAAAGAAGTGGGACTCTCTGAAGAAAGGAAAAATTTCAGCCAGTTATGACATTTGGCTCTACTGTGTTTGTACAAATACCAACTCAATGTTTATTGACCCAGTCAGTCCAGTGGAAAATGAAACTGAGAAAAACAAGAAATAACAAACTAGAAAGTGAGTTATTTTCTTAGCATTTTAATTATAAGGAAATTTCACAATTATACACATATTATTTGTGTGTGCAAGTAATCTTGTAAGTTTATTTACTTATGTAACAAATGTTTTTCAAGTGTTTACAATATACCAAGTACACCAGCCTCATGCCAGGTGCTGAAGACATAGAAGTGAAGCAGTGTTTTGATTTTCTGTTTCTGTGTAACAAACCGCCTCAGAACTCAATGCCTTAAAACTACAATTCATTATGCTCTTTCAGTGAGTTGACTGGACTCAGCTGGACAGTTCCAACTTGGCATTGCTCATGTAGTGACAAAGATATAGTGGTTGGGGCTAGAGGCATATGAAGGCTTGACTGGTCTGGACATCCAAGTTGTTTTGTGTGCCCGCAGCTGGGATGGCTAGGAACATCTGGAGCTGTCTAGACCATTTCTTTCTCTCTCTCTCTCTCTGTGCATATGGCCTATGCACCTGGCCAACTTCGGCTTCCCTAAGCAAGGCAATCTCAGGTAGTCAGATGTCTTCCAAGTTTTTCTGGAGCACAGAGACCAAGCCAGAAGCTGCAAGGCTTCTTACAACCTAGCCCAAAGTCATGCAGCCTCCGTTCCACTGAATTATATTGACTACACAGGACAAGCCCAGATTCACTGTGGGAGAAGATGACCCAAGGCTATGAATGTAAGTGTGGTTTGTTAAGGGACCATCTTTAGTGACTAAACAGGACAAACAAGCATCATACCTAGCGTCAAGTATTTATAATAGTTAAATAAACATTGGATTCAGAGTTGTAGTCCTGACTACTACCTTAGTCTTCGCCATGTGATTGTCAAAGTGATTACGCATTTAAAAACAAAATAACAAAAACGTAACTAAAATCACTATTGAAGAGGATTTATAAATGTTATATACAATTAAGTACTTGGCAGCAATTAAAAACTATGCTTTCAGCCAGTCATGGTGGCTCACACCTGTAAGCCTAGCACTTTGGGAGGCCAAGGAAAGAGGATCACTTGAACTCAATCAAGACCAGCCTGAGCAAAATAGTGAGATCATGTATCTAAAAAACAATCAACAACAAAAACGAAACAAAAAAGAAAACTATGCTTTCAAAGAATCTTTGTAAATGGAAAGTATTCAAGTTAAGTAAACAGCAGACCATGTAACCAGTGTATGTAGAGCATCCCCAATCTTCGTTAAAATACACATGTATATACACACACAGGTACGTGTATAAATACACTCATAGAAACAAGACTAGAAAGAATCCCATGAACACGGGTTAAGATGGTTGGGATGTGGGTGATTTTTCCTTCCTTATACTTTTCCAAATTTACTGTAATGAAAATGTATTTCTTTTATAACAAAAATTATGATATGTCATATAACTAACATGTATAACTAACATCCTGAGAAAAAAGGAAAGGGAAGAGTTAATCTTTATACTTATTTCTGGAACTTAAGCTTTCCAAAACTCTACCATAGGAAGATGGCAAATAAGCATGGAATCCTTGTATGATACTTCGTAAAAATGTAGACTTTAAGGTAGACCGTAGATTCTAGCTGTTTGTCCTCAATTTAGAAGACATAATTTACATTGAGGCTGAAGTTGGAAGAGTCCTGTCTGGACAATAAACTAAGTTAAAGCTGATGAATATGTTTTATCATGTGAAATGTACTAAGCTAGTGATAATAACATTGTTTTGCTTGTTTTAGAGCTTTATATAAATAATATCATATTTTGTTTTCTGCCTTTCTACTTATTTTCTCCATAGCACTATTTTATTATCTTTTAAAATGTAGTATTGGATACATACAAAATAACATACTTTTTTTTTTTTTGAAGTGGAGTCTCGCCCTGTCACCAGGCTGGGGGGCAGTGGTATGATCTCGGCTCACTGCAACCTCCACCTCCCAGGTTCAAGCAATTCTCCTGCCTCAGCCTCCCTAGTACCTAGGACTACAGGCACCCACCACCAAGCCCGGCTAATTTTTGTATTATTAGTAGAGATGTGGTTTCACCATATTTGTCAGGCTGGTCTCAAACTCCTGACCACGGGTGTTTATATATAAAAACTACAAAGCATACCAATAAAATAAACCCTTACGAAGTCCACCACCAACTTCAGAATTAAAACATTTTAAATACCTATCTTCTTCTTCATAGTTTCCCTGACATATATACCACAACAATATTCACAGTAGTATGCACAATTATAACACAAAACTGAAACCAATACAAATATCCATCAACTAAAGAATAGACAGGGCTGGGGCGGTGGTCATGCCTGTAATCCCAGCACTTTAGGAGGCTGAGGTGGGCGGATCACCTGAGGTTTGAGACCAGCCTGACCAACATGGAGAAACCCTGTCTCTACTAAAAATACAAAATTAGCCGGGTGTGGTGGTGCATGCCTGTAATCCTAGCTGGAGGCTGAGGCAGGAGAATCACTTGAACCTGGGAGGCAGAGGTGGCGGTGAGGCGAGATCGTGCCATTGCACTCCAGCCTGGTCAACAAGAGCGAAACTCTGTCTAAAAAAAAAAAGAATAGACAGATAATCGTAATATATTCACCCAATAGAGGACACATCAGGGAAATGAGTGGACTACAGCTATACACAGCTGAGTACAGGTAAATCTTAGAAACATAATAAGTGGAACAATTAAGGCCCTGAAGACCATATATTGAGCCTTTGCTCTGTGTGCTGGCCTCTTCACATTACTTATTGCCTATGTTAGAAAAGTGGGATTCCCTGATTCCAAAGTACCAAAACTTTGATGGCCATGCCTGAAAATTTGTCTCCATAGCACCTGACCCAGGACACAGTAAGAACCTGCCTCTCGTGCCTCAGCCAGTCCCACAGTTCTTTTCCACAACTTACCTCTCCATTTCAGTCTATTTAGAGTGTCTTTCTCTCTGTTATCTAGGAGATTTTTTTTTTTTTTGGTTCGTGTGTTTATTTCAATGATGAACTTAAAATCAATAAAACATGCACATAATTAGTTTATCAAACAGTTTGAACTGGGAAGAGGTTCAAACCTAAAACCGTTTTTTTTTTCTCCTCCAATTTGCTGCATTCAGTTGTGCTAGGATAAACCTTCCTTATCAGTTACTTTTAGGTTACTTCCAGCCTAATTTATTTTAATCCAGTTAAAACATCATTCTCATAGAGTTCCCTCCTCTGCCCAGAGCTCATGCTGCTTGACCCATGGCCTGAAACCTGAAGGACAGAAAAGGTGTGGTCCTCACTTTCTTTTGATGTCCCCACTGTCTAGGTGACTGGGTGGGTGGAGGAATAGGAGTTATGTAAAGGGATAATTGAGTCCTGCTTAATAAGTGCTGTCACATGGTTCTCTTTGGGCTACACTTTCTTGATGTGGTAGCAGTCCAGACACTAGCTCTTTAGGGGGACACAGTGCAAAATCACTTTGGGGCACAGTGTGTTCTTGTGGGAGAACCCACTCACCGCATTGTTTTGGGTATAGGATATCTGTCCCGGTTTCACTTATTCCAATCTCTTTATCCAGTTGTACACTAAAGCTGGCTCCTATCAGCCAATTGTTAAATTTTCAGGAATTTTGTGAGCTGGTTGTTAATCCATTGGTAGCTTGAAATCGACCACGGTGAGAAAATTTACACTACAGAAATTAGCAAAAATTACAACTCTGGTTTACTTTCTTTTTTTCTCTTGGAAAGTCAGTTAAACATATACTAGCATTTACTAGAATGTCCATGGCTCTCATCTCCTTTCCCCAGTGACCTACCCACAGTCTCTTGCAGCTTCATCCAGAGGACAGCCCTTTGGGAAAGGGGTGCTGGCAAGAAGACTGAAGCTTGATTATTGCATAAAGCATTTGAGTGGCTCAGGAAAATCATGCAACCTTCCCACACCAATGGGCAGGAGTGCCCACAATTGCATTGTTGGCTCTTCACACCACCCTGTCATTTCTCTTCGAATTTCTGCTCTTTCTGCTCAGATTAGCATAGTAGCAGTTCAGCAATCAACTACATAAGCAGGCGTGTGCTCAGGAAAGAAATATTGACCTCCCCTTCTTCTTCCCTTTGGAGTACCCTCAATCTCTGGAAACAATTGTCTCAGGGGCCCCTTCCTACTCAGAGAGTCTCATACAAACAGCACTCCAAGGTCTTCTCTCTTTGTTGATTGTCTTGAGGCAGCAGTTCTCAAACTTTTTGGTCTCAGGACTCCTTTGCCATCCTAAGAAATACTGAAGATCTCAAAGAGCTTTTGTTTATGTGTGCCATGTCTATTGAGATCTACTGTGTTAGCAATTAGAACAGAAATTTTAAAAACGTAGCCATCATCTCATTTCATGTAAGCCTCTAAAAATCTCCACTGTAAATTCATGAGAGAATGAAAGTGAAAACTGAAAATAATATTTTAGCATAATCATAAAAGTTTTGGCCTAATAGGTTCCCCTTGTAAAGGTCTCAGGGACCTTTGGAACTCCCCAGCAACTGTTGGGAGACAATTCTCCATTAATCTCTCATGTTTCTGTACTCCTTTCAGCATAGGCGCTCACTGTTTTTGATGGAGACTATCTTTTCAAGGATGTTTATACAGTGAACAACCTTGGGAATGTAGACAATGCTTACCTCCAGAGCAAAGGGCGGGTTTGTTTACTGTCAAATAAAAATAAAGATAATGTCTCCCTGCGTGACAAAGTTTATTAAAAAAAAGACTATAATACCCGTTATAAAAGATTCTGTTTCCCAAAGCTTGGGGTTCCTCTCCTATAACACAGTCCATTGCATGTGGAGATATCACCTGATACTTTTCATGTTGCTATGTGGGAAATGTACTTTCATGAACTTAGTGCAAAATTGATGGTACTCTGGCTACTGCTATGGTTGTGAATAATAGACTGTTGTCCCTGTACAGGAATCTCATGGCTTCTGCCAGCATCTGTGACTGTGCCAGGCTGACCTACTAGTTTGCAGTAAGATTAAATCTCAGATACTTCATAGTTCTTGACATCTACATTTTGAAAACTGTGTCCTAGAGATTTCTCAATATATCATAAACATATAAAATGATATTAGTCATGGGCACATCATGAATGAACCTAAAGGTTTTCTGGGGACTGGTACAAAATTTATTACATTATTTTTATATTATGCCATTATATTATGATAAAACATAATACAATGCATGAGAAAGGATACTAAATATTGAATTTTTGTAAAACTTCCAAATGAAATTTTTTCAAAATATTCAGTAAGAAATGAAGGGAGCTTGCTTCTTTGAACAGAATCTTTGTATCAGATTTTTGAAATGAAGTGCCTCCATGTACTTTCTAAACATGGCTTTTCTAATAATAACTATTAGAATGATAAGTTTCTATAAATACTACATTAATATACTCATGTTTTAAAAATAAATTATTTTGTAAGGAAAGAATAATGTGCATACAGGAATGGTGAGTAAACCTACTCTGAAGGTCATCGTTCTTGTCACAATTTTCATTTCTATGCATGTCCTTCATTGTTTGATAGAACAATGATTATTATGTACTCCTATACACATCACTGAGAACTAGGATTTGCATAATGCCATTTCAGCTTTTTTGTGTATTTTTTAAAGGTAAAACTTATTGAAGTATAATAATCATACAGAAGAGGAGGCAAAGTATAAGTACCTAATAATTTTCACAGAATGAATACATCCATGTTGCCAGAAGCCAGATATTTTATAAAACTCTCTAGCTGGGCATGGAGGCATGTGCCTGTAATCCCAGCTACTTGGGAAGCTGAGGCATGAAAATCGCTTGAACCTGGGAGGCGGAGGTTCCAGGGAGCTGAGATCATGCCACTGCACTCCAGCCTCCAGCCTGTGTGACAGAGCGAGACTGTGTCTCAAAAATAAAATAAATAAAATAAAATAAAACTCTCATCAGAGCCCACGTGGTGCCTCCTTAGTCACTTCTCCCCTCCACAGGGAAACCATTATCCTGACTTCTAACTTCAGATTAGTTATGCCTGAATAAGATTTTTTAACAGCTTTGTTGAGATATAATTCATATGTCATATAATTTGTCCATTGTGCAATTTAGTGGTTTTTAATATGAGTTTGATAACACAGAGTTATGTAGCCCTAACCACAATCTAATTTTAGGACATTTTCACCATTCCCAAAAGAAAACCCATAGTCATTAGCAGTCACTCCCTGTTCTCGCTCACTGCCCTCCATCAGCCCAGAATAAGATTTTTATTTTTTTTTTCTAAGACAGTCTCACTCAGTTGCCCAGGCTAGGGAGCAAAGGTGCACTCATAGCTCATTGCAGCCTTGAACTCCCCAGCTCAAGTAATCCTCCCACCTCAGCCTTGTGAATACCTGGGACTACAGGTATGTACCACCATGCCTAGCTAACTTTAAACAAAAAATTTTTTGGGGGGATGGGGTCTCACTATGTTTCCTAGAATGGTCTTGAACTCCTGGCCTTAAGGGATTCTCCCTCTTTGGTGTCCCAAAGCACTGGGATTGCAGGTGTAAACCACTATGCCAGGCCCAGAATAAGATTTTTAAATCTCTTTTTATATTTTTCGGAATTTGGCATCAATAAAAACTTTATTCTTTTAAGTAGGTAAAAATGTAAATTCATTTATTTACAACTAATCAAATATTTCCAACAGCTAAAATTATAATATAGAATCTGAGAATCTAAAGAATCTAAAAGTCATTTCCTCCTTAATAAATCTAGTATTAAAATTTCCTATGAAAATGTAAATAGACTTTTAAATATTAATAAACTTTTCCATTTTGTATTATCTATTGCTGGGTAACAAGTCATCCCACAATTTAACGGCTTATGACAATCATAAAAAACAAAATAATTAAACAAACTATTATAACAAACAACAAAATAATACAAACTTTGTATCATCTCACAAAGTTTCTGTGGATCAGGACTTTAGGAATGGCTTAGCTGGGCATTTTTGCAGTTCAGTTGTCAGCAGAGGTTGCAGATCATCTGATGGCTTGGGTGGTGATGGTAGGTCTGCCTCCAAGGTAGCTCACTCTCACAGTTGGTGTGGTAGACTGAATAACGGCCACACTAAAGACGTCCCTGTCCTAATCCCCAAAATTTGTTAATATGTTAAAAGGGTTTTTGCAGGTGTGATTACATTAAGATCTTGAGGTGTGATTATATTAAGATATTGAGGTGGAAGATTATCCTGGACTATCCATGTGGGCCCAATGTAATCATGGGGATCCTTTTAAGAGGGAAGCAAGAGGAGTAGGGTGAGTAGTAGAAGATGTGAAGGCAGAAGCAAAAGGTTGGAGTGATACAAGGGAAGAAATGAAGGTGGCCTCAAACAGCTGAAAAAGGCAAGAAAACACATTCTCCCTTCAGAGTCTCCAGAAGCCCTGCCAACCCCTTGACTAGCCTGGTGAGACTGATTTTAGACTTCTGATCCCCAAAACTGTAAGATAATAAATTTGTGCTGTTTTAAGCCACTGAGTTTGTGGTAATTCATTATAGTAGCAATAGGAAACTAACACAGCTGGTGGGTTGTTGCTGGCTGTGGGCAGGAGGCCTTGGTTTTTTGCCACATGGACATCTCCACAGGGTTTCTTGAATGTTCTTGTGATTTAGCAGCTGGTTTTTCCAGAGCAAGGGATTCGAGAGAGCAAGGTGGAGGCTACAGTATCCTTCATGACCTAGTCTTGAATAGACCACTCAATATTGTTTCTGCAATATCCTACTGATTACCCAGTGAGCCTTGTCCACTGTGGAAGGGGACTGTAGGGCATGACTTTGAGAAGACAAGAACCATTAGAGTCCACCTTGGAAGGGAATTACCACACACATTAAGTATTTTAAATCATATTGAAGTTCTAGTTTACAGAACACATTTATGCCTTACAGAGTAGCCGCCTTGTCTAGTTTCCATGCCACTAATGAGCACATCAGCCAGAAACAGACAGATATGCAATACAGGTGAACACAGAGACTGGGGCCTTAAGGTCACAGGAGCCCCAGCCTAGCTTTCCTGGTGCCCTCTCTTTCCCCTGACTGCTGGCCTTGAGTTGGAGCACTGTTCCTTGGGCACCTATAATATGAATTCCCACCAGCAGCTCCATGGACTTTAGCGTACTCTGGATCTCAGAAAGAAGACCCTGAAATAAAGGCTTGCATGTGGGTAGTTTATCTGGGAAATGAGTCCAGAGTGCAGGGGTTAGGACCTGGGAGAGTGAAACAAGAAAAAGGGAGAATCAATCAAAGGATGTGTTTACAAACTGGCTGCCATTATGGGTGACTGATGTTCAATCCACAGGACCTTTTCCGGATTCTTCTGAAATATATCTTAGAATGCTGCCACGTAATGAAAAGGGGAAGCATTGATTCATCAGTTTCCACCTCCTGCATCATAGATGGCTTTGTAGGCATCCATTTCCCCACACCTCCAGGCTGTGCATGCATGAGTGCCAAGCTGGTCCTCACTGGAACCCAAAGCCATGGCACCTGAGAAGTGTGGGACAGGAAGAAAGAGGCACATGGGAGGAAAGCTGTCTCAAGGAAAGCTGCTGTCCAGTGGTACCTGAGGGAAGCTGCTAAGTCTGTGTGGAACTGTTCACCACGACAGTGGCTGAAGAGGTAGACTGAGGGGATTTGAAGTGATTTGCAAGTGCTGTTCAATATTGGCCCTTGGCCAGAATGAGTGGTTTGCAACTGGCTGGTGAAGGAGATAGATGTCCAGATGGCAGAGTGCCACCTTGGTCATGTGACCATGCAGTGAGGTTTGCAGAGTAACAAGCACGGTATGTTTCTCCATGCAGACCTCATTGTTCTCTCTCTTCCATGAGAAAGGAGAAAGCTGTCATTTTGTTCCTCTTATGTCGTAAATGGTGTACTTAATGCCTAATGATGAGCCCTTTTAACTGGGAAATACTTACCACCACATTTGTCCTCAGCTTTCGGTCTTAATTACCATTTTTAAAGTTTAAGGAAAAAATCAACTATGATACTGTTAATAAGTATAAGCATCTGGGTCATTCACATGGTCACCACATTACAAAAAAGAAGATGCTTTTTAGTGTCCTAAATCTGTATTTGTGTCTAACAAGATAAATTATCACAGACTATGATAGCTTTAAAAAGTAGCAAAAAAGCGTTTGACCATTTTCTCATCAAGAAACTGAGAGGTGGAGTCCATGCCCCCTCACTCTAAATCTGGGTTGAGTTGTGGCTCACTGTAACCAGTAGAATACAGCAGAAGTGACATCCCGTGACTTCTGAAGCAAGGATGGAAGACATGAGGCGAGTTCTACTTTGTGAGCTGGGACATTTGGGAGCCAAGTCTGGCTACCCTGAGGGTACGATGCTGAGGAAGCTGATGCTGCATGGAAAGGCAAGTGTAGAGGCTTCTGCAACAGTGGCAGCTGAGGTCCCCAGTGACAGTCAGGATCAAAGCACCTGTCTTCCCAGCTGAGCCCCAGATATCATGGAGCAAAGACAAGCCATTCCCACTACACTCAGTCTGAATTCCTGACTCACAGAATCCATAAGCATAATATAGTCGTTGTTTAAGCAGCTAACTTTTGAGGGAGACAATAAATTAAATGAAGGTCAAATGACATCACAGCACATTGTACAGATGGAAGACACACAAAAGTTACAGCCGTGAAAAGACGTGGAAGAAGTGAATCACCCTAAAACACAAGGTATTACAGGCATGTTAAACTCCTTTATGAATAATGAACTCAATCATTTTTTCACACATTTATTTCAGCAAAACATCATCCTTTGCATTAAGTTAACATTAATTTGGATTTTAGAGTTTATGTGGTTTTGTTTTTATCTTTTATGTAAGTTAATTTTGGTTCTTCAGTTGTGTAAAAATTATAAGGAAAATGAATTTATATATAACTAGTTAAAACTGACACATACAGGATACACATTACAATAAAAACAATTTAAGTCAATCCTGAAAATGTCTGCAAAAAATATTTTCATTGAAAGGGTTAACATAATAATTATATTTGAGAAACACCACTTTTTACTATTGTCAGTAACCTTCTGCTTAAAAATTCACCAAAATACCCTATTGCATATATTCTTTATAGTAAGTCCAAACAGCTCTTCCAATCCACACCCAAAATCATCTTAGTTTTTTCCTTCCTTTCATCTACTTGCCCTCTGCTCAAGCCCCGGGAGCTTCTCCCCTGTGCCCTCAGGAACTCCTACTCCTCCAAAAGGACCCAGCTCGAGTGCTACTTCCTCTGTGAAGTCTTTCTGGAATCCCTGCAGGATTTAATGCTCCCACAATGTATCACTCAGAGCCTTGCAGGAAACACACTGCACGTTCCAATGGGTAGTTGAAGGACATTACTAGAAAGGCATTGTGACTTCTGAGGAACAGATATAGGTTGTGGAAGAAGCTGAGGACACACTCAGTATCCCACCTCACACTTTTCCTTTCCTTTTATCTGCTACCAGGGTCCCCATTGGCTGAACCCAACTAGAAGCCAAAGGGCAAAGAAATCGTGATGTTTAATTTTATGTGTCAACTTGACCGGGCTAAAGGAGGCCCACATAGCTGGTAAAACATTATTTCTCACTGTTTTACCAGAAACAGAATAAGAATGTTTCTGGAGGCGATGAGTCTTTGAATCAGCAAACCGAATAGAAAAGGTCACCTTCACCAACGCAGCTGGGCATCATCCAGTCTGTTGATGGCCACATTAGAACAAAAAGGCAGAGGAAGGAAGAATCTGCTTTCTGCTTGAGCTGGGACTTGCATCTTCTCTTGCCCTTGGCCATTGCACTCCTGGTTCTTAGGTCTTCAGAACTTGGACTAGGACTTACTCTCAGAGTTCTCAGGCCTTTGTGTATGTGTGTGCATATATATATGTACACACACACACACACACACACATATATATATACACACACACACATATATTTATATATGAGAGAGAGAGAGATTATACATTGGTTTTTTCCGTAAAAGTTACTCTGAGTTTGTCTGCCTTCCTGCCTTTTCTTCTACCTCCTCCACCTCTTCTTCTGCCTCTGTCACCTCTGAGACAGCAAGACCAGCTCTTCTTCTTCCTTTTCCTCTTCAGCCTACTCAACATGAAGGCAACAAGGATGAAGACCTTTATGATGATCCACTTCCACTTAATGAATAGTAAGTCCGTTTTCTCTTCCTTACGATTTTCTTAATAACATTTCCATTTCTCTGGCTTACTTTATCATAAGAATACAGTATATAATACATATAATACACAACATGTGTTAATTGACTGTTTATGTTAAGTCTTCCAGTCAACAGTAGGCTATTAGTTAAGGTTTTGGGGAGTCAAAAGTTATACATGGATTTTTGACGGTACAGAGAGTCAGTGCCCCTAATCCCCGCATTCAGGGGTCAACTGCATATCCTATTGGTTCTATTTCTCTAGAGAACTCTGACTAATACAAGAACCCACTGATACAGTCATATAAATCAGCCTCCCCGAGGAAAAGCACAAAGGTGAGAAGGATGGAGACTGGATACAGGGATGTGAGAGAAAAAAAGTATCCAGACTTTTAACTCATACTTCAATGACATTCTATTGCTATGACCTGTTTTCATGAGTATTTTTCCACTGGACTATGACCCTGACATTGTTATCTCCCTATTCTCTGCACTTGGCAATGGCTTGGACTCTTACTTTAGGTCTCCTAAATTAAGGTCTCTTAATTAGTGTCTGTTGAGTTAACAAATTAAGTTAATGAATTAGCAAAAGAATGACATGGATATGCAAGGATGTGTCCTTGAATGTTGCTCAATTTTATTATAATGACTTTTCCTTGTAGTTGGTTTATTTCTATCTGTTGAAATCAAAGTCTTTTTTTCTTTATTAAGTTCTTGTGATTTTTTTTTCTAAGCAAAGCAGCTGTTTATATTGTAATTTTATTTGTTTAAGTCTTATTAATGAGATTTTAGTTATTAGGCCAGCTAGAATTACATCTTAAAACAAAGTATGTTTTAATCTGTTTTATTTTTGCATACATGATTGTGGAGCAATTTAATTTATAAAATAGGACACGTTTATGGCACATAGTTTTAAATTTTCCCTTCAGTTTTGTACTGATTTTCTAAATTCCTTTACACTATTTGTATGGATCTTGTCAATCAAATCTACTCTGTATAAGAGATTAATAGAGGAATGCTACGCTATAAGCTTTCCAGTTTCCTTGAATGATTTTTAGTATTCTGTAACACTTTTTTGTAATTAAGATTTAAATACCCAATCCCTCAAGACTTGCCATACAGAGAGCTGTCAATCAAGAAATTGGCAGGCTCTATGAACTGCATGATGAAGTCTTTATCCCTACTCTCTGTTGCCTTCAAGACCAGCTTTTGCGAGCTGATCCTTCATTTCACATGTCTTAGAACTCACTCACACTTCTTATGCTTGGAAATGTAACACACAAAGTGACAACGTAATCCACAGCTAATAAGTTAGCGGCTATAAAAATGAACATCCACATTAACTTGCCAAGCATGGAGAATAGAGGTGTTACACTGCACTCGTGTATATATGTCTGCCAGGGCAATAGTACATATGCCTTTGGAGATGCTTCTAAGTTATGCAGAGAAGCCGACAATAATTCTTGAACTTTGTTGTCAGGATCCAGTTTCATTTAAGAGCCAAACCAACAGCATCAAAACACTTGGCCATGATTAGCCACAATCCAGCCGGTGAGAAAAGCATGCACAACTAGCCATTGGGCGGTAAATTTTGTGGAAATAAAGCTATCTCAGTACACTCTGTTGTGTCCTGGTTTAGGGTATATACTTTCACTGGAAAAATAATAGTAATGAAGAAGTTCTATCTTTTTTTCTGCACGTCTCTTAATTCATTACATAGTGAAATAAAGCAGATAGTTACTATCATTATTTAGAGAAAAAATGTAGACTAAAATTTATATCATTAGTTACCATGTATAAAAATACAACTCCAATTTATATATTTTATTTCCATTGAAAATATAAAATTGTAAGAGTATTTTTTAGTTGCAATGATATTTAAAATAATGCACTGTAAAATTAAGTAGCAGCCTAAAATTTGAACCCTACATCATAGAACCTAGCTCTGCCTATTGAAATCTTTTTTTTTGGTGAGGGGGAGGCGGGGTAGGGACCAAGTCTTACTCTGTTGCCCAGGCTGGAGTGCAATGGCATAATCTCAGCTCACTGCAACCTCCACCTCCCAGGTTCAAGCGATTCTCCTGCCTCCATTTCTCGAGTAGCTGGGATTACAGGCGCGTGCCACCACACCCGGCTAATTTTTGTAATTTCAGTAGAGATGGGGTTTCACCATGTTGGCCAAGCTGGTCTTGAACTCCTGACCTCAGGTGGTCCACACACCTTGGCCTTCCAAAATGCTGAGATTACAGGCATGAGCCACCACACCTGGACTTGAAATCTAATTTTAAGTTTACTTAACCTGTTCAGTAGGATAGGATATTTGACATACAATGCTTTAAACATTTATAAGTTATTGATATATACAAGTAATTTTAATATATTATATGCATGTACATTGTTTTTAATAAATATAAATTATCTTAATTTTTTCTTCATATGATTTTTAAAATTATGTAGGCTCATGGTCACATAAATGATGGAGGAGCATCTCAAGCTCACTGACTTGGTGAGCAAGGGTGTGAGTTAAGTGGAAGCAGAGCTGTGCGTTGGAGAGGAGAGGAGCCAGCATCTTTGAGCGCCTATTATGGCACATGTTTAACATTGCTTACCTTAGTGCTCACAAGAACCCCACCAGGAGGACATCTTTTATCCCTGTACTGATTTATATTTTGAGATTCAGGAAGATTGGATAAATTGCTCAAATTGACAGGGCTGGCAAATTGTAAAGCCAGGTCTAATTAAAAAGTTACTCTTTTTATTATTCCACATAATCATCCAATAAACAGAAAGTAAAGCAGACTGTAATCTCTTCAAAAATAGAAGCTCTGCTCAAAGCACCATTGTGTATTTTCTATGCCTGTTCTTATTCACTCATTCATTCATTTGCTCATTCAACAAGCCTACATTCAGTGACTACTCTGAGCTAGGCAGTGTGCTAGGCCCTGGGAATAAAATAGTGATATTTGCAGACTTCAGAGGATGGCAGAAAAGCAAAAAGACAATGAAATATAGTGCAGTTAGTGCTCTAGGAGGAGGGGGGTAAAGGTACCAGGGACACTCAGATTTTCCAGGTCTAGGAAGGTAACTTGGAGGAAGCAGCATCTAAGCAGAAGCTTTACAAACAGGGACTATACAGGTGCAGGCAATTGGGAGTGCTCTCAGGGACAGTGTTCGTGAAAGAGGATCCTGAATAAGCAAATGCCTAGAATGAAGGAAAGGTCAGGACCAAGAAGGTGGCAGGGAGTGGAGACGATGTTGTGGAGGAATTTACAGACATGTTTAAGGGATTGGAAACAACAGAATCCCATTTGGATTTGAGGACAGTCTCACAGAGCAGAGTACAGAGAATTGATGGAGCAGTAGGAAATGAGGTGGGCAAGAATCCTGGAAGTCAGCACGCCAGCTAAGAAAAGTGCTGGTAACCTGCAGTCCTAAGTGGCACTAGGGACTGGGATGTGGGATGGCCGAGTCTGGCGACTGGATATGATGGAGGGAGAACACACTGTAGGCTACTAGGAAGGTTTGTTACGTTCCTCAGAAATATTGCAAGGAAAACACTGAGACAACTGATACAGCTCAAATCCCATCACGCAGAACTCCAAGGGGAAACAATTCTTGTTTTGTTTTTTTCTTGAGATGGAGTCTCGCTGTGTCACCCAGGCTGGAGTGCAGTGCCATGATCTCAGCTCACTGCAACATCCATCTCCCAGGTTCAAGTGATTCTCCTGCCTCAGCCTCTCCAGTAGCTGGGATTACAGGTGTACACCACCACACCTGGCTAATTTTTGTATTTTTAGTAGAGAAGGGGTTTCACCATGTTAGCCAGGCTGGTCTTAAACTCCTGACCTTAAGTGACCTGCCCACCTCGGTCTCCCAAAGTGCTGGGACTACAGGTGTGAATCACCCCACCCGGCCACGGAAACAATTCTAAATGACCACTCTCCAGTGATTAAAATAAAGATTTCTCATAAGTGCTAAAGTATAACTCTTCCATTGAAAAAATAAAAACAAAAACTGCAGCATCCAGAGGGAAAATCTCTAATAATGAAATAATCAAGCATTTTAAGACATTTATCTTTGAAGGGGTTGGGGAGTTTCAATCTGGCACCCTGGGATTGACAGAGGGGAAATCCATTTTTTCTCTTGAGTGAAGATGCAGTCATTCTATGATTTTTGCATTTTCTTGCCTCCCACAGGATGCGATTTACCCCTAGATTAGTGAGCCTGTTAGGTGTCTCCTTATGTTTATGCTGCACCATGCCATGAGCTACTAATTAGTTCCTTTATT
The DNA here is from genome assembly GCF_000001405.40 of Homo sapiens. Lineage (NCBI taxonomy): Eukaryota > Metazoa > Chordata > Mammalia > Primates > Hominidae > Homo > Homo sapiens. The sequence continues at coordinate 162,096,932 of NC_000002.12, read as the reverse complement.
AATAAGACTGTCTATGAGATGCACACAGACTGAAGAAGAGCATTCACTGTTTTGGATAATTCAGAGTTGTAAATTATTACTGTACCTGGGACCAAAATATAAACAGGGGAGGGGTTACTCTTGGACATTAGCCAGAACCTTTTCAAAACAAAAATATTTCATGTATTTCTTGGAGTTCTCATTATAACAGTCAACCCAAATTATTATCAGCCATATTTCATTAATTTTACATGTTAGCACTTTTTATTCACGTGCAGGGTAGTTTTAATTTTCTTACAGTATTTCTCATTGAAATATTGCAGTGGACTAAATGTCTGTGTTCCCCAAAATTTATGTTGAGACTCTCATCTCAATGTGCTGGTATTTGGAGATGGGATATTTAGGAGGAAAATAGGTCATGAAGGGGGAGCCTCATGAATGGGATTAGTGCCCTTCTAAGAAGAAGCCGGAGAGCTAACCTGCTCCATTTCTGCCACATGATGATACAAGAAGTCCTAGTCTGCAATTTTAAAGAGGACCCTCATCAGAGCTGAAGCATGTGGGCACCCTGACTTCAGATTACCAGCTTCCAGAACTGTGAGAAATAAATTTCTGTAGTTTATAAGCCACCCGGTACATGGTACTTTGTTAGAGCAGCCTGAACTGAGTATGACAAATGTATAGTCTCCGGTGAGATAAAGGAAGCGTTCCTAAACCTCCTCTACACAGTTTGCCTCTGACTCGTAGAACACAGTTAAGAGTTGTTTCATAAAATGTTATTGACTCCAAGGCTTATGGTAAACTAATATAAATACATTCATTTATATCAGTTACCATAATTATAAGGCTTCTATTTAATTACTGGGTACAAAATAATGTAATTATGTCATCAACGACTGGTTTATTACAGCGTTTTATAGCTGTATTTAAAACAGTTTCGAGTTTATCTTCTTAAGTGTACTGTGCCACTATTCCAATGTCAATTTTATATTTGACATAATATAGACTGTATTGTTTTATGAACAAACCTTAACATATTAGGTTGTATTACATTAAATATTTATTTTTGTAGGTCAAAAATGGTCAAGGATCACCAGTTTCATATGGCTCAAATATAATCTTTCCATGTATTTTTTAAATCCCTTTCCATTATCAGGAACCACTGCCACCCAATCATTAAGTAAAATGCCTAAACCAAGTAACATCCATATAGTATATACCCCATATGTTATCCCCAATGTCATTTTTTAACTCTCGTTAAAAGTAGTTCACCAATCCCTAAGAATTAACTTCACACAGGGGTGCCTGGGTAGATTCAAGGTCCAGAAATATGATTGTGTATATGCTTAAGAGTTTACGATTTGCATCATGCTGCTATAAAGACACATGCACACACGTATGCTTATTGCGGCACCATTCACAATAGCAAAGACTTGGAACCAATCCAAATGTCCAACAATGATAGACTGGATTAAGAAAATGTGGCACATATACACCATGGAATACTATGCAGCCATAAAAAATGATGAGTTCATGTCCTTTGTAGGGACACGGATGAAGCTGGAAACCATCATTCTCAGCAAACTATTGCAAGGACAAAAAACCAAACACTGCACGTTCTCACTCATAGGTGGGAATTGAACAATGAGAACACTTGGACACAGGAAGGGGAATATCACACACCGGGTCCTGTTGTGGGGTGGGGGGAGGGGGGAGGGATAGTGTTAGGAGATATACCTAATGTAAATGATGAGTTAATGGGTGCAGCACACCAACATGGCACGTGTATACATATGTAACAAACCTGCACGTTATGCACATGTACCCTAGAACTTAAAGTATAATAAAAATATATATATATATATATATATATAAAAAGAGTTTATAATTTTCACTAAAAGAAAGAATAAAGACTGGTCTGTTTTACAGTAAATTCTGTGTTTGAATAAAACTTCAAAGGGCAATTGCTGAACAGAAATGTCCTACTTACTAATCAATGCCTTTCAAAACAAAAGAGAAGAAAATGCTATGAAAATTGTCCACCAGCAATGGCTTCAATGGAGTATACGAAAAAAAACAGGCTCTTCTTGGGAAAATAGGAAGATCCATGAATTTTAATTTGAGAACCTGGTTTGTCCAGGTTTTATTTCACTCCCTTCAAAAGTGAGAATACTTTGGTCACTTCTCTCTCAAAGCAGCTGGAAGGCCTGCAGAAGACAGCAAGACCTCAGATGTAGAGATGCTGGCACACTGAACCCTTGCACTGCTGAGATCCAAGAAGGCGGTCACATCTGCTGAGGACAGAGGTCTCTGAGGGGCTAAGGGATGCCATAATTTGCTGCTGTAGCTAGAATGCCAGGTGTTTCACAAAATCTTTGGGTAGAAACTCTTGCCGTTTATACCTTTTATGAATTATATTTATATGAAACTCTATACTTGTTTAGCAATAGAAGTAGCTTGAATTTCTAGATTTGTTCTATCCATATGTGCATTCTCAGTCCTTGAAAACCCTGAGAAAGAAAAAAGAAAGTTTATAAATACAAATTAGACGAGGTAGTCCTTGCCCATAAAGGGTGTATATTCTACTTGGACAGAAAAGATGAATATACGTGAAAGAATTACAGAATACATCTCCTTACACAATTCCCCTCTTCCCTAAGGGCATTCATTATTACAATACACTTATATAGCACCTCCTTTCCAATAGCCCAAACACCGGCTGTAGAACAAACTGTTGAATAAATACTTGTCACAATCCCCTTTTAACAAGTGAGTCCATCTGGAAAACCAATTCGGGTCCTTCATTCTAATCAAGAACTCTTCTGATTTTGGGATCTACTTTAATCTTTTTATGATAGGGCAATACTTCAGAAATTAAGAAAATAAAGCTGGTAAAGAATTATATTAATGACAACTTCATTCTCACTCATTAAGCATATCATGTGCCCTTGAACTAGTGTTTTAGATATTCTCTATACCTCTTTAGTATTTACAATGTTATTTGCAAAGTGTTGCTCAAAAAAGACACTGAGGCAGAGTCTGAAGCAGCAACTTTCCCTAGGTTACAGAACAGTAGGGGCCTCAAGTCCATGTTCCATCTACTACACCAACATGTCTCTCAAATGTCAGTTACCAGAGAAGCCAGAGAATGGAACATGAAAATTGTTTGCATGTCCATGAAAGCCTGAACCACCCTTCCCACCCAAAGTTTTCAGTTTCTAGAAAAAATCTACAACAGAATTTTTTAATCTACAGGGAATTTTAAGTGCTCATTTAGAAAAGAAAAATGCATAATACACCAATCCGACAGGATTTACCATCACTCCTCCCTCTGCCTGGGTCATATGGAACCAAGGATACTCTTTTATAGTGTTTTGCTGAAGCTCAGGCTGTCTTGTCCCTGGTAAAGTTGTCCTCTTCCCCTTGTCTCAGATCTTCAGAGGGCCTCCAGGCCCTGTTGCACAACCTTCTTCTCTGTGAGGCCGGTGACCATCTGCTCACCATCCTTCGAACCAAAGCCCATTCATGCACAGCCATTTGGGCCACTGGAATGTTGACACCCAGTCTTTTCCTCTTCAAACTCAGTTGCAATGTATTTTTAGTTGCGTGGATCATATTTTTCAACACTTGAGTCATTTTTGTGTCTCTGCTTATTTTCCTCCTATTTCTCCATGTTGTGTAATATTCCTTTGAGTTATCTTTTCCCAAGGAACTCAAAGAACTTGATGATTCAGCCCTCCACCCACACACCGCGTGAGGCAGGAGACTCTCCCCCTTGCTTTTCTGAGGTACAAAACTGGCTCAGGTACAGCTCTATTTTTCCAGCTGTCAAGCAGCAGCTGACCAGATTTTTTTCTATGCACTAAAAATTGACACGCAGCGAAGTGTGCTGTGGTGTGGCAGGGTGAATACAGGGTCTCAGAAGACCACAAAGGCAAAACAGAATCATGGATCTCACAGAGTAGCAAAGACCCTATGCAGAGAAACAAACTTAACAATTTTCATATGTCCAGGGTCCAAGCTAGCTGCTAGAAATAAATGGAATAAAGCCTAATCCCTGCCCATCAGGAAGGAAATGACACAATGAATCAGCATTTATTCACTCAGTGAGTCAGTAAACACTTAATAAGCAATTATTATTGTGCCAGATATTAGTGTAGGCCCTAGGAGTATATCAGTGAACAACAGAGACAAAATCCTTGAATATTACTGGATAATAGTAGATAATTATAGGGCTCTGGAGTCAGGCCTCATGGGTTCAAATACTTGCTGTGTAATACTGAGAAGAGTATGTACCCCTCTGCACCTCAATTTCCTCATCTACAAAGCAGGGATGATAAAGGTACCTACTGCATGGGGCTGTTATGAGGACTAAATGAACTATTACAAGTAAAGAGCTTACCTGAATGTCCAGCACCTAGCACGGGGTCCATGAATCTTAGCAATTATTACATTAGATAATTGCATTACAGAGTGATGAGTGCTTTGTTAAAAAGCAGTGAGGCACAAGTCTGTTTGAGAGCACAGAAGCCATGCACCTTGCTAGGGCAGTGGGTGGGCAAAGCTTCTTGGATGAGATGGCACTGGAGTTGCGATCATTGACTAGGACCTTAGCCAAATGAAAAACAAAGGGAATGAACTCCAGGTGGAGGAAACGTTATGTTTGAAGTTTCAAAAGCAAAAGAGAGAGCAAAACAGAGATTGCATTTCAATTCTTAGAAATGAATGCATGTAGCTTAGTGTGTAGGTGGCGGGATGTTGGGGAGGAGCCATGAGAAGGAAGGCTAAGCAGAGACCAGAACAGGATAAGGGATTTGGATTTGATCCTGCAGCAGGGGAAGCCACTAGTTTTAAGCAGGAAAGTAATAAACGCTGCCATGGAAAGAAATGACAAAAGGAGAGGCCAGTTAGATGGGCTGGGCGATGACCTGGTCTGGAAGAAAGGAAGGCCTGAGCAAAGGTGGAAGAGAGACCATAGAGAGATGTGGACAATGAAACGGGAGATTAGAGAGGTCTGTGTGTGGGATAAGGAGTGAGCAGGTATCAAGGAGGACTCCTGGGTTTCCGGCTTGGGCCATGTGGTGGCGATACTCTCATGGAGGGAGAGCATGATGCAGAAGGACCTAATTTGGTGACTAGTGGGTAGGGGAGTAGTGTTGGTAATTATTAACCCTCTCTGGCTAATTTAGATTTAATAGGCCTATGAGTCATCCAGGTGGGGACCTTCCGGAGGCTCAGACTCCAGAAGAGAGATCCCAGCTAGAGAAATACAAGCAGAAACCATCAGCATAGAGATACATTTGAAGGCTTGGGAGTAACTGAGATGACTCAGTTCTTATCTCATTAAATCTCTGCAACTCTGGGAAGAAGGTTTTTAAAAAACAGCCAAGGGCACATAATAAAGGTTTTTAAAAAACAGCCAAGGGCATATAATTGGATTGCAGACCCAGGCTTGTCTAACCGTAAAGTCTTCGCTCCTTTGTCTTCTCCCTACGGCCTTGCAGGTGGCCTGGTGAATGGCTGCAAGAAGCAGCTGTCTCCATGTTGCCAGCTTTGGCACATGGCTGAGTTTACTCTATCCCAGAGCTGGTGTAGTTTCTAGAAATACAAACAATAGAGCATGGCTGCCACACTCAAAGCGAGGTCAGAGAGACAGAAGCTTAACAGATTGTTTTAATAAAATATGCTCAAGGCAGTGAAGGAGATGGGAGCAGGGCACACGTTTGGGAAAACTTTTGAGAATCGGGAAGGGCTTCTCAGCCTCAAAAGTCCTGATAAAATGCATATGTCAATCCTATCAACCTCCATCAAGTCTGTATATCAGAATAGACGAAGGTTTTCTTTCTTAATAAATTTTATGTATATAAAAGGTATACAATATATTATGAGATACATACATATAGTGAAATGGTTACTCTAGCAGAACAAATTAACATATCCTTTCATCTTACATAGTTACCAGTCCCCATCATGGCAAAAGCAGCTATATTTAATCCTTCAGCAAAAATCCTGAATGCAATACACCAGTATTAACTAGCGGCCTCAGGTTGTATATTAAATCTTTCAACTTGTTCACCCTACATTTGCTACTTTATGTCCTTTGACCTGCATCTCCCTATTTTCTCCCCATCCCCAAACCTGGTCACCACTGTTTTAGTCTCTATCTCTATATATTGCATGCTGTCACTTATATATGGAATCTTAAAAAAATGAAATAGGTTAGAATAGATGAAATTTGATAGCAGAGAAAGGGAGGAAGAGGTTGGGCCTTTGGAGGGGGACTGTTTGGAAGGAAATACTACAGAAGGGGATTCTTGGCATAGAAGAGACATTGAAAAAGAGGTGACAAGGCCTAGGAGGGAAACAGGGCACTTACAGCATGGAGCCAGGAGGACCACTACACTCTGAACATCAGATCCATAGCCCAGTGGATTAGCCTCCAGGAATTCTAATCTCCTCCCTCAGCTTCCTCTGGAAAATGCTTACATGGGGTTGGGGTTGGGGGCAGTAAAGCCTAATTATCTCAGACTTAGTCTTGTGTTGTTTGGCTAGAAAGCTCAGGTGGATTAACAACTGTAAACTGGTTTGTAAACTGTAATCCTGGAGATGTTCCTTATTTGTTCAAATTGATATTCCCAGGACATTTCCTGGTTTAGTAACTTCTCAATAAGTATGAGTCATCCTTCAGCTTCTCCTGAGATCACTTTTAGTGTATCTGCCAACATACTAATGCTAATACTCCGGTGGATATATCAGAGAGTCTTAAATATAAATATACAAATATTTCTAATGAAATCCTCAAAAAGTAGACATTGGAGCATGGGTGTTTTTTCTGGTCCCCATCAAAGTAAAAGCTTTCAACCAGCTCAGTAACAGGGTTTTTATGTGTAGGATTTCTTTTGAAAGACATTGGCTAGGTCTTTTACCATCTTCCTGCATTTCCGAGCATCTTTGACTATTATGGCTACTGTAGTCAAATAGCAGAGACACATCATCTGAATTATTAAAATAGTGTGGCTGAAAAAGGTGAGATAAATAATGGTAACACAGCTGTAGGGGTGGTTGAAAACAACAGAGACCGATGAATGAGACATGTTTGTTGCCAAAACACCGGAGTGGAACAATTATTATCAATGGTGTCTTAAATGTGTAAGATCGTCCATGGCTGCATCCCCATTTCGCATTGTGGAAATAAATGAAAACCACCCAAATGAGAACAAACAGGATTATTTTTTCAAGGTTTACTGTAGCAAGGGAGTCAGTCACCATCACTTAGCAGAGATTCGAAGGCAGGAAGGGCAGGGGGAAAGATTTATAGAGAAAACAGGAAAGGCTTCAGGTGTGCTCTGATCAAAGCCTGTTGGCATAAGAAACAGGAGGTAGGCTAATTAAAAGCAGGACATCTGACGAGATTGGTGTGGGGAGGATAGAAATCTTTTTCTGGTCCTGAGTTAGAAGCAAAGTTTACAATCCTGACTATTCTGGGCTGATTGCAGCAGAGGTTGTGGGGCAGAGTCCAATTGTCAGGTACAGTCTGGTCACTGACTGTTTGCATATTCAGTCTCTCAGCATTAAGATTTCAGAGATGAGACTGGGTATGGTGGCTCATGCCTGTAATCCCAGCACTTTGGGAGGCCAGGGCAGGCAGATCACTTAAGGTCAAGAATTCGAGACCAGCCTGGTCAACATGGTGAAACCCTATCTGTACTAAATATACAAAAACTAGCTGGGTGTGGTGGCAGATGCCTGTAATCCCAGCTACTCGGGAAGCTGAGGCAAAGAATCACTTGAACCTGAGAGGTGGAGATTGCAGTCAGCCAAGATCACACCACTGCACTCCAGCCTAGGCAACAGAGTGAGACTCCGTCTCAAAAAAAAAAAAAAAAAAAAAGATTTCAGAGATGAGCTTTCCCAGAATGAACTCGGTATTTCTATCATGTGCTGGAAGCAGCACTCTAAAAGAGCAGTGATACTCAGCTGATCCTGAGTCACTGACACGTTCATGCTGGAAGTGCGTGTGTCTCCAGAGCATGCATTCTGAATAAGGGCAATATTGCCCCCAAGGAATGAAAATTGGTTATTGAGGGCAAAAGCATCACTCTCCCTACAAGTGAAGCACAGAATATATATATATATATATATTCCAGATAGTGCATAAACATAAATACAATATAGTATATCTGTGGTATTAAAATTTCATGGAGGATGAGTAGGAGAAAAAAGTTTGAAAAATGCTTGGGTCAGGGAGGTTAGTGTAGAGAATAAATTAAAAAAAAAAAAAAAAGAAAGAAAGAAACCCTGAGAAACAGCCTGCAGAACCTATGTAAATACTTCCACCCAAAATTATATTTTTCAGCCGAGAAGCCAAACAGTATCTGACCATTCCCATTGGACTGCATTTGCCTTGTAATTTCTGGTTCTCCAAACATCCTTCCAATTGGTTCTTTTTCTATTTGAGGGACTACAACTATTGTCATTTCTTCTCTCAAAGCATGAGGAATCTCACCAGAATAAAGGTATTATTTGCATACACTGTAGCAAAAGCTACTATGCGGTGTCACTAGGAAGACCCAACTTCCCATGTATTTATTGTTTTCCCTCTTATATCTCCTTTATGAAGAGCAATTCAAGCAGCAGAAACAAAATGCCAGTTTAAAAGAGATATGATGTGAGTAGTTAAGTCATACTCTGCCATCTTGCCAAGAAAAAGGGGAGTCCTAGATGAATAATTTTAAGTTCTATGTTTAATTCAGTAAAATTACATTATAAGCTTTAGATTACTCTGGTTAAAAAAAACTTTACACTGAAAAATGGTTAAGACGGTAAGTGTTATGTGTATTTCACCACTATTTTTTAAAAAAGAAATGGATGACAGATATTTTTCACTCTAATCCAATAATAAGCATGAACTTTTTTCCTTGATTATTGTTATTCACAAATCAGCACACATAAAAATTAAGAGGTCCTCTTACATATGGTTTTCTGGTTATGTGATCCACCCCTCAAGAAAAAGTAAATGTTCCCTGGCTTGGCAAATTAGCTGTCTCTTTTTAGTATAGTTTGAGGCCTGCCTCCAGCCCTGTTCTTGTCCTTGCTACTGGCCCTTGCTACTTCTTTCCTTAAATCATGGCAACTACAGTGCAGCCCCACCACTCCATCCCTGACCCCAATCCCTATCTTATAAACACATACTACTGAACAAGTGAAGGATGTGCACACCAGCAAAAGGAAAAACGGCCAATATCCACGCTGACTCCAGATATGCTCTCAGAGTCTGCCATGCTGTTGGCACAACCTGGCCACCCTGTGGACTGCTAACCTATGCTGGTGCGCCTACTGCCAATGGACATATACTTGCTGCCTTATGACAGGCTATTCATCTTCCTACTAAAATGGCCAATGTTCATTGTCCCTCCCACACTAAGGACACTGATAGTGTATCTTAAGGAGATGATAGGGCAGACAAGGCTGTTAACTATGCAGCCAAAAACAGGCCCCCAATCCTTTTTTCCACCCAATTTATAAACTTGCCTTTATCTTTGGCTGATGTTAATGATCATCAGATGGGACATATAGATATGTGCAGATACAGGATGATTAAGGTTCTAAAAGATAATTGGGATCTACAGTTGCCCTGGGAGCACTATTTTCTAGTGCATTACTTGTAACTCTCACCAAATCTCTGGAGGAAACCAACATTACTGAGCAAGTTCTCCAAGGTGCACACTTCCCTTGCAGAACTCCAGATAGACTTTATAGATTCACTTCCAGCTTTAGGCTTTTCTCTCTGGTTATTGTCTGTATGCGTAGTGGGTGGACTGAATGCTATTGGACCAGACATGCTAACACCACAACAATGGTGAAGAAATGAGTAACAGATTATTCCTTGCTTTGGCATCGTTTTATGGACTGAATCAGACTAAGGAACTCATTTTACAGCAGAGATAAACCACTTGCTTGCAAAAACTCTGAGGTATTCACTAAAATTTCATACCCCATACTATCCCCAATCCTGAAGGCAAATCTAGACATTAAATGGACTTTAGGAAATGTTTTTAGAGAAATTGGACTTAAATTGCCAGAAGCATTACCTCTGGCCCTTATAAAAATGCAAAATACTCCAAATAGAAGATATGGATTAACCCCTTTTGAGATAATGTTTGGCTACCCTATGCCTACTGGCATCTCTAAACCTTCCAATTCCTAGGTTGAATAGACTCTATGTGGATTTAAGTAAACAATGTGATGCTGTGTCTAGCTATGTACAGGAACTCACTGATATACTTGGAGCATATCATCATCAGGTAAAAAGGATGTGGCCTCTGCCAACTGACAAGCCTTGCTATCCTTTTCAACCAGGAGACTGTGAGTCCATCAACATTTTTAGAGAAAAGCACACACTGTCATTTCACTGGGAAGGCCCTTATGAAGTACAGCTGAATATCTATGCTGCCATTAAAAGAAAAACCCTCCTGGGTTCACACAAGCAACACCAAACTAGATCCTGATCAGCATTTCCAAGTCAATTGAAAGATCACCCCTACAGGTGACCTTAAAATAAGGATTACCAGGGCTAATTCCCTGGCCCCAGAAGCAGATGGCATTTTTTCAAAGTAGAGAGCTTTTCCCAAGACCAGGGACGAAGAAATTTTACTTCCACCTATTTTCTCCCCCTTTTAGGTCTCCCTAATACTCTTCCTGAAAACAAACAAACAAGCAAACATACAAAAATCTCTTTTTTGGTGACAAATGCTTCCCATCCCCATTTGTTGGTAGCCTACTTTAAAAGCTGACTGAAGATTGTCTCCCTCTAACTATTCTCCCTCTGCTCCTCCACTATGACCTTTCTTCAAACTGTGTCCGCTCTGATTAGCCCTCACTATTTTTCCAACGGGTCAGGCATAGACTCAGCATCCCTTTGTACCAGTCTTCCAAACCCTGGCTCTGATAATTAATCAATCTGACTATTGATTATGTCAACATCTAGATTATGCAAAGAAAAACCCTGAACTTATTTTTGTCCCTGCCAATGCAAGTGTCCAGTGGATCAAGTTTGGAGAATGAATGTATGTCAAGGTATGGCATTCACCACCTAGACAACAACAACACATTATTTTTCCATTCAGTGAGTCAGTTGGACACAGAGGAATCTCTGTAAGAGCTCGAAGACTGTCCTTGCTCTAGTAAAGTCATTAGAAAGGAATTTTTCCCTCTCCAGTATAAGCAGAGATAATGCTGGACTTTTCTTAAGTAACATATCAATGAGGCATTGCAGTCAAAGCCTGTGGTTTGATTCCACCCATGGCACCCTTAAGCCTTTCACGAAGGTCATAAGCAGTTCTGACACTGACTCTTATGGTACAAACACTTGCCAAATCACCAGATGTTATATAAACTTCCAGAGTCAGCCTTGTGTAACTTGGGAAAACTCATTAGGCTAGCAGACACCAAAGATTACAAATAGATTGATCAAAATTCTAGACTGACTTGGCTTAATAAATTTAAGCCTTATATCTGCCCAAACTGAACTAACGGCCTCCTATATCAGATATTTCACAACCTTTTGCATTCCTATGGACTGACAGAATTCATGGAGGATGGAGATGAGCAGATGTCAATATGCTAGAAGACAAAGTGCAATAAACCCCAACCTGTGGTGTCACATATTCCACTCTGACCTTATTTGTGAAAAATACTGGCCTTTTTTCTTGTGTGGTAACAAGGTATATAAACAATTCCCACCTAGATAGCCCAGGCAATGTGGACTCAGATATTTAACACCTCTGTCTCCAGGTACCCTACTGTAAATGCTAGCCAAATTACAAACTTGGGCTCTTTTGTTTTATAAAGTGGTACCATACAAACATACTAGATGTACTATTCAAAACTCACTTTTATATCACAACTCCAAGTTCTTTTCAATATTGAGAGCTTTTTTCCCAAGCATTGGAGTTTATGAGATTAAAAAAGCAATTCTAAATCTTTCCATAGTTATAGAATGAGAGCTCAACATTTCTATGAAAGCACTGAAAGCACTCCAGTCAGAAGCTGACATTTAGTCACAGCTATATTTCAGAATCCCCACGTCCTGGATGCATTGACAAACACTGGAGAAGAACAGTGCTTCTATGTAAATCCTTGGGGACAAATAGAGCCTAATCTGCACCATTTAAAAGACAAGACAAATATTCTTCACCAAATAAATAAGGCTAAACCATTTTATTGGATAGAACTTTTCCCAGGATTAGGAGGCTGGTTTAATGGAGTGTGGGGAACAATGTTTAGATTGGTTGTTTCCTGGTTTGCAAATCCTTTATGACACAGTTACTAACTTGTCATTTCTTTCCACAGCCACCACCTCAGCTTTTAATGCTGGAAACGTCTAGTGAAGTTTCAGACAGGGGAAATGAAGGAATGAAAGACATGGCATCCCAAAATATGCCAAATTGGTATATTGATTATTTCAAGTTGAAAGCATTGGGAGAATTGTAGCCTCAGTAAGGGTTAGTTGGCCTGTCTTTTCCTGCTTGTGGCAAGCCATAGATTCCTCTGGGAAGAATATTTCTTGTTGGAGCAAGAAAATAGAAATATTTCTTACTGTGGGAGGAATATTTTCTTACTGGAGCAAGAAAATAGCCCTTGTCAACAGAGACTGGTGATAGGAGGCTGCAATGAACCTGAATAAACATACTTAATGAAGTAGTCCTTATCTTCCAGTAGGTTTACACCCTACCCTCATGTATCTCCTAGTGACTCCCCTAGAAATGTACTGCTCTTAGTCAGATTCCCTTTGTCCTGTGATTTCTTCTCAGATTTGTCATTCTTTGTCTAAAAAGTATGAAAGTATCTTGCTTTGGCCACTTCAGACTTCAGTCTCTTATGAAGATCCCCATGTACATGAAAAACCAATAACATCTGTTTACTTTTCTCTTGTTAATCTGCCTGATATCAATTTGGTTTCTAGATTCAGCTCTATGGCTGAATCTAGAAGAGCTACATAAGAGCTACAGGGGGGTTGGAGGTGATCTCTGGCTCCCCTACCCTGCCACCACATCTAGCCCATGTTCACAGCTTGGAGAACACTAAGGAGGAGACATCATTGTAGCTACAGACACTTTGTGAGAATCAGGCTCCATGGGTTTCAAACACGTTCTCTTCATTAAGTCATATTTTTTTTCTTAAGTCAGGGGCTAATATAAGCAAATTCTTCAAATTAAAAAACCCACAGAATATCCAAAGGATACCATCCAAAGAGGAGCACAAAAGTGCCCTTACCCCTTGGGTTGGTTCTAGTCTGAAAGGTAGAAAAAGCACTCCTTTACGGAGTGCTGAGTGCTAGAACAATCCCTCATTTGGTATTACTGATAATTGGGGCAAGGAAAGCACCATGACCATAGCTGAGAAAAAGTTTTTAGAGTTATATTTTAACAAGAATAAATAAGCATGGTTTACATGCTTGTACAACAAACTTTGCAGAGAGGCACTTACCCAATTAATTTTCTAAGACCAAGAGTTTACTGACTCTCCCCCCAGTTTAAGTTCTTCCCTTTCTCATTCCATCCAACAGACACTATTGCCTTTTTTTTTTTAAATCTGAAGTATAAGTCTGATTGGGTTTCTTTCCCAGGTAAAATTTTAGTGGCTCCTTGGTATATACTGAATATTGAACTTAAGACAAGAATATGTTCATGACCAACTTTCATTTCCCAATACTTTCTGGAATACTCTATATCCTGGCAAAATGCAAGTAATACATATTCCCTAAAGATCTTCCAGCTTTCTTACTCAAGCCCTTATGTGTGTTATCCCTTGGGCCTGAAACTTCCTTTCATCTATCAAAATCCATAGGATGATCTAGCCAGCTAGTTGTCATCTATTAATACGTATCTCTTTGTAGAAATAAATTTTGTTAAAGGTTGGTTCAACCTGGAACACAAGCAGGGTAATCTTCTCAAGTATGGTTGGTAGGGAAAAGAGAAAATAAAACAGAAACAGACGGTGAAGATAACCTGGAAGATGTGAGACTTGATCTTCAGTCCAAAGGATATGAAATGTGGGGTTTGGCACTAAGGCAGCAGGAAGTCATTCCCACACAGGTAGAGCAGCGTTCTCTGATTAGGTGGAGGGCAAATGTCCACTGATCAAAGGAACAAATAAGTACCCTTGTATTGTCCTTTACATAACCTTCAGAACTGAGGGCAAGAAGTAAATCTGTTCCTTTCCATCCCTGTTCCCCACCACTCCTCACCTCCCCACCCTCCACCCTGCCATCTCTCCACATATGAGATCCTATTTCTTTCTGTCTTCTAGTTGCAGCCCCCAAGAACACAGAGAAAGATTTGATCTTAACTTTTCTTCAGTTATCATTTCATTTTTTAATTTATTTAACCAACAGTTACTGACTGCTAATATATTTAAGGCACTTTACTAGGCACTGGAGAGAATGATGGATGAGAAGATAAAGGAATAAAGGGAATGTTTCCAGTCTCCATAAGGAGATAGTTTAGCAAATAATAAGTACTATATGGAGTTGCCTGGTTATGTGGCTCTTTTTCAAGTTCCCCCTCCCTCTATCCATTCTCCACCCTTCTCTTCCCTGCATTGCACAGCCTTGCAGGTTGATCCCTGAATATACATTTGCTATTAGCCAGGCTCCTTAGCCCTCTGTCTTTATTGGGCTCAACAGATGGGAGGAACGAGCAAGATACTGAAGGGAGAGAAGAGAAAGAGACTGAGGTATTTACTCCTTAAGCTTTTTATCTGCTTTATTGTGCTGCAATCTGGCAGTGGCTGTATCCCTCCAAGGCTAGAGTTCACCCTAGGTAACCCCAACTCCAGGACTCAGGTTCTCAAAAGGGGATATTGCCATAAACAGTGGCAGGAACAATATGATAATCAGGGCTTTTGACTTCTATGGTGGTGGCTCATTTATCACGAGATACTTAAGAATGAAGTCAATAGGTAGCATTCTAAATTATAGCTTGATTTAAATGATCAAAAGAATTCTAGGTGTAATGGGCAGAAATTTGACTTAAGTTTTCATAGTAGTAATAAATGGACTCTCATCAAGTTCTCAGACTCAAAGCAGTTAATAGACCCAGAAAACCTTGTTTGAAATGGAGGTCAGATCTTTTTCAGGAGGGACTCTGAAATGCTGTCACAGTACACACCTGACATGTGACTTATAGCCAAGTTTGAAAATGCCCCATGAAAAGGGACATTCTCAGACCTCCCTGGAGTTATTAAATATGGGCCCTGGGTTTATGCCAATTTTGATGGAGTTAAAAAGATCACTGTTGTCCTGCTTTATGTTAAGTTTCCATCTGCTACAGTAACAAGTTACCATAAACTGAGTGGCTTAAAACAACATAAATCTATTAACTTACAGCTCTAGAAGTCAGAGTCTGAAATAGGTCTTCCTGGGATAAAATCAAGGCATCATCAAGGCTCTGTTCCTTCTGGAGGCTCTAGGGGAGAATCTATTTCTTTGCTTTTCCCAGCTCTTAGAGCCTGCCTACATTTCTTTGCTCATTTATCCCCTGACCCAGGAAGGGACATTAAGGTAGATAGGAAAGACCAAGTGGAAGACCCTGGTACTGTCCCTGCACAACAATATGGAAAACTAAAAGTAATACTGCATCTCTAAGTGCAGAAATTAGTGCCACTACGTAAAAATCTGAAAGATGCAGAGGTGCTATTTCCCCCATCCCATACTTAATTAACTTTCCCATTTAGCTTGTGCAAAACTAGGATGGATTATGGAAAATAACTCAGTTGCCATTTCAGATGTTTAACTTTACTGAATCAAACAACATGGACATCTGAGCTGTTCACCTGCAAACACTTTTTTCCTTGAGTCAAATTAGTAAGAAGTATCTAAAATACTTTGCCTTCACCTGGAAGGAACAGCAGTGTATTTTCACTATCTTACTCCAGGGATATGTCAAGTCTTGCTTTCTGTCATATTAAAATCTCCCAAGACCTTGAGCATCTTGCCATCCCACAGACCCACATTAGTCCACTGCATTGATAACTATGCTACATGGACTTGATGAACAAGAAGTAGCAAGTTCCTTACATGCTTTAGTAAGACAAATGTGGACACAGGGTAGAGAATAAAATCCGTGGAAAATTTGCAGAGTTTCAAGGGATTCAGTGGTCTGGAACATGTCAAGGTATCCTTTCTAATGTGAAAGACAAGTCACTACACCTTGTACATCCACCATGAAGAGGAGCACTATTTGCCAGAACTCTTTGGATTTTTGAGACACCATATACTATGCTTGGCTATACTTCTCCAATCATTTACTCAGTAACTTTAAAGGCTGCCTGTTTTGAATGGATCCTGAAGCAAAAGAAGGCTCTGCATGTTTAGGCTATAGTGCAAGTTGTACTTGGATCTTATGACCTAACAAGCACAATACTTATTTAAAATGTATGTGGCAGCCGGAGACACTGTATGAAGCCTCTGGCAAAACCCAGTGAGAGAATCACAGAAGATATATGACTCTTAGAGAAAAGTCATATACTCTTTGCCAATTTATTAGTTATCTACTGTTGCATAATAAATTACTTCCAAAACTTTAGGGGCCATCTTGGAGGCTGCCTACAATAACCAGTGACAATTCACTACTTAAAAAGTGGCATCTCTCTTGCTACTGGGATCCTGTAGAGACTGAAAGCATGATCATGGATCAAGTATATTCATTCATTCACTAGGGCTGCTATAACAAAGTACCACAAACTGGGTGGCTGAAACAACAGAAATTTATTATCTCTCAGTTCTAGGAGCTATAAGTCCAAAATCAATACATCACAGGATTGGTTCCTCCTGAGGACTATGAGACAAAGAAAGATCCACTGTAATATGGTTTGGCTGTGTCCTCACCCAAATCTCATCTTGAATTATAGCTCCCATAATTCCCATATGGTGTGAGAGTGACCCAGTAGGAGGTAATTGAATCATGGGGTACAGGTCTTTCCCATGCTGTTCTCATGATGGTGAATAAGTCTCATGAGATCTGATGGTTTTATAAAGGGGAGTTCTCCTACACAAGCTCTCTTGCCTGCCACCATGGAAAATGTGACTTTGCTCCTCATTTGTCTTCAGCCACGATTGTGAGGCCTCCCCAGACATGTGGAACTGTGAGTCAATTAAGCCTCTTTCCTTTATAAATTATCCAGTCTTGGGTATGTCTTTATTAGCAACGTGAGAACAGACTAATACAGTAACCTGGTACCAGGAGTGGGGTGCTACTGTAAAGATACCCAAAAATGTGGAAGAGACTTTGGAACCTGGTAACAGGCAAAGTGATATGGACAATAAAGTCCAGGCTGAGGTGGTCTCATGCAGATGAGGAACTTGTTAAGAACTGGAGCAGTGGTGACTCTTGCCATGTTTTAGCAAAGAGACTGGTGGCAGTTTGCCCCTGCCCTAGAGATTTGTGGAACTTTGAACTTGAGAGAGATTCTTTAGGGTATCTGGCAAAAATTTCTAAGCAGCAAAGCATTCAAGAGGTGACTTGGGTACTGTTAAAAGCATTCAGTTTTATGCATTCACAAATATATGGTTTGGAATTGGAACTTATGTTTAAAAGGGAAGCAGAGCATAAAAGTTTGGAAAATCTGCAGCCTGATGATGCAATTAAAATGAAAACCCCATTTTCTGAAAAATTCAAGCTGGCTGCAGAAATGAGGAGCCAAATGTTAATCACCAAACAATGGGGAAAATGTCTCCACGGCAAGTCAGAGGACTTCACGCAGCCCCTTCCATCACAAGCCAGGAGGCCTAGGAGGCAAAAATGGTTTCATGGGCTAGGCCAAGGGCCTTGCTTCTTTGTGCAGTCTCAGGACTTGGTGCCCTGTGTCCCAGCTGTGGCTAAAAGGGGCCAATGTAGAGCTCAAGCCATTGCTTCAGAGAAGCAAGCCCCATGCCTTGGCAGCTTACATGTGGTGTTGGGCATGTGGGTGCACAGAAATCAAGAATTGAGGTTTGGGAACCTATGCCTAGATTTCAGAGGATGAATGGAAACTCCCAGATGCCCAAGCAGAGGTGTACTATAGGAGCAGAACCATCATGGAGAACCTCTACTAGGGCAGTGCAGAAGGGAAATGTGGGATATGAGCCCCCACACAGAGTCTCCACTGGGGCACTGCCTAGTGGAGCTGTGAGAAGAGGGCCACCATCCTCCAGCCCCCAGAATGGTAGATCCAGGGACAGCTTGTTCCGTGTAACTGGAAAAGCCACATATACTCAACGCCAGCCTGTGAAAGCAGCCAGGAGGGGGCCTGAACCCTGCAAAACTACAGGGGCAGAGCTGCCCAAGACCATGGCAACCCACCTCTTGCATTAGCATGACTTGGATGTGAGACATGGAGTCAAAGGAGATAATTTTGGAGCTTTAAGATTTGACTGACCTGCTGGATTTCAGATTTGCATGGCACCTGTAGCCCCTTCATTTTGGCCAATTTCTCCCATTTGGAATGGTTGTATTTACCCAACACCTATAACCCCATTATATCTAGGAAGTAACTAACTTGCTAGTGATTTTACAGAGTCGTAGGCAGAAGGGACTTGCTTTGTCTCAGATGAAACTTTGGACTGTGGACTTTTGAGTCAATGCTGAAATGAGTTAAGACTTGGGGGACTGTTAGCATGGCATGATTGGTTTTGAAGTGTGAGGACATGAGATTTGGGAGGGACCAGGGATGGAATGATATGGTTTGGCTGTGTCCCCACCCAAATCTCATCTTGAATTATAGCTCCCATGATTCCCATGTATTGTGGGAGGGACCTAGTGGGAGGTAATTGAATCATGGGGGTAGGTCTTTCCTGTGCTGTACTTGTGATAGTGAATAAGTCTCACAAGATCTGATGATTTTATAAAGGGGAGTTCCCCTACACAAGCTCTCTTGCCTGCCACCATGTAAGACATGACTTTACTCCTCATTCGCCTTCAGGCGTGATTGTGAGGCATCCCCAGCATGTGGAAGTGTGAGTCAATTAAGTTTCTTTCCTTTATAAATTACCCAGTCTCAGGTATGTCTTTATTAACAGCATGAGAACAGATGAATACACACTGCAAGCTTCTCCTTGGCTTGTAGCTGCCATCTTTTCCTATGTTTCTTCACATGGTTTTCACTCTGTCTCTTTCTGTATCCAAATCTCTCCTTTTTATAAAGTTATCAGTCATATTGGATTGGGGCCCACCCTAGTGACCTCATTTTAAATTGATTAACTAGGTCGTGGAGACACGTGAAGGTTGGTGCGGAGTTCGTCTCTGCAAGCATGGTTGTCCTGGGATGGATTCCTCCTGCTCTTCCTCTGCGGCGGGTTTGGGTGCAGTGGACCCGCAGTTGCAGCATTTTCATTGAGGTAGAGACTCAAAAGCAGCGCTTCCAGCAGCTGGTGCACCAGATGACTGAACTTTGTTGGGAGAAGTGCATGGACAAGCCTGGGCCAAAGTTGGACAGTCGGGCTGAGGCCTGTTTTGTGAACTGCATTGAGCGCTTCATTGATACAAGCCAGTTCATCTTGAATTGACTGCAACAGACCCAGAAATCCAAGCCAGTTTTCTCAGAAAGCCTTTCTGACTGATCTCAGCATTACCTCTTTGGAAAAGGAAGGTAGTTCAATAAATGAAGAGCTGTTGATGGGATGATTGAAGAAACAGCTATGAGAGGACTGGCTCCCATCTTTTGTTACTTTTGGGACATCCTGTCATCTGAGAATGAACAAAGACCAATTTTTTGTGTGTGAAGCTTAAGGGTCATATGTTTGCTTGTATTTTTTAATGCTAATCTTGTGAAAATAATTGACAGGTGAATGGAAAACTCTATTTAGATGCATATTACTGTACACGGGACTATGCTTTTCTCAAAGCCCCATTAACTGCTTCCTATTATTTTGATAGTGGGACCACATACATAAAAATCTCTCATTTGTGTGGAGTCATTTCGATTTCAAGGGAGATCCTTGTGTTTTTCAGAAAGGGCAGAAGTGGGGGAAGAATAATTTAGTATCCTTATCTAGTGTTTGATTATCAATGCTGGAGAAAAATATCTGTAAGAGTGTTTATACAGTACACTTCAGTTTTCTTGATGATCTCCCTTTCCTATATGATGATTTGCTTAAATATCCATATTAAGTATAGTCTCAAGGTAAGGTAGGCAGCCTGAGAGTCTAGAGGTCTTTAGTTTTAAAGGAATCTAGCCAGTGAACATAATTCTTATTACTAGACTGCCACAAGGAAGAAATTAACTTACCCTGTATATCAGGGTACAAAAAATTCAATGATGTGCCTAAATAAGTTATAAAGATTTAGGCCAATCATAAGCTAACAGCAGTTTCAGGTAGAGGTGCATGCCTAATGTTAATTAGTGTAGATTCCATTTACTGCATTCTTTTGATCACTGAAATAAAAGCTATATAAGATTCAAAAAAATTGATTAACTCTGTAAAGACCCTATATTCAAATAATGTCACACTCTGAAGTCCTAAAGGTTGGGATTCTAATATATCTTTTGGAGGGACACAATTCAATCCATAACATCAAGTAACTGCACAACCTAGCTACCCTAATAAACTGAGTGTTGCCTAATCTACCACATGATAAAATTGGGCATTTGCAGGAGCATGCTATTATTAAGCGAAAATTGTATCTATATGATAAAGGAGATAAGCCCACCAGGTCCACAAGGCACAAGAAACTCAGACTAGCAGAAAACTTAGACTCTATGATGCCTGCTCCCATTGACTCAATGTCTCTCCCTCAGTGCACACCTATAGCTTCACAAGGAGTTTCCTACAACTAGGCAACAGATGAGGGAAAGGAGTCAATGTTATGCAAAGTAAGCTGGCACTAGCAATAAGTAGATGGCTGCTGCATCAGAGTCCCTCCCAGGGATGTCCTGAAACACAGCAGAAAGGGAAATCTTACTGACAAACAGAACTTTGAGCAGAACATCTGCTTTTCTATTTTGCAAGAAAAAAGAGATGGCCCAATGTAAGATCTACACTGACTCATCAGTGGTGGCTAATGTGTTGGCCAGCTGCTACCTTAAGGATTTGGAAAAAACAAGATTGAAAGACTGGTGACACAGAGGTCAAGGTGGGGGAGGCATGTGAGAGAGTCTCTTGAAATGGGCACAGGGTGTGAAGATATTTGCGTCTCATGGAGTGCCCTCCAGAGAACAAATTGACCTGTCCCGTAGATGTCAGCCAGCCTCCTGCCAGCTTCCTTGGGGCTTGCTGAATGTACAATGAGTGCCATGGTGCTGGCATGGAGATGAAGCACAGGCTTAACTCTCCAGACTTCCTTCACCGAGGCTGATGTGGCTTACCAATGCTGAGTGAGCAAAATGCTGAGAGTGAAGGGCAGCACTGAGCCCCCTGTGGCACCATTCCCCGTAGTCCGTGTTAAATGGCCTCTCTTCACAGCATCAGTTCACAGGGTCCAGTAACACCATTGACTCATCTTCCTCAGCAGTTGGAAGAGGGAGGAGGAGAGTTAGTTTCAGCCTCTGGAGTTGGGGGTGAGTGAGGATACTGATGTATCACAAGCAACTAGTGGGCAAGGGGGAAAAGATGACTGAGTTCAAAAGCAATGCCTGGATTGGAAATAAAAGATGGAAAATTGCATTAATTCATAATCATGTGGTAATGCCCCATCGGACTCTGCATTCTTAATCTTTTACCTCTACTGACAGAGAGGCTTTGCTTTTCAGCTGCTGTGAACAAGCTGAAGAGGCCTTATCCTCTTATCTGCAAGAGTGGAAGTAATCACAGGGGGCCCTAAAGGCAAATGTTTACCTGTGTATTTTATCGTGAAAGTGCCAAGGGTCCAGACCTCACCTCTCTTGTCCCACTTTATCTCCAGTACCTAGAAGGGAGGCTGGCACATTGTAACCACTCAAACATCTGTGGATGACTGGAATAAATGGGAGGATGTAGGAATGAATGAACGAATGAATAATCCTTTAGGGAACAATAGAGAGCTGGGGGAGGGAGAAGCCATACCTGATCTTTTATTCTTCTCCAAAACCCTTGAAAAGACTATGAGAGGCCGCATAGAGTAGCCATTAAGACCTTGAACTCTTAATTTAGGATCTACAACTTCCTAGCTGAATGGCTTGGCCAAGTTATTTATTCTCTGTGTACAGTCTTCCTTCCTGTAAAACAAACACAGTAAATGCTTAGAGCAGCACCTGGGAAAAAGTCAAGTTCCACATAAGTGTTACTGTCATTATTTTTGTCATCTTGATGAGTGTGTAAGCCTGCAAGACAATCGGGAAATTCCCTAGGGAGGGTGAATCCAGATACTCAGCTTCCAAGGGCCATTCAAGAGGGAACAATCACCTTTTCTCTTTGCCTTTCATACTGCTTTAGACCCCTCACTGCTTCCTAACATAACTTTCACTGGCAAGAGACGGAGTCCTGGGTTTCAGTTCCAGTTGCCTGCGGTGGGCTGTGTGAGTTTGCCAAAGTCCCCTGCCCTCTCTGGGTCTCGGTTCCCTCGCCTGTCCACGTGAGGTTGGAGGAGCTGAACGCCGACGTCATTTTTAGCTAAGAGGGAGCAGGGTCCCCGAGTCGCCGGCCCAGGGTCTGCGCATCCGAGGCCGCGCGCCCTTTCCCCTCCCCCACGGCTCCTCCGGGCCCCGCACTCTGCGCCCCGGCTGCCGCCCAGCGCCCTACACCGCCCTCAGGGGGCCCTCGCGGGCTCCCCCCGGCCGGGATGCCAGTGCCCCGCGCCACGCGCGCCTGCTCCCGCGCCGCCTGCCCTGCAGCCTGCCCGCGGCGCCTTTATACCCAGCGGGCTCGGCGCTCACTAATGTTTAACTCGGGGCCGAAACTTGCCAGCGGCGAGTGACTCCACCGCCCGGAGCAGCGGTGCAGGACGCGCGTCTCCGCCGCCCGCGGTGACTTCTGCCTGCGCTCCTTCTCTGAACGCTCACTTCCGAGGAGACGCCGACGATGAAGGTGAGTGCCGCGCCACGTACGTCCCCGGGGCGAGCTGTGGGGACCTCTTCGCCAAACTCCCCAAATGGCCCAAAAGCTGGCGAAACCGGACCAGGGACTCCCCTTAGGCGGAAGCCCCAAGGCCACCCTCTGACAGGTGAAGGGACGTCCCAGAGCTCTCGCTTAGCTTTCGGACCCTGGCTTCTGCTAGGACCCTGGCGTCGAGCTTTGAATGTCCCGGAGAGCCACTCACAGAACGCACGCCCGAACCCGGGCAGGGGTAGAGAAACCAACGCTAATGTGCTCTGAAGGCACAAGTTCAAGGGCACCCGCCTTAGAGAACTCCAACTGGCGCACTCCAGACGCCACCCCCACCCCCAGCCCGCGGTCTCCCTCTTCTAACGCACTCCCACCTGCAAATCCTGCTGCCTCTGGAGCAGCCCCGACCCTCCTACGGAAACTGGGGCCACACGCTTCCCTCTAATTGGACTTGATCTGCTCGGCTTGCAGACACCGTGGAAGGTTCTTCTGGGACTGCTGGGTGCTGCTGCGCTTGTCACCATCATCACCGTGCCCGTGGTTCTGCTGAACAAAGGCAGTAAGTTTGAAACATTTGAAAAAGATAGGACAGTTGGAGCTCAGGTCAGGCTCCGTCTTACCACGCTAAGGGAAACGAGGGATTTTGCGTGGGGTTGGACCAGTGCCCCGAAGTGTAGCTGAGAAGGCTTCCCAGTTGTTGTTGCTGCTTGTAGAGCAGCAGCTGGATTCACTTCGCGGGGTCTTCAGTGTTTAGGCTGAAACTCTTGCGGCTTTCACGTCTTGTTATGTATAATAAATGCATGCTTCCTGAAATTAGGGAGAGTCGGGATTTTTAAAATTTCAATTTTAAATTTAATTTGTAAATTTTTAAATTTACATGTAATTTTTGAGAAAAGTTTTTGGGTGTGATCGAAAAAGGAAAAAAGGCAGTGTTTAAAGAGCCCAAAGACAGCAGTAAGGATATCTGAAATGGAAAGGAAAAATGAGAAAGCAAGCCCCAAAATACAGTTTTGAGAAATGATGTTCCACAGGGAACCCAGACTGTTTTCCCTCAAGGGTGGTGAGAATTCAGTTGGAGGGTGGGGAGGCAGGGAAGTAATTGACCAATTTAGCAGTATTGCAGAGCTAAATAATAAAGCTGGTATACACGATAATATTTAAGAAGGGTCTGGAATCAGTGATGTTTTGGTGGATTCTTTTATTTAAGGACTTTCATGTCTTTTTAGCTTGCCTAAATGTATAAAACACTCACATAATGGAATACTCACTGTAGGATGCAAGCAAGTGAGAACTACTAGTTTCAGTCTCCCCTGGCCTTACTTTCCTTTTAAACACTTGCTTTCATTTCAGCATTACACACTATAAATTAGTCAGCCAGTTAAAGCATTCTCTCTGGAAGATTTAGTCAACTGAGGAATGTATAGTCAGTGCTTGCATACTCAAGGAGTCTTATCTAGATTTTAGGATGACAGTTCAGAATTAGATTGTAGAGCTATGAAAACCATGCTTGCTGTGCAATTCAAGGCCAGGGCAAATGTGCCAAAGGTTAAATAACTGAATGGGTTGACCTACTGCTAATGAAATTTGAAGAAACCAGTGGTTGCTACTATTTTATACCATTAAATGACAGTCCACTTAAGCTTGACTCTTGTGGACTGTTAAAATATAACTATTTTCATAAAGCAACTCTTTGTGTAAACCATACATGCAAAGCCTTGTGGGAGAAGAATGTGCTAGTCATACAATTGATAAATATAGGGCTTACAGGCTTACATTATGTTCCAGGCACCGCGTTAGTTGCTGCAAATACAAAGATTAAATTTTGTAAATATAAATATAAAGGCCCTGACCTCAAGGACTGTATAAGCTAGTGGGAACATGCAAACAAATATGACTTGTTTTACATATATATGTGTGTATGTGTGTGTGTGGATACACACATATATAAATAGAAATAATCTGTATGTTTCTCTCCAAAACATCACTGAGGCATCACAGCATCGCTGGAAGTTTGAGTAAAACTGTAATTATCAGAACTTCCGTTAAAGCAAGTTGGAAGGAATACTGTACTTTGATAAGCCACTTGAGATGGCCAGTGAAAAGGCCTAGGGATCTGAGGCTTGCTGCAGTTAACTCTGAGAATTTTGTTTTGCTGGGTAGGGTATACAGGCCAGGAAGAGCTGTTTTGCCATTTCTGCTAAATAGCACCTGGTATCTTCTCCAAATGAAATTTGAACACATTTCAAGAATGTTCTCTTGAGGAGGACTTCCTGAGAGACTCAACTTGTTTCCATATAACTACTCTTATGATTCAAAAAAATAACTTAGAGGTGCTTGAGCAGACTGCTCTGGAGGTTAGAAGGAACACTTCTGGGAAAGTCTCCCCCTCCCGGGTTCAAGTGATTCCCTTGCCTCAGCCTCCCGAGTAGCTGGGACTACAGGCACACACCACCACGCCCGGATAATTTTTTGTATTTTAGTATAGATGGGGTTTTACCATGTTGGCCAGGATGGTCTTTATCTCCTGACCTCATGATCTGCCCACTTTGGCCTCCCAAAGTGCTGGAATGAAAGGTGTAAGCCACTGCACCCGGCGGAGAGACTTCTTATAAGAGGTTTCTTTTGTGGGCCAAGCTTGAATAGTTAACATCAGTTTCTGGAGATAAGATATTCCAGAAAATGCAAATGCCCTGTGTTTCAACACAGAGACATGAGATCACATCCTGTGTTAGGGATTATAAAAGGATCCAGGGCCCCAGAGGAGGGTGGGAAACAGGCAAAAGAGTTTGATTCTAAGCTGGAGATGATGCAGTGAATGATGTTTTGAGCATGCCTGAACTGTTGGCCATGACAGTGGGAAGGTGAGTTGCAATGGAGCAACACTGGAGGGGGAAGTGAGGGAAATGGCCCAGGACACTTACAGTACAGGTCAGAATTTGGAGGCTCCAGAGCTACTCAGAAATGTGAATGACTGGACTTCGGTAACCGGTTAAACAGAGAGAGGTAAAGGAGAGGGTGGCTAAGGATACCTCTTGGACAACCAGGTGGAGATGTTGTTTCATGGTGGCTTTATTTATTTACCACTCTAGTAATTTCTTGTCTGTATTTCTTAACTTGTATGTATGTATGTTTAAGGAAAAAAGGGAAGTCATCTTGTTAACACTTCTGCCTTATCATAGGAATAAAGATAAAAGCTCAGGAATGCAGCATTTTCACTAAATCAGCAATACCTTTCCTGGGCTGTGCCATAATAAAGGTCAGCATTCCTTACAAAAAAGTCAAAGTCATCACCCAAGAAATGCCCTCCATGTTGTCAATCAAGCTTTCAAGTAAACAAATAGAGTGAAGGAAAAAGGAAGGAAGTAGGGAGAAAGGAAATGTAAAGGGAAGGGGAAGGGAAAGGAAAGGAAGAAGGAAGGAAGGAAAGGAATTTGATAGAAAAACAAAGCAAAGACCTAAATTACGTGGAAACTAAAGAATTAAACAGCCAAAAGGAAGGAGGAAGCCATGAGCAAACCCAAGTTCATCCCCTGAGAGGTTGATTTAAGAGGTCAAGCATTTCCATGTGAAATGCTTACTTTAGCAAAACTAGACACACCCAGAACAGGACGGGGGCTAGTGAATGGGGAGCCAGAGAGAGAGAGAGAGAGGCTTAATACTATTGTCATATATTTAAGAATAAAAACTCCTTGAAGTCATATTATTCATTTCACCAAGCACAATCAAAAGTTCACCCTCTTCTGTGTATATAATAAATGATTGTATGTTTTAAATTTTTTTTCAATCATCCTACTATAGGAGGATATTGCATATGTAAGCATTCAGTTTCCCCAAGAATCAGTGAGAAATACGTAAAAATACTTGTATGGAATTGTAGAACTCTTCATGGCTTAGTGGTAATAAAATTCACATGCAGCATTTATGATTCCTTTATTTTTTCTTTTACACTATATTATATGCTGAAATTTGAAATATTTGGTTATTTGTCAAATAGTTTTATTATTATTGAATTTTATTATGGAAAAGAAGTATATCTCTTCTTTTGCTCCTTTCACTGCTTTAGTGGTAAATTTCTTCTATACCTTCTTTCGGTGGAAAGGAAATTTGACTGCTCACCCATCCATCAGTAATAAGAGAAAACCCAAATGTGAAGGAGACAGGAATAATCAGAGAGAAAAGATAGCATCTATGAGGTTTGCCTGAGGAAGTCCAGGATCTGTTCCAGGTTTAAAGCACAGAAATGCGCCTGAATGAAAGCTTTGTATGTTTCAGGGGACAATTTCTAAACAGTATGCTCTGTAAAAGCTGGAGTTGACTCCAGCTTGCTCAGTTAACTATTGTCAACCTTTGTGGAATGCTCATGAGGTCAGCAGGTTAGTCTTTTTCAGGCCAGTTATTTTGGGTTTTGCTTCCCTAGCCATAGCATATGCCTTAAGTTTCTCTATCTTAGAAATCTCTGCCTCTCTTCTCAAAGGGGATCACAAAGAGAGAGAAAATGAAGACTACTCAGTTGATGGTCAGAGAAAGACAATATAAAAAGACTGGAGCTGGATCGTGTCTTTCAAATTTTATGACTTAAGAAATTACTGAGGCCCATGGAGAATGTGGCTGTAAATAACATGCAGGAGCGCCTTGCTTGAGGAAGAGAAGGCATGCAAGCTACAATAATAGCCAATATGCATTTACTAAGTGCTAAATTTGGGGCTGAGGGCTTTCAATGTATTTTTCATTTAATCCTTAGAACAACTCTTTGAAAGAGAGGTACTATTACCCTCTCCATTCCTACAGAAGATTTATAGAAACTTTGAGAGGGTACTTTAGTTATCTGTAATTGCATAATGAATTACCTCAGAACTTAAAACAATAAATATTTATTATCTCATAGTTTCTGTGTATAAGGAATTTTGGAGTGGCTTAGCTGGGTGGTTCTGCCTCAGGGTCTCTCATGAGGTTGCAATCAAGATGTTATCTGAAAGCCTGACTGGGGCTGAAGGATCCCCTTCCAAGCTCACTCATGTGCCTGTTAGCTAGAGGCCTCAGTTCCCTAGTGTGTGGGCCCCAGTTCCCCACCATGTGGGAATTATATTATAATTTCATGACTTCTAATCTCTGTGTCGTAAGCATTCTGAAGAAGAGCCTACTGTGGATGCCTTCATTCCTATATAAAGCTGTATACAGGCAATGACTGACATCTCAAGCTTTTGAATGGTTCTGTTTAGTAGTATTAGTAGTAATAATAGGTCCAGATTTACTTACTTGCACTAAATTATACTTAGGATAATATGGTAGCTACTTTCCCTTAGAATGAAGGATCCAAGAGAGGAACTAAGCAGGAAGCTGAGTTGCCTTTTATGACCTAGCCTCAGAAGTGGCAGGTATACCATTCCTTCTGCTGTGTACTATTGGTCACACAGACCAACCCTGATACAATGTGGGAGGGCACTACACAAGTGTGTAAATACCAGGAGGTGGAGATCATTGGGAACCATGATGGAGGCTGGCTCCAATGACTATCAAAGAAGTTAAGGAACTTGCTCAAAGTTCCACAAAGTTGGGATTCATACTCAGGCAATGTGACTCTACAGCTGATACTCAGTACTGTTCAACTCCATATCATTCTGTCAGCTTGTAATCAAGTATAAAATCAACTTGGCCATATTAGCATAATTGTTATAACTTCTCATTTGCATAGCGATATTATAATTTCATGGCTTCTAATCTCTATGTGTTAAGTATCCTGAGGAAGAGCCTACTGCTGCTGCCTTCATTCTCATATAAAGCTGTATATAGGCAATGACTGACATCTCAAGCTTTTGAATGGTTTCGATTTTTAGTATTAGTAGTAATAATAGATTCAGATTTACCTACTGGCACTAAATTACACTTGCTTTGCTTCTGATGTAAGTTACATTATTTCATTTGATCTTCACAGAGAAGTTCATTTTAGAGAGATATATTAATATCTTGACTTTTTACACGTGAAAGTTTAGGGGTTTGCAAGTAAGTACTGGATCTTGGGAATCCAAATCTTTTGACTACCAACCTTCCCTGAGCCTGCTGGTTCCCATGAATGGCTAATTTATAGAAATGCCTTGGTGAGAGTTTTTCTGAGTTAATGTTTAATCATTACTTTATGGTTGGATGCTAATCCTTTCATTGCTGTAAATCAATATCTTGTAAATATTTTTAACTTTAGTCTTCACAGCTCCATTATGACCTCCAAAAGAGGGTGTGTCTCTCAATTTGAGAGTAACCTGAAACCATGAAATTAGAACTAACTGTTTTATTATTTGCCAAGCATTGTATTGTTTTATATTGTTCTTCAAAATTATAACTTCCTAGGAAGCTTTTACAAATTTAAAGATAAACTATGTGCTTTCTTTAACTGGGGGCATTAATGTGCACATTTCTTAATTATTTGGTTCAGTGAGGAAGAAAGTAGACCTATGAGTTCAGGGTCCTAGAAGAGGAGGTAATGTAAGGCAGAGCCAAAGCCACTAGAGATTTTATTCATGGCACTCTAGGAGCCATGGTGGCTCAGGATGTATAACTGAGGTAGAGGGAGTAGGAGAGGTGAGTATCAAGCAGGTCTTATCATCCACCCCTTCCCTGACTTCTTAAAACTGGGGACCCCAAAACTGAGCTTAGTGGCCTCTGTGGCCTAATACCATTTCTGTGAGGCTGGAACCCTCTTTTCTTGTTTTCCTCAGTTGTTCTAAAGCCCACCCTGCTCAAACTCATGTCCATAAGTTTCATGGATGACTCTTATTTCTCTATTATATTCTTCCATTATTTGATTCCAGGCATAAAACTCTTTCAGTATGAGATTTAAAACCTCTTCAGGGCCAAGGTCCAACAGTGGCTAAATACAATATTTTTCAATTCAAAAACATATATTGAATGCTTACTGCATGTCAAGTGTTATTGAAGGTATGGGGGATATGGCCTGCTATGATTGCGTATTTGTCCCCTCCAAACCTCATGTTGAAATTTGATCTCCAGTGTTGGAGGTGAGGCCTAATGGAAGGTATCTGCATAATGGGATCAGAGCCCTCCCACAGGGGTGAGTGAGTTCTTGCTCTATTCGTTTCCGTAACAGCTGATTATTAAAAAGAGCCTAGCACCTCCCTCTTTCTTGCTTTCTTTCTCACCATGTGATCTCTGCACATGCCAGCCTCCCCTTCACCTTCTGCTATAAGTAGAAGCAGCCTGAGACCATCATCAGATGTAAATGCCCAATATTGAACTTTCCAGTCACCAGAATCATGATCCAAATAATCTTTTAAAAAGATAAATTACTAGCCTCAGATATTCCTTTATAGCAATACAAAATGAGCTAAGATCTAGCCCTAAGCAGTATAGATAATGTCCCTGTTCCACTGGACCTTTACAGTTCATAGAGCAGGCAAATTATAGGCAAGTGCAGAAATAATTTCAGATGGTAATAAATGCTATGACAGAAATCAAGTGGGATAGAGAGGACCGGCAGACACAGAAAGGAGTTTCTCTCTTATTCCAAGTATGATTTTGAGCTCCTGGAGGATTTCAGCATGAATGTGACATGATCTTTTCACATTTCAAAAATATGCCTCTGACTCTTGTGTGGATAGTAGTTTGGGGTTGGTGTGGTTTGTCCAGGTGATCAATGATGGTGGCTTGGAGAAGGATGGTAGCACTGGAGGTGAAAATAAGTTTAAAAAAAAAAAAGAAACGCAGGATGTATTTTGGAGGTAAGACAATGTGCAGGCATGTGAAGAGTGAGGGAAGGAGAGAAGGTAAGGATGGCTCCTTGGACAGCTGGCTAGATAGCTTAAGTAAAGAATTTCTCTTGCCTCCTGGCTGTTTCCTTTTTATCAGAGCTTGTCTGCAGAGGTTCCTCTGGCTTAACTCCCCTTTCCTATTGGATCAGCCTTCCCCTTTCAAGGATGTGCTCAGGAACACCTCCTACTTCATATTCACCCAGCACAGATTTGTTGACAGAAGGTAATTCTCCAACTTGGCAAATATTTATTGAGGATTTTCTATATGCCAGGTACTTTGTGGGTCCCTAGGGATAGAAAGACAATAGATATGGCCTTTGTCCTCAAATAATTGACAGCATTAAAAGACACATAAACATTAACTACAATCAAAAGAGCTAAGTGCCCTTCTAGTAAATGATCAAAGTGCTATGGAAGCACTAGTGACCAAATGATAAATGCTGCCCCAGGAAGTTTCTACATAAACAACCAAGCATAAAGCATTAATAATTAATGGGTCTTAATATTATCCTTCCAATCCTTCAGCCCCCAAACTGGCTCTGAGGCATGCAGTGCACCTCCGTGTCCATCCTCACTGACTTACAGCCCCCTGATGCTGTATGAGGATTGTATCAGGATGTTTTGGGCTTCAAGGAACCCAATACCTGGCCAAAAGTTATTTGAATGATAGCGTTTTATTACTGTATTGTCATTAGCATCTTTTATAATTGGAAGTGCAGAAGTAAAGTGGTTCTTGGGTTTGTTAATGTAATGGCCTGAACACATCAAGAACATGGGGCCTTTCCACCTTTCAGCTCTGCCATCCTTGGAGTTTTGTCTTTTGATCTCCAGTATGTCATCTCATGGTTGAGCATGGCTTCTGCAGCTCAACCCAGCACTTGCTCATACAGCTCATTCACAGGGCAGAAGAGGATGCTCTTCCTCATTCATGTTCTGCTGTATCAGGGAGGAAAACCATTTCCATAAGTCCTCTGACCAGATGCAAACTTTCAGATCTTACTGGCGACATTTGTGTCACTTGTCCATATCCAAACCAATCACCGGCAAGGAGAATGAATTGCCGTGATTGAACCAGACTACTCAAGACTCACCTTTCTCAGGTTGGAAAGTATCTTCTTTTGCTAGCACATGGAAGGAGAAGGGCAAATACCTAAGTTGAATTGAAAATTCTGAAAGACAGAAATCGGGGAGACGGCCTATGTAGGCATATCGTGTATTTGGTTATTGCTCTCTTTTCATTACGTTAGAAAGATTTAATTTTTCAACAAAAGAGGACAGACATCAAGCCAGCTCTGATCTCCAAAAATCTGGAGCTGTAATTCTCTCCTTTCCTTCTCCTCACTTTCTTTCCTAACTGGGTTTATTGCAAATCAGTGTGCTTTGTTGCTGCCTTTCTGATCTCAAGGACATTTTGACCTCAGCCCTTTCTTTCTTTTGGCATCCAAAGTGATCAAGAGGAGAAAATAATTGAATTGCAATGTTAAAATATAAATCTGAGATAATAGAGCAGGTAAGAAACATCTGAGGGGAATTACTGACAATTTACCTCTAGAAAATCCACATAAACTGTCACATTTCATCCAGTTCATAATAGCAGAAAGTGGTAGAAATAGTCAACATAAAATAAGATGGGCAAAATTTTTAAAAAATGGTAAAACTTAGATCTGCTAAAGTTAACCCAGGAAAGTAGGACTTAAAATAATTAATGGCCATAAAAATAAAATAGTAAATAACAAAAGCAAACAAAATAACCTCACAAGGTCCAGAAGCTATAATTTAATCTAACATGGGCAAAAAAAATCTAATTGATGACTCAAATCTTTGTTTTAAAATTTCCAGCGAAAAAATTACTCTGCATGGTAATGATTTTCTTAAAATGAAAAGGGTTTGGCTGTACTGAAAGGAGAACCCAGAACCCAGCAGCCAGTGGACCCTTATTCCTTCCTGGCAATCTGGCCCTATTTTCCCTGTCTGCTCACTCGCTTGCTTTTCTGGTGAACTATTCCAGGTATCTCCTCTCCACTCAAACTTCCAACACCTCCTCCATATGCTCATTCATAGCTAAGGACCTGGCTTCCTGTTTTGATAAGAAAACTGAAACCATTAGAAGAGAACTTCAATTCTCACCGGCTCATCAGTGCATTCACCTGTATCGGCTCCCCTCCCAAGTTAGAGGAATGAATGCTCAGGCTCCTACCCAAGACCAGGCCCTTTGTTTGTGCCCTGGGTCCCATCCCTTTTGCCTACTGAAAGATTAGGCTCCAGCTGTCCCCTTGCATGTGGCAACATCATTTTTTCCATCTCTATTTGATCATGAACATACAGTAGTGTCTCATATTCTTAAAAAATAAGAAGGAAACTGTCTTTTTCCACCCTCATCCCTGCCAACCTACCACTCCCTTTCTCTGCTCTCTTTACCACAAAACTTCTTAAAGAGTTTCTATTATCACTGTCTGTTACCCCTCTCCCTTTTTTTCTCTTAAGCCTCCTGGAATAAGGGTTATCCCCACCACACCACTAAAACAGCTGTATTCTTGTCAAGGTCCCTAATCTCTGTGTTGCAGATTGGGAGTTGCTTCTCACTCTGTGTCTCGTGTGCCTGTCAATTAGTCATCCTTCTTCTCCACCTCCCCTCGGGGCTCTCACTCTCTCCTGGTTGTCCTTCTACCTCACTGTGCAGTCTTTCCCAGCCTCCTTAGGTATTCTTCCTGATGTCTTCAACTTCTCACCTTGGACTACTCTGGGGCTCCATCCTAAGACCTTTTCCTTTTTCACCTTAGATGACCTCATCCACTCCCATGGCCTCAAATACCATTTACAACTTGGCAACTTTCCAATTTTACCTGCAAACCAGACCTTTTCCTGAGCTCTAGGTGCAGTATACAACTGCTTACTGGACATCTCCATTTGGATGTGATATTGGCATCTCATACTGACATCTTCCAAAACTCTTTGTCTTCCCTTAGTACATCTTATTTCAGCAAATGGCAATTCTATTTTTGTAGTTACTGAGGCCAATATCCATGCAAGTTCTCCTCAACTCCTCTCTTTCATCCACAAGTCACATCCAATGTGTCGGCAGTTTTATCATCTGTATCTTCATATTCTCTCAGAGTTTGACCCTACCTCACCACCTCATCTCCTACTACCCTGGTCAAAGACACAATTGCCCTTCCCCTAAATTATTGCCAACATCTCTCTTTTTTTTTTTCTTACTTCCCTATGGTGTATTCTCAACACAACAGACAAGGTGATTGTGGTAGGCAGAATGCTAAGGTGACCCCCAAGAACCCTCTCCTCCGCTCCTGTGTACTAATCTCTGAGATTGTGGATATGATGAATTTTCTTCCTGTAGTTAAGTTTCGTTATGATGCACAGTTGGCTTTAAGAAAGGGAGATTACCTGCTTGGGCCTGACTGAATCACATGAACTGTTTAAAAGCAGAGTTTCTCTGGCTAGTCACAGAACAGGCAGTCAGGAATCCCAGGCATGAGAAGGATTTAACATGCCATTGCTGACTTGGAAGATGGAGGGGCCATATGGCCAGGAATGTGGGTCATCTCTAGGAGGTGAGAGCAGCCCTGGCTTATAGTCAACAAGTAAATGAGAACTTCACTCTCACAACCTCAATGAACTGAATTTTGCCAACAACCTGTGTGAGCCTGGGAGCAGGTAATTTTTCCCCAGAGCCTCCAGCTGACAACTCATTCCAGCCAAAACTTTGATTTTAACCTCACAATACTTTGAACAGAGAACTCAGCAAAATGGGCTGGACTGCTGACTTTTAGAACTCTAAGCTGATACATGTGTGCTGTGTTAAGTCACTAAGTTTGTGGTGATTTGTTACATAGCAATAGAAAACCATTAATAATATAGTGATAAAATTGTTTTAATTTATTATTTATTTATTTATTTTGAGATGGAGTCTTGCTCTGTCGCTCAGGCTGGAGTGCAGCGATGCAGTCTCAGCTCACTGCAACCACTGCCTCCCAGTTTCAAGCGATTCTCCCGCCTCAGCCTCCCAGATAGCTGGCACTATAGGTGTGCACCACCACGCCCAGCTAATTTTTTTTTTTTTTTTTTGTATTTTTAGTAGAGACAGGGTTTTGCCATGTTGGCCAGGCTGGTCTCATACTCCTGACCTCAGGTGATTTGCCTGTCTTGGCCTCCCAAAGTGCTGGGATTATAGGTGTAAGCCACCATGCCCAGGCTGGCGACCACATTTAAACATAAGTCAAATCATGTCCTTTTCTGCTTAACATCGTTCATTGGCTTTCCATTGTGAAGGCTCCATGGCACTTGTTACCACCTAGCATATGGCATTGCTTACTCATTATCTGTTCCTATGTCTCCCCCAGTTAAAATATAAGCTTCATAAGGGCAGGAGTTTTTCATGCTTTATTCACTGTGATGTCTCTAGTGCCTAGAACACTGAATAACACAGTAAGTGCTAAGTAAATATTTGGTGAATTAAAGAAATTATCTTGGAGCTCAGGCAAGAAAATTTTTTTAATGAACATTTATTAATATTGCTGTAATTCTGAATAAAATTATTATATTTATAAACCACTCAGTACTAAATCATGTATACCTACAATTTGTAAGTGCTAGCAACTGTTTGAAAAAAGATAGAATACGTTTATCCTCATGGCTTATTAATAGTTTGGTTAAGAAAAGACTGTTAAAGTAAGTACTTAAATAGATATAAAATTACTTGATTAATTGGCAAAATATGTGGTACAGAAAATAAACATTTTAATAAGATGAGGAGAGAGAAATGAATGTGGACTAAGTAGTAAGGGATAGATCAAGAGACATGAAGAGGAATAGTGGGAAAATGAAGGCCATGAATGTAGACTGTTTATTTGAGAAGTTTGTCCAGATGGCTTGGGGATGCAGCAGGATCAGGTAAGTATTTCTTTAAGATCAGTACACACTCTGCATCCTTAACCACAGAGCAGAAGTGAGCAGTGGAAAGAAACTGAAGATGCAGCTGGGCACAGTGGCTCACACATGTAATCCTAGCTCTTTGGGATGCTGAGGCAGGAGGATCGCTTGAGCCCAGGAGTTCGTTCAAGGCTTTAGTGAGCCATGATAGTGCCATTGCACTCTAGCCTGGGTGACAGAGTGAGACCCTGTTTCAAGTAAAAAAGAGAAAGAGGAAGGAAGGAAGGAAGGAAGGAAGGAAGGAGGGAGGGAGGGAGGGAGGGAGGGAGGGAAGGAAGGAAGCTAAGAAAGAAGGAGGCTAGGAAGGAAGGAAGCTAGGAACGAAGGAAGCTAGGGAGGGAGGGAGGGAGGAGGAAGGAAGGAAAGAAAGAGGGAAGGAAGGAAGGAAGGAGCTTTGTGTTTTAGAGGGAAAAGGTAAGATTTTAAAAAAATCCCTTGGGAACAAGAGGACAAGCATCTGAGTCATAGATTGGGGTGTGGAATGATCGGGGAGGAAGCTCACCTCTCCCTCAGAGTTCTAAGGAAAGAGTTGAACAATGGCAGGAGGGACAGATACCACAGAACTGATGAGCTTGGTAGAAAATAAGCTCCTATGGTAGCTTTTGCTGTAAAGGAGGAATCATTGAATTTTTTTGTTGGCTAATTTTATAATTTTTTCAAAATGTATACTGCAGGACCTGAGTTGTTCAGCATTGTATAATATTTAAAATCTAGAGAACATGAAAAAAGGGAAGAAAACAAACCTATTTTAAAGCTTACGTGACTACTTTTTAATGAGTTCAGGAAAAAGATGATGAAAGTTATTGGGTATTCCCATGGAAAAGAGAATAGAGATGGTAAAACTTCCTTTCTAGGAAGTTACCTTCTAGGAAGCCACAGAGTTGCCATCCTTCTTACTGTCCAGAGGGAAAATTCTAGAGTTTTCTGAATTTGCACTCTTTTGACTTTGAAGCAGAACAAATTAAGTTTCAACTGACCCAAGTCCTAAGGATACTACCAACCTGCTTATTTAAAATAGTTGCAAACCATGAATTTAAACACTTCCATAAAGCCTAATTCATCTCCACCAATTCACAAAAAAATGCCAAGAAAGCATTTACCACATGCAATCACTGTTCCAAAGATTTAGAGAGGTTTAGAAGAGTGATTGTAACCACAGGCTTTGGCGCCATATTGCCTGGTCCAAATGTGGCTTTGGTGCATACTAATCACAGAATTTTAGTCTAGTTACTGGCTGTGCCTATCTGTGCCTCAGTCTCCTTATTTGTAAAATGGGAATGAGCATAAGAAGAATAAGTGGGTTGAAAGTCTACATTGCCTAGAACAACCCAGCAAACTAGAAGAACACCATAAGAATGCGTAATTATTATTCTTTATATGTTTATAACATTTTTTGTTTGTTTGTTTTAACAGCTCCAGACGCAGGTAGTATAGTAATTTTTGCCCCATACTGCTGAATGTTTTGCCTGGCAAATACTGGGAATGGGGCAATTCCTGTGGCAGTTTTGTTTTCCAATAATTGTTTTTTCTTATATCGGGGATGACAAATGCTTGTCACAAAGAGTAGCCTTGTTGATTACACTTATAAATCTTCGGGAGACTTCTTCAATGAGTCAGTGTTAGAGCTTTCAGTTTCCATAAATGCAGATTTCCTTTACTCAGTTTTCTTTTAAACATGAGCTGATCTTTCTTAGTTTGCACTATAATACCCTCCACTGAAGTCTCACTGCAACTGCTTTTAAGTATATGTGAAGAGAAACTAGCCCTTTGCTAAAATAGTTGCATGTTTCACGGGCCAGTGAGTCATTTAGTCATACACTTAAGAACTTTCCACCTTTCAAGTGTTTATCATCACCTCGGATTTCACGGCCTAATGCCAGTCAATTTCATGGGGCATAGAAGCCCTGTACGTATTAGTTTGGGCCATTATTGTATCAGTCTTGTTTATTCCCAGAAAAGTCTTATCAAGAAAAGAGGGAGTGACTATAATCAGAAAAAAAAAAATTCATTTCAGAAAGGGATAAAGCAGTCCTGCCACCTTGCTTAGTGCTGGCTCCCTGTGTGTGTAGAGCTTCCTGACTCTGCATGATAGCAGAGGGAACCAGGCAGTGTAACTCGGCTTAGTTCGGTCAGTCCTTCCAGCCTTGCATTTCTTTACCAACATGTTCATATTTGGGTTAAGATGAAAATAGATATCTGATACTTGAATACTGAGACATACATATTCTGCCCACTTTTACTTTTCTGCTACATATATTGGAGTCGTATGCTGATATTGTTTCAGGGTAATTGGAGTTTCAGTCTCAACATTTGTCTTTCAAGTCCAGTCTTGTGAGCAGTTTTTGTTTTTGCTTTAATGGTGCTCACAATTTTGAGGAATGTCCAGATGAGATTGTCAAACTGTAGTCAGGACTGGCCACCTGATGTTTTAAAAGGAAAGTTTTATGGGAACACAGCTGTGCCCATTCACTCACAGATTGGCTGTAGCTGCCTGCAAGTTACAATGGCAGACTTGAGTAGTTATAACAGAAACTAAAGACCATAAGGCCCACAAAGCCTAAACTATTGACCAACCAGCTATTTAAGAAAATGTTTGCCAACTCCAGGTCTAGATGTTGTATTCTTACCACTTAAAAATACTTTCGTTATAATGTCTAACTTGAATAACGAGATTCAGAAAAACGATTAAATATAGAGTTTATTCAAGTGCAAAGCTTGAGGATGACCTCTTGGAAAACATACTCCAGACAAATGGGGTTAGCATTACCAAGTGAGGAATTGAAAGTTTCACTCATATAGGCAGTTAACAGGGTTGCAACATTTTCCATACAAGGTCAGTATGTATATTACAGTGATTTTGTTGGTTACAGATTGCTATATTCCAACTAAGATTTCTTTAACATTCCATGAGCAGGGGTGATGATCTGAGGGGTTCCTACCTCGGGCACCACAGGGTCTTTTCTGGTCATTTACAGGAAAAAGCAGAAGTTACAGCTGCATGGTATGTGACTCAGGCCACATACCTCTCAAGGCTCAAAATAACCTAAAGTTCCAACAGATTTAAGTTCTAATTATTTAATTTCATCACAATAGGTAAGATGAATCAGTTCTTATATCAGTTAGGGAAATCACACTAGAGGCCAGGCGTGGTGGCTCCAGTTAGGGAAATCATACTAGAGGCCAGGCATGGTGGCTCAGGCCTGTAATCCCAGCACTTTGGGAGGCCGGGACAGGCAGATCATCTGAGGCCAGGAGTTCAAGACCAGCCTGGCCAACATGGTGAAACCCCGTCCCTACTAAAAATACAAAAATTAGCTGGGTGTGGTGGCACATGCCTGTAGTTGCAGTTACTTGGGAGGATGAGACAGAAAAATCGCTTGAACCTGGAAGGCAGTGGTTGCAGTGAGCCAAGATTGTGCCACTGCACTCCAGCCTGGGTGACAGAGTAAGACTCTGTCTCAAAAAAAAGAAATCACACTAGATATTTCAGCAGAGAGATTTAATATGAAAATTGGTTACACAGATAAAAGAGCAAAAGAGAAACTCTGAGGTAACTGAGAAAGTGTAACTGCAGGAAGGAGGAACACAGAAGATCTCAGATCAAAGCTCTAAGGTTTATAATCCCCCTAGCTGCTACTGGTACCTCCGTGAGGCATGATGAAGCAGGTTCTGGATATTACAAAGGAAGCTAGAGGCTGGAGCAGGTGCTACTGCTGGGTGCATGCTGTCAGCAAGAAGGAGGAAAGGAGGAGTCCCTCCTCTTCTCTAATTGCCATCCAATTTTTTCTCTATTTTCTCCTATTAACAGAACCTAGCAAGAATCCTGCAGATGAGGCTTCTTGGAAATATAGCTGTAGAGCCCTTCCCCAGAATTACTGAGCAAGGAAGGGTATGTATATTTGGAGGTGAAAGCCAGTAGGTGACTGGCTCAGGCTTACGGAAGTGTGCTGACCTAACAGTAGCTAGTGGTGGTCTAGAACCTGAGTTGTAATAGTCTGACAGGTTCTTCTTGCCCACTGCACAGATAAAACCAATTCACTGTGACAGTGATATTGCAATAGAGAATTTCATAGTCACAGGAACAGCCAAGTGAAAGGACAGGAGACAGTTCTCAAATTGACTCCCTCAAAGCTTGGAGGTTAGGGTTTTTAAGGATGATTTGGCAGGCAGGGACCTAGGGAATGGGTGCTGTTGATTGGTTGGGGATGAAATCATAGGACTGTCCAAAATGGTCTTTATGCACTGAGTCATTTTATGGGTGACGGTCACAGGACTGGTTGATTTAGTTCCTTGGTATGAGTCACAGGTCCAGGTGGAGTCAGCAGGTCCAACTGAATGCAAAAGTCTGAAAAATATCTCAAAGACCAGTCTTAGGTCTTGACAACTTGACAATAGTGATGTTATCTATAAGAACAATTGGAGAAGTTACAAATCTTCTGACCTCTGGAATAATGGCTGGTTATCATTTAACTACTAGCCTACATCTTGGCAGAATTCAGGCCCCTCCTATAGTCCTCACTGTGTG
The DNA here is from genome assembly GCF_000001405.40 of Homo sapiens. Taxonomy (NCBI): domain Eukaryota; kingdom Metazoa; phylum Chordata; class Mammalia; order Primates; family Hominidae; genus Homo; species Homo sapiens. The sequence goes on along the minus strand of NC_000002.12, from coordinate 162,056,725 downwards.
GCTTTTTCTTCGTCTTAGAAAGGCAATCTCAGTCCTCAGAGTGGGTCAGTTTTGGGAGGGACTATTACCATCCTTGCTGCAAAGTTAAACTATAAACTAAATTCCTTCCATAGTTTGCTTGGCCTGCACCCAGTAATGAGCAAAGGTAATTAGTTTGTGAGGTTAGAGGCAAGATGGAGTCAGTTAGTTTAGATTTCTCTCACTGTCATAATTTTTGCAAAGGCCGTTTCAGAGGCTCCTGTGCTCACTCTGTCTAGTCCTATCTGGCTAAGCTCACTCCTCTTCCTACACTACAGCCACTTGGAGTTCACATATTGTACTTGGAGCTGTTGGTGCTTATTTTCAGATTGTCTGACTTTTATGTTTTCATTCAACAACTATTTATTGAGTGTCTACTGTATACCAGGCACTGTTCTAGGCTGTAGTAATATAATAGTAAACAGAATGAAACAAAATAAAATCAGTGCCCTCACGGAGCTTACATCCAATTAAGGGAGGCACACAGTGAACAATATAAAAAAGTAAAATGTATAATCAGTTAGATGGTATCATTGCTAAGGGAAAAATGAGTAATGCTGGAAAGAGTAGTAGAGAATTCCATGGGGAAGAAGGCTGCAGTGCTAGTCCAGGGAAGGAATGCAGCATTTAAATAAACACCTGAAGGAGGTGAGGAAGGAAGCACTGGCCATATCTGGGGGAAGAACATTCCAGGAAGAGCATATAGCAAGTGCAAAGTCTCTGAGGCAGGCATGAGCCTGGTGTGTCTGGCCACTGGGTGGCCAGTGTGGATGGAGTGGAAAGGCAAAAGAGGAGGAGAAGGAGGCATAGGAGGAGGGGGAACTAAACCCCATTAAGATGTTTTATTTTTTTCGAAGTGTTGCTATTCTAGGAAATGTGCATTATACTATTTCAGGTGGACACATTGGAAAATGATTATGTCCCTAACCAAAGTTTGGTCACCTGGCAGTCCCAACATTCTACAGCCTCCAGCTAGATGGCAATGCATTTATCATATGCCCCTGGATGTACCACAGTGTTCTTTTTTTTTTTTTTTGAGACAGAGTTTCACTTTGTTGCCCAGGCTGGAGTGCAGTGGCACAGTCTCGGCTCACTGCAACCTCTCATGACTCAGCTTCCTGCGTAGCTGGGTTTACAGGTACACCATGCCAGGATGACTTTTTTTTGTATTTTAGTAGAGATGGGGTTTCACCATGTTGCCCAGGCTGGTCTCGAACTCCTGAGCTCAAGCAATCCACCCATCTCGGCCTCCCAAAGTGCTAGGATTACAGGCATGAGTCACTGCACCCAGCTGTACCACAGTGTTCTATTGTTGACAAGGTAAATCTGCTATTGTGATTATATGCTAATGTCCCTTATGTATAGTAATCAGAGAAACATCAGTCTTCAGACATTCTCTAATTCCATTAGGTCCAATATTTTCCCTTCATACTGAAAACTGCTGACTTCCAATATGGAGGCTATGGATGGTGTTAGGCATGTATTAATAGAAGGGAGAAAGTGATATTCACTGGCACTTAGGAAATGATTAGATTGCACTTATCCTAAATATTTTTCTCAATGTAATTGTTTCATGCTTTTTTATTAGGATCATTTTTCATTATGAACGTAGTGAAACTTAACTGGCTGTTATTTTATTGCAGTTAAATTCTTAATCTCACCGTTAGGTGCTTCAGAGGAAAGACTCTTTTATATTCTTTTTTGTATTCTGGTTGCCTAACATATGCTTGGAACAAAACAATAATGTGCAGTGTAACATATCTACAGGTGCTTCTTAAGTTCTAAGTCCTGAGCTAAGCATATGACATACATTATCTTGTTTAATCATTGAAAATCCCCATGGGCTATTAGTCTCATGTTATAGATTTTTAAAATGAAACTTTAAAAGGTGTGTTAGTTTGTGCTGCTGTAACAAAATACCACAGACTAGGTAATTTATAAGCAACAGAAACTTATTTTCTCACAATTCTGGAGATGGGAGGTTTAATATCAAGGCATTGGCATTTAGGGTCTGGTGAGGGCCTTCTTGCTGCATTCTCACACGGCAGAAGAGTAGAAAGACAAAAAGGCTTAGACTAGTTCCCTCCAGCCCTTTTATAAGGCACCTAACCATTCATGAGTGGGGAGCCCTCATGACTTAATCACTTCAAATGGTTCCACCTCTTAATATCACAACAAAGATTTAGTTTCAAGACATTAATTTTGGGGGACACTCAGACCATAGCATTCACCCTTGAATCCCAAACTTCATGTGCTTTTCGTACGCAAAATGCATTCATTCCATCCTAATAGCCCCCCAAATCTTAACTTTTTCTAGCATCAACTCAGAAGGCTAGAGGCCAGAGTCTCATCTAAATTAGTTTTTACCTAAATTAGGTGAAACCCAAGGTAAGTTTCACCCTGAGGCAAATTGCTCTCCAGCTGTGACTCTGTGAAATCAAATAAGTTGTGTGCTTCCAAAATACAATGGTGGGGTAGGCCTAGGATAGATATTTCCATTCCAAATGGGAGAAATAGCAAGAAACGGTTAATAAGTGCCAAATAAATCTAAAGCCCAACAGGGTAAACAACATTACATCTTGAGGTTTAAAAATAATCTTTGACTCCATGTCCCATGTTTCAGACATGCTAGGGTGGGGGTTGGGTTCCCAAGGCCTCAGAGGACCACCCCCACCCCCCCAGTAAGGCTTTGCTGGGCACGGCCCATGGTGCAGCTCTCATGGGTTGAAGTCTTGTGCCTGTGACTCTCCCGGCTGACATTGCATGCTGGTGACTCTACAGTTGTGGGGCCTCAAGGGTAGCCTTGCCCCGCAGTTCCATTAAGCATTGCCCTAGCTGGGACTCTGCAGTAGCTTCTGTGGCAGTTCTCTTCATGGGCCGCTAGCCTTTCTGAGGAATCTTTTGAAATCTAGGTGGAGGTAGCCATGTCCCCATGCTTGTGCACTCTATGCTTCTGCAGAATTAGCACCACATGAGTGCTGCCAAGGTTTATAGCTTATACATGCTAGAGTGGCAGCTGAGCCTGCTTGAGTCATATATGTGGCAGCTGAAGAGTGCTGCACCAGAATGCTGACAGCAGAGACAAGGAGGTGCAGGGGAGTCAATGATGAGGTCCCATGGGTGCCCAAGGCTCCTTTTTTGACATAGTCCTTTCCCCTAGGCCAAGCTTGTCCAACCTGTGGCCTACGGACGGCATGTGGCTGGACGGCTTTGAATGCAGCCCAACACAAATTTGTAAACTTTCTTAAAACATTATGAGTTATTTTTGTTTTTTTTTTTTAAAGTTATTCAGCTATCGTTGGTGTATTTTATGTGTGGCCCAAGACAATTCTTCTCACGTGGCCCAGGGAAACCAAAACATTGGACACCCCTGGCCTAGGCCGTGGCACTCTGGGCCTGTGATGGGAGGGACAGCAGCAATAATCTCCAAAATGCCTTCAGGGTTGTTGTTCCATTGTCTTGATGAATAGCATCTGGCTTCCTATTCTCCATACTAATCTCCTTATTAAACTTAAACATTGCTTGGCCACACCCTGGGTTTTCTCTCTGAACTTGCCTTTTAGTCTTTACAACCTGGGGAGGATCAGGCCAGGCTGAGACTTTTCCAAATCTTCCCTTATGATTATGAACTCTGTCTATAATTTGTTTTTCTCTTCTCACATTTTCCTATAGGATGTCAGGAGAAACCATTCAGCAACCTGAATACATTTTTTTCTTCTGCCGGATATCCTTGTTTATCCTCTAATTCTGCCTTCCAGAAGGGCACAGACACAATTCAGCCGAGTGCCACTTTCTGGTATGAAAGGCCATTTCTCTAGTTCCAATGAGATCTTTATTTCTATCTGAGATCTCATCAAAAGGGTCCTTTACTGCCATATTTCTACCAGCATTCTGATCACAATCACTTAGATAATTTCTGAGAAGACCGAGGTTCTATCCACAGCTCTCTTCTTCTTCTGAGCCCTCGCCAGAATTGTGTTTAACACTCTGTGGATGTAATCTAGGCTTTTTCTAGCCTGCACTTCAAAACTATTCCAGCATCACCCATTACCCAGTTCCAAGCCACTTCCACATTTTTAGGTATCTGTAACAGCAACACTCCATTTCTCTGGTACCAATTTCTTTCTAGGTCCATTTGTCTTGTTATAACAAAATACCTAAGAATGGGTAACCTTTAAAGAACAGAAATGTATTTCTCACAGTTCTGGAGGCTGAGAAGTGCCAGATTAAAATGCAGGCAGGTCAGTGTCTGGTGAGGCCCCACCCCATCGAAGGCATTGTCTCTCCAGGCAGCATCCCCACATGGTGAAAGGTAGAGGGTCACAAAGGCAGCAGCGAGTTCCCTCCAGCGCCCCTGTCCTCCACTTTTTTTTTTTTTTTTTTTTTTTTGAGATGGAGTTTCGCTCTTGTTGCCCAGGCTGGAGTGCAATGGTGTGATCGCAGCTCACCAAAACCTCTGCCTCCTGGGTTCAAGCAATTTTCCTGCCTCAGCCTCCTGAGTAGCTGGGATTGCAGACATGTGCCACCACGCCCGGCTAATTTTCTATTGTTAGCAGAGACAGGGTTTCTCCATGTTGGTCAGTCTGGTCTCGAACTCCCAACCTCAGGTTATCTGCCCACCTCGACCTCCCAAGTGCTAGGATTACGGGTGTGAGCTGCTGCACCTGGCCTCCCTCCAGCCCTTTTATGAAGCACTAACCACTTCCCAAAAAGGCCCCACCTCTTAACACTACCACAATGTATATTAAGGTTCAACATGAGTTTTGGATGGGACACCATCTTTCAAATCATAGCAAAGATTCAGTAATTTTCCCAAGGCCCCAAGGCAAGAAATGGACCTGGTTTCAAATCCAGGCTCTCTGATTCAAAGCAACCAGCTGCTCAATCCCTTGAGTGGTGTTTGTTGAATCTATGGAGATGGGTGGCAGCCTGCATGTGCTGCTGGAGAATATAGCCACAGGATGAAGGGACATTCAGTCAGTTTCTTCTTTTACCTCCTTGATTTTTCCTCCACCACCCCTGTGTCAAGGCTGTTAATTTGCTAAAGCAAATTTTGGAGTAACACTCGTTTTATTTCTTTATACCCATCATAGATACAAGCATCAATATGGAATGTTAGCTGATTACCATATGGAACACAGGAACTTTATAACCAGATAACTCTTTTGCCTGTTTTTAACAACTTTCCACAGTTATGTGCCGTAACGAGCACATTTCTTTTGAGATGTATTTCATTAGCCATTTATTTACCAAAACAGTTTATTTTTGTGGAGTGGAAACATTATATGTCAATTTAGTACAGACAAAAAAGTTTAGTATGAATGAGTGACAATATTCAAAATATCTTGTAATCATACAGAAGCAATTGATCAAAGCAAGGATATCCCGTGGAACTATACTACTCTCTTATTTGGATTTTATCATTCTGGAATTATTGTTTTTCAGAAATGATTTTGACACTACAGCAAGGATTCATTAAGATACCTTAACACTTTGATAAGAATTTATTATTAGATTGAGCCATTTTAAATGCCACTATTCTACCTTTTTTAACTAATAAAAATGGTATTTTCATGCGGTTCAAGCTAATAGTTGCTTTAGCTAAAGAAGAAAAGTATAAAATTATAAATCTATATTTTTATTTTTAAATTAAAGATTTGAAACTCAAGTTTCTGTATAAGCTGATGGGTAACATATGATTAAGTGCTTTACTTGGCTGCACAATGCTTTGAACTGATAAGTCAAATGAACATGTCCCAGGCCGAACTAAGAAAACCATGCAAGCAGCCAAAGACCTTCATCTGCTGCCGCAGCAGTGCCCTGTCAGTGAGCAAGTAGACAAGGAAGACGAATCATGAGCATGTCTCATAAGAGTTTGACAAAATAGGTTGTAACTTGGCAGCCAACTATGAACTTGCTAAAGGTCAAAACCTGGAGTTGGCACTCTTGTCTCACAGAACTCGCTTATCTAGATGTTTCAAAACCGTCTTCCAATGTGCCCTGCTTATCAAATGGCAAGGCTAAAAACAAGGAACATTTGTGTTGCTCTGCTTGCTCCAATTTAGCCGCTCTTCTCTTGGACTGGCAGCTAATATGTGGAAACTGGGTTGCAGGGTTATTCTAACGCAGCCGAGTGAACCTCACACAGACCAGGGTAAGCCTGGGCCTTGCAGGGATGTCCTGGGCTCTAGCAAGTGTGGCATCAGAGTTGATATCTGGGAAATGAGCTTATGGATCCAATTCACAGGGAGCCATCATGAGCAGAAGGGAGCCTGAATGTGGTAGAGATGATGGGTTTTCAAAAACTGTGGACTAGGCCTGGTGCAGCGGCTCACAGATGTGAGGATTGTGGATGTCAATAACCATCTATATTTCAAATTACATCTATTTCAAATAACCATCTATATTTCAAATTACACTAATTTAGGGTGTGTTTTAAGTACTTTTTAAACTAATACCTCTTGATAACAGAGTATAACTCCTTAATAGTATTTTTCAAATAGTACTCACTTTTTAACTATTTGATGCATGAAAGAGTGGTTGGATGAATACAAGCAATTGAGAGCATTTTGTGAACAAATCCAGTTACTATTCTCAATATGAGTTTCAAATATTTTCTGTAGCATAAGGCTTTACTCCTTGTTTGAAGGTTGGCAAATTCAAGGACTGATTTTACCCGCTTGCTATATTTCTACTAGCAAACACAAATCTCCTACTAACTTTTAGGGATGAAATGCAGGAGTAAATTGACCAAAAAAAAATACTTTAGTTTTTTTAAAGCTCTCTTTAACTTATTAAATGAACAAGGTTTAAATAAAATCAATAAAGTAATAAAGTGAAATGTGGCATTTTTATTTCTTGAAACAAAGTTGTTTTAGGCAGGTACAAGGCTATTATCAGATAAGATCTGAAGAAATAAAATCTTTTATTAACCTACAACTTGAACCTGTATTTTCTTTATTATCTTTACTTATAATGATGAAAGCAGAAAGCTTTATCATTTTTAACTGAGGGAATGGCCCACCTCAGAAGTCTTCTTATCTGTTTTTTTTCTTTCAACTTTTATTTTAAGTTCCAGGGTACATGTGCAGGATGTACAGGTTTGTTATATAGGTAAACATGTGCCATGGTGGTTTGCAACACAGATCAACCCATCGCCTTGGTATTAAGCCCAGAGTCTGTTAGCTATTCTTCCTGATGCTCTCTCTCTGCCCACCCCCAACCCCACCCCCAACAGGCCTCAGTGTTGGTTGTTCCTCGCCATATGTCCATGTGTTCTCATTGTTCACCTCCTACTTATAAGTGAGAATATGTGGCATTTGGTTTTCTGTTCCTGCATTACTTTGCTGAGGATAATGGCTTCCAGCTTCATTCATGTCCCTGCAAAGGACATGATCTTGTTCCTTTTCATGGCTGCATAGTATTCCGTGGTGTATGTGTACCACATTTGAAGAAATAAAATCTTAAGAACATTGTTTGAAAGAGCATTTTCTGTAAGAAAATTACAAGGAAGGCATTTCCTGCAAGAAAATTAACAAGGGACAGGGCTACTGGCTTCCCAGTCCCCCAAATTGTAAGAACTGCAGTTATAGGAATTTTATAACGGTGGCTGATTTTGTGAGTGTATGTTTGTGTGTATGTGGAAAAAGTAGAGGATTTGAGAAAAAATACTTTAAGCTCTTTTATCAGTGGACATACTCTGGGATTGGAGAAGAGGAATCACGTTGGCTTGATTATGCTTCTAGGATGATATCCTACATTAACCAATAAAAACTCTTTGAGTGTGTGCCTACTGTGGAATTGAACTGTGTTAGGTGCTAAAGGTTGACGTAAAAATTAAAACGAACAAACAGCAAAGCCTTGTCTTCAAAGACTACATGGCCTAACTGAGGACACCACATGGGTAGGCAGAGCAAAAGAGTTGTCAACTATTTTGTCATTAAATGACAAGAGCGAAATGAGTAGTGTTGGGGCAAAAGTCAGAGGGGGCAGAACTAGTCTTCATGAAAGAGATGGGAATTTGAGGGTAGTGATTATGACAACCAGGAAAGCAGGGAAGACACTGCAGAGAAGTGGTTTAGAAAAAGGAGCAGAGGTGGAAAAGCCCAAGATCTTCTGGGTTCAGTGGGCTGGTCATAAGAGTGAATGAGAGGGTCCCTGCAAGGAGAGAGTGACATAAGACAGTCTTGTGTCGGTCGTGGAGGGCTGTGAGTTTCAGGCTAAGGAGTGTTAATCTTGTTCCTGTAGGCAATGGGGAAATATTGAAAACTTTTGGCGAAGGGATCACCAGAATGAAAGTAGTGGTTTAGAAAAATTATTCTAGTGGTGGTGCAGAGGAGGGAGAGAATTGGGAGAATCTAATGTCAGGGATACCCAGAAAAAAAATTTCCAGGAATAATCAAGAGGGTCAATTAGATGGGCATGGTGGAAAAACAGACAGAAGTATCAAAAATGATTTTCAGACTTTGAATTTGGGTCACCAGTGGTAGAATATAGAAACACACAAATTCTGTTAATTTCAAAGAAAAGTGATGATATTAATGAAGCTCCCTGAATTGGGTGATCAGCATGTCCTAAGGGTCTCTGAGAAGCAGGAGGGCCTGAAACTGGGCCCCAAAGCCTCTGAAAAGGATGATCTAGCTCCAGGCCATCCACTACAGTAGTCGTTGAACACCTGGCCACACATAACTATTGACTTAAAATGTACCTAGTCAAATTGAGATATGCTGTAAGTATAAACTACATATCAGATTTGAGAGTTAGAATGAAAAAAAGAACATGAAAGTTCTCATAAAATTTAAATATTGGTTACATGGCAAAATGATATTTTGGATGTATTGGGCTAAATAAAATGTGCTACTAAAATTATTTTTACCTTAAAATTTTGTTTCTTATATAGCTTCTAGAAAATATACTCACATTCTATTTCTATAGGACATAGCTGATCTAGACCTTCAAAGTAAAGCCCACTAATATAGCATAATACAGCAGAGTGAAACACACACACTCTCACACACTTCATAGTTAAATGCATGTTTACTCCATCCATTCAGTCTGAAGTCTTTTAAAATGTGTCTTGCATTTTGTGAGTATATTTCTGAATTTTTTGAGCAGGGTATATTGTAGAGATCCATTTGTTTATTTTATCCAAAACTTAGGTTATTCCATCTTACTGAAATGAACATTTGGCTCTTTCTTTCAACCAGCAGATGATGCTACAGCTGACAGTCGCAAAACTTACACTCTAACTGATTACTTAAAAAATACTTATAGACTGAAGTTATACTCCTTAAGATGGATTTCAGGTAAGAATTTTTTGGGGTAGGGCAGATTTTATGCTTACATTCATTCTAGTTAAGTCGAGATGTGGGCTTTTATGGCACTGAGAAGAGGTAATCCTTGTTTTTAAAAATTCTATAGAGAGTTTTTTTTTTCTTTTTCTACTTGAAGTGCAAAGGGAGAAAGACTGAAAGGAACCCAAGTATTTCTTTGACATGTATAATAAAAAATTAAATGTGAATTGAAACCTTGACAATAATGATGAAAAAATGAATGAATGTTAGTATAATATCATTCATGTTTTCTCAACTTAGAAATGCCTATTTGGTATTTGTGAGCTTAAACTGTATTCTGTAATTTTCAGCTTATGAAGATGTTTAATAACAACTTGAAATTTTGATCTGGGTGTTTTCTCTCTTTAGATCATGAATATCTCTACAAACAAGAAAATAATATCTTGGTATTCAATGCTGAATATGGAAACAGCTCAGTTTTCTTGGAGAACAGTACATTTGTATGTTTAATCACGTAATTAATTCATGCATAGAATTCTGGGGATTTTTTTCATTACCTTTGGAATCACGAGTACTGTCATTTCTCAACCTGTTGGACTCTTTCTGCAGCATATGGCAAAGTGGATCTTTCTCTCCTTCTTGAAATGCTCCCTGCCTTGGCTACTTTTTAGTCTCCTTTGACGATTCCTCTTCCTCTGCCCATATTTTTAAATGTAAGTGCTCCTTGGGGCTCCATCTTCATTTGCCTCCCTCTTCACTTTGCATGCTCTCCTTTGGTGAATTTCATGCAACCCCACAGCATTACTGCCCTCCTCTCTGGCTTGACTCTCGTATACACACACTTAACGCTAACCTTCTCCCAGATTTAAACTTTAATTTCTAGTAGCCTGCTGGTTCCTACATGAGGATTTCAAACTCAAAATCCCAAGCTAAACTGGTTATCTTTCCCCCACTGTCCTAGCACACTGAAAGCATCTTATTCTTTTTTGTGAGTTCCCAGTATTGGTAAAAGTTACTTAATTCTCCTCCAAGTCACTTATGCTAGAAACCTCAGAATCATCATTGACTCCTGTCATCCCCCATAGTTGGCGACAATTCTCCCTCTGCATGTCAGGTATCTCTCAGTTTCCATTTCCACTGGACAGTCCTCGCTTAAACCCTCATTTAATCTTGTGGTAATGAGTGCTCTAACTTGTGTCCCTATCTGCATTCTGTACACCAGACCACTGCACTCCCCATATCTAGGCTGATATCAGCCCTCCGCTCTTCCCTCTCATTTCAGCCACTGTGTCACCAGAGTATCTTTGTAAAAGATAGATATGATTCTATCACTTCCACATGCAAAAAAATAGATCTAGTTCCACATCTTATATTTAGGTCCCAGCTATTTTTCTAATTTGTTGTCCTCTCACCTTCCACTCTGTCTGACACCAGCGCCCCCCACAAACTATATTCAGGTTACACATGACCCTTAAAGAGTCTCTAAACATCCACGTCCTTTCCCATGCCTGGCATTTTGCTTACGCTATTCCCACTGTTGAGAAAGTTTTCTTTTCCTCATCCTCACTCTCGCAGGCATCTTTCCTCTTAGGATTAATCCTTCCCTTTCTGGCTTTCTAACATTGATCGCCACCTACCTTGCATCACGGTCATTTGTGTGGGTGAATATGCCACCTCTGCTAGATTAGGACTTCCCAAAGCACAAGCCACATGTCTAGAACAGTACCCCCTATGAAGTAAGTGCACAGTGATGGCAATGAAATGGAATTGTTCAATTTTTCTTTGTTCTTCTTGTTTGACAGGATGAGTTTGGACATTCTATCAATGATTATTCAATATCTCCTGATGGGCAGTTTATTCTCTTAGAATACAACTACGTGAAGGTAAAATAAATGCTTTCTTACTGTAACATTTAAATAATCCAAGAGTATGCTATGTTATAACCGATTTCAAGTGTATGGATACTTAAGATTAATATCTAAGTAATGTAATAGGCACTAAAACTCATTAATTCAGAATCAGAGTCATTCTCATTCTTAAAGACAAGTTCAGTGTTTTAAAAGAAATTCATTTTTAGTGCTTTCAAATACTAGAAAGCACAGTTAATATTATATTGTTCTAATATATACTAATAACATAAGTCAATAAAAATTTGTACTTACACACATATTTAAAAGTAAGTTTACATGTCTGATTTGTACACCTAATGACAGAACCCTTTATTTCCTTTGTCACAGCTTTATGTATAGTAAGAGCCTCCATAGATATGTGTTTTTAAAAGAGTTAAAGTCGGGCATGGTGGCATGCACCTATAGTCCCAGCTACTTAGGAGGGAAGGCTGAAGCAGGAGGATCACTTGAGCCCAGGAGTTGGAAGCTACAGTTACCTATACTGTGCCACTGCATTATAGTCTAGAGGACAGAGTGAGACCCCGTCAAAAAAAAAAAAAAGAAAGAAAGAAAGAAAAAGAAAAGGAAGAGTTAAACTTTCCATCCTCCAGAAAAGATTCCGCAAGATGGCCCAGACCATCTCCCAACCTTCGGGCCCCACCATATACAAACTATTCTAAGGAGGAGAGCCTCACCACAGATCGTAAAGATTCCATCAAGAGCACTCAGCTTTCCCCAGTTACCCAGCTCAACTCCACATCCTCACACATTCAGGAAAGGTTACAGCTTAATCATACATCCTCTTCATGTTTAGGATGGATATGGGTGGCCATAACTTTAACTACAGCTTTTTGGTTACTCATGGATTTGACAAGTTGTTCAAGTATAGGAAGTTTTGAGACATGTAGTGAAGATTACAAATTTGTAAAGATACCCTGTATTGCAAGCAAAATACAAAGCTGGGGATTCCCACCCCTGATCTTCCTTTTCTAGGATAAATAATATTGAGGAGACACCAACACTCACACACCAACACTCACACACCAACGCTCACACACCAACACTCACACACCAACGCTCACACACCAACACTCACCCACCAACACTCACACACCAACACTCACACACCAACACTGCTGTACTCAGGCCAAGCAAACCATTCCCTACTGCATTTACCATCTCAGGATGGTGACTGTTAATCGTAATATTTACCCTGGATTTGCTGGGCTGGGCTCACTCTCCTGGACATGAAGACTCTATGTTCTGTTAAAATTAACTGTAAGTGAATCGGAATCTTGTACCAACTTTGACACATCTGTTGCCAATTAATGGATTATTGTTTGTTTAATTAAGTGCTTCTTATTTCTATCTATAGAATACATTCACTTAATTTACTTGAGAAACTTTTAAAACTTCCCAGTGTCCAGGTTCAATCCCCAGATCAGTAAACAGAGGTTTCTGGGGTAAAGCCAGAATCAGTATCTTTTTTTCTTTTTTTGAGACAAGGTCTCATTCTGTCACCCAGGCTAGAGTGCAGTGGTATGATCATGGCTCACTGCAGCCTCAACATTTTGGGCTTGACTAATCCTCCTACCTCAGCCTCCTGAGTAGCTGAGACTACAGGTGTGCACCACCATGCCCTGCTAATTTTCAATTTTTTCTTAGAAATAGGGTCTCACTGTGTTCCCCAGGCTGGTCTCAAACTCCTGTCCTCAAACGATTCTCCCACCTCAGTTTCCCCAAGTGCTAGGATTACAGGCATGAGCCACTGTGCCTGATGAGCCTCAGTATATTTTAAACTGTCATAGGTGATTGTAATGGCAACCAGGGCTGAGAACCCCTGAATAACAGTTGTCCATGTTAAAGACTAACATATGAAGGTAAGGTAGAAACAGAAAGGTAATACCAGCTCACCTTACTATATAGCCAGGTTCAACAAAAGCCATTTGATGTGCACGAATGCGTGTATTCCCCTGGTGGCCCTTAGTTGGCCAGCCACGGTTGGAGATTTGTATTTGTTGTGTCACTGGAGTTTACCCGTGTATTTAACTGCTTTTGCTTTTTTCACTCTGTCCCCTTCCCCCTGCCATCTATGCTTCAGACAGTATCGAAAGTACTACTTTTAAATTCTAAATTAGTTTATGCCACACCTATGCCACCTACAGTGCCTTCCCATCACACTCAAAATAAAACACCAGCTCTAACCCTGGCATCCTGAGGCCTGTGTGATTGAACACAGTCTGCCCGGCTGAACACATCTCCTACCCGCTTCTCCTGCACTCGGCATGCTTGGCCAGAGCTTCTCGTCTCATCTGCACCTTAGGATCACTTGAGGAGCTTTTGAAAAAACACGGATATCTGTGGCCTACCCTAAAGCAACTAACTCAGCATAGCTGTGGGCCTCCTGGAGATTCCATGATGCTGAGTTGAGAACCTTTAATTGCACAGCTCTTTCTTTTTCTCAAGCATCACCCTCATTCCCATCTAAAGGCAAAATCACTTGCTATTGCTTCCTCATGGAAGCTTCTCCATCATCATATGCTTCTCTCTATTAACTCAGGTCCAGATTTCTTGGGTCACTTTGTCAAACATTGTCCCCTGCCATGCTCTTCCACCCACACCCCACAAATCAGTCTCTGTCACGTTAACCCATTTTAGTTTCATCACAACATTTTGTGATATTTTGTCATTGATTTCTTTGCTTATTTTTTGCCTGCCTTATTTGGTGCCAGTTTCCCTGTGATTTATTCACTGCCACACCTCTGTGCCTAGGACAGGGCCACATAGCAGATGCTGAACATCATTGTTAAATGAATACATGTTTTATTGCAAAGTGCTAAATTATAAAGCTATTGAAACTAAGGATCTATATCTTCTACTACTTTTCTTTCTTTTTTTTTTTTTACTTTCAAGAGAGTCCAGTAGAATTTTCTGTACAGCATATACGTTTTGACTAAGTGACTCTTATGAAATGTATCTAGAAAAAAGAAAAGTCTAATTTGATTACATTTCCTTGGAGGTCTACCTTTTAGTGTTTTTTAGATCCTACTATGTGACTTCTCCATGACTGAGTTAGTGCTATCACTTCCAAGTTGTGGCTACAAATAAATAAATGAGCAAGTGAGTGAGTGAGTGGATAAGTACCCCCACAGTCTGGTATGAATGTTCTCCTAGCATCTCTGCTCATTGCCTAGTGCTCTGGAAATAGAGATAATAGTTGTGTCATCGATTCTATGTTGACAATGTTCCAGAACCCTGCTAAGTGCTTCTCATGCATTCTCATGCATCTGAGATTGTTGCCGGCATTATCCTCATTTGTCTAAAAAGAAAATGGAAGCTTAGAAAGAAACTTGCTTCATGTTACACAGTGAAAGCCTGAATCCAGGTTAGAAGACTCCAAAGCCTTTGCTCTTAAATGTGATCTTTCCTATCTTTGCATTCGGCTTCTCTTTGCTATGATGCTCTTTTACTCTTTCCCAGTCACCCTCTGTCACTAACCTCAGCCAAAGAATCATCTTTTCCATAATCCTCTCTGCCTCCCCAAGGCCTAATTTATGATTCCTGCCTCTCCCACCCACCTCCATTATATCTCTTGGCACATCCTATTGTGATTATTTTATTGTCATTTACTATTGCATATCCTCCATTCCACTATAAGCTGCTCCAGGGGAGGGACTCTGTGTTATCCAGTAATGTCTGATAGATGATAGCTGCCAGTGTTTATAAACTAAATAGAATAATGAATCTGTTTCAAAAGATGAAGTGAACATACCAAACATCATGGGTTTTCTTTTACAACCCATGGTGGTTTGTCATGCTCAGTGATCTCAATCCATCTTAATAGTTTTAGCTGGTACCACACCTTTTGGCTTTAGTGAATATTTTGCTTGAGGTTGCCCAGAAACAAGCATGGGGTGTGTCAAAATAATCCAGGATTCAAGAAAGGAATGTATGACTCCCGAAAAGTAGAATTTAATAAATATTTGTTGACATGAGAGCATAGAAGGGAGAGAAGTGATAAATAGTTAAGGTTAGGAACTCTGACTTTGTATCTCAGCTCTGCTATTATATAGCTAGGTGTCCTTGGGATACCTATTTCATCCGTCTCATCCTCATTGATACAATTAGAATTTTATTGTAATTTGTTGTATTTCTTGAACACTCACTATGTGGCTTGCACTAGAATAGACTCCAGGCATCCAAAGATAAATAAGATACAATTTCTTACCTCTAGGAGTATGGTAAAGAAGGCAGACGTATAGACAAGTAACTTATTTGAAAATACCTTTAATTTTTATATGCATCTATATTCAGACATAATATTTCATAAATGCAAATATGTGATCATATACATTTTTATCTTCGGTCTTATTTCTTCCCTTCTTCACTTGGCTCTCTAAAGTCTAATATGTATCTTTCCATATTTTTATATTTTTCTTCTTGTTCATATAACTCTGAAAATATATAGGGATGTTTTTAGTTATTGCTTGGTCTATAAAAATAAAATCCTATAGTTTTTTGTAAATTGCATTTCTCACTCAATGATACCATGTGAAACTCCTTTCAAGTCATCTGGTTAGCTCTGATTCATTTTTTTTTAATTAATATCACTTTATTTTTCAGAACAGCTTTAGGTTTATAGAAAATAAGCAGAGAGTTCCCATATACTCCCTTATCCTCCCTCCCCCACTTTCCCCTATTATTAATGTCTTGCATGAGTGTGGTCCATTTGTTATAACAAATGAGCCAATATTAATATATCATTATTAATTTAAGTCCATAGTTTACATTAGGCTTAACTCTTTGTGGGTTTTGGCAAATATATGGCATGTATCTACCATTATGGTGGATTCTGACAAATCTATGGCTCTTGACAAAAGTATGATGACATGTTTCACCATTATAGTATTATACAGATGACTTTGACTGTGCTAAAAATCCCTGTGTTTCCCCCATTCATCCCTTCCTTCCCCCAGTCTCCAAGCAACCACCAATCTCTTTACTCTCTCCATAGTTTTACCTTTTCCAGAAACTCATATTGTTGGAATCATACAATATGTAACCTTACCACATTGGCTTATTTCACTTAGCAATATGTGTTTGAGATTCCTCCATGTCTTTTTGTGGCTTAATAGCTCATTCTTCTTATCATTAAATAAGATTCCATTGTATGGATCTCTACTACAGTTTGTTTATCCACTCACCTGTTGAATGACATCTTAGTTGCCTCCCAGTTTTGGCAGTTATGAATAAAGCTGCTATAAACATTTGTGTGTAGATTTTTGTGTGGGCATAAATTCTCAACTCATTTGAATAAATAACAAGAAGTTTGCTGGTAAAGTTATTTTGCCTTGGAGTTTTCTCTATGTAAAGTTTCTTATATCTGGATTCAATTTGTTTATTAGATATAAGACTATTCAGAATTTTTCTCACTTTTAAGAAATTATTTTTCAAGAAATTTTTTGCTTTTCTCTAATTTTTAAAATGTATTGGCAAAAAAATGTTTATAATAGCCTCTTATGATCTTTTAACATCTGTGGAGTCTGTTGTGATATCCCATTTTTCCTTTCTGATACCAGTCATTTGTGCTGTTTTACTCCTAAGTTTTACTATGTTTGCAATTTTACTAGTCTTTTCGATGACTTGAGTTTTGGCTTTGTTGATTTTTTCTATTATGTGTTTTCTACTTTATCAATGCTTTTACCTTTATTATTTCATTTCTTCTAATTACTTTGGATTTAGTTTGACTTCCTTTTTAAAAAAAAATTTTATTTCCCTATGCTTCTGCAGTCACTGAAAATTTGACTTTCATTTCTAGCTTTTTGAGATGGTTGTTAAAATATTGATGATATATGTATTTTAATTTTAATATATCTTGCCAGGGGGCTTCCAAAAACTTTATAACACTTTACCTTTCATCATCAGTGTATGAAGTTAAACATTTCTTCACATCACCATCAGCAATAGCATCATATATCGTTTAAATCTTTTGCCAATAAAGTAGGTGAAAAGTGAAAATTTACATTTTTCTAAGTAGGCAATCTTAGCACACTATGGTGAGTGCTAGGGATAATGTTTGTACAAAATGACATTTTTGGTGCACTGTGGTCCTGGAGGAGGTGGTGCCAGAGCTAGGTTGTAGATGAACTCCAGAGGAGTTTGTATGAGATGATCTCTAGGATACTTCTGAATCCCAAAATTCTCGGAGGAAATTATAAGATATGATAACATGTGAGAATTATACAATCATATATTACCAAACCTATCATCTTGGTCTCCTATAGTGAGTGGCCAAATTATCAAGTATCACAGAAGCCTGAAATGTCTGTTTTCTTTCATAGCAATGGAGGCATTCCTACACAGCTTCATATGACATTTATGATTTAAATAAAAGGTCAGTGACTTCCCAATAAAATCTATTAGGCTTTCCTACTGTCATATTTTTAAGGAAACCCCAATGTGAGTTATTCTTTTTGATAATATTTCCTTTCATCTTTTTTCCAGGCAGCTGATTACAGAAGAGAGGATTCCAAACAACACACAGTGGGTCACATGGTCACCAGTGGGTCATAAATTGGTTAGTGAGTCTCTCCAGTTGTCAGAAAAATATAGGCTCAAATTTTTCATAGGCAGAAGTTACTAACCCTGATACAAAGCAGACATCTTAGGAACTCAATACTTCACTATAGAACATAGTGTTATTGCCCAGGATCTAATGTTTGTCTGCAGCTGAACTTCTCTCTTCCAGAATGCAACTGCCTTCTCTCTACTCACTCTCCCAATAAAGAAATATACAAGCATATATCATCCTGTAGAAGTGGTCAGCCTTCTCGGTCTTCTCATATACTTTAGCATTCAAATAGTGGTAGTTATGTACTTCTCATTTTTAACACATTATTAATGGTTTTAGGATTATTTTGGGATTATAGGCTGTACACTTGTAATTTAAGAATGAGAGGGAAGGAGTAAATGACTCTTCCTGTTTGAATGGAATATTTGACTATGGTAATCCTTACATTTGCAATAGATAAGTGTTTCTACAATTCCGGGATAAAAATATGACATGTATTATAGATATCAATGCTTGTTTTTTTTCCTTCTAGGCATATGTTTGGAACAATGACATTTATGTTAAAATTGAACCAAATTTACCAAGTTACAGAATCACATGGACGGGGAAAGAAGATATAATATATAATGGAATAACTGACTGGGTTTATGAAGGTAGAAACTTTAAAGCTTTTTCAAATCAGAAAATCTATAAGCTTTTAAAATAGTTAAATGTTTCTTTTGCAATGGGAAAATTTAAATGAGATTGAAAAAAAGTTTCATTGTTTAAAATGTCATCAGATTTCTCTTAGAACTCACAGCACCAGATGTCTCCTTGACCAAGAATTTAACTATTCCTAGCACTCCTCTGTCCTCATTGCCTGACAATACTCCTCTTGTCTCTGTTATATTGATACAAAGGGCTTTTCTGTGTAGGTAGACCTTTTCTGCCTTTACTGGAACATAAAAGCCTCCAGATTAACATCAGATATTTCTCTAATTAAGCCTACCTAACCCGAAAGTTACTAAGGAAAGCTAAATAATCCCATCACATTGAGAAGATGATAAAATAATATATACAGGTTGGAGAGTACAGGGGAAGAAAATGCCTATTTTATAGAGGATTTGTATTTATTTGAACTTGGACAAATTATGATTTCCTGTTTTTAAGAATAAAAAAGCAATTAGAAAGGCTTAGGAAAAAGTGACTAATAAAACTAAAAAAGTTAAAAAGGAATATTCTCCCTTTTAGGATACAGAGTTGTCGAAACTATTAGGAACACATTTTAGAAACTTAGAAAATATTAGAAAAACATTTTTTGTGTCTGTATTTGCCAAGATAAAAGGCATTTTGAGGCTGCTCCAAACTGTTCACAAGGTTTCCTCATACTTATTAGAAAGACTTATCTGTATTTCATCGTATTATTTTTTTCTTCTTTGTAGTTTAAAAAAATAATTTTTCTTCATGACTTAATTTTAGTTCTTACCAAGTCCAAGTCAAGTTTAGTTGACTCATTATAACAACAACAACAAATCACATTAAAAGAAAGATAACTTTTCATGTCCTAGAAATAAGTGCTTGACTAAAACTTACAATGAAATTTACTAGCACTAGCTACTTAGAGATTCTTTAACCCTTGGACAGCACAACCCAGCCTCCAGGATCCTTGACAAGAGTGGCCTCTTTCCAAAGCTGTGACCCTCTCTCAGAAACAGCTGGCCCTCTGGAAGATAAGAGGGCAGCTAACACTTTCATTCTTTCTAAAGTAGATAATTGCTGGAGGGAGTCTTTTGCATGTTCACGACTAGGCCATTCACATGCAGAACAGCTTCACAGCTCCAATTTGGGCCTCTCTAATAGCTTCAGTTCCTAGAAGGAAATTACTACATTGTCAATACAGAAAAATATGTCCTGCATTCCAAATAACCACTAATTCAAGACAAACATCACTACCTGCTAATTACACTTACAAGTAATTCTAAAAAACAAAATCTTGGTCTGATTATATTGATTTTATGTAATTGCAGCTGTGTTATAGACCAGAATCAATGGGTAAAAGTTGCAAAGAATGAGAAGTCAACTCAGTATATGAACAAGTTCTTACTATAATAGAAACCATGACTTGGAGTCATAAGGGCTGGGTTCTAGTTCTTGTCTCAGGCAATTCACTGGATTGCTCCATGCCTCAGTTTCCTTCTTTGTGCAATGAGCTATGAATCACCACCCAGAGACTAAATATGATATGTTTTGTAAATTCTAAATTGCTACATAAGAGTGTATAGATCAGTGATATAGATATGAGGCAGTCAAAGGAAGAATAGGCTGCTTAACCCGGAAGTAGGTTTTCTATTACTGGAAATACTAAAATAGAGGCAGGAAAGGGCAGTATAGCACTGAGATGAAAAGCATGAGTCAAAGGAGATTTGGGTTGGTTTTTGATTCTACCAATTCTTAGCCATGTGATCCTAGACAAATTTCTGATCCTCTTCAAGCTTGTCTCACTTTATCAATACAATGGGTTATTGTGAGCCTTAACTGAGATGATAGATGTCAATTGCTTATCAATACCTGGCGCATAGTTAGCACTCATTGAATGTCAGCTGCTCATCACAATAATTATTATTACATTTTATTACAGTAATTATTTTTGCTATTATTCTTGTTGTTGAAAAAAAGCATTTGGAAGTAACTTGAAAGGAGGTATCAGGCATCTGAAAACTGATTAGAATGCATGATTTCCCAACCCTAAGATTCTAGTTTCTATGCTTTTGCTTTTACATTTACACTTACATGAGACTTGTGGAATATCTAGGCGTCTCCACCCAGTCCACTTAATTCCTCCATTCCCGGTTGGTGAAGGAGTTTTCAACATATTAAGAGCCAGTGATTGAATATCTCATGTATAGACCCCATAATAATCATAGGGAAGAGCTATCTTTGCCAGAGATTGAGAAGAAGCCCGACAATGTACTGGAAAGCAAGATCTGGTCTTTTATTTGCCTCCCTCTTTGACCCTCTTCTCTTACCCATCAGCATATACACCAGAGCAGTGTGTTAATCTAAGGGAGTTTTCAGTTTCTGGGCTGGGCAAGGAGATGTTTCTCAGTAGGGGTCTCAATGGAGTTCCTTGCCATTCTAAATCTATCCTTCCCACACCTTGTTTGTGCCAAGAGTAGTAAACTCTGGGCACCATATTGGTTTGATAGCCTGGAGCTACACACCACCCACCAGTACCCTGCGGGCTCAGTACAAACTGAGCCCAGTTGGGGAGAGTATGCTGGCATGTTGACTGTTTGAAAATTAGAAAGGAGAATCAGCCTCCTGTGTGAAATTTACTTTTAGTATGTTTTGAGGCATAAATTTAGAGGATTATAAGATAAAGAAAAAAATGTAGAGCTTATATTAAATATTGCATGCTAAAATATTCTAAAATGGTCCAACGGGTTACTTATTTTTACAATCCAGATATATCCTTGAAGATTTTATTTTTATTCATTTGTATTACTCTGATTTTGGAAGCCCAGCAAATGCAAAGTGGTTCATTAGTTGAACTCTACTGTAATTACTAAAGCTAATGAGAACAATATTTTGAATGCCAAAGCCAATTTATCAGCTACTTCTTGTAACAGAACAATTTGTGTCTTTTTTCAGAGGAAGTCTTCAGTGCCTACTCTGCTCTGTGGTGGTCTCCAAACGGCACTTTTTTAGCATATGCCCAATTTAACGACACAGAAGTCCCACTTATTGAATACTCCTTCTACTCTGATGAGTCACTGCAGTACCCAAAGACTGTACGGGTTCCATATCCAAAGGTCTGTGCTCCTGTTTGTACAGTGGTTCCATGATTTGATGGGAAGAGAATGGTTTCATTTAATCCCTTCTTGCTAATGAAAATATTGTCAGTCTCTCTTCAACAGCTTGCTGTGATTACTCTTGCTGAAGTCAACAGCATCTGGCAATTTTAAAGTATTTTTATTATCCCAGGAAAGAGTGTGATTTAAGGTTTTGTAATTTCTCCAAAAACTTTGAGGAATGACAAGCAGAAAAAATGGGGAAAATGCTTTAGAAAGAGATAAGGGGAATGAAAATGCTTGAATGGAGGAAAAGAGAGGCTATAATTGAATTAGAAGCTCGTCTCATTTGTAGAAGTTGGATTGTGCCCTCGACGAAGTTGCAAAGCTCAGTTATATATCAGATTGTATTACTAGTTAACGGGATACATGACTAGTTTTAGTGGTTCTATTATAGATTTGGCACTAATGTAAATTTTTCATGTCCTACATTTGGAATAATAGTGTCACGTCTTGGTTTTCAAAGCTGTTCTCCTCGTCAGGGTTGCGTGTTTACTAAAATTGAGGAGCTTTGTTAAGCAGCGTAAGCCGGGTGAGATGGGGTTTAGAAGGGAACCAGGAATTCTTCACTAGTACCGTAATAATAATGGCTACAGTATTGTCTGCAGGAGAATCTAATAGTAAAGTGTTTTTTCTGTAAGAAATTTGGAAAAGGGGATTTTTATTTTTACCAACTCACTCAATTTGCTTTATGAAGAGCTGCCATTTTAGGAAGACAGAGGAAGTTAAAAGAAAAAAAAAGATCAGAGACTAAATATGGAGATGTGTTTTCAGTGGAATGTTATTTTTTGATGAGCGAAACTGGCACATACAAAAAAAACTCCATAAAGTGTTCTCACTAAAAATATCATATTATTTCTAACTAATCTGTCAATCGAAGATCTATGTGTATATTTAAAAAGGTTTTATAGGTTTCAGTCATAATATTGATTGTAAAGCTCCAACATAGTGAACCTGAATTTAGAGTGGAAATGATGGCTTCCTAATTGACACCGTTGACTCAGGTAAACTGATTTTTCTGGTGGATGGTGTCTTTGGCAGAACCCAAGGTGTTCTTCATACTGACAGGCATCAAAGACTTTTGGTCTCAGGGAGACAGGGTATATTTGCAAATAATAAAGTTGATTTTAAGAGGTTTATCCTTGCTTGCACAAAGTGATAAATTATAAAGATATAAACATTCATTATTTAAACAGAAGTGCTTTGGACCTTCAAGTTTTATATAGTGTGTATATATATATATATATATATATATATATATACACATATTCTGTTTCTGCCTGACCATGAAAAGGTTGCATTTCATGACTCTCCCTTATGTTCATTTTATGTATATTAAATTGTTGGAACATGTCTGATTGTGATAATTTTATGACCATAATGCAGACGTTTTTGTGCAGTTTTAAAATGTGTGCAACGATGTTACTTTTTTTTTTTTGTCAATACCAATTCTGTGATTATTTTTTCCTAGGCAGGAGCTGTGAATCCAACTGTAAAGTTCTTTGTTGTAAATACAGACTCTCTCAGCTCAGTCACCAATGCAACTTCCATACAAATCACTGCTCCTGCTTCTATGTTGATAGGGTAAGACTCTTGTCCTGAATGCTTGGCTTGTAAACAGTTTTACACTTTCTAGGGAGAACTTTTCAAAAGTGAATGGCAAAGTGGATCACAGCCTCCCACTGTGTCATCCCCGCTGACAGTCATTCATTCTTTCCTTCAGCAACTCTTTGTTGAGCATCTTCACGTCCTCAGGCTGGGCACAACTCTAGAGATGAGGATGACAATGGACAGAGCAGCCAGCCCCTGGTGTTATGGAGCCTACATTCAAATTGGGGGAGACAGACAATAACCAGATAAAAAAAGAGCAGTGTAATATGCCAGGTAGCAATAAATGTGGTGAAGAAAACCTGAGCAGAGCAAAATGGATGGGGCCGATGAGGGGAGGTCAGGGAATCCTCATGGATAAAATGAACTGTGGCAGTGATGTGAAGAGCAGGAGGGCTCCATCCACACCAATAGCAGGGGGCAGAGGAAGAGCAAGTGCAAAGGCCCTGCAGAGGAGATGTGCTTGGGGTGTTGGAGGAAATGCAAGGAGGTTGGGGTGACTGGAGCCTTTTGACTGAAGAAGAGAGTGGAAGGGACAAGGTCAGGTCCCAAAGAGCCTTGTAAGGCCTAGAGAAATGCAGGAAATCTGTGGATTAAGTTTAGGGAGCTCCACGGTCATTTTGTGCTCCAAGACTTCACTTCCTGAAATCATGTCAGTGGTTTGAAATTCCGCCATGGAGCACCTTCAGCCCCTTGTTTATTTTCCTGTAAAGGAACCAACATACTGGGTACAATTTACGGCTCTCTGATAGCTCCATATTTACTCATTTCTGTTATTTATTTGGTTTTGTTGCTGTTTTTTTTTTTGTTGTTGTTGTTGTTGTTTGTTTGTTTTTTTGAGACAGAGTCTTGCTCTGTCGCCCAGGCTAGAGTGCAGTGATGCCATCTCGGCTCACTGCAACCTCTGCCTCCCAGGTTCAAGCGATTCTCCTGCCTCAGCCTCCTGAGTACAGCTGGGATTACAGGTGCATGCCTGGCTAATTTTTGTATTTTTAGTAGAGATGAGGTTTCACCATGTTGGTCAGGCTGGTCTCGAACTCCTGACTCATGATCTGCCCGCCTTGGCCTCCCAAAGTGCTGGGATTACAGGCGAGAGCCACTGAGCCCGGCCTGTTGCTGTTTTTAAATAACAACTAGCATACATTGAGTACTCACCATGTACCAGACACAGGGATTATCACATGCTTTATCTTAGGACTCTTTAAAGTCAGTCTGTCTTTCCAACAACTGTCATCGTGTGCCTGTTCACAGATAAGAAAATGAGGCCTACAGATTAAGAAAATGACCAAGTACGAATCTATATTCAAACCTGACTTTCTGGCTTGAACGAACAAGCTATTAGATACTGCTTCGTGTCTCCCTCTGTGTGATTACAGCTGGTGCCCTCAGATTCCTGAAGGCACCATCACAGCAGTACGGAAGCATCCATTTTCTCTGGAGTTGCATTAAGTACATCAGGAAGGCTGTGGGCTGTGCTCCGTGGTTAGTAATTCATTATTTTGGTTAGAAATGTCTGTAGTAACCCATTCATTCAGGGGGAAAATCGATTAGTAAGTTTTTAAAAATGTTTCTGGGTTTGTCCAATGGAGTAAAAATTTACCCAAAGGTTTCAAAGTCTGCCTTTCGATTCCATCCAGCCACCTTTAATCATCATCATTGATGGGCAGCCTCTGTTTCTACTCCCAAATGTCCATAGAAAGCCTGTGCCCTTGTAGCGCTTATCATCAGTAGATGATAGAAAACATTCAGATAAATGCCCCCAGGAGTGATAAGAGAGATACGAGCAATAGAATGGAGGCATTCTGAGGAGGAGAACATGGGGTTTTCACGACCCCAGGAACAAAAAATACCCCCTGGAGAATGTGCAGATTGAGCAGGTTGGCTTCCAGCAGGGTGCAGTGAGGAGGAAGGACACTGAGGCGGAAAAAACAGAGTATGGAAAAGTCAGTGCTTCCCAGGAGAAGACCAGCAGAGCCTGGTGTGGCCTTTTGGTCTGTCACCAATATCTGCCTGTAGGGAGGATGAGCCATGAGCACCTGCTCTGAAAAAGATTCCATCGGAAAGGGGCTTTAGAACTTATCAATGGTTTATAAACTTTTTAAGGACCTGGAAACCTTTGTTCAAGTGAGATATAATATAGAAGTGTATGGCCAGAAAGCAAATGGGAGATTGCTTCTCAGTTTTGGCAGGTCTAGTCCTTGTCCTCCCTCCTTCCCGCAATAGTCCTGGGAGCTTAGACAGAACCTGGAGTGGTTCCAGGACACAGTCACAACACCGCTGTGAGGTACAGGTGAGAGAACCGAGGCTCAGAGAGGTAAAGTCATTTGCTCAAGGTCACACAGCAAGTTAGTGTGGAAGGTGGGAATAGGACCAAGGCCTATGCCTGCTGGACCAAAATATTTGAATAAGTTAGTTAAAAATGTATTGAGTCCTTCTCATGGGCTGGGACTGTGCTCAGTGCTCTGCTCTTGCTGTCTCATTTATTCCCCAAAGAGACGAAGTCTTTCCCACTTACAGATCCGTTTCCAAGGCACAGCTGTGTGAAGTGCTGGGCTCAAGAAACAAGCAATTCTCAGGACGGATTTTTGGCCTTATGTGAATTCGTCAATAAGTTCTTGTTCTCAGTAGTTCTTTAAGTCACACTTAAGACTCACTATGGAGATTTTGTGTGGAATGTATATTACCAAAGAATATTGTTTTTTTGGAAATGCCACAGGAATGTGTTTTTTAGGGAGTTTAAAATATAGCTCTGGTCTCTGTTAACGCTGGTAAGGTTGCGGTTAAAATATAGCTCTGGTCTCTGTTAACACTGGTAAGGTTGCGGTTTTTCTAGAACTAGACTCTAGATGCTCTCTGGGAAAAATGCTCTAGTACATGATGATACACCGTTTTCTGGCCTCATGCAAAGATCCAGCAGGGCCAAGCAAAACCAGGTGAGTTACGCCTCTTAGTAACCTGCTCAGCCTGTTACCTGGTGATTTACTAGTTCCTGGAGTGGGAAGCCTGGCCAGGATCAGTGCCTCTCCTTCCTCTGCCCATGTTACCCTCATTAGTTTTCCTGTTAGGCCATATCCCTTCACCACAGAGCCTGCAGCAAGTGAAATCCACAGGAGGATGAGGCTGGTTTGTGACTTTGTTAGGAATTAGCAGAAATGGGTGGAAGCCCTGCTTCTCTGATAAGTGAGAAGGGCAGCCAGGCTGCGTTTCCAACAACTAAGGCCTGAACTTGAACCAGGGTGAGTCTCCCTGCTGCCTGCATTGATTTAGTGCTAAAGTTGATTAGATTTGTTATGATGCTATTTTGTGTTCGTTGTTCATAATGAGAACTGGAAAGCTCAAAAATTTGAAGGAAAACAGCACATAATGTAAAATCATAAATCTCCTAACTTTTATCTAGAGCAGTACATTCATTGTTGACTGAAGTAAGACAGGTTCTACGCAGTAGAGGCCAATCCTGCAATCGTATCTCCAGTGTGTAGTAGGGTGCCTGCGACATAGCATATGCCCAACCAATATTTGTAGAATAAACTAATAGATAAGCAGAGGATGGATGGATGGGTGGATGGATGAATGGATGAGTAAGTTATCTAGATGGCTTTGTGTGTATAGAATAGTGGTTCACGCTGCCAGCACTATGGATAGACTTCAAAATGACCTTGCATAGAAATCCCTCCTTTTATCTCCTCTCTGCCAAAAATTCTGTGGCCTGAATCTAGGGGATTGGAAAGGGCATGTTCTACTGTAGTAACCCCACCCAACATCTGTTGAATGGCTCTGGGGCTCATCACACCCAGCTCATGACATACCCCATCCCTGCTCTCTCTGCTCCTGGATGACACAATAGATATAAAGTCTTGCTGTGTCTTCTCTGAACTGTTACGACCCCTGGCCTATAAAGCTGCAACATCAAAGCCTCAGATTGTCACACAGGATATAAATAAACTGGAAGCTAGTGACATCTGCACATTAGGACCTGCATGCTACGACTGTGCGGGTGTACGGGTGCTGCAGCCCTCAGATCTGCTTCATCTCATCCCACCCATTCCTCTCCTGAGGGATTTGTCAGCGAACCTGGGAGGGTTGGCATCCCCATCAGAGCAGAGGGTGGCATGGAGCCTGAGGCCAGCACTGGCAGTATGCCCGCTTCCTCGGGTGATTCACTGAATTAATCATTCCACGGTTGCAGTTGCTCTTTGTAGCATTTTTCCCTCCAATATGATTTCCAGTTGATGATAAATACCTTATTTTAAGTATCCTTAATGTACCAAAAGAAACATTTACACAAATTAAGGGAATTAATATTACCCAACAAACATTTATTAAATGCTTACTGTTTGCAAGGCATTATGCTGGGACAGGTGGTCACTTTACAAGGGGATTCTCTGTTGTGTGATTTTCAACAAGTCTCTCTCAGTGCATTCACATATAATTTGCCTTATAAAATTAATTTAGTTTACACACAAGCTCTCTAGGAATAGATTTCTTTAAGTGAGGAACTTTATGCTGAAAAGAAACAAGAAGGTGAAGCTAGCTAGCAACATTTTCCAAATGGATGGGTGGAGGTTTCATAGAGGGAGCGAGTATGAACTGGGAATCTGAAGCCAACAGCTTGAATTGAATCCCGGCTCCAACACTTCCCAGTTGGGCGATAGTGGGCAAGTTACTTAAATCCTCTGCTGTTAAGTTTCTTTGTCTGCAGAGCATGATCTGCAGTACTCACCTCATAGGGTGGTCATGAGCTTATGTCAAGCACTTAGAATAGTTCCTGGCACATAGTAGACTCCACATGGGTGT
Source organism: Homo sapiens (assembly GCF_000001405.40). Lineage (NCBI taxonomy): Eukaryota > Metazoa > Chordata > Mammalia > Primates > Hominidae > Homo > Homo sapiens. Next base: position 162,028,722 of record NC_000002.12, on the reverse strand, counting down.
GAACTTATTATTTTACATCCAGAAATTACTCCGTCATTTTAGTATTAAAATCAACCATATTCCCGTTGGACTAATCCAGCTGCAGAAGGTAGAAGAGCTTGCTGGCTCATATGTCTAACCTGGGTAAGTTGTCCAGGCTCTCAGGAAGGCCTGGACTGCAGGGGTGGTCCCTCTTCTACCCCACCAAAACCATTACATAAGAAAGCTACTCAGTATTGGCCTGTTTTTGCAGAATAAAAGCAGCATGCAGTATGCAAAGCATAGATGATAATCCTGCTGGTTGGATTTTTCTGGTTTTAAGTGGGACTTAAACTTTTCAGTAAAAAGTACAATTGAGCCATTGGCTTTATTTATTTATTTTGAGATGGGGTCTTACTCTGTCACCCAGGCTGGAGTGCAATGGCATGATCTCGGCTCAATGCAACCTCTGTCTGCCCGGTTCAATTAGTTCTCCTGCCTCAGCCTCCCGAGTAGCTGGGATTACAGATGCGCCCCACCATGCCTGACTAATTTTTGTATTTTTAGTAGACACAGGGTATCACCATGCTGGCCAAGCTGGTCTCGAACTCCTGGCCTCAAATGATCCACCTGTGTTGGCCTCCCAAAATGCTGCTATTACAGGCATGAGTCACTGCACCTGGCAGTTTTTTGTTTTTTTTTTTTTTAAATGATTCTTTGACATCTCAGACTGGCATAATCTTGGCTCAAGGCTGCCACTGAAGGGAAGTATGTTTATAAGAAAATTCAAAAATTCCTGTCTGCGCCACGGGTGAACTGCCTTGCTGAGCATGCACAGGGTGCAGAGTACACCTGGGGTCATGGAGAGTAACCCAGGCCATGCAGAGTCCAGGACCATAAACCTTTGATCTGAAAATGGGCAGGGAAGATGACTGATGCACGTGAGTTTCCTGGCTGACTTCCCAAATTCCATTACTCAATGTTTTCAAATGGGGAAAGGTTGCTTTTATATTGCTGATTTCTGAACCTGATGTTTAATTTATGACTGTTAATAGATAAAGCTATTTAGTACTGGGTGATCCACTAATTATTGTCAAAAAGTTGTTCCCCCCATCACATACCCCTTCGCTCTACCAGAGCACTTTTAAAAAGAAGAATATTGCTGGAGCCCAAATTCCTAATCTATGCCCATGGAATTTTCAGATGTTGTATGTATGTCAGTGGAGAGGCTTTTCCCACCTAGAGAGAGGTACATCAGTTTCATCAGATTGTCCAAATGGTTTTTGGCCTGAAAAAATAGTAACCACTGATACAGGACAGGGGTTAACACACTAGGGTTTATGGGCCAAATGCAGTCCACTGCCCATTTCTGTGTGGTCCACAAGTAAGAATGGTTTTTACTTTTTTTTTTTTTTTGAGACCGAGTCTCACTCTCACCCAGGCTAGAGTGCAGCGGCTTGATCTTGGCTCATCACAACCTCCGTCTCCCGGGTTCAAGCAATTCTCCTGCCTCAGCCTCCTGAGTAGCTGGGATTACAGGTGTGTGCCACCACACCTGGCTAATTTTTGCATTTTTAGTAGAGTCAGGGTTTTGCCATGTTGGTCAGGCTGGTCTTGAACTCCTGACCTCAGGTGATCTGCCCAGGTTTTACATTTTTAAGTGGTTGGGAACAAAAATCAAAAGAGTAATAATATTTCATTATACATGAAAGTTTAATGAAATTCAAATTTTAGCTTTTCAGTGGAATATTAAATGAACTCATTCATTTAATTATGGTCTCTGGCTACATTTGTGCTACAAAGGCAGAGTGGAGTAGTGACAGAGATGTGGACCACAATGCTTAAAATACTTAACTCTCTGACCCTTAATTGAAAAAGTTTTCCAACGTCTGGTCTAAAAAACTAATTTCAGAAAGCTTCATTTTTCTGTTGTGCTTTTCATACTTCCATTCTCTTTGCACAGATTTATTGCCTTTCTTGGGTAAAGTGTATTCACCTTTCCAGGTTCTCATTTAGCTCCCCTGCATTGGGCAGATGCAGAAGCGTCAGACTGGATGAGATGTCTCTGTTTCCCGGCATGGAAAGTGGCAGTTGCACTCTCAGCCCCTGCAGCCTGGCGGTTTGTGATGAGTGCAATGAGACCTGGCAGAGTGGTGTGGGAGAAGGAGGTTTCCAAGAAGACATCGTGGATGAGGGGACATTTAGGCCAAGACCTAAGGAAGTTAGAGCTTGGCAGCCACTTCAGGCTAAAGAGCAAGACTGAACAAAGAGGGGGCAACTGGGGAAACTCATGGTGTGTTCCTGAGAATACCAGCCACCCAGACTAGGTAGTATATAGTTTCTTCAGAAGCAAGTAAAAGGACTGAAGTGAAAAGGGACCCCAATTTACAGAAATGCAGTGCTCTGCGGCTGAGTGAAGGGGTTCGGTCCTGTTTCAGTACCTGCGCCTTACAGCAGGGTAGCATGGAAGCCCGGTATCACCAGGCACATTCGCACATTAAGTGTTCCCAGCTGTAAAATGGGGATGATGAAGCTGTGAGGGGCTTAAAGGGCTTTATCCAGCACCTAATCCATCCCGAGTGCCCAGTAAATGTCTGTTGTGTGATTAGGTGTCTGCGAAGGGAGTGGAGATGGAAATTGATCTATGAATTCTGAAGAAGGACAAAGCTATGGTCCTTCAGTATGACAATATGACAGGTCCCACAGGTGAGGAGAGGGCTTTGCTTTCTTCTGTGCTGCATTCCACGGACATATAATTAGTGCCTGTGTTGAGTCAGGCATTCTGCTAGGCCCTGGGGACACCCTGTAAAAGAGCTTGCAGTCAAGCAAGGAGAGGGGCAGGTCCAGCCTGTGAAGGAGAGGGCAAGTGGATTGTGTGAGAGCATTTGGGATGGGGAGGAGATACAGCCACCAGACCAGGCGGGAAGAGGGAGATGAACACACTCATTTGGAACTCTCTGACAAAAAAGAGCAAGGCTGCAATCAGACACTCGAGAGCAGGGATTTGTGAATAGTAATCCAAAACCACAATCGGGGAGGAGGAGGGAGAAAAAGCATAAACTATCCATTGCCAATAATGTGAGGGAGGCCAGCAGAAAAGTAAACAATGAATTCCATGCACTTCACTATAAATCAGAAGGTGGTTCCAAAAATTTTTTAAGTATGTGTTGGGGAGGATGCACTACTAGAGATACCTCTGTTTACATAAATTTATGTGAAAATACCACAGGGTTTTTTCATTTCTTTGCAGAGTTCATGTTTTGACTCTTGAGAAATGTCTTTTTAGAATATATTTCTTTGATTTTCAAAGTTTCTGGAGGTGTGAGTCAATTTTTTCCCCTTTGAAAATGAAGTTGAGAAAAGGGTTAGCTGTAGTTTCACCCTAATAGAAAGAATTTTCTGGAGAAGCATGTAAAATACAAGAAACAGTCAAATCTTAGCCAGTGTCTGTGGCCTCACTTCCCTCAAGACAGCAGAAAGGAGATGCGAAAACATTACCCTTGACTCCCTGGCATTACCAAAGGCCAAGCTGAAGACTTGATAAATCCTGAGCTCGTGGTTTGAGTCACGCATGTTAAGCCACTGTAGAATATTGTTGCTGCTTTTCCTGTTGGATATATTTTAATTTTCATTCCAAATTAAATTACACTTTAAGCTTTAAGAAAAGGTGAAATATTATATTAAATGGTTTCATTAACCATTTATAATTCTACTTCCCATTAAGATTGATTTCTTTTCACTGAGTAAAATGTCTATTTGTACCAAGGTCTGGCAATAGTCATGTTCATTCTCTCTCTCTGTCCTTCCTTTCTTTCTTCCTTCCAGGGATCACTACTTGTGTGATGTGACATGGGCAACACAAGAAAGAATTTCTTTGCAGTGGCTCAGGAGGATTCAGAACTATTCGGTCATGGATATTTGTGACTATGATGAATCCAGTGGAAGATGGAACTGCTTAGTGGTGAGACTGAATGGGGATGTTCTGCTTCTAGAGCAACATGTGATCAGAGGGTCTGTGCAGTTGGGGAGAGTGAAGGCTGGGAATCAGGAAATGAAGTTTGAGTTTCTCTTCTTTCTGACTCTGTCTGATCCTGAGGCAATAAAATCTTGAATAAAACTCCTAGATAACCTGCCATCCCGAGGTGCTTCTATTTCTCCTACACTGACTAGTCATACTGTTTTAGTTATGGATACTATCACTTGGGAAGTGGAGAGGGGGTGACTGACCACAAGATAGAATCTGATGTAAATATTTTAAAAACCAAAGAGGGCCAGCACCTGCAAGCTCAACAGAGTGTGTTTTAATAAAGATAATGTAGGGAATGGGGAATAACTGGCTGAGTGTGTGTGAAACAAAACAAATACATGAGGCCACAAACCCATTACCATACTGTCACTGTCTTTAAGCAGGAAACAGCTTTAGAATGGAAATAAATAACTGCCAGTCTGAGAGGGTGGCAATCCTGAGGCCAACTCTGTTCATCCAACCTTGAGGTGCTGGGAGGCTTCTAGCCAGGAGACCATGAGGTCCAACTAGGATGACGGTCAAAGTTAAAGTCCCTCTGGGAGCCTGCAGCCTGGGAGGGGTGGATCCTGGAAGAGGTTTGCTGGCATATGCCAAGGATACCTCCCCAATCCCCCTTATCTAGTCACAGACCCTCTGCCTACACACCTACCATCCCTGCTCTCATCCTGGCTAGGCTCAGGGCAGACTCTCACCTCCCAGACCTGGAGCCTCACATAACTTGATTCACTTATTAATTTATGTAACAAACATGGAATTCCTGTTATGTTCCAAGCTCTGTGCTAAGCTATGGATTTTTTTAAAAAGTGAATTAGTCAGCATGCCTGCCCCCAAAATGTTTCTGTTCTAGTTGGGAATATTATCAAAGTAAATAATAAAAGCTGCCACTTATGGTATACAAGTCACTGTGGAAGCTGAGGATCAACGTTTGAGGAGCTAGCGCAGGTCACAGGGCACAGTCAGAATTCAAACTGCAAAACCCAAGCTCTTTGCTTGCTGCCAATGAAATCCTCATAATACCTCATTGTACCCTAAAAAGGGTTCAACCAAGGTACAGAGGGAATAGAGTGCAAAAGAAGATGATCAGCTCTACTAAGGGCAGGCAGACTGGGGAAGGAGATGATGTGGGAGAGCTATAGAGTAGCCTGGGGTAAGTTGCCGTGTGCTGAGCAGATAAGGACAGAACGCCATAGAAGCAGAGGGCTGTGCAAAGGCATCCAGTGTGAATAGCTTGGAACATGCAGGAACTAGGGACTGGGGGAGAGGTGTAGTGGGGAGCAATGAGGCTAGAGATATAGGCAAAGGCTCAGGTGCCATTCCTGGAGTTTGGACTTATCTCGTAAGAAATGGGGAGTTGTTTCAAGGTTTTAAAGAAAAGACTATCACAATGGGACAGGCCTATCTATTGCTAACTAAGGTCAGCAGAGAAGAGCAGCAGGATCTCCAACAAGGAGATTCTGGCAACAGACCCTGGGCAACCTGCTGAGGACATGAACAAAGCCCTTAGCTGTAGAGAAGGACAGAGAAGTCAAAGAACTAGGTGACAGGGGCTGAAGGAGGTGATTATGAGGAGGGCAGGAATCTAGAATGACCCCCAGGTCTCTGGCTTGGGTGAATAGGTGCCACTAACTAGAAGAAGAATGAGGGAGTAGAACAGGCTGGTGGGACAGAGGAAAACAAATGAAATTCTCTTTAGTTTTGTGCATGCTGGATTTAAAACACCAGTGGAGCTTCCAGAAGGACCCAGGATATAACTTTAGGCAAGAGAGTCAAATGATCTAATGTAATGACTTGAAAAATACTAACATAAATAGAAATATATGAATGGAGATAGCTCTCAGTTATTATAAGTACAGCTCTATTTATATTACCACAAATTATGGCTATAGATTTCATCTGACTTCTCTTTGAAATGCTGTCATTGTCTCTTTCCCTTCCTAGGCACGGCAACACATTGAAATGAGTACTACTGGCTGGGTTGGAAGAGTAAGTGTTATAAGTTGTGGGGTTTTATGGATGAGTCAGCTACTCAGCTATTTGATATGCAGCTATTTAAAACTAGGGCTCTAAGTGATACGTTATTAATAGCAATATTAGTTAACCTATTTCTCAAAATATGTAAATGCTCCCTATAAAGATATCTTTTTGTAGAGAATATATAACACACACAGTTGGAAAAAGTAAGGGGACAAGTGAAAAATCAAAAGCAGAGCAGACAAAACATAGCGCACTCCTGGCAAGTTGTAACTCCCAGCAAGTTAAAGGGTAACCATGGCTGAAAGTTGGCCAAGGTATCCAGTGACCTCACATTTGAAGTTATGTGCTTTAAAGACAGAAAACACAGGTTCTGTCCCCAGCCTGCACAGTTACCTAAGGAGAGGTCACTATAACAAGCAGAAAAACTCAGCAGCAACCACACAGTGCCCACTATGCACCTCTCTTTGGAGGAAATCATACTTGCAGGCTTATGCTTTATTAGGCGTCCAGATGCAGAGCTTTATCCAGGAAAGTGTGGTGACCCTCAGGGACTTGTCATGCTTCTCAGTCCCACTGAGTTATATACACATTGCACAGAATTACCACCCAGATTGCTATGGCCATAGAATGTAATGAGTTGATGAAGGAACTCCAGTCATCATGTCACCTTGCATGGTAGATGAGGAATGAATCTCACTTAATTTTTATGATCACTTCTATTAAGCCCCCTTTAAGAGGGAAATAAAGTGACCCCCAAAATGTAAAGATTTTATACCTCTTGGATCATAGAGGTGAGGTCCCCAGTCCAAGAAGACAACCCCTTCTAGCTGGGCTCAGAGCTCCGGCAGCATTCACACGTCCTTTTTCTTCAGGCATTGATTGGGCAGAGGGGAGAGGTTTGCCAACATGAAAAGTGGTTTCCTCCATGGCAAGAGACACGCTACACTTCCTCACGACTCTTTGAAAAAAATATGTTTTTTCCTCTCTGTATTTAACCAGACAGATGCCACTTTTCACACATTTCTACTAGGCACAACTCCATCCAGGGGAAACAGGGAAATGTATTAAAAAGATAAGGCTGTGAACACAGGTCTAGAGAGGGGAATGTGTTTCAAAGCTCTGTAATGAGAACACCAAGTGTACCGCACGCCTCAGCTTGCTCCATAAATGAATTCGCTTTGAATCACTAAATAGAAGAGGGAAGCATTTTTCTTCCTTCCCAAAATGGGAGCTGATGAGAGAGGAAACATCGAGGGCGAAGTGAACCAACAATTTTAAAAGACCATCTCCTACCTGCTCTCAAATGTAGCTAGGAAATCAAAATCGTAAACCAACATATTCCTTTCAGGCTGGGATAGACTCTCTTCTACTTAAACTGCATTATGTTCTGAGTACTATCTTTTATTGAACTGTAAAAAAATGGAAATTTGTTCTATATTTCTATACAAATATTTTTTGTAAATTGTTGATCATATTTAACAAAATGAAAAGGCTTATAATAATAACTATATGAATGTTTTCATATGAAATATACAACAGACATTCCTTATAGTATGTAGTCCAGAAATGGTTAAATACTAAGTCTGAGTTTCAAAAAGAAATATGTGTAAAAACAGGAAAGAAAAATATCCCCAAATTGCAAACCACCCCCAACCTGAAACAATATAAAATAATATGTCTGTTTCAAGAGAGCACATTTGTGACACTGAGGAAATTTACTGCTCCAAACTGAAAGGTTAATGCTATTTTCCAGGTGCTTGCAGCCAGAAGTCATAGTTATCATCCATAGAGAAAAGATGTCTCCAAATCACAACAACTTCTATTTATTGTTTTCTACAAGCCTCTTTATATACATTCTCTCATTTACTGCTCACGAAAATTACCTATGAGTATGGTGTTTTTGTTCACATTTTATAGAAAGATAATTTTCTTTTTGAGACACTAATTTTAATTTGGCATATAAATGGAGCATGGATTTTTGAGCGTAGGTATTGGACAGGACTTTCTAAAACTAAAGTTGGTACTGAGATGAGACACTGTGCTTTAATGTTCTTTTGTTCTCTATTATTTTCTAGTTTAGGCCTTCAGAACCTCATTTTACCCTTGATGGTAATAGCTTCTACAAGATCATCAGCAATGAAGAAGGTTACAGACACATTTGCTATTTCCAAATAGATAAAAAAGTGAGTATTCTTACATATTTTATTTCATGTTGACCTCTTTTTTTTTTTTGGAAACCAACTTGAAGTGGAAATCATTTGGTAAGGTGGATCAATGTGTATAAAAATCAGATTAATTTAAACTCCTCAGTGGTGTATTGTGTCATGTGGAACGAGGTGGGGAAACCCAACAAGAAAATCCAAGGTTATTTGAATTCCTGATATAAATGATTTAATCCTCCACTTTGAACAGAGAGAGTCTCTAATCAATCTTTTTTTTTTTTTTGAAAAAAAAAAAAAACCATCAGGACTGCACATTTATTACAAAAGGCACCTGGGAAGTCATCGGGATAGAAGCTCTAACCAGTGATTATCTGTGAGTATTGTAACAATTGATAGGATATAAACCTACTTGTCATAATCATGCCCTCTTTGCCCAGAAGTAGGGAAAAAATCTCCTACAAATAAAGAGTAGTCTTTTTGGAATGTGTTCAATACTTTTTTTCTTTTTAACATACGGAAGCCTTAATGATTTTCACATATGCTTAGCAGATTTGATACCATGCCACCAGGCAGCTCTACCTCTTGCTCTTACCTGCTTTACATTACAAGAGCTGTATCCTCTTTTACATGAACGTTGTGGAACGCCGAACTAGCAATGAGGGGCATTTTGTTAAATTTCAGCTGGCACTGATTTTTTGGAAGGCTTGGAAAGGCAATTTTATCTGTCCATGTCCCGGCCTTACTCTTTGCAAAATGGAAAGCTTTGCAGAGGCTAACTGCCATATATGAGTTGGTAGAAAAGGGGGTGTTATTTTTCATTAGAATCTGAGGCACTTTTATGATTCTTTATTGGTCTAATCGCGGAGGAATTTTGCCGCCGCCCGAAGTAGCTTTTGAAGCCCCTCTTTAGCAGTGGCTCTGCTGCTCTCAGGAACATGGGGCTCCTGCCATCTAGTAGCTTATGTTATAAGACAGAAAATACAACGATCGGGATCAATGAGTGGGGTCTCAATTTCAGGCTAGCTGCCTAGTCCTATTTTTTTTTTGACAGAAGCCTTCTTTTGTGTTTTTACTTGTCACTCTAATTAAGGAAGAAATCTCTGGTTTTACATATTTTAGTCTGTTAAGAACAAGACCTTTATGTGTAGAGATGACGGAGAAAAATGGCTTCTCGGGGGTGAGGGACACGGAAGCGATGGCGGAGGGCGGCGGGCACCCGTGCGCGCGCTCCGTGCACACTTAGGCTTGGGGTCTGAGTGCGGTGGATCGCCTCTGACTTCTTAAAAAACATAATTAATATATATTTCATTTTTTTCTCTTCCTAGATACTACATTAGTAATGAATATAAAGGAATGCCAGGAGGAAGGAATCTTTATAAGTAAGAGCTCTGTCAAGTTGTTGACTTGAGTCATTTTAGCTGACGAACAATTTCTGAACTCTATTTTTATTTTTTGCCTTGTCCTAACTAATATTAAACTGGTATTGCTATTGAGCACTTTTTATTCCTTCATAAATCAATCTACATGTCCACAAGAGAGAATGGCTTTATTCGATGTTTTGTGATATTTCCAAACAATGGAAGGTTTGAGGTTACTATTAATTCATGTATTTATTTCATGCTAAAAAAAAAAAAGTCCTAAAGATTGCGTTGGCATGCTGCTGTCTTTGAAACTAGAATATGGCTTTATTCAGTTCCTTCCTCTCACTTATCTTTTCTTCAAGCACTTAATTTCCACCGTTGGTTTTACAGAATCCAACTTAGTGACTATACAAAAGTGACATGCCTCAGTTGTGAGCTGAATCCGGAAAGGTGTCAGTACTATTCTGTGTCATTCAGTAAAGAGGCGAAGTATTATCAGCTGAGATGTTCCGGTAAGTCTGAGCTCCCTGGGAGGGAGGGCAGTCGCCGCTGTTACTCACTTCGAAGCAGCTCCCTCTATTCCTTTTGAATCTGAGGAGCTCTTGAAATCACCTAAGTCCCCTTCTCTCCACTCACATTTAAGTAGTGAGCATAAACAATCTTTTCTTCCCCTTATCACTGAGAGACTTGCATAGCTTGCCTTAGACCGAACACACTCACACATGCACAAACACACACCCTTGTGTATAACAGAAGCACTTCAGCGTTAAATACATACATATTGTGGGGTTTTAAATGATTATTTTATGCACTCGTCCCTTTCAATGAGAAAATGTATGTGGCTGGTGCGTGTCACCCAACATGCTCACTGCTCCATCTTCTGTTGCTGTTGCTATTATTAATTACAAATGAAGAAACCCAGGCAAGGAGTGGCCAAGTGACTTATGCAGGTGGTCACACAGCGAGTTACAGGCACAACAGGATTCAAAACAGGCCTCTGCCGCCCGAGCCATCCCTTTTAAACAGTGTGCCAGGTTACTTCTCAAAATGGGAGAAAGGATCTGGATATTCTGAAAAGAACTGTCCATAGCACAAAAATAAATAAATGTTTTCAAACCAGTTATCTGAGTCTTCCCTCACTAGTATATTTTATTATTATGCTTTTCTTTATGGTTCTTTACTATGACTGACTTTTTTTTTTTAGCAATTATTTCTTGGGCATGCGCTTTATTCTAAGCACTGTGCTAAAAGCTTTATATTCATGATCTTGTTTAATCTTTAAGAAATCTCTATCAAGTAGATATTATTATCCTCATTTTCTATGTGAGGAAATCAAAGCACAGTTCTGTTGTCCTAAGTCACAGAGCTAGTGAGCCAGGATTCATCCCCAGGTATGGAAAGTGCCTTCACTCTTTCTAATCCAGTATAAAAATTAATATTATCATCCAAACACATAAAATTAAAGAGCTCACAAAATAGCTTTTCTATACATTACCTTCCACTCTGCAACTACCACAGTTGGGATAAACAGTGACGATATGGGCTTGTGAGAAAAACACTTTTGCATGCCAGAAAGGAATCGCTTATCCAAGTCAGGCACTGTGCAGATGTGCCGCCTGGCTCTGGGACTCCATGGGAGTGGGGGCAGCGGGGGGAGATCTGTCCCTCCCTAGGGAGGCTGGCTACAGGGCTCTGCAGCCCACCTGGGCAGAGCCTGAAAAACCCTGTGGGATCACGGATTTAGAGTGGGGAAGGATGTCAGCTCACATTTTACTTTGCAGATGAGTATATTAAGTTCAGAGATGATAATGTGCCCAAGGTGCCCAGCAGGGCACAGATTCATTTCCTACTTCATTCTACTGAGCCCTGTGCCTTTCCAGTAATACTTCTTACACTGAAATTGCAACTATTTTAAAGAGAGGGGGAGGAGAAACAGCTAACATGTATTAAACTTCTTATGCATTATAATATTTATATATTCTATCAAAGTTAAATGGTAACAAATGGTATTTTTGAAAAGTCATCTATACTATCTTTTCTAAAAAAGTATTCATCCAAAACATTTTTCCCCCATTGTGTTAACAGGTCCTGGTCTGCCCCTCTATACTCTACACAGCAGCGTGAATGATAAAGGTATTTTCTCATATTTTACTCTTCATTTGTTTCTAAGAAAGTGTGTTGCATAAGTCTAACATGTACTTAGCATTGTGTGATTTTCTTTGGCTTTGTGTCTTGACAATGAGTTGAACACAAGCCTTATAACCTGAAGTATGTGTAGTCCGATCAGTGAATTTCATGTTTGCTCATTATTGCACTACATAATCCACATTTTTCACATTGTAATGAATGACTGCTGTCTCCTGTATTTCTTTAGGGCTGAGAGTCCTGGAAGACAATTCAGCTTTGGATAAAATGCTGCAGAATGTCCAGATGCCCTCCAAAAAACTGGACTTCATTATTTTGAATGAAACAAGTAAGTTAAATTCCTTTGGAATAGTACTTTTCATGGAAACACCAATGCACTCTAACTATAGTAATTCGATCTGAAAATATGTATTTCATATTATATATAAATCTAATTTAAAAGGTTATTTCTCCATGAAATGTTTTGTCACAAGAAATACTAATTTTACATCCTTTTGTCTTAAAATATAATACCATTCTACATAAAACTTATTCTGTCAAAAAGGAAGGGATTTGGAGAACATGCTCTATCGTTAGTTCACTTTTATCCCATTAGTGACTCTATTATTCTACTAATATTAATTGTGTGTTTAACTTAATGACATCCTAGCATATTTCACCTTTAACCCAAAGAGGTCAAGGATATCTGAGATAGTTGTATAAAACAATTCGTGTTGGCTATAAAATATTGAAACTTCAGTCTCAGAAGATAAATTTTGAACTTTTCCAAACCCTGCTGACCTCCCATAGTGTGGTCCCGGCTTGATTGTGTAATCATGGATTATGTTCAGAGACCAGTAAGAACAATGGGTTTCTTTGAGTAGAAAATCTTGTTATTTATTGTTTGTTTTTCTTTATTTTTTCCACTAAGGGCTAACAGCTTATAGGGGAGGGAGGAATCTGTTATATTAGGATTGATTCATTTTAGGCTTTTAAAAAAATTTAGGATAATAGAAAAGATTCAACACATCTAATTTTAAATATCAGGAAAAGCACAGGAAAGTATAGCATCCTCGTGAAAAACAGTTTACATCAGTGCTACTCAAACTGAATGTGCATGTGAGTCTCCTGGGATCTTATATTAAGATGCACATTCTGACCCAGCAGGTCAAGGAAGGTCCAGGTTTCTGGATTTGTATTAAGCTTCTAGGTGATGCTAGTGCTGCTTACCCTTGAGCCACACGTGAGGGGCAAGAGCTTAGAGTTTTCCAGAGCTAACATTGACAACCTGGTACAGAAGGCACTGAATACTGAGATGTGACATTCTATTTCAGTCATGAACACTGGGGAGCCCCTGCAGGTTTTAGGGTCACGGAAGCCACATTAGTAGACGGGTGACTTGAGACAGGATGTAGGATGGAGCTGTGGGGATGGGGAGGTGGTTATAGCCATTCAAAGTACAGAAAGGAGGGATGAAAGGTAGGTCAGGGAGGAGGGAGCCGGGAAGGTGGGACTCTGTGAATAGAAAGAACCCCCCAAACCAAAGACTATACATCTCCAAAAAAGTGGGACTAAAACACCTTCCCATCAACTAATGCCAATTCAAACAAAGCAGAGATCAAATGATGGGTTTTGCATATTCATTAAAAATATCATGGTCAACTGATAGTTTGGTGTTCTATTGAAATTATAATAGAGACTTAAATTTTGCTCTTACAAGCACATTTAATCAGAAGGCATAACAATAGTCAGCAAAATATAAATTGAAGATAAATCTATCTATATATTTTACTCCCAAATCTTTCTTTTCTTTTCAAGTAAAATAATCGTAACAAACATAAACAAAAAGGAAGATAAATGTTAGATAAAAATAGCTCTAGAGATAAGAATTTTTTTGCCTACAGTTTAAATCTACTGAATCTGGAATAATTTTATTTAAATGTGGAAAAACACTTTTTTATAGATCTATTAGTATAACTCATCTTTTATTTGGGAACGAAGGAAACTGACTCATTATTTAGGGACAAATTTTATTAAACTGATGTTAAATCAAGCACAGAGAATGAGACAGACCCGTGGGAGATCATACAGAATGTACGCAACAGTTTGCTCCATATAAACCCGATCTCATTCTGTGAAACACAGAGCTGAAAATGGGAACTCAGCTTTGCGGTCTGGGATGGCAATAAGAATTACAAAAATGTTATTAAATCAGAATTCTAAAATAGAGTTGGGGCCAACTAAAAATCCTAAACAGCTTCAAGGAAATTCAAGAAGAGGAAAACATTTTGGAGGAAAACTTAGAACATAAGCCATAAACAAACTAGATAAGTAGATCGGATGCCAAAGAACAGAATCATAAAAACAAAACATTAGAAATTCTAAGATGCACTTTTATGTTACTAGGCACCAATGTATTTAATAGATACATTAGAAACAACTTTATGTTTTAACATTAACTAGTATTTTAACCTGAAAGAAAATGTTATATCTTAAAAATGTGCTGAATCCAAGCAGTTCATTTTCCTTTTCTACTCTCATTTAACAAATTGTTAAACTCTAGAAATGACTTGCTACTGACGGACATGAGGAACAAAATCTTGTGCTAATAATTTTTCTTACCTCACTAATTAATCTTTCTGTTTGTTTAGAATTTTGGTATCAGATGATCTTGCCTCCTCATTTTGATAAATCCAAGAAATATCCTCTACTATTAGATGTGTAAGTATTCAAGAGAAGGGAGCAATTTAGAAGTATTGAGTCATATATATTTTTCTCAGTGCAGCTTACTGAAAAATGGAGCCAAATGCGTCCTTTCCCTCTTCCTGGATCACTGTTTACTATTTCCTCCTTTCACTGTACAGCCACAAAACCCAACCTGTGTTTTCTCACATCTTCTTAATAGAGAAGGGAGATACTCCTTTTCTGACATAATGGTGTATAGATTTTCTTTTGTTTTGCTTCTCTGAACTCCAAGGGAATTTCAAAGGAATTCTTAAGTCTGCATTTTCATCCTTAACCTCCTGGACATTTTAACAAGCAAGAGATGGGCATTAACAGTCGTGACAGTTCCCTTACCCCAGCTCCCACTGGCTGCCTCATGTTTCTCTTCCTTTAGTTCCTGAAATATTACTGCCGGCTATTTTCTATTCCCCTTTTTGGTGAAGAGAAGTGATAGAGGAGAGCGTTCGCTATTAAAAACTTCAAGTCTTTGAGAAAGTTAGGAAGTCACAAGTCTTTGAATAGTGAATGTGAACTCACATGAATTCCAAATATGACAGCTTTGTAAAATATTTTTTATAATCATTAGGAATACACCCTACTTTAATTTTTCTAAAATTGCCCTAGCGTCACCCATGATGCCATAATGTCAGGCTCTTCCTGTCCTGGCTTGCATCATTTCCTATATTAAAAACAAAATGAAACAACACTAGTGCAGGGACCTGCCGAATGCCAGGTGCTTGGCATCATTTGCCTTATTTTATTCACACAACAAACCCATATAGTAAGTTCTGTTGTTCCATTATACGGAAAAAGACATTGAAGGTCAGGGACATAATGTCTCTGTTGTTACCAGCGAGAAAAAAAAAGTGGGGAGAGGAAGGCAGGACCCAGATATTAGTATCAGACACAGCTTTGATCCACTATATTCACAGTTTCATGAAAACCACACATAAAAGCACAAAGAAAGGAAAAGATACATATTTTAAAATTCCAGATGTGTTATCTGATTTCTTTTCAAGTAAAATAATTGTAACAAATGAAGTCAATTCATTCGTGACACTAATTTGTTTTAGGCTTCGGCTCCAATGCTAAAAAAGCATCCTTTTGAGTGATATTTTTATCTTCTTTGACTTCCTAGTAAGTAACGATTTGATCTCCATTAGAAAAGGTTTTAAAAAATGGTAAATTTAATACATATTTCTGTTCAGTTATTTTCCTTTTCCTCTCTTTTAGGGTCTTTTTTTTTTTTCTATTTTAAAAAATAATCTTGTTTAATCTTGGGGTTAGGGAACTTGATATATATACCTAATATTAAGGCAAGCTCTTAATCTACCAAATTTAATATAATTGAGAGGAGCAAGGCATTTCACATGTGAAAAAATATTTGCTAGCTCAAGAAATGCATGAATGCATTTTCCTGTTTAAAGTTAGAATGTTATAGTGTTTTGTTTAAAACGAAAGTTCTTTTGACTGACCTCCCTAAGTAGAAGGAAAACATTAGCAAAGGCATGTAAGCAGAACTTGTCCTATCCTGTGCAGGGACAGTAAGCAGATGAGTGGAGAGATGGGCTGGGGAGGGAATAAGTTATTGGAGAGTATCCATGTCCAGGAGTTGTGTAGATGGTGCAAAGATGACATATTTAAATGAATTGAGATGAGCTATAAGGAGCTCCTCTTGATTAACAAGCAGAAATGAGAGTGCTTTACAGAGCTTTACAGAGATTGTGCACACAGCTCTGTGTAGGGTAGATGGTAGCCTGTGAAGATTGCAGATACAAGGGAGTTAAACTTGTTAGTATATAGAATGCCCAATGACATGCCCGTTTTCCAATGCAACCTGTTTCTTCCTCTGAAGTTTTAAATGTTAGCATTCATTCATACTGCAGTCCATTCCACAATGATTTACAGTCATTGTGAGCAAGACTGTGCCGGGTGCTATGGGAAATGCAAAGCATATGATGCAGAAGTCAAAGTCCTTAAAGAAGGAAATAAACTTGCAGTCCAGGAGTATTGTGTTAAGCTGAGATGGAAAGATATCCAAAGCTGCATTTATTGTTGTCATCATCATTTTTTTTATACCACAACTCCCCCTTCTTAACTATTAGAGAAATTATTTCTTTGATTTCCAAGATTACATTAATACTTCTAAAATCTTGGCCTATGAAGTCTGTGTTTGATAACTATCTTCAAAGACAAAACTGACAAGTATCTTTGAAGGAAATATACAACCATGGTAGTTGTGTTGCTAAGTTTTAGAGGACTCATTCTGGACACCCCATAGGCTGGCACAGTTTAAGGCTCATGATTGGGAAGGATGCATACTTCTCCACGGAGAAGAGAAATGTAAGCATTCCTCATTTGATTCCAGAAAACCATGAAAGCTAACAATTTGGTATTTTTCATAGGTATGCAGGCCCATGTAGTCAAAAAGCAGACACTGTCTTCAGACTGAACTGGGCCACTTACCTTGCAAGCACAGAAAACATTATAGTAGCTAGCTTTGATGGCAGAGGAAGTGGTTACCAAGGAGATAAGATCATGCATGCAATCAACAGAAGACTGGGAACATTTGAAGTTGAAGATCAAATTGAAGCAGCCAGGTGAGTGACTAGGAGATGAAGTCAAAGGTCATCTGATTTTTTTTCCCCTTTAAAATTTACATTTTAAAGCTGTAAAGTGTAAATAATTTAAAGTGTTCTGGGATGAATTTGTAATCTTTTATCCTTACGGTAGGTTTTAGTGAAGATGTTATGTTTAAATAACAATATATTACATTATAGATTGATATGAAGTTCAAAAAAAAAGCATTTCCTAAATTCCTCTCTGTATGAGACTCTAGAAAGGGAGTTGGCATATGTCCTACCACATTCTAAGAACAGAAAATCAAAATTCATCAGACTCGGGGACAAACTGAGGAATAAATGTACCCTAGTAAACATCTGACTAAACAAGCCAAGCCCATTCCTTCACAGTCAAGGATACTGTGTACATTTCCTTCAGTGTACATTTACGTCATAGGCAGTGACAACTCTGAAGTCCTAGGAGTAGCTCCTACAGTCTGGATGAGGGTGACTCTGCTATTTTGGGAAAATTGTGGAGCACAACCATCATCGGTACTATGTATAAGGGCTCTGTTACGTATGAACCACATCTCATTCTTGTGCTCTTCACTTATGGGACTATAACTAGATGTGATCTGGCTCAAGAGATGTTAACAATCAATGATGGTTACTCATAAGATGCATGTTGCATGAGAAGTGCTTTACCTGCAGGCATTGTCGCTGAAGCCCCGAGAGGTGGGTGTTCTTACCCCATATTTTAATTAAATAAATAGAGACTATTAGGTTAGGTAGCTTGCCAAAGTGAATCAGGATTTGAATCCAGTCTCATTCTGACTCTTATATTTAATTACATTCAACTGGTATGTGGGAAATGTAACTTTGAGTTTCTGTAACCAACAGCATGGATGTCTGGGGAAGCATAATAGGGAGGGTGGTTGAAAATAATGTTATGAAATCATAGACTAGGAAATGCAGAAGGATCCATGAATGATGAAATAGATGGAGAGAGGAGAAGATGACAATTGATTAAGGATTCCTGAGGAAAGAAATTCTCTTTTACTAAAGTTAATGATTAGCTATTTTCCTTAACAATTAAAAAATAGAGATTTAGAATAAACAGGGGATACATTTGTTTGAGAGTGAGGCTTTGATATTTTAAAAATAAACTTGTATCTATCCAGATCGCTCCTCTATGAGAGAGGGCATAGTTTCCAGGGTCTCTCAAATCTGACCAACAAAAGTCCTAAAATTACAAAATTAAGGATCTACTATATACAACCCCAGTTAAATAAGTATTGAGAAATAGTGCGTTTATACAGTGGCACACACTATTGCAGCAACTAAAAAGAGCTAAGCATAACAACATGGATGAATTGCATATACTGTTGAATGAAAGAAGCTGGACACAAAAGTGTACATCCTGCAAGATGCAATTTATGTAAAGATAAAAACAAGGCAAAAGTTCAGTGAAATTTTTATGGAATTCAATAAAAGAAAAACATTTCCTTTTGTCCCTTTGCAAAGAGGGAAATGCCTTAGAGGCTTCTGATAATATGCACAGGCCATGATTTCAAGGATACATTCACTTTGTAAAGGTTGATCAAATTATACATGAATGATCTGTTGCACATTGCTGTATGTCTGCCTCCTTCAATTTTACAAAGTTTACGTGGAAAAGATGAGTTGAAAACTATTTTAATTTTTTTCTAGCACTGCTTAACTTAGGGCAACCTAGGACATATTACATGAAAACACAAAGACTGTCAAAATCAAGATAGGTTAATGCAAAGGTCTGCAACCACCCACAATGCTAAAAATTTGAGTTCCATTTGTCAGGTATTTTTAAGTAAAAAAAAATTTCTTTTGATGTCAGGCTAATATTAAGAAATAGGTGCATACAATATTTTTCTTATTTCTTTACCTGGATTCCATCTCTGAACACAGTTTTGTGGCAAAGAAGACTTCTTAATCCATCAAGGAAAAATTTATTTCTATTGAGTGCACGGTACTGAGCTAACTAATCAACACCCAGCATAAGAAGGGATTTATTTAGAGAATGGTGTTTAAGTTCTCAGGTAGGGGGCCCGGAGACATTTCTAAGCCCTTACTCAGAAGTTTTTCATGCCCTTATCTTTCTCCATTGCAGGGGCAGACTCTCCCAAACTGAAAAACATCTGGAGAGATTTAAATTCAATTATGTAAAGAAAAGTGCATCTGGGCTGCAAATTTTTGTATAAAACTGTGAAAAAAACTGCCAGGATTTGTTTTCTGTGAATCATACACACACACACACACACACACACACACACACACACACAATTTTTATGAACTCCAACAAAAGTAAACCATGTTCATCTGGATCTTAGGTTAAAATGATAGATATTTATCTCAGGTGTTTATTTGATTACTGGCAGCAATTTTTAGTCTCTAATAGAATGAAGCAGAGAACAAATGGCAGGGTTTCACATTTGTGCCTCATCTAAGTTTTCTATACACAATGCAGTACTGATCTGTGGACTTTTTCCTTGTGTTTTAGACAATTTTCAAAAATGGGATTTGTGGACAACAAACGAATTGCAATTTGGGGCTGGGTGAGTAGTTGACTGATGAATCTGTATGCATTCGTTAGTGAATATCACTCAGAGCAGGTTACTTTATCTTTTGTATATACATATTTGGAGGTGAAAATCACATCTATCAAGTCTTAGGTCTCTGGGCAGTAACTCTGCAGAATCTCCACTGAGTTAGGCTTACACCTTTGTTTATTATGATGAGCCAGGGAGGTGAGGTAGAAAGAGCAAGAAGGAAGGAGTGAAAGAGGGAGGGAAGAGGGAAGGGAAGGAAGGAGGGAGACTTTTTCTTATGCATCAGTCAGTAAAGATTTCGTGTTATTGTTTTTAAATCTTCTATAATTGGTACCACCCAGTCACTAGGGTCAGCAAATTTTCCGTAGTTTTCCCCATATACCTACCAAGAAAGGGATCAGGGCTCTGAAAGTGTAGTCTTTAAAGATACTGTCCAATTAAGGCCAATTTAAGCCTCCTATACCATGCTTTTTATCTCTAAAGAGGCACAGTATATAAAGATGTGAGAAATGTGGAAACTGCGACTCGCTTACCATATGTCCTTATTCTTTTACCTCCATAAAAATAACTGTTTCCATTCCTTAGTCATATGGAGGGTACGTAACCTCAATGGTCCTGGGATCGGGAAGTGGCGTGTTCAAGTGTGGAATAGCCGTGGCGCCTGTATCCCGGTGGGAGTACTATGGTATGTAATTGCTGCCAGGTACAAAGAGATACGGAGTGTTGACCTCAAAATGCCAGTAACAAAGCCATTCCTTTCTGAGTTTCAGTGTTTTTACAGCGAATAATAGGCTGATTCATCTTAGAGGTTCTTTTTGGATACCTATAATAAGATGATCTCATTTATTCTGCTATTTTGCAAGGCTGGGTGGTATATTTTATTACACGTTTGATTTTTTATCAACAAATTCTGTTTTCCGAATTTCAAAATAGCCCCATGCTACATTTCTACAGATAAATCATTCCTTATCTTTACTCTGATTTGATTCTTGGGTTTCACATATTAGCAGAGTGAGAGAAGTATGTATCTCTTTCCCATCAATTAAATGTCAAATACAAGTAGGGCTTTGGATGGGAAGAGGAGAGGAGGAACAGTGGAAACACCCATTGGGGGGTTGTTGTTTTTTTTCATTCTTAATAGGTGAAAGCTACTCTAGAATATGCTCTTTGTCATCGAGAGAGTATTATTTTATAAGGCATCATACACCTACC
Source organism: Homo sapiens (assembly GCF_000001405.40). NCBI lineage: Eukaryota > Metazoa > Chordata > Mammalia > Primates > Hominidae > Homo > Homo sapiens. The sequence continues at coordinate 162,008,034 of NC_000002.12, read as the reverse complement.
TCTAAGACTACAATTCTCAAAGGGGAGGGAGTAAGCGATGGAAGATGAGGGAGGAGGGGGGATTCAGAAGTGGTAAGGAGGTAATTGATTTTCCTGCACCTCTTCTAACCCCATCTCAAGTCTTCTGTCTAGTGTAAGAAAAGAATGGCTGATGATGAATAGCTTATTAAATATTTTATATCCAGAAATATGGTAGTACCCAGAGAAAAAGACTCTTTAAAGTCTCTCCCAGTCAAGATAAACCAATGTAAAAATACATTTATATCTTTCTGTTAAGAAAATTGGAGGGCACAGTTATAATTTGATCTACACACAATGAATTTGTTTTCATAATATTTTTCTGCTTGATATTAATTGTTCTGTTGGATGGCTTGTTTTTGGAGACCTCTAGTGGTCAATAAAATAATGGAGTAAATCTTTGTAAGTTTAAAAATATGAAATGAGAAGAAAACTTCATTTAATGTATATAGACCAATCTAATACATAGAAGTTGTCTAGAGTTCTTATATACGTGTAAATTTAAACAATTTTATTCAAAGATGGGACAAAAGGAATACGTAAATGGTGTTTCAAGGCATATTTTTTTAAAAGTTTACAATTGTATTATGCAGTTATGCATAATATTTTTTAAATGTTATTTTTAAAATTTCAGATCTTCTTATACATGTAAATCTGGTTAGCATAAATAAGAAAGGAGTATTGTGTTCTATGACAAGCAGAATTAAAGTCTGCAGCTACCTAGGGGAAAATGTGTTTCGCCCTTAAAAGCCATTTTTCCCATCTAACGTACAACCTAAGATATTAATATTTAAATGCTAAAGTTAAAAGAGATATGAGCATTTTATGAAGTTCTCATATTTTAAAGTGTCTTTTAAAATATTCTATTTTTATATTAGTGTCCTTTAAATATATAAAATTATGCATAGTCAGTATTCATGTTAATCAAAATGATAAAATATCACTGTTAGTAATTTTGGAGGACAATATTTTGATTTTCATAGAAATGGCATAAAGTATGCATATGGAGCAACTAACACTCATTAGTGTAGTTTGTAATCTACAATACCAGTCATTCAAAAAGTGTTAGAATGTTGAATTTAGATAATATATCCATTTTTAAAATTAATGAAATCAGTTTTGAAATACTTGTAAAATTTTAGTGAAATTCAAGCCACCAACCTAGATAGCACAATGGCAAGATAAAATTCTTAGACTCTTTAACTGTAATCTGGTCACTTAAGGAGGCAGTTTTCAAAGCAGTTATGTCAGATTTTTAAAGTTTTACTGCAATTTGGCCTCAATAATTTTTTTACTGATATTTTAGGCCAAATATATATAATGTATCATTTAATTTTTTAAAATCAGGCAAAATATGTTTAACTATCCAAAATAACCAAACCAATTATGCAACCTGTTTTTCAACCATATTTATAGATAAAAGAGCTTATGTCATTTCAGCAGACAGATATTAATGTAATCTGTTTCACAGTGCTCAACTGTTATACCACAAAAATTGAGGCTTCACCACAAAATGAGAGAAAACAAATGTTAAACTTGCATCATGATGGAGTAGCTGAGCCAATATGGGGATATACAGCAAATAAATGATAACTGAATTATTTGTTTTTATTATAGTGAATCCCAGTCTGATCTCCAAAATAAAATATGATTTAAATCAGCAACTAGTAATTGAACATTGTTAGGGGTCTCCAAAAGGAAATAGATGATCATAAATCAGGGCACATACTTGTATTATAACCAAAAAATTTCAACACAATTGAGGCATTAAGTGACTTCCTAACTAAAATTCTTTGAGAGGGTCATATGATAATGTTAAGATCCCTTACCCCTTAGCACTTCACATTTGACTTTTCTGCATGTGGATTATTGATTGGATTTTAGATAATCTGGTTTGATCTCCCTTTGCCCCATCGTAAGGGAAAATTGAGAATGGGTTAGGGCTGAGTGTGGAAAGGTATGAGTATGCAGGGATCTGGGAATTAGCATCTCTGGCTATATTAGCAAACCAAGTAAAAAATTACCTCCCATAAGGTGCTTTAGCCACCCTTTTCCTTCTTCATAACCACATAGAGATACTTCTGAGAGTAACTCTATATTCCTATACATGAGTGAATACATATGGAAACACTGAAGTGGCCCATTAAAAGCAAGAAAAGTTGTTATTGTATGAATTAAACTTTTTTTTATTTTTTTTTCTTTCACAGACTCAGTGTACACAGAACGTTACATGGGTCTCCCAACTCCAGAAGACAACCTTGACCATTACAGAGTAAGAGATGAGGACCTATACCTATTTTATAACCTATTTATAAGTGGTTTAAGAACCTTCTTAATTGTATCTATTCTAGAAAATACATATTTTTATTTCCAACAAAATTCTTGTTAAAAGAAATAACACAGGTGGTTTAGAGATACTCCAATAGCTTCCCTTACTGTATTCTGCATAATTACAGTCTTTATCGTATGCTATATAGGTCACAATATGCATTCATTTAGAAATACAAAGCAACATCAGATAATTACTTTAATTATAAAATTTCAGTTAAGAAAACCTATTAGAAATTCAACATATTCCTTTAGAGCCCAGAAGACTCTCTAAACCTTTAGCTATATATTGAAATTTCTTACAGTATTATCATAAGTAAGATATATATACGAGACTATAATTTTCTTACTCATAGCCAATTATGTACAGTTTTTTTTCACAAAGATTTAAGTAAAGCAGGTGAGAGGTAGGTACAGTTGGGCAGTACCCTTAAAAAGCCCTAAACCTAAATCACTGAATAGCATCCAACAGGCTGGTTGCCTGATGGAAGAACCAGTGGGCAGGTTGCTCTGCAGATGGGCTATAGCATTTAAAATATGGTGTGGGTGCAACTATCATTGACAGCCCCCATGTGCTAGTGTGGATGCCACGGCAAAGCCAGAGCATTGTCTCTGGTGCCACATTGATGCAGCTGGAAGTGCTAGCATAAGTACTAGGGACCCTTCTGGCACTTTGATCATTCCAAAACTTTGCTGATTCTGTTTGTCATGTTAGGTTGAAAAAAATTTTTTTAAAACCCTGAAACTTACAGCTGACAAGGTAAATCATTTATGATGTTTACATTTTTCAAAGATTGTTCACAATTCTTCACAAGACAGTGAATTAAAGAGAAAGAAAAACAATAAGAATAACTTAAGAACACAATTTCTTTTCATCTGTGTCATGACTTCATATTAATACATTGCTCTGAGCAATATCCATATGTTTTTGTAAGATGTCATCCCTATTACTATGGATGCTGAAGTCATCTGATCAAAATACAGTAAAACTCAAAAGTTTCTAGTTTTGCAAGACAAGTATAGACAATTTAGTTTTACCAATTACTTTCAGCTTACTTAATGAGTAAGGTGTATGTGTGTGTGTGCGTGTGTGTGTGTGTGTGCAGGGAGCTGTGATAGCAATATTTTTGTGTTAGTGGCTGTATGACGGTTTTCATGTCTGTTTCTCAGTCAAGATAGAAAAGTAACAATCTGCAAAGTGAGATGCACAAATCATCTACCCCTGCAAAACAGTCCCATAATTAGATTGTCCCCATTTCTGCTAAGTGTCCCATTTAATACTTAGGGCTCAATTCTTCCCATTCTTTCTCCTCCACCTCCCATAAGCTGCTTTAGACACTCATTTCCTTCTTCATAACCACATTGCTATTGTCACATAACCTATCTCCTTTTATAACAATAACCCGATTTGTCTCCCCTTATCTTGTCTTCTCACACTCCAGTCTATTGTTCACAGAGCTGGGAGATTAACTCCCACCCACAACATGTTCATGGTTCCTTCTTGTGTACTCAACTAAGCCCAGTCCTCACTCTTTACCCAGGTGTTCGGCACCCTTCCTGTAGTAGCCTACTTTGTCTGGAATGCTTGCTGTTCTCTGAATGTTTCTGTGGCTTTCCCTTTTGTGCCTTTGCCCTCTGCTCCTTCCACGTGGAATGTCATTTCCCCTCCATCTCCACCCATTCAGAAACTTACACAGCCCTCTCAGTGGAGTAGCATCCCCTTTGGAATCCCCTTTTGATAGTTTCCTTGTATATCTCTGAATCCTCATTTTATTCCACCTTGAACTAATAGGTATCTTGTACTGAATTTTCCCCTCTTCAGTACTGTTAGTTATTCAAGGTGTACAAGCTATTCAACATTGTATTCTTTGCCTTCGCCTTTAGGAAGTATAACCTTTCCTGATTTAACTTAAAAACTTTTTGAAGGGAAACATTGTTATACAAGAATTTCTCCATCACCGTTTTCATTTTCCAGTTCAAATTTTCTTGTTAACGACCCAACCAGAATACTTAAATTTGATTGTCAAAGAGTTTTCTCCTACAAGATTCTGAAAGTTCCCGAAACATTAGAGGTGCAACTGCCTAGGATCCCAATCCCTCACTTGAACATGGTGTATGATGAATCCAAAACGTTCATTTAAAAAATTATATTTTAAAAAGTGGAGGCTGGAAGCACAAGATCAAGCCCAACCTTGACATCTAAGGAGGTTCATGGCACCTACCCTACCTCCTCAAATAACATCAGCCAATGGGGTATTTCCTCTTCATCCAGCCCTCCCTATATAATGAGATAGGATAATTAGTTGTAGTCTGCCATTTCAACCTGCATAAATTTCCAGTCTTTCCTATAGGCTCCTCGTTCCCACCGAGTTCCCCCTCTTCTCCAGCTCTACCCCTGACTGCGGTGGCCATTTCCATCTCCCCCTTTAGGTGTTCGCTGCATGAGATAGTCATGTAAATAGAAGTCACTTCCTCCTGCCAATGGCAACACACGCACACTGGGTGCACAAAGTCACTCTTTCACTTCACTGCACAGATGGCACCCGAGGACTGTTTAATCCTTCCACGCCAGGAGTCGGGTTTTCTTGGCACAAAATTCATTGCTGGCAATGGACACATTAAAACTGCCAGTACCAGGGAGCTAAAGGTTCCCAATGTGTTACTAAGAGGAATTATTTGGGAGGGCGATAGTTAAGGTGGGCAGGATACAAGTGAGGCAAATGCACTAACTGAATTGTCTCCACCGTGGTAAGTTGCTTCCTCCGAAATGTGGAGAACTGAATCTATGTGGAGAACTGAATCTAAGTGCCTATTTTTGGTGCACAGCAGGCTTTAGAATAAAGCTGCCCTCCTTTGTTTTTTAAATGAGCCTGTGCTTTTGTCTCTGGCAGGAATACATTCAAAGATTCTATTTTCCTCCAAGGCCCCAGCTGCCCCTCTGGACCCCATCTTTTACTTTTCTTTCCCAGGTTGTTTTTCTTTTCTCCTCTCTCTCTCCTCTCTCTCTCTCTCTCTTCCTCTTTTTCCTTCTCTCCCTTTCTCTCTTCCTCACATCCTTTTTGAAAAGACAAAGGAGACAATTCCTTAGAGGATTTCACCACCCTGTGCATTTCAGTGGATCAGAAGGAAATATTTTTAAAGCGGTTCACGTTTAGTCTGGATCAGTGACTCTTTTCAGTACACTGAGGATTAGGAATGACCAAAGTGTGTAACAAGTAAGGCCTTGATCTTAGTCCATGTTTTCAGCTAAATAGCCACTGATACGTGGCTATTTACAGAATTACAGCCTTTGGAAGAAAATGCAGTTTTTAATAAAACTCAAATAAGTAAAGGATTTATTATTAGGTGATTGTTGATCTGGATTTGGAAGAATTTAGAGAAATCCACATCACCAAGAGAAGCACATGTCGTTAAATCAAAGTCCTACTCACCATTGAGGAAAGGGAATTAGAAGAGCCATTTGCATACATGAATGGAACAGGCGGGGATGCCTTGTGCAGTTGTTCAGCCTGTGCCCTGCTGAAAGCCAGACCATACTCCATTTTCTAAGGCCTACACCTCCAGGGCTGTGTCAAACCAAACAGAGCACCCTTTCCTATTCTTTCAAAGCTGCCATGTGGATTAGGGGACCCTGAGACTAAGGCCTAGACCCAATGCAGTGAGTCCATAAGACTCTTTTTGAAGATAATCATCCAACTACTGGCAAGAGGCAAGGGAGAAGCACTTTTAAAGGATATCCAGACCTCAAAGATGAAAGGAGATGTTCATCCCCCCCACCTCAAGGAGCTGATACCGGAAGCTCTAAATGGGCAGCCAAAGTGGAGGGGTGACAAATCTGAGCTAAAGGGTAGTATAGCTCTATGGAAACATCTTTTCTGCAATATGTCTCAGTCCCAGCAGACAGAAATGGTGACAGATTTGAGCAAAGGAATCAGATCCAAAGAGGCAACCCTCAAAACCAATGTCAATCAGCAGACAGCAGCTGTAGCCACACCTTGTGGAGTGGGCTCCTAACAGTGAGGAATGGTCTCTCATGTGGTCAGTCACAGGTCTTTTAGTCAAACTTGTAAAAAATGTTAACGTGGTAGACTTTCATTCACCCATTCAAGGTGCCTGGCGTTTTAATCATTCGGAAGTTTATTCTTTGTCAGTTAGAAAAAACAGTATTTTGGAAGAGAAATAAAAGAGAGTAGGTAATAAAAGATGAATTTGAATATGACAAAGTATCCAATATGTGTGAAAAAGACTTGTGGTTTTCAAATTGTGACTATGAAGCCCCAGGAATTCTATACCTTAGGAGCATGTAGGGAGGGGAAGGGGAGTGGCCAAGAAGTTAGAGTTTCCCCTTCTCTGCTCCCTAGCCAGAGGGGGTCTAGTTTCATTTATTTCATTCATGTTTTCATTCATTTATTAAGTGCTTCTATGGCAAGTCATCATTCTAAGCTCTTTACATGGGTTATCAGGTTTAATTCTCCTCCAGATCCTCCAAGTACTGTGTTTCTATTTTACGGACACACAAACTGAGGCACAAAAATGTTATGCAACATATTGATATTGAGGGTTAGAAAAGGGAGAGAGGGCACTTATCTGAATCATTAGAGAAAGATTTCGGAAGATGGGGAGGACGAGCATGATGCTCTCAATAGGTTACGTATTGGGGGAAGGCAGATCAGCACAGTAGACAAATGAATAGCAGGAAGAGTGGTTTTCTGGCGATGTGTGAAGCAGGTCCGATGAACTGAGGGATAACAGAAGAAGGGCTCTGAGTAGAGCAGGCCAAATGCTGGCCAAGAAGACAGGACATAAGCCTGGGGAGGGGATAGATTTATGAATACACACAGAGAGAAGTATCAGATCAAGGGCAAGAGAAATAGGACCCAAGTCCTGAGCCTTGTTGCCAAGAGAAGAGGGCAGCCTGGAACACACAGAAGGGACTGATTTAACTTGTAGAGGAGATTTATTTTGCATTTTGCTCAAAATTTGATAGGCTTTTGGCAAGTGTATGAAACAGTCATAGATTTGGCAGTCTTCTGCTAGCAGATTTGAAATGTTCAATCCTTAAGAACTGCTGCATCGTTAGGTTATGCAAAACAGGGTGCAATTTTGTAAATATGCCATCTTGTACTGATTTGACATTTGTTCTATTATCCCAGAATATGCCAAAGGGAGAGAGACCTTCAGATTTAAGCCAAACCTTAACTTGTTTGTTGAGTGCTGATAAAATGTTGACTGCTGTGTGATCTTTAAAGAAGCCAGTGTTGCTTGGTGAGGCCTGAGGTGGAGCCCCCTGTCTGGGGTTGATGGGAGCTCTCTCCTTGGCATCCCATGGGTACAGTTGTTTGATAGATGTACATAAGTAAAACATCTGTTTTAGTGAGTTGAAGTCATTCTTTTCTTAAACATTTTCTGTGGCCCCTGTTGTGATATTAATGGTGCTTCCCAAAATGGCATCATTTAATATTATTTATGCAGCTTTGGTTACAAGTAGGAGAATGCATAGAGCAAGCCGCTAAACCCAAAGTCGTATCTTACTGAAGTGCTGGGTTGCTGTCCGTTAGACCCAATGACTGTGTGCTCTTTCTATAAGATCTTATAAATGGGATGAGTTGTTTGGTTGTGATGTCAAGTGCCAGTAGAATATGATAGTCAGGGACATGAGCTTTTGGGGTTAGGCCAACATGTCCGCAATTTCTGTTTCAACCACTTACCAGCAGTATGAGTTTGAGGAGGCTACTTAACCTTACTGAATCTCAGTTTCCTCATCTGGATAATGGGATAATCAGACCTACCTCACAGGGTTATTGAAATCATTAAATGAGGTGCTTGTGCCTGCCATGAAGGAAGCTTTCAAAACATGGCAGCTGCCACCATTATTATCTCCAGGAAGCAAATTGTCCTTATGGTTCCTAGATGGCACTAGGGGTAGTTTAAAAATTGTTATACCTTCTGTTTCTCATAGTACTCTCCTCCTCTTATCAGCTCTCTCTTTTAATTCAAAAATACAAAGATTTATTTGTTGGAAGGTAACTGAGGAACCAGCATGATCCAACGAGCAGCTACAGATGGTTCTTCTTGGGGACTGAAGGAAAAGCTCCTCAGAGATGCTGTGGAGTCGGCACTGCCACTGGACCGATCCTTCCCACTTCTCCTTGCCAGGCTGTTGCTGGCAGCGGGGCTCTCCGGAAGTTTCTAGCCTCAGGAGAGTGCCAACTGCACCACCATTGCATCCTTGCCCATTTATCACTCTGAGTTTCCTTTTTAGTAGTTGGTGATAGACTATTCGGCTTCTAACTTAGTCATCCATTTCCTTTTTTATTTCTGTTTCCATGGATAGGCAAAGAGGGATTATCCTCTTTTGGTAGGTTAAAATAGCACAATTAATTTTTTTTCTAATCATTAATCATACCTTAAATTCATGCCTGTTATTTCTTTTTCTGGCTTTGTATGTTATCTTTACAGCTTAAAGTGTGCCATACACTGGACTGTAAAGGGTGTTAATTGAGAAGCCAGGGTGCACAGTTGAGTAGGGAATGATCAATGGTTCCAGAGGCAAGGTGACACAGCTGCCTTTTTCTGGGGAAAAAAATGTTCTGTGTAGCCTGAGAGCCTTAAAGTGGGTGTATGTCTCTCAGCTGCCTCTCTCCCTCTCACAGAGAGGTCCCTCTGGAGGCTTCTCCCAGTGAGCAGGGGAAGTGCGCATTTGAAATGGCACACTTATCTTGCAGTTGCAGGGGAAGCTTTTGTTTTATTTTTCTCTTGCTGCATTAAAGTATTTGTCTTTCTTTCTTTGTAGTGTAATATTGTTAATGTAAAACAATTTGCATCATGACACTTTTATCACAGTTTTCGTCTTTTTCTCAGTATGTTGCATTTCTCACCATGTCTAGTTCATCACAGCTACAGTGTGTACATCACAACATTTATCTTAGGCTCAGGGTTTTACTTGTTTATAAAAATTGTCTTCTTTCAGCCTGTATTCACTCCATTTAAGAAAAAAAAAGGCAGCCAGAAACTGTTTTGGTCCAAACTCCAGTAGTTATCACATTCCTTGCTAACTGTCCTGCGTATTTATATGTCTCCTAACTATTACTCTATGTTTCAATGACATTTCTCAGTTTCATGGCTCAGGGAGGTTGTAGGAGCAGCTTTTGCTTTTCAAGCTGCCAAGCAAGGCAGGCCCATGAGGCTTTTGGAGGTGAGGTGAGGTGGCACAGTTGTATATTTGGGTCAGGTCTGAGTGTTAAAGTTGACTGTCTTCCGCGAGCAAAGAGCTAAATTTAATTTGGAGAGCAACAAGGAGGGAGGAAGTCAGTGCAGGCTGAGAGCATGGCTAGTGGAAAGGATCACCAAAGAGGACTCACATGGGGGCACCTCAGCCTGCGATTCAGGCAATTAATGTTTACGGTCAGTACTCAAGCCTCAGCCTTTCTTGTCTCCAGCTTTGAATGCTGCGCAAAACTGTCTTTTAGGGAGATTTATTTTGACCCTTTCCTCTCTGAAGGACAGAAAATTGCTCAGAGTTCTATTGCCCCATTAGGCTATACGTCACTTGCGTAGTCACAAAGTATGCCTCCCAAATCACCCAGGGCTGTGCAGAGCAATCTCTCTTCTGATTAGTGCAGTCTGAGACGGCATGGGTCTTAGGAGGATCTCAAAGGATACCCATTATTATTATGCACTTCAAATTCCAGGACAGTTAATTAACATTTTATTTCACACTGTTTCTTTGCCAGAAGATCACATCATAAGCAGCTTGGAATTTTAGTGGAGACGCAGTGCAATGTAGGAAGTAAAAAGGGCTTGCTGTCAGACTTTGTCCAGCTCTGACACTTGCTGTAGTTGTGACCGGGTGCAGGTTACTCACCTTCTGAGTCTTGGTGCCTCCATCTTGAAAGGAGAATTGTTCTAGACCTATTTTACGCAAATATTGCAAGGATTTGATATAGCAGTGCTTTTATAAACCCTTATTTATATGTGATGCTTAACACAGCGACAGGCACAGAGTAAATGCTCAATTGAATGTTAGCTATTATCATGAATGGTATGGTGTATGGATAGAAAGTGGGCAAAATATATCTCAATACATTTCAGAATGAGCATATTTTATTTTGCCCACTCCAGCTGATAACACTTGATTCTGCAAAACTAGTACCAAATATAGTGGACACTGCAAGTGCTTGATCATTTATTTCATTTACTCATTTAATTGATAAATATTTTGCACTCTATTAGATGTTAAGAGTAATGCATAATATAGACAAATCTTTTTTCTTATGGATCTTATCATTTAGTGGAGTACATAATAAGTAAATATTGATTGACTAGATGAAAAAAATCAACGGAGGGATAAATGGTGATGTTGGGATGGATGGACAGATGGATTTATATTTAGATGTATTTATCTGAGACATCTTACCAGACAAAAAAAGTTTCTCAAAAATAAAAGGAGTCTCACTCAGGTTTTTATTCTGAGAGTTCATGAGTAAAATTTTCAATTTGGGTGAGAAATGGAATATGGTCAGAACAAGTGGGAACCAGCCTGCACAGAAGAGGAAGGGCATTTGTTTTAAGCCTACTAGGCCAGGATGACCTTGGGACATTCATTCGACTGAAACATTTTGGGTGGCTCTGTCCTGAAAGTCGTAGATAAAATGTCTTTTTTCCAGAAACACTGTTAAAGAATTCTCACATCAGCATCAGAAATTTAACCCCCTAAAAATGCTTTTGCTATGCCTCTTAGTTCCTATTATTGTGATGGAGTAAGAGGAGTTACAGTAGCCCACCCTTGTTTAAGGTGAATACATTCCAAGACCCCCAGTGGATGCCTGAAACTGTGGATAGTACCGAGGCCTTTTATACATTATGGTTTTTTTCCTCTACATATATACATACCTATGATAAAGTTTATAAATTAGGCACCATAAGAGATTAACAATAGCTAATAATAAAATAGAACAATTATAATGATAAACTGTAATAAAAGTTAATTGAGTGTAGTCTCTCTCTCTCAAAATATCTTATTGTACTATACTGAAGGTAACTGAAACCATAGAAAGCAAAACTGCCAATAAGCGGGGACTACTCTATTCCAATCTTATAGAAATCAAAGCTCAAGGAGCAGCATACCTCCAGTTGCATAGCTCACTGATATTGAAACTGGAACTTGAATACAAACACTGTTACTTTAGCCCCATCCCCTTCCTGCCAGACCACCAAGGTTCCCATCAAAAATATAAGCTGATATGAGCTACAGAGATATCTGTGAAATATAAACCTTGGCTTTCATAAAGTTGAATTTGATTCACCAAGATGCTGCAGGACGAGCTGGCTGCTTTTAAACCCATGGAGATGCTGCTGCCCCTTTCCTGCCCAACACATAACAGGACCATCAAAGTAGACTCTAGCTCACCCCCTCCCAAAGGCACTACAGTATTTTATGGCATTTTTACCTTCATCCCAACTTTGGTAAATATCCTCAAATTCAGATTAGATGACCAGCTTTAGATGATTTCAAATGGCTTTTTCATCCAAGACTCCTGACCCTCATTCTAGGAGCCCTGGCTCAGGCCACATAGCAGTCTCAAAAAGCTGACTTCCCAATTTTTTTTTTTATCCTATTTCTTGGCTAATTTGGGTATGACTTGATCAAATAGTATCTCCTCTAATAGACAGAATGAGGCAGACAACAGCAACCCACTGATTTTCTAAGGCCACTTTTGATCTTTTTTACCCCCTTCCCCTCCCATATGTTACATTTGCCTAGGTTTTTAACATCTGTTCCCAAAGAGGTAATATTTGCTTTTCATTCAGAGCTCAGCAATGTGGACCAAAGTTCACATGACATATTGCAGAGTATGTTTAGTTGCAAATGCTATGTACAGGCTCTTTGAAATGTAGCATGTATGGCACCATGTGACACATGGTTGCCATGGCAATACACTTTTTGGCTGAACTACAGCAGAAGCCCATGGAACATACATTACTAATATGAGACTCTGCCCTGTGCTAATGCATAGGACACAGCCAATCTGGGATCTGGGACTCAAGGGGTTTTGCATGCAGGCTGGGTGGCAGGTGCCCTCTTCCTGCATGTTCAGGGAAGATGTGGCATCCTCCCTTCCAGTCCTGTCTCCCAGGCACAGGGCATGCTGTGCATTCTGCCATGCATGGAGACAGCATTTGCTTGAATATCGGTTTGCTATATTTTGTATCAAAGGGGGCCCCAGCTGAAAACATTTTATTTTGTAAACTGAAGTGAAAAATCAGTTTATGGCAGATCCTTTTTTGAATAATGACATTCTTTCTCCCAATTCCAGAATTCAACAGTCATGAGCAGAGCTGAAAATTTTAAACAAGTTGAGTACCTCCTTATTCATGGAACAGCAGATGGTGAGTTTCAGTTAATTAGACTTTTTAGTATCACAGACAGGTTTGCAATTTCACTACTGACAAAACAAAAGCATGAGGGGCAAGACTGTTACATTTACTTCAATAAAACAGTGTTGCTTTCCACAAGTCACTTGTCTTGGGCTAAATGGGATGCTGAGTCCTAGAACTTCAAACAGTCCCTTTCTTCTTGTGCCTTTCCCACCCCTTGGTACCAGAAAACTGGAGTGGCTATTAGCTACTTTATGTTTCCTTTCTCTCCCTGCAGATAACGTTCACTTTCAGCAGTCAGCTCAGATCTCCAAAGCCCTGGTCGATGTTGGAGTGGATTTCCAGGCAATGGTATAGAAAAACTTTGTGCAAGGGGAGGGAAGTTGCTGGTGGGGTCTAGTTTCCTCTTTCTGGGCTAATTCTTTTAGCAGTGCCACAGACAGGACAGAATAAAAACATTAAAAATTTTTTTTTCAACGTGAAGTCAGAAGAGTGGTATCCTTCAGCCATGCACAGAGTAATGCTCAATAATATTAGCGAGTTTGGGGTTAAGAAGCACAATATCGCATATGCTGGGAGTATCAAGACACTGCTCTCCTGTTCATGTGATTGTTCAGTCTCTCCCTATTTTGATTCAAAAGTAATCACTTGTTCAGTAAATGTGTGGCAGAGTAATTCTAAAGTGAAACCAGCATGATAATAGCTCAGCTCAAATATGAAAATCCATTTCTGTCTGGTATGTATTACTAGCTATTCTAACAACAGTGGGATCTTAATAATCAGCATGCTTCAGTTTTTGCAATTACAAGGTGATCTTTTGTTGAATAACCACAGGCGATAAACAATTAGGATTGTTTTATAAAGTCAGGAATGGCTAGAGCTGTTGTTGTCTATGCAGAGGATATTTCTACGTATTATGTCAAATTCATTTTCTGCATTAGAGATTTTCAGATGAAGGAAAACGTATTTTTAATGTGTGCATGTATGTATATGTATTTATGTGTCCTCTAACACACATGATTTGCTCTGTGCTCAGTTCAAATGGTGCCCAATGCACAGGAGTGGGACAGTTACTTGATACTGAGAAAAACTGGCTATCTTTTGGGTCAGTGTTTTATAAGAGGTTGAAGTTTATTTTTCTACTATTCAAAGAAAAGACAAATGCTACTTTAATTAAGCTTTTTTTAAAGTTAACTTATGTCTCCATAATTTATGTTTGCCCGGTAATGACTTCCCAATTATTTAACAAGGTATGAATCAATAAATTTTTGTCCCAGATCATTAATTCCTTTTACATAAATGTCAAATACACAGATTTCTTAAAATACCAGTTTAAAATCTAAGTGTTTACAAATAATACATCTGATTTTTGACTTCACTTCTATTAAACATATATATGTAATATTGAAATAGAGTTTTTCCAGTTTCTAGGTGCTATATATTAGGCAATATTGCTTTAAAAAAAATCATTTAGTTTAATACAGTTTATCTTACTAGAGTACAGAGAAATTTAACACTTGATAACAGTTTAATTAAAACAAGTGGGCTTAATGGGATAATCATTCCTTCCCATGCATGCTGTGTAAGCGCCCTTTGAGTCAAATTTGGAAATGGATTGGGTGTTTTAATTAAAATGTACGTATCTTTAAAGCACTATTCAATAAAGCCAAATTCACAGTGAGTTCTCTCAGCACCTGCAAAAGAGGATCAGAGACTTCTGCAGGACAGAACAACGTGCCCTGGAAAAGCTCTGGGGGAAAATTAGACCCCCTCTTTGACCCCGTTTCAGTTTATAAACTGCCTCAGGAATTAAAACACTCTGTTTTATACCATGTATGCTCGTGAGAGCTCATTTGAATTTACGTATTTTTTTTTTTAAGAAGAGTACTGACTTCCTAATTCTAACTTCTTTTCTTTCTCTCTCTAGTGGTATACTGATGAAGACCATGGAATAGCTAGCAGCACAGCACACCAACATATATATACCCACATGAGCCACTTCATAAAACAATGTTTCTCTTTACCTTAGCACCTCAAAATACCATGCCATTTAAAGCTTATTAAAACTCATTTTTGTTTTCATTATCTCAAAACTGCACTGTCAAGATGATGATGATCTTTAAAATACACACTCAAATCAAGAAACTTAAGGTTACCTTTGTTCCCAAATTTCATACCTATCATCTTAAGTAGGGACTTCTGTCTTCACAACAGATTATTACCTTACAGAAGTTTGAATTATCCGGTCGGGTTTTATTGTTTAAAATCATTTCTGCATCAGCTGCTGAAACAACAAATAGGAATTGTTTTTATGGAGGCTTTGCATAGATTCCCTGAGCAGGATTTTAATCTTTTTCTAACTGGACTGGTTCAAATGTTGTTCTCTTCTTTAAAGGGATGGCAAGATGTGGGCAGTGATGTCACTAGGGCAGGGACAGGATAAGAGGGATTAGGGAGAGAAGATAGCAGGGCATGGCTGGGAACCCAAGTCCAAGCATACCAACACGAGCAGGCTACTGTCAGCTCCCCTCGGAGAAGAGCTGTTCACAGCCAGACTGGCACAGTTTTCTGAGAAAGACTATTCAAACAGTCTCAGGAAATCAAATATGCAAAGCACTGACTTCTAAGTAAAACCACAGCAGTTGAAAAGACTCCAAAGAAATGTAAGGGAAACTGCCAGCAACGCAGGCCCCCAGGTGCCAGTTATGGCTATAGGTGCTACAAAAACACAGCAAGGGTGATGGGAAAGCATTGTAAATGTGCTTTTAAAAAAAAATACTGATGTTCCTAGTGAAAGAGGCAGCTTGAAACTGAGATGTGAACACATCAGCTTGCCCTGTTAAAAGATGAAAATATTTGTATCACAAATCTTAACTTGAAGGAGTCCTTGCATCAATTTTTCTTATTTCATTTCTTTGAGTGTCTTAATTAAAAGAATATTTTAACTTCCTTGGACTCATTTTAAAAAATGGAACATAAAATACAATGTTATGTATTATTATTCCCATTCTACATACTATGGAATTTCTCCCAGTCATTTAATAAATGTGCCTTCATTTTTTCAGAAGTAATGACTTGTGTCTTGAATAAGACCTAAACCGCACTGGCATATGGACACATTTATCTAGAAAGGCTCTTGTTTATTTTGTTAGTAATCCCAGACTACCTTGTAAACATGGAAAGAGTTCAGCTTTGGTAAAAAAATTAGATATATAAAAATGTGTTAAGCTAAACAGTTCATAGGTTTTTGCCTAATAATGTGCAATTTCTCTTATCATAAATACATACAGCTTTTGAGAAATCAACTTAAACTAATTTTAGTTACTTATATCATACACAATTTATAATTTTATTCCAGGGAACTATGATGAGGCTTATATAAGAACGAATAAGATCAGAAATATCATTCTGGCAGTTCTTATGGCTCAGTAGAAGTAGTCAATTATTTAAGTGGTTGACTATTTGTGGTTGACATTACTATAAAAATGAAAGTGGCCAGGCATGGTGGCTCACGCCTGTAATCTCAGCCCTTTGGGAGGCTGAGGCAGGCAGATCACGAGGTCAGGAGATCGAGATCATCCTGGCTAACACAGTGAAACCCCATCTCTACTAAAAATACAAAAAATTAGCTAGGCATCGTGGCGGGCGCCTGTAGTCCCACCTACTGGGGACACTGAGGCAGGAGAATGGTGTGAACCCGGGAGGCGGAAGTTGCAGTGAGCCGAGATCACACCACTGTACTCCAGCCTGGGCTACAGAATGAGACTCCGTCTCAAAAAAAAAAAAAAAAAGAAAAAAAGAAAGCATAAATTTTTTTTTTTTCCGAGACAGAGTCTTGCTCTGTTGCCCAGGCTGGAGTGCAGTGGCATGATCTCGGCTCCTGGGTTCAAACGATTCTTCTGTCTCAGCCTCCCAAGTAGCTGGGATTACAGGTGCGTGCCACCATGCCTGGCTAATTTTTGTATTTTTAGTAGAGATGGGTTTTTGTCCTGTTGGCTAGGCTGGTCACGAACTCTTAACCTCAGGTGATCCGCCCGCCTTGGCCTTCCAAAGTGCTAGGATTACAGGCGTGAGCCACCACATCTGACCGAAAGCAATAATTTTAAATGCTGAATTTGGCCTAGCAAAGCAATATCCAGATAACAGAAAACATCATTTTTTTCAATTATTTGCAAAACAGCCTCATTTTTAAAAATTTGACTTTATGAGTTTAAACTTAGCTTCAGACCATTTGCTAGACAAAGTTTTCCCAGACAGGGTGAGCTACAGCATAAAAACCTAAAAATGGAAGAAATGGAAAAAAAAATCTACCAATTGAACATGAGACTGGTGAGTCATGCATAGGAATGGACAGAGGATTGTGAAATCCATCTTCAACTACAGCTTCAGAGCATGCCATTGAGTCACTTCACCTTAATTAAATCTCAACTCCCACTCCTCCATTGGAACCACAAACTGACCTTCCAATCTGTAGGACTCTTCTTGTCAAAATTCTGTTTCTTAATACAGTTCAATCATTGTGAGTAGCTGGATCAATCTTTGCAGAATTGTATATCAAGAAGCGGTAGTAATATATGTTCACATCCTGGACAGCATTAATAGTCATAAAAGCAAATTAAATAGAAATTCTCCTTTTATCTTAATTGAAGCCAGACATTGTACAATGTCAGATATTGTACAACATCATATATCATACAAGTCAGATATTATAATCGTAATATCTAAGTCAGATACTATTTAATATTTATACAATATCAAAATGATATGGATTAATATTTCTTTAGTTTCTAAGCATGTGCAGTATTTTCTCTGGAGTGAGGTAATCCCAGCACATATTTTTCAAGCATTGAAGGCTGCAAAAAGTAATAATGTGAGTAAAGTCGAAGTAGTTTTCATTTGACCCTCATAGGACAAGTTTTCCTTTCCAATGAGAGTTTTAAATTAGCTTATGGAAAAAAGAAGAAAATGGACAAATAAGTTAGAGATAAACTTAATCTGAGAATAAGTTTAAAACATACAGGAACCAGTCATACCACTAAGATGTGCAGACTTGTCTTGACATTCATAGCTGCAGCCTCTGCAGACACAGGAATGGCTAAGACTCCTTTCATAACAACCTGTGAGAGTACACCAGTGCCCAGAGGCACATACACGAAAAGAAGGGAGAAATGGCTTACATCTCTTCTATGGATACAGGGTTGGTTTTTTAAGTTTCTATCAAGATTTTTAGAAAATCACTATGAATTATTTTTTAACATGTTTGTTGGAAATTTTGCTAAATATGAGTACATACCTTCATACTTTATTAAATATCAGGCACAGAATATAATTCAATGCATTCTTGATAACTCAGAGCCACTACCATAAAAGTTAATGAACATACTGGGCTTCGTGACATTCTGCATATTTTCTGTTTCTTTTCTTATTCACAGGTAGTCACTGAGGCTACCAGTTCCACTTCTTGGCATTTGCTACTTTTGCTCGAAGTTGATGTGAGAATACTGATTTATAAGACTACTAGATTTGTACAATATTTATGATTCAATAAACTCTAAATAGAAAACACAACAAAACATAAGCATGACTTTTTTCCATAAAGTAAGAGGATTTTGTTGGCCAACTCTGTGGCAGTTATTTCAGCAGCGTCCAAGAACTCTTTTGTGTACATCCTGAGTGACCTAGAGTGTGTATTCAGGATGTCTGAGGGATACAGATGGTTGAGAATAATAGACAAGTGTGGGTTATAAAGTATAACATCACAGCCAGGCATGGTGGCGGCTCACACCTGTAATCATAGCACTTTGGGAGGCCAAGCGGGGTGGATTGCCTGAGCCCAGTTCGAGACCAGCCTGGGTAACACGGTGAAACCCCGTCTTTATTGAAATACAAAAAAGTAGCCAGGCATGGTGGTGTGCTCCTGTAATCCCAGCTACTCGGGAGTCTGAGACAGGAGAATCACTTGAACCCGGGAGTCGGAGGTTGCAGTTAGCAGAGATCGCGCCATTGCACTCCAGCCTGGGTGACAGAGCGAGACTCCATCTCAAAATAAATAAATAAATACATAAACAAAGTATAACATCACTATCCCATGAGGAAAGCTCAGAGCATGGTATGAATGGACCAATATTATGGCCCATAGAAATGTATCATCTTTCTGCACAGTCTTCTTTCTGTGACAATATTAACATTTACACCCAAGAATTTGAATTAATAGTTAACTTCCTTAATTGAGAGAAAACTTTTTTTTTTGGTGCTTACAGGCTTTAAGCCTCAACAAACTCGATAAAAATTCTTATTCTATATAGTCTTTCATCTGAACCCACTCTTCAAATTATTTAAAAAGCATGTGTGAGTGTGGTGTGAAGTGTGACCATCCAACAATCAAAAACCCTTTTTATTTTTTAAGCTTCTTCTATCCAAGGTCCTGATATTTGTGACTCATGAGCAAAAAAGGTGTTTCACTGGGTAAGTTTGGTTTCCAGTGTTAATAACAGAAAGATTGGTGGCAAAGAAAATGTAACATATTAAGCAGAAATATTAATCATCATAACCTGATTCTGGTTCCATGAGCCAGAATGAATAACCTGATAAGGAGGAAGGCGGTCACATCTCACCTCCTGCTGGAGACACAGTGCCCTGCAGCTGAGGTCAGTTGGACCTGGGTTAGAGTCTCAGTACCACCAACTCACTAATGGGGAACATTTAAAGAACAATACTTAGCCTCTTTGAACTCCAGTGTCTTAATTTGTAAAAAGTACAAAAAGACCTACCTTACAGAACTGGTTGCATTGCTCTGAAGATTTACATAGATACAATGCCTGACACCTTCCTTTCACCTTTTCCCTCCTTCTAGTCACAACCATGTAGCTGCTTCTTAATGGCTCCATAGATTACACAGATTCTTGCCTTAGTCTTCTGTGTCCTCAGGTGCTGGGCACTTGAAGGTACTCATTAAGCATTTGCTGTGTTCCAATACTGACATGTCCGTGACAATTCTTTTTGGACTTTTAATCATTCTTAATAAACTGAGCAGCAGGATCTTCTGGTATATTTTACTTATTATATCAAGAGCCTTTGCTGGCTGGGTAAACAGCAGAGCACAGATCTGGGCTCTGGAGAGTTACAAAAGAGGGGCAAAACACCAAACACCATCCCTACCTTCAAGGAGTTTATAAATAAATGGAAAAAAGAAGTCACATGAAAAAAATATTTAACTCTACACACACCGGAAGGCAAGAGGATCCAGACAGAAAACTGAATCCAGGGTA
Source organism: Homo sapiens (assembly GCF_000001405.40). Taxonomy (NCBI): domain Eukaryota; kingdom Metazoa; phylum Chordata; class Mammalia; order Primates; family Hominidae; genus Homo; species Homo sapiens. The sequence continues at coordinate 161,988,043 of NC_000002.12, read as the reverse complement.
AGAATGTAGGGTAGGATTCAAGGCTGGGCGGAGAGAAGGTGGTTTCTGGATTATTATGAAGCAGTCATTGTCTGAACTGTGCACCACACTTAGGTTTCTTTAACAGTCTCAGGCTTGCTGTGGACACTGTGCTTTTCAGAACACTTTTTTTTTTCAAATGTAACTATATACACAAATATGTGCTATATATATATATATATATAAAGAACAATACTTAGGCTCTTTGAACTCCAGTGTCTTAATTTGTAAAAAGTACAAAAAGACCTACCTTACAGAACTGTTGCATTGTTATGAAGATATATATATATATATATATATATATATATATATATATATATATATATATAAAATCTCCATATATAAGGGAATGCACTACATAAAAGTAATTATAATTAAGCTATTGTGTCTAGAGTTACGGGTTAGGTACCTAAGGAGTATACTTGAGCCTGTTTCGTTTCTATCCTAATAGAAATTTATAGATCATGAAAACTTAGTTTTGTCATCTGAGAGTCATCCTGGAAGGGAGATCCCTGAGGAGGCAATTCCACTGTTTCCCCACTATATTCTCTACTGTGCTGCTCTATTAATCATTTCAAAATTCATTACTCAAAACTTTTAATGGGTAAAATTCCAACAGTTCTAGGATAGAATTTAACATCATTTGTAATGTCTCTGACTTGTGTTTCTGTCTTTTCCTACAAGTCTTCACTACCCTTCTAACACTCCACCATATTGGGCTGTTTGCTGGGTTCCAAATATGCCATACATAAAATATGCCAGGCTCTAGTTATGCCATATAGCTTTACTTTTAAATTTCATCTTTATTTCAATACCGACATAGGTTTGAGAATCTTTGTAGTTCCGGTGTTGCTGGAAAAGGGGTCCTGATCCAGACCCCAAAAATGGGTCCTTGGATCTTGCAAAGGAGAGAATTCAAGGAAAGCCACAGAGCATAGTGGAAGAAGTAAGTTTTTCAGAAACCGTTTCGTTACAGTGTGGGATATCCTCTGAAAGCAAAAGGAGGAATGCCCTGTCCTTTGTTAGCGCCTCTACTTTTATAAGGAGTTACAAAGAGCTACAATTAAACTTGGAATGTGTCTATGTGCTCACTAAAGGCAGGGGCCTTCAGTGTCATTGATATTACATGACCCTTAATCTTTTAACCTAAGCTTGTTCATTAACGTTATCTCTAAGTAAGGAGGGCTGAATTCTTAGGACATAGGGACATTCTGCAGGCATGGTGGGAGATGCTCTGTATGGTCATAAATATTCTGTAATAATAGGTTGTAGCCAGCTTGGAAAGTGGCTATTTTCAGACCACAAGCATTAATCTTATAGGTGCCTTAAGAGTGTTCTAGCTCTTCACTTCAAGATGGAGTCATTCTGGTCATACTTCATTAGACCAGAGGCCTAGTAGGCAGGGGTTCCTTCAACATCTGGAGTACATTTCCTTCCCCATTTCCATTCTAATTCACATGCTACCTCTACTATAATGTTTTCGTCAAACTCTGCCCTATTCAAAAAATGGCTTTACTCATATGGCCAACTCAGCACATATCACATTATTTACAGCTATGTATCCACCCTGCCCTTAGAAGCAAGGATCATAGTCCTATTTTCAAAGTTCCAGCAGAAATGATAGTACCCAGTACACCAACAGGAACGGAATTGGTGTGACAGTTGTATCAGTTAGCCACAGCATTCCATGAAGAACATCGAAGGAGATCTCTAAAATAAAGTATTACCAGTAATCTTTGATTATTAAGCCTCTTCAAGGGGACTAACTACAATTAGCCTCTTGATGTAGACATTTAGAGAACCATCATATTATCCAAATGACTCTCATAAAACTTTCAAATGGATGTAATCTCATTTCATTTCATTGTGTGAATATATGAGATAGATATTAATATATTGGAAAAATGAGAGAGCAATCTTGCAATGATAGTAAAATAGACAAGTGCCCAGGAGCTAATAGGCTAAAGTTAAACCAAAACAGAGGTAGGTCAGTGCCATAGAAAACAGGTAAGTCACACTTCTAAGAGTCAAGAAAAATCCAAAAAGATCTAGGAATCATGTTGAAATACAAGTTGCTTTTGGATCATCAGTGGAGAGTTTCTTTCAAACTCGGGTTTAAACTATACCAAGGAGACATTCATCTATACAGGATATATAGGATATCCTATACATACATAGGAATATATATATTCCTATATTATATTATACAGGAAAAAAACTTTCCAATATTGTAGGCTGTGAAACAGGAGCAATTACAAAGTAAACTCACTAGTCAAGAGAAAAATACCAAGCAGTAGGTTAGATAGAATTCTGAATGCAATTATCTCCACAACACACTGCCAGATGGCTACCAAAGAATAATGGTCCCATCTGACTTTTGTAAGAAACAGGGAGGAGACAAATTTTAGGCAATGCTTTCCCCATGGAAGTTAAAAACGGAAGTCTAAATAGAGTTCTAATAATGAGGAATACTACTACTAACGACCTTGGAGGTTTTTCCTAGCATAAGAAACCGTGTCATCTGCACCCATTTCTGGAAAAATGAGTAAATATATCTTTATATAGTTCTCATAATCTTCTGTTCATAAAGTTCAAATTGTTTACTCTTGAAACATACTCATAAATTGTTTACATCACCAAGAGTTCTTAGCTTTGGGGCTGTCTAAATTTAAATATTATATTCAAACAATCAAAATGTTTTACACTGATTTACTAATTAAAACAAAGAAAAAAGACAAGACACTTTGTATCACAATTTAAAATGTGCAAGGAAGTTAGGATAAATATTTATTTCCACATAACATTTCTTAATTGTGAAAAACACAATATCCTAGTCACATTTACACATTATTTAAACTTGGCACTAAATTACATTCAAGATATTTAGTAATTTTGACCAGGAATCTGAAATTAGAAGTAAATATATAATACTACATTTTTATTATATTTTATATGATTTCAAAATATTAGGATTAACATAGGGATAGCTTTAAAATTCACACAAGAACAAAATGACTATAAAAATACTCAGAAATACAGAATTTCATTGGATATGATTGCTTATTCAAATAGGTGATCATGTGAAGATTTAAATTCACTATGATCATTTTTAACAAAACAGTTATTAATATATTAAAACACTAAGAGGCTGCTTTGGGGAATCACTGGCTAAATCATAAAACAATGGAAATGTTTACAATGTAGTATCTGTATTATAAAATACACAAAGGCAACACATTTGGAACAGAAAGTTTCTGTATTTTTTCAGCATTTATAAATACAAACTTTATTAACTTAAAATTCTTCTTTCTATAATTTTTAGGCTCATGTTCCATAAAAAGGGGGGCTCCTTAAAGAATTGTGAGGGGAATTTTTAAAAGGTCTCAAAATGTAGAACTTAATGGAGACTTTGTTGATTTATTTCCTCCCATTAGTTTAATCACAAGAGGAACTTTTCTTCACTTTTCATGTGCACTTCCAACAGAGTACATAATTAACGGTGTGTAAAAGCCACAGGGCTCTGAATTATTATAAAACGGAATATTGGAGTATTATAAAGTTGATGATTACTACTCATTCTTAGGAACCAAGAGCATTATGAGATTTAGTTTTATTAACTTCACATTCATTGAAAGTGAAATCAAATACTGTACTTTTAGTAATGTCCAAAACTTCATAACTTTCTCTCCCCTTATATAAGTTTAGTAAAGATGTATTATTTTATATGGACTGAAATATCTACAGAACCTTCTCAAATGGAATCTGAAATTTCATTTTAAAAGACTGTTTTTCCACAACATGCATTTAATTTAAAAGTGGAAAAAAAAAACTCTGCAGAAAAAAAATGACAATTGGAGAGCTGTTGGTCTAACATGAGAACATGATTCAGGACCAGCATTAAGCAGTGCATGACCATTAGCTGCAGAGTAACTGTACAGGAGTGGAATTTCATATACAATGATTCACCATGTGGCATTCCACAAGTATGTATAGAATATGTTTATTTGGAAAACATCTGTTGTCAGTGGGAGACAAACTTAGTATATTTCTGATAAAGGTTTATATTGAAAAATCCCACAAAACTGTTACAAAGTTTTTCTAAAGCATTTCGTACAAGCCTAGTATTTGATCATTAGTCACAACTTGAATTTTAAGCAAATACTACTTAACTCTGCATTATGTCTGATTGTCCTTAACAAGTTGTAAATAGGTTTCTATATATTTTTCAAATGACTTTAAGTTTTAGTTACATATAAATTGTTAAGTATTAAATTTATCATATTAAATCAAGGAAATGCATAAATACAATTATTAAAAAATGCTTTCAAACTAACTTTTTGATTTGGGTCTTTTGAAATAAGTCACTAATGCTAAGCTATAAAAACTAAAAAGAAGTAAGACTACCTTTCAAAAATTCTTCTGAATGAAATTATCAGGCATCTTCAGGTCACTAAAGTAGGAAAATACAAACTAGGTAAATATGACTTATCTCTTTAAGGAAGCTATTGCTCTCATAAAACTGACAATCAGAATCCAGTTTACAAATGTCTAACGTACAGCAAGGAACACACAGATTCTTGCATTGGCTATTGTATCTGCTCACAGGGATGTCTCACTGCTCAGAAGTTTAAACACAGAAATGAAACAAGTATTGCACTACTTACAGTATGAAGGTGGATTTGGGTTGAGGGACAGAATTTACAATACATGATCAAAGCAGTTTTATTAATAATTGTGACACTCTTCTCATATATATGTAAAAAATAAATTGAAGATCGAGTCATAGACAAGTCTCCCTGTCAACACCTTTCCCTGAGTCAGCTTTCTTCTCTTTTCGGCTTTCAATGCTACAGAAGGAAAAAAAGGACACATTTATTACTGCAATCCAGCATGGCTACTATGACATCTGCTTGCTCAGACATAAAACCCGTCAACCCCAAAGCACCACAAGAGCCCGTAGGCATTGCTCTCTCATGCTGCGAAGCACAGATAGACAGCAACAATTAAAATCCTCTGCACTCAGTGAGATAGAAACCAAGAACTGCAGAGAAGGGGAAATTCAAAAACAGACACTAAACAACAAAAATCAGACATTTTTTAAACAGTTCCAAAAACATGCAAGATTAATACCATGGTCCTCATTTGGGCAAGTGACTCACTGATGATAGTTGAAAATGTCAGCCATGCCCCCATCTTAAGACAGTGCCAACTCTAGTAAATGACACAAACAAGATGTCGCAGGAGGCATTTCTGGGCTCTGCTGCAAATGGCTCCTCCCTTGTGCATGGACTGGATCCTGACCTTTGATGAAGACTGTACCTTGGCCAGGTTAGACAGACAGCTCCACTGGCCTGGAGGACAGGTTACCATGCACGCTGCTCTCCAGACACCTGTGCTATCTCTTTACAGACAAACCCTTACCCTGTGCATCAGAGGAATGATGCTTCACCTCACTCCTCAGACAAACTCATTCCCAAGTTTAATCTCACCCTCTGTTTAATCTCACCCTCTCATTAACTTTACCAATTTCTGTTTAATCTCACCCTCTCATTAACTTTACCAATGAGTAAACTGGTCATGTGACTCTACCATTTTTGTCTGTTTGGTTCAATATTTTCCCATCGTACACTTTTCTTACTCTCATGCTGACAATTTTTCATGGAAAATTCAAACAATATCATTACAGGGATGAAGTTCACACCATGTTCCAGAGAGGGCAGAAATGCTTTCTCCCTGATACTTGCAGCACACAGCAAAACCCTCCTCATCTGAGGCTTCTATGTGACCCTCCCCACTGCTGACACAAAGGGCAGCCCATAGCCAGCTACTGAGGCCCTGGGCTGTAAGTATCCATACATTTTTACTGTTAACTTCGGCCCTTAATATAAATTTATGAAACACTTGACAATGGACCGCACCCTTGGTTTTATAACTCTTCTCCAAGTAATAAAGTAATAAAACTCCATTTTTCTATGGGGCCTCCTGTACAACTTTCTAAGTGGTCAATAACTTAGACACATTCTAAGAGTGTGTTTTTTAAATTGTTTTTCCTCCAATTCAAGCTAGAAACAGCCCTTCTCAGTTGTCACCACCACCCGGCACCATCAGGTAAGAAGTGCCGGAGCTTCTGCCATCTGTGGCACGCTGCCAGCTCTGAGAGCTGGTGTGAGCGCGTGTCTATGGCGCCCGGGTTTGTGCCTGCCACACTTCTCAGCACATACTACTTACAGGTCAGAGCAAAGCAACTTTCCTCCCTTTTCTTTTCTCCTTCCATGAGAAAAGATGACAGTGTGCACATGATGTGTTGAGAGCCCTAACTCGTATTTTTAACTCCTCTATCTGTATGACTCACTTTCTTCTACTTTAAGTTCCTTTTATATGACAAGTGTATGCTCTCCTGCTTTCCAAATTAACTTTTCCTTAAGCTCTACCTGCCTTCCAGTCTCTTTTGCCAAACAAAGTCAATGAAAAAGGGCAGCACTGGGCTTGGTGTTGGAAGATCTAGGTTCAGTTTTCAGAAACTCAGAATGAGCTGCATGACCTTGGACTAGTTATTTAATCTCTCTGAGACTTGGTTTCTTCATCTGTAAAATTGGTTTTGGACTAGATGGCCTCTAGGCTCTCTTGTAGTGAGAATTCCAGAATTCTGAGGCTGGTATTCCCAATTCCAATGAACTCTTATTTTTTGAAAGATAGAATAACAGATCCTATATGTAGGAGATTGTAGGACAGAGATATACTGGTCTCTACACATGTGCAATTACTGTGTGCACAATACTTTGAAACGTGGGAGGTGTTCCATAACCTTTTGATAAATGAATGTGTGCCAAGTGGCACTATTAGTCACCAAGTCATAAATAAAAAGATTCATAATATCAACTTGATCCATAGATGTGCTTCCTCCTGACTCTGCTTTGGTTGTTTGGTTACAAAACAATAACCTATTAAATGTCTGGGTTTTTTTCCCTCTTCATCATAACCATAGTTTTGGTATCAGATTAGATTTCAGCAAACTATGAAGCAGAAATTTTATAACCAGCTCAAGACCTCTAGGATCCATTGTTCGGAATTACTTGTTAAGTTCGCTTTTGTGGAGGCCAATCAATTTTAAGCTTTCATTGTAACAAACATGTATTATGCATCTGTTATCTGTCATTGTAATAAACATATGTTGCATATCTATTATATGCCAGGAACTCCATAATGACCTAGGAGTACAAGATAGATAAGAGTGTCCCTGTCCCTGAGGAGTTAAAATTTAAAATATAAGGAAGTAATATTTCAAGAGGGCAAAAAGTGACCTGGTACTGTCATGATGCTAAGTAAACTATGAAACTATTACTTTTTAATGTCACTAAAATAGTGGTTGTTTTTTTTGAGACAGAGTGTTGCTCTGTTGCCCAGGCTGGAGTGCAGTGGCACAATCTTGGCTCACTGCAACCTCCACGTCGCAGGTTGAAGGGATTCTCCTGCCTCAGCCTCCTGAGTAGCTGGGATTACAGGTGTGCGTTACCATACCCAACTAATTTTTGTATTTTTAGTAGAGATGGGGTTTCACCATGTTGGCCAGGCCGATCTTGAGCTCCCGAGCTCAAGTGATCTGCTCGCCTCGGCCTCCCAAAGTGCTGAGATTATAGGCCTGAGCCACCACGCCCAGGCTAAAGTTGTTTTTATGAATAATATTTCCAAGAAGTCATGAGAGAGCCTAAGCCTAGGCAATCAGAGCAAAGAAAGAATCTGGGATAGAAAAAGGTGGTGGGGGAGTGCAGGGGTGGGTGTTGGGGGGTAGAGCGGATAGTCCCAGAGACTAGCCTCTGTCACCAAGGCAAAGCTAAGTGCTGCTTTTCCTAACATTGCCAAGGACCTCCAGACACACTGATCTTGGGCATCAGTTTAAAAAACGTAGCAGTTGCTAACCTATTCTGATGCAATGTGGTCGTTAATGAGCCCTATTTTCACCAGCCCATTTAATAAGCTGCAGAGGCTCTTGTCACATGCATGTATGACATCAGGATCAAAATTAGACATCCTCCAGATAAGACAGAATTTGCCGTTAGTTCTTAGATTCTACTGTCAGTTAAACGAGATAAAATATTTTTGACAACAAAAAGTGAATGATATAATTGAGAAAATATAATTTCTATTCAAAATTCCATGAAAAAAGGGTTTCTAGGCTTCTCTGACACATTACAGCACAGGATGGAAAATAACTCAGAATGGGGGGTGTCAAAGGCTGCATGGGTGCCAGCTCAGGACTCAGACCTTAGTAACCTGCTCTTTGGGTCTCTTTTTGCCAATGGATACTCTACCACGTACTAAATTTTCACAGTTCCTGGTCATGATGCTTTAAAGCCTTTAACAGATACCACAAAAAGGAAGTGGCTTTGGGAGCCTTATTAGTATCAGTAGTTTTAGAATTCTGTAAGTCATACACTTTCTGCCAGAGTTTCTACTGTAATGAGGATAAAAGAGATTAACTACCAACCAAAAGATGTTTCTCACATGGAAAACCACAAATGCGATCACATCAAAAGGTAAGGAAAGCTGGATAAACTTTCATTCCACAATAGTCTGAACCTCACGTCAGTGAAAGTACATTTAAAGAATAAGAAACAAGTGGTTATATCTAAATATAAAGGATAGTCTATTGAAAATTGGACCTGCTTTAAAGCACATTATATTGTTCACTAGAGTCAACCCACTATGTGAAGTCATCTGGATATATATTTTTAAAACAAAAAGATTTTTCTGGTGAAAAGTATCACTTGACTTTAAGGAGTAGCTAAAATATCACGTCACAAGACTTTTGCTTGAACCAAAGAAAAATAGAGGAAAAGTTTGGACTTTGAATCCATATAATACAGGAAGAAAATTTTTTACAGGTTTGTTTCAAATTCTCAACACATTGACCATCAAGGGCATTTTATTTTGAGCTCATAAACCTGGATTTAACATTTTCTAAAAAATCAGAGAAATGTCGTATTTTTCATGTGACAAGTACACATTTCAATGGGCTTGAGAAACTGCCCTTCTCATAATTCTGATTTTCTTCAAAAGTACTAGCAAAACAGAGAATTACTATGAGAAATATTTATCAGACTGTAGCAAGGATCTTTGAGAAAGGAAGTTAAAGCATGTTTTAGAATAAAATGTTACTTTGTCCTGAGCCAAGCAAAGAAATACATGAAAGTTTTAAAGTCCTATTAAGACAGAAAATACCAACCAAAAGTCTTTGAGAGGGAGCCCATTGAGTAATTTATTAATATATTATCTTCATTTGTAGTAAATATTAAAGGTGGTTGAGAGAGAGACACACAGAGAGAGAGAGAGAACTAATTCCCAGCTTCGGGGATGAAGATTCTATGCACTTGCTGTTTGTCTCGTCTTGTTTATACTGTTTGGTATAGAGATGACACTGAAGCAGCATGCCATTTTGGGGTGACAAAAACCAGCAATAAGAGATATATTCTCTAAGTCTAATGTAGCCTCTTTCTCTTGCCCATGTTTCCAGTGATGTCTCATGAAGTGAGATACGGCTTGCCAGTCTGGAGGCATGGTGGTACATAATGGAGGCTCTCAGCTTTGCAATTTCTTTCTTTCTTTTTTCTTTTTCTTTTTCTTTTCTTTTTTTTTTTTTTTTTGACAGAGTCTCTCTCTGTTGCCCAGGCTGGAGTGCAGTGGCACAATCTCAGCTCACTGCAACCTCTGCCTCTTGGGCTCAAGCGATCCTCCTGCCTCAGCCTCCAAAGTAGCTGGGATTACAGGCATCCGCCACCACGCCTGGCTAATTTTTTTGTATTTTTAGTACAGAAAAGGTTTCACCATGTTGACGAAGCTTGTCTCGAACTCCTGACCTCAAGTGATCCGCTCACCTTGGCATCCCAAAATGCTGGGATTACAAGCATGAGTCACCACACCAGGCAAGCTTTTCAATTTCTTACAGGGACAAATTTAATTTTCCCTATCCAGAAATTTGATGCCATTACTAACTACAGTTCTGTGAAACTTGTTGATTTATACATGATGCATCTGTATAAATCAAGGAAGGAATAAAGTTTATTCAAGTTTCAGACTAACTTAAAGAGCTGAGTTGTTACAGATATATCATCAAACTCAGTCTGCTACTGGATCTGAGCCCAACACTCTCCATGCCTTTTGCCTCCCCAAAACTCACACAGAGGACATAGACTGACCAGGTTTCTAGAAGACACCATTTAACATAAGGAAATGCAACCAAGGAATAGATTTGAGGGAGAGGGTCTTACCTTTGGGGAATCAGCTTCTAGAGTGATTAGGAAGGGGAGCTTATGACAAAAATGTAATATAAAAATTAAGTAGAAAAAGTTAATTTAAGGTTACGAAAATAAAGGAACTTTATAATTATAGTAAACACTGTCCCAATTCCCTCAATCACTCTCTAACAAAAAGAGATATTAGCATAACATAGGAATTCCTCTTTCTTCAGATCAGCATCTAAGAAGACTGGGTGACTTGAACTCTTATTTATAAATCCTAGAAGATTCACTTGGAAATCCTTTGATGACTGTTGATATTTAGGGACACACTCTTCCTCCAGCATGCACTTAAAACTACCATCCACAACTACAGGAGTTGTTTGTACATTTACACACAGAGAAGAAAGAATGGATAGAACTTTCAGGAGTTGAAAGTTTTGGGATAAGAAGTTTAGGGAAGACTTTCAGGGGGTTGGAGTCAGGACTAGAACTATACTAAATATAAATATTTATGCATATTTATAAAATATAAATATAAAATACACACAGTGCATATCAGTCTAAAAAAGGGAAAATAAAGGAGTGCAAAATGTGGCCAGATGTCTAAAGGGGTCCTGGGGGAAGTGGGTGATGAGGGAATAAAATAAAATCATACTGAAAAACAGTAGGCCAAGATGAATGTCCAAAAATGTCATGCATTGTGACTCATTTCTAGCACAGTTCCCCATACCACAGTTGGTATGAAAAACATACCAACATTTGAAATAATTACAATTTCTACCCACTTTTGGAAAGAATTTTCTGGAATATTTTATATCTAAATTTGATGGAAACTAATATTATTCTTTTGCTTATGGTTTATGTCAAAAAACAATTGGAATTAGTATAAATTCTCATTATTTTAAAATCCAAACCTTTTGGAAGGAAAGCTTGACTCCTTATCTTTTGAGTTATCGGCAGTAATCAGAAGGTTCCTCCACAAGGCAGTCTTTGACATTTCATCAGATATATTGATCACAGATGGATCATCTCTAGACAGGAGTTTCCCCAAATGAAATAATAAACATTACATAAGTAACTGCAGTTTTTCAATGACAGAAACTAAATATAGGGCAATCATATATCTATGAAGAATATTTTTCCCAATTTTTAAATTGTGGTAAAATACACATAACATAAAATTTACTACCTTAACTATTTTTAAAAGTACAGTTCAGGGTTACTAAATACATTCATAATGTTGTGCAACCATCACCACCATCCATTTCCAGAACTCTTTTTATCCTATAAAACTGGAACTCCATACCCACTAAACCACAACTCTCCATTTCCTCTTGTTCCCGGTCCCTGGCAACTATAATTCCACTTTCTGTCTCTAGGTTTCTGACTTCTCTAAGTGCCTCATATAAGCAGAATCATACAGTATTTGTCTTTTTGTGACTGGTTTATTTCAGTTAGTACAACATCCTCAAGGTGCATCCATGTTGTAGCATATGTCAGAATTTCCTCCTTTTTAAACCTGGATAATGTTCCATTGTATGTGTATGCCCCATTTTGTTTATTGTACAATATTTTTGATAATTAAAAATGAAGAAGTATTGAATATTTCTCTCAATTATTGAAAACAATCTGTGAAAAATAAAAAAACTAAAGAAAATATTCTAGTTGAATAGATACTGAGTTGGCCTGTGGTATTCTTAATTCATTTCAAATTACAGAGAATGGGTTCCGCATGTCCATTGCTTAAACGCTTGCCCCTAACATCATAGCAACCAGATCACTTCCCTCCTTTGCTCAGACCTTGCAGTGGCTCCCAGTCACTCAGAGTCAATGCCAAGTCCTTATAATGGCCTAAAGGCTCTGTCCCCACCTCACTCTGATTTCACCTCCTGCCACTGCATCCCTGCTCACTCCTTTCCAGCCCCATTTCAGTAGCCTCCTGACTGTTCTGGAACACAATGGGCATGGTGCTGCCTGGGGGCCTTGTCCTTGCTCTTCCCTCTGCTTATCATGTCCCTTCACATGGAGCAACCTTGCCCCTTCTTTGTTCAAATGCCGCCTTTTCATATGACCCTGATTGGTGATAGGTCACAGGAGAGGAACAAATGCAACTTTTAAGAGGAACAAAACCTTGGGTCTCCCTCTCTTGCCCAATCTGGAAATGTGTTCTTCAGTTCCTCTAAACCCTCCAGCTGTTTTGGTCTTCCTAGAAAGATAGTTTCCTGGTAATTCAAAGCACCAGATTGACTACTTTCTTAAAAAAAGCATCATGTGGAATAGACATTTTTCATGATATTATGTGAGGAAGAGTCTTCTGAGCAAAAGATTTTTTTAAATACTTGATTGAACGAAGCTATACAATTTTTTAAAATGCAGTACTACTTAGATTGTTTCATTTGCTAATATGCATTGTGAATCTCCAAACTGGAATGCAGTTTGGCACATTTTTTCAAACTTATTTAACCACACAGCCCTTTCGAGAGTGGTATCACACAAGACTAGGTTTCTACCTAATACACTTGGAAATATGCTGGTTCAGCTAAACAATCAACAGGATTTTAAAATTTAAATGTTGTAAAAAAGAAAAAAAAGATAAAACATCTTATAGTTGTGCCCCCTCTTAAGAGGGAGGTAATCACATTTTCTTAAATTCTAGGGAATATAATCTTAGAGTCAGACCCTAAAGATCTAGAAAATTCTCTCCTATTTTGGTTTTTAACACTATGACAAATTCCCTTCTCATAAAAAAGTATTCTCTGTATTTTTATTGGCATAACCTTAAATTATTCATAAAGACTTTGAGACTATAAAATTGGGCACTAATTGATACTTAGAATTGTACAAGATAACCGTTTAAACTAAACTATATTGAGAGGGAGACAGAGAAGAGAGAGAGAGGGGAGAATTCTGGGCCAAATGCTTGCAAATGTTTTCTTTATAACTTCAGTAGTTTGCTTTCTTTTGCTATGTCTTTGTACATAAAGAAGATTAGAAAATTTTGGAGAATTGCATAAATATATCCTAAAATGACTGATACAACTGAATCACTTAAGAAATAGATTATGTCATTGGAAATTCCACTTTTAGCGGCAAATTCCCAGAGTTAAAACATTTACCTGTGATCAACTTAGTGAATAACTAGTCACTTATACAAAAAAGGAACCTTGATCTGTCTTCTGGTGCTACTTTCTGAGAATATGAAAGGGATTTTTCATACACATTATAAAACAGGAGCAAGAAAAACTTCAGACAACAGCTTCCTGCTTCACTTCATTTAATGCAATTTGATTATAGTCACACGGCTATTATTGGCAAAACTTAGCAGTAGGACCCATGTTATCTAACTCTTCGTTCTTTCTACTCTTATACAATTTCAAGAAACCTCTCTGAGGATCTACACAGTATGAAATTCTTAAAGTATATAACAATGCATTTCATTACTTTAATTGATGTGTTTTTAAATTTATGTCTTACCTATAGTGCCCTTCCAATGGGAGTTGTACTGTGCCCTCATCTTCCATAGCTAGCATACTTTGTTCTTCCTGAAAAGACAAATGTAAAGTATATAAAGTGAACCTGATGAGTCTCCATTTTACATTAAAGAAGAAACACAGATTAATGTTTCATTATCTCATTAACCTCAAGACCTTCCACTCTGTTTGCATTTATTAATGTTAGCACAGGTCCTTTCAATAAAGTATCAGCTACCAAGAACATAAGTAATTAATGAGAGTCTCATAACACAAAGTAATTTAAATGCTAACAACAATCTCCTTCATGTCACTCAATAAAAAACATGTTAATTTCCAAGCATATTTTTTAAAAATTAATCTAAATTTTATAAGAAAAAAGTATGGGTGATATAATCAGTTTTATTGTTATAAAGGTGAAATTATATTCCCAGAATGCTCTATGAGGAGAGGATGAGGGATGTACTCAGAACAGTGTTTCTCAAACTTCAGTTTACATCGGAATCCCCTGATGGGCTTGTTAGCAATATCCCCCAGAAGTTCTGACTCCATAGGTCTGGAGTAGAGTGGGCATAAGAATTTCCAGTTCTAACAAGTTTCCAGGTGATGTTGATTATGCTGGTCTGGTGACCATATTTAAAGAACCACTACTCTAGAGAGTTGGAAAGAGACAGTAGAAGATATTAATATCTTCCTGTATGGATCAAAACACAGATGTGTCTTGAGAGAGGAGGAAATGGAAGGTTTGACTCCATTTGGATGTGTTTTAGGCTTTTGTTTTATGCTTCAAATTTCTTCTTATAATGACAATATTCCATCTTTCCTCAAAGGGTGGAAATGATTTTTATATTTATACATGCATTTCTTCATACATAGGATTTTAAAACTAAATCTTTGGGATGAAGATAATCTTATGGCCACCATACTGGAAAATTCTGGTTTCGTTTTCAAATAATGTTATCATCAAACTTTTTCCATGAAACAAAAACAGAAAGTTATTCATAGATTATAGCTTTTATTTAATACATTTATTTAAAAATGGGTCAGTTCAAAGAAATACTTCAGGCCATTTAAAAATGTTAGAATTATTGGTTCTAACCCCAGAAATGGAATTTTAAGATGTATAAACATAAAAAACTAGTTGACCCCCTGCCCAAATGGAAACTGATGAAAGAAAAAAGGGATGGCCCTGAAGGCTCATTTCCTCTTTCAGTAGCTTAGCAGGGCTAAGCTGGCCTGACCCAGCTTCCGGAAACACCTTGACCTTTGGCTGATTTTATTATTCCTGGCATGCAAGACTTTTCCTAGTGTCCTTGGTAAACAGACCTTGGCCCGCTCTCAGATATCCCATAGTCTGAATATTCCATGCCACATTTCTTGCTACCTAAAGAAACAAGTGTTTTCTAGTGCCTCTTCAGCTAACCTATGAAGATACAATGCAATGTGGGAGCAGATCTCATTTCTCTCTTGGAGTACTCTCCCATGCTGGCCAAGGAAAGCCCCTCTCTGCTGGGACTTCTGCTGTGGTGCATACAGAATCTCTGTGCCCACCCTATGATTCGGGATAATGGAGATGCCAGAGACTGCATGAGCTCTGCTACTTCCCTGCTTAGAAGCTTTCCCCAGAAACTCTATATTGTATTTGTTTTCTGTGAGGCTAATGGCATGTACATTACCCTTTTGCATTCCAGTAACTAATTTTATTTTCTCTCTTTGCTGTTCTTCAAGGAAAAAATTTTCTTTTAGGGCCTATCAAATGTATTCTACTTGTATATTATGCCTATTCTCCTTGTCACTTGGCCACACTATTAGAACTAAATCAAGGTGAATGGAGATTACCATTGGTTTGAAATTACTCATTCAAGCATTTTAGCAGAGCTGATCTGCAGCCTAGATTGAGGCTTGCCTTACAGCTGAGTTAGTCATAATATATGAAATATATTACATGCATAATATATATTGTAGGCACATCCTGGCGGTCAGGGGCAGAGCATATGTATCATTTCAGGTAGAAAAGGTTCCTTTTTCCTTAGGAAAGGTTATCTTAAGGTACATGGAGGTTCATAAAAAGTAGACACTCAGTGGTACCAAAAGCTACATTAAGTAAGACAAGATAGGAGAAAGATGCAATTCTTTTCTTGGTTGCCCACTGAAAGGTGAAGCCTGGTATATGATATCATTTCTGGCCAATCAAGAGTAAAATGTCAAGAAGCAAGGTAGAATGGTTTAAGAAAGAGTAAAATGCAAAAAAGCTGAAGAGAAGAACAGTGCCGTCAGTGCTTAGGTTACCTGGCAGCAGAAAACGAATGTTCAAGATTCAATCTAACAGCAAAAAATTGGACCAAAGCTTGGGAAAAATTTTGTTTTTTCTTCAGATGATTTTCCACTTTTCTCTCAAATTGCTTTCAATAATTATTTTGCACTCTGTGGCTTGTTAGCATGTGTGGGCTTTATACTAGTCATAATTCTATCCAAACAAAAACTCATCACCTCTAAAGATAGCTTTTCCAAGCCATGCTTATCTGAAGAGAAGGGTGGCAGAGCAGCCGCTGCCTTCAGTGCCAGAAGGAAGCTGGGTGGGCCCCGGAGCGCGGGGATGGAGGGCCGGCTGCATCCCGGCAGCACTGTGAGAAAGCCAAAAATTGAGGCTTTCTGAGGAGGAGCAGTCAAATCAGGCAGTAGCCGTCACGACAGCCACAACCTAGGTTATCTCAATCAGATCAGAGAAGAAAGAGACAGCGAGAGCATAAAGCTAACTGAGTAGTTGCCAGCTTAGAAGTCAGAAAAATACCTTAAAATGAGTTCATTCAGCTCTTAATTTACATAGGACCCATTAAAAGCATGCTGGGTTCTACAACATGGGGAAGATGTTACAGGGATGATGATGAAAGGTAGAATAATACATAATACCCAAGAACCTTTGAGAGAGTTCACTGATTTAACTAGAGGGACGTTTATGCTATGATTTAAATGCCACCTTTTAATTAAGACAGCCAAAGCAGTTTTCAGATATAAAATAAGTGAAGGACAATTAATGCTATGTCCAGTACAGGACAAGAAAATTGAGGCTTAGAAAAACAAATCTACTCCAGAACACTCAAATATTTATTGAGCATGTATTATGTGCTATGCACACAGTTAACAAGAAGAATAATCCAGGGGCTATTAATTAATCCATTCAATGGCAGGTAGTCTGTTAGGTACTAGGTATGTAATAATGAAAAGAAAGCTATAAACTTGACTCTCAGAAAATTTAAGTGATCATTATGAAAAGTACCAAAGTCAAGGTTGTAGCAAGGAAGAAACTCCAGGTGGGAAGAAACTCCAGGTGGGAAGAAACAATGTAGGCCAACCATAAAATGAGGAATAAATAAGATGTGTTTGCATGACAGTGAACAACGAGCTTGGCTGGAGCCAAAAGTCTGTGCTGAGTAGAGGCGGAAGAGATAAATTGAAGTCAAATCCTGGTGTGGTTTGATAACAGGGTGTTATATATCGAATTACATCATGAGTTTGAATTGTATTTAGTGATAGCATTACAATTATGATTCATATATCACGATACCTAACAAATAACAAAGATAGTTATCCTTTAATTACCTTTAGTGAAATAGGTTCATTTACAACTACATCCATTTTCAGGCAAAGTGTGTATCTATGTAGGAGCCCTCAAATATCTTAAAGTACAAACAACGGCAACAGAGACCAATATTCACGAATATGCTTAGAGTGTTAGAGAGGGAAAATATTCAGCAATTTTAGAATTCACGTCTTAAGAAATGGAATACTCTTCAGAAATCAAGCTCAATCCTTTTATTTTGCCCAAGAGTAAAACAAAGTCTACAGAAAGTAGAAGTGTCAAACCATTTTCTTCCTCAACTACTAATAGAATAGACAATGCTGCAAACATTACATAAATATATAATCTTTGAAAACCATAAGTGTTATTTTTATAATAGGTATTACTTATGATTTCCAATGGATAGAAGAGCCAATACATAAAACTAACAATGAGAGTGGAAAAGGAAAAATGGAGAGTCTATATAGAGTTCATATCAGTACATAAATGTAACATATTTTTCATCAGAATATTAGATTCTGTGTCTCTAAGTAATCATGTAAATTATTGTAAGTAAAAAATTCTGATAGAGTATCCTTGTATTTAGAAGACTATATTTTATTCTGTGGTTTTAGGAAAGGACTTATCTCAAACTTTAGCACCAGAATCACCCAGAGGTCTTATTAACAGAGATGGTTGGCCCCATCCCCAGAGTTTTGATTCAGTAGGTCTGAAGTAGGGCCCAAGAATTTGCATTCTAGGTTGCCAGGTGTTGGCTGATGTGGCAGTGGTTCTGGAACCACACTTTGGGCAACCACTGCTTATGGAAGAAGAATATGCTTGCCCCACTCTAAGATTCAGCTAGAAATGACATTTGTCTGTGTAATAATTTGGCCATGCTTCCCAAATCCATAACCAATTCTGACCTATCTTAGCAGTAAGTCGTCCTCTGTAATTTGTTTAGTTGCACTTGTTTTTAGATTGCTTTTTTCTTGACCTTTTTCATGATCCTGCATTGGGATCACAGGGTCCCATTTGCCCTCTTTTTGTTTTCTCCTATAGTGTATATGTTAAGAGTGAAGCCCCAGTAAATCAAGAAGTATCACTATCATGATCACTTCCACAGAGTAGAATTTCTAGGATTTATCCAACACTAACCCCCTTTCCTCCTACCCAGGAGCAAACATTCTGCTGGGATTTTCTGCCTTTAACAGTAAGTAGCCTTTTGTCAAATGTGTACAATGGCCTAGAGAATATTTAAGTAGGAAGGAAGGCATGTTGGTACTCTGAGCACATTTGGACATCCAGAATTTGATTCTGCAGTCTTCCCTTTACACAGAGCAATGTGCAAAATGTCAGGGTTCCAATATTCATTTCTACCCTGATTATAATCCTTTCTTTCTAAAAACTGAAGCATATGCATATGCATATGCATGAAGTACATGAAAATTTGGAACAGAAGCTCTGCGACCTTGGACTGGCCTGTGTAGCTATTTATTCTGCTTAACTCATTATTGAATTTTAAGGTCAAATGAATGTTTTCTCAGTGCCATAAGACCAGAAATGGGCTACTGATAGGAAAACCCTGGAGGCTAAAGGTAAAAGCTTGTATCTATCATCAAAAGGACAAGAGGTGAGCCTACTTTAAATTCAAGTCTCAGGGAGCTGAGACATTTCTGCTATTTACCATCTTGCCAGTTCATGATCAAAGTTACTCAATTAATTTGAGCAATTGCAGAAATGCAACATTTCTGGAGAACTTGTCCGTTTACCACCTTAACACACAATCTCTTAGAAGACTGGGCCTTAGTATAAGATGCCACAGTAAGATCACATCCTTCTACTGAGTCTGTAAGCCTCAAGAAAATAGAATACCAAGATCCGGGCAAACAAATCAACCAGGAATTTAACTTTTAGTATAATTATTCCTAAATCTTCCTAATGTCTTTAGTGACCATACTCTTTTAATACTAATTCTAAGCTAGAAAGCGAACCTCTTTAAACTTCCTATTTTCTTTCCTGTTCGATGGAGAATTAGCTGTCTTTGCACTAGTCAGAGCTATATTTTATTGTTCAATTATAGATTATTTCTTGACTGTATTATTGATTTTCTTGTTTCTTTCCATGTACTGAGGATCACATGAAAGTATCATCATATTAACCCATCTGAGATTTTAAGGATCTATAAACCTGCCTAGTTAATGTACTGCAAGGCTTTTCCCTCTAACTTGGATATGAAGGATTTAGCAGTAAAATTGCCCCAGGAAATCTTTAATCCATTTTTGTATCTTTTCAGAAAGCATGAGTTCTAGGAAATTTAGTGCTATTTAGTTACTTTTAAAATCTTTATCTTCATAATCAGAGAACAGTAAATGCCCATTAAAGTACAGTGGGTATATAATATAAAAAGATTAGACACTGATTACATATGTTCTCTGCCCTATGAGATTCATAAATTCCAAAATGGGCATATGGCACACACACATATAAGTACCATACATGCATAGCTATGTGAGTGGTTCTGGGCAGTGGGAATGGCAAATTCTAATAAATTTACAATTATTATTAAACTTGTTCTCTCCTGTTTCACAGAAAATAAAAGGAGAATCTGAAATTATCTTTGAATCACAGTCACAGAAATATTAAACATTACATAATAGATTACATATCATTTTTCATTTTGTGAACTTCTAAAAGGCAAGAATGTTTCACGGTATGAGTATGATCTAAGGAGAATACTGTGAAAGAGATGATTATATGTCTGGGGCTGTGTTCGTTTTTTTTTTTTCCAGAAGCAGTAAAGACAGTTAACAAAAAAAAGCAGAAAAATAAAGCAAAATTAGATATGTAAGTTACTGCTTGAGTATAATTAATAGTACAATAAGTGCTCACATAAAGTTATTGATAGGTTCTCGGAGACTGTGACATTAAGAATAAATAAAACCAATTTTACCATAGGCTAATTGATATAAACAAGAGTTAAATTCCTATGGCAATATCTGGTCACAAAAACATCACCAAACTTCTAACTAAAGACCCAAAATGTTTTTAATATTAAACATTGAAATAAATGTGAGCTATACAAACATGTAAGAAAAGTTAATAAAAGCAAGTAAGATATTGAATTACCAAATTTCTGGTGAGTGAGAGAGTGACTGAGGCCATAGTAGGGGTGGATTAAATCAGGAATAAATGTTTGCAAAGTGAAAATTGTAAGGAGCACATCTTACCACCAAGCAGTTCAAAAACAATAGCAAATATGGCTGGGTTCACTGAGCATTTTCATACCAAATTGTTGTCGTACATTTGTGTGATTATCGTATACTTGATGAATTTTTATTTTACAGTCATTTGTATTCATTTATTCATTCCTTTTCCAACCCACTTATTCCAGTTCAAGGTCGAGGGTGGCTGGAGCCTATCTTGGCAGCTCAGGGTACAAGATGAGAAATAAGACTGGCCAAGACGCTATTCCCTTGCAGCACACACTCACACACACACCCACATTCACTCACACTGAGCCAATGTAGACACGCCAATGAACCTAATGGGCACATTTTGGGGATGTGGGAGGAAACCGAAGTGTCCAGAGAAAACCCACACAGATATGAGGAGAATGTGCAAACTCCCTACAGACAGTGGCCCTGGCCAGGGAATTTTTTTTTTCTTTTCTCATCAACATTATAACAATGCTATATTATTCAAGGGTCTGCTGTACTGACATTATCAAAAAGACTGAAAGGCAAGCTCACAGCCAAGAGCTTTTTCATCAAAATTAAATTAATTTAAACCTTCTTGGGTGTTGTGTTTGATCTCAATAATTTTATTTACATCAAATATAGATAACTTAAGATTTTAGAATTTCTGTGTTCTAGTGTCCGTTTTATTTAAATTTAACTTGTGCCAAATTATACCATATTTTCTTGAAGAGTATCTGAGGATGAAAGCAAACGTTTACTAAAGGCCTAAAAAGAAATAGAGACTATCAAAATATCCTAGTCAAAGTTTTTTGTTTTTTTTTTTTTTGAGACGGAGTCTCGCTCTGTCACCAGGCTGGAGTGCAGTGGCTCACTGCAACGTCCACCTCCCGGTTCAAGTGATCCTCCTGCCTCAGCCTCCTGAGTAGCTGAGACTACAGGTGTGCACCACCATGCCCAGCTAATTTTTGTATTTTTAGTGGACACGGGGTTTCACCATGTTAGCCAATATGGTCTTATCTCCTGATCTCGTGATCTGCCCGCCTCAGCCTCCCAAACTGCTAGCATTACAGGCATGAGCCACTGCGCCTGACTCAAAGTATTATTTTTTAAAAAAGCACTAATATTTAAATAAAAATATATCAAACAGAAAAATAAATAATAACAATTGTATAATATCATTTTTTGTGTTAACATTAATATTACTAGAAGTATGAGTCTAAGTATTGCCTTCTACAATATTTGGAAAAATTGAAACATTCTTACAGGATTAAGACACATCATCATGATGAATCTCTATCTGTGGGAATCCATTGTTAGTGATAGAACACCATGTAGAGTAAGGGAATTACCAATTACACATTACGTAACCATATTGGTATAAATTTCTGAGAAAGAAAAAACCTCATTTGATTTATGGCCTGATCTGACCTCATTAAATGACTAAGACCTCTGAAACATCTGCAAATGAATTCCCCAAAGGAAATAGGAAATATATCTATGGTTTGAGGAAATAGAAAGTTGAATACATTTACTGACTACTTATAGAGAAAAATAGTATAATTCTCATCAAATATTTTATTTCAATCTCATTTCTATTTATGTGAAAACTTTGTTGTGTTTTACATTGTATGGGCTCAATCATCCTGCTAAATGTTACGCTAGTTATTTTTCCCTCATTTACACTCTTTGTAGTTTTTATATACTTAAAAAAATGTTGATTAAGTGCTTTCAAAATAGACTCAGGCTTACATATAAACTTTAAATATGCCACGAAACTTATAATACATTGTTATACCATATAAAATAGAATAAAATAAATAAGTAGCCTGTAAAAATAAATTCCAGAAGTTTCTGCAACATCTACTCAATCTTAAATCACTTTGAAAGCAAATCAGATCAACATTTTTCCTACTAAACATTTCACCTATTTCAAGAATAAATAATTATTCATTAGAATATTTTGATTAAAACTCTGTTCCCTAGGAAAATACCAACAGTAATAATGTCTCTTCTTTTTGTTCTCACATATGTAACAAAAAAACAATCACTGCATGATCATAATTTGGAAATAGTTAAGTATTAGCAAGTTTCTGCCATCCATAGGAGAGGAATCAGAAAAATGAGCCTTACAATTTGGAGGGTATTTTAGTACAAAGTATTTCCATATTTCATTAGGATTTGGTTTCCTCCTATAAGATCTTCATTCTCTCTCTGTTCAAATCTTTATGATTTTAAACATTAAACTTCCAAACTAGTCTACTTGTGGTTGTTAGTGATCACTGTCTAAAGACAAAACTGTCTAAAGATAAAAACAATAATTTAGTTTTGCAAAGAAATATTACTATGTTCCTTTTTTCTTTCTTTATAAAACATTGATTTTGCTCTTACTTCTTTTTCAGCATCTTCCAGTTTCTTTTTCTTACTCTCGGGCATCAAATCATCCAACCAGCTGAGTTCCCGCTTCGTGAACAACAAGTCCATCAACTTTCTTACAAATACCAGGGCTAACACCTGAAGTAAATAATAAACTAGTTTAAAGTGGAAAAAAAATTAAAACGAGAGGTGTAGATTTGCCTGTATGGTTTTTGGTAGAAACAATTTCTATTAGGCCTGAGATTAAAGTAAAAATTAAAGATATATATGTATAAAACATTGTCTAGTCTTCTGCTTCCTTCATTTTCTTTTCTTACTACATCACCACAATAATGACTATGATTTTAACCAATATGGGAGTCTATTAAATAAGCTATTTTAAAAAACCTATAAAATGTATTTGACTATGTTTCCTTAAATACATGTAGTTAATAGTTTATACTATATTAAATGAACACGAGAACATTCTTATCTATACTAATAATTATGAAATTATTTAGTCATTCAAATTCACTATAGTTTTTGAAGTATTTGAAACTTGCCTGAAACATTTAATACAATGTTATTTTAAAAATCCTAATTTTTCATATTTGCTAGTATCTTTAATGTTAAATTTTGGAAGAATGCATTTTTCCATCCAGCTTCAATTAATTCAGACTACCACAAACATTCAGAGTGATAGAGACAAAACTAATAGGAATCACTGAAATTCATAGGCATTCTTAAACCCTATCTTAGTCACACTTTCAGTGCCAAAACTTATATTTTCCAATAATTGTTCAAAATGACTCTGTTGTTCCAGTTTCAATTCATGTGTTTATGTTTCCAAAGAGACCAGCAAATCAGAGAAAGAGAAAAATAGTTGACAGAAGTTTCATACCATCATGGGAAAGACAATAGCAGCTCTTGAAACTTTTATTATCCACAAAAGGCCAAGGCAACTCATCTGAATAATTGTGAAGAGATGCACTTTTCGAAGCGGTACGTGCCTTAGGTATATAAAATCTGGTTGATGTTTTGCCGGCATCCAGAAGAGCTTTATCCTATCAAAGAACTAAAAGATTAAACAGACTAAATTGTTTTTAGGTGTAAGACAACAATAAAAGTAGGACAAGTTGATGTTTAATATGGTCCACAATTTTGGGTTAAATGACATACCTGGATAACACTAAGTTGATATCTCGGCATCAAGACAATGGGATTGTTATGCTTACCCTCTGAAACACTACAATTTCAGTTAAACAATAGCCCACATTTTCTTGAATATGGAGACGGGTTACAATTTAGAAGAGTTTAAAAATAGAAAGCCAATGTTAAATATTGCTACCTTGAAGAGTGGAGCCCTGTGAAGCAAAACATAATTAACCATCTTCTTTTTCATTGTCACAACACAATCTCTTCCTTTATTTGCCCCTCAACATTGGGATTCCTGGACTCTCATTCTCTGTTTTCTTTTCTCCTGGAATAGTTCATCCATACCCATGGCTTTGACTTTCACAGACTTGCTAATGATTCACGGACCTACGTCTCTGCCTTAGCTCTCTCCTGAGTTCTAGACCCTTATCCAGCTGCTAAGTACGGTATTTTAACCTCCTTATTTTGACTCTGCTGTTTTGACTTTGTCCCTTTAATCCCCAACAAAAGTTTAGATGCTGTCTTTATGGACACAAACATCTTAACCATAAAAATTTAACCTAAATAAATTTTGTTAATAAAGTATGTTCCAGAGCAAATTTTGTTAACTCTATTTAATTTCTTGATTAACTTTATATACAGCACTGTCACGTCATTTATATATTTTCAGTTGTATTTTATTAAAATTATTTTCATCTCAATCAATGTTATTTGTTTCAATCTTGCCATAAAGATAGTACATAGTATTACATAACACTATTGTTATAGTACTTCATACTATTATGTTACAGCTTTGACTTTGAGGGCTTTTTTAATCAAGCAAACCAATTTTTCTTTTTTTGAATTTTATAAATTAAATGCACACAGGAAGCTTAAATCTTTAATCACATTTTATTTACTAACAAATCATACTGCATGATAGTTTTATTTTATATAGATTATTTGGTTTATTGTTCTTCGGCCAATTTTTGCAATTTTCAGTGTTTCCAACTAGAGGCGATTATTTAGAAAATAATGGTTTCAATCACTGTCAGTCACTGTTTTATTTCATGCCATCTCTACAGTAACATCCATTATGCATTTTCAAAAAGTAATATTAGATTTTATTTCTTAACTAACTTATTTTAAAAACTGTAGGCAATTCTCATCAAATGTGTCATATTAATATGCAAAGGAACAGTTGTCCATTGAGTCAAAATGTTAGAGTCAAAACACCCTGTTTTACCAAGACCTGCTTGTATACATAATAGGAATCTCAAACTCAACATAAACCTATCTTCCCTTCTGTGTTCTATGTCTTATGGCATGACATGGCCTTCCTTTCCTCAGTTATCTAAATAAGAATCATACATATATTAGTTCATTCCCTGACCATTCATTTATTCATATTCATTTATATATTCCAAAAATATTATTGAAACATTCTATGCAGGCTACTAAGTGCTGAACTCATTCCTGAATAATGTCTCTCCATTCTGTCCATGTACATGTCATTAAGTTTTAAAATTTCTATTTCCTAAATATTATTTAAACTTAAAAGTCATTAAATAAACAAAAACTTGGTGCATGGTAGAGGTAGGAATAGGAAAGAAATAAAATAAAATCTTCTGGCTTACAATGGAATATTTCCTTTTCTATAGAACTAGTTTTTCCCAGCCACCATTTCTCCATTTGTGAAGCTATGTTATTGCATAAGTGTACTTCAGTGTGTGGGTGCTTCAATTGTTATTGTTTAAATGGCACATTTGCTTTACTTTGGATTCCTGAAGTGTTGGAATGAATATAGATGTGGGTATATATCTGAATGCAGAAACAGCATTCATGAGAACACTGTGATCTGTTTTTTCTGCCATGTTTCACAGTGAGAAGCCCAGATAATAAGTTTCTTAATATTGCCAAACAAGCAGGTAACATAGATTCCTTCAATAGGGTAAGACAGTAACGTGCTGCTGGAACTGATTATATTTAGCATATGTTTAAATAATAATCATCATCATGATAAATGTATTCTGAGTTTTACATTTGGTTTTTATTATATCCTAGTATCAATATCACATTTCCCCACCCAGTTAGCTACAATTCCAAATAGGAATTTCAGCTGCCTGCTCTTGGGGCTCACTTAAATTTTCACGAACACTGTTTCTCAGTGTGAGACCCTGTTCATCAACATGTGCCCCAGATTGATGTTTCATTTGTGTTCTTTAAAACTCATTATATTTAACTCATGGGCTTTTGATAACGTTTTCTTCAATTTTCATTTAAAAGATTCACACCCCAAATAATTCCAAAACTTGACGTTCTTGTTCAATTCTAAATCTCATGAGTATAAAATCATGTGGAATTAGAGGAGAAAATCTGTTGAAACCTATCATCAAAATGATTTTACATTGTTTCTTAAACTCTGCTGCTGTATTTATGTGAGCCTGGGGCCTAATAATAAATGCTTTTCACTTACAGATGAAATTAGTACTCATGGAACTTTTGCCAAAGGCAAAAAAAAAAAAAAAGGGAAAAAGAAAAACAAATAAACAAAACCTCTTCCATATTCTTCCCTAATGGCTTACTAAACAAATTCTATCAAACTACACTTTTCATACATGAAATTTTAAATGAGCAAATTAAATCTAATTTGAGTAAAATTAAAACATATAACATGGCTCAACCATCTCCCTCTCCCAGTTCATTTTTCCCAGTGTCAGGATGAAGAGTCAGTCATACTATCAACTTTGGGTGTTCCGTGACCTGCAATGACTTCATACTTAAGTTTCCCCCAGACTGGCAGCCAGTATTGTCTTAAGGCCTAAGTTCTGCTTTTTCTCCCAAAGTCAGAAGCTGGTTAGTCATTTGCTCAGGAACAGAGATCCCGTGCTGCCTGTCCTGCAGGTTAACTATTCTCTTATATGCTATGAACATCAGTGAGTCTAGCTGTGTTATAGAAAAAGCTGCAATTTATTTTTGCTTTTCAGTTGACAAAATACTATATGATGAATAAGTCTCTAGTCTCTTTTTCAAGAACATTGGAGTGTTGGGCTAAATAATGTTAAATTATAAAACAAGACTTTTCAAGGGACAATTTAAGTAGAAATCTATTAGTTTGCTAGGACTGTCCTAACAAATTACCACAACTTGGTGGTTTAAATCAATAGAAATATATTCTTCCACACTTGTGGAGGCCAGAAGCCTAAAGCAAGATATTGCCAGGGCCACACTCCCTTTGAAGGTCTTAGGGGAGAAAACTTCCTTGCCCCTTCCAGCTCCAGGTGGCTCCTAGCACCCTTGATTTATGGCAACAAAACTCTAATCTCTTTCTCCCTTTTTTTTTTTTCTTTTTTTTTGAGACAGAGTATCCCTCTGTCGTCCAGGCTGGAGTGCAGTAGCATGATCTCGGCTCAATGCGATCTTCACCTCCCGGGTTCAAGTAATTCTTCTATCTCAACCTCCTGAGTAGCTGGGATTACAGGCATGCACCACCACACCCGTCTGATTTTTGTATTTTTAGTAGAGACTAGATTTTGCCATATTGGTCAGGCTGGTCTCGAACTCCTGACCTCAGGTGATCCACCCGCCTTGGTCTGGCATTAGAAGTGTGAGCTGACCGTGCCTGGCCTTCCTACATCTTCATATAGCCTTCTTCCCTGTCCTGTGTCTCTCTGTGTTCTCCCCTCTTCTTTTTTTTTTTTTTTTTTTTTTTGAGACAGAGTCTCTTTCTGCCTCCCAGGCTGGAGTGCAGTGGTGCAATTTCCACTCACTGCAACCTCCGCCTCCCAGGTTCAAGCAATTCTCCTGCCTCAGCCTCCCAAGTGGCTAGGACTACAGGCGCCCACCACCATGCCCAGATAATTTTTATATTTTTAGTAGAGATGGGGTTTCACCATGCTGGCCAGGATGTTCTCGATCTCTTGACCTCATGATCCGCCCACCTCGGCTTCCCAAAGTGCTGGGATTACAGGCATGAGCCACACCACACTCAACCCCTCTTCTCTTCTTATAAGGACCACAGTCATTAGATTTAGGGCCCACCCTAAATCCATGATTATCTTGTCTTGAAACCCATATCTAATTACATAGGCAAATAGTCTATTTCCAAGTAAGGTCACATTTTGAGACTCCAGGTGGACATAAATTTTCAGGAAACACTCACTATTCAACCAATAACAGTATCATCAAAGAAATACGTGGGAAGAATTTGCCTACAGCTTCTGTAAAAATTTAGAATACACTTGTGGAGGTTTTAAAATGTGTCTACAAATTCTTTGATACTCTTCTCTTCAAGAGATAGTCTCCCTTTTCCCTTCACTTGGGTGCAAGCTGGACTTAGTAGTGGATAGCCTCTAACAAATAGAAAACATGGAAAGACCATGTATGACTTTGAAGACTAAGTCAAAAAGCACTTCATCCTCTTTCTCATTCTCTTCTCTCCTTTCTCCTCTATCTCTCTCTCTCTCTTTTATATTGCTCACTCTGAAGGAGTCACATTCCATGGTTTGAGGACACACTAAGGATTCCATGGAGAGGCCACTGTGGCAAAAGACTGAGTCATCCTACCAACAGGTAGAAAAGAACTGATGCCCTCATGCCCACAGTTGTGGAATAGCCATTTTGCAAGCAGATCCTCCAGCACTATCAAACCTTCAGATGCTGTGGACCTTGTCCACACCCTGACAGTGACCACATGGGACATCCTGAACCAGAACCATCTGGCTGATCTGTTGCCAAATTCATGCCTAAAATATTTATTTAACCAATACTTACTTAAATAATTCATAAAGTTCCCCTTATACTTGAAACTGCTTATATCTTTATTTTAGTCTAATTTTAAAAATAATCCTATAAATATAACAGTAAAACAAACAAAACAAGGGGGAAAACCCCCGGGATATCACTATCTCAACAAATTGTTCTTATTTCTACACCTTCCTTCACAACCCAGCTCAAACTCATAGCTTTATAAACCTATGGTCAATAGTTTCTTACTTTGTATTATGTTGTAAGCATTTTTGCCATGTTACTTTTGTGGTTCCTATAATTATCAATTTTCAGTGAATATACCATAGGTTACCTAATTATTTGACTGCAGTTAGAGAATTGGGTTGTTTCCAATATTTTAATAGTATGTGTTACAATGAACATCTTCGTGCATAAAGACTTTTCCTATTCTTACCAATAGATGTCCATACACATGATTAAAGTGTCAAATATTATAAATATTTGGATATATATTGAAATATACTACTATGATTTTTCTAAAAATGCTGTAAAATCTAAGCCTCTTACAGTTTTAATATACTTATGATAAAGAAAAGTACCATAAGATTATGAACCTTAGATGCTGGAGAGAATCTTCTTTAACTTTTGTAACTCTGACAAGTTTGAAGAAATTTAATTGTGGTCTAAAAGCTGTTCCTCAGGTGGTGGCATTTTCTCAGCTGTCACATGACTTATCAGTAGACCTTAAGGTCAGTCATCACAGATGTGCCTGTAGTACTGTAAGTAATTTACCTGAATTCCCTTTAGAGATGAAGCACCCATATAAAGAAACACTCCATATAGCACTGGCATGGGAATAAACTGTAAAAGAACAATTGGAGAAAAGGCAGAAATCATTTTCAAATAGATTGTGGTTTTGCATTTATCAAAGAAAAAAACAGGGAAAAAAGGCATTTTTGAATAGAAACAGTATAGTACAGATTCAGAAGACAAGGATTCAAGTTCCAGCTCTAGCATTTTTAGCTGTGTAACCTTAGGTAAGTTACTTAAGCTCTCTGTGCCTTAGTTTCCCAATATCTAAAAGGAGATGATAACAATAGGGTTGTTATAATTATTTAATAGGTCAAAATCTATTTTTAAAAACCATGTAGTATATAATGAACAATAATATTATTATTATGCTACTTTGGAGACAACTTGAATTTTGCTTTACAAAGATAAGATATTTGGATTAAAGGTGGATTAAAAATGAAGCTAACATTTAGATGTGTTTCCTGTATTATACCAGGTATTTGTAAATATATGGATAATTCAGATTTTCTCTTTTTATTGGAATAGTTCACATCATCTTATGTCTATAACATAATTACTTATATAACAGAGATTAATTCTTGCAAAGGTACTTGTGTTAATGATCAAATACAAGTAAACTAGTGTAAATCATTAAATAATTTAATTAAAATGTCAAATTATAGGCAAATAAAATGTGTTGTAATTTATAGCGCAATTGACACACCTTGGAAATATCTGACAAAATTACATGACAAAATAATTACTAGTTAATCCTCTTAAAAATAGATTTCAAGTTTTGTGTGAAAAAAAAATCACTATATGCAATGATGATGTCCAGACAGTGGTTTTACAGAGCACTTAAAATGGAAAACTGCGTATGTGACTATAACCAGGCTCATCCCTTCACCTCTATCTCTTATTAATAGTAAGTAATATTAACTGCTAATATATTTATCCACTGACAAGAAAATAGAATCTTTATGAATGCCTGTAATGGATTCGGGTCACAAGTCAGTCAGAAACAATGAGTGACTTTTTCCCATAGCTTGATCACCGATTCAAAATTGTTACAATAATTTACTCATCAAATTTTACTTTGCCAGACTAAATTTTTATGTATTTAAGGGTTTTAAAATATAGGACGTAATTTCCCTCCCTTAGGTTATGAAGAATTATATAAACATGGTTCAGAAATTCATCACTTTCATCACATGCCACACAATATTTGCAAATTTATGGCTCAGATTCAAATGAAAATTTTAAATGATGATAAATGTATTCTTTCTCTCAAGTTCATAAAGACAGATTTTGTTACCTTCAGAATACTGGTCATAAAGACTGATGAACCCATAAGAATAAAAATCATAAGCCCAGTAACCCTTTGCTCCCGAATGCCGAGAAATTTGGGTTGTTCTCCTGGAGCTGAGCATTCTGATTCCAGTTTTAGGCTATTGACATGAGTGATGGAGAGGACTGTGGCAGCCACAAACCATGGCAGGCCCATGATGGAGCATACACCGAGCATGACAGCCACCATTAATAGGTCCAGATGGTACCCACAACCTTTCTGTTTAAAAAAGAAAGAAAGAGAGAAAGAAACTGTGTCAATAACAGGGCTAAGGGTGGCCTGATTGCGAATAGAAACCACTTCCTGATGATACTCAACAAGCCCTTCATATCAGATCTCCTGGAGTAACTCTTAAACAAACACTCAGTTTCCAATTGCCCTCGTTTGTCTCATTGGGTGACTTCTATTAGAAAAAATAATATCATGGAGCCTAAGCTCCCCTGTATAGTCATTTTCTCCTTAATATAGTGCTATCTTGTTCTAATTTGCTTCAGTTTCAGCACTAGACAAATTAAGCCCCTCCTTAGAAATCACGGTTTTTTGTTTTCTATTTCCTCTGTTATGCTACTCCACTGTCACTGATCTCCAGGTGTTGCAAACTAAGTGCCTCCTAGGACCAGGTAGGAAATGTAAAGGAGGAAAAATAGGTGCAATGGGGTGTGTGAAAACTGCCCTCTTGCACAGACAGGGTGCTCTCTGAGGAGGGAAATCAAAGATGGGGAAGAGCACTCCCTCCATACCCTGCAGGAATCGAAGTGTAGAGCCTCAGAAGCAGCCAAAGGGATGGCCTATTTTATGTTCCACCTTTTATTTTTAATTTTTAGTGACTGCTTTATGAGAGGCAGTATAATAAAGTGGTTAAGAATATAAGTTCTGGAGTCAGACTGCCTGGAATGAAATGCTAGCTCAACCAATAAATCACTTAAGCTCTTGTGCCTCTTTTTCCCTATCTGAAAAACGATGATGATGATAGTAGAAGGCACCTCACTGGGCTGTTGTGATAATTAAATTAGTTGATGTTGTAAATCATTTGGAATAATATCTGTTGAATAGAAAGCAATCAGAAAATGTTAGGTACTATTATATTCTAGTGGTTAAACAATAAATGTTTCTTTTGTACTCATTAGGTTTCAAGGCTCCTTAATAAAACTATTAATATGTTTCTTAAGATCAGATAACTTATATAATTTCTCAGTATTTCCTCTAGTTTTTAGCACAATCATTGGCACACAATAAGCAATCAATAAAAGTTACAAATTGACTTTTTTGAAAATAAAATACGCATCAAACATTTCAGAATCAAATTTAGTAAGTGTAATTTTAAAATAAATACAGCAGTTAAATTTGTTATTATGACCATGAGCAGAAATTACCAATTCTTCTAGGAGAATAATAGTCTTTTTTAGAGGTAGTTTTATATAACTTCAAGCAGTTTGTAGTCAGTATGAGAGCTCTTATAGCCTGGAGTGTGAAACACACTGAGTATTTGTTGCATATTTGTCATGGTAGTCTTTTCTCTGTGATTTTGTTTTCTTGTTTTCTTAGTAAGAAGGTTCTTAAAGTCAGTTGTACTTTCTTTCCTTTCTGCTCATCCTTTCCAAATTATAAAAGTGCAAGAGATGATAGTGAGGAGACAATGAGAGTTATGTGCCTAAGGACCTGTTCCTCCTATGTTGACACCAAAGCAATGGTACCCTTCATTGATTCAGCTTACTGGGGCAATACTACAATTTACCAAAATATCTAACTCAATTTCCTGAATGAATATGACTCTGGAAACTTTTCTTTGCAAGTAACTCAAGAAAGAATTTGATTAGTAAGAGTTGAAGAGTAGGAAGAGAAACTGCCTGGTGTCAGCATAACCAAAAAAGCATAGGAAACAGTTTTGCCAGGACCATAATATCATCCCTTGGCCCTTTTGCAAAACATTTTGGAAGATGTAATTCCATAGAATAGAACTCAGATTTTGGTCCCTTTAAAGGACAATGTCTTAAGCAGTTTGAGAAGTGTTTTGTCCTAGCAACTCTGGAGTGAGAAGGATGTAGAACAGGGAAGGACCTCATACTTAAGCCTCTGCCTCTGAGGGAGTACAATGTGAATGGTGCCCCCTTGGAGCTATTTTGCAAAATTATGGTACTGCTAAGAGAAATCAAAAGATGGAAGAGGAGCTGGTGGCTGTGAGATGAGCATCAGAGGAGGGCAGAAGACAGGGGGCCTTGAGAGTCAGGCTTGTACTTTTTAGCACACCTGGACTTTCTCAGAGTCCACATTCACTACATCTCAATAATATGAGGGAGATCTTTGTCGCGATAGTGATTTCCAATAGCTCTTATTGAATGTTTTAAAAATATGATACAAATGTAAACAGTGGGATTCTGAATTGCAGGAAGTAGGCAAAATAATTCTTTCAGAGGAAATAATTTCTTTTCTAAATTTATAAAGCTAGTTTTGTAATATATAAATATATAACAAAAACAAAAATATAATTTCCCCTAATTATGCTGTACAACAATGGCAGCATCTTGATTTAATGTAAACCAAAGGAAATAAATAAAGCAGTTCTTGCTCTTCCCCTAACTAACCAGTATCCTTCTTGCCTTTCATTTAAAATGTCTTTAAAAACTTGGACTTTGTAACAAAATTATTAGCTGATAGGCATGCCAGCCAAAGAGAAGTATCCCTTTGTCAGACAGAGAACTCTACACCTTCTAACATATTTCTGTAGATTTTTTTCTCAAATAAAGACAGAGCTAGAGCTTTTATTCTCACATTCATCCATGAATCACAGGAAATGGACATATGGGAGGAAAAGGGAGCATAGCAACAGGTGATGCTACACCAGACCCCACTAAAACCAACATGCAGCAAGACAAGAGGCCAGCCAAGAGGACCATCTGATACCCAGATGCCACTGCTGAAAAAATTCATTTCAAAGCTTGGCAGCAATTTCCTGCATCTGTCAAGTTAACCACATAAAAGACTATAGATTGACATGAAGAACCAGGCTGACAAAGAGGGCAAAAAAGAACATATCAAATGCCATAATCATCAAGAGAATATGGTGCCAAATGAATGTTGCAAATGCATTCATTTACTCAAGTGATCCGGGATTGTATTGCTGTTTATTAAAAATGATGTCAAAAGAAGCCTGAACTGTCTACAGAAACATGTAGAAAAGCCCACAGTTGTATCTTAACAGAAACTTTCTTTTTTATAAGATTTTATCTCTCTTTTCACATTTAGAGAATGTGCTTTAAAAAACCCAAGTAGATATTTTTAATGCTTTTCAAAAGGATTCAGTTAACTTATGCCTAATCCACTTCTCTAAGGGAGAAACAAACAAACAAATGCTAGAGAGAGTATGGATTTATATGTACATTTATGTATAATATACATGATACTTCACATTCTCAAATTTTTGTATTTGCCTCTTCTTTCACTCTGGAGCCATCCAAAGGATCATAGGATGCAATGAGTTCGAGGTTTACTGATTTTGAGCTCCCCCATTCTTCGGGAGTAGTAAGTCACCTATGCAGTGCAACACAGCTTTATTGTGTAAATAGTGACACTCATGAAATGATAAAAACATTTTTTTTTTTTGAGACGGAGTCTCACCCTGTCGCCCAGGCCAGGGTGCAATGGCATGATCTCATCTCACTGCAACCTCTGCCTTCCAGGTTCAGACGATTCTCCTGCCTCAGCCTCCTGAGTAGCTGGGATTACAGGTGCCCGCCACTACGCCCAGCTAATCTTTGTGTTTTTAGTAGAGATGGGGTTTCACCATGTTGGCCAGGCTGGTCTCTAACTCCTGACCTCGTGATCCACCTGTCTCGGCCTCCCAAAGTGCTGGGATTACAGGCGTGAGCCACTGTGCCTGGCCAATAAAAACATTTTTATCAGCAGGAGAAATATCATCTAAAAGAAAACCAGCTACTAGTTCTGGCAATAGAGGTGAAGAAAAAGTAAAAAGATCTAAAATATGTTTGGGAGAGATAAAGAATGAAATGAGGAATTCTGAGTTGACTTGGGTGTATGTAGACTTAGATACATGATGTGGAGTCTACCAAGTGTTTGATACATAAACTACAAAACATGATTCATTAAACAATTTCGGGGAATGCTCCAACCAAGGCAAAAATGGGTTTTCAAGTGAGAAAAGAAAATTAGTAAAAGCTGAAAATGCTTTCACAAGTGGTTAGCTTGTGGTCTGGTGATATACTCAAGAAACACATCTTTTAGTGAAAATGTGGTTCAAGTCAAAGCCAGGAGACTTTGCAAACATTTCAATGAAGCAACAGGCGGGGAGAAGGACTATGGAACAAACCGTTACTCTGAGTAAATAACATTCTGAGAAGGTGATTTTGTTGTTGTTAACGGGAAAACCAGTAGCATCAGACCACACTCTATAGAAGCTTATAGGAGACAAGAGTTATAGGCCCAATAGGGGTTCAATGTAGATGAAATACATCTTCACTGGAAGAAATTTGCTTTAAAAGTATTCATATCTAAGAAGGAGGATGGAGAGTTCAGATTCACAGTGGCCAAGAACAGGCTGACTCTTCTGCCTGTGGCCATATAGCAGAGTTTATGATTAAGCCAGATTTGCTGTATCATTTACTAAATCCAGAGTAGTAAGGGGCAAAAATACACAACTTTTGACTACATAATCATTTATTTGCACAATAAAACAGATTTAGTAATGTAGCCTCAGGTTTATTTCAGTGACAAAAATAGTTCTAGTTCTGCATTTAATTCTATAAATGCAAGTACTTGAAAGGACCACTTAAAGAATGCTTTACTACATTTTTGTTATTCCACAGTATATGTGAAGGGGGAAATTAGTGTATTTGTCAATGTGGAGCTTTACAAAGGCTGTGAATGTCAAGGGCTCATGAAGAACAAGGAGTAAGAGCAAGTGTCATGTGATTTATAAGGTTGAAAGGGCAAAGATTCAGAATGGCCAGGAAGGTAATATCAATCTCAGCACACATTTCACTTCCACACTTTGTTTTAATATGATTCCACTTACAATAAGAAAAAAATGCTGCCTGAATCCATTTAACTGATGGCCCTTACAGAGGATAATTTTTCAGTGAACACACTAGAATTTCTGCCTAATTATAAAGGCTAAAAAAATCTTTTTGAAAGGTAAATAATAATTATATGGCTTACTTTCTTCCTAAAACAGGTTTTTTAGTTGATTTTTTAAAATGTATCATTTAATAAAATACATAAAGTTGTGAGAATTCTTAACTTACGTTCTACAAAGAGAATGAAAAATGTCCTTTGCTTTAAGATAGACACACATTCTCTCCACCATATACTCAAAATTCCTTCTTCATAAGATTTATTGCAAATAAGTGTGCTTTCTTACATTTATGTAATTATTATTATTAAAAGTAATGGCAAAAACTGCAATTACTTTTGCATTGACCCAATATATTGCATCAGAGTTTAATCAGAGATATTTTTCATCTTTCTAACATTCCTATAAAAAAATTCTATAAAGCATGATTTCTGTTGCTCTGACAATGATTTTTTCTCCTAGAGTTTAAAGGGTATGTGAAAATAGCTGGCAACTACCCCACGATACCAAAACAAAAACAAGATTGTGCATGTTATGTTTTTACAAGGTTTGATGCAGATTATTTTTAACCATTTAATGATTTCATCGATTTTATTTAACATATTCCTGTAAGTAAGTGACAGTGCTTACATTACATATCTCAGGCAAATTGCATACCAGTGAACAATTTCGATTATTCACAATTGCAAAATGGCAAGGTCAGAATGTAACTAAGACACATCTATAGTTATTCTTTTTATAAAAGAGACAGTGAAATCTGCAATAAAACTCAAAGATGTCACTTCTAAACTGTGACGTTTATGTCTGGATTTTGTTGTTACAGGCAGACAGAAAAATAATTAAAGAAAATGAGAAATAGTTGAAGTTGTAATTTATTCTGATAATGAATTCAATGTAATAGATACATTTAGGGTTAAATAGAGGAATAGAGGAATCTCAGATGTAAGACAAGTTGGTATGGTTGTACTTCACCAGAACAGATTGTTATTTCATTAAAATATGTTAAGTATGGAAAAGTTAAAACTTTGACAGTTTTTTATTTTATGCCTTGGAGGTGAGTTCTCAGACGTGAGCTCAGCCAAGTGCTACAAATAAGTAAATTCTCATCTCATTGTAAGACCAAGTATCTTGTAAGACAATAAAAATTATACATCTAAAAACATTATTTTATATATTTCACTGTGCAAATGAATACAGAATATAGAAGTCAAATGAACATCAGTTGATATCAGTTGTCATAATTATTTACATTAAAATGGATGTTAAAATATACCTTTAGCTTATGCTCTTTCCTGTTGATGATGACAGCTGTAATCTGTTGGTCCATAAAAATTAGAATAGTACAAAGCAGAGCTGGAATTATAGCAGCTATTACTGTCCACCATGGGTTTGGACCTAAAGGCGTAACAAACCAGCCACGATCATCTCTAGTGGGCTGTATAAAGTAAAGAATGTGCATAGTTATGAACTGGATTAATGAATACTTGATCAAATTAGGTCTTACAGATGCTACTAGGAAAGCCCTAATTATAAACAGAGGAGCTGAGTGGCCTATAATAAATAATAATAATACTCATAAATCACTTAAAACCATTTTAAGTGCTTTAAATATTTTAACTCATTTTTTTTTTCTTCACAACACTCTAAAGATGACACAGATAAGAAAATTGAGGCACAGAGAGATCCAGTAACTTGCCCAAGATCCCAAAGCTAGTACGTGGTAGAGATGGGATTTAAACTCTGACAGACTTGTTGAAAAATCTGTGTTATTAATCAATACCTGTATTAAATAAAATGATATTAATATTTACTATTTACTATTGGAAAATGTATTGAAATTTACAAATAGCATATTGACACATTGACCACTGTGCTAGAACTGAGATACAAAGATAAATCAGAGGCTTCTTTCAGTTTAGAATCAGAGACAGACATCTAAACAAAATACATCATTATGGTATTGTAACTGTTATTTTTGATGTGCAGAGGCTATTGAGTGAAAATGATAAAAAAGATACTTGGTCACAGCAGAGGCTCAGGGAAGGATTCCAAACATGGCTGCTGTCTGAGATGATTCTCAAAATTTCATCCTGACAAGAGCCCTATATAGAAGTCCCCAGCCCTGTTTGACAGAGAAAACAAAGGGGTGCCCCTAATTTGAAAAGCTGAAATCTGAAATGATCCAAAATCTGAAACTTTTGAGCGCTCACATGATGCCACAAGCGGAAAATTCACACCTCACATCATGTGATAGGTCACATATATTATTAAGAATAGTGTATAAAATTACCTTCAGGTTATATGTATAAGGTATATATGAAACATAAATTTTGTATTTAGACTTGGGCCCCACCCCAAACATATCTCATTATGTGTTTGCAAATATTTCAAAATTTGAAAAAAAAATGAACTCTGAAACACTTCCGATCCCAAGCACTTTGGATAAGGAATATTCAAACTGTACCCCATTAGTAACACGGTCAGAATTCTATTCCCAATCTATTTTTATCTGTTTTCCAAGCCTTATTCACTGTACAATTCTGCCAAGATAATCCTTTTCTCTTAGTTTCAAATGCTTCCTTATCTTTTAAGAATGTTATATATAGGTATTTCAACTGGCAGAATTGACAGGAAATTTTTTTCAAGCAAGTTTTATATTTATAATTATTTATATTTTGTAATTCTTATATTTTTAAATATTAGACCTAAATTTTAGCCATGCTGTGTGCATTTCATTTACTGGTCTTCTAATCTAAATTCTTCATATTTTCATGAAAATCCTAAGTACTAGAGTTATAGGTATCATCTAAATGAAGATTAGACCGAGAGAGATGGGAAGAGGGAGAGAGATAGTAAGTACCTTGAAAACACTTGGTACTTGTAGTTTTGGAGATGGGATCCCAATGGCATAGTCAATTAAAACCATACACAGAATTGTAAGAAAGACAGCAAAGTCACTCACTATGGATCGAACCTAAAAATAATGAAAACACTTGTCACTTAAAGTAGCTATAAATATCAAGGAATACTCAGGAACATAATCTAGAGTCACACTTTATAAACACTTTATGACATAATATCATAATATTATATTTTATGCATACTATAAGATTACCATTAGCTCTGTCAGAACCTGAATATATATTTATGTATCACTGTCG
This sequence comes from Homo sapiens, assembly GCF_000001405.40. NCBI lineage: Eukaryota > Metazoa > Chordata > Mammalia > Primates > Hominidae > Homo > Homo sapiens. The sequence continues at coordinate 161,948,960 of NC_000002.12, read as the reverse complement.
TTAAGATTGGTACACACTCAACCTTTCCAGAATGAGGCATTATGGAATAGCTACATCGTGGTTGTGCTGTTTTCAATGTTTATTTAAAATCTAACTTTATGATGAACCCATGCATGTGAATATTCAGAATGCAGAATAAGGTAGCATGGGCAGAATTTGGCTGGATTTTAGGGATCTCTTTCACACAGGTAACACTTTAATATGATAAACTTGAAGCATCATAAAATAAAATTATCTGTTCTTATCAAAGAAACATAATGTTTTAGTTTATCTAGAATATAAGCATGACAGTTGGGAATGTACACAACAGAGTGGGCAAATTTAAAATTTATTCTATGTGAGCCAATTTTTAAAGCCATTTCTCATTTATAAAGCCAATTCTGAGCAAATATTCACATATAATTATTATCCAGATCTAGTTTATTTTAAGATGCCTTTATGACATACACACAAGCATACACAAAATGCTTAAGATTATTGTTTCAGCTTAGAAAAATGTTTTTGTATTAATCAGACTAAGATTTTTGGGGAAATAAATGAATCTTCCACCTTAGAGAAGAAAGTGGTGACAAAAAAGAAGCCCCCTTCGGAAGGAACAGTTCTTGAAATATTTTTCCAGAGTGGAATTTTGATCATAATCTATAGCTCATCCCTCAGAAGCTTGTTTCCTTGTTTCTTTTCCTTTTTTTAAATTTTTTTTGGCGGAATCAGACATTATAGGTGTTACTTTGCAGTGTTAAATATTGAACTAAGCTGTTTCTCTGTTTACTTTCCTTTCCAAATATGCAGATGCAAACGTGGTGGGTTAGGGGGAGGGACTGACGGTTTAAACATTGAAAAAGAGAATATTGTTCCAATGAGTCTTGCCGGGGCTTCCCCAATTAGAGAATGTAACATAGGCTCCTCTGAGGTATCTGTCAGGCTGGAATAGTTCCCACTGTTCACTGGGCAAAAAAGTGACAATCAGTAATGCAGTGTGTGCTGTGAATTTCCAAAAACGTCAGTAGGAAAGTAGGAGTTGATCCGTGGGGTTTGCAGTTAGGAGAAAAGCCTGCATATGCACTCCCAGCACCTGCATCACAAATTCTTTCTCTTCAGCCCCTCATCTCACTCCACAACTAACCTGGCAGCTCACTCACACAAAAGCCTTTCAGTGGCTCCTTTTATTACATCAATTACTCTTTCTTTTGTCCTATGTTATTTTACATTTAGATCAAGAAATAGTCTAAGTACCTTGGTTGGAAAATATCTGCTAGTCTTGAACTGCTTCAGGGTGGCTGACAGAGTAACTGTGGAAAAGAACAGGATCACAGACCAAAATAGAACATCTGGAACATATGGGTGATCATGGCCACAGGCCCGTCCAACATACTCTCCATGCAATGATTTGCATTCCTGCCAGAGGAAGTAAAACAAATGGAGCTACTAAGAAAAAACCGGACACATTTCTTGCAGAAAACTAACACCTTCTGATCAATTGTAGTTCAGATGCTGAGGCTTTTCCTTTATGGCTCTCACAATGATTTAGCAGGCATTACATTACGAGTTTCAAGTTCAACTTGGATGGGTGGTGAGAAATATGCAAAGGTTTATGAAAAATTTGAACATGAACTGCTTTTTAAATTTAAATGTATAAAACGATTGATTTACCAATTAATTAGTATGTATTAAATCTAATATCTACTAAGTTCCTAACACGAGATATATTGAAAATATGACATATGTAATAGTGATTGGTTACTAAGGTCAGACACTATGCCCAGCTATTTAAATACATCATTTAAATTACTTTTCACACCAATACCATAAAATATGTTCATGCTATTATTAATATTCCATGTCTGAGGAAACTGAAGCATAAAGGGGTTAAATAATTTGTTGTGGCCTCACCACTGGTGGGTGGCCGCAGAGCTGTGATACAAACACGATTTCTGCAGTGAGATTATTATTGCTTATTGACTAAGAACAATGACTTTGTAGAATTATCTAGTCCAAAAGCTGCCAAGAAAGATGAGAAAGGCAACAAGAAAACTATGACATACAATGACTGAAATGAACTTGTAAGTCAAAGATGGGACTATCGAACTTGGACTAAAGAACAAATGAAATAAAATTACTACATGAGCAAGGCAAAGCTCATATTTACTATGACTTCTCCATGGATTATTTTTTCTTCTGCAACTGTAGTTCTGTAAGAGCCTGAAGAACTATTTCTAATTACTGCCTTAGCCATGAGGTGGCAGCAAAGTCAAAAAAATTTTTTTCCTCCAGGAAAAACTGAGCATTTCAAACAAATATTTTGAATGAAAAAAAGTTATTTTAAACTTACTTTGGTTTATCTTATTTAAAAATTAGATTACTAAAGTATTTTTACATTTCAAAACAGGAAATAATGGTTTAAATGATCCAGTGATCTCATTAGTCCTTGAGATATTCTTGCCCTGAACATAAATTGAATTGCAGAGAGATCTTGGAGACAAATATGAACTGATAGATTGATCACAAACACAGAGTCTGCCCAACTTTAGGCCTGAAATCTTTGTAGAGCAAAAAGTAAATACACTCCAAAGATTGTAGAATAAATTACAAATAGCTACACTGTCATCTGAAAACAAACAACTAGTAAAATCTACTTGGAGTTGCTAGCTACCCTAAGCCTGAGAGTCTTGAGAAATATAGTTAATACACCTTATTATTGTCTTAAAGAATCTGTCTCCTTTTCTAATTTAACTGCAAACATCTTCCTTGATAGGCAAAGTTAAATTCCAATTATTCATGTTAAGCTAATACAGAGCACAGCAACTTGGCTAATTGAAAAACCACAGAAAAATCCCCCAGGCCTTAATTAAAGTTTTAATTTTCCTTCTTTCAAAATGCTTTAAAAATAGATAAGGTGGCAAAAATGAATCCTTGTGTTTTTCATCCTCTTCTGCACCTGTCCAGAAATGCTAGCAGAGCAATTATTAAGCAATATAATGGGTAGCAAAATTGCTACATAGAAAAAGGAGCTAAAAGTTCCATGATAAACACATTATCTATAAATTTGTGAGCATCTTTTGTCATTTCTGCAGGTATAAAAGTCATTTGGCGGGATCTTGTTCTCAATTCTTAAGAACATAGATGACATTTAAAGGGTTCCTTAGCTGTCTTACACTCTATAATTTGCCAATGGTCTGCCTAATTACATTAATTCAAAGCATATTTGAAAATGTTATTTATTTTCTCTTTGGGAGGAAACAAAATGCTAATTTTAAAAGAGAAAAATTGTGACCTGCTAAATTCAACAATTATTTTCAGATTTATACTAATTGTATCCCCAATACACACACAGAGGCACTCACACATGCACACATACATACATGCACACATACACACAGAGTAAGTCCTGAAATTTAGAAATGAAAACCAAATCCAAATCCTGCTCTCGTTTTTTGAGTCTAACATATGGTTTCAGTTACAATGGGTACTCAAAAAATGCTTGTTGACAAACTGATTTCTACTAATTACTCTTCAAACACATTCTAAGTTTCAGCAATTCTATAAGTTGGCAAAAATTAAGTTAGAATAAGAAATTAAAGTTGGCATTAGTGTCCTGCCCCTTATATATGTACAAGCTAAATATGTAATTCAGGCACTGAAACACCAAATGCTGGTTAACTGCTTATGAATATTTTAAATCTTGCCTAAGGATTTCTTATAAAGGCTGATTTTTGAGATACTGACAAATATATATATATATATATATATATATATATATATATATATATATATATATATACACACAAACTTAAGTACTCCAGTTTGCCATAAATATTTGCATTAAATAGTAAGATGAAACTGTTTCAAACAGACATTAAGTACTTCTATCAAATGTTTGACACTTACTATGCATAGAGCAGTTTGGGAGAATCAGAGAAAACTAAAGTTCTTTGCCCTTGCTGAGTTGGCAAGGTATAAATTATAATTCATGAGATATGTAACAAACAACTCAATAAAACATTACAGGACCTGCCAAACAAATAATATGTAAATTAAATGTTATGTCACTATTTTAACAAAATTAGTTGTGATAGCCACTAGTTCAGTGCTTTATTAATAAAATATTTTTGATGACATTATGAATATATTGAGGAAAAAATTCAGCATAACAATTAGACAAAAATTTTAATGGTCTTTTTTTGACTTAAAAATTACAAGATTGTTTTCATTATATAGTATTCCCTCTGGTGATAAAGACTGTTTCTGGTCAAGTTTAGCAATTATCCATTGCAAAAACTGCTTTTAACTAATGAAAAATAATATGAAACTTTCTGCTCAAATGTTAACACCTAGTACAAAACTTTTTAAAATGACAAAAAAAAAGAGAAAAAAACCAACAACCCCACAATGCTGTATTTGCTTTAATTGCAAAATATTTTTCACTATTCTACTTGACCTCAAAACTCAGGGTATCTAACTCACAGCTAGCCTGATAACTGTGCTGTATGTCTGCTTCTTAGAACTCTCAAAATTCAAGATTTGCTAATACATAGAAGGAATATTATTATTTAGTATTAAATTATTCACATAATACAAAACACATATAGAGTAAATTATCATGTTATATAACTTAGAGATGGGATCATTTGGGTTTTCATATTGAAGAAGACATCAAGAGGCTCTGTAAACATAATATAGTTTACCAAAGAAAGTGTAGACAGAAGACCCACTAATGATTTCATTAATCATGACCCCATGTCTAAATTCTGAATAACTATAGTGTTTTTTCTTGATCAGCTCATCAATTCTTTTATTGTTCAGTTTAAATGGCTCTTTGAGTGGAAGCAGACTGGCAATGTTATTTTTCTAGGGAAAAATAGGTGGAACAGAATAAATGTTAACAATAACAAAAGAAAACAATAAGAGTAACTGAAGGCTTATTCTACAGAACACAGCTAGGGTAAGAATAGAAGTAGTAAAATATAGGTCAAGATAGAATTTTAAATAAAGAGTAAGTAATTTGATTTCAATTTTGAAAGAACATATTCAATAGAGAAAATCAAGAATATAGTCAATAGATCATATGCTCTTTACAAGAATCATGTTTAGAGTTTTATAGTATCTGTACAACAAAAAAGATTTCTATGCTCACTAACTAGACAACTTACTAAAATAGTATGCATTTGATCAAATGAACTAGAACTCAATAGTTTTGTGCTGATAGTCATAATAAAACTTGAGCCTATATGGGTAGGTAAAGTGGTAGAAGGTTTGAACCTGTAATGTTTATAGCTGGGAAGAATAGAAAAGAAAGTAGGGCTACTCAGATTTTAATATTTATTTAAAGTAGAACACATTTTCAAATTACAAGATTTTATTGAACCAGAAGCATAGAATGCAAGTATTGATAGGAAAGGAGGCACAGAATAGATTCAGAAAAATAGAGAAATGCAGGTATGAGAAAAAAGAAATCACAAAGTAGAGAAAAGTCAAAGGAAATAAGACAATGGCACAGGATTGAACTGTTATAGGTGAAAAATATGTTGCCATGCTCTTTCTTGAGTGGGAGATAAGAATAAAATGGAAAAAAGAAAGATCTTGTTGAGGGAGGTGCCAGAATTTTGTGAAGAAAAGTGATATTTGTTCCTCCCAAAGACTTTAGTATTGACACTAGAATATTAGAAACATCCCTTTCCCCCCAGCAGATCCGGAACAGCTGGAGCAGCATTACAGAGTAAAGTAAGAGCATTCTGAGTTCTTTACACAGAAGGCAGACTTAGTTCTGCCATATGGTTTCATTTAGGTCAACACCACTCATATTTAATGTGCTTTCAGTCCATCTCGGTCACATATTTCTGTATAAGTGAGCTATTTGAGCAATTCTGGTCTTCTATTAGAACAACCTTAATAATGAAAGATAACCCCAGTTTACTGATGAGCATCTGAAATGATGAAATTAAAATTAAAACACAACTATTAGTTTTATATTATGCATTCAAAAAAATTTTACTGTAATGGCAATAATTGAGTCAAAATGTCAACAAAAGCTCTTAGGTATGACTTATTTTTCAGTGTTTTACTTACTGACACAGTTAGGTTCTCCCAAATTATGTCAGAGGCAGAAATATTGGATTCCCTCCATTCCTTCAATGTGCCATTGCTGGGATTATGCGGTTCCACACAGTTACACCTGAAAAGGCAAAATAGTGTCTTTTGTGAAATAAGTAGCTTTTTGTGACTGTACCGAAGACTAATGTATAACGGCTCCATTTTCTCCAGTCACAGCATTCCTCTATTTGACAGACAAGTAGTTAGGTTATCCTAAACTACTCCACAACAGACTATTTTCAAAAATCAAGATGGATAGACTGTTAGGATACTAGACTACTCTACAGTGTTTCCTGGAATGAGAGCCCCTTATGACACCCATTTGGCCCTAAATTATAAATCAAATAGAAAAATGATAAATATCCAAATCCATTGTTACTATGTAGTTAATATTGTAAAATCATATCAATTAAAATTAAAGGGGTATTTAATTCATATTCTGAAGATGATTTATAACTGGCATATAATTCAAAATTAAGGCTAGTTGAAAGGAGAACTCTAGCTACCTGAGGATATATCAGTGAGAAGAAGATATAGACAAAGATACCCACAAATTAACAGCCTTAGAAGTTAACCTCAATTTACAGTTTGTTTTCCAAAAATTCATTTGTAAACTTGCTATTTGCCCTTCATAAAGCATTTTCATAGAGAAGAATTTCATAAATGGTGGTTGGTCTCCCAGATTAACCCACATATACCACATAACTTGTAAGTTCATTGGACAGCTCTTTTAGTGATATTAATTGAACTATAGAACCGAATTGCCATTTCTAAGGTTATTACTATAGAAAATATCGTATAGTTTCTACTTGGTCTGCCTAAGCAACAGTCTCCCTTCTGCCTTCTACATCAGGAACTTACTCTGTTTCATTTCACCACCACTTATTCATTCTTTAAAGAGTTATTGTCTATTATTGCAAAAACAACTGAGTTGGGCAGTATAGACAGATATGGTTCTTGCTCTCACTAGGGAAATTGGAGGATTCTCCAGGGAGGCTCACTTGGAGACCCCAGAGAAACCTTAAAAACTGAGCTCCTGTCTATGATGGAACAGTAGGTCAGCCACACCCTGTAACACCCCCTACCTTGTTAACCACCAGTAGGCTTTCGTTCCTAAGGGTTAAACAGAAACAAGCTCTTTTGAAAGACTTGCTCCATGGCTGATTTCAACCAACCATGTTACGCTGCCCCTTGCTTTTTGTAGTTTCGACACAGCAACTGGCTAGCATTCCTTCCCAATAAGAGAACACTGAACATGGAGTGGTTCTGGCCAGTTTACAGAGACTGTATGCTGAGTCCCTTCATGTCCTCTGCTTAACCTTTTGACATATAGAGCTTAATTTTAGTATATTTAAATGCTTTTTCCACCCCAAAGTGAACATGGGACATATGTAATAGACATGTTAGCTTACTACACGTGTGCCCCTTCATGAATATTCATAGCTCCTCCAATAGCCGGTTGAATATGTATGCTAAACCAATCCATTTAGTATGAATTCCTGTCTCATTTTTCCTCCTTCGAAGCACCTGCTTTTCAGTTTTAACCAGAGGCTCCATTTCCCACTTGCAGGTTGTGATACTCCCTTTTAGAAATAAAGCTCTCCTCAGTAGATTTTGCTACTTTTTCAGTAGACATTATAAAGAGAAAAAAATTTTAAACGTGGAATGATTTTGAGCCTCTGGTGAAATGTTGAAAAGGAGAATTCATTTGATTGTGATGTTAGGAACATTGTTGTTTTCTTTCCTTCACTATGTATTTTTCGAGTTATTTTCTTAGTGGTTGCTCTAAGGCTTATCACATATACCCAGCTATTCTGTTCTAGATTGTTCTGTTATTTTTTACAATGTCCTGGGACATAAATTGCTCTGGGGGTCTGCTCCAACTAAATTCCAGCCTTTTTGCTGTGGTAGCCTTTTGTTTTTTGTTTTTAAAATATAGACAGAGTCTTGTTATGTTGCCCAGGCTAATCTCAAACTCCTGCGCTCAAGTAATCCTCCCACCTCAGCCTCCCAAAGGGCTGGGATTACAGGTGTAAGCCACAGTGCCCTGCCTGCTGTGGTCAGTGCTTGAGGTTTGTTCTGACCCAGGAGGGCTCTTCTTAGCTATCTCTTTTCCTGATTCTCTCTCATACACTAGCTAATCTGGTTTAGCTTGTCTCTTTCACGAAGCTACCAACCTCCCCTTAATTGCTTTCCACCAGAACTTACATTATTTTTGAGAATACCTTTATCTTGAACTTCCCTTTACTCTGCTTCAAATAAAGTCAGTTCCTTTGCAAAGAGCTTCAGTGCTCCCACTGGGGAAAATCTCTGACGCGCGGCTTCAGAGCTAGGGATGGGGACAGCATTGTGTTTCTCTGTAAGTGACTCCTCTGCTGTAGGAGCAGGGAGCTGAGCATGGGCAATAATCAGAGTCTCATTAATAATTGGGAACCCATACTATTCTCAGTGTTCCAGGCCTGAGGTTGAACCTCCACCCTACCAGTAGGAGCTGGGTGAGAGAAGGGAGCCCCAATATCTTGGATTCATCTAGCCAGAATTTAGCTTCTGGAGGGGAAGGGTGAAGGGAGACAAGAAACGCTGTTGGTCTTCTCCTCTTGGGAACATACAGTTGGCCTCAACTGGAAGCTGAGGAAGCCCTGTGTTCTTGTCCAGAGTTAAGCTTCTGTCATGCTGAGCTGGGAGGAGAGGAAGGGAAGTGGGTTGTGACTTAGGTGCCTTGGACTCATTGTTCTTACCAAGATTTAGTACACTTTTTGGAATAAATGTTTCTTCATTTGCTGTATACCCTTAAGAAAATTTCCAGAGACTTTTCATGATTGCCTTTTAAAATTACTTTTACCAGTATGGTTGTTTCACTGGGGAGAGGGTCTGCAGAGCTTCTTTTACCACCATTCTGGAAGTATATACTCATAACATTATTTGTAAAGTACTATAGATGTCATGACACTGGAGCCATGGAGAAGGAAGCATTGCACATTACTTGGTTCTACAGTAAATAATACTTACACAGTTATAATTACATAAAGATTTCTATATTTTTATAGAATTTTACATTCTATGTTTATAGAAAATCTATATTTTTACATTCTATAATTATAGAAAATCTAAAATTTACAGAATTTTATAGATTTCTATATTTTTAAATTTTTTAGAATCAATCTTTAGGCAAATTACTTAACACTTACCCATGGTTACAAAATAATATATGTTAATAGCCGCTACAACGGAGTTGGGGGTGGGGAGGTAGAAGGAGGAACACAGAGTTGGGAGGAAAGGTGAGAATTATTCATCTCCTCTTACAAAGTGGAATGTAAAGACAGTTACCTATGGCTGATAGAATCAGAAATGGAAATCTACATATGTTAATTGTGGCTATATACTTATAGCTACAGAGGTTACAGGGATGATGGAACTTAAGATGTGATATTATCGTATTGAAAAGGGAGGTAGAGTGAAGAGGAAGGTTGGGGATAAGTGTAGAAAATTAGCTAAATCTGGACAGGTGCAGTGGCTCACATCTGTAATTCCAGCACTTTGGGAGGCAGAGGCAGGCAGATCACAAGGTCAAGAGATCGAGACCATCCTGGCCAACATGGTGAAACCCCATCTCTACTAAAAACACAAAAATTAGGGAGGCATGGTGGCAAGTGCCTGTACTCCCAGGTACTGAGGAGGCTGAGGCAGGAGAATCACTTGAACCTGGGAGACAGAGGTTGCAGTGAGCAGAGATTGCATCACTGCACACTCTGCCTGGCGACAGAGCGAGACTGGTCTCAATAAAATAAAATAAAAATAAAATTAGCTAAATCCATATTTATAAGAGCAAAAAGTAAATTTGTCACACTTAACATGGGTAAAACAAGAAAAAAATATAAGCATATTATTTAGAAATTTAGAGGGATCACTAAAAATAATTTTAAAAAATTTTGTTAAAAATGTTGCCTTTGAGTGAACTGGTGCTTTAAATTATAATCTTCCTGTACTATTTGTGGGGTTTTTTTTCCCTAGGATATGTATGGACTATTTTGATAACAATAAAATGTACTTGAAAAAAATAATTAGTTCTTCTTGTGTCAGCCCTAAGTTTGCTTTCTCATTTCAGAGTGTACAAATTATCTCAAAATCTCTTTTATATTTGCTTTGTCTCTCTTTTTTTTTTTTCTCTTCTATAAGCTCCAAAGGTTTGCGATCATGGGGAAACCAGTTGAATACTTCTCTTGTACATATCATGCCCTTCTCAATGATAATTATATGCCCAAGATATTTGGATTATTTTCAACAGCAGAAGGCAGCCTAGCATGTTATAGGTTATAGATTATTATTATCGATAATAGATTATTATCGATAATAATGTATAATCTATAATATAATCTATAATAATAATAATCTATAAATATCAACTCTTATACACGAACTCGGATGTGATTTTGCATGTAATGAATCCTCACCATTTGTATACAAACTGTGAACTCAATTGCTGCATTGGAATGGTCTAACAGAACTGATCCCAGGCAATAGGCCTTGGTCCATAGTCCTCAGACTTCCAAATAAAGCTAACTTTTCTTTATTTAATTAATTCATTAATTAATTTATTTATTTGGAGACAGGGTTTCTCTCTGTCCCCCAGACTGGAGTGCAATGGCATGATCTCGGTTCACTGCAACCTCCGCCTCCCAGGTTCAAGCGATTCTCGTGCCTCAGCCTCCCGAATAGCTAGGACTGCAGATGATCGCCATCGTGCCTGGCTAATTTTTGTATTTTTAGTACAGACGGGGTTTTGTCATGTTGCCAGCTGGCCTCTAACTCCTGGCCTAAAGCAATCTGCCTGCTTCAGCCTCCCAAAGTGCTGGGATTATAGGCATGAGCCACCGTACCTGGCCTGATACTTTAAAAGCTTGATTTTTTTTTTCTTTAGTCAACAGGGCTTCAGCATATGAATTTGGGTGGGGTATGGAGAAAAATTCACTCTATAACAGTAACTTCCTGTTCTTTACTTCTCCTCCTTAAGGTACGGTAACCTTCAAGTAAGCCTCCACCTTAGGCTATGTTTTCAGGGGAACCTAGATTGCAGTAAGTTTTGTTCCACATGTTTGGTAACATTGAAAGCTTAGGCATCTAGGCATTCTGCACAATGCTTAATTAACTCAATAAAAAGTTAATGATTGTCATGCAAGACAGCATGCTAAGTTGGACAAGATAGATATAATCTCGGGGCTTTCTTTAAATGCAGGAGAGAAATCTTAAGTAGCCAATTACACAATTATTTGACTACATCTGTAAAATGTACTATAAAAAAGTCTGGGCTACTAAAAAGATAAACAAATAGGCATCCACACCTTGAGTCTGGGTGTTCAAGGAAAACTGAGATCTAAAAGAGGGACAGAATTTGGTAAGACATAGTGTGGGCACGGCAGTGAGGGTGGGGAACTACAGAGAATAAACAGTGTTAATTTGGTTGAAACAGAAGGGGTGGAGGAAGAGATGGGGTATGGATCTGAGATAGGCAGGGTCTAGACTGTGCAGACTGAGTGCTGGGGGGCCTGGTAAGTATATTGCATATTAAAATAATAACACTAAATAGCCTTTGGTTTGTGATTAACATTGATTATGCTGCCATCATTTAAGGTCCAGATCATTAACTGAAATGATACTTTAAACCATATTGAGTATCTTTTTTTTAACACAATGGTATGCGACTAGAAATCAATAACAGGAAGAATTTTGGAAAATGCAGAAATATGTGGAAATTAAACAACATACTCCTCAACAACCAGTGGGACAATGAGGAAGTTAAAAGATAAATTTAACAATGTATTGAGACAAATGAAAATGGAAACACAACTTGCCAAAAACAAATACTTTTGTAGATTGCAACAGTAAGAGTTCTAAGAGGAAAGTTCATGGCAATAAACACTTACATCAAAAAGGGAGAAAGATCTCAAACAACCTATAACATTGTACCTTAAGACACACAAAATAAGAAGAAACTAAGCACAGAGTTACTAAAAGGAGGAAAATAATAATCAGAGCAGAAATAAGTGAAATACAAAGTAGAAAAACAATAGAACTGCTCAACATTTTATTGTTGAAATAGAACATTCTATTCTATTCTATCTAACAATAGAACAGCTCAACTAAAGGTTGGTGTTTTGAAATAATAACAAAATCAACAAATGTTGAGCTAGACCAAGAATAAAGGAAAGAAAATTCAAACAAATAAAATCAGAAATGAAAGAGGAGACATTAAAATACACTACAGAAATGCAAAGGATTATAAAAGAACGCTATAAACAATTATTATCCAACATATTGAATAACCTAGAAAAAAATGGATAAATTCCTAGACACATATAACCTACTAAGGTTGAATCAGGAAGAAATAGAAGATCTGAACAGACCAATAATAAGTAAGGAGATTGAATCAATTACCAAAAGCCTCTCCCAAGAAAGAAAAGCCCACGACCTGATGGCTTCAGTGCTGAAATCATCAACCATTTAATGAAGAACTAATAATACCAGTTCCTCTGAAACTCTTTCAAAAAATTGAAGAAGAGAAGTACATCCAAACTCATTTTATGAGGAAAGCATTACAATGATACCAAAGCCAGACAAGAACATTACAAGAAAATATTATAGGTCAATATCCCTGATGAACATAAATGCAAAAACCTTCAAAATATACCAGCAAATTAAATGCAACAACACAGTAAAAGAATAATTCATCATGATCAAGTGAGATATATCCCAAAGATGCAAGGATGATTCAACATTTACGAATCTATAAATGTGATACACTACATTAATATAATAAAGAACAAAAACCATGTGATCATCTCTACAGACACAGAAAAAGCATTTGACAAAATTCAACATTCTTTCATGATAGAAACTCTCAGAAATTAAACATAGAAGGAATGTACCCCAACACAATAAAGACCACATGTGATAAACCCACAGCTAATATCTTATTCAATGGTGAAAAGTTGAAAGGTTTTCCTGCAAGATCAGGAATAAGACAAGAATGCCTACTCTTGCCACTTTTAGTCAACATTGTACTGGAAGTTCTAGTCATAGCCATTAGGCAAAAGAAAGAAATAAAAGGCATCCAAATTGGAAAGAAAGAAAGAAAGAAAATTATCCTTATTTGCACATAAAAATGGGTAGCACTTTAACACCCTAACAACAAACTATCTGAAAAATAAAATCAAGAAAACAATCCTGTTTGCAATAGTTACCAAAATAAATTTCAAATACTTAGGAATAAATTTAATCCAAAGGAGGTGAAAGACCTGTACACTGAAAACTATAAAACATTGATGAAATAATTGTAGAGGACACATATAAAAGGAAAAATATCCTGTGTTTATGGATTGGAAGAACTGATATTTAAAATATCCATACTAACAAAAGCTATCAACAGATTCAATATAATCCCTGCCAAAATGCCAATGACATTTTTTACAAAAATAGAAAAAAGCAATCCTAAACTTTGTATAACCACAAAAAACAAATAACCAAATAAATCTTGAGCAAAAAGAACAAACCTGGAAGTATCACAATATCAAACTTCAAAATACACCACAAAGCTGTATTACAAGGCAGCATGGCACTGGCATAAAAATAGACACAGAGGCCAGTGAACAGAATAGACAACCCGAAATAAATCCATGTATTTAAGGTCAAATGATTTTCGACAAAGATGCTGAGAGCACACAGTGGGGAAAGGACAGTCTCTTCAACAAATGGTGTTGGGACAACTGAATATCCACATGTGGAAGAATGAAATCAGACCCTTATCTCACACCATATTTAAAAAAGGATTAAATACCTAAAACCACTATAAGAAAACATTGCCATTTGTCTGCATAATTTTTTTTTGGATTTAACCCCAAATCACAGACTGGGAAAGCAAAGATAGACAAATGAGATTACATCAAACTAAAAAGCTGCATAGCCAAGAAAATAATCAGCAGAGTGAATATACAACCTATGGAATGAGATAAAATATTTACAAACCATAAATCTGATAAGAGATTAATGTTTAAAATATACGAGGAACTCAACACAACTGTAAGAAAAAAAACAAGGTTAAAAATGGGCAAAGTATCTGAATAGACATTTCTCAAAAGAAGACATACAAATAGCCAATGGTATGTGAAAAAATGCTCAAATCACCAATGATCAGAGAAATGCAAATTAAAACCACAGAGATACTACCTCACATCTATAAGAATGGTTATTATCGAAAAGATGAAAACTACTCACAGTAGCCAAGATTTCGAAGCAACCTAAGTATTCACCAACAGATGAATGAATAAGGAAAATGTGGTACATATATATGATGAAATACTATTCAGCCATAAAAAGAATGAGATCCTGTCATTTGTGTCAACATGAATAGAAGTGAAGGTCGTTATATTAAGTGAAATAAGCCAGGCACTGAAAGACAGACTTTGCATGTTTTCACTTATTTGTGGGAGCTAAAAATTAAAATAATCGACCTCATGTAGATAAAAAGTATAATGATGGTTATCAGAGGCTGGGAAGGGTAATGAGGGGTGGGCAGGCAAGTGGGGGTGGTTAATGGGTACAAAAATATAGTTAGGTAGAATGAATAAGATCTGGTATTTGATAACACAACAGGGTGACTACAGTCAACAATAATGGATTGAACATTTTAAAATAATTTAAAGAGCAAAATTGGATTGTTTGTAACAGAAAGAAAGAACAAACGCTTGAGGTAATGGATATCTCATTTACTCTGATGTGATCATTACACATCAAAATGCCGGTATCAAAATATCTCATGCACCCCATACATATACACACTTACTGTGTGCACAAAATTAAAAATTAATTTTTTTTTAAAGATGAAAGTGTCTGAACAAGTGTTGGCGAGGAGGTGGAGAAAGGGAAACTTTTCACATTGTTGATGGGAATATAAATTAGTACAGCCATATGGAAAACAGTACGGAGTTTCTTCAAAAAATTAATAGACCTACCATATGATCCATCAATTCCACTACTGGATATGTACCCAAAGGTAATTAAATCAGTAAATGGAAGAGATATCTGCATTCCCATGTTCACTGTAGCATTTATTCACAGTAGCCAAGATATGGAATCAACCTAAGTGCCCATCAATGGACGAAAGGATAAGTCAAACATGGCATTGAGGCTGAGTGTGGGGGCTCATGCCTGTAATCCCTGCATTTTGGGAGGCCAAGGCAGGAGGATTGCTTGAAGCCAGACCTTTGAGAACAATCTGGGCAACATAGCAAGAATGTTGTCTCTATAACAAATTTTTTAAATTAGGCAGATGTGGTGGCATGTGCATGTTGTCCTAGTTACTCGGGAGGCTGAGGCAGAAGTATTGCTTGAGCCCAGGAGTTCCAGGCTGCAGTGAGCTATGATTGTGCCACTGTACTCACTGGGTGACAGAGTGAGAGCCTGTAAAAGAAAGAGGAAAGGGAAGGGAAGGGAAGGGAGAAACAAAGAGAGAAAGAGAGAGAAAGAGAAAGAAAAGAATAGAAAGAAAAAAGAGAAAAGAGAGAGAAATAAAGAAAAAAGAAACAAAGAAAGAGAAAGAAAAAGAAAGGAAGGAAGGAGAAAGAAAGAAGAAAGAAAGAAAGAAAGAAAGAAAGAAAGAAAGAAAGAAAGAAAGAAAGAAAGAAAGAAAGAAAGAAAAGAAGGAAGGGGAAAGAGAAAGAAAGAGGAAAGAAAGAAGAAAAGAAAGAAAAACAGGCAGGAAAGAAAGAGAAAGAAAGATAAGTGGCATATATACATTGTGGAATACTTTTCAGCCTTAAAAAGGAACAAAATTCTGTCATTTTGACAATTTGGATGAATTTCAAGGACATTATGTTAAGTGGAATAAGCCAGGCACAGAAAGACCAATACCTTGTGATCTCACTTATATGGGGAATCTAAAAAGACTGAACTCATGGAAATAGAAAGTAGAATGGTGGTTATCAGGGGCTCAAGGAGTATGGGGAGAAAAGATCAGACCTAGACACATCTAGAGCAACTGTAGCTCCAACTCTCAAGAAATGGCATTAAAGAAAAGTACTTGAACACTGAGAGGTCTTTTGAAAAGAGTCAGTGGATCAAACTCCCTACAGTAGTAAAGATTGTGGTAGAAAGATCCTATACTTTACATTTTTCCAAAGATAAGTAGGAGGCAGATCAGGTGAATCCTGAAGTTCCAGAACCACCACAGATGCCCAATCCATGTCATCATCCACATAAGAGTTTCATGTTCCTCCATGATCTGATCCTGAGTCCCAGTTTGGGACTCAGAGGCAAGTCCTAATAGAAATAACCTTTCATACTTAATGAAGATACCGAGGTACTAGACTAAGGATTAAGGATAGTAAAGCTCAGTAGCATGTCCATAGTCTGAAATGAGATGAGTGCTTATTTTAAAAAGTAGAATCTAATGTATCCATATTGATCTTGGATCCTGCTCCAAATGGAGGCTTATACATTATACCCATGGTAGCCTCCCTCAAAGTGTCAATTTGGTCTGCAATGTCTTTTTCTGAATGTCTTGCTTTGGTTTTACAGTAGTGGCAGTGTTAGGTAAAAAGAATTAGGTGAACAAGCAAGGATCATAGGTCTGCAAATGTCTTGCTACTGTTCTGCTCATACATATCTGAACCTGCCAACCTCAGTCTGTAAGCCAGTTCACTAGTAAGGAGTAGTATGCTCCCTTAATGAGAAGATTCTCCCAAATTGATTTCTCTGTTACTTTATCTCAGAAAAAAAAGGCCCAACACCATAAGAGTTTGATGGGAAAACATTTTCATACTCTGAAAACCTAGTATATTTATTAATGACAAAAAGGAAACTAAAACACAAAATAGGGAAAATATGGCAAATTTCTTGCAGGAGTGTTATAATAAGAGAGAACTAGCATTATAGTGGATATATACATGAAATGCATGTGTGTGTACATAAAGTGTATATAGGTATACTTTTATAACATCTATAAAACAATTTTATTTAAAGGTAGGTTGGGAACAAACACATTAGTTCTTTGATCTCCTTTATATTACTGCCAACGGTAACAACAATAGAGATTTAAAACTATCCCATTTTTATATTTTAGCAAAATCCCTGTCGCTCTTCTAAGTTATCTTACCCACCCAAGTAACAAAACCAGAGCAAATTGTAAGTTCTACTCATTTGAAGCGTGGATTAGTAAACTGAAGACACAACTGATTCTAAATTAATTTTTTTAAAGCTCCATTTTATGCTTTTACTCTGATGCATCCTGGAGGAAAACAATCTTTATTTAAAAGAAAATTAGTCACTACTTAAAGATTTAAAAAGTATTAACACATTTTTAAAATAAATAAAAAAAGGCTGGATTGGGGCAATGCTTGGCTCCTGGGAACCAGTATCATGGTGTTCAGCTGTAAGATTGGCCCATTCATCCTCAACAGCAACCTGGCCAATTTAGGTACCAAGTAACTCCAGAAGCTGGAGCTGATTATTTGCAGCTGGATGAAACGTATAGGTATTTTGTTCCGAACATCACCTTTGCTCATTCTGTGGTAGAAAGTCCCCAAAAGAAGCTAGGCCAGAGTCCTGTCTTTGACATGCACTGGATGATGTCCAGGCCAGAAGAGTGGCTGAAGCCAATGGCTGTGGCAACAGCCAATCAGCCAATCATCTCAGGATATTGAGAACACAGGGACTTCGATAAAAAACATGGGGAGACTAGCCTGGCCAATATGGTGAAACCCCCTTTCTGCTGAAAATACAAAAATTAGCCAGGCGTGGTGGTGCACGCCTGTAATCCCAGCTACTCAGGAGGCCGAGGCAGGAGAATTGTTTGAACTGGGAAGCAGAGGTTGCAGTGAGCCAAGATTGTGCCACTGCACTTCAGCTTGGGCCACAGAGCGAGACGCGTCTTAAAAAACAAAATAAAACAAAACAAAACAAAACAAAACAAAACAAAAACATGTGGCAGAATGAGATGAAGATTAGATCTTACCAGAGATCTTATCTACTTTGTCAACTTTGCTGGAAGGGCAGGTTATTCAGTGATTTCCCTCCTTTCTTAATCTTACCTACAATTTTTAATTCCACCTACCATTTAACAACATTAGATAATGCTGTTGTGTTAGCTCTGAGTAGAAAGGAGAAGTATTACTTCTATAATTAGTAATACTCACTAATACTGAATTACTTCCATTTGGAGGTAATATTGAGTTGAATACTGATTCTGCCCCTTTCTAGCTATTGATCTTAGCAAATCACCCAACCCCTGAGTTTCTATGAATTCATTATATAACTAATTAATATAATTATAATATAAATTAATATAATTTATTCAGTAAGTATAATTATAACAACTGGACAGGATTTCTTGAGAATTAAAAGAGACACCATTCTATATATAATGGTGTATAAAGCTTCTAGTACTATTCCTAGAGTTTCATGGATGTTCAATACAAAGTAACGGTCATATAACTTTGTGTTTTATGGGTTATAAACTACTTTGATATAATTGCATTAAATCTGCAAATCACTCCTTTGAGTGGTAGGAGAGATTTTTGTTCTGTTTAAAGAAAATGAAGAAACTAAAGCTCAACACAGGCTTTTCTCATGGAAAGAATCCAGCAGTGCATGTGATTTCTGGTCTGCACTCTTTACAAATGGAGCCTTTGGGAGGTAGGTTAAACAAACGAAGCTTCTCTTACTTAATATTACCTTATTTCCAGTCTAAATTTACCCTGTAGCAGAACCAGATGGCTATGAATATTGTGAAACTATAGATCTTGGTCCTAAAAGGTATGTATATTTATTATTCCAAGAAAGACCAGGTAGCTTAGGAGATGACAGGGTACAGAAGTAACTCACAAACTAAAAGATTTATATAGTGTCCCAAATTATACTTAGATAACAAATATGTATTAACTACTTCCTTCTTATAAATATTCTTGATATATAATACTATGGCAAGAAATAAAAAAATTAAAAACCAGAATGGATACTCTGATTTTTTTTTCTGTATAAATTGTGAGAATTTGAAAACAAATGTAAAAATAAATCTCTTAAGGCTCAGGTTCAGGGCTTCCAACTTTGTGAGGAAGAGATATTTTCTATTTTAAAGTTTTAAGATCCTTGGAGATGTTTCCATCAATAAACTGAACTGAGCACAGTAAGGGGAGGGCCCAAATGCTACCTGCTTTGCCTCCCGACTGGGAATCCCAACTAACTAAACATGTGGAATTGAGGAAGCAGAAATGACCTAGCTGGCTGGTTGAAGATCTGTCATCTATCGGGAGCATCCTGATAGATGATGCTCAACTCATTGGTCAGGGGTCCCTAGCTTAGGTGCATGTAAAAATATGTGTGACTTGTTGAAACTGCCATATGCTCTCTAAAGTCTGTTAGAATTACAACACGTGTTTAAGCTGTTAGCAGAGAATGGAATAATTATTTTAGATATTTGCCTAGGCACATAGATATAGTCCTATAATTCTGATTTAAAACATCTGAACATAAAGAAGCATAGTGGATCTGCCTCGGTTCCTAACCCAGCATTGTCATGAATTCAAATAATTGTATCACAGGTGACCATTGCACAGTAGTGCTATCAACAAAACAAAACAAACTGTGTAATATCATTCACTAGAAGCAAGAGTCTCTTTCTCGTTGAAGTAAATTAGTAATATATTGTCTGAATCTGTTTATTAAGTGGCAAACATCCTTTTTTTTTGGTTGCTAACAAATAGAATTCCCTAAGATGGTCAGTTAGTTTACCTCAGAAATAAAAGGGCCAGTACTATAGTTTAACAGAAAGTTATTTGCATATTTTGAAAATTTGTTAAAAGTAAATCCATACATAAGAAACAAAAATATAAAATAGAGAAAATATGGCAAGTTTCTTGCAGAAGTAACATAACGAGGGAGAAAGATAGCACTATCGTAGATATGTGAATACCTCCATGTACAAATGTATATGTGTATATACATACATATATGTTTTCTGTAGCTACTGTATATCTATGCCTATAGGTATGGCGTGCATACAGTTGCTATACGCATGGCATATAGTGGATTTTCTAGTTTAATAGTTTAATTGCTACATTTTATAGATGGGAGGAACTAAATGTTTGATAACTTATCCAAGGCTACACTGATAGAAATAAACTTGAATCCAGGTCTGTCCCAACCTGAAACTCCTACTTTTTTTTTTTTTTTTTTTGCTTTCAAGGATTGTTATGATTTTATTTTTGCTCTTGAATGAGAGGGACAGCCATTGAGAAGTTTGTTTTTTTTTTTAATTTTCAAGATATTTTTATTATATATTATACTTTTTTTATTCTGTTATTATTATACTTTAAGTTTTAGGGTACATGTACACAATGTGCAGGTTAGTTACATATGTATACATGTGCCATGCTGGTGTGCTGCACCCATTAACTCGTCATTTAGCATTAGGTATATCTCCTAAAGCTATCCCTCCCCCCTCCCCCCACCCCACAACAGTCCCCAGAGTGTGATGTTCCCCTTCCTGTGTCCATGTGTTCTCATTGTTCAATTCCCGCCTATGAGTGAGAATATGCCGTGTTTGGTTTTTTGTTCTTGCGATAGTTTACTGAGAATGATGATTTCCAATTTCATCCATGTCCCTACAAAGGACATGAACTCATCATTTTTTATGGCTGCATAGTATTCCATGGTGTATATGTGCCACATTTTCTTAATCCAGTCTATCACTGTTGGACATTTGGGTTGGTTCCAAGTCTTTGCTATTGTGAATAATGCCACAATAAACATACGTGTGCATGTGTCTTTATAGCAGCATGATTTATAGTCCTTTGGGTATATACCCAGTAATGGGATGGCTGGGTCAAATGGTATTTCTAGTTCTAGATCCCTGAGGAATCGCCACACTGACTTCCACAATGGTTGAACTAGTTTACAGTCCCACCAACAGTGTAAAAGTGTTTCTATTTCTCCACATCCTCTCCAGCACCTGTTGTTTCCTGACTTTTTAATGATTGCCATTCTAAGTGGTGTGAGATGGTATCTCATTGTGGTTTTGATTTGCATTTCTCTGATGGCCAGTGATGGTGAGCATTTTTTCATGTGTTTTTTGGCTGTATAAATGTCTTCTTTTAAGAAGTGTCTGTTCATGTCCTTTGCCCACTTTTTGATGGGGTTGTTTGTTTTTTTCTTGTATATTTGTTTGAGTTCATTGTAGGTTCTGGATATTAGCCCTTTGTCAGATGAGTAGGTTGCGAAAATTTTCTCCCATTTTGTAGGTTGCCTGTTCACTCTGATGGTAGTTTCTTTTACTGTGCAGAAGCTCTTCAGTTTAATTAGATCCCATTTGTCAATTTTGGCTTTTGTTGCCATTGCTTTTGGTGTTTTAGACATGAAGTCCTTGCCCATGCCTATGTCCTGAAATAACCAATACAGAGAAGTGCTTAAAGGAGCTGATGGAGCTGAAAGCCAAGGCTTGAGAACTACGTAAAGAATGCAGAAGCCACAGGAGCTGATGTGATCAACTGGAAGAAAGGTTATCAGTGATGGAAGATGAAATGAATGAAATGAAGTGAGAAGGAAAGTTTAGAGAAAAAAGAATAAAAAGAAACAAACAAAGCCTCCAAGAAATATGGGACTATGTGAAAAGAACAAATCTACGTCCGATTGGTGTACCTGAAAGTGACCGGGAGAATGGAACCAAGTTGGAAAACACTCCGCAGGATATTATCCAGGAGAACTTCCCCAATCTAGCAAGGCAGGCCAACATTCAGATTCAGAAAATACAGAGAACACCACAAAGATACTCCTCGAGAATACCAACTCCAAGACACATAATTTTCAGATTCACCAAAGTTGAAATGAAGGAAAAAATGTTAAGGGCAGCCAGAGAGAAAGGTTGGGTTACCCACAAAGGGAAGCCCATCAGACTAACAGCGGATCTCTCAGCAGAAACTCTACAAGCCAGAAGAGAGTGGGGGCCAATATTCAACATTCTTAAAGAAAAGAATTTTCAACCCAGAATTTCATATCCAGCCAAACTAAGCTTCATAAGTGAAGGAGAAATAAAATACTTTACAGACAAGCAAATGCTGAGAGATTTTGTCACCACCAGGCCTGCCCTAAAAGAGCTCCTGAAGGAAGCACTAAACATGGAGAGGAACAACTGGTACCAGCCACTGCAAAAACATGCCAAATTGTAAAGACCATCGATGCTAGGAAGTAACTGCATCAAGTAACAAGCAAAATAACCAGCTAACATCATAATGACAGGATCAAATTCACACATAACAATATTAACCTTAAAGGTAAATGGGCTGAATGCTCTAATTAAAAGACACAGATTGGCAAATTGGATAAAGAGTCAAGACCCATCAGTGTGCTGTATTCAGGAAACCCATCACACGTGCAGAGACACACATAGGCTCAAAATAAAGGGATGGAGGAAGATCTACCAAAAAAAAAAAAAAAAAAAAAAACCAAAAAAAGGCAGGGGTTGCAATCATAGTCTCTGATAAAACAGACTTTAAACCAACAAAGATCAAAAGAGACAAGGCCATTACATAATGGTAAAGGGATCAACTCAACAAGAAGAGCTAACTATCCTAAATATATATGTATCTAATACAGGAGCACCCAGATTCATAAAGCAAGTCCTGAGTGACCTACAAAGAGACTTAGACTCCCACAAAATAATAATGGGAGACTTTAACATCCCACTGTCAACATTAGACAGATCAACGAGACAGAAAGTTGACAAGGATACCCAGGAATTGAACTCAGCTCTGCACCAAGCGGACCTAATAGACATCTACAGAACTCTCCACCCCAAATCAACAGAATATACATTTTTTTCAGCACCACACCACACCTATTCCAAAATTGACCACATAGTTGGAAGTAAAGCTCTTCTCAGCAAATGTAAAAGATCAGAAATTATAACAAACTGTCTCTCAGACCACAGTGCAATCAAACTAGAACTCAGGATTAAGAAACTCACTCAAAACCGCTCAACTATATGGAAACTGAACAACCTGCTCCTGAATGACTACTGGGTACATAATGAAATGAAGGCAGAAATAAAGATGTTCTTTGAAACCAACGAGAACAAAGACACAACATACCAGAATCTCTGGGACACATTCAAAGCAGTGTGTAGAGGGAAGTTTATAGCACTAAATGCCCACAAGAGAAAGGAGGAAAGATCCAAAATTGACACCCTAACATCACAATTAAAAGAACCAGAAAAGCAAGAGCAAACACCTTCGAAAACTAGCAGAAGGCAAGAAATAACTAAAATCAGAGCAGAACTGAGGGAAATAGAGACATAAAAAACCCTTCAAAAAGTTAATGAATCCAGGAGCTGGTTTTTTGAAAGGATCAACAAAATTGATAGACCGCTAGGAAGACTAATAAAGAAGAAAAGAGAGATGAATCAAATAGACACAATAAAAAATGATAAAGGGGATATATATCACCACCGATCCCACAGAAATACAAACTACCATCAGAGAATACTACAAACACCTCTACGCAAATAAACTAGAAAATCTAGAAGAAATGGATAAATTCCTCGACACATACACCCTCCCAAGACTAAACCAGGAAGAAGCTGAATCTCTGAATAGACCAATAACAGGCTCTGAAATTGTGACAATAATCAATAGCTTACCAACCAAAAAGAGTCCAGGACCAGATGGAAACTCCTACTCTTTTAGCTATTGTATGCTGCCTCAATATGTGACTTGGTGCTGTTTCTATCAAGATAGCCAGAAGAGTGAGATGACTCCAGAACAAATGAAGTAATCTACATTTCACCGTGTAGTTTGCTAGCTTCCACTTTCAAGACTTCTCTCCTATAAGGTATTCTTCCAAAACACCTGTAGCTCTGCCCTCCTATCATGAAAACTACACCATCCACATTTTCCTCAGCCCCACTGTCCAGTTTCCTATAACCCCATCGAAACCTGATGATATGGCTTCTCCATTCATTTTGCTTTACTACTCCCTCAAGAACATGGTCTCTGCTTTCCAAAGTGGTTATACTGTGTTAGTGAATACAATGGCATGTGTTACTCCATTCCTGGTAGTGTACTTACATTTTAACCGTGACTTTTTGAAAATGCTAAGTTAGAAATTTGATGTACCAATGTCATAGGAGAGACATTTTTTGAAGAGTTGAGTCTACAAGTGGACGTTAGTTACCTACGTGCCTCCCTGTCAAAGCTATCTCTAGGTTATGACATTACTCACCTATAAATCAATTCCAAAGTGGAAAATATGTTTTTAATATACAAGATTTATATATGACATAAATAAATAAATTCAAATTTAAAAATAAATAAGTTAAAGATTTATTTGTATTTATATATGTATAAAATCACAGATATCATGTATACCCAAGCAAATATTGTTCTTTCTTGAGTCTGCACCTCTGACATCTAAAATCTCAGCAGACAGTTCTCAGAGGCTGCCCAGTTGTGTAAGGACATTTGATATCTCCGTACCAACTCTTGGTGGCTCAAAGAAGACTTCTGACTACTTACTTCTTATGTTCTTACATATCAAAAATAGATATGCTAAATAAATCAATCAAGAAAAATGTGAGAAAAAAATCCCATTTTCCTGTCTTCCTCTGTATTGGTGAACTTATTTCTAAAACTACAAAAAGTTAAAGAAGATAAATGAAAAAGAAAAAAGAAGAAAGAAAGAGAAAAGAAACATGGAAATAGCACTGTGAGGAGATAGAATATGAGTCTGGAACAAGCTTTTTTGTTAATCTCATCAAAAATAATTTCTAGTGACTCTGGCAATAAGATGGAGTATTAATGCAAAACGTTTCTTTTGATGCATAGCATAGTGTATGCTTAGAACACTGAGGTCTCCAGCCAGGTTTCCTATGTTCATTCAAATCCAAGCATTTAGCTGAGCAACCTTGGACAAGCCATTTAATCACTCTATGTTTCAGTTTCCTTATGTATAAAGTGAAGATAATGATAATAATCAACCTCATGGGGTTATTTTTTTTTCTTTTTTTTATTATTATACTTTAAGTTTTAGGGTACATGTGCACAATGTGCAGGTTTGTTACATATGTATACATGTGCCATGTTGGTGTGCTGCACCCATTAACTCATCATTTAACATTAGGTATATCTCCTAATGCTATCCTTCCCCACTCCCCCCACCCCACAACAGGCCCCGGTGTGTGATGTTCCCCTTCCTGTGTCCATGTGTTCTCATTGTTCAATTCCCACCTGTGAGTGAGAACATGCAGTGTTTGGTTTTTTGTCCTCGCGATAGTTTGCTGAGAATGATGGTTTCCAGCTTCTGAGTTCATGTCCTTTCTAGGGGTTATTATAAAATTAAATGAATTAATATACATAAAAGTCCTAGAATGGGCCCTGACATAAGTAAATAGAGATTGTTAGGTATCTCATTTTGGTTATTTATTATTGTTACTATCACAAGCTCATAGACTGAAAAGTCCAACAATCATAAAGCAGAAAAAGGGTTGTATCTGCACTTCTCTACATGTTTAAAAACACCAGTATAAAATGCCAATAATTTTCACTTGTGGTGCTGAATTATTTGGCTTAAAATACACTTTTTATAAAATACATCTTTTAGTACCCTTTACTGCCCACAGAAAAGCAAGTGCTCTAAGCGATCTTGTTTATATAAATGGCTACAGAGTGATTACATAAACATTATAATTAAATGCCCTCATCCAGAAGTCTTTGCTTTTGTTTCAAGGCTAATGGAGGTGATCTGTCTTCCTTACACAAGAAGAGCCTGCGGCTGTCTTCTGGAAAACATAATTTGGTAGAACTCCCTTCAACATTATTACTAATTTTAGTCCTTGGGTTGCAGATGCTCTCCTTTTGCCTTTGTAGTTATTAATAGTACCTTCCTGTGTGCACTAAACAGTTATGGTTTGTGATTCATTTATTTTTCAGGTCTTTTTATTGACTTGATTATCTCCCAGAGTGCTATGTACCAAGTCAGGTATTAATACAAAACATACAATCAGAAAATCAGGATCTATCCATAGAAGCCAAATGTGTTTTTATGATTATTCTTTTTCTATTTCAGAAAGTATTTTTAATTGCAATGATAATAAAATCACACTACAGAATATTTACAAAATAAAAAAAGAAAAAGGTATCTCTCATAGTCTTTCTACCATAATTGCTACAAATTTTTGGTATACTTCTTTCAGTAGTTCTTATGTATATTTTCAACATGTTTTTATGAGCATACAATATTTTTATTCCTTTTTTACATAGCACTAGAATGCAAGCATTTTCCTATTGCTACATTACCCTTCAGAACCATTATTTGTAAGGGATACAACATAACTTATTCTTGGATTATTAATCATTTAATTAAATTGTTACTATTAAGATGACTATTTAAATAATATAGAGACAATCCTTTTATGAATACACCTATTTCCATATTTTGAGCTTATTATTTGAAGAGGTTTGCTTAGTACTTATACTTTTCTAAGATATCACTAAGTATATAACCATAATATATTATGAGGAAAATAGCTTTTCAAAAATATGCATCGTAGCTTTGTAAAACACCACCACAATTAGCTAACACTAAAAATTTAAATACTCTCTCCATTAAATTCTTAAACTTTTTCTCATCTCAAATTTATCTTCATTCAAATAGACATATCCTCTCCTTAGCCTCTAAATATATAAGTTTGGAAATATTTCTCACTGTCTTGGCATCCTATACTTTTATATGATAGCACTTACGTCATTTGTATAATGTAATTTTGTGTAATATTTAATGTCTGATTCTTTCAACAGACTATAAGTTCCATGAAGGAATCCTGTCTATGCATTCATTTTTTTTAAGCAAGCACCTGGCCCATAGCAGGCAGCCTTATGACAACTGACTGATTTAACAATTTGAAATTATTTTATACAGATTACTGTGCTAAGTCCTACTGGAGATACATAGACATATATCGTAGTCCCTACCTTTAAGGAGTTATAATCATCGCAATCATTTGCTATTATTTTTACTTTAATATGTCAGAAAGTTTATGAGCTTTAAGACAAAATGGTCCTGGGTTTACCCCCATTTACCGTTTATTGTATATGTGATATTGAGAAGATTATTTAACCTGTTGGAGCCTCAGATTGATTGTTTGTAAAGCAGGGATAATACTTGTCCCACAAGGTTCTTGTGAGGTTCAAATGAAGTCATATAGGCAAAGTTTTCATAATAGCTCCTAGAAATTAGACACTGTTCCACAATTACTTGTTGAACAAGTGAATCAATCCTGGATAATTTTTGTTTTTCATTTTTTCCATTTTTAGTTTTTTTGCTTTCTTCCCATTACCATTGTCTCAGCCAGTAGTCAGGACTTAAACATTCTATGCCTAGGGTATTGCTCCTTGCTCTGCTTCCTGTGATCACCTTCTAACCTATTGTCACATAATTCTTCCCAGAGCCTTGTCATGATCCATGATGGCCTTTGTACCAGATAAAACTTATTAGAACTTTTAAGGCTCTCTGCCAATTGGTCCCCAGAGGTCCATTCTACTCTGCGTAACTACTCTCAGATCTAGTGATGATCTGCATGTGGGAATTCACAGGTACAATGAAGAGAGAGAGAGAAAGAAACATAGGTATGCCACATACAATAAACTCATGTGGCAGGTACAACAGAAATGGAGAGATAAGTTCAGGTTTCCTTTTTCTATGAATGCTTCTGAGCTCTCCAGGGCACTCTGTTACTTCTTCTCTTAGGCCATTATACAGACACCTTGTATAGTGCTTGTTATATCACATTGCAATTATTTAACTGTGTATCCTCTAGCCTCTCTCCTCATTTATTAATTCAACAAATACTATTTGAGTGGATATCATGTCCAAAGGACATCTCCAGACACTGTCTGATAATCACTAAGGTCTTTCAGAGTAGGGACCATATTGTATTCATTTTATACCATCAGCACTGACATACACAAGGAAGATCAATGGATGTTGAAGGAATGAGCTAAGTGAGTGAATGAGTAAGCACATGTATGAACAGAACAGTAAACCTACTTATTATTCCTTGAACATTTTGCCCATTTTACTCCTGAGTTTTGTAGGTTGCTCTTTTCCTGAATTTGAAAATAAATTTTGTTACATGGAAACTAATTTGAAGAGCACCACCTCCCCCAGATTAGCTCATACTATGGTTTGTCACAGGACTTGAATTTCCCAACACAAAATTCATCTTTAGAAAGAAATTACAAAATAATGCAGGCATACAGTGCAAGTTGAACAATTCAAAATATGCAGAGAATAAAAAGTACAAGGTTTCCTTCACCAACAAGGTGAACTCTTTTGCAACCCTTTATTTTGTCCTTTAAGTACTATAAGTTTGGTATTAATACAATACTTCCAGACTTCTTATTCCCTATGTATTTTCCATATTCTTCCTACTTTTTTTTTCTTGAGTTAAGACATTGTCTCTAGAGGTTGTTCTTAGGGACTTACCCAAGGCCACTAATTGGGTTAATGTCATAGATCCCTATCCCAGCCTTTTAAGCCAAGTTATTACTGTCATGAGGTCCCCGGGGTGTCATTCTTCCAGCCAGAAGCCTTTGTGGCCAGTGGTGCCTTTGCCTGAGTTTTGCTTGGGCCCTCTGGGCTCATTCTGCCCACTAGGCCTGGCAGGTTGTGCTCAGCTCGTGCTACCAGCCTGGATCCCAGGCCTGCCAAAGGCACAGAGGTGAGGGGTGCATAAGTGAGCAAGCATATGGTCTGGCCACTGTGCACAGTCAGGCATGCTGGCTGCTGTGGTGGGGCAGGCAGTTCCAGACACTGGCACAGGAACCAGCTCTGTGCAAGGCTGTGGCTGGACCAGGCATACTGCAAGCCACTTACACTGCAGGCTCTGGGGAACGTGGTGGCACCCAGAAGCTTGGAGACACCAGGAACTGCAGAGCCCCAAAGAGGGTGTCACAGCCATGCCTCAGAGAACTCCTAGGTCTGGACTTCCTGAAGGGCTGCAGCTCTTCCCTCTTTCTGTCTTCTCTCCTCCTCACCTGCAACATGGTGAGCCAGGGGTGTGTTTCAGCCTTGTTTGTGTTACAGTTCTTTCAGTGCCACCACTTCGTGAGTCCCAAGTTCTTGTCCTACATCCAGGAAGAATGGGATATGCAGACAACTAGAGGGTGAACAAGATGAAGAGGGGCTTTATTGAGTGACAGTATAGTTCTCAGGAGGCCCAAAGTGGGTAGCTCCTACCCACAGGCAAGTCATCCCATCAAGTGTGCAGCTCTCAGCTAAGAAGAGACCAGTGAGGGTAGCTGCTTTCTGCAGGCAGGTGGTCCCATCATCTGCCTGATTCTGGCTGAGTCTGGGGTTTTTATGGGCTCCAGAGGGGAAGAAGTGTGTGCTGATTGGTCCATGGGTGGCCATGGGTGAGCAGCAAAAGTGCCATATTTCTCACTCCAGTCTGCAGAACTGGCAGCCTGGCCCCCAGGCTTCAGGCTGTCCCTGGCTTGAAGGTGAGGTTTCACTGGGGACCAGCCCCCTTTGTGCCCAGGAGCCTGTCTGCCTCCTTCTGCCATTCATTGTGCCCAGGCTGTTCGTGCTAAGGGGTGCCAGCAGGCCTGCACCAAGCCACCTTCAGCCCCACCTTGGCCTCCATCTCATGCTTGTCAGTGCACAAAGTCCAGAGAGGGCTGAGATGGCAGGGGGCTGGTGTGTCATTACTACCCCAAGTGTGTGCACACCTGGCCAGGTTGCAAGAGCACCCAGGCTTGGCCACAACTTTGCTCCAAAATCAGAGGAGGCACCCAGAGGGAGGAGAGGCCAGACAGCAGGAGCAAGTGCTTCCAAACCTATGGGGGGAGGGGGCTTTCCAGGCCCTGAGAGCACAGGGATGCCTGGGTCTGCAGCAATGGCTGGGCAGCTGCAGTTGCACCAGGGAGCGCAGGGCTCCCACCCCACCAACTCAGAAGGCGCGGGGCTTCCACCTTTTCCTGGGTCCTGCCTGCTCCACAGAGCATGCAGCTCCCCTACTGCAGCTCCCCTACTGCAGCTGGCATCTTTGCAGCAAGTAGGCGCCTCCCTACTGCAGCTGGCATCTTTGCAGCAGCCACTTCAGATGGGCCACTGCTGCCATCATTACCAAGTTTCTTAAAGGAACAAGGTGAAGTAGGCTTCAATGTGATGCAGAAAAACTCATCTCCAGCCAAGGTATTTTGCCCTCCTTGTCACATACCCATAAGTGGTGAATTTTTATAATCAAAATAAGCACTATTATGTGCTAATTAGCTCTAAAATAAGACACTATGTAACCTCATACACATAATATTATTTTAATTATGTTTTAAATCCCTCTATTCTTATATTTTTATTTCCTATTTGAAATTTAAAACTTCTAGGCCAGGTGTGGTGGCTCACATCTGTAATTCCAGAACTTGGGGAGGCCAAGGTAGGTGAATCACTTGAGGTCAGGGGTTTGAGACCAGCCTGGCTAACATGGTAAAACCCTGTCTCTACTAAAAATACAAAAATCAGCTGGGTGTGGTGGTGCATGACTATAATCTCAGGTACTCAGGAGACTAAGACAGGAGAATCACTTGAGCCCAGGAGGTGGAGGTTGCAGTGAGCTGAGATTGCACCGCTGCACGCCAGCCTGGGTGACAGAGAGAGACTCTGTCTCAAACAAAACAAATGAAAACAAAACAAACAACAAAAACACTTCTTGAAGATATTTAAGTGACCTAAGTAAAATAATAATGTATGCAAATTCTCCTATAATCTAAGTATTAATCATAAAATGAATTTGTACAAACCAGTGACCCACAACGCAGTGCAGTGTTGAGTGTTCGACAAAGCATTAGATGTCTTGGGGTTTACCTTAGCTCTTTCACTTGGGCAAGCAATAAAGCTTTCTGAGTCTCAGTTCGATTTTTAGCTCTGAGTAGAGGAGATAATCATTCAAAATTCATTCATTTGTTTAACAAATATTTATTGAACACCTACTTTGTGCCAGGAATTGATCTGGGCACTGTGAAAGCAGTAATGAAAACAGGCTAAATTCCCTACCCTAATGATCCCTTCACTCTAGAGAGGAGAGAGATAATAAATTAGATTGATAAATAAAAATACCGCTACACACCAGCACAATAGTT
Organism: Homo sapiens; assembly: GCF_000001405.40. Classification (NCBI taxonomy): domain Eukaryota; kingdom Metazoa; phylum Chordata; class Mammalia; order Primates; family Hominidae; genus Homo; species Homo sapiens. The sequence goes on along the minus strand of NC_000002.12, from coordinate 161,917,701 downwards.
TGTGACAGTGAGGATGCAGAATAATTGGAATATGATTTCATATACTGATGTTAAGAATACAAAATGCTACAAGCACATTGGCAGTTTCTTTTTCTTTTCTCTTTCTTTCTTTTTTTTTTTTTTTTAGACAGGGTCTCCCTCTTTTGTCCAGGCTGGAGTGCAGTGGTGCATGCAATCACAGCTCACTGCAGCCTCCACCTCAGGGGTTCAAGGCAGTTTCCTATAAAGTTAAACATACACTTTTTATGTAACCTAGCAATCTTGTTTCTAGGTATCTACAACTATCTAACTATCTACACTATCTAACTATCCACACTAACTATCTACACTATCTACACTATCTAACTATCAGAGAAAGTTAAAACAGTCCAAATAAAGACCTGCATGTGAAGCAAGATAGCCCCAAGCCAGAAGTAACCCAGATGTCCGTTCATTTGTGATTGGACAAATGAATTGTGGAACATCCATATAGTAGAACACTACCTGGCAAGAAAAAGGAATAAATTGATACATGCAACAAAATCAGTGAATCTCAAAAGCATTATGGTAAGTGAAAGAAGGCAGGCATACTCTGTGGTTCCATTTATGTAAAATTCTAGGAAAGGCAAAACTTTAGAAATGTAAGTCATATCAGTGGTTGCCAGGAGGTGGGGATGAAAGATTGACTGCAAAGGAGCACAAGGAAACATTTTTGGGAAATGTACTATACATTGATTATGGTAGTATTTATTTGCCAAAACTCACTTAAGGGCATACTTCAAAGTGGTAAATTTTATTGTATATAAATGATCCTTCAATAATTTTTACTTTAAAAAGATAAGTAAATTATATACGGTAGGCGAGACAGAGAGAAGGGAGTTGAACATTTCACAGAAAGTTCTCGAGTAGGTGATTTTGAAGGAAGTGAAAGAAGCCACATAAGTATCTGGCAGAAACATTCCAAGCCAAAAAATATTTTTAAAAAGACAGTGTGAAGGGCTAGAGGCAGAAACATGCCAAATGTGTTTACAGAAGGGCCAGGAAATCATATTGGTGTGGCTGGAGCAGAAGGGCAAAGTAGCAGGAGGAGAGAGAAGAGAGGCACTGGGGAACAGATGAAGCCATACCTTAAAGGTCACAGAAGCCCTTTGGCTTTGGCACAAAGCCATCAGTGGGCTTTGAGAAGCAGAGTGACATGACCTGACTTGAGTTTTGAAGGAATAATTCTTGCTGCTTCATAGAGAACAGTCTGTGGAAGAGTACGCATAAAATTAAAGACACCAGCTAGAAGGCAATTGCAATAATCTAGACAAGAGTTTACAGAGGTAGAGAGAGTGAAGATAAGTGTTTGTATTCTATATAGAGAATTTGCTAGGAAATCTGGATGTGTGAAAAAGGGAATAGACAAGAATAAATCCATGATTTTTTAGTCTGAGCAGCTGAAAGGATGGGATTGTCATTTACTGAGGGGGAAAGAGTTGCAAGAGTTTGCCCATAACTTCAAACATAAATGGACTAAAATACAAACATTTATTCAATGTATTAGTTTGCTATGCCTGCCACAACAAGATACCACAGACTGGCTGGCTTAAAAACTGAAATTTATTTTCTCACAGTTCTGGAAACTGGAAGTCCAAGATCAAGGTGCCAACAGGGTTGGTCTCCTCTGAGTCCTCTCTTCTTAGCTTACAGATGGCCACTCCCTTGCTGTGTCCTCACATGGTCTCTTCTATAAGTTTGGAAATATTTCTCACTCTCTTGGCATCATATACCTTTATATGATAGCACTTAGGTCAACTATAATTAAATGTACATTCCTAGTGTCTCTTTGTGTGTCCAAATTTTCTCCTCTTATACTGACACCAAAAAGATTAGATTAGGACCCCTCTCTCCCATATTGAAGCAGGATATTTTCTTTCTCCCTTCACAGGACTTGTGACAAGGTGCCCCATTTACTCAGCCCACCCTGCTCAACCCTTGCAGGAGGGAGTGCATGAGTGAATGAGTGTGGGAACCAGAACAAGCAAGTGCAGGAACTGGCTGGTTGCTTTAGAGCCTGCAAGAGGAAACTCTGTGTAGGCTCTGTGGCAGTGTCCAGGTGGGGGTGCCTGTGACCCCAAGGACCCAGAGGGCATGTTACAATGCTCTCTTATCTCCACCATCCACAGACAGCAGTGTGTTATCAGCTAGGTCCTTTGCCTCATCGTATGGGGAAGCTGCTCACCATCAGTGAGAGCAATGGGCCAGTGTGATGGCCTGTTTGAGTACCAAAATTTTGAGTTATCAGGCACAAAAGTTTTGAAAAGTTTCATTCAAAACTCAAGTCATGTAATTCACTTGGCATGTTGTGAATTCTTTTCCAGTGCCCAAGAGGAATGAGGTCACATGGACAAATTGAAGGATGGTGAATGCAAAGAATTTTATTGAGCAATGAAAGCAGCTCTTAGCGGACGGGGAGATGGAAAGGGGACAGGAAGGGCAGGTTGCTCTCCCCTGAAGTCAAGCTGCTTCTCTGCCTCTCTCTTCTGAAGTCAAGTTGCCTCTTTCCAATGTCCAGCCACCATCTCTGAAGTCAAGTTGCCTCTCCCTGACGTCTAGCTGCTTCTCCTCTCTACTGGCTGAGTCTGGGGTCTTTATAGGCACAGGATAAGGTGTTGGGTGGGCCTTAGGTAGTTTTGGAAAAGGCAACATTTGATTGGTAAAAAAGATATTATTCAGAAAGAACCAATCGGAAGAGAACAGGCACACAGGGATGGAAGTTACCACTTTGGGCTGCGGGTTTCAGGCTTTTTGGCTCGAAAGTGGGGTTTTGCCAGGGACTCACCCCTGTCTGCCTAGAATTTCTCTGACTCCTGTTACTATCGATATGACTTCATTTAATCTTAATCATTTTTTAAAAAGTCCTGTCTCCAAATACAGTCACATTCTGAGGTACTGAGGGTTAGAGCCTCAACAGAGAAATTTGGGAGGGGCACAATTCAGCCTATAACATTGAGTCATATCATTTCAGAGTGAGGAGAAATATTCCTGCTAGCTCCCCAAAATCTGCTTTTATAATAAAAAAAAAAATCTTCCATGAGTACTTCATTCATTTAGATATCAAAATGCAAAATTTGGGGAAGAGATAAAATTAGCCTCCTATTGATCATCTTTAGAACAAGTTTTATAGACCATGAAGATACCAGTTACATTTGTAATGAAGAGAGAAGTGATATATTATAGTAGGGGGAGTTGAAGCAGAAGGACTGGCCTGTACACAAACCTCTTTGAGCCTGGCCATGAGTGTTTCTTTACAGAACATGTTTCGTGACCCTTCTCATAATATTTAAACAGTCTTGTAGAGAGAGAATTAATAATGATAGTTTTTTTGGTGGGGTGGGGGTTATATAAAAACTGTCTTGCCTAAAACTGAGAGCTATGAGCACAGAATGTTTTCATAAATTAAACTTTTCTTTTTCAGAGTTGTATTTATACTTCTTCACTTGATATTTTCCAGTATGTTAAATAATAAATGTAAAATGCATAAGCTGAACACCTTGTATTATCAAGATTGCACATATAAGTAGAAAAATGTGCTGAGCTGACCAAATTTGGCTAGGTCTATACATACTTAGTAAGAATAGTGTTCAGGGTGATTAACATATTAATTTATATAGTTAAAGGGAAATGTTTCTTCCACTTCCATTAGCAATGTCTCTAAGCATTCATTTAGCATGACTAATGCTATAAAGTATGTAGCAATGACACTTACATCATCCAGCAGAGTAGAGATGAATGAATGACTAATGTATCAACATTTTACATGAACAAGAATAATTTAATGAAAATTATCCAATAGAAGTGGCAGATATCCTATGTAAAATTATCAAATCATATACAAAGTGTCAAGGCCAGCATTACATTAATCTCATAAAGATCCCATAACAATATGACCAACAGGTGAGAAGAAGTTGAGTGGAAGAAAGAGATCACACCATCTACTTCGAAAAAGCATTACATTGAAGACAAAAAAGGGTTCTACTCTTCACTATAATTCATTTGGTTACTGGTAGGTCAGAAGTCATAACTTGTTCTATAAAATAGATCTTATCTGCTCCAGAAGATTTTAGTAAATGTAAAGAGAAATATTCAGAGGGACTTTGAAAAGACAACGTGCTACTTTCTCTGGAATTAAAACTTTGGTGAAGTATGAACTAATTTTAACTGATGTTTTAGAAACTGAAATTGCAACATAGTTATAAGAGCAAAGGTTCACAATTTTTTATAGCTATTGTATTTCTGTCTATTCTGTCAAGTGGCTTTATTATTTATTATATTTTTCATTTAGAATGGTTATTAAGGATATAAAAAGCCAGTAAATTTTTGGAAGAACTTTTTATTATGAAAAACAACTCTTTAAACTCTTTAAACTACTGCTTTTCAATGATGGTATGTGTATTAGTGGTTGAGAAACAGTGCTTTAAAGACATTTTAAAGTTCTAGAACTTGGAAGAAATATTAAGAAGCTGGATGATGTCACAGACTACAGGTAAATTATACTCCAGTGTGTCTCAGAAAGGCAAAGATGAGGTATACTATTTTTTCAGTTACATAGACATACATATATAGTAAACATTTATTGGGAAATATGGGCAAAGCACTTCCTATAATCTGTTTCATTAGCTCACTGAAGTTCCAGCTCTCCTGTTTTTGATACTTTGACTTCATCTTGCATGAAAGATTTACTCAAGGATGATGTGACAGTATTCCATAAGCAGGATTCTGGTATCGTTTTAGCGACATCAGGCACAAAAATAGCTGGACATAGGATCAGTTATGAATTAAGCCTTAGAATATCTCTAGGACTTGAGACTATGTGATTCACTTTCTAGATTCTTATATCCTCTTCTGGCAAAACTAGAGAGGCCACAGTCAATCCACATATCCTGAGTACATTTAATTTTACCAATGCATTTCAGTACACTGATTAACAAGTCAGTGATATTGCCCATGAAAATCCATTTCTGACATTCAGCAAAGCATCAGTGTTGACTGAGACATGGCTAATAGTCTCAGGGTTTGTAGTAGCCTTTTCTGGAGTGTAGTCTCTCTACTTTAATGCTAGCTGACCACTCCTAGAGCTAGGACTCCTGATCAGAATACTAGCTGCCCATGGTTGTAACTTGACCTAACATACACATATTACCACAGTGTCTGTGGTGAGGTATTTTAATATAAGTTAAAACATTACTATATTCCACTTAAAATATTTCAGAATATATCCTTGAATCTAGGTCAGTTCAGGAAGCAAACAGAAATGGGGTCAGCACTTCAAAGATTGTGAACTCCTTGAGAACACTCATCACATCTCACCAAAACATAGCCACATAACTATTTAAACTTCTTTAAAGGAAGAAACCAAGAAACCACTGTTACCTGCTTAGCACTCGCCCTCTGATATTGAGTTCTTATGTAAATAGCTGCCTTTTTATACCTATTTGACAAGAAAGTGTGAAAGATAATTCCATTTAAGATCTGAAAGTAGATACGAAGAGTAACATAGTTGAAAGACACTTAATAAAGCTTTACTACTATCTGCCAATCCCTTAGCTCTCTGTAGGTAGAAAGATAAACACAAATTCTGTTCAAAAAGGCTCATAATTCATTAGGGACAGTGAGAATGAAAGAGGTAAATAATGAACTATTATACTGGATACTACTGCTACTGGAAACGAGACTTTATCATTAAAATAATTTACTTTAAAAGCAGGAACAGAAAACAAGGATAGCAAGTGTTTGGATCAAGAATCAAGAATGAGGTGAGGAGTTGCTAAAAGTTTATTTATTGAATAAATAATTTATTGAGTGCCTACTATTATATTTATTTTAATCTAAGATGTCAAACAATCTAGCTTTTTAGGGGGGAAACTATATGTGAAATGTGCCCATCAGTTGTGAGAAGCATTTTCAGAAATGTAAAAATATGAATAAACATGTTCATACAATATGTGCCAAGCACTTTGCTAGGTACAGTAGGTACATAGATCTGCCTAATAGCCATGATTTACCATTATGAAGATTAATCTAGTGAAGGTACACAAATAAAGTAAACACCTAAAAATATAATTGTCATGTTATGTTGCAAGCAATTCTGGATAAATCTAGTCAAGTGTATACGTCGCAAAAAATGTGATTTAAAAAGGTTGAAACAGATAGTTCTCTAAATCTGTTTTATTCGCTATTTTTTGACTAGTGAGTACTAAAAGGTTTATGCAGTATGATTACTCTGTTTCATCTTGTTTCTCCCCACATCTATCACCCTTGGGAGTTCCGCTATAAATTGCACTCCAGTTTCTCTTGCCTTTTTTTTCAGATGATTTCTCCACAATGTTGGCACCCTGTCTAAATTTTCAATCATCATTAGTTTTATGAATTCAAATTTATATACCTTTATTGCATATTAACAATTTCATAATGTGTCAAATTTATCCCAAACTTCTAGCTAAAATCTTTAAGAGTGCTGTTAAAGATAATGTAAACAAGCACTATTTTCTTTACTTAGCGAACAAGATTGGCCGAGTAATGTCAATTATTTTGCAACATGTTCCATTAATCAGTATACATTAAGTATCACTTAATGTATACTTAACTTACCATTATCATTAAGTGATACTTAATGTATGTTTATTTACATATTTTATTTTTTACATATTTTAAATATTTTAAACATATTTTAAATGTTTATTTACATATTAAGTGATACTTAATGTATGTTTATTTACATATTTACAATATTATGCTGGGACTACGGGAGATAAAATTAGGGACCGTGAGAATGAAATTCTCATTGTTAAATGTTTTCTACTTTAAAGGAGGTTCAAATCTAGTCGAGAAGATGAGAGAGAGGATACTCTTCTGCATGTCAGTCAGTAAATAACATTTATTCAAAACAGATCACTACTTTGGGTTATGTACAGGGCTGGGTGCTAGATAAACAAAAAAGAGAAAAAGAAAATAAAAAAATTTCTCATAACCTGCTGGTGAGAACACTCCTTCAACAGCTTGGTAATCATTATATTTTATTTCACTCTAGCCTACATATATATCAGAAACTAGAGAGATAATCAGACCCTACACACTGCTTTGACCCAATCGATTACAAAACATTAATAAATACATGCTCAATTTTTCTTTAGCTAGTTGTCTTTCAAAACTTTATTATTCCCAAAACTTAAAGAAACATTTCATCTTATACAAGCAAAACATTTCATTCTATTTTTGCCATTTCTTAAAATCAAAGCAACCAAGAAAAGATTATTCCCATAAACTTGTTTTTTATTGCTAACTTGGCATATTCAGCTTGATCGTCTGGTGCAATGTATGTATTCTCAAAACTAAATAGATGATCTTGACACTTGATCTTGGCATAATGAAAGAAAAGCTTATATTTTCAAATATAAGGTCTGTATATTACCATATTATAAGGTTAGGATGACAGAGTAGCTAGATATATCTTTAAAAAGTCAAAGACATCTTGTTATTTGGTTGATACACTATGAATTTAAGGAAATCTGATTGTAGGAGGCTAAGTATAAAAAATCTGAAATATAGATCCTAAACATGATGACTTTTTTCAAATATCTTATACCCAAACAAATATGCACATTATAGGCATATTGTTTGCAAAGGTTGCAATCTCAGATATATTATGTTCTAGCTATAACATTTTCTAGGAATTTTTCTAATGAACCTGCATAGTACCTTATAATAAATATGAGACCAGCAACATCTAAAGTAGAAAACTTTAGGTGGACATTGTTATAAATGACACTGATTCAGTGTGAAAAGGTCACAGTAACAAGAAAGCCACTAAAAGTGTCATCTGGACTTCATGAGAATTCACCAAAGTAAATGTTTTGTGCAAAAGTATGAGATTATAAAATACATTAAAATAGCAGTAATTAGCAATAACTTATTTTCATTAATGAACATAACTAAAAGTACACTAGTAAATATATGCGTTCTATGCATAGCAAAAAAAAGATTGATTTTGCTACTCCAAGGAGCAAGTGATAGAAATACCTAATCAGATTCATGTACACAGTGTAAGTGGCACTGGAAGCCAATCAAGGCTTAACAACTGGAGTGAAGAACCAGTGCAGTGAGGAAATCTAGTCAGACCCCATTTCCCATGAGACTGTCATTGTTTCTGTCACACACACCCATTTCAGGTGCCAGGTGGCACTAAAACCTCATGCCCATAAGGATGAACCAGTCGTTCCATCCCTTCTATTTCCCTAACCTGGGTTGAGAAGGGCACTTGGGCAATGGAACACAGTCATCAGCACACATTCATGTTCAGCCTTGAAAGAATTAGGTTTTAGATGCTCACATTGATCCAAGGAAAACTTAAACATGCGGGATCACTTTTTAAAAAACAGAGATGGAAATGTGGAGAAAGTCAGGACCTCTGTCACTCCTCTTTTTTTTTATATATTTAATTTTATTGTTATTATACTTTAAGTTTTAGGGTACATGTACACAATGTGCAGGTTTGTTACATATGTATACATGTGCCATGTTGGTGTGCTGCACCCATTAACTCATCATTTAGCATTAGGTATATCTCCTAATGCTATCCCTCCCCCCTCCCCCCACCCCACAACAGTCCCCAGTGTGTGATGTTCCCCTTCCTGTGTCCATGTGTTCTCATTGTTCAATTCCCACCTATGTCACTCCTCTTTTGATCACCATGACAGACAGGGATCATGGCCACATAAAGCTATTTTAGCTTTCAAATTACCCTTTGAGCATTTGTCTTACTTAATCCCTTGATCTTATCATTTTTTGACTCCTGGGAGGTTGCAATCCCATGTTTATCTACTCTTTTCATCATTGCTGCCTTCCTTTCCTCAGTCTCTATTCTCCCATTTTCAAACACACATAGTCCTTCTCTGTCACAAATTATCAATCTTACGATTTCATTGCCCTCCTCAAAAGGCATTCTGTTTCCCACTTTCTTTGACACCAACTGGCCTATGCAGCTTTCTCCATTTCTTTACCACCCACTTCCTTGTTAGTTTTTGCAAACTGGCTTCCCATTCTGCCTCCTTTCCCAACCCAATACCAGTTGTTTTTTTTTTTTAATTTTATTATTATTATACTTTAAGTTTTAGGGTACATGTGCACAACGTGCAGGTTTGTTACATATGTATACATGTGCCATGTTGGTGTGCTGCACCCATCAACTCGTCATTTAGCATTAGGTATATCTCCTAATGCTATCCCTCCCCCCTCCCCCCACCCCACAACAGTCCCCAGTGTGTGATGTTCCCCTTCCTGTGTCCATGTGTTCTCATTGTTCAGTTCCCACCTATGAATGAGAACATGCGGTGTTTGGTTTTTTGTCCTTGCAATAGTTTGCTGAGAATTTTTTAAAGCTACCAGGTATCTCTTTTCAAACACTTTTCCTTATTCTGTTTGATGTCCATGCCACTGTCCTCTCTAAAGACTTTGTGATACATTTCTTGTTTCTTGCCTTCTGCGACCTGACATTATCCATAGTTTCCTCTTTTTCTGATGCTTCTTTCTTATTTTTATTTATTTATTTTTTGCCTATTGGTTGCATTTTTCTCATTCTACTTTAGAGCTGTGAAAATTGTTCAGGGCTCAGACCTTGCTTTTCCAATCTTTTTCCTTTCTAGACCAAGGGACTTTAAACTATGTTCCTCAGTCTGAAGTACCTAAGAAGCTACCATGAAGGTTCAAAGAACAGCTGAGAGGGTAGGCAATGGGTGCCTTCCTACCACTTGAAACAGAATAGTTCTGATTTTACCTGTTTTATTTGTTTTACATAGTTTCTTTTGGAGAGTTTATCTGTATTCATCAGTGTACTGAAAATTATATCAGTAATAAAACCTGGATTCCATTTCTTGTTTTACCACTATCTATATAACTTCAGACAAATATTTTAAAGCATGAATGCATCTCTTGCATCTAGTCCTGTGAATGCCCTTTGACTGAACTACTTTTCTGCCCTATTCCTTAGCACCTTCCTAACTTCTACTGCATTTTTATTCTACATTATTTCCTCCAGGAAGCCTTCTCTGAACCTCAAATCTGGGTTAGGTGCTCTCCTGATGTGCTGCTATAGCATTCTGTACCAACCTCTTAACCCGGCACTCATTTCCTTATGCTGTCTGTTTATCTACATTCCCTACTAAACTGGAAGCTCACTGAGGACAGAATATGATTCACCATGGTTTTCCTAGCACCTAGTATAGTGCCTGGCATGTAGTAGATTTGAAAATCCAACCAGAGATAATTACATATCCCAGCAAGGATATCCAAATTCAGTGAGATTCTCTTTCAGGTAAGGATAAATGAAAAGGCGTGTATCAATGTTATCCCTGGTTTTGATCAAACTGTTCTTCCCATTTGCCTGTTTTCTGAGTGTCCCTGACACCTATGCTCAGTCCTTTCTTAGCCCTGTTTACAATATTCTCACTATTTGCTTTTAATGGGAAAATTATTTTATATTTCCACTTTGATTTTTCTTGTTCAAAAATAGGGGTCAGTTGTTTAAAGTTATCTCTAAATATAATATAAAAGTGAAAGTACTAAAACTCACATTATTTTCAACATAATATCATTTCGTGATTCTTTTTTTTTTTTTTTTTTTTTTTTTTGAGACGGAGTCTCGCTCTGTCGCCCAGGCTGGAGTGCAGTGGCGCGATCTCAGCTCACTGCAAGCTCCGCCTCCCGGGTTCACGCCATTCTCCTGCCTCAGCCTCCCGCGTAGCTGGGACTACAGGCGCCCGCCACCACGCCTGGCTAATTTTTTTGTGTTTTTTAGTAGAGACGGGGTTTCACTGTGTTAGCCAGGATGGTCTCGATCTCCTGACCTCGTGATCCGCCCGCCTCGGCCTCCCAACATTTCGTCATTCTTAACAAAATTATAACATTGCACTATTTTGGTCTGATTTCAACAATTTAAACTTCTGATAGTAAATAAAGATTAAAAAATATTAAAAGGGTTCAAGGCCATATCTAAGCAGTTTATAGGGAAATGATTGGTGGTTGATGCAGAGATTATAACTGTCTCCTAAAGAACATATTGCTTCAGATATTTGCAGTATAAAAAACTGCATATAAGCACAATAAAAAATTCTACAATTAAATAATGGGGTCATTTAATGGCCACATATAGTCTGCAGACAAAGCCTTAGAGACATTTCAGACTGTTGATACACCAAAACTAGAAAAAGCAATAGATCCAATCACATCTTCAATCCCGGACTGTAACATCAACTTCAACAACTAATATCTGAGTATTTCCATCAAAATGTCACAAGTGCCAAAACCAAAATTAAATTTTCATTCAGTGATTTATGTTTTTACCACACTTTCAAACATCTACTAAGATTTAGACCCAATAAGTTTATTTTACCTTATTGCTCTAAATTTGAAATCTTATATTTTCATTACTATGTTTCTTTGGATTATTGTAAATTAAAAAGACCCTGAAATAACGCCAAATAACATATATTTCGCTAAGGTAAAATTCGTGTATATTAAAATGGAATTGGTTCCTTATCTACTTATTTTAGAGAACACTGGACAAATAGAACTTTAAAAAGATACTCTTGGCAGAGATGGTATAATGAGAATGCAAGTAGCAGATGAGTGGCCGATTAAATAACTTTTAAAATCCTGTTCGACTCTGAGAGTCAGGATTTAGGTCATGAATCAACTTAAGGCACATTCTCTGCTGAGTAATTTCCTCATATTTCTTGTAACAATAGCAATATTTGTCAAAAGAAAAGCCCCAAGGCCAGCAGGGGAAATGGTACTTACGAGTATTGTGTCAGCAGTTCCAGATCATTATGCATGTTGATTGGATATGCTTCACTGAGTTCAAACAACTTCTCCAGGGCCTCATAAATGAAAATGATGCAAATCAGGGAAGCAAAAGCTTCTTCAGTAAACCGAGTGATGTAGCAGACAAGGGAACTAGCATCTGTGGCCACAAGTATGATACATAGAGTTGCAGTCCAAAGTCCAATGCTAGCTCTTAAAGATAGGTATGACAGCCCATATTCTCTGGGAGGAGGAAAAGGAAAGAACAGTGAAAAGAAGGTCATTTAACAGCTTGCTATCATTTTAAGCAAATGAAAATAAACCTCATTCAGGAAGTGAAAGTAAATAAGCTTCACATCCCATGAGTATCTAAACTCAAGACTGTCTAAAGCAGGGGTCCCCAACCCCTGGTCCATGGCCTGTTATGAAAAGGGTTGCACAGCAGGAGGTGAGTGGCAGGCGAGTGAGCATTACCGCCTGAGCTCAGACTCTTGTCAGATCAGTGGGGACGTTAGATTCTCATAGGAGCACAAGCCCTATTGTGAACTGTGCATGTGAGGAATCTAGATTGTGTGCTCCTTATGAGAATCTAATGCCTGATGATCTGAGGTGAACAGTTTCATTCCAAAACCATCCCCTCAACCCTCTTTGTGGAAAAATTGTCTTCCATGAAACCAGTCCCTGGTGCCAAAATGGTTGCAGACCACCGGTCTAAAGGGAACATCTAAAGGGACAAAATCAAAAGGGATTTATCGATGCTTATAACTGAGTCTTACTTTTTAAAAATATTACATAAAAATATACATAAATATTTTACTTTTCCTCTATTCCCATGATGAAGCAAAAATGATAAACTGAAACAAATCAGGCAATTCTGTCTCTATCAACAGACCTCCAAAAGTGATGTTGGGAGAAGTATAAATACAGTAAAGAAAAAAGGAAGAGGCTAAGGGCCAAAAAGTACATAACACTTACTTGCAAAATTTAAACAAAATCTTTTCAAACACCAAAACTGGTCCTGTACTGCCTAATATGGTAAGAGGCTGTCCACCAAAGAGAGAATAGGCTATCCCGGTCATGGATGCTCCAAAGAGAGATTCAATTGCACTCTGTGTAGAGATATAAATGGTTCAATTACCTAAGCTGTACAGGAGGCCATTGTAGCTAAGGAGAAGACATTTAAAATACATGGATATGTGCTTTGTGCTTCACCCTGAAAAGTCTAGCAACCCTGGGCAAGACGTGGGGTAGAAGGATGACTAAAGGGGCTGACAGCAAGAAGAAAATGCATAGTAGCAAAGGTAGGAGTGTTCTCTTCACTTTCCTATCTCACGTCTCTGTTGCCTTACAAAAGGTTTAAATGTATTCAGGATTAGTGTCTGGACAGAAACATGGCCCGGGTACATAGCAAATGGACCTCTTGTGAGACAAGAATGGAGACTAAACCTAGCTTAGGATTGGGGGCGCTGAGGGCAAGGCATCAGATGAGAACCTTTTGTAAGACTCAGAACTAGTTATTCTGAGACATTCCACTCCCAGATTACCAGTTCCACTAGCCATCCAGGAAATTCATATAAGGTGTATCTGCCAGACCATATCTCAAATCTCTCCTCAGAAAAGAATCCAAAATTAAATGCTCACTTATCTAACTATGAATCTTAAAAATGGATTATGTTTCAAAGTTCAGAGAAAAGCATAATACATACTATACGCCCTTCAGTTGCTTCTCCCAGCAGTCCTCCAAACGTGATGACAGGAGACATACACGCGCAGTAGAGAAATAGAAAAGATGCTAAGCACTGCAGGCTGAAAGCATCTCTGAAGTCACTCCAGAAGTATGGAGCTTTTCTTTTGATATCTAAAATAAGTCCCCCAAAAATCCTAAGACAGGGGGGAAAACACAATAGTGAAACCCAAATATAAAAAACACACAAGTCAAAATGCTCATTTGCTTTGTTGCCAGGTCACAGTATACGTTTTCCATCAGCAGAGGTGAGACACACATTAACCTGCTGCATTGTCTTATAACAATCTACAGGGAGGCACTGCACAACTACGTTCGTTACCTCAATTCCTAACCCAATATCGTGTCAACCACCAAAAATCCCAGGTTCTCTTAAACAAGGTTCAGAGCTGTTTACCAATCATAATCCAAATAATGAGATTCAAGGATTACTCTAATCTCTGTGCCATTTCTACGTCAACCTACTCCTCCTAAACTCAGGCCTACAACCCTCAATCATTGGCAGTATTTCTAAATGTTTAATTCCATTTAGCATAGCAGGAAGTGAGGGAGGGAGGGTTAGCTGGCTTTTGTATACTCCAGTAGTGAGCATCACCCTAGAGAGAAAAAGCAATGTTTAACCATGGCTCCAGTTACCTACTCTCTCGGCCAAAAAACAAACAAACAAAAATCCCTCACCAGATATTGTTGCAGGAAGACATCTAAATGTCCTTTTGGATGGCAGCAATACTTAGTAGAGACAGATAGGTTTCAGAGCTGTTTTCATTTTTAGAAAACTAGGAGGGAGTCCTTATAATAATAAAACTAGATAAATGTAATTTTGATCCACTATTGCGTTAACATATCCCAGCATCTGTGATTCACAAGACAATAGTGACCTTACTTGGTATAAATTCATTTACTCCAAATATATTCAAAACCATGTTGAAACACTTGAAAGATAATTATTTTGGGGGAAAAGTATTAAACTGTGAAATTATGCTTGAAATTTGAGATCTTTTTTTAAATCTATAAGAAATGAGAGCATTAATAAGTAGGTATTCTCATTTTATGAACATTTAATAACAATACGCAGACTTAACATTTGGCTACTGTAAGTTTTGCTCCATGGAATAATGATGTGATAGCAAAAATGAATAAGACTATGAATAAGTTCCTACATGAAGGTTAATGTCAGTGGTGAAAAATCTTATTATGCTCCAATATACTGCCAGCATGCTGAGTATACTTGGATCATAAAAAACTGTTTCATTTTTCTTATTTATTTTATGCATAGGAATATTCATTTGGCAGTCCTAGAATCATCTCAGAAAGGACTGTCCTTTTTAGAAATAAATTCTCCTTAGAATTTGAAATAAAAGATGTACATATTATGAATAATTAAAATATTTTACCAAGTAATTTCCCTGATCTGATTTATCTGTAATAGTTACCTATTAATAACTCTTCTACTATTATGCAGGTATAAGATCACTATATTTTCCTGTGATTGCTTCCATTAGAGAGCTATGGAGTAGGAGAGGGTTGAGAAGAATGAAACTTCAATTGAATAAAAGGACATTTGAAACTCAGAGAAGCTTGCAGAGAACCTGTGAAATATTTGTACACATAAAGATCACCTTAGGCTTCTCTACCCATGTTTGGTAAAACATATGCACTTTTTTTTATTTTAGGGATCATTTCTGAATAATTTGTTAACTTATCAAAGTCACAATTCAAAACAGATTTACTCTACCAGTCTATTTAGGCATTCATTTATGATTTATATCCCACCTAATCCCAAAAAGAATTTGAGGTGGTTATGAGCTATTAATTAGTAATTAATATTTATAGTTTTGAAAGCACTTTATATTAGACCATTGATTCTAATCAATTACTTATTAGAGCATACATTAGTCTGAATAGTTGTTATAGTACTGTGTAATAAATGTGCTTTTAGCAGTAAAAATCTAAATCCGGAAGTGGGAGTTCATTACAGAGAACAGTGCAAGAGCAGCCCAGATGTACACCAGCAACTCCAGGAGAGCAGATGAGTAATGGATACTTCAAGTCATGTCAGCAACAGAATCTGTGGAAGAACTCTGGAGAAGCGAAGATACCGGATATTGGTGACCTGGGAGGATTTAGGAAGCAGTAAGGAAAAGTGAACTTCGAAAAAAATCTAAGCTATGTGGCATGTTACACCTGAGAAAGAGAAAAAAAATACCACCAAAAATAAAAAGACAGCATTTGAAAGTATGAAAGCAAACAGAATGAGTAACAAAGCTTCCAGTGAAGGGAAAAGGAAAAAATTGTTTGAACCATCTCAAATTAGGTATCAAGCCTGAGGAAGACATTAAAGGACATTTCCTCAGAGACAACACATAGATAAAGGGAAAGAACACAGAATTAAAATGCAGAGTGCTCAGGAACTGGAAAGTCAGCTTAGAGGACACATTGCAAGCAGTACAGAAAATGGCCTTGAGGGGAGGGGAGCACCAATCCTGCAAAGCCTTTGCAACTGCCTTTAATTATAATGGAGGCTATACACATATTCCCTGAAGAGAGACCCACCCAAGGGTTTCTGATTTTCTGCTCACACATTGCTTAGAGAGAGACAAGCTGTCAAAAAAACCATGAAGCACCATTTTAAGAAATAAATTGAAGCTTTCATCTCTTCAAAGATGTGTGATTAGAAAAATAAATCATATAGCTCTTTCAAATCACAGCCATAAAAATAAAAAATACCACTATATACATCCTACTTGCATTTAATGAGATAGGGCCTACAAGACTGAGTTGTTGGTATTTAGTTTTATTTCTATCTTCAACTTGAAGCTTTCAATGGGTTCTTTTGGAAGGGTCAATTGACGGTTTTCCTTTTCATTCTAAGAATCTGAGAATGCATTTTATGCACAGCAAAATGAAAGACTAGGTAAAGTATAATGGAAGGGTGTATCCACTGTTTTAGTTTAACAGTAATGACAATCATTAGTAACTTCAGAGAAATCAAACTAATTGGCATTTTCACCCTCAAAAAGCAGGTATTAAAAGTATACAATAAATTAGATCCCAAAATAGCAATTTCTGACAGAGAAGAATGGTATGTCATTTGGTCCTTGAAGTCCCATAGAAGTGATTTTCACTAACCTTCCAGTTCGCTGGAGTTCAGGTCCACTATGTCCTCCGTGGGGCTCTGCTTCCCCATGAGCTGCTGTTCCATTTGGTACAGCAGGAATCTTCCTCTTCTCCTGTGGAGAGTTTTTTGTTCATGTGTTTTGTTTTGTTTTAATTTCAGGTGTTAATTGTAAATAATAATAACAGTTCATTTTTCCTTGAAGCAATATGCACAATAGCTGAGAACCCAGGCTCTGTACTTACTTGTTGCTTGACCTCCAGGAAGTTATTTAGCCTTTTAAAGTGTTAGTTTCTTCCTTTGTTTACTGGGGGTAACAACAGTATCTATCTTATAGTGTGACTAAGAGAATTAAATGAGGTGATGGGCACTTATTTATTCTTTCAACTAAAACTGAGTGCCTAGTGTATGCCATTCATTGTAATGAATGCTAGAGCTGCAAAGGTGGGCAAGAAAAAGCATTCTGTTAGTGAAGAGACAATAACCTTATAATATCAGGTACAGATGGGAGCTATGAAGAAAAATGAAGTAAGGGAAGGGGCAAAGAGAGAGATCAGGATGTGGGTAGGTTGGCGTGAGGAGGTGTTAAGTATGGTGGTGTTATATGCGTGGCATAGTTTAACTGTTCAAAGAACAGTAACCATCATCACTATTTTTAAAGTATATTTCTCTGTGTAATTCCAGCTGGTGTTTTTCTACCCAGTAAATAGTTTACAATATAGGTCTTTCTAACTCATAGAGTGCCAAAGACTGTTGTAAAAGGAGGCTTCTAATTTAACCAATGACAAATTAGTAGAGATTCAGGTAAGTATTGTTTTCCCATGGTCTATTCCACCTGCTTTTGTTGGTGAATATGATTTCTTAAAAAATCAGAAAGTTCTACCTAAAATCCTACCTATGGTGATCTTAGAGCACACCAATGTGTTCAAAAGCACTTCAAAGGATAATAGGAAAAATCTTAAGTGGTGAAATTATGATTTTTACTTGACCACCATTCCAAAATAGAATTAGTGTAAACATGAAAAACAAAAGTGACTTATAAACTGATCTCACTTACCATGAGACATTTAGATAGAATGATACAGGTTTAAAACATAAAAAAGGTTTTGAAAAATGCTCAATATAAGAAAGTTTATTGCTTAATATTTTAACAATTTTCCCAGGCAAATGGATGGACGCAGTAAGACTAAAGTTCAAAGATAAAAGAGAAGCATCTGTCAACTGATGAAGGAACTGTCTTTACAGGTAAATAGGATACATTAATAAAGGGATTTAAGAGTTTCCCTCAATACCTACTTCCCAATCACCTAGGAAAACAATTCATAGCTTTCACAGGTCTCAGAAAGCAAGCATTATTATGTGGTCTTCTGGGAAAATACTACTGACTAGATAAATTAACTCTATTTTATAATGACAAAACTAACAGAAGGTGATGTTTTGGGAGCCAAGTAAAGAACATATATTAAGGAAAAGGGAGTCATCAACTCTTAAATGCTGTTCATTGATAGATTAGATAAAATGCAGGCTGAGAATTGACCATGGGACTTAGCATGGTGGAGATCATTGTTCTCGTATGTATTTTAGTGAAATGGTAGGGGCAAAAGCCTCTTGGAGTGAATGTTAAAAGAGAATTGGAGGAGAGTAACTGGAGACAAGTAGCACAGAGAACTCTTCTGTGGCATTTTGTTATAAAAGGGAATGAATAAGAGTGGCAGGCTGGGTAGTGGTATCAAGAGAGTTCTTTTATTTAAGATTGGTAAATTTAATAGTATTGTATGCTAATAAAAGTGATAAAATACAGAAAAAAAGATTTGATGATATAGAAGAGAAAGAGGAGAATTGGTAGAGTTGTGCTCTTGAGTAGATGTGAAGAGATAGGTTCTTTCTAGTGCACAAGTAGAAGGCTGACTTTGGCTATTTCATCAATAGTAATGAACAGGAAGGCAGAGTATGTGGATGCATGTAGCAATCTATAGAAGTTCTTTTTTGATTGTTTCAAATTTCTTAGGGAAATAAAAGGCACATCAGCATATGAGAGTGAGGGTCAGAAAGGATGTGCTGAAGGCTTGAGGAGAGAAGAATAAGTGTGAAATAGTCATCAAGTGAGAATGATTGGACTAGGAAAGTGTAGTATGATGAACCTGCAACACAAAGGGCTCACTTGAGGTATGTGGTCATGAATTTATGTGAGACCAGTTAGTGTGGTTACATGTTTTCCTTCAGCTTCAGCTTCATCAGTGCGGTACAGAGTAAAGTGTTGGATTCTCACAGGGTTGTGGTTTTGCCAAGCAAGTACACGACATGAGAGAAGAGCAAATAAGTTGAGGGTACACAAAAGGGAGTGATTTTAATGACTGATGCAAAGTTCTAATGAACATTTTCAGGGTTATCCCTGGAGGTGACAGGTTATTCTTCTCTTAACTGAAAGGGAAAAAATATTTAAAATGCTGGGATTTGCACATTTCAAATGAATAAAAAAGATGGAAATGATCCCAATGGTGAAAAAATTTGAAAGAGTATGAGGTCAGAATGTTTAATGTATATTAACTCATTTCACTCCGTCTAATAGAAAACATAGCCTCATGCTATCTATTATTCAATTACAACATATATTTTTAAAACATGAATGTTGAAAAGAAGCATAGAGCATATCTGTAATTTCAAATTTGTTGTATAGAACTATGCTGTCTAATATGATAGCCACAAACTACATATGTCTATTTACATTTAAGGTAATTAAAATGAAAAATTCTGATCTTTAGTTACAATGGCAACATTTCTAATGCTTACTAGTGGCTTGATTACTGGATAGCATAGACGTAGAATATTTCCATTATTGCAGAAAACTCTGTTGGACAGTGCTGATACAGAACATCAACAGAGAGGTTAAAACATTTGTTCAAGGTCATACATATAGATAATTGCAGAACTCGGATGCTTTGATTCTTAATTTGATGTTCTTTCTATGACTGCCTCTCAATACCCAGAATCCAATAATTAATTCGATTTTAAAGGGTGTCATAAAATCATAAACAATATTGGCCTCCCATCACTCAACTTGCCTCAAAAACATTATTGTTCACAAAGGTGTTTTCAAAAACACTTAACTTCAATGTTTCAATAGCTAATGGGTATTACAGTGAATTTTAAAGCCTCATTCTGAATGTATTAATATTTTGCTGCATTTCTCCAAATAACATTAATTAAAGAGTTTCTACATACTCAGGAAGCATTATATTGCCTTTTCTAATATCATTAGTACAAAGATGTATTCTACAAGTACAGAAATGAGACAATCTATAAACCCTACAATTAATTATTAGGCAACTTTTTATTTTAATAGTAGATCAACTGAAATATGTGGTAGCAGTTACATAATCACAAAATGGTAAGTTTTGAGAAAAGGAAATAGTCTTTAATAATTATGAAATGATTTCAAAATGAAAATATAAAAATGAGGTATCCATATAGTTTCTTTAAATTGACAGTGAAATTGAGATACCCTTTTTAAGTACTCATGGTTGAGTGGTACAACTGCTCATTTGCCCACCTCTGGCAAAGCAGGAAAATTTCTAATTCCAGGGCTGGGTCAATTAGACCATCTGCCGCTTCCAATAGGGTAGCAGAGTCAGGCAAGGCTGAACTCCACAGGGCAAGGGCCAAAGGCAAGACTAAGTACACAACAATTTGGGAGGGTTGTGGGAGGCAGATTCAGTAGGCATAGAGGTGGCAGTATGAGGAGTGAGCTTAACAAATATTTGGTCATCACTCTTAATACTCATGCCTGCAATTTAAAAAATGACCCTAAAAAATAGCAATGCTTTATATTTCTATCTTTCTGGATTGTATGATGGGTAAAATATACATTAGATGTTCATAAACAAAATTTAAAAAATCTTTATATCATACATTCACAAAAAAGCAATACAAATATAAGAATTATAATTTTAAAATCTTCCCAATATTTCCTGTGATTAGCAGTAATAAATATGGAGTTTTCTATATAATATGATTAAGTCATGTCTTTGAATTTTCCTAATGCTTGCCAATTTCAAAGTGATGTATCAAAACATACAAGGACAGTAATGCGCTTTCTCTTAGGCCATATTTAATGTTGTTATTAAAATTTTAATATTCCTCTTGGATAATATGTTTTAAGTAGGGGCTAAAATCTTTCCAGGCATATGGCACTGTTTGATTAGTAGGTTGTCATCAAACTGCCAAGTTTCTCAGTAATGTGTGTTAGGTAGTACTAAGAAAGATCTTGTAACTTCATGCCCCTTCTGCCTTAGAGGCTATCCTTTAAATCATTTGAATCTTCTTGATGGGTTATGCTATTGTAAAACATGCATTTATGAGCATGGAATGTTCTTCCATTTGTTTGTATCCTCTTTTATTTCATTGAGCAGTGGTTTGTAGTTCTCCTTGAAGAGGTCCTTCACGTCCCTTGTAAGTTGGATTCCTAGGTATTTTATTCTCTCATGGATAGGAAGAATCAATATCGTGAAAATGGCCATACTGCCCAAGGTAATTTATAGATTCAATGCCAGCCCCATCAAGCTACCAGTGACTTTCTTCACAGAATTGGAAAAAAACTACTTTAAAGTTCATATGGAACTAAAAAAGAGCCTGCATCACCAAGTCAATCCTAAGCCAAAAGAACAAAGCTGGAGGCATCACACTACCTGACTTCAAACTATACTACAAGGCTACAGTAACCAAAACAGCATGGTACTGGTACCAAAACAGAGATATAGATCAATGGAACAGAACAGAGCCCTCAGAAATAACGCTGCATATCTACAACTATCTGATCTTTGACAAACCTGACAAAAACAAGCAATGGGGAAAGGATTCCCTATTTAATAAATGGTGCTGGGAAAACTGGCTAGCCATATGTAGAAAGCTGAAAGTGGATCCCTTCCTTACACCTCAGGCAAAAATTAATTCAAGATGGATTAAAGACTTAAATGTTAGACCTAAAACCATAAAAACCCTAGAAGAAAACCTAGGCATTACCATTCAGGACATAGGCATGGGCAAGGACTTCATGTCTAAAACACCAAAAGCAATGGCAACAAAAGCCAAAATTGACAAATGGGATCTAATTAAACTAAAGAGCTTCTGCACAGCAAAAGAAACTACCATCAGAGTGAACAGGCAACCTACAAAATGGAAGAAAATTTTCACAACCTACTCATCTGACAAAGGGCTAATATCCAGAACCTACAATGAACTCAAACAAATTTACAAGAAAAAAACAAACAACCCCATCAAAAAGTGGGCAAAGGATATGAACAGACACTTCTTAAAAGAAGACATTTATGCAGCCAAAAGACACATGAAAAAATGCTCATCATCACTGGTCATCAGAGAAATGCAAATCAAAAACACAGTGAGATACCATCTCACACCAGTTAGAATGGTGATCATTAAAAAGTCAGGAAACAACAGGTGCTGGAGAGGATGTGCAGAAATAGGAACACTTTTACAGTGTTGGTGGGACTGTAAACTAGTTCAACCCTTGTGGAAGTCAGTGTGGCGATTCCTCAGGGATCTAGAACTAGAAATACCATTTGACCCAGCCATCCCATTACTGGGTATATACCCAAAGGACTATAAATCATGCTGCCATAAAGACACATGCACATGTATGTTTATTGCGGCACTATTCACAATAGCAAAGACTTGGAACCAACCCAAATGTCCAACAATGATAGACTGGATTAAGAAAATGGGGCACATATACACCATGGAATACTATGCAGCCATAAAAATGATGAGTTCACATCCTTTGTAGGGACATGGATGAAATTGGAAATCATCATTCTCAGTAAACTATCGCAAGGGCAAAAAACCAAACACCACATGTTCTCACTCATAGATAGGAATTGAACAATGAGAACACATGGACACAGGAAGGGGAACATCACACTCTGGGGACTGTTGTGGAGTGGGGGGAGGGGGGAGGGATAGCATTAGGAGATATACCTAATGCTAAATGACGAGTTAATGGGTGCAGCACACCAGCATGGCACATGTATACATATGTAACTAGCCGGCACATTGTGCACATGTACCCTAAAACTTAAAGTATAATAATAATAAAATAAATAAATAAATAAATAAAATAAAATAAAACATGCATTTAAAAGACAAAAAAAAATTCAATTTCAAAGAATGTCTTCAAATATACATACCTGGGAAGGAACATTTTTGGGAGGCTCTATTCGAATGCTTGGATCCCATTCTCCAGGAGGGAGAACAGTAACCTGATCCAGAAACTCATCAATTCCTGATACCAAGTCATTACGATCTTTAGCTTTATAGGCAACATCATGAAATACCTTTAGAAGAAATAGAAATATTATTTATAGCTTAAAAATAATTATAAAATATTAATGTGTTCAGTGTTTTCAACTCAGTTATCTCACATGTGATTATAACAATTTGAAGAAATAGACAGCTCTGACTCTAAAGAAGTTTATGTTGTAAAATATTATAATTTATTTTATGGATCCATATAGGTAACTATTTTTCTTATGATGTCAGATGAATGTTGAAATTTCTAGAGGGAAGGAGTAAGGGAAAGAAAAAGGAGGATGAAAGGAAGCTCATTAAACTAGAATTAGGCAAAAGTTATTTATGTATGGGAAAATCAGTTTCTGGAGGAAGCCTTTGCTTACAAATAGAAATAAAAATTTGTAAAATGTGTTGGAAATTTCAGCAGTATTTATACCCTGGCATAAATAAATTAATTTAAAAGGTTAATTTTGTTTCCATTTTGAAAATAATACTAAGGTTATGTTAGTATTTTCTGGATATATAGTCATTCCTCAGTATCTTTGAGGGATTGGTTCCAGGATTCCCTGCAGATACCAAAATCTATGGATACTTGAGTTCCTTACATAAAATGGAGTGGTATTTGCACATAACCTATGCATATACTCCTATATTTAGAGGATCCCCTACTTTCTATGGTTTCTCTTACAATCTTTTGACTTTATGATGGTGCAAAAGTGACATGCATTGAGTAGGCTCCTCAACTTTCAGTGGGGTTAAGTCTGGATAAACCTATCATAAGTTGAAAATATCATAAGTCAAAAACATAGTTTCCACTTATGATATTTTCAATGGGGGGACATAATCCCCCATTGAAAGTTGAGGAGCATCTGTACTTTAAATCATTTCTAGATTATTATAATATCTATACAATGTATATGCTATATATTTATTATACTGTATAATTTTTATGCATATTATTTTTATTGTAACATTGTTATTTTTTATTGTCCCCCCCTCGAATATTTTTGATTTTTGTTTTTAGAGGCAGGGTCTCACTCTGTCATGCAGGCTGGAATGCAGTGGCACAGTCATACCTCACTGCAGCCTTGAACTCCTAGGCTTAAGCTCCTGCTTAAGCTCCTGTCTTCCAAGTAGCTGGGACTACAGGTGTGTACCACAAAACCTGGCTAATTTTTAAAAAATTTCTTGTAGAGACAGAGTCTTGCTATGTTGCCTGGGCTGGTCTTGAACTCCTGGCCCCAAACCATCCTCCACCTTGGCCTCCCAAAGTGCTGGGATTATAGGTGTGAGCTACTGCACCCTGACTTTTCAAATATTTTTGATTTGCAGTTAGTTAAGTTCAAGGGTGCAGAACCTGAAGATACAGAGGGCCAACTATATATTATATCTACACAGTGCAGAAAGTTCATTTCCACTCAAAGTATGAGTTACATTTCATACTTGTCCCTTCCACCTCCCCTCCGCACACATGTGCTATGTTAGCCATTTAGGCTGTTCACAGATATTCCAGGTTTTCTTCTAGACCACATGGTAAGATTGTACTTCTTTGCCTTCTTTGCTATTTGGATCAGGTATATTCTACTTGGGTGTACATATGTCAGTTTTGAATGGAAGTTATGAGTACCAATGTGTGACTTATCACATTGCTTTTTTTCTGGTTTAGTGACTGAGAAAACACAGGTCCAGCTAGAGCTTCTATAAGCACAGGGGGCCTAAGTGATTATAATGAGCAGAGCCTCTCTCCTACATCTTGATGAAAGTTTAGCATGATAGAAATAAATCCTTATTGTTTTAAGCCATTAATATTTTAGTTGGTTATTCCTGCAGCATAACCTAATTTATCTTATCATACTCAGGAATTACGTACTTAATATAGTAAGTGGGGAAAATAAAAATAAGGATGAAGAGAAAAAATTAATTTACACTGAATATAATATAAATATTTCTGACACTTTAAATTTTACTTGGGATGAAATGATACAAGTATTTGAGATTAAGGACTCCTATATTATTCTTTATGCTGGCCTAAATTACAGTGACCAAATGTCCCAAAATTGCCAGGAAAATTCTGCTTTCAAATATTCTATTTTACTTTTAGACCATTTGTTTCCATTTCTGGTTTGATACTCAATACAAACTGCTAAGTAATAATGATCATTTTAGAAAGCTTTTTATTGACTTTCCAACTAAGAACACGTCACAAAACATTATTGGTCTGATAAACAGACTTTGCTTAGGATAATACGAAAATGTTAAAGATCCATTAATGGTTTAGTTGTATTTTGAGAAAGAGATTTTTTTTAATATTAAAAATATAGATTTCCATGCCACAAGCTTCTTATAAAGATGGCTACATGGCCCTGAGACCTAACTGGAATACTTAAGGATTGCAAAAGTTCTTAGTCCTCAATGAGAGTTTAGCAACCCTACTCTTTTCCTGTTAGTAGCAACTCTCTTGAAATCTTTCTTAATTTGATCACATTTAATTAGAAAACTGCTTTGCGAGATCACATTATTCTATACCGTGTTTTAGGTAGATGAATGTCCAAATTCATCCAGGACAACAGATTTCCTGTTATTTTAAAGCTCCCTAAAGGTATAGATGCCATAATTTGTTTAATTTTAAATCATATAGTACTTACTATTGTTTCCCTATCACCAATGTTATCAATAGCTTAATTATTTTACATTCCTCTTCTACCTTCTCTTTGTCAAGCTAACTTAACAGTCTGATTTCAGTGTATATCAGACTTCCCTGACCCCCTTCTCAAACTAGACTATTGGTTCAATTAAAAAAAGAAAGTTTTTCAGCACAAAAAGGCTGAAAATTCCAAAAACCAGAATGCTGCTTCTCCTCCAAAGGATCACAACTCCTTGCCAGCAAGGGAACAAAACTGGATGGAGAATGAGTTTGACGAATTGACAGAAGTAGGCTTCAGAAGGTGGTTAATAACAAACTCCTCCAAGCTAAAGGAGCATGTTCTAACCCAATGCAAGGAAGCTAAGAACCTTGAAGAAAGGTTAGAGGAATTGCTAACTAGAATAACCAGCTAGAGAAGAATATAAATGACCTGATGGAGCTGAAAAACACAACACAAGAACTTCGTGAAGCATACAGAAGTATTGATAGCTGAATCAATCAAGCGGAAGAAAGGATATTAGAGAGTGAAGATCTACTTAATAAAATAAAGCAAGAAGACAAGATTAGAGAAAAAATAATGAAAAGGAATGAACAATGCCTCCAAGAAATATGGGACCATGTGAATAGACCAAACCTACGTTTGATTGGTGTACCTGAAAGTGGTGGGGAGAATAGGACCAAGTTGGAAAACATTCTTCAAGATATTATCCAGGAGAACTTCCCCAACCTAGCAAGGCAAGCCAATATTCAAATTCAGGAAATACAGAGAACACCACAAAGATACTCCTCGAGAAGAGAAACCCCAAAACACAAAATCATCAGATTCACCAAGGTTGAAATGAAGGGAAAAATGTTAAGGGCAGCCAGAAAGAAAGGTCGGGTTACCTACAAAGGGAACCCCATCAGACTAACAGTGGATCTCTCTGCAGAAACCCAACATGCCAGAAGAGAGTGGGGGCCAATATTCAACATTCTTAAAGAAAAGAAATTTCAACCCAGAATTTCATATCCAGCCAAACTAAGCTTCATAAGCAAAGGAGAAATAAAATCCTTTACAGACAAGCAAATGCTGAGAGATTTTGTCACTACCAGGCCTGCCTTACAAGAGCTCCTGAAGGAAGCACTAAATATGGAAAGGAAAAACAGGTACCCTCCACTGAAAAACACAGCAAATTGTAAAGACCATTGACACTATGAAGAAACAGAAGGGAATCAACTAATGGGGAAAATAACCAGCTAGCATTATAATGACAGGATCAAATTCACACATAACAATATTAACCTTAAATATAAATGGGCTAAATGCCCCAATTAAAGGACACAGACTGGCAACTTGGATAAAGAGTCAAGACCCATTGGTGTGCTGTATTCAGGAGACCCCTCTCACATGCAAAGACACACACAGGCTCAAAATAAAGGGATAGAGGAACATTTACCAAGCAAATGGAAAGCAAAATGCAAGCTGGGGTTGCAATCCTAGTCTCCAATAAAACAGGCTTTAAACCAACGAATATCAAAAAAGACAAAGAAGGGCATTACCTAATGGTAAAGGGATCAATGCAACAAGAAGAGCTGACTATCTTAAATATATATGCACCCAATACAGGAGCACCCAGATTCATAAAGCAAGTTCTTAGAGAACTACAAAGAGATTGAGACTCCCATACAATAATAGTGGGAGACTTTAACACCCTACTGTCAATATTAGACCGATCAACGAGACAGAAAAATCAACAAGGATATTCAGGACTTGAACTCAGCTCTGGACCAAGCAGATCTAATAGACATCTACAGAACTCTCCACCCCAAATCAACGGAATATACATTCTTCTCAGCACCGCATCGCACTTATTCTAAAATTGACCACATAATTGGAAGTAAAACACTCCTCAGCAAATGCAAAAGAACACAAATCATAACAAACAGTCTCTCAGACCACAGTGCAATCAAATTAGAACTCAGGATTAAGAAACTCACTCAAAACCACACAACTACGTGGAAACTGAATAACCTGCTCCTGAATTACTACTGGGTAAATAACGAAATTAAAGCAGAAATAAATAAGTTATTTGAAACCAATGAGAACAAAGACACAACATACCAGAATCTCTGGGACACAGCTGAAGCAGTGTTTAGAGGGAAATTTATAGCACTAAATGCCCACAGAAGAAAGCAGGAAAGATCTAAAATTGACACCCTAACATCACAGTTAAAAGAACCAGAGAAGCAAGAGCAAACAAATTCAAAAGCTAGCAGAAGAGAAGAAATAACTAAGGTCAGAGCAGAGCTAAAGGAGACAGAGACACACACACAAAAACCCTTCAAAAAAATCAGTGAATCCAAGAGCTGGTTTTTTGAAAAGATGAACAAAATAGATAGATGCTAGCCAGACCAATAAAGAAGAAAAGAGAGAAAAATCAAATAGACACAATAAAAAATGATAAAGGGGAGATCACCACTGATCCCACAGAAATACAAACTGCCATCAGGGAATACTATAAACACCTCTACGCAAATAAACTAGAAAATCTAGAAGAAATGGATAAATTCCTGAACACATACACTCTCCCAAGACTAAAGCAGGAAGAAGTTGAATCCCTGAAAAGGCCAACAACAAGTTCTGAAATTGAGTTAGTAATTAATAGCCTACCAACCAAAAAAAGCCCAGCACCAGATGGATTCATAGCCGAATTCTACCAGAGGTACAAAGAGGAGCTGGTACTATTCCTTCTGAAACTATACCAAACAACAGAAAAAGAGGGACTCCTCCCTAACTCATTTCATGAGGCCAGCATCATCCTGATACCAAAACGTGGCAGATGCAACAAAAAAAGAAAATTTCAGGCCGATATCCCTGATGAACATTGATGCAAAAATCCTCAGCAAAATACTGGCAAACCAAATCCAGCAGCACATCAAAAAGCTTATCCACCACCATCAAGTCTCGTTCATCCCTGGGATGCAAGGCTGGTTCAACTTACAGAAATCAATAAGTGTAATCCATCACATAAATGGAACCAATGACAAAAACCACATGATTATCCAACAGATGCAGAAAAGGCCTTCAATAAAATTCAACACCCTTTCCTGCTAAAAACTCTCAATAAACTAGGTATTGATGGAACATATCTCAAAATAATAAGAGCTATTTATGACAAACCCACAGCCAATATCATACTGAATAGGCAAAAGCTGGAAGCATTCCCTTTGAAAACCAGCACAAGACAAGGATGCCCTCTCTCACCACTCCTATCCAACATAGTATTGGAAGTTCTGGCCAGGACAACCAGGGAAGAGAAGGAAATAAAGGTATTCAAATAGGAAGAGAGGAACTCAAATTGTCTCTGCAGATGACATGATTGTATATTTAGAAAACCCCACTGTCTCAGCCCAAAATCTCCTTAAGCTGATAAGCAACTTCAGCAAAGTCTCAGGATAGAAAATCAAAGTGCAAAAGTCACAAGCATTCCTATACACCAATAACAGACACAGAGCCAAATCATGAGTGAACTCCCATTCACAATTGCTACAAAGAGAATAAAATACCTAGGAATACCACTTACAAGGGATGTGAAGGACCTCTTCAAGGAGAACTAGAAACCACTGCTCGAGGAAATAAGAGAGGACACAAACAAATGGAAAAACATTCCATGCTCATGGATAGGAAGAATCAATATCGTGAAAATGGCCATACTGCCCAAAGTAGTTTATAGATTCAATGCTATCCCCATCAAGCTACCATTGACTGTCTTCGCAGAATTGGAAAAAACGACTTTAAATTTCATATGGAACCAAAAATAGAGCCTGTATGGCCATGACAATCCTAAGCAAAGGAACAAAGCTGGAGGCATCACACTACCTGACTTCAAACTATACTACATGGAAAAACCACAGGGCACTTGTATCCAAACCAATATTTAGACCAATGGAACAGAACAGAGACCTCAGAAATAATGCCATTTATCTACAACCACCTGATCTTTGACAAACCTGACAAAAACAAGCAATGGGGAAGGATTCCTATTTAATAAATGGTGTTGGGAAAACTAGCTAGCCATATGCAGAAAACAGAAACTGGACCCCTTCCTTACACCTTATACAAAAATTAATTCAAGATGGATTAAAGACTTAAATGTAAGACCTAAAGCCCTAAAAACCCTAGAAGAAAACCTAGGCAATACCATTCAGGACATAGGCATAGGCAAAGACTTCATGACTAAAACACCAAAAGCAATGGCAACAAAAGCCAAAACTGACAAATGGGAGCTAATTAAACTAAAGAGCTTCTGCACAGCAAAAGAAACTATCAACAGAATGAACAAGCAACCTACAGAATGGGAGAAAATTTTTGCAATCTATACATCTGACAAAGGACTCATGTCCAGAATCTACAAGGAACTTCAACAAATTTACAAGAAAAAAACAACCCCAGCAAAAAGTGGGTAAAGGATATGAACAGAAATTTCTCAAAAGAAGACATTTATGTGGCCAAGAAACATGAAAAAAAGCTCATCATCACTGGTCATTAGAGAAATGCAAATCAAAACCACAATGAGATACCATCTCATGCCAGTGACAACGGCAATCATTAAAAAGTCAGGAAACAACAGATGCTGGAGGGGATGTGTAGAAATAGAAACACACTGTTGGTGGAAGTGTAAATTAGTTCAACGATTGTGAAAGACAGTGTGGCAATTCCTCAAGGATCTAGAACCAGAAATACCATTTGACCCAGCAACCCCGTTACTGGGTATATACCTGAAGAATTCTAAATCATTCTACTATAAAGATACGTTCTACTATAAAGATATAAACGTACTACTGCGTATATTTATTTCAGCACTATTCACAATAGCAAAGACTTGGAACCAACCCAAATGCCTATCAATGATAGACTGGATAAAGAAAATGTGGCACATATACACCACGGAATAGTATGCAGCCATAAAAGAGGACACGTTCATGTCCTTTGCAGGGACATGGATGAAGCTGGAAACCATCACTCTCAGCAAACTAACACAGGAAAAGAAAACCAAACACTGCATGTTCTCACTTATAAGTGGGAGTTGAACAATGAGAACACATGGACACAGGAAGGGGAACATCACACACTGGGGCTTGTTGAGGGGTGGGGGACTAGGGGAGAGATAGCATTAGGAGAAATACCTAATGTAGATGACGTGTTGATGGGTGCAGCAAACCACCATGGCATGTGTATACCTATGTAACAAGCCTGCACGTTCTGCACATGTATTCCAGAACTTAAAGTATACAAAAAAAATCAAACAAAAAAAATTAAGATTGATGATTTGGGGGTTGAGACAGCCACCAAACAATTTTTTTCTTCCTGATTGTACCCTAAATAACATTAGAAATTGTATAAAAAATAAATTCTTTCAATTAAAAAAAATCTCAGAGACTTAGTGTCAAAACGAAGCACACAAAAAAATTTAGCAGTTCTTCATGGGAAAAAAGAAAAATGTGATTTTCAATAATGTCACACTGAACATGTAATAACATTCTTAGTAAGTGATAATTTTATTGAGAGCAGTTTAAGTAGAATGACGGTGCCAAAGTCAGACTGCAATATGATAAGAAATGAATGAGTCTAAAAATATTCAGGATCTAGTAGAGACTACTCCTTCAAAACTCTCAAGATTCAGATTGAACCAACACTTCTTTAAAAGTACGTGCTTCAAAAGTACATACTGTTCTAAGTAGTAAATAATTTTTTTTAAGGATGGGGTAAATCTGGACATTCATTTCATGTGTATTTCTTCCAAGTAGCTACTATGTGTTCTGCATGTTTACTGTCAGGTTTCACTTAAGATCTAGAAGAGAGAGGAAACTGTTAGCTCAAATATCCAGAAAAAGAAAAATAACACCTCGCTTAGTATTTTGTTTGTTTTTGTTTTCATTAAAATGTATTATTTATGTTAATATGTAATGGCTTTACTATTGTTATTTATGTATTTATTTTGAGACAAGGTCTGGCTCTATTGCCCAGGCTGGAGTGCAGTGGTGCCATCTCAGCTCACTGCAACCTCCACCTCCCTGGCTCAAGTGATCCGCCCACCTCACCCTCCCAAGTAGCTGAGCAGCTGGGATTATATGCAGCTAAATTTTTTTGAATTTTTTGGTAGAGACAGGGCTTCACCATGCTGCCCAGGCTGGTCTCAAACTTGTGACATCAAGTGATCCACTCGCCTTAGGCTCTGAAAGTTCTGGGATTACAGGTGTGAGCCACTGAACCCGTTCTATTATTATTTTTAAATGAATTCATTAACACATACTTTTTAAATTTCTCAGTTTTAAGTTCTCCTATGGTAAATACCAACATATCTACATACACAAAAGTTCTTTGGGGTGCTTAGTAATTTTTGAGAATGTGAAGGGATCAACACATTGGTAGCAGTGTTGATAAGCATAATCATATGATTTATCTCTAGCAAAGCTCAACAGAAATGAAGAAAATAAATTATTGGCTTGATTCAAGATAGAATATTGGTATGATGTCTAGAATATTCAGTAATTGATTCATGTTCTAAAGATTTATTGAACCCTGACTGAGGGTCAGACACTCATAATAAGTCTAAAAATACAAAAGGAAGACAGTCTACCTAGAAAGTGTTCCAAGTACAGAGAAGGGAAAGAAAACAGAACTTAGCTCAATGGATATTTATTTGAGCACTTGGAAGAATCAGGTCATAAAAACGAATACTGAATGCTAAAATGCTAACTGTTCTCATGGAATTTATGTTTGATAATGCACTCCAATGCACTATTTTTTTTAACCAAAGTAAACTATGAATCAACATATTAAATTCTATTCTTAATGAGTACAATTGTTCTTTTCTTTTTTCTTTTTCTTTCTTATTTATTTATCTATTTATTTATTTTTGAGACAGAGTCTCGCTCCATCACCCAGGCTGGAGTGCAGTGATGCAATCTTGGCTCATTGCCATCTCCACTTCCCAGGTTCAAGTGATTCTCCCCTCTCAGCCTCTCAAGTAGCTGGGACCACAGGCACCTGCCACCACACCCAGCTAATTTTTGTATTTTTAGTAGAGACGAGGTTTCACCATGTTGGCCAGGCTGATCTCGAACTCCTGACTTCAGGTGATCCATCCACCTTGGCCTCCCAAAGTGCTGGGATTACAGATGTAAGCCATTACACCTGGCCTAGTACAATTATTCAATAGCCTTCAAAGCAATTAGATAAGCAGAACAATTGCCTCACCGAGGCTTTGAGAAATACAAATCTGTTTTCTCTTTTAAAAAATATTTAAACATTCTTTGATATTCAATCAATGTCCTGTTGTAATTAACATGTCCTATTATAACTAATGGCTCTTATCTTTTAGAGTAGCTTTCTGGTTGAGTTTCTGCTTCTCTATCCCATAATCTACAATGATTACCTAAAGCCATGCTCTGAAACTTTCAAGTCTAAATAATTGAAAAAATAGATGACTGATGCTTATGCTCAAATTTCAGTCTTTATTATGTGATTGATGCTTATTCTCAAATTAGGTAGCTCTCACTAATCAAAGAAATAGGTGGAAGCCCCTTCTCTGTTCTCATCCTAAATCTGAAATTTATAGAACATGGATGTTTCCCTGTTCTGTGTCCACTTGGTTAGTCAAGAAAACTTTGGAACTGACATCTTTCTGTCGAGAAAAATCTTGATTCCCAATTGGGGAAGTAGAGGATGAAGAGAAGAGAGATACATTGATATACATGTACTTCCCATGACATAGTAGGATCCTCTCACATTATCACGTGTCTCATGCCCCACAGATATCTTAAAATATTGCCCTAATTTCTTAGATGGGGAAACATTTTTTGTCTGAAATATAACAAAATATTAAACAAATGTATGTGAAAGTGATAATACTTAAATCATAGAATAACAATACAAATCAATATAGAAATACTAAGAGCTTTTATACTGTGAGTGTTTTCTCAGAGAGAGTTCTGCTAAATCAGGTGTATGGCCCTCATTAAGTTATTTTTTTCATCCTCCTGTCTTCTCACAAATTTCCTAAATAGAATAAGTTATTCATTACAGTGGATTGAATAATTTCCTCCCAAAATACACATCAACCTGGAGCCGCAGAATGTGGCCTTATTTGAAATAAGGATTTTTGCAGATGTAATTAAGGTAAGTATCTCAAGATGAAATTATCCTGAATTAGGATGGGCCCTAAATCCAATGATTTGGATGGATTTAGGATGGGCCCTAAATCAAATGACAAATGTCTGTCTTCATAACAGAAAATAAGAAGACACACAGAGACAACTGGGAGAAAGCCATGTGAAGATGGAGACAGAGAACAAAGGTCTATTGCCACAAGCCAGGGAAGACCAAGAGCCACCAGAATATGGAAGAGACAAGGAAGGATCCTCCCCTAGAGACTTCGAAGGGATTGTGGCCCTGCTGACACCTTGACTTCAAACTTCTAGCCTCAAAAATGTTAGAAAACAAACTACTGTCATTTTAAACCACCCAATTTGTAGTAGTTTCTTATGGCAGTCGTTGTAAACTAATACACTCATTAAGTTGGTTCCTTTTGAAAACTGAGGGAAAAAATGTTTTTCTTCTTGCTTTTGCTTTCTTGTGCATAAATATCAAAAACTAATTCATATAACACTATAAAACATAATTTGGACAGATTGAAGAATTTATAATATTTAACCCCCAAAACAAGTTCAAATTTTAGCTATTGTAAACATAGAAAAAGTAATATACAATACTAATTGGCTCTTTTTACAGAATTTTCAAATATCTGCAGCCATGTATTTCAATAAAAACATTATTAAATTATTTAGATGAAATCTAGAAGTATATAATCCCATTTGTTCATTTACAACTGAATTTTGATTTAATGCCCCTTCTGTGATCTACTGCATCTGCTCTTCCCGTTAACAATAACAACAAATTTCCATAATGTGTTGGAGAACCCAAGTAAAGGAAAATAGTGGTATGATGCTACTTTTTATGTTCTTACTTTAAAGATCTTATATTTTTGAGACATACACTTCTTTGAAGAGCTGATGAAAGCTTTTTCCAGTCCCAAAAAATCTACATACAAATTTTTTACATAGAAAAATTTACATGCTCTGTTACAGAAATCACAAGCTCCTTGAAATCTATCTACAGCTTCTCTAATAGTCCCCAGACTCCCAGGTTAAAAATATCTACATTCAGGCAACTGTAGAGAGTTGATAGATGTTGCATGCATTTTGGTGTCATGTATACTATTCAGATAAACTGCTATTGTTTTTTCTTTAGACTTCGAAATTCTTTACTCAAAACAAGATTTCCATTGATATTAACAATGGTGCTTACTTTGGTAGCACATATACCATAAAGGGAATATTAATAATATATTCTAAGTGTCACTGAAAAAATTTCTTTACACTATGAAGTTTTAAAATATTATATTCATGGGTGTTAATTTATTATCCCTTTGGGAAACATTTTTCTAAAGGAGATTTTATAGCAGAAGCATGGGAGAATGGGATTCAATACAGAGAAATCTGATTCACAACAAACTGTCATGAAAAGAGGACCTCCAAAAGTTTTAGGTATACCTAATGGGGGAAAATGTTCCCAAAGAACTTGAATAAATACCTCATCTGTCATTAGGGTTGCAATTGATCTGCCAATCTCATGGTACTGTTGACCCTTTCCCAGGGGTCCCAGAAGAATGAACAAAAATCTGTAATTAAGAAGAAAAAAAATGTTTTAAGGTAGAAATATAAAAATAATTTTAGTAATACAGAATCACTCATCTCAAAGGAATTACTGAAAATGGAGATTGTGATGGCAAATACTTCCATAGTTTTTCATAGTTCATTATTATTTTGAAAAATTTTACCATGATTGACCCTTATGCTTAAGATCCTCAAGCAATGGGAATGCATGGTTTTCCGTGTTTTTTTTTTTTATCACAGTGTTTCTCCGTTTAGTTATCTGTACAGCATGTGCAGTTGTTATTGGGAATTTTAAGGATTCTATGATCCTTAGAGAAGGAAAGTGGGAAAAGTAAAATCTGATTAGACCTTTCTAAATTGGAAGGAAGAAAACTCACTTGTATGCAAAATGGCGAATAGTTCAAAGGGGACAAAGGTAACACAGTAGCAAAACAGAGAAAATATAGAGTCAAAAAACAGTAGGTGTATGTGCAATTTTCATTATAAAAAATTATTGTCAGGAATCAAAGATCAGCCACGTAGAAGAAAATGGGGAGTTAATGATCTATTATTTATAATGCTGAGGAATAAAAATAGCATCTGCACTATAATATTCCATCTATATTAGGTCGAACATTTGGCAAATTCATCATCACAAGTGGTGCTTTTAAAGAAATCAATAGATACTCTAACTTTAGCAGACTGGTAATTGCCCTGTCTCTGAGAAGGTCAATCCTTCTGGGAAATTTTGAAAATTAAAGAATGCCCTATATTCTGCCATATCATTCTGTGGTGTTAATTTGTTAAATGGTTTATGCTGTTAAGTATGAAGACTAATGACTTCACAAGGTGTACTAAAATAGTTACTATAATTCTACTCCTCATTTAGTTGTAATCTTTAGAGATTGTACATGTTTTTACATGAGGCAAATATTACACAATTGTAGAGGATATGACAATATTTTTTGTGTGTGCCAGTGACAACTGAACCCAAGCCAATTTCTACTATGTAGAAATGTCCAGTATACATTAAAAACAGGAATGGTTTAATTCGGTAGCAGGTGCTTTATCAACTATAATAGCTTTTTAAGAAACTTCCTAACCTATGTACATCTTGCTATTTTTCAGGTTTCCATTCCATGGGCTATTTTTAAAGATCTAAAAGATTATTTTCTGACCTTTCTACTATGTGTTGCCATCGTATTAATAGGATGCCTTTTGTCTTCCCAAAAAAAGGATAATAAGAAACCCTGAATGGCTTTCTTTATTTTGTTTGTCCAACTAATCTTCCATTTTTCACCTTTCCTAACTAAATAGTCTTGTCTTTAAATCTTTTCTCATACAGTTGCTCTACAGTGGCCCTAATTTTTTTCTCCGTTGTTCTCTACACATATTTTGCTATCTCAGTATGAAATAAGGTCACTTAAACCTGACAGTTTTCACAGTAAGGGTATATAACCCCATCACGGCTTTTTTCTACTCATGGGAATTTTTCTTTTCCTTCTTTTGAAATACAAGCACTATCATTGTCGTAAATAGCCATCATTTGCTCATAGTTCACCAGACACCTTCCTAAGTGGTGGAACACAAATGCACTGCTTGGAGGACTGAAAAGAAATTTTAAACTGCTATAATAGTAACTCTACCATTAGCAAGTTTAACATCTTAGATATAAATCCCAGACTCCCAGAAACCTTGAATAGGTTACAGGTTGTCCATAGAAAACATATAGCCTGAATCACACAGTCAGATGCCACTTTAATGTGCTCAGTTCATCCTTTCCCTTTGTACATAAAAGTTGATGTGTATCAGTCATCTCAGTAACTCTCAAACAGGATAAACATAGACTTCTTTCTATAATCTGAACAGTAACTAGATTCCTCCCCCAAACCATAGTCAGACATAGGTACTTAACCACTGAATCCCGTTCCAGTCAGCTGAGCTCTTAAAAAATGAGGCCTCTCCTGGCTGTGCTGTTCCATAGTTGTAGAATATTTTATCCATAATCAAAGCATGGAGTTATATAATCTGCTATATTTTGAGTTAAGGCCAAAGATTCATAGAGGACATATATTCTACAGTTGATACAGTACCTGAACTTTTCATCAAGTAACTTGGCTAAGGTATTCAATGTTTGGAAGAGGAGGCGCACTAACAGCTTTTGAGATAGCTGTAGCATCAAACAAAGGGCACCAGCCATATGGGAACGGGGCCCTAAATATACATGTTTTGCTGTGGGAATAGGACTAGAGTAAAAGGCTATCTGCATTTTGGAATCACACTGATGGTAGAAGTATGGAAGAAAACAAGGTTCCTGGGTAAATTGCTTGGAAATTAATGTGCTAAAGTCAATATTCTGTGTTTCCTTTCTTTTTTTTATCTTTTTCTTTTTTTTACAGTTTTAGTAATGGATAGCCTTATTCTAAAAAATGAGAAAAGCATAATTCAGTTTGTATTATCCCTAAGTTGTTATTTTATTGTTAAATGAGAAACAAGTTCTGATCATCAAATTAAATTTGTACCTTTAACTCACATCCAACCACACTGCGATAATACTTCTACCAGTGTTTCTACAGACCCTGTGTGTCGGAAGCCCACTGTGCCTAGGATTGAAACATATATTTGACGCTATCCTAACGATGGCACTTACATGCATTTTGAAGGCCTTCTTATTCAAGTGTAAGCAAACCTTAGTAACTTTGCTGTTTTTGAGTTTGACCGCACTCATGCACAGGATCCTTTCTTTCTATAGCAGACAATTTAATGCAATCTTTGAGAAAAAGCTAACATGTTACCACTTCTTTTACCAAAAATGTAAAAAAAAAAAAAAAAAAAAGGATTCATATGGCTTCAGGGTACCTTGAGATGAGGAATGTGCCTAAAATGAAGCAGAAGTTTGAGAGAAGGGAGGAAAGAAGAGAATAATTTTTAAAGCACTTTTCCCCTCCTCCACAAACAAAAATTAATAGTAGTTTTGTGGATTTCACATTAGTTTCTAGTCAAAACTCTAACAGAAAATTACATTGAATCCTCATTTTCTTTCCATGAAAAGATGGTTTAAGAAAAATACAAAAGACGCTTTTATACTTTTTACCTGGTTGGGATTGGGACTTCAGCCAGTCCTTGAAGCAATACAGCTGGAGACAACCTGACAAACGCAACTACTGTTCGATCCAAGAACTCCAGTTCTCCCACTAAGATGTTCGATGCTTCAGCACCTGGAGGAATCTTTTTCATAAAATGCAGATCAACCTGCAAGCATCACCAGGTAAATATGATAAATCAAAATTGGAAAAATCTGGTAAATCATATTCTTGCACAGTGCTTCACATATAGTAATCCATGAATAAATATAGTTTAAATAAATACACACAGTTAAACATCTCATTTGCCCTTTTTCTATAATAACCTTTTTTCTTTACTTGTGGATTATTTTAACTTGTCATCAATAAGCTGAGTACTCTGGTACTTCTATTTATTATTTTTAAAAGAAGTTTCTCCAGCCTCAACAATCTTGAAATTTTAGACAGGGAAAAGTATGTGAGTTCAGTTAAATAACTATTCTTTAACCATAATTTAATTAGCATTTGCCAACAGATTTAATATTTTATACTACATTACCTAATTTTTGTACATAATACATTTTAATTGATACTCAAATATGCTTATGTCAAAAGAAATATAATCCTGTTTCTCTTTACAGTATAAATTATGACTTTAACCTTCTTCTCTTTTCTAGTTGTTCTATATTCTTCACATTATATACTTGGCCTGGTAATTCTTCAATATTGGTTTTTCATCTGAGAATTTAGATATGACACAGTAGAAAAAAATAAGAAAAAAATATTAACATTTGGAGTTACTGAAGAGCTATAGTTGAATTTCTGACATGAGATGTTTGTGATCGAAATGAATGTACACAAAGCAAAAGTGATCATTAACGAGAAGAAATGCTAAGAATAAAGGGTGAAGTCTAAAAAATGAATGCAAAATATCCTTAACAATAAATATCAATTTTTATGCATAGGGCCTCAGTGAAAGACAAGCAGTGACTTTAATGTAAATTGTACAAGATCTATGTCTTGTTTCTAATTCACTTGAGTAGCTTTTTATGAAACTCTGTTTTTAGGGGAGTAAGAATTTATCTGCTCTAGTAATTGATCTTATGCTCTGATGTTAATGAAATGAGGGCCAAAGATCAAAGTGAGAATAGCCGAGAGAGGAATGAGCTCTGGCAAATATGAGTGGGGCTGAGAAGATTTTTTTTAGCCTAGATAGTTCTTTTGCAGGTTTAATGATTTGAGAATATTTTTCTCAAAAATTTAAAATGAAAAAATCCATAGTAATACTTAGTGACTACATTAAATATGTTGCTTTCTGAAATCAAGATGATAGTACAGCTATTTGTAAGTTTTGTAACTAATTAATCTTTCCAAAGAATAAGGATACCACAAAATATATAACCTAGTATAGGAAGCATATGTTCTTTCACAAGGATTAAATATAAAAATATCCTACAGTACTCCATCAAAAATATTAAATAGAATCATTATTTTATTTTAAAGGAAAGGAAGAATGATTTAACAAAGCAAAACTGCCTATAAAAATATCTAACAAATATTATACATCCAAAATTTTTAAGCTACAAATGTACTCCAAATATAAATTTGTAAATTCATAATTAATGTACACTGGATTATATAGCAAATATTTTGCTTTTGTGGAATCTGATCTTTTAGTTTATAGATAGCAAAAGTATTTATTTACTATAATAAGTAAGGTTAAATTTCATGGGATTTATTGTGGTATTTTTGTAGGTATTTATCTAGTTAGGAGAAATGTACACATTTAAGATGCTT
Source organism: Homo sapiens (assembly GCF_000001405.40). NCBI lineage: Eukaryota > Metazoa > Chordata > Mammalia > Primates > Hominidae > Homo > Homo sapiens. The sequence continues at coordinate 161,877,523 of NC_000002.12, read as the reverse complement.
TAAATTAGTAATGCTTTACATTTTTATTGTAATGCCAAAATTCCCAAGGAGGGAATAGAAGATTTCCCATATACTATCAGCTCTGTGAGGAAAACATAATAAATCTCATAATCCTTTCTGTTACTAAAAGAATAAACAGTTAAGTTTTCTCTCTCAATGGAAAGAACAATGATACAATATAAATATACTGAACAAAATTTAAAATGAGAAAACATCTTTTTTTAAAATCCATAATTGATAATATGAATTATATTGATAATACCTGAAATTTAAATTCCACCTTGAAAATTCTATAAACTCATTTATTGCTTGACAAATGCCATTGTCTTAACTATGAAAGTCTGTGCCTCGGGCAACTGGTGATTATAGAAATAACTGTTTAAAGATGAAATTTAATTAAATCAAGAAGTACATAGTATGTTAAAATAGTTAAATTTTGTAAAAGAAAATATATGGTCATTACATATGATCTTTAAATTTACAAAATACCTAATATATCATTGATACCTGTTATTTAGAAAAAACATTAAAATATACAGAATTTAAATTCAGGATAAGCAAATTCATCTTTTGACTTCAAATGGAATAAGTTATAGTACTATAGCACATATCTGGGGTAGCCATTGTATTATACTCATTACATTACATTATTCTTGGAGTAATCATATACTTTGGGAAGTAATCGATTATATATTATCTAATTATATTATTCTATATTATGTATAGTTACATATTATATTATTCGTGGGGCAACCCTATATTTTGTGTTTGTGTACTATATACTTCATGAAGAAACTTATTTGACAAACCAACTATCTTTTTTGGTTTGGTTAAGTTTTTGAGACAGGGTCTCCTTGTGTCATCCAGAGTGGAGTGCAGTGGTGCGATCCCAGCTCACTGCAGCCTCGAACTTCCTGGCTCAAGCCATCCTGATCCTTCCATTTCAGCCTTCTGAGTAGCTGGGACTACAGGTGCGCCACCATGCCTGGCTGATTTTTTCTAGATTTTGTAGAGATGAGGTCTTACCATGTTGCCTAGGTTGATCTCGAACTCCTAAGCTCAAGTGATCCTCCTGACTTGGCCTCTCAAAATGCTGGGATTACAGGTGTCAGCCACCATGCCCTTGGCCCCCTAAGCAACTTTTAATATAATAAAATATTATGTTTAAAGACCTGAATGTGACCTCTTATAAAATTATAAATATGTAAAGCAGCTCTAGAGAATCTAGGTTGAACTACATCCCTAAGAAAACTGTCAAGTGAACACAAACACTTGGAATGGACAAGAAGGAAATCCTGGAAGTTTCTGGTCCTCTGAATAGGATCTTGAAGAAATCGAGCTATACTCTTCTGGGTCTGTATTTACACTCATGCTTCTGGGCTGCCCAGACCTCACCTTTATGCTGGTAGTGGAAAGATTTCTTTCTGGGCCTTTGATACTTAATCTGTGGATGAGAAACAGTTACATTTCTAGGGAACAAGGAATGAGATTAGATAGAAGACCAAGGTGAAATTGGAAGTGTCTGGGCAAACTACACGCTAAGAGTTAAAGGAAAAACAGATGGAAATTTAAGGAGAAAATTTAAGCCTTCAGCCCCTTATAGAAAGTACAAGAAACTTCATAGGGATTCTCTGGGAAGAAATGGTGTCTTGACACTAACTCGCCAGTGATCTTGAGCAGCTCTCTTAATCACTCTATAATTCAGCTTTCTTGCTGACTAAATGAGGAGATGTCTAAGGTTTCCTACAGTTCTAGGATTAAATAATACAACTCTCTCTAATATGTTTCATACACTAAAGCTAGATGCAGACGGAAGTTCTTTCTATGTAGAAAATTATGTGAAGCCATCTCTGGGTCATTTGAAGTAAAAGAAAACACCACCAACATAAAATACCTACGTTCCACTGTCAGCTTGAAAAACAAAAACAAATATTGCTTTGACACATCTGCTTTTTAAAAGTATTATGGGAAGCTAAAACCTGATAATTCCAGTTATTTTCCTAATCATTCCTTAAGTAAGTTTGATACGTCTATCCACTGGAAGGGTTACAAATATGTAGGTTGAATGTAGATGGAATAAATATGATCAAATCATATAAGATGAATAAAGACCTTTTTTTTCTTAACACCTCAAAATGTTTGGAATCTGCATATTAAGATTCTGGGGTTTTGGAATCTGTATATTAAGACTTAAAATATTAAAACAGAGAACTAACCTGGAGACTAGGTGAATTCTGATAAATTCACTACTAAACTAAAATCATAAGGCTAAAAAATATCAACTCATGCACCTGCAAAATCTGGCACTAAAATTTGTTTCCATAGTGATAGATCACAATTGCTCTTTTCAAACTCTACTTTTCTGCCCTCTCAGACTTTAAAGTAAAAAATCTTACTTAGTCTTTTTTAAATTCCAAAACTGGGCTTACATTATTTTGAATCTTGAAGGATTCATTCAACAAATATATACCAAATACTATTCAAGGCACTAAAGACCCAGTGGAGACCAAAACATTCAATTATGGTCTGGTGTTTCATTTCTGACACTATTATCTCTACTACTACTAATAACCACACTAATAAGTGTAACCACCTTTTATTAAATACCTGCTACAAGTCAAGCACTGTTCCAGCACCTCCCTCTATATTAGCTCATTAAATCTTCACAACGAAATTGTAAATAGTTTTCTTACTTTGCAAATGAGAAGGCTGAACTTTAGAGAACTTCTCCAAGATCAGCTAGTTTATAATGCCAGAGTTGGGATTCAAGATCTCATGCTGTTTCTCAAAAGCCACATTCTTTCCAGTGTGCCATGCTATGAACAAGAGACTTTCCAGTGTGCCATGCTATGAACAACAGCTGACACTAAGTAGAGGGCTCTAGAAATTTAACTTGCCTATTAAAAGATGAAACGGGCCAGTGATCGCAAATGTGAAGAGAAAGAAAAGGATTAAAAGAAAGGAAATCGAAGTTTGACTCTTCCATAGTTTTAACTGTTTGAGGGGGGACCAGAAGATGAGACTACTGCCTACAACTGGCAATCTTCATTTTCTTTCATATGTGATGAAGTATTCTTGAAGGCTGCAAAGGCAGGTCACACAACCAAAAGCAACATGATATGGAGATACACAATCAGTGTATAAAGGTTATATTATTTTTAAAAAGTTAAATCACAATTTATTTGAAAGGAGGAGCTATGTGCTTTATAATGATTGTTTCTGAGGATGTTAAATATGCCTTCTTTATGTTGTTAATGCATTTATACATAAATATGCAGCTCGTTACATTATTGCTTTTAAGATCATTTCAAATTAAGAATATCAGAAATTAAATGTATGGCAGTTTGTGACAACTTTTTCCAACTTGCAGATGAATGAAGATGCAATGCTTTAAAAAGATAGTTCTTAGAGTGGCAGATGGAATACATTTCAACTGGCTTAATGTTTGAATCACATGCCTCCATACAGTGAAATGAGCTTTGAACCACTGTAGAAATAGAGCCCGAGTATGCCCTCACCTCTCTCTCTTGCTGGTGTGGAGGTCCTTTTTCATGCCTTTGTTTCATCCCACATGGACTAGTATGCCCCTTTTGTTGGCCTCCCAGTCCCTGCACGCATAATTAACAGACTTAAGCTGGTACACCATGCTCCCACGGAGACTCCGCCAGGCACCAGAGGGAGAGCATGCACGTAACTAGATCTAGATTATTTAGGCATTGTCAGAGGGATTCTGAAACAGGTCCAAGGAGCTGATCACTATTAATCTTTTCAGAACCTTGATTCAGGCTACTTCCTCTACTGCTTCCATCCATTCCCACCTCCTCCCACTACTATAATTATTGCCAGTGCTAAGGGCTTTATTAAAATATTACTCTGAGTTACTTCTATTTCAGCCACTCAGATAAAGAGAATTGTTAACCTGCCGTATTTTCACCAAGTATTCAAACTCCTTCTCTTTTGCATTGTCTTTTTTTTTTTTTTTTTTTTTTTTTTGAGATGTGGTCTCACTCTGTCACCCAGGCTGGAGTGCAGTGACACGACCTCAGCTCACTGCAATCTCTGCCTCCTAGGCTCAAGCAATCCTCCCACCTCAGCCTCCCAAGTGGCTGGAACCACAGGCACGCGCCACCACACCCGGCTAGAAACTCCTCTTTTCCACTCAATTGTTACTTTGCCATAGCTTGCAATGGCACATATACAATGTCAGGAATTTGCTAATCAAAATCACATCATTGTCACTGACTCATTTTCTAAGAATACATTCAAGTTAATGATTTCACTTCAGTTGTCTCCAATTAGATGTATCCCTCAACACAGTCAGTTCTTAATATGTTTTTATTTAAAACTCTGCTCAGTTTTGCTGTGTCCTTCTAGGATTTCCTTACAGTAATGACTTTTCCTTAATTACATTAACAATTCAGTTTTATATTATGATTTGCTTTCCCACAAATAGAAGAAAAGTGATTTTGAACACAAACTAGCCAAAGTTTTTAAACAATAGATTAAACTTGGCCGGGCGGGGTGGCTCACGCCTGTAATCCCAGCACTTTGAGAGGCTGAGGCGGACGGATCACCTGAGGTCAGGAGTTCGAGACCAGCCTGTCCAAGATGGTGAAACCCCGTCTCTACTAAAAATACAAAAATTAGTCAGACATAGTGGTGCACGCCTGTAATCCCAGCTACTCGGGAAGCTGAGGCTTGAGAATTGCTTGAACCCAGGAGGCGGAGGTTGCAGTGAGCCAAGATTGCACCACTGCATTCCAGCCTGGGTGACAGAGCGAGACTCTGCCTCAAACAAACAAACAAAGAACAACAAACACAAACAAACAAAAATAGATTAAACTTCTGTTAAATTCCCTGTGAAGCCCAGTTATTCTTTTTATTGGAAGAGATAACATTATACCAAGTGGCTGAAACATGAATACTATGCATAAAACTCACAGGTTCAGTTTTTTTTTTTTTTTTTGAATAGGCAAAATGTTACATGTGGACTTAATGCTAACATTTTCTGTAACAATATCAAGCTTTGACAAGAAACAAAAAGCGCATGCAAAATATTGTGTCAACACCTCTTAAAATGGGTAGTAATTTCTAGTAGTAATTTAGCAACTTACTTAGATGAGAGGGAGAAAAGCTCACCTTGCTAAAGTCAACAGTGCTGTTTTCTCTGCTAACATCATTTTTATTTTCAACACAGGCTGGAGCAGACTGAGGAGAAACAACCTGACCTGCTAAAAGAGATTGTTGTGACAGAATACAAACAATTACTTACATAGTTGTAGACATACTGAGTGAAATAGGCACTTCAATTAAACTAGACTAACAGGTTTCTTAATAAATTTATGATGTAAGAATGAAGGGTCAATATAAATAAATCTATATTAATACAAACATTCTTATTATCAGTAACAGGTAGAAATGGGAGAATTCAGTAAAAAATAAACATATTTTCAGATAAAAACTCTAAAAGATTATTTTCAATAAGGATTATCTACAAAATATGTAAATGTTACCAGGATTTTGAAGCATCATTGATTTCTAGATTCCAACCAAAACTAATGGCGTATATAAAAAGACAAGATAGACATCTGTTAAGATGTAAGCTCAGCCTGAAGAATTTAAAATGTAAAGCATTAAAAAGGACGGATATTTATCTGAAAATTACACAGTATATTTTTAGGTTCTATTGCATCTAAAAAGCCAAACCAATGAAAAAAATTTCTTTGGCCATAACTCTTACAGTTTTCTATATAAGGGGGTTCAGTTAGAAATACCTTTATTTCACACAGTATGAACACTATGGATATGATTTTATGCCTCTGACTATTCTATTATATAAGCATACTGGTACTAGTCTGTGATGTGAGAAAAGATAAAAACTTGAATTGTATTAGTTTTGCATTAACAGTAAATTAAAACAAAATTATCTTGTAGTTCTTTTCCCTATTATAGGGAAGATGATGAGAATTAAGTGGATAGTAGCTCTGGGAGTGTGGCAATGGCTAGAAAAGGTTAAATTCCATCATTCACTAAATATGAAACATTGTTTGCAGTAAGTCATATGAAATTTGTTCATAGTTAGCAATGCAATGAAAATTAAACATCTCCCCATCTTTTTTTTTTCTGTGAAATGAATAAAGACAACTCAACTCTGAAGCCTTGCTCATATTTATGATAATAACTCAATGACTCAAAATACTGCTTTTATTCACGTCAGTTGTAGATGTTAGAAATACTCTCTCTGTCTGGCTCTTCTCTCTACCTACCTAAATCCCAATTTTATTCTAAATTCACCTTTAGTGTCATCTCTAATCACTTCAGTCTCTGACTGAAATTCTCTAAACTCCCAGTGTAAATGCAAAAAAACCCCACAAAAACGCTTTCCCTTAAATTCTCTCCTGAAAACCCACTTATTCTTTGTTACCTAGAAATTACCAACTGTGGTTAAAAATACTAATTATTTACTTTCAAATATTACTATAAGTTTGCTTTTTGGACTAGTAAGCCTCTCAAGCAGGGGTCATTTATTAATAGGAGTAATTTTATGGTTTAAAGTTGTTATAATGCCAGAAAGTAATAGGCTTAATATTCTTCTAGAACTTAAGGATTTCACTACTTTCATTAAAAAATGTAAAAGAATATATTTGGAGAAGATGAAAATAAAATGACTTTTTAAAATAAGTTCACCTCAAACCATGTTCACAAATTCTGAGTATAGCATATTCTAGGGAAATATATAAACTTCAGATAAATGTCACACAAGCTACATAAATTATTCTCATTCTCCCATTTCTAACCACAATGTGCAGCTATGACTGTGAACTGTTCATTAGCAGCCATTCAATTTACCATTCTCAAAATAATAACTGTAGTTTTAAAAAAATCTTTTACATAATGCATTTGTGCTACCAACAGATGTCTTCAATCACCAGTTTCACATCATTTCTCCATATTTTAATGAGTTAGAACATTAGATATATTTAAAACTAAATTTATTGAATGTTCTGTAAAATTGAGTGGTGAAACTCAAGTCATGGATAAATTAAATAAACACATATCTGCTTTCTTATAATAATTCATTTCGTGTGGTATAAATCTACATGGAAGAACAATTATTTAGTTCTATCACCAAACACATACAAAACAAAAGTCAACCCAGTGCAAAGTCATTAACTTTGAAGAGATTAAATTTTGAATTGGATAGAAAATATGCGGAACTTAACATTTGAAGAAATTGAATACCTTATGTTTTCATTTGTATACTTTAAGCAGAGCATTTCATAAATTACCTTCAGCTCAGGTAGTATGTTTAAAATATTAATACTTGTATTTCTCCTTGTAAATAATTACAGTAATTAATAATTAATATTTTATGTAATAATTATAATAATATATTTTGAGATTGTTGTATGCTATTCTTGTTCTAAAACAAGAACAATTTTAGAAAATATTACTTTATAAGGTTGATAATGAAGAAGGGATTTAGAAACTATTTTTATAAATATTTTAAGTGATGTTGATAATGACCTAGTTGAGAGTTTAACTAGCAGCAGACACATCAGATGACAGTAAACTTCTTGCTAGTCCTAGATTCTAGGTATGTGTATAGAATGTATGCTAATATAAAAAGCCATAAAAACTACTAGCCTATGACATAGACATAAAGACCACAAATTGTATATCGTTTATATTTCAGAGCAGTAGTTAAATGATAGGCGTTAATATTCATAATTAAATATATTTAATCACATCAAAAGTCCTGCGAAGTTTAAGTAGCACTTCAAATCTTGTTATTTCTTGTCTATTATTTCTAAAAATGTAAGTTAATTTGTTAAAGTTGAAACAATGTACATTAAATGTGTATATCCTCAAGGCAGTTTTCACAACTTGGTAGTATATAGAACGATGTATAGATACTATTTAAAAATTAAGCTAACAAGTTTGATTTGGGTTATTTTGAAAAAATAGAAGTCTTTTAAAAAGCTTAACATTTTATTTGCTGTATATATAAAACCAATATTCAAGCATGAATTATAGTATATAGAACTAATTGAAACCTCATAAATTAAAAATGATTTTATAGTTCTATTATCAATTGTAATCATTGTTTAAATATATTTTTCTCTATGCCAATTATTTAGTTTATGCCAATTATTACCATCTTTCAAAAGAAGATGATGGATTAAATTTCAAAATTAATTTCATTAACTGAAATACTATTACATAAGAAGAATCAATAAATTCAGATTTTGGAAGGGCATCTCTTATTTTCTTGCTGATGTCTAAGGCAATAATGGTTCACAGAATGGCAATTTTCAGGTACAGAATTTTACCTTCAGCCAGAAGTAAAAATTTTCCTAATAGAATAACAAAGAATTTGCTAGGATATTTTTCCCTCACGGAAAAAAATTAGTATAAGTTTAGGATTTAGCACTCATATATGTGTGGAAGCTTTATGAATGCTAATTGTATACTGTAATTTTTTTAAAGTGCTATACCACAGTACTTACAAACAAATGCTTTTTACCTGTTTCTTTATATTACCTTTGTCCACTGATCACTACCCATATTATTTCCTATAAATGAATGTCATTGCAATGTTCAATTATTTCTGTTTTTATAATACCTAGAAAATTTTGAGGCATGAGGATGACTATGAAAAAAAGACATTGAGTAATCTATTATATTCATGGTAAGTTATTAAAAAACTGATGAAAAGTAGATATCACTAAGGTTAACTGGTATCTGTGACTATTTAAACGTAAATGGAAACATTTGAGAAACCTAATATCTCCTCTGCTATTTACTAAATACATTTTTATGACTTGTTAAGCTCAACAGTTCTTCACCTTAAATCAAAATTTCTAATATTTGTTTGATATCTTACCAATTAAGATATATATTATATAGTATTCATATTAGCACCTGTTTGAATTACTTTTCTTTGAGTTACAAATTCATTTTTTTTTCTTTGAGTCTTCATGTAGGGATCATATGTGTCAGATAAAAAGTTATTATAGACCATGAATTTTTCTAGGGCAAATTATAATAGATATGGGGCTAGCATAGGAGAAAACTGAGAGTATTTTGAGTAAATACTAACTAGAAAAATGAAGCTGTTTTTCTGCTTGTTACACCATAAATTTTTCACTAAGTGTATTGTGAGACTGGTAAAGTCATTTTCTTTATCATACAGTTTCTTTATCATAAAGGAAGGAACATGAGATTACATCAAAAGTACTATTTCATGACTTTAATTAATAGCAGTATTTTAAAACACTTCATTATTGGAAAAAAAGGTATATTCTCAAAAACCCTGTTGAGTATTATATTAACTCATTTGTCTTTAGCTATAGTTCTCTTCTTCTTTAAGTATGCACATATGTATTATAAAACAGCAGCTTAGCAACTTTTAAATTTATAGTTGGCCAAATTCGTATCAATAGAATATATTGCATAAATGTATCATTATTTTCTACTGCTTAATCCACTGTAAATCACGTGCACTAGAAGGAAACTGGGATGAAGACATGGAGGTACATTACTATTAACCTAGAGACCAAGCTGGTTTACACTACCTCAGAAACCTTCAACGCATTTAGAGTACCCAAAGGGTAGGAGATGAGGGAGGTACAGAGATGAGATGAGCCTGTTAGAGACAGACACAAGACAGAGCAAAATAAAGAAATATAAAGATGAATGACAAAGTTACATACATGTGTAACAATACATTTATTCATGGGAATAGAAAACATGAAGAAAGAAGGGCTAAATATTTAGAAAATGCTGATTAGGTGAGCTACACTTCAAAAACATGAGAAGTATGCAAACAATTAAACTCGGAGAAAAATTAGTATGCCTGAAAATAATTAATGCAATATAAGAAATAACAAATTCAAACACTTCATACTAGAATTATGTTTGCTCTTAAAATCTAGTCTTGACATTCCAAAACTGTAATGACAATATAGCCTCTGGGCAGGCCCATCAGTTGTGTCAACAATGTCATCTTGATTTTCTTGGAGCGGTGGAAAATATCATATTTATTAAACAATGTTTAATTATTTAATATACACAAATCTTTTAATAAGTTTTCTTTCAAGCAATCTCAAGAATTATTATTCTAGCTTTATTTTTTCTTCAAAGGTAGAACATTATGAGGGATAAATTTTAAATCCTGGATATCTTATTTATGAGACCATTGTATTAAAAAAGCAAGAAAGCATATATATCTAAATACGTAAAGACAGCATGCATCTGAAAATTAAAAGTACAGCATTTGTAAAAGAAGTAACTACAATGTAATAGGTCTGATTTCCAAAACCATAAATAAATATTATGCACAATACATATGTGTACATTGCTTTAAGGGCTGAAATCTACCCAGGCCTAAAGAGTGAACTTTATGTCCCAGGCTCCCAAATCTAACTGCTTTTCAGTAACTTATGGCGTTGAACAGTAGTTAGAGACTTTCTGCACTGTAACTCCTTTTGAGATCCTAAATAAAAGGTACAACTGGAAAGTATTCAGATTAGGAGAGACAAAAGATATGTGAAGGAAAACGAACAGAGTTAGAAATTATTAGTAAAGGATAGAGCAGAATAAAGACATCCTATACTTAAGAAAACTAATAATCCCAAATTATCTTCAAAAATATAAAAATTATCATAAGGATAATAATATTTTATAATAGATTTATAATCCCAATGTCTCAAAAGGTAATTGAATACATGACCTAAATGATAAATACAGATACTGATAAAATTTGTCTTCTAGATCCCTTAAAAGTTTTATTTTTAGTTTTAGAAAATCTTCCTAATTCAAATAATTATTTTAATATTTTCGATACATTTATTTTGAGTGCTTTACCACCCATACCCTTTTCAGGGTACTAATGTCAAAGTAGATATTATTTTTCTATTATTTTTGCTGTTGTTTTGCCAAATGTAACTGTCACTTTTTATTGAAACATCAGAATCAGACATTTAATTCTCACAGTTTTGATGCTTAATGAAAAGTGAAAGTTAAACACAGCATGGTGGCATTAAAAATGCATGGTGAATCCATAGCATCCTTCACATTAGCCCTGAAGAGAATGCGGAATACGAAGAAAAAAATTATTCAAACGAGTGAACTAGTGTGTTTAGAGATGAGATTGACAAATTATCACAAATCACTAAAAAAGGAATGGACAAAGAATGGTAGACTTGGGAAGGAGAAGAGCAAGGAAATGCACTATTTTATTAATCTAATCTTTAAAATGGGGAAGACCCCGTTTGAAATACAGTGTCTGAATGTTTAACCCCGGAGAGTACTAACAAGGTAACATGCTCAAGACACAAGTCAATTAAGGAAGTATAAACTTTATTCTATATGACTCTTTCAGGTTTATCTACATAAGCTTCAATTTGTTTTTGAGATAATTTTAGCACATTAAACAAGAAACGGGGACTTATTTCTACCACTATGCTTAGGGAGGAAAATGTGTTCTGTTTTAAAGTTTCTGGAAAAATCTTTGCTCTATTTAATTTCTATTCTATAATCTTTTTTTTAAAAAAGTCAATCTTTTTGCATAATGGATTTTACTAAGGAGATTTTTAAAAATTAATAGTATTACCTTTACTTTTTTGATGTTTTGAAATCCTTTTGCATCTCTCTGAACTATTGCACAAAAATTTAAATCTTGATTGCATATTTAAAACAGAATTTCCAATTTACATTTACGGCTATTAATTTCAATTTGTTTATATATCTAGAGTTTGTCAGGCTTTAGAGTTCATAAGTAGATTAAGAACCTTAGCAGTAAAGGTCTTTTGTACTTTTTTTCACTTTTGGGTAGGAGATTTACTTCTAAATTGGTGAAGTCTATACATATTTTCAGAATTCTCAACACACATAATTATGCAAAGTGTGTGAGGAAGCAAAACAGAGTCATAAGGAGGTGTTATAAGCTTAGGCTTAGAAAACCACTTCTGACAGCATACTCTACAACAATACTTAATTGGGTATATGAATCTTATTAGAAATGTTTCCAAGTTTTTATTGCCCTTACGTATGCCTCGAAAAGATTTGTATGTGTTCAGATAAAGGCTGATTGTACAGATGGTGACAGAATCACTTTAGAACCACTCAGATTCTGATTTTTGGGAAAACTAAACCATTTCCTAAATAAGACAAAAAGCAGGCTCTCAGAAAACCTTGTGACTATATGTAGATTTGTGATTCACAGTTATAATTCTAACATCTCTTCTAATGTTTAATAGAAGTTTAAAGCAGTAACAAACAGTGTGCCTAGATCTGCATATTACAATAAATCATTGCTCCAATAAATTCTGTAGTCTCTTGCCTGAAAAAAAAATGCAATGAAATTATTGTTATAGTAAACATTATCTCCAATGAAATTTAAGGTATAAATTTTAACTAGTTCAAAATGCAAGATCCTTGCCTCTTTGAAGAAACATACCTCTTTCTTAAAGACATATATCTTATCTGATTTCTAGCAAAAGTTATGAAGGTAAAAGTTCATTTTTATAAAATCTGCATGCATTCTTAGGAAGTTAATTCTAATAAAGTTTTTGGAATCATGTAGACATAATCCCATAGCCAAAATTAGTAAATAACTGAGTCTATTTTAACACTACCATACCAAATAAATACTAGCATTATAAGCATAACAAAAGCACTGCATTTGTAATACATCTCTTAGAATATAAAAGCCTCAAGTTTTGTTATCTTATGTATCACATATTTTAAAGCAAATTGTGATTTAGAATATAAATATGTTTTAAATATATGATTTGATTCAAAGCAAGTTATATCTCCTCAGAATGTTCAGTGGAATCTACAAACACAAGTTGGTATTCACCATAAAGTATTCATAATAATTTTATTGAACTTAAGTGTGCACATCTATAGACTCTTGTATGTAACAAAAATGACTTATATTCAGTCATTGAAAAGCCCTAAAAATCAACTATCTCAAAAATGATTTTGTCATTAAGAACTGGTTCTACATTCTGAGACAAAATTACATCTAATCATCTTTATCTATTTAATAAAGCATTTACCCTATATTTTTATGTATATTTGATACAGTAGCATGAAAACTGATTAATATGAAGCAAATCTGAAGAAAACTAATTTTCATACATTTTATTTAAGGCATCTCTGAAGCTTTTGAAAATAAGGGTGAGATTACATGATATTTCACGCTGTCATTACATGTGCTTTCATCCATTCGTGGAAATCAGTCTTTCCAGTAAAGCATTTGAAAATACTTTTCATTAATTTTTATCTTTTAGAACTGGAAACTTTTTTTTTTTGAGACAGAGTCTAGCTGTGTAGCCCAGGCTGGAGTGCAGTGGCGCGATCTCGGCTCACTGCAATCTCCGCCACCCAGGTTCACACCATTCTCCTGCCTCAGTCTCCCGAGTAGCTGGGACTACAGGCACCCACTACCACGCCCGGCTAATTTTTCTGTATTTTTAGTAGAGACGGGGTTTCACCGTGTTAGCCAGGATGGTCACGATCTCCTGACCTCTTGATCCGCCCGCCTCGGCCTCCCAAAGTGCTGGGATTACAGGAGTGAGCCACTGCGCCCGGCCTAGAACTGGAAACTTTTAAAGCCTACAGAAGTTTAACAAATTCATATCATCTTCATGGTAACTTCATTTTCTCTCATGAGACTAATAGAAAGGATGGATGATAACAGGAGATTCCTAAGCAACTTCCTTATTGCAAATGATGAGGGGTTAAATAAACGCAAGGAGAGAACAAAAAATACAGGAAAGACAAAATAGTCTGAAGCATAAATCATAGTAAGTTGATTGCTAGGAAACAATGGTGGTCATCTATGTTGGTTTATGAAGATAGTAAGTGGGGTGGCTCCATGGATGTTGAAGATGCTGCATTACAAACAGCAATGAGCCCTTGAACCGGAATCAGCCATAATGTATGTAAAGCCACAAACAATGCACTGGCTGGTCTTTTCAATCATTTTCTCTAATGGAATTTGTTGACTATGAGCAACATGAAACCAATATCTTTTTTCCACAAACACTAGATGATGATCATGATTCCTTTAAACTAAAAGACCATCTATGGCGTAAGTCAAAGCCCTGCATTACATTTTTAAGCTACAGGACAGAGACTAGGACCTTATTTGGTATGCCACAGATGCTCTGTTTATGTTTTCTGCAGCCAAATCTAAAAGTTTTTTTATTAAATATTAGTTTTCTTTGCATTTTTTTCCTGAACCTTTCAGGAAACTTAAGTTCTTTTCTAAAATTTTTACAACTTGATGCTTGATAATAAGAATATATACTCATGTGAAAAGAATTCTACAATAATCTGAATTTCAAAAAATCATTTTCAAATAAAACAAGTTTTAAAAGATTTAGAAGCGCTTTGATATGTCAGAGACCTATAGTAGACATAAAGAGCACAATAAATAAACATTTACCATTTTTGTCCATGGAATTTGGTTCTGACTGTTTCTTGCCAATATCAGCAAAGGAACGAACAATGGGAATCCTGTTGGTGAGTTTTTTCTGATTCTGATGATGATGCTGTTTCATCAATGCCTCATGGACCCTATGGCGTACATCTTCATTCAGCTGACCTGAGCTCACTTGTTGGTCAAGAACCATATCTGAAGAGAAAAGGCCGGAAGAAGATAAGCACAGCTTTCCTCTAGAACGTGTGCCAGCCGTGAACCACTGAGTCCAAATATGCAAGCCCTAAACAATATTATTCATCTTGAAATAGAAATAACTTCTTTAAAAAATCTCTAAGCATGCTGTTATAAATGGAAATTTATCTTCCATTGTAGAAATGTTGAATAAGAAAGATTTGGGCAAATTTTCATTATAAACCATTCTATTTAAATATATAATTCTTATGAAGTATTATTTTTCAAATGGGAATAGTTGCATTGAGAAGAAAGTTCTTTATTTATTTATTATCCACACTGATGGGAGGAATAGCTGTAGAGATAATATCAAAATTCATAATGTGTTTGAATTTGAAAATTCATAATGTGTTTGAATTCACAATTCATAACGTGTTTGAATTTGAAAATTGGTTTTATACTTATATTTTAATTTTTTTCCCATTTTCTAGTACAGACTAATTTCCTTGTTTCCCCATTAAGTGAACAAAAGTCTATCTGTGAAAATCTGATGCAAAGAGGCCTATGAAGTGATATAGTTACTGAATTTGGAGAGTAAACAATTCTGTTTCATATGGATAGAAAATCAGCCCTTTCTCAAACTTTGCTGGAAACACACTCCCTTGAGAATGTTAGATTAAAAAGATATTCTATACCTGCAAAACAAAGACTGGAAGGTGAGATTTCAGAAGTCTATAATTAAGCAGATTATTTACCATACATAGTATCAAAAATGTCAGTAAAATAGATAAGTAAAGGTATTTTAAGTTTCTTAGTGATATAAAGATCACATCAATGGATGTTTGTGTAATTAATCTGCTTTCTGATTATCAAACATTAACTCTAATTGTTTTTTAGGCATTAACATCTTATGTAAAGCAGATTACAATGAGCTGCCTTCCACTGCCTTTTTGAGTACAATAAAGGTTTCAAAGTTAGCAGAATGCTCCCTTACCAACAATGTTTTCCTTCAGTGTGAAATGGAAATGAACTAGGAGACAGATTTGGGCCACTTTATGACATTCTAGCTAGACAACTTTGCAAAGTTGAATAACCTAAGTGTCCTTATTTGTAAAATGGAGATAATAATATCTATATCATATATTGGTGCCAAGACTAATGACATAAGGCACCTGATGCACTGATTGGAATATTGAGGCTATCAGTAAATATTTCCCAGAACAAGATTTTCTTTGTAATTTTCATAATG
The DNA here is from genome assembly GCF_000001405.40 of Homo sapiens. Classification (NCBI taxonomy): domain Eukaryota; kingdom Metazoa; phylum Chordata; class Mammalia; order Primates; family Hominidae; genus Homo; species Homo sapiens. The sequence continues at coordinate 161,861,645 of NC_000002.12, read as the reverse complement.
TAGATTATGGGTTCCTGGTTTGAAATTTGTGGTGGTTTCAATATGTTCATATTTTGTGACAGCTTATCAAGTAGAGACAAAGCTGGGCTTATCAATAGCAGAAAACCCAAATTAAACTACATAAAACAATTTTATTGGCTCACATAATAGAAAGATCAAAGTTAGGTTGGCTATAATTCTGCTTCTCTGTGATTTTGTTAACTTCCTCCTCCTCTAGGGTAAGCTTTAACCTCAGGCTGATTTTCCTTATGGTCATAAGGTGGCTTCCAGCAGCAACAAGGAAATATATATTTTTGTTCATATCCAGTGAGAAATATATTGTTTTTTTGTGACTTTCTCTTAGATGAGTTATTTTTCACCTGGCCAGGAAAAATTATCCTAAGTCTAACTGACATAGCCCTGCCCATCTTGAACCAATCACTGGCAAAGGAGATGGTATTCATATGACTGACAGGCTAATCAAGAACTGCGCTTCACTCTAGAGTTAATTCTCTAAACCAGAGAAAGACAAGCTCTTTTTGTCCAGAGCCAGATAACAAATATTTTAGGCATTGTAGGCCATATGATCTCTGTCACAAATACTGAATTTTGCCTTTGTAGCAAGAAAGCAGCCACAGGCAACATGTACACAAATGAGCCTGGTTATGCTCCAATGAAACTTTTTTAAGGATGCTGAAACTTGAATTTCATATAATATTCACATCACAACATATTAACTTCTTTTTTATTATTTTTCAACCATTTAAAATATAATCACCATTCTTAGCTCAAATGCCCTACAAAATCAGGCAGTCGGCCATATGTGGCACGTGGGATATAGTGTGCTCTATCATTTTTGTGTTTACAATGGAAAGAGGTAGAAAGAATATTTGGAAGTTACCCATATTATATACCTGGAATGTTTGAAAGTCAGTCACTATAATTACCTCAAAGGTCCCTTCCAATTCTGAAAATGTGTGATACTATAGAATAATATTTAAATCTATTTTTCAGTTCTTTGGAGATCAGTAGTTATAATACCCCTGGGTTAATCTGAAATAAAGGAAATAATAAATTGTCAACGTATATGACATTACACTGAAACCTTGCTAAGATGGAAAAATGTATATAAAATATGCATATACTTCATAATGGAAGTTGTAAAGTAGGTTATTAGAATATCAATATGATATTATTGTAAAGCAGTTCCAAATATAAGCCATGATATGAATTCCCAGTTCAATATTCTAGTCAGAATCAAAAGTAATCACATAATAAACCCTACATATGTTTATGATTTTTAATTTCTATTAAAGCACAATGTTTCCAGGCTCGAACACTAAAAAAGCCATAGGTCACTATCTTCACAGTTTTTCAAAGATAAGATTTTTATTTGAAACAGTTATGTAAAGAAAAGTAAATATTAAAAAACACACTCATCTGTTCATTAGTTACAGAGAAATACACAGCAAACTTCTCCAAAGTATAACTGTATCAAATTATATCTACTTGTCTGGAAAAAATTACTCATTTTGCTTAAGAATATAATTTATACTAGGGTGACATTTAAGTACCAAAAGGAATCTGAATTAGTAATCACTTACATTGTTCTTTTCACCACTACAATACATATTAGTATTAATTTGAAAAGTGTGAAAGAATAACGGACCATAATGACGTTGGGTCCAGAGTGAAGTCCTGCAATCTCAGCAAGCTATTATGCCTACATAATACAGTCTATTCTGCCCCAGGATCTGGGTGATAAGAGAAAAGGCGCGGTGGCTCACGCCTGTAATCCCAGCACTTTGGGAGGCCGAGGCGGGCGGATCACGAGGTCAGGGGATAGAGACCATCCTGGCTAACACGGTGAAACCCCGTCACTTCTAAAAATACAAAAAATCAGCCGGGCGTGGTGGCGGGCGCCTGTAGTCCCAGCGACTCGGGAGGTTGAGGCAGGGGAATGGCGTGAACCCGGGAGGCGGAGCTTGCAGTGAGCCGAGATTGCGCCACTGCACTCCAGCCTGGGAGACAAAGCAAGACTCCGCCTCAAAAAAAAAAAAAAAAAAAAAAAAGAAAAGAAAAGAAAAGAAAAAAAGGACAAATAGGTCACACTCTGCTAACACTAAGCAGACTCTAGAAAAACTAGTAGCACTTTGAGACCACCCTGTCCAACGTGGTGAATCCCCGTCTCTACTAAAATACAAAAAAATTAGCTGGGCATGTTGCCGTGTGCCTGTAGTCCCAGGTACTCAAGAGATTGAAGTAGGAGAATTGCTTGAACCCAGGAGGCGGAGGCTGCAGTGAGCTGAGATCGCACCACTGCACTCCAGCCTGGCGACAGAGCGAGACTTCGTCTAAAAAAAAAAAAAAGAAAAGAAAAGAAAAGAAAAACTAGTAGCACTTGTGGAAAAAGGCCTCAGAAAAATGAAAAATTGTTTTTCATCCTATCAGATAACTATTTTATCATAATGTATCTTGAATGAAAGCCCCTAGAGGTTATGACATATTGCAGATTCTACATAAATCTCTGCCTTTTTGAAGATCATCATATCAATGCTTTGAAAACCCATTGTCTTAACTTTAAAAGATATTGGGAGAGGTGGGGGGGAATATGATACGAAGTTCCTAAATTCTGTGGTTTGGTTGCCAGCACTAACAGGGATGTGTGTACTAAAGATGTAAACTGTAATAGAATACTTACTTTTCAGACCAAGGATTGTCACAGTATAGGCAGGTTAAAAAATATATGGTTATTCCTATACTCCCAACTCTACAGATTACATTCAGTGGAGCAAACTGTAGATTCTTCCTTCAATGAAAGATTTTAAACAACAAAGGTTGTTTAAATGAGTTGGGAGCTATGATTGATAATCTGTCCATGGTACCAACTTTGGTTTGGTTTTAATTTCTTCCTAACTCTCATTGACAGAATTAGGTTAAAGTATACACACACTGCAGAGAGGATATTTCCATCATTAATCTTTATAATGCTTAATTTCAAAGAGATTAACATAGACCATAAAATTCCCTGTAATTTATATGAATATAATTCAGAAGCATATTCAATACAATTAATCTCCATATCAGAGTAAATTGTGGTAAGAAGATATATCTGGAGAATTTTGGATTTGAAAAGGTTAAGTAATATTTTGAAGGATAAAGTTTAAATTTATTGAGTTTCCTGAAACATTGGGAAACAGATATATTTTAAATTAACTTAGCCAAAAGAAAATCCTACTTTAATTATATCAGAAATTCTTGACAGATCTGCCAGATACAAATGGGATTTTCTGCTACTAAGTCTACAAAAATCTCTTAAGGAATTATCCGAGTCTGTTAAAAACATATCAAAACATTGATATAAAAATCCTTGATCATTACAAAACAATATCTGGGTCATATTCATCTAGTAGGAAATGTCTGAAAAACATCAATACTGTAAAGCCTGTGTATTCACAAAGTACTAGGGATTAGAACCCTTAAAGGTAAGCTCTTACACTTAGCGTTTGTAAAACTGAAACTAGTGACTAATGTATGTGAATTATGGCTAACAGAGAAAAATCATGGTAAATAAGAGCTGAGGAAAAAGTTTCAGGGCTGATTGTTAATCACTATGGCCACAAATGATCATGAAACAGAATAAAACAAAAATTATGGTTGGGCACAGTGACTCATGCCTGTAATCCTAGCACTTTGGGAAGCTGAGGCAGGTGGATCAATTGAACCCAGGAGTTCAAGACCAGCCTGGGCAACATAGGAGATCCCATCCCCAAATATTATGATTATAGGTTAATAAAAAAATTATTTTTATTTCTGCAAAGGTCATCTTTGATAAAGAACTTTCTATTTATCTGTTTATGGTGAAATAGTCTCTTTCCTACTTTATATGTTGTTATGATAATAAAACATAATTATGTGGAAATACTTTGCAAAGTTAGAAGTCTTAAAAACGGAAAGCATGCTTATTTATTACAAACTTAGTAATGCCCCTCAATTTTTATAAAATGAAAATAGGAGAAGTAAAAAATAAGAAAATAATTACAAACTATAGAGAGAAAATATTTTAATGAGTTTATATTGAGGGGATAAATAAGTAACTTTTAAATTTAGCCAAATTATAGTTTTCAATGAGAGGAAATCTCTTCTTAGTAATGACAGTAAAGGAATCTAAAGTAATAATGATCAACACAAATATTTGTAATCATATTTTTCTTTGTGATGTTAGCATTAAACCACTGACACATTCTAAATGTCATTTTACAGGCTGTTCTACACTGAAAAATGGGACATTCAGGTTGGGCTACTTCAAAGTCAGAAAGATACACACTAATTAGAAGAGCAGAAAGAATACTAAAAAGCTATTTAGGGTATCAAGACGTCAACTGAACTACTTTCACTGTAAGGGTAGACTTAGAGAATGTAATTTGCTTGAAAAGGCTAGATTTAACCCAGTTAACCTTCACATATTCTACAGAATTGAGCTTGGGAAACAGGGACAGAGTTAGGAAAAATTTGCATAATTTTGGACAATGAAAGTGAACTAAAGTGATAAAATGAAGTGTTTTAGTCAAATTACTGGGAGAAAATTTCTTCATAGGAATAACTTTCTGAGGAAAGCATTAGAAATTACATAATTTAAGAAATGTGAAGACTGGTAAAAGTATAAAGGGTATGTTCTGAGGCTAATTTTGCCAGGTGGTAGAATGTGACAGTTTTGTTTCCCATTTCAAAATGTATTTGGATTAATCTATTTTTAAAGGTAGCGCCATCATCGATTTAAGCGGCAGAAATAAACGCCTTAGAGCAAGGCCTTTAACCTTTTAAATCTTAGTTTTTTTCTTTATTAAATAAGGATAACAATAATAATACTAAGAACCAGGTTTGAGCATTAAAAAGATAATTACAAACTTAAGAGCTTCCCATACTTGAAAGTACTGTGAAAAGCCTGCTGTTTCATTCCTAATTAAAATATAAAAATGTTTATTGGGTATTAGCAAGACCATATAATGTAAAGCTAAGAAATTGAGCTGGATAGCTAACTATTTCAGCATTCTTAGGGAGTTTGCTTATTTCTGAGTTAATCATTTTCTCTATTTTCTCTTGATTTAGTGCAGCTACAGTAGCCTGGATATTTCTGAAAATTATACATTTATGTTTAACTTTATAAAGTCTTTCAGGCTCTAGCTATGTAACTTAAAGAATAATCTCTTTATAGGTGTTACATGAAACAGAAGAGGACCGCTTATCTTTCCTATTTGGGGCAGTGTGGTGTGTGTGTGTGTGTGTGTGTGTGTGTGTGTGTGTGTGTTTTAGTATTTTTGGAGTTTTTGCTTAATATTTCAAGCCAAAGTATCTTTCAGTACTTACTTTTCTTTTCACACATACTGCAGTGCCTATCAGCACCAATGACTAAATCAATAATTTTTAAGGTGATAAATGTGCCATCAAAATTTGGGTGACATTCACTTCAAGACATTTCTTTTTCTTCAGACAGCAGTTGTAGTGTAATAGAAAAAACACTAGGCTTAAAGTCAGGGGCCCTTGGGTGAAATCTAGGCCATGACAATTTTAGAGTTTCTATTTTGTGATTGGAAAATGAGAATGACATCTACTTCATGGGGCTGTTCTGCAGATTAAAGTAGATATGTTATTTTTCTAATATATTATTTTCATATACATGATTAAAAACACACATATAGTTTTTCATCTCTACAATATGATTAAGATATTAAGTTTTTTCACTTCACAAATACAAATCATATGGAATGAATTTTATTTTTTCCCAAACTAATAACTTTTCAACTGCCTCTTTTCTTTGTTTGTGTTTTTAAAACCTCCATCAATTATTTCATTTATACTCTTTCAAAATTCATTTCTGTCTTTTTGTATTATTTTGTTTTTACTAAAATATGTTTGCCTTCTGGTCAAAAGATACAGGAGTTCTTTGACTCAATTTCTGTAATAATAACATTTCCTAAATATACCTGTCTGTATTATAAGATATCATTGAATTATAATACTAATCATTCATCAGTTTATAGTATTGAATTACAAAACGAATCCTAACTGTATCACTTGGCTTCCTCTGGAATTCAAGGGTTTTAATTAAGTTTAAAATGAATGGCCGTACCTTTCTGTGTCCATTCTAAACCAACATTTTTCTGTATATTGAAATTTTTTCATTTGGTTATTTCATATGTTTGAATATTGAAAATAAGTATCTAGCTCTAAGGTTTTTTCCTTTAATTTTCTAATGGTGAGAGTCTAAATATGATAATGAAAATAAATGGTGAATGGGAATCAAGATATCTAGGTTCTTGTCCTAGACTTGGCACTGCCAAACTAGAGCATATTTCTCTGAGATTCAACTTCTTTTATCTCAAATAACAGGGTAAAAGAAAATGACTTTTAAGACCTTATGCAGTGATTATGAGAATTAGTTTTCCAAAGTTCATACGTATATTGAATTATAAGGAAAAGAGAGTAACAAAAAATTAGCTGTACCTATAAAATACACTAAGGGGGAAAAGATATACCTGCAATTTCTTCTAAAGTGTTGGCATGCATGTCCAGCAACACAGTTCCATTCAGAATACAACTTCTCAATTCAAACAAGCTGTGCAATGAAAGAGTAGCCACATAAGGCTTGCTCCACCTTTCTCCTCCATCTTCCACATCTTCTTCAAACTTCAACCACCTATACAAACAAATATTATCAGCACAGTTTATATTATATTGTAGGTTAATGATCCTTTATACCAAAAATAAAAGGTTGAAATAGAAAAATAGTCATATTGTGTCTTGGTTCATAGGTTTTGGAAGTATATAAAAGCTAGTCTAAGCCATTTGGCTTATTTCATTTTAATTCCATTTAACTCATATTCTTTTTGCAATTAAAAAATAATTGAAAAAAAGGAAAACTCATGTTATTTTGTTAACTTGTCTAACTCTGAAGAAATATTTAAATATAATTGTTTAACCAGTGGTCAGAGAAAATCTTATGTAGCACTAATAAAGAGTGTATACTTCATGGAAAGTTAATGGTAATTGAAAAAGAAAATGAAAGAATACTTATTTTTCCTTAGTGGGAGGTCTTAAACCTGAATATTTTAGTCTCTTGGTAATTTTCTTATAAGATCTTGAGGGAGGCTAGCATAATTAGGGGCCTGTTGCATAGGAAAAATCCTTGTTAGGCTTGCTTGGATGAAAGCTAGTGATAGCAGTCACTTCCTAGGGACTGAATATGTGAGAATTGAGCTCAGACCCCATCCCTGGGTGTTTCTGCCAGGATGGATAATCAGAGAAGAACCTTGATGTCATGATGTCAAATGGGGGACCACTGTCTTCTTGGACTGAAATGAATAGTAATACCTAGATTGTCTATAAGCAAGATAAATGGAACAGATAAAGAGAAACCAGTGATTTTATTGCTCTGGCACAAGCCACTTAATTCTTATCCGTTTAGGAATTTGGTCTCTAATCCTAATAGATGACCAATTTAGTTTCACCATTTCTAATGAACCTTAGCCTAAATCTTCTTGCCTACCTCCATCTCCACCATTTCCCTCATTCCTTTTCTCCTTAGTCATTTTTGACCCCAATTTCTCTCTCCAAGCAATATCATTCAAATCCTCTATATTATATTATCTTACTATTTTGTGTAATAAAATGATCCACCTTCAACACACAACAAATATGTGGGAGTAACTAGTTAGGGAATCAAGTGGATTAGCCAAAAGTAACTAACCAAAAGAGACAGTCAGAATGATTAATGTGCAGAGTAGTAAGAGAGATCAGGAAAGCTATGGATCTGTTTTTAGTGTTTAGGAAGCAAAAAGAAAAAAAAATGTCAGAAAGTGAAAAGGAAGCCAATAGAAAAGAATACTTATACCTGCCAAAATTTACAATCAGGTAAGAATAGATATGCCATATTGAAAAAACTTACATTTAAGCCACAAATCACCAACAGTATATCTCTTCAAGGCTGGGAATTTTATAGAACATTTTTGTCTACACAGAAAGTTTTCATATTAGTTATTCCTAAAGTTTTTCAGTCCTAAACAGGGCCATAATACCTCATAGATCATGTGATGGTCATATCATGTCATAACTGGTTCTCCCTCTCTTCCTAGGAAAGTGTAGAACATCACTACCTGGCTCCCTTTTAATTGGGTGAGTCCATGTGTCTGTGATTAAATCTGGAAATGAGGTGGGAACAGAAATTATGTGTGTGTCACTTTCAGACTGGAGTATTTAATTGGCAAGAGGATATCCTCTGGAGCTCATCCTTTCCTTGACATGCAACAAGCAAAGTTCAAGGTGAAGACTGATCTATCAGCTGAGGTTTCTAAGTCACTATTTAATACAATGAACAGATGAGCAAAACCCCAATGATTCATGATGGACATGAATTGTGAGCCATAAATAAATGGGTTTAAGCCACTGAGATTGCAGGGTATTTTTTATAGCATAATTTAGCCTATCCCAACTGACATAGATCACCATTTTCGTTAATCATATCAGCATAAAAATCCTAATCAGAATTAATGGTGAAAGTAAATATGATTTTAATAAATATAAATTACTATTTCTTGTCAGATATGAGAATAAGGCCATAGTCACATTATGATTTCAATATCACAAAGGAACAACCTCTTGGCAGACATTTTAATGGAATAGTATTACATAAAGTGTCTTCAACTAGTTGAGAATAAAAAGACATTTATATTTTTTCTATACAGCTAAACCACCATGTAATAAAAGGAAAGTCTTTTAACTTCTCTGGGTCAGTTTTCTCACAGGTAAAATGATGAGACAAATTAAACACATTAAATAATTTTCCAAAGATCACCTAGCCAGTGACCTTGTCAAGCCAGGATCCAACTCTAAGTTTTTTTTAAAATTTTGTTTTTCTCCAGAGCCTGTGCCCATTTCCCACCATAATATAGTAATTTGAATTGAATTTATAGTCCTTTTCAGTTCAAAGATCTTATGCTAATGCTTATAGCAGAAACAACTGATTTAACATTTAATTTTCATCCATGTCTGGAGCCAATCTTAAGTTGCAAAATGTTCTTTGTTCTCACTTTTTCTTTTATATTATTCCAATTTGTTTTCTTTATTGCCTACTGTGCTAGATAAAAATAGATGGTTTTCCTTTGTGAATAAGACTCAAACATACTATTCTGTGGAAGGGCTATAATGAAACTTTCCATAAGGAAGTGGCATCAGGGGAGTGGATACAACTTTTATTAAATCTTCTAATTAAATTATAATCTACTGACATATGCTGTGGATTTCAGATAAAAAGAGCAAAAGGAAGGGAGACTATATAATAGCATGTATGCTGGTGTTATTTTGACTGAAGAACTTTGTTAAATTGGAAATTTACTTTCTAGTCTATTTGGTGGTAAAGAAAACCTAGAGTTTTAAAAGGGTGTAATGCTATTTAAGGAAATACAGGTTTTTCTCTATGGAAAATGTCCTCAATTAAGGTTTCTAGAACTATGGTACTTTCTGTCATCCCTGTTTATACAATTGATTCTAAAATGTTGTAACAGTGAGGCGATGGGTAACAGTGAGATGACGTCTCTGCAAGAAATAAAAAATGTTAACCAGGTGTAGAGGTGAATGCCTGTAGCCCCAGCTGCTCAGAAGGCTAAGATGGCAGGATTGCTTGAGCCCAGGAGATCGAGGCTGGAGTGAGCCATGATAACGCCACTGCACTCTAGCCTGGCTGATAGAGTGAGATCCTGCCTCAAAAGAACAAATAAATAAACTGAATTAAATGTAATCTCCAAAAATTATACTCAAGTACAAAATCCTGAAAAGTCTTCGTACATTACTAAAAAATCATATTGTTTCTTAACTACTTAAGTGTAACTCTATAAACTTACCCATACAATAATATTGTTTGTAAGCTGTAATAACATTAATAACAAATTCACTTTTAAAATACTCCTGGGCCTCTTGATCTATATAGAATGATAAAACCCTTTCTTATAATAAAATTTATAGTTAAAATTTACTTCTGGATAACAGTGAAGATGACTAAATAAGTGACAAAGCATCTAAATCATTTCATCTTGGCTCCTTTGAAAGTAAAATTTTAAATTTTAAGAATGCTAAAAAGGGGTTGCTGTTTTTATTTCAGAAAAGAATGACTTTAAACCAAAAACATTCAGAAAGTAAAAAGAAGAGGATTACATAAAAATAAAGTGTTCAATTAAACAAGAAGACTTAACTATCCTAAATATATATGCACCCAATACTGGAACACCCAGATTCATAAAACAAGTTCTTAGAGACTTAGGAAGAGACTTAGATAATGGCAATATAATCATGGAAGACTTCAACACCCTACTGATGGCATTGGACAGATCACTGAGGCAGAATACTAACAAGAGATATTTGGGACCTAAACTTAACACTTGACCAAATGAACCTAACAGACATCTACAGAACACTCCACCCAACAAAAACAGAATATACATTCTTTTCATCTGCAGATGGCACATATTCTAAAATTGACCACATACTTAGCCATAAAGCAATTCTCAACAAATTTTACAAAACCAAAATCATACCAAACATGCTCTCAGAACACAATGCAGTAAAAATATAAATCAATATCAAGAAGATCTCTCAAAAGCATACAATTACATGGAAACTAAACAACCTACTCCTGAATGATTTGGGTAAACAATGAAGTAACTGTAGAAACCGAGAAATTCCTTGAAACTAATGAAAACAAAGATACAACATACTAGAATCTCTGGGACAGGGCAAAAGCAGTGTTGAGAGGAAAGTTTATACTGCTAAATGTCGACATAAAAAAGAAAAACTTACAACTTAAGTTAACAACCTAACATTACACTTGAAGGAATTTGAAAAACAAAAGCCAACCAATCCCAAATATAACAGAAGAAAAGAAATAACCAAAATATAGCTGAACAGAATAAAATGGAGATGAGAAAAATCACACAAAAGATCAACAAAACCAAGACTTGGCTCTTTGAAAGAATAAATAACATTGATATACTATTAGCTATACTAATTTTTTAAAAGGGAGAAGATAAAGATAAACACAATCAGAAAACAAAGGAGACATTACTACTAACCCGACAGAAATACAAAAACCCTAAGAGACTATTATGAACACCTCTGTGCTCACAAACTAGAAAAGCTAGAAGAAATGGATAAATTCCTGGGAATATTCAACTGCCCAAGATTAAACCAGAAATAAATTATTTTTATTTTATTTTATTTTATTTTTTTGAGACAGAGTCTTGCTCTGTCACCCAGACTGGAGTGCAGTGGCACAATCTTGACTCACTGCAACCTCTGTTCCTGCACTCAAGTGATTCTCCTGCCTCACATCACAAGTAGCTGGGACTACAGGTGCACACCACTGTGTCTAGCTAATTTTTTTGTATTTTTAGTAGAGACAGGGTTTTGCCATTTTGGCCAAGCTGGTCTCAAATGTCTGGGCTCAAGTGATCCACCCACCTCAACCTCCCAAAGTGCTGGAATTAGAGGTGTGAGCCGTGTACCTGGCCTAACCAGAAAGAAATTGAAACCATGAACACACCAATAATGAGTTCCAAACTTGAATCAGTAATAAAAAAAACCTATCAACCAGAAAAAAGCCTTGGATCAGATGGAGTCACAGCCAAATTCTACCAGATGTGTAAAGAAGAACGGATACTGAAACTATTCCAAAAAACAAGGAGGAGGGGCTCCTGTCCAATTCATTCTATGAGGCCAGCATCATTCTCATACTAAAACCAGGCAGATTCACAACAAAAATCTTCAGACCAATACCCCTGATAAACATAGATGCAAAAATCCTCCACAAAATACTAGCAAACCAAATCCAGCAGCACATCAAAAAGCTAATCCACCATGATCAAATAGGCTTTATTCCTGGGAGGCAAGTTTGGTTCAACATATGCAAATCAATAAATGTTATTTATTACATAAACAGAACTAAAAACAAAAACCACATGATCATCTCAGAAGATGCAGAAAAGGCTTTTGATAAAATTAAACATCCCCTCATGTTTGAAACCCGCAAAAAACTAGGCATTGAAGGTGTACACCACAAAATAATAAGTGTTATCTACAACAAACCTACAGCCAACATCATACTGAATGGGCAAAAGCTGAAAGCATTCTCCTTGAAAACTGGTACAAGACAAGGATGCCCACTCTCACCATTCTTATTCAACATAAGTCCTGGAAGTCCTAACCAGAGAAGCAGAAAAGAATAAAAAATAAAAGCCATCCAGATAGAGAAAGAGGAAGTCAAATCATCTCTCTTCGCAAATGATATGATACTATACCTAGGAAAACCATAATCTCTGCTTGAGGCTCCTAGATCTGCTAAACAACTTCAGCAAAGTTTTAAGATACAAAAATCAATATGCAAATGGTATATGTTTATATACACCAATAACATTCAAGCTGAGAGCTAAATCAAGAATGCAATCCCATTCACAATAGCCATGAAAATCATAAAATACCTAGGAATACAACTAAACAGGGACGTAAAAGATCTCTGCAACGAGAATTACAAGACACTGCTGAAATAAATCAGAGATGACACAAACAAATGGAAAAACATTCCATGCTCATGGATAGGAAAAAAATCAAAATTAAAATGGCATACTGCCCAAAGCAATTTACAGATTCAGTGCTATTCCTATCAACCTACCAATAACATTTTTACAAAATTAGAAAAAAGTGCACATTTTTCAAAATTAGAAAAAAATTCTAAAATTCATATGGAACCAAAAAAGATCCCAAATAGCCAAAGTGATCCTGAACAAAAAGAATGAAGCTGGAGGCATCACACTACCTGACTTCAAACTATACTACAAGGCTACAGTAACCAAAACAGCATGGTATCAGTATAAAAACAGACACATAGACCAATGGAACAGGTTAAAGGACCCAGAAATAGAGCCACATATGTAGAACCATCTGATCTTCAACAAAGCCAATAAAAATAAGCAATGAGGAAAGGACTCCCTACTCAATAAATGCTGCTGGGATAACTGGCTAGCCATATGCAGAAGATTGAAACGGGACCCCTACATTTCACCATATACAAAAGTCAACTCAAGATGAATTAAAGACTTAAATGTAAGGCCAAAAACACTATAAAAACTCTAGAAGAAAATCCAGGAAATACCATTCTGGACATCAGCCAAAGAAAAGACTTCATGATGAAGATGCCAAAAGCAATTGCAACAAAAACAAAAATTGACAAGTGGAATTTAATTGACCTAAAGAGCTTTTGCACAGTAAAAGAAACTATCAACAGAGTAAACAACCTACAGAGTAGGAGAAAATGTTTGCAAACTATGCATCTGACTAAGGTTTAATATCCAGAATCTTTAAGGAACTCAAATAAATCAACAAGCAAAAAACAAACAACCCTATTTAAAAAGTGGGCAAAAGATATTAACAGACACTTCTCAAAAGAAGACATACTAATACAAGTAGCAACAAGCATATGAAAAAATGCTCAGTATCACTAATCATTACAGAAATCTAAACCAAAACTACAATGAGTTACCATCACACACCAGTCAGAATGGCTATTACTAAAAAGTCAAAAAATAACAGAAGCTGGTGAGGTTGCAGAGGAAGGGGAATGCTTATACATTGCTGGTGGGAATGTAAATTAGTTCAGCCACTGTGGAAAGCAGTCTGGACATTTCTCAAAGAACTTAAAACAGAACTATCATTCATCCCAGCAATCCTATTACTCAGTATATAACCAATGGAATATAAATCGTTCTACCATAGAGACACATGCACATGTATGTTCATTGCAGCACTATTCACAATAGCAAAGACATGGAATCAACCTATGTGCCTACCAGTGGTGGACTGTATAAAGAAAATGTAGTACATATACACCATGCAATAATATGCAGCTATAAAAAATGAGATAATGGCCTTTGCAGCAACATGAATAGAGCTAGAGGCCATTATCCTAAGTGAACTAATGCAGGAACAGAAAACTAAATACTGCAAGTTCTTACAAGTGGGAGCTAAACATTCATACACATGGACTACAAAGAAGGGAACAACAGACACTGAGGCCTAGTTGAGGGTGGAGAGTGGGATGATCGAAAACTACCTATTCGGTGACAAAAAATATCTATCAGGTAAGGTGGAGGAATGGGAGGATTGAAAAACTACCTAACAGCTGACAAAATTATCTGTACACCAAACCTGTAACACACAATTTACCCATGAAACAACCCTGCACATATACCCCTTGAACCTAAAATAAAAGTTGGAAAGAAAAAAAAAAAGAATACTGATAAGATTTGGGCTCTGTGTGTTGCTGTGTGTGTGTGTGTGTATGTGTGTGTGTGTGCAGTTCTATGCATTAAAAAAAACTTTTTTGAGACATAGTCTCACTCTGTCATCCAGACTGGAGTGCTGTGGTGCAATCACAGCTCACTGCAGCCACAACCTCCTGGGTTCAGATGATCCTTCCACCTCAGCCTTCCAAGTAGCTGGGACTACATAGCCAGGTACTATGTCTGGCTTTTTTTTTTTTGTATTTTTTTAATAGAGATGGGGGTCTCACTATGTTACCCAGGCTGGTCTTGAACTCCTGGCCTCAAGTAATCCTCCTGCCTTAGCTGACCACCCAAAGTGCTGGGATTACAGGCATGAGCCACCATGCCCTGCCTCCATTCTATGCATTTTTATCCCATGTATAGATAGATGTAACCTCTACCACAATCAACATACGAAGCTGTTCCATCACCACAAAAGAAATCCCTTGTGCTGCACCTTTATATTCTCAATCCTCACTCTATTTCTGTCCCCTGGAAACCACTAATCTATTCTTCATCACCATACTTTTGTTATTTTGACGGTGTTATATAAATGGAATCATATAGTTTGCAACCTTTTGAGATTGACACTTTTTTACTAAGCATAATGCCCTTGATATACATTCAAGTTATTGTGTGTATCAGTAGTTTGTTCCTTTTTATTGCAGAGTAATATTCCATTATAAAGATGGATGTATCAGTTTGTTTAATCAGTCACCCATGGGGGACATTCAGGTTGTTTGCAGGTTTTGCCATTACAAATAAATTTGCTGTGAACACTCATGCAGAGGTCTTTGTGTGAACATGTTTTCATTACTCTGGGATAAATGCCCAAGAGTCCAATTGCTGGATCATATAGTAAATGCATGTTTAGTTTTATCAGAAACTGTCAAACTGTTTTCCATAAGTGGCTCTACCATTTTACATTCACACCAGCAATGTATGAAAGATCTAGTTTTTTCAAATCCTCACCAACATTTGTTATTATGACTATTTTTTCATTTTTACTATTCTATTAGGTATGCAGTAATATCTCAGAGCAGTTCTAATTTGCATTTTCCTGATGACTAATGATATTGAACATTTTTCCATGTGCTATTCGCCATATGTATCTCTTCTTTGGTGAAATGTCTGTTTGTGCCTTTTGCCCACTTTTCTAGTTGATTTATTTTCATACTGTTGAACTTTGAGAGTTCTTTATATGTTCTACATATAACACTTTTGTTGAATATCTGGTTTACAAATACTTTCTGTCTGTAGCTTGCCTTTTCATCCACTTAACAGAATCTTTCACAGCACAAACATTTTAATTTTGGTAAAGTTCAATCTATAAATATTTCCTTTTACGAATTGCGCTTTTGGTGTTATGTCTAAAAACTTGCCACCTAGCCCTAGGTCCTGAAGATTTTATCTAATATTTTCTTCTAAAAATTTCATGGCTTTATGTTTCAAATTTAAATCTATAAACTATTTTAAATTAATTTTTATGTACATGGTGAGGTTTATATCAAGGCTAATTTTTTGCCTGTAGGTGTCTAATTGCTCCAACATTATTTTTCAAAAAGATTATTTTTCCTTCATTTAATAGTTTTTGTCTTTTGTCAAAAATCAGTAAGCTTTACTTGTGCTGGTCTATTTCTTAGTTCTCTATTCCGTTCCAGTGATTTATGTGTCTGAAATGACATTTTAAAAAATCCAATTATTCTTCCTTCCTTTAGAATAATTTTCTTCAAGTTGAGGGCTTAATTCTCTGAGAAAAGAATGGAGTTCTTTTCAGAGAGTTTGGAACTTCAGGGAGTTCCAAACAGTTTGTTAGTTAAGATGACCAAATATAAGTTATATGCATGGATGGTTTGATGTACCCATAGGTTTTATGAGTATTATAGGAGGAGGCAGAAGGTACTTTCCATAAAAAGGTGCCCACATGTTACAAATATCAAGTTACTAAAGATACTAAACATTTCAAGATTCAGTGCTCTATGCCAGCTCCAGAATGATGCCAATTCTTTAAGAGATATTTAAATGAATATTGTTAAAGAGACTATTAAAAATAATACATACACATAAATACATAACTATATCTCTCTTTTCTGTTCTTTTAAATCCCATTTCATCCTTCAAAGATAGACATGAACAGATCTGGGAGCACACCAGACACTGTTTCAAGATTTGTAATCACTGAATATACTGTCAGTTGCAAAATGCCTGATTGCAGTTAATGACCTAAAGTGCTGCAATTTGTTCCAGTTTTCAAATAAACTCTGCTGACATTTGTTTGAACAGCAAACCAAGGCAAACAAGAGTTTCAAAGCATGAATGAGATGTGAGGGATAATGCTAAAAAATAAATAAATAAAACTGTTGGCCAATTGCACGACCTTTTCTGTGGGGAGAGAGGGGTGGATTTAAACCCTGAGAAGATTATTTTCATTTCCTTCAGTATGTCTGGATCTGTTTTCATCCAAGATTAGCACATTGGAGTCTCTTTCCACTAAGCAACATTAAATAGGTGTTTCATGAATTCTTTGAGGATTAAGTTTATTATAATCTCCTCTACAATACTCCTATTAAAATATACAGAATAAAATTATTCTGCCAATTAGGTGCTTCTAGAGAAGGTTTTTTCTAGAGAACTTAACTCTTTCTGGGTGTTCTATTCTCACTAACTCAGTTTAACTTTTCTAAGATTTTTAATCCTCTCATTCTACCCAAACAAAAAAAGAGTAAGTCTATCATCCAAAAGGAGTTATTATATCATCCAAAATTATAGCCTTCGGGGAAATAATGGATGTCTCAAGAAAAAAACATCCTCTTTTAGGATAGTTGGGGGACATGGCTGGGGTGGAGCTAGAGAATAACATGTAATCAAAGAATACCTATAGTCATCTTAAGGGGAAATGATATACATCCAAACCTAGTGTTTATAGACATTAACTGTTCTTAATCCATATTATTTTCACACCTGTTCTTAATCCACATTATTTTCCCGTAAAAAATCCAGATGACTTAAACCATTACTAATTTTGAAGATCAAATGCCTTCACAGCATCAATAAAATTGTTCTGATGTAATAATCCTTTTCTATTCTGCCATGTATGTATGTATCAGAAGCCTAACGCTACCCCCTGCTTTGCCTCTTCTGAGTTCATTAGTGGGAAGCTTTTATAAAGGGTAACTACAGTGAGTCAAACATGTTGTCGCCACAACTGCACAGCTGTGGTAGCTTTGCTCACTTTTCTATTAATAACATTACATGTTATTTATAAGCAGGACATTGTAATTGTGTTGATTTCATTAGTCTCTTCATATGGCTTCTTTTAGGGTTTTTAAAAGTGACCAGCTGGTTTTTACGAACATTTATTAAATAATTATGATTCAAAAATTTAGCTTCAAAACCTAAAACTTTGCTTAAGTTTTACTTGGCAATGACAGTGGGCATAAATTATGCAAGATGTGATACGTGACAGGTGGAATGAGCTGATAAAATATCTTTTTGTTTCTGCTGTGAGGGTAGAAAATTATTAATCCCATCTGGAATACTAATCAAAAGAAAGAAGTGCTTTAAATGGTGATGCTAATGATTTTCTAGAATTAAATTGCATGTGAAAAATCAGATGGAGTCATGAATTAACAAAAATTAGTGTTTTTAGATGAATTAGGGCAATCAGAACAAAATTACTTCTGCCACTTTAAAACCTGTTACTTTTCGAAATCCTCAATAAATATGTTCTGCCCTTCCCTGAATCATTGTGTCTCTGTTAAAATTCATCTACCCTCCCCTTCAATATCTGTTATTATTTCCATTGCTCATCAGATGTCTCCCTGAAGCTCAAACAGCTATAGCATGCATTAGATTCTAGAAGCTTGGCTACAAACATAGGTCCATCTAATAATATTAGAGAATGTGTATAATTAAATGGACTATCTTTTTATTCTTTATAAATCAACAGCAATATATTTTGATGGTTTAGGACAAACATGTTATTGAGTTAATCCATTAGAGCATAACAAAAACCTACCTGCTCAACTGTAACAAAGTGAGAGTGCTATATTCTAGTATCGCTTCTGCAATCTCCTAGCTTTATGAGAGTGGGCAAGTTACAAGAAATTATTGGTTAAAATGAATGGGTCACTATTTGATCTGTAAGATGAAAAATCACCAATCACTGTAAGAATAAGTGAGTTACTCTTGCCCAAATATATATTCCAATTTTACTTTTCAGCTCTATTATGTAGTATGAGGGTAAAGAAGGAACTCTAAAATAAATGCTTCAACAAAATACTTCTTAGCAATAGGTTAAAGAGACTCTAACTAACCAGAGCTGTCTAGTCATCACAATCACCAGATCGCCTTCCTTCAAGTCACATAGGAACATCTGTTCCTTGTAACTCGTGGCAGACAGATGCTTCTGGTCTTAAACAGGGAGGGAGGAACTTTAACTTATCAAAATCATAAAAGAGCAAGTTATATCACTAATCTGTGGAAAAAATGATCTTATATTCCCTTTCTGTCACCAAATAAAGAAGATGAGCACATATATTACACATTTTTAAAACTACTACGTAGTTTTTGATGCAGTTGGGACAAAAAGTAAGGTAGAAGTCTCTTAATCTTAATATGTACCAGGTTAAATAAAAACTATTTTAAATTTAAGTCTATATTTAAAGTATTACAATACAAAACATCATGAGGAAACTTATGTAAATTATTTTATTAAAAAGGTTAGTTCATACTGAATAACATGCCACCAATTTAAAGTGTTCCAAAAGGCAAATAAAGAAAATAATGAATGATTTATATAAAATAAATAAAGGAAATGAATAGTTCGTTCACATGAAAAAAATAAAAACATAGGAAAAGATGTTGTACCTCACTAATAATTTGAATAATCAAATTAAAACAATGAGATTTATGTTTTATTTATAAAACTGGAAAAGACATTTTAAGCAGTTTGATAATTTACTGTGAAAGGATGTGGAGGAAATAAGCACTCTCATACACTGTTGATAGAAGTGTAAATTAGAAAAACATTTTATGAAGGTAAGTTTACAGTATTTATCAAAGGAAAAAATGTCTGCTCTCTTTGCTACATATGTTGCCATTGTTAGAAATTCACTTTACAGAAATACCTACAAAATAATGACAAAATATTTGTGTGAGCAATCACTGCAGTGGTTTTTATGGAAAAAAATAAATAACCTAAATGTCTATCAAGACTAACTGATAAATAAATAAATGAAAGTTCATCCATATAATTGAATGCAATGCAATCATCAAATAGATGATATAAATTTGAATTGCTGATATGGAAAATGTTCCAAATATATGAAGTGGAAAAGATAAGATATGAACACTGTATATTATATAATCCCTATTGTGTAAATTTAAAAGGGCATATATTTACACGCAGATTTAGCTATTAAATTTTGGGGGAAAGATGCACAGAAAAGATTAACAGTGATTACTTTTGAAAAGAGATACTGTGAATAAGCATAGAGAAGTATTTTTACTTTTCTGCCATCCTATACCTTGTGAATTTTAAATACTGGCAGTTATTAGTTTTATTTACTTTAAAATGTTAATAAGGATAAACTAGTTGGTAACCATTTTGGTTGTCTCGTTTTTAGTGTTTTTTAAATAAAGGAGAGCTGTAAAGACCACTGAAAATATATCAAACAAGAATTAACTGGGCCATTGTTATTCACAACATTCTTTTTCATAATTGAGCATTTATTTCTACACTGAGTAAAGTCAATGAATAAATGCAGCTACAAGTTTAACATGATCCAATGGAATTACTGTGGCTTTCAGACAGCAATTGCAATCTGAGGACCACTAATAAATATGCTTAAGATAAAGTCTTTCTAATAATAATGCTGTCCTACAGTGGAAGAGATAGCCTAACAAAACAATAAAACCTGTGTCAGCAGGGGCATGGTGGTTCACACCTGCAATCCCAGCACTTTGGGAGGCTGAGGCAGGTAGAGGACTTGAGGTCAGGAGTTCGAGACCAGCCTGGCCAACATGGTGAAACCCTGTCTCTACTAAAAATACAAAAATTAGCTGGGCGCGGTGGCAGATGACTGTGGTCTCAGCTACTAGGGAGGCTGGGGCAGGAGAATGGCTTGAACCAGGGAGGCAGAGGTTGCAATGAGCCAAGATCTCGTCACTGCACTCCACCCTGGGGGACAGAGTGAGACTCTGTCTCAGACAAATAAATAAATAAATAAATAAACACTAAACCTGTGTCAATGATATATTTAAGCACGTCCTGCTATCTCTGCCTAGAATACTGTCCCCTCTGCTTTTCTGCCTAGCTAACTCCAACCCAACTCACAAGAGCTAGCTCAAGAATCGCCTCCTCCAGGGAAGCTACCCTGATCCTCTCTTTCACCTCGTGGTTTAGATAACTGCTACTCAAAGTTTGGTTCTCAAACCCAAAACATTTTACACGACATCCTCATGGTCTGACTATGCCTGAGGCCTACTAAGTCTACATTTTAAACAATATTCCAGGTGATTGGTAGTCACATTAAAATTTGTGAAAAAGTGGGTAAATGACAACCCTGGGTGTGCCCACAGTTTCTTGTGCACACCTGTATCACAGCTTTCATTATACAGCATTTACAACTTTGTTTTCTTGTCTAAATTAGACTGCAAGATCCCTAAAGGCAAGATCTAAGATTTTTGTTGTTGTGCCATATCCATTGCACTTGGCACATAATGGACACTCCATAAATGTTTGTTAACTGAGCAAATCAGAAAGAATGAATGAAAAGTAAACACAAAATTTAATTCCAACTTTACAGAACTCTATCAATTATATAGCAATGTAAAAATCTTAATTACAAATGATAGAAAAAGTGATTTTAAAAGATATTTTTAAAAACCACTATGCTTAAATGTATGCATATCCTAGAAACATATTACAAATTATTTTTATCCTCATGAAAGAGCACATGAAATCCAGGACTGTACATAAAGCATTTTATCATAATATTTGCCCTTTCTTTTAAAAAAAGCCCACTTTCAAGTTATCATATACTATCATAAATTTAGGTGCAAGCCAGCAGCTGAAAAAATAGAAATAAACTACTTTTAGATTTCTTTTGTTTTGTTGATGACACACAAATTATGTTACTGTTTATCTTTAAGACTGCAGCTGTTGCTGGCTCTGCATCACCGTTTACTGTAATTACTGCCTTCAGATTTCTTTCTGACCCATATCCCGTTATAGGATATGCTCAGGCTAGATGAGCAACTTCTAAAATCAGCAGCAATCATAGATGTTTGCAAAATTGTTGCATTAGAAATCTCTTTTTCTAGTAACATGAAAATTCTTTAGTATACCTTCACCCTTTAACAAAAATCCTCACCTGGCTGTTTCTCGCCACTCAGCGTCCTCACCTTCACGCCAACAAATCTCATCCAGTTCTGTGAAAAGGTCATGAGGAATGTGTTCCTCGTCATCATCCTCGGTTCCAAGAATAAACTGTACCCTCTGTGATGGGGTGTCTAAAAAATCAGAGACATGTATTACCATGAACATGTATTACCACGACCCTGAGCTTAAAATGTCCCAGTCACTGCCTTCAGCACCACCCCAAGCTCGCACCACCCCAAGCTCACACCTCCCCTGCTCCCCACTGCAACACTCATCCAAATCAAACTCAGGAACTAAAACCAAATTCATCATTACATGAAGTCCAGTATAATTGGGGAAAATAAATATGTAAAATGTATATATTAATGTATACATATAATAAATAATAAATAAAATATGATTATTATTTTGGATTATTTTTAACACTCATGGAGACTATTTCTATTTCTCAGACACATATACTCATTTTCTCTCATCATATATGGTATATTTTATGGGTAATATTCAGAAGAGTAGATCATGATAAAATTCATTTATACTAAAACTATGCAGAATGTTATTCACCAAAAAAACTCCCTTGTGATCCTCCTTTGTAGTCATTCCTACCTCCCTTTTGTAGCCCCCAGCAACCACTGATCTGGTCTCTGCTGCTAGCTTTGCCTTTGCAAAATGTCATGTAAGTGGAAACGCAGCATATAACCTTTTGAGACTGGCTTTATTCACTTAGCAAATGCCTTTGAGATTTTGAGATTTATCTGTCATTGTGTGTATTAGTAGTTCATTCTTTTTCATAGCTGAGTAACAGTCCATTGCAGGAATGTACCACTCTTTGCTTATGCATTCACCTGCTGGAGGACATTTGGGTTTCTAGTGCTTGGCCCAATTATAAATACAACTGCTATAAGTATTCTTGTGTAGGCTTTGGTGTAAACATAAATTTTATTTCTCTAGGGTAAATACCTAGAAGTAGGATTGCTAGTCATATGATAAGTTTATGTTCAGCTTTCTGAGACACTGCCAAACTGCTTTCCAGAATGGCTGTACCATTTTGCATTCCCAGGAGCAATGCAAGAGAGTTGCAGTTGTTCTGAATCTTCACCAGCACTTGGTATTATCAGTTGTTTTGTAGCCATTCTATGTAGTGGTATTTCATTGTGGTGTTACTTTACATTTCTATAATGGTTATTGTTGACAATTTTTCCTGAGTTTATTTGACATCCATATTTATTCTCTGGCAAAGTGTTTATGAAAACATTTTGCTTATTTTTATTGGGTTGTCTGTTCCTTACTGTCGAGTTTTGAGACTTCTTTATACATTCTGGATACACGACATTTTTTGAACATATGATTTGCAATATTTGTCTTTTCTCCCCATTTATAGTTTGACTTTATATTCTTTTAGCAGTGTCTTTCACTGAGGAAAAGTTTTAAATTTTGATAAATTCTGATTTGTGTGTGTGTGTTATAAATTATGCTTTGGTATCAAATTTGAAAACTCTCTGCCTAAAGGTCACAAAGATTTTCTTTTATGTTTTCTTCTAAAGTTTCATATATTATATTTTACATCTTGAAGCTATGGTCCATTTTGAGTTAATTTTGGTATAAGATATGAGGTTTAATTCAAGGGTTTTTTTTTATTTTTTGCATATGGATGTTAAATTGTTCCAATATCATACCATTTATGGAAAAGACCCAAATAAAAGACACAGAAAAAGTATATTCTTCATGGTTTGTGCCGTTTTCAAAAATCAATTAGTTATATTTGTTTGGACTGTTTTTCTGGACTTTCTAAAATGTCCCATTGATCTAGGCCTATATTTCAGTCAGTCCAGGATACTATAACAAAGTACCATAGATTGAGTGGCTTATAAACAACAGAAATTTATTTCTTGCAGTTCTGAAGCCTGGATGTCTGAAATCAGGGTGCCAACATGGTTAGGTTCTAGTGAAGGACTTATTCTGGGTTGCAAACTGCTGTTTTCTCCTTGTAATATCACATGGTGGAAAAGGCTGAGAGAGCAGGTTCATTTTATAAGGGCACTAATCCCAATCATAAGGGCTTCACCCTCATGACCTAATTTCATCCCAAAGGCCCGATCTCCTAATACCATCATATTGGGGTGAGAATATCAACCTATGAGTTTTGGGGGAACACAAACATTTAGTTCATTGCTTTGTCTATTCCTTTGACAATACCACACTTTTTTGATTACTATAGCTTTAGAGTAATTCTTAAAGTCAGATGGTATGAGTCTCCCAACTTTGCTCTTCTTTTTCAAAACTGTTTGGCTATTCTAATCTTTTTGCCTTTTGATATACATTTTAGAACAAGTTTTTCTGTATCTACAAAATTCCTGCTTGGAATTTGATTGATATTGCACTAAATCTATGGATCAATTTAGGGAGAATAGTACCTTAAGTGTAATGATTTTTCCAACCCATGGAAACTATGTGTATCTTCATTTATTTAGGTCTTCTTTCATTTCAAAATATTTACTTCCATCAGGTTTTATAATTTCCAGAACACAGATCTTCTACCTGCTTTGTTAAATTTATACCTAGATATTTCATTTCTTGAGGCTATTATATTTTTTAATTTGTTTCCAATTTTTAATGCTAGTGTAGAGAAATGTGATTTATTTTCATGTGACCTTGTATCCTTCAACCTTATTAAACTTACTTATTATTTCTAATTTTTTTGTAGGTTCCACGGAATTTTCCAGGTAGAGATCATATATATGTGAATATGAACCATTTTATTTTTTCCTTTCCAAGCTCTTTCTCTATTTATTTATTTATTATTATACTGGCTAGAATTCCAGTACGATATTAAGTGGCAGTGATGAGAGTGGCCAGGCTTACTTTGTTCCTGGTCACAGGGGGAAAACAGTCTTTCATGAATAAGTATGATGTCAGTTTCCCTTTGTCTGAGAATGCCTTTATTTAACTTTCATGCCTAAAGAATATGTCAGTGGATATAGAATCCTGGACTAAATGTTCTTTCAGCATTCTCAAATGCTGTTCCATTTCCTTTTAGCCCTCATATTTCTTAATGAGAAATCTGCAATCATTGGAATCATTGTTGCATTTTTCTCTGGCTACTATTAGAATATTTTCTTTGTTTTTAGTTTTCAGAAGCTTGGTTATGATACTTTTTAATAATTTTGGGATTTGGGGTTTTGTTTTGGTGTTTGTTTATTTTAGCATTTATCCTGTGGGAACCCTGAGCTTCTTCAATGTGTAAGTTTATGGGGTTTTTTTTTTTCCAGAAATTTTCTTTCTTCTTTTCTTTCTTTTCTTTCATTTCTTTCCTTCCTTCCTTTCTTTCTTTCTTTCTTTCTTTCTTTCTTTCTTTCTTTCTTTCTTTCTTTCTTTCTTTCTTTCTTTCTCTCTCTCTCTCTTTCTTTCTTTCTTTTTCTTCCTTTTCTTTCTTTCACTCTGTCACCCACACTGGAGTGCAGTGGTGTGATCTCTGCTCACTACAACCTCTGCCTCCCAGGTTCAAATGATTCTCCTGCCTCAGCCTCCCAAGTAGCTGGGATTACAGGCATGCACCACCACACCCAGCTAATTTTTGTATTTTTAGTAGAGATGGGGTTTTGCCATGTTGGCCAGGCTGGTCTCAAACTCCTGACCTCAAGTGATCTGCCTGCCTCAGCCTCCCAAAGTGCTGGGATTACAGGCATGAGCCACCACAACTGTCTTCAATTATTTCTTCCATAGTTTTCTGTCTGTTTGCTTCATACTCTTTCTCTTCGCTTCTGATATAGTGACAGCAGAATCAACTGAGAACAGTCATCAACAATAGCCACAGCTTGTCTTGACATCATCTTTTCTCTGACTAATTTTCCCATAAATACGCCATCAGTCACGGATAAATCTAACCAACAGATGCTGGAAAAAAGTTCATCCACTTTGTCTCATACATGTCTTTACTTAAGGTCACTATCAACAGGACTCAAAGCAGAAGGATGGGACCAATCTACAGTATATACCTCAACCACACTGCTGATGTATTCAGCTGCTGAACCCAACAAACTGAATAAATCCCCCAAACCATAAAGGTTTCCCTTACAAAGCCATGTGACTTTCTCCTTAAGTTTCTATATTAACCTTTCCACTTGGCCGGAGGCATTAGATCAGGTACAGCAGGATATATAAGCAATTGCACAGTCTCTTCCTTGGACCACAAGGAGGTAGCTGAGGGCAATCCTATCATCCATAAAAACGTTAGTCCATGAACTGAGGCTAAAGAAGACTGGAATTGTATCATTAATCTTTTAGATTAAATTCAGGGGCAAATTTCTCACCAATTTTTCTAATTTGATGATTACCATTGTAGGGATAACTGCCTGTAGGGCACACAAAACTAATAAGTCAATTATCCCTCCAGGAAGCTCATCCTCATAGCCAAGTGTAGATTTTGGAGTTCTCTCCGAAATCGTCTGAAGCTTACATAATCTACTGGTGGTGTTTGCTTAAACATTCAAAGGTCTCTTATGACCATCCCTGTGGTTCAAGTCACTATATTTTGGATAGGGAGGGAAAATAATGCATGATTTGGACATAAGACATGCAGTCTTGGCCGGGCGCAGTGGTTCATGCCTGTAATCCCAGCACTTTGGGAGGCCGAGGTGGACGGATCACAAGGTCAGGAGTTCAAGACCAGCCTGGCCAGCATGGTGAAATCCCATCTCTACTAAAAATACAAAAAATTAGCTGGGCATGGTGGCACGTGCTTGTAGTCTCAGATACTCAGGAGACTGAGGCAGAAGAATTGCTTGAACCCAGCAGGTGGGGGTTGCAGTGAGCCAAGATTGCGCTATTGCTCTCCAGCCTGTGTGACAGAGCAAGACTCCGTCTCAAAAAAAAAAAAAAAAGACATATAGTCTTAAGGGTTCACACAATGGTCCTAGAAAGAACATGTTATTTACGATGACTGTGACCCCAAAAATGGACCGATGTCAGTTAGAAGAAACAGATTGGCAATGTCTCCAACAGGGCCTCCAGGCCAGCTAGTTGGCCTTGGGGTTCTCAGTTCAGTTCAGATAATTGAGATTATTGCTGTTTTTTAGAGAAACTGCTTGGGGACAGTCAGTCCAATCTGATCTATTTATCCATGCAAGCCACTACATGGCATTCATCCACCCCATGGAATGAGTGATTGATGGTTATAGAAAGAGGGGTAAAGAAGACACCCAAAGGTGTTAATAGGTTTTGTGTGTGTGTGTGTGTGTGTGTGTGTGTGTGTGTGTGTGTAGGCGATAAAGGATCTTTCCCTGATGTTTCTAATAAACTTCTCCTCAAGGTTAAAAGCAATGATGATCAAAATGCAGGCAGAGACATCTGATGAAGAATGTTAAGCCAGAAGGAAATTACATTTAAAGCATTTACCACAGTTTGAGAGACTCACACCAAGGACTTTTCTTTATGTGGGAGGCTCCAGGGGAAGTTCTGAAAGATCATTGATTTTACTCCTGCACCTGAAATGCAGAGTGTGTTCCATTCCGGTAGCTATAATTTCACTTTTTTTCTAACCATCCTCTATCATACCCAAATCTTTTGTTGGGAAGGGTCAGAATAAGGGAGAAAAGGGCATTTTTATAAAATTTACAGAGACTCATTATGTCCCCTACATTAATGGTACATTTGGGCAATTGCAGGGGGTCTTGGCAAGCTGTGTACTCAACTAAATGGTTACTACTCTTACAATGTAGGACCAAATGAAGCCAACAAGCATATCCAGTTAGCTATACAAGAATTAAATAAAAATTCCTGAGGCCTCCCTTTAGCTGGACTACCATTTGGAGGATGTACCAATCAGGCTGGCCTGAGGTTTCTGTAATAAGAAAGAATAACGCATTATGCCCAGAAATGGTCATGGTGGAACACTGATTTTTCAATATAAGTTTATATAAAATCTTAACCCTTTCATCTTATTATCCACATAGAGGCTGAGAGGAGATGATCAGTTTCTGCAGAAGCCACATTCAGTGACCAAACCATCTTACTTATATGTGTGCACCAGAAGGAGGTGAGAGAGGCAGAGTTGGAAACTTTTTTTAATTTTTGAAGAAGCCCTTCCAACATTTAACAATACCAGATGCCGATGGATGATAGGAAATGTGGAAGGTCTATCACATACCTTGATTATCAGCCAATTGTTGTATGGCTTTGGGGATTAAAAAGTGCATGACTCTCTGACTGTGAATGGTTCAGAAATCTGAATACATAACATAGATTAGTTTCAAGGGTCACATGGTGTGTCTAGAATAAACTAATTGGCTGTAACAGCAACAACATCCTCAGACTAGATAGATGTACCTGCTGCCCTACTATCAATACAACATTTATTAAGTTCTTGCCTGGTTCCAACATAAGGGTGAAAGAACTTTTCTAGAACTTCAGGCTGACCACAAGAATTTATCTAAATTTCTTTGATGACCTTTTCATTCTCCAGGGGGTCACTTATATTAGCATTATGAAACCAATCTGGGGCTGTAAGAGTGCAATACTAATTAATGCCTCATCTATAGTTTCCCCTTGATTTTGTCTCTTCCAGAGAAATCTCCATAAAAGGGCCAAAGTTATTTTACAGCAGATAGAACCCATTACAGAAAATTCCAAGACTTTCTACTGTCATCTCCAGATGGATTACAAGTTGGCATGATGGTAGGAGAGTCTGAGCAAAAAAGATATCCCAGTTTTGGCCATTCTTCTATTACCAACATTCCATGACCCACCTCACTCATTTTCCAAGAAAATCAGCCAAAGTTCTAATAATTTGCCTGGTTTCTGTACATAATAGTCATAAATTTTCCTCTCATGCTCACTGTAGGTATGTATCTCTAAAATTGTTGTCTGAAAGAAAATGCGGCCGGGCGCGGTGGCGCACGCCTGTAATCCCAACACTGCACTTTGGGAGACTGAGGCGGGCGGATCACGAGGTCAGCAGATCGAGACCATCCTGGCTAACACGGTGAAACCCCGTCTCTACTAAAAATACAAAAAATTAGCCAGGCGTGGTGGCAGGCGCCTGTAATCCCAGCTATTCGGGAGGCAGAGGCAGAAGAATGGCGTGAACCCGGGAGGCGGAGCTTGCAGTAAGCTGAGATCGCGCCACTGCACTCCAGCCTGGGCGACAGAGTGAGACTCTGTCTGAAAAACAAAACAAAACAAAACAAAACAACAACAACAAAAAAAGAAAATGCAAACTTGTTCCTCTCTCCCCACCCCACAGCCCAAATGAATCTAAGTACTAATTGTTACAATAGGTGAACCTGAGACTACTGCCAGACTGTAATCTCCCTGCCTAAAGGACAGTTAAATCATATCTGTTGCCTGGTTCTCAGCTTGCAACTACCTCCCCAAATCCTCCTCATTAATGAGCAATAGAGTAGAAGAATATTTATTGCTCTGCTTACTAGACAATTTGGTCCACAAGTTTGCTACCAATACCAATGGACTTCTTTCAAAGTCTATTAATTAGCTGTGAGGCCATCATCCTTCTTTTTCCAAAAGCCATGTCTCTGTCAGTATCCCTTCCTCACTGCCAAAACTGCCAAGAATTGTGAAGGGTATCAGGATTTGCCCTGCCAGTTTTATGGATGCTAGCAAAAGCCATGAGACTCTTGAGTCAGAGACAAAAGATGGTTTATTATGCACAGAATAGTAGTACCTAGAGTATCATCATTTGTGTTGCATTCTGAGCCCCAACTCCCACAGAAGGGTGTGCAAAGGGCCAGGAGATGCTGCACATGTAGCGGGATATGTGACAGGGGAGAACCAAGGTAAGGAACTCAGGTCTTTCATAATGGACAATAATCCTCACTGATTGTTGCCCCATAAGGAGACATTATCTTTACTGTATAAAGATAAAAAACCTACCCTTTGCTCCAGAGAGAGACACTATCTATATCTTCCTAGTGTGTTCACGATATAAACATACTTGTAAAGACAGACAGGCACAAAGGCACTTAGTGCCTTTGCCCAAAAGATGTTTGGGAACATAAAGGATACATGGAGATTTGTCTCCCAACAGCCATCTTCATGTTCTGATCACTCTCAGAAAAAGAAAGAAAAATCTTTGAATTAAAAGCTTTTTGTTGAAATTGAAACTTCTTTGTGAACCTTTTCACCACCTTCCTACCTCTAAATATTCCCGATTTTATTTGCCCATTCTTCAACGCATTCTTTGAGGGGGGAAAAAAGAATTCTTGGGATTTTGCTTTCATTATTTCCTTTTTCATTATATTTTGTACAGATTATATGATTTTTACCTAGAAATCTTTACTAGGTCTTAAAAAGAAAATCCATACTATTCCTATAGGGCAGCAAAAACTATTAGTCTAGCCAGAAAAAAATTCATTTACCTTAGAAGAAAAATATAATATTAGGAATAAATCCAGCAAAATTATGTAGCATATTTGTGATAAAAATTATAAAACTTTATTGAATGATGAGGAAGCCTTAGTCATAAAAAAAAATCATGAATTCAATGTTAGTTCAATAAAACATCTGGTATGTTTTAAACTTTTTAAAACACAAAAGAATGAGTAAATCAGTAACAGCTATAGAGCAATTACTGAAATCTATAATATTAATCATTTCATATATGAAAATAAACCAATTAATAAGTTATTGAAATAATTAGATTACAACTAAGTCATAATTGAGAGTATTTCAGAGGGCAAAGGTGAAAAATAAACACACAATGATAATATAGTGTCATATTTCTGTGTAAATAAATATCTGTGGTAACTCTTGCCTAACTCATTAGCCTCATCTTCTGCCAGTCTTTCCCTTGCTATTACAGTCTAGGTACATTAGCCTTCTTTAAGACTCTTAAAAATATCATGCTCTTCCCTACCTCAGAATCTTGTAGCTGTCTTAGACATCTACTCTCTGCTTAAATGTAGTATACTTTGGCACACCTACCTAATCATCTTTGTAAAACAGACATATGAACACATACATATCCACATCTAAGCATATTCATATACAAACAAATCAGGCCCCTGCTATCCTAACTTATAGCACCCTACATCTCTTGATCTACTTATCACAATTGCAACTAATAATTAATTGTGCAATAATTGATTTTGCATCTATCTTTTTGCTAGAATGGATGAAATATAAGGGCAGAAACCATGTTTGTTTTATTCACTGCTATATCCTCAGTAAATATCAAAGGTTTAACAAATATTAATTTATTTAAAAGATGAAGCCAAGATGTATTTTGTACACTTTTGGCTTTTTTTTAAAATTTTATCTTGTTGTATGAACTTTATGCATAGCTTTCTGGGTAAAGTAGGGTAATAAAATATATCTCATCAACATGTCAGCTTGTTTGTTTCTGGGTTTTTTTTAAAAACAGAAAATAAACTTGCTCAAAGTTTCCAGTCTTATTCTGTAACTGTAATTACAATAACAGGAAAAAAAAAAAACCTCACAACTACCTTAAGAGCAGCTAGAAGTTCAGAGTAAATCCATCAATATGAAAGGTAACCTTAGCCTATTAAACTAAATATAACACTGGCATGTTATGAAAATGGATGGAAAAATTGTAAAAATGTTTGGATTAATATTTCAAACTGCCATTGTATAAGAAATAGTATTAGTTAACTGCATTAAAGAGGAAAATAGATTCTTAAAGTAAATCAGATAAGAATAGATGTGGTTATTAAAATATAGGGAAACATATTCTTTACTGAACTCAATAAAACTGCCCTGGTTGTTGTTATTTTTTTTTTTTTTTTGCTTTAGTTCCTACAATATGCATTCCTTGGGAGCTGAAATGTGCAGAGCACTTAGCACACTTATGTCAATTTTTAAATGTATATTCTATAGAAAGAAATTGGTATGGTTGGGCTGTGTCCTCACCCAAATCTCATCTTGAATTTTAGCTCCCATAATTCTTATGTGTTGTGGCAGAGACCCAGTGAGAGATAATTGAATCATGGGGACAGTTTCCCCATACTGTTCCCGTGGTAGTGAATAAGTCTCATGAGATCTGATGGTTTTATAAGGGGAAACCCCTTTTGCTTGGCTCTTATTCTCTCTTGTCTGCTGCCATGTAAGATGTGCCTTCCTTTTGCTTCCCGCCATGATTGTGAGGCCTCCTCAGCCATATGGAACTGTGATCCATTCAACCTCTTTTTCTTTATAAATTACCCAGTCTCAGGTATGTCTTTATCAGCAGCATGAAAACAGACCAATACATAAATATAGAAAAAAAGTAAAATATCCTCAAATAATATATTTACAGAACATGAGAAAACATTCCCTTATTATTCAAGTGGAATGAAATTACTGCAAATAGTATAAAAAACAAAGTGGAATAATTTAGATGAATTGTAAGTTCAATTATATTGAGATTCATGAGAATCCATGACAATTTTGCTATCTTATTAGCCAAGAGGGTCCTTTAACTCGGCAATTAATTAAATGATGGCAAGCAAAGAAGTTGCAGTTCAAAAAAATGTGAGGCTGATTTCTTCCTAGATTTATTGAGCAAATAAAGTATCTTTTAAAAAAACAACATACTGCCGTCTTCAGCCTGGCTGTACTTTGAATAGTTGCTTGGTCAATTCATTAACTGTAGGATAGTATCTATTCCAGTTCACATAAATGCTATACCATATTTATTGTTCTTAAATTGCTTATAATCTGGTTTTAAAAATAAGATGAATACATAATAACAGACAATGTAAGACAATAATAATTAAGCACTAACATGTCTGGTGCTTAGTGCTATAAGGGTAAAGAGGTGTAAAAACAAATGAAGGCTACACGGTCAAGGAGGTTTTCACAAGAAGAGGTGGGATTAAGTCAGGCCACACCAGCATTAAGGACATAATATTTTTGACTATATGGTAAAAGAAAAAGATCCAGGATTACTGAGACAAAATTAATGGTTTGGTTTAGGCAATGGATTTAGAAATACAATAATATAGAAATAGAATAATTCTAATAGAATTATTCTAATAGAATAATTTAGAAATAGAATAATGCAAGAAAATATCTCAGTAGCTGAAGTTCAAGATGAAATCCCAGGTCTGAAATCCACTGCATGCTCTAGAGAGGGATTTGATGCAGATGTAGATTATACATATATATATATATATATATATATATATATATATATATATATGAATTAGAATTAAAACCAAGGAAAAGCTGGAATCCAGCCGAACCTGAAGCATTAAGATCCCGGGTAAGCAGTAAAACAATAGCCAGGTTGTCTGAATCAAACAAGGATGAAAAAATACCAGAGAGAAGAAAAGCAAAAATTCCAATACTAGGGAACCAGAAAGAGTCCTTTCCTATGCATGTATATATAATATATGGTAAATAATATGTATATATTTATATATACAAATAAAAATAAGCATATATAAAATTATACTACATATTTAAAATATATAGAGATATATAACATTTTAAATGAGGATTATATCTTTAATAATTGATGACTGGTTGAAATTAGTGTGGACCAAACTGGAAGCAGTCAATATCAAAAATTCAAAAGCTCAAGAAAAAAACAGTAATTTAGTTTTGTAAGCAAATCCAAGGGTCAGTAGTACAAAAATGAAATTCCAAAAAGCAGATCTGCAGGCAGAAGTAAAGGAACAAGTGAGTCATGAATACTGTTTTGTAAGAAGTTAATAAAATACAATAACTAGGTTTATCACACTAGTTTGCATCATGTAATGAGCACAAGTCCAAATGCGCAGGCTTTGTCTAGCAAAGTGGTTCCATCATAGGAAAACTGGAGTGAAATAGAATATCTCATTAAAGGGAAACTTGGTTGCAAGACAGGAATATGGATAACAGAAAGAAGCAAAGAAATAATAGCACTGGAGAGCTGGGGACCAAAGTCAGAGTAAACCCAGGAGTAAGACGCTAGCAATGGTGAATAAGCAATGTACTGATATTGGCCTCCTTATATTTCTACCTGCCAGAATTAGTCTCCCAGAAGATTGGACCAAGCCCCAAAAGAGGAAATTATAGATGTAAAAATACTTTTCAAGCAATAAAGAATCACATAAATATTGGCCGGGCGCGGGGGCTCACGCCTGTAATCCCAGCACTTTGGGAGGCCGAGAAGGGCGGATCACGAGGTCAGGAGATCGAGACCATCCTGGCTAACATGGCGAAACCCCGTCTCTACTAAAAATACAAAAAATTAGCCGGCCTGGTGCGGGCGTGCCTGTAGTCCCAGCTACTCGGAAGGCTGAGGCAGGAGAATGGTGTGAACCCAGGAGGCGGAGCTTGCAGTGAGCCGAGATCGCGCGCCACTGCACTCCAGCCTGGTTGACAGAGCGAGACTCCGTCTCAAAAAAAAAAAAAGAATCACATAATATTACTGATGATTATATTAGAGATAGGGGGTGATGGTTATAATGATGATATAGAATTACCTACCAGAAATAGAGAGCTTTACAAATTGAAGCAGGTAGAATAATCATGCCATTAATTAAAAGAGAGTTGTCAGAATGAGAGCCAGCATTGTAGGTTGGGTGCTCCAAAGATAAGTTTTGCATATGCTAACTTTGAGGTGACTAAGGGACCATCATATGAAGAAGGTCATAAGGCAGTTGGAGATTTGAGATTGGATTCTGGAAGAGAGAGCAGGGACAGAGATAGAGACATAGATAACATTTAACTAAAGATATCACATGATTACAATGATGATGATGACTCAAAATGAAAGTCTTGAGAGAGAAGAAGACTCAACACTGGAGAAGTAATAAGGTTTAAGATTTGGCAGAAGGAAAATAAGTTAACAAAAGAATCGGAAAAGGAATAAATATGTAAAAGGATTAATACATTACACAAACATTTAATGAACACCTTTCTTTTGTCAGATACCATACTAAGTAGTGAATAAGACAGATATAAACAGAAAAAAAGCCTCTGCCTTCATGGAACATACATCTCACGGAGAGAGTAGTATAACCAGGAACAAAGTAGAAAAGAATTTAAAAAGAATAAGAAGTCAATAATGTTGGATGTTGTAGGGTGGTCAATGAGAACTGTGTTAAGAGAAAGAAGATCTGGCTAGCCTAATTTTCAATAGCACTGGAATTCCAAAGAACATTTATTACTGTTATAATCAGAAATAGACAAATAAGGTATTTCCATTTGGAATATGGACTGTATTTTCAACAAATAATTAGTTAAGAAAATCAAATTTAAATCATTATGCTATCTGAGGAAAGCCCTTGTAGAATCATAACTGGAAACAACAAATTCCTTAGCAAACTTCTATCTTTGCATTATTAGCTATATTACTTATATTGCCTTAATAACTCACATACTAATTAACCAGGGCTTAAAGAGATAGTTCCTAATAATCAGTGAAAATACTCTCCTTTTGCAGGCCCTCTCCAAAAGCACTCTATTTTTTAGACACTTTCTGGACAATATTTTACAAATATGTTGAGAATATATATTTATCATGCCAGCATTACAAGTACAATGACAGAAGTGAATTGAAAAACTTCCATTTTAATATGTAATCTTGCTGTCATGAAGTACACAAGCCTTGGTTACTATGACATTTAGCTTAAGAGAACAGATTCACAAAATGCTTACCATTGTGAATTTCTGAATCACAGACACTTTTCTTCCTCTTTATCTTTGTTATAGTTCAGATGAATCCATATTCAGATAATCTATCTTATGAAATTATGACAAGTTTGGTAGTTCTGTTCCAAATTTATGTCTCCAGTCTCCTTGAAGCTCAATAATATTTTCCATTTTTAGTTGAACTTTAAAATTGTGTTCATAGTATTTGAATGTCATGCACAATCTATTCATTGAAATTTCTAGATTTTAATTCATTTACATAATTGAAATAATATAATATTATCAATTCTAATTAGTAATTTCATTACAGGGTAATAGATTGGTAAAATGAATGTTTCAGATGAAGCACCAAGAACAGATATTTATTTCCACATGGGATATAAGATTATATGCAGAATTTGCAAACCATGCTCTAAAAACCTAGTTATGTGACTCTAATTTTTCACCCACACAGAGGCTGGCTATAAAGGATCATGAGATGAAACAGACACATTTTAGAGTTCTTCGGAAAGAGCTGTAACATGAGTCTGACATTTACTTATTCTCCTTAAAAGGGATGGCAGTAGGGGTATGATTCTTACCTGAGAAACATAAAGTCAGCCTAGCTGCTGATGGCTGACATTGCTGCATTCAATAACACACACTTTCAGTATTTACCAGAGCACTCAATCTGAGTGTGTGTGTGTCTTCTGTGAATCATACATAAGCCACACACATGAGAGGGGAGCGGGGAGAAGAGAGAGAGAGGGTGTGGAATATAGAGTCATCTTGGGCTGCCACAGAGCACTGAGAATATTTCAGCAGAGAGACTCTATCATTATAACTGAATGCCTAGGGGATGAAGAGGAATAAATAGTAACGCAGAAAAGAGTGCAGGTGAGAAAACCTCCAGGAGAGAATGAATAAACTCAAATTCTTGCTAAGCCTAAGGAGTGTGACATTAACTTGCCACAGTAGCAGTGAAGTAAGAACTTTCCTGCTTTACCTCCATTAGAGATAAGAAACTAGAGCTAGGAAGATGATGGAGCATCTGCAGGAAGATGTTCAAGGTAGAAAAGAAAAAAAAGCAACTACAGTTGACTCTTGAATAACACAGGTCTTAAAGGTGCTGATCTCCCACACAGCTGAAAATCTGTATATAACTTTTGACTCCCTCAAAACTTAACTACTAATAGCCTACTGTTGACCAGGTGCCTTAATGATAACATAGTCAATTAACACATAATGTGTATATTATGTGTATTATGTACTGTATTTTTACAATAAACTGGAGAAAACAAGAAAATCACAAAGAAGAGAAAATATATTTACTACTCATTAAGTGAAAATGGATTATATAAAGGACTTGATCCTCATTGTCTTCATGTTGAGTATGCTGAGGAGGAGGAAGAGGAGGGGTTGGTCTTGCTATCTCAGGAGTGGCAGAGGCAGAAAAGGTAGAAGGGGAGGCAAGAGAGGCAGACACACTTGATGTAACTTTATGGAAATAAATTGTAATTTCTGACCTTTTCGCTTTTTCATTTCTCTAAAACTGTTTCCATGAGATGCGATCCTTCTTCCACCATTTATTTTAGTTTCAGTGCACATATTATAGAAGGGTCCATGTTGTAAAAAAAGTTGAACCTAGTCTTGAATAATTGTAACTCTTCTGCCAGATTGTCTAATGTGAATTTGTTTTCTGGCACTGCTTTTTCAATGTTTTCTTCCTTATCTTCTGGCGCTGGTTTAGAAATACTCATCTTCATCGAGTCATCTTCTATTAATTCCTCTGACATGGTTTCTGTTTGCTGTTGAGTTTCTCCAAGATCCATATCCTGATACCTTTTACCCCCACCTTTTTCGCCATATTCACAATCTGTTTCATAATTTCCTTGATTGGCTGTGTTGTAAATCTTGTGATGTCATGCACACTGGAACACAGTTTTCTCCAGCAGGAATTTGTGGTTTCAAGCTTGATGGCTTTCATGGATTTT
Organism: Homo sapiens; assembly: GCF_000001405.40. NCBI lineage: Eukaryota > Metazoa > Chordata > Mammalia > Primates > Hominidae > Homo > Homo sapiens. The sequence continues at coordinate 161,824,353 of NC_000002.12, read as the reverse complement.
TCTGTAGCAATGAAGGCATCTTTAATGGTGTAATCCATCTAGAGTTTCATGATGTCTTCTCTATTGGGGTTCTCTTCCACATTATTGACGATGCTTTCCATAGGGTACCATGTGTAATGAACCTTAAAGGTCCTTACAAAACCTGATCTAGAAGCTGATTATAAGTTTTGTGTTTTGGGGCAAGTAGATCACTTTAACACCTTCATGAACATTAGCTCCTGGGTTTCTACACGGCCAGAGGCATTGTCCAACATTGAAAGGATTTTCAAAGGCATTTCCTTACCGGTAAGGTACTTCCTGACTTCAGGGACAAAGCATCGATAGAACCAAAGTAGAAAAAGGATTCTCATTGTCCAGGCCTTTTAGTACAACCAAGAGACTGGCAGGCAGTACTCATCTTTTCCTTTCAAGGATCTAGGGTTAGTAGTTTTATAGATAAGGGTAGTCTTGATCATAAACCTAGCGGCAATTGCCAAAAAACAGTAGTTAGCCTATTCCTTTCTGCTTTAAATACTGATGTTCTCTTCCTTTGTGGCATTTTCCCCCCAGAATTGGGCACTTTCGTCTGCTTTAAAAACCTGTTCAAGCAGATATCCTTTCTCTTACAAAAATCATAAATGAAAGAAAATACACTTACAGTACTTTACTGTATTTGTTGATAAGTTTCTGCATCTTTTTATGTTATCTGCCTGAAACGGTGGGCAACCACTGCTGCAAACCTCAATCTGCAGTACATGTCAAGCAATTCAACTTTGTCTTGTAATGTTATGACTTTTCTCTGCTTCTTGGGAGCACTTCGAGCATCACTGTGGCACTTCATACGGGTTCCGTGGTTATATTCAAGGTTCACAATATTATACTAAACATGATGAAAAATATGTGAGAACCATGAGAGATCATTCTTTTTACGGCAATATGCTGTTTACTGAAGAGATGAACTGCTCAGGTAGACGTGATTAGCATCACAAGGTGTTTTAAGTGGATACTGGAAACACTTGCACTCACACAATAGCAACAGCAAGTGGCTACAACATTATTACAGTAGTACATTAAGTACAACAGTAAACTGTATGCAGTTATGATTTAATACTGCATTTTTTGCACTTGTTTACATTTCTCTCAGTTGCCAATGACACCATGCACAATCTATAAGTGTTTGTGTACATAAGGCCTGATAAATTTCAACTTTTATAATAGATTTGTGTAGATTTTATGGTAGTATGTGATACAATAGACTAGTATCTACCTATATGTTATGCATTCATGACATACTTTTTTCCTAATTTTTTTATATTTCTAGGCTATGCAGTTTATCTGTGAGTTTTTTCAAAATGTCACAAATCTAAAAAAAAAGTATATATATATACACATAATTTTTTTTGAGACAGTTTCTTTCTGCCATCCAGGCTGGAGTGCAGTGGCACTGTCTTGGCTCACTGCAGCCTCCACCTCTTGGGTTCAAGCAGTTCTCCTGCTCCAGGCTCCCAAATAGCTGGGACTACAGGTGCGCATCACCATGTCTAGCTAATTTTTGTATTTTTAGCAGAGAGGAGGTTTTGCCATGTTGGCCATGATGGTCTCCAACTCCTGGCCTCAAGTGATCTGTGTTTCTAGGCCTCCCAAAAGGCTGGGATTACAGGCATGAGCCACTGCGCCTGGCCCATACATTTTTAATATAAAAATACATAATATACAAAAACTACATAATATACATATAAATGTAAAAGTCTATGTGTAAGTGGACCTGCACAGTTCAAACCCATATTGTTCAAGGGTCAACTGCATTTTTAATTAGCCTGTTATCTCTCAGACTAGTTGGTCTAGAAAAAATATCAGTACTTTGAATAGCCATTTAAAAAAAAGCACAATTTGTGATTCTAGAGTTACACTAAGAAATCAATTAAATATTCCCATTAGACTGACCCAGTGTGAGCAGACATAGTCATTTTGTGTTGCATGACAACCAGTTCTGACTACCCAATCACTTCTCAGAGGTCACATCTCATAGCAGCCATGCTTCCACATTGGTATTAGGGTCCCCATGTCTCTGAAACATTTTCTCTCATCACTGTTTCCAAAGACTTATTTCAGTTCACTCTTCATCAGTAATCTGGATGTCTATAATACCATGCATCCAACCCCCAAATCTCAATTGCTATGTACATGAGTGTTAATTTTAAGGCTTATTAGTGTTTCCTTTTATAAAGCATGAGGCTTACTCACTACACACCTTTAAAATACTATTTGTAAGTAAACATGTGGTTATAACACCCTCACAGTTATGAATAAGGAGTATTTGAAAGTGTGAGATAGGGTGTCAGGTATTCAAAAGGCTTCCCTAAAACACAATGATAGCAGCAATGGTAAAGAAAATAATAATTTATTGAAATAGGGTCATCTATTCAGCGACAAGAAATATTTTATTTTGATTCAAGATAACGTATGGTTCCCTGTATCAGGCCTTCATTCTTTAAAATAGAAATGATTTTATAGGTATTAGGTTATTTTCACAAAAGATTTTTCATAACCATCCTACTAACATATTTTTAACATCTTAAAAAGGGATTAAGATTATGTTTCAATACAGTAAATTTTCCAAATGTGTAATTCAACACCCATTTTTCATGTCTATTAAAAATAGACACCTTAAAATAGTATTACATATTTCATGTAAATTGCAGTACTATCAAAATCAGAAAAAATCTTCCTGTTAAAAATTGTTATTTTTATTAGAGATGCTGTCTTGTTCTGTCACACAGTCTGGAGTGCAATGGCATGATCACTGTAACCCTGAACTCCTGGGCTCAAGCAATTCTCTCACCTCAGCCTTCTAAGTAACTGGGTTTATAGGTGTGAGCTACAGCACCTGGCAGAATTGTCTAAGTTAATAGAATATTTCTCCTGTGTTGATGGATGTTTATTTTTATGATAGCCACTGAAACCATAGAGCAGTGAAATACAAACTTCAGCCAAGATTATGGAAGATCAAGATATGGGTCTGCTTCTATATATACTAAAACATATAATGGAAATAAATAACATAGAAAAATTTGCCTAAAGAATAAAGGTATCAGCCTCTTAGCAGACTCTGCTGGAATCTGTAGCCACATCAAAAAAATACCATTATGAGAGTGAAATCAGAACCCACAATAGTGAGAAGATATTTAAAACACATAAAACTAACAAAGGACTTATTTCCATAACATGTAAAGAACTTCTACAAATCAATAAAAGCTCATTAAAAATATGACTTTGGTAGGCACTTCCTAGAAGAGAATATCCAAATGGCCAAAGGCATATGCAAAGTTACTCAATTTCATTGGTAATCAAGAAATATAAATTAAAACAATAAGATATAATTACATACCTTAAGAGAATGGCTAATGTTAAAAGAATGGAATTACCAAGTGTTAGTAAGGATGCAAAAAAACATAAGTTCTCACACTTTATTGGTGGGAATGTAAATATGTACCCCAATTTTGGAAATCTATTTGGCATTATCTACCAAAACTGAAAATATGCATGTCCTATGACTCAGCAATTGATAATTTCATTCATCGGTATGAGAAATGCATATGTATACCAAAAGACATATAGAAAAATGTTCACAGCATTATTACTTGTAGTAGCTTCTAATTGCATATGATCCAAATGACCATCAATAGTAGAATGCATACATACCGTGCATATAGAAGCACATTAACATACTATACAATAATGAAAATGAATAGGCTGAAGCTACATCAAAAACATTGGTGAATTCCATAAACAGAACACTGAGCAATTAATTCCTCTTATATGATTTCATTTATATAACGTTCAAAAACAAGCAAAATACCCATTGTAAAAAGAAAGGCCAGAGATTCTTTTGAGGAGGATGGAAAACCTAATGACTGGTAATGAGCACAAAGTGAGTTTCTAGAGTGCCAGCCAAGGTGGTATTACACAGATGTTCTGGTGTGATAATTCATTGGGTTTTATATGTATGTTTCTATGCTTTAACACTTGTGAATGCTTGTCTTATACTTTACAATAAAATACATTTGTAAAAACACCTTGATATTCTCATATAGCACCTAATTGGTCATTAAAATAGGAACAGGAAGCCACTGTCCATCAAAAAATTGCTCTTTGAGGTCATGTTTTCTATATTTGCTTCATTTCTCCTAAAGAGTGTGCACAATTTACCACCTAAGACTGACAAAATCCTATTATAATTCCAGGACTGTGTTAATTTATTCAGTATCTTTGTGTACCATATTTTAAACATGTGTTTAATAGTCTGTATCTTTTAGATTTATTTCTACTTCTTATACATTAGCTAATTGTAATTGGCATAATCCTATCATCTTTTCTATTAGATTCTTTTCAGGGAGGTTGAGGAAAAAAATAAACGTTGAAGTGTTACAAATTTCCCTCATCATCTTTCATATTTTCACTGACTTCAAGCTTATGCTTCAAACTTACCAATTTAAAGCAGCTCATCCATGTTCCCAGTTGAAAATATAGTTTCAAATTATACAAAGAGAATAGAAGATGACATTAAAAATAACAAATGTGGGCTGGATGCGGTGGCTCATTCCTGTAATCCCAGCACTTTGGGAGGCTGGTGCGGGTGGATCACGAGGTCAGGAGTTCGAGACCAGCTTGGCCAACATGGTGAAACCCCGTCTCTACTAAAAATACAAAAAATTAGCTGGCTGTGGTGGCAGGTGCCTGTAATCCCAGCTACTCAGGAGGCTGAGGCAGGAGAATCGCTTGAACCAGGGAGGCAGAGGTTGCAGTGAGCCAAGACTGTGCTACAGCACTGCAGCCTGGCCAACAGAGTGAGACTCTGTCTCAAAAAAAAAAAGTGAAATTTTAGCAGCTTTGTTACTGGGGAGTTGATTGCAATAGGAAGGAGAATTAATTAAACATCATCACATTCATCTAAACAAATTAATATATTTATTATATTTATTAAGTACAGTAGCCAAAGTAGGTTGAACTTATTTGTGGGCATTAAAAGTTTTTTGTATGAGCAAAACATCACCACCACCACTACCACACAGACCAAAAGCCAGTTCCTCTTTAGACTCACCTAGGAATCACAGCCCAACCATGACATATGGTAGGCTTGAACCAGTCATTGTTTTCCTATGATGTAAGCATAAACTCTTCCGTCTATATTAAAGGCCTATTCTTTTACCTGAATGCAACACTAATGCAACTAGGATGTTTTAACAACACTGTATTCTATGATTGGGTCTCATAATAAAGTAGGATTCTGCTGATGTTGCTTATACGTTGGAGTAATAAAACTTTTTAAGAGTGCCCAAATTCCAATCGATAGAAAAAGAAGGAATCCTCCCTAACTCATTTTATGAGGCCAGCATCATCCTGATACCAAACCCTGGCAGAGACACAACAAAAAAAGAGAATTTTAGACCAATATCCTTGATGAATATTGATGCAAAAATCCTCAATAAAATACTGGCAAACTGAATACAGCAACACATCAAAAACTTATCCACCATGATCAAGTGGCCTTCATCCCTGGGATGCAAGGCTGGTTCAACATATGCAAATCGATAAATGTAATCCAGTATATAAACAGAACCAAAGACAAAAACCACATGATTATTTCAACAGATGCAGAAAAGGCCTTTGACAAAATTCAACAACCTTTCATGCTAAAAACTCTCAATAAATTAGGTATTGATGGGATGTATCTCAAAATAATAAGAGCTATCTATGACAAACCCACAGCCAATATCATACTGAATGGACAAAAACTGGAAGCATTCCCTTTGAAAACTGGCACAAGACAGGGATGCCCTCTCTCACCACTCCTATTCAACATAGTGTTGGAAGTTCTGGCCAGAGCAATCAGGCAGGAGAAGGAAATAAAGGGCATTCAATTAGGAAAAGAAGTCACATTGTCCCTGTTTGCAGATGACATGATTGTATATCTAGAAAACCCCATCATCTCAGCCCAAAATCTCCTTAAGCTGATAAGCAACTACAACAAGTCTCAGGATACAAAAATCAATGTGGAAAAATCATAAGCATTCTTATACACCAATAACAGACAAACAGAGAGCCAAATCATGAATGAACTCCCATTCACAATTGCTTCAAAGAGAATAAAATACCTAGAACTCCAACTTAAAAGGGATGCGAAGGACCTCGTCAAGGAGAACTACAAACCACTGCTCAATGAAATAAAAGAGGATACAAACAAATGGAAGAACATTCCATGCTCATGGGTAGGAAGAATCAATATCATGAAAATGGCCATATTGCCCAAGGTAATTTATAGATTCAATACCATCCCCATCAAGCTACCAATGACTTTCTTCACAGAATTGGAAAAAACTGCTTTAAAGTTCATATGGAACCAAAAAAGAACCCACATCACCAAGTCAATCCTAAGCCAAAAGAACAAAGCTGGAGGCATCACGCTACCTGACTTCAAACTATACTACAAGGCTACAGTAACCAAAACAGCATGGTACTGGTACCAAAACAGAGATATAGATCAATGGAACAGAACAGAGCCCTCAGAAATAATGCCGCATATCTACAACTATCTGATCTTTGACAAACCTGACAAAAACAAGCAATGGGGAAAGAATTCCCTATTTAATAAATGGTGCTGGGAAAACTGGCTAGCCATAGGTAGAAAGCTGAAACTGGATCCCTTCCTTACACCATATACAAAAATTAATTCAAGATGGATTAAAGACTTACATGTTAGACTAAAACCATAAAAACCCTAGAAGAAAACCTAGGCAATACCATTCAGGACATAGGCATGGGCAAGGACTTCATGTCTAAAACACCAAAAGCAATGGCAACAAAAGCCAAAATTGACAAATGGGATCTAATTAAACTAAAGAGCTTCTGCACAGCAAAAGAAATCACCATCAAAGTGAACAGGCAACCTACAAAATGGGAGAAAATTTTCGCAACCTACTCATCTGACAAAGAGCTGATAGCCAGAATCTACAATGAACTTAAACAAATTTACAAGAAAAAAACAAACAGTCCCATCAAAAAGTGGGCAAAGGATATGAACAGACACTTCTCAAAAGAAGACATTTATGCAGCCAACAGGCACATGAAAAAATGCTCATCATCACTGGCCATCAGAGAAATGCAAATCAAAACCACAATGAGATACCATCTCATACCACTTAGAATGGCAATCATTAAAAAGTCAGGAAACAACAGGTGCTGGAGAGGATGTGGAGAAATAGGAACACTTTTACACTGTTGGTGGGACTGTAAACTAGTTCAATCATTGTGAAAGTCAGTGTGGCGATTCCTCAGGGATCTAGAACTAGAAATACCATTTGACCCAACAATCCCATTACTGGGTATATACCCAAAGGACTATAAATCATGCTGCCATAAAGACACATGCACATGTATGTTTATTGCGGCACTATTCAGAATAGCAAAGACTTGGAACCAACCCAAATGTCCAACAATGATAGACTGGATTAAGAAAATGTGGCACATATACACCATGGAATACTATGCAGCCATAAAAAATGATGAGTTCATGTCCTTTGTAGGGACATGGATGAAGCTGGAAACCATCATTCTCAGCAAACTATTGCAAGGACAAAAAACCAAACACCGCATGTTGTCACTCACAGGTGGGAATTGAACAATGAGAACACATGGACACAGGAAGGGGAACATCACACACTGGGGACTGTTGTGGGGTGGGGGGAGGGGGGAAGGATAGCATTGGGAGATATACCTAATGCTAAATGACGAGTTAATGGGTGCAGCACACCACCATGGCACATGTATACGTATGTAAGAAACCTGCACGTTGTCCACATGTACCCTAAAACTTAAAGTATAATAATAAAAAAAAGAGTGCCCAAATTCAAACGTTTTTCCAAAAATCGTTTTGTTAAATTGATGCTTGCTTCATAATTTGGGCCCTAATGATTCCATGATTTCACAGATTCATACTGCAATTAACAACATATATCTAGCTTCATAGCAGAGAGACCTGATACTCTCTTAAATTCTCCTCTATCCTATACTTCTTCGGAAGTTGAATTCCAAAGAATTTTGAGGCACCTGCAGAAATATCTTCAAAATATTTTCTTTGGAATGCTTCCACGTAAAATAACTATTTCTTAAGTAGGCAGAAATTTTCTTTAATGCCTTCAGCATGGAAATGTCATATATTCTCACTATGCAGAATATCAAAACCCAAATCAGATAGGATGGTGTTTAGGGTTTGGTTGAAGTCTCTGTGTGTGACTGAGTACTTATTATAGCAAATAAACTGAGTGTGGAATAAGGATGAAGGCAGAAGATTAGTACTAGAGAAACTGAAAAAAGTGAAATCTAGAAAATTCCATTGCTTAGAAACCACCAAGTGCCAAACATTTGTCACTGATAAACCACATTTAGGTCTAAATGTCACTGAAGATACTCAGATGATTGAAGAAGGAAAAAGGTAGGTGGCATCCAAAAATAGTGGCAAAAAATAAGAGGGAGAATCTGGGCCACCCGACTTATTTCCAAGTTTCACCAAATTGAGAGGCAGAAGCTTCTCAGAATCTGATTCTTGGTCAATTATTTAAGTGGTTATTAAATAATTTGGGGTACTTTTTAAAAATACCAGTGCCTAGGGAAACACCCAAGATTAATTAAATAAAAATCCTTGAGGTTGAAGCCTAGCATCAATAATTTTTTTAAAGCTTCTCAGGTGATTCCAATGTGCCAGAAGGTTTGATAAGCAATGTTCTAGAGCATCGCTTGTCGTCAAATTTTAAGATTCATATACGTTACTGTATTAGTCTGTTTCACACTGTGATAAAGAGCTTCCCTGAGGCTGGGTAATTTATAAAGGAAAGAAGTTTAATTGTCTCACAGCTCCATATGCCTGGAGAGGCCTCAGGAAACTTACAATCATGGCGGAAGGAGAAGTAGGCACCTTCTTCACAAGGCGGCAGAAGAGCGAGCGAGCAAAGAGCTGGGAACACTGCCTTATAAATCCTTCAGATCTCATGAGAAATCACTCACCATCACGAGAACAGCATGAGGGAAACCGCCCCCAAAATCCAATCACCTCCCTCCTTGGACACATGGGGATTACAGGTCCCTCCCTCAACACATGGGGATTATAAATGGAGATGAGATTTTGGTGGGGACACAGAGCCAAACCATACCAGTTACCTAAATATATTTTTAATGTACAGGTCCTGACTCAAGAGGTCTGGATGGGGCCTGAGATTCTGCATTTCTGGCAAGTTTAAATTTAATGCTAATATTGTTGGCTTTATACTTTGAAGTAGAAATTTATTTTTACTATTTTTGTTATAAAATAGGTTTATTTATTAAATAACTTTTAAAAGCTAGCAGTACAGGTTTCTTTCTTTACGTTTGGTAAGTTTTAAAAATAATTTCTACTTTTATTTTAGATTCAGGGAGTACATGTGCAGGCTTGTTATATGGGCATATTGAATGATGCTGAGGTTTGGGGTATGACTGATCCTGTCCCCCAAGTAGTGGGCAGTATAGTACCCAATAGTTACTTTTTTAACCCTAGTTCCCCACCCTCCCTCTCCTCTCTGGTGGTTTCCAGTGTCTATTGTTGCCATCGTTATGTTCACAACTACCCAATGTTTAGCTCCCACTTATAAGTGAGAACATGTGGTATTTGGTTTTCTGTTCCTGCATTAATTCACTTAGGATAATGACCTCCAGTTGTATACATGTTGCTGCAAAGAACATGATTTTGCTCTTTTTTAGGGCTGCAATGTATGCCATGGAGTATATTTTCTTTATTCAATCCACTGTTGATGAGCACCTAGGTTGATTCCATGTCTTTGCCATGGTGAATAGCACTGTGATTAACAGTCGTGTCCATGTGCCTTTTGATAGAATGATTCATTTGCCTTTGGGTATATGCCCAGTAATGACATTGCTGGGTCAATAGTTGTTCTGTTTTAAGTTCTTCGAGAAATCTCCAAACTGCTTTCCACAGTGGCTGAACCAATTTATATTCCCACCAACAGTGTGTAAGCATACCCTTTTCTCTGCAGCTTTGTCAGAATCTGTTATTTTTTAACTTTTTGATAATCACCATTTTGACTGGTGTGAGATAGTATCTCATTGTGGTTTTGGTTTGCATTTCTCTGATGATTCGTGATATTGAGCATTTCTTCATATGTTTATTGGCTGCTTATATGTCTTCTTTTAAGAAGTGTCTGTTCATGTCTTTACCCACTTTTTAATCACGTTGATTTTTGCTTGTTGAGTTGTTTAAGTTCCTTATAGATTCTGGATATTAGACCCCTGATGAACTAAATTTAAATAGCAAAGTTTCCAGAACAGTGGATATCAACCTTCTGTGGAGCTATCAACAGCTCCACAGAAGAATCACCTGGGGGTACTTTTCAAAAAATACTCATGCTTAGGCCCCAGGCACAGAGATTCTGGTTGGTGTACGGGTTGAGCATTAGCACGGTTTTAGAATTCTCAAATGCAGTCATTATTGAGAACCACTGTTCTAGAAAAACTGGCATAATGCCTCCAGTTAGGGAAAAATAAAGAAGAGGCACAGGGAACAAACAAATGATAAATACAGCTTATTTTTATTTGCTCATGAAATACTTGTAAGATGATATAAATATATTTTCTCAAATACTAGAAAATGATGAAAACTCATCATTAGCGCATAGCCCTACAGATAATCCATTCCTGCAGTCTAAGAGGGCATCTCTGCTAACTATAAGCAGATGGAACTTGAATGAGAAAAATATGCCAAATTGTCATTTTTTTACACTCTAAGACGTTCCTTCATGAAAGAGACAACATCTGAAAATGCAGAAGATACTTAGTATATCCTACACTCTCAGCCCATCTGCCCATTCTTATGGACAACCATCCTTCTTTATCATGGTGGTGCAGGATACCTAGAGTACTTTTCTTTACATACTCTGCCACCAACAACTATGCTGCCCCTGGCAGAAGTACAGGGCATTTGGATAAGTGTGATGCTTATTATACATACTGTTGGAAACATGGAGCATACTGACAGCAGCCTCATTAAGCAATCTTAAGATATAGCTAGGTAGATATAGTAGGAATCTACCTTTCCTTGTTTAAAAATGAGAAAAAAAGGAAAAAACCTAGGAGTCCATAAAAAATACTAAAAATCAATGGAGAGTAAAAATAATCTGACAGTCCAAAGGAAAAGCATAGCTCTGAAAATTGTCTACTTTAGGATAAAATGAAAACGTCCAGAAATCACTGGGGATACACTCTACCAACCAGAAAAAAATAAAAAGTATTCAGGAAAGGACAGGCTAAAATGTAAAGAAAATAGGATGAAATAAGAAAGAAATTAATGAAAACTAAAAATGCAACAGCAAAACCAAAACTCATAATAAAAGTAGGAAAATGCAGAATTTATTCTGCAGATAATCAAATGGTAATATAAAAGACTAACATTAAACTACAGAGGAAAAGGATACAGAGCAGAAATCAGAAATCTGACATATACGTGCATGTTCATCTTAGTGCTATTCACCATAGCAAAGACATGGAATCAACTAGGTACCATTAGGGTGAGGTGGATAAAGAAAATGTGGTACATATACACCATGGAATACTGTGCAGCCATAAAAAGAATGACATCATATCCTTTTGCAGTAACATGAATGCAGCTGGAGGCCATTACTCTAAGCAAATTAACTCAGGAACAGAAAACCAAATACTGCATGTTGTTACTCATAAATGGGAGATAAACATTGGGTACTCATGGACATAAAGATGGGAACAATAGGCACTTGGAATCACCGGAGCTGGGAAGGAGGGTAGGGAACAAGGGTTGTAAAATTGACTATACTCTGTGCTCACTACCTGCGTGATAGGACCATCTGTACCCCAAACCTCAGCATCATACAACATACTCATGTAACAAACCTGCACATGTACCCCCAAATTCAAAGTTAAAAAAAAATGAAAGATATATGTAGTTAAAATGTTTGAAGAAAGTAGAGGGATATGAGCAAAGAAAGTCTTCACAAAGAGATCAAAGTAAATGGAACAGAATGAAACATAATAGGAAAATGTTCCCTAGGTGGAAAACTATTCGTGTATGCGGGATGGAAAAGTTTTTTAATACACCTACCATTAGGTCAATCTTAGCAATTTTCTTCATTAAGGGACACAGAAAAATGTCTATAAACATTCAGGATTAAAATACATAAACCTAAAAAATAAAAATAGAGAGACTATAGACTTATCTGCAATAGTTACTGAAGCCAGATATTGAATAAACCAAATAAAGCAATATGGAGAGATATTTAAAAGTAAAATTGCTACCCAGAACATTTATATGCAGTTAACTTACATATCTGAATGACTAAAGGTGGGTTTGCAGGAGGTTGGAGAACTGCTTAAAATGGTGGAGACTCTATCATGTTTCAAAGATGATAAGAAAAATTCATTTCAAGAGGAAGAGGTCAATTAAATTAGAAATGGCATAAGTTTCCAGAGTGGTGAGAGGGAATAGAAAATAAACATAAAGGAAAAGAAAACTTCCTTATTTTCTTGCAGTTTTAACCGTTTAATAGGAAGAAAGGTTTCAGCTATAACTTTTTAACAGGAAGAAAGTAAAGTGAGTTCTTTCTGATGATATATTTTCCCTCTGAAGTACAAAGCAAGATTACTATCAAGTAATGGTGAAAAGAGAGGATGTTGGAGAATGATGAAGAAGGCGAAGAAAGTTGAAAAATAATTATTTCAAATGTCAAAAAAGATACACAATGAAATTAGGAGGAGATGTTGAAGGTCTCCTTGAGTCATAACTTCATAATGGTTACAATCTGCCTTGTTGAATGATGATTTCCAGCAGAGTATATCTGCTTGTGGAGGCAAGGAGAAAATGGAAAAATGGAGGAACCCCAACATAAGTATGGCTTTAAAAGCTAGCAGAAGAAAAGAGATTACTAAAATCAGAGAACAACTGAAAGAAATTGAGATGCAAAAGTCCATACAAAGATAAATGAAACAGAGTTTGTTTTTTGAAAGAATAAATAAGATTGATAGACTACTAGTTAGATTAACAAAAAAAGAGAAGACCCAAATAAGCACAATCAAAAATGACAAATGACATTACACCCAATCCCACAGAAATACAAAAGATATTCAGAGACTATTATGAACACCTCTGTGCAAACAAATTAGAAAATCTAGAGGAAATGGATAAGTTCTCAGAAACACAAAACCATCCAAGGTTGAACAAGGGATAATGTGAAAACATGAATAAGCCAATAACAAGTTCTGAAATTGAATCGGTAATTTTAAAAAAACCTACCAACCAAAAAAAGCCCTGAACCAGGCGGATTCACAGCTGAATTCTACTAGAGTTACAAAGAAGAACTGGTACCAATCCTACTAAAACTCTTCCAAAAAATTGAGGATGAGGGGAGGCTTCTCACTAACATATTATACAAAGTCATCATCATCCTTATACCAAAATCTGGCAGAGACACAAAAACAGAAAACTTCAGGCTAAACTCCCTGATGAACATAGACACAAAATCCTCAACAAAATACTAGCAAACTGAATTCAGCAGCACATCAAAATCTAATTCACTATGAGAAAAGTGGGCTTCATTCCTGGAATGCAAGGTTGGTTCGACATACACAATTCACTAGATATGATTCATCGCATAAACAGAATCAAAATCAAAACCATATGGTTATCTCGATAGATACAGAAAAGGCCTTCAAGAGAATCCCAAATCCCTTCATGATAAAATACCCTCAACAGGCTAGTCATTGAAGAAACATACCTCAAAACAATAAGAGCCATCTATGAAAAACACACAGCTAAAATCATACTGAATGGGCAAAAGCTATAACTATTCCCCTGGAGAACCAGAACAAGAAAGTGATGCCTACTCTTACCACTCCTATTTAACATAGTATAGGAAGACCTAGCCAGAGCAATCAGGCAAGAGAAAGAAATAAAAGGCATTCAAATAGGAAGAGAGGAAGTCAAACTATCTCTCTTTGCTGATGATTATAATTTTAGAAATAGAAAACCCTAAAGACTCCACCAAAAGGCAACTAGAATTGACAATTTCAGTAAAGTTTCAGGAGACAAAATCAATGTACAAAAGTCAATAGTATTTCTGTACAGCAATAACATTGTATCAGAGAGCCAAGTCAAAAACTCAATCCCATTTACAATAGGCACACAAAAAAATGTAATACATCTAACCAAAGAGGTGAAAGATTTCTACAAGGAGAACTACAAAACACTGCTGAAAGAAATCAGAGACAACACAAACAAATGTAAAAATGTTCCACACTCATGAATAGGAAGAATCAATATCATTAAAATGGCCATACTGCCCAAAGCAATTTACAGAATTCAATACGATCTCTATCAAAACACCAATGTTGTTTTTCACAGAATTAGAAAAACTATTCTAAAATTAATATGGAATCAAAAAAGAGCCCAAATAGCCAAAGCAATTCTAAGCAAAAAGAACAAAGTCAGAGGCATCATATTACCTGACTTCAAACTGTACTCTATGGCTACATTAACCCAAACAGCATTGTACTGGTACAAAAAACAGACACACACACTAATGGAATAGAATAGAGAATCCAGAAATAAAGTCAAACACCTACAACAGTCTGCTCTTCAACAAAGTCACCAAGAATAACTAATACAGAAAGGACTCCCTATTAAATAAATGGTGCTGGGATAACTGTCAAGCCATATGCAAAATAATGAAACTGGATACCTACTTTTCACCATATACAAAAATTAACTCAAGTTGGATTAAAGAGTTAAATGTAAGACTTTAAGTTATAATAATTCTAGAAGAAAGCTTAGGAAATACCCTTCCCAACATTAACTTTGACAAAGAATTAATGGCTAAGTCTCCAAAAGCAATTGAAACAAAAACAAAAATTGACAAGTGGGACCTAATTAAACTAAAGAGCCTCTGCACAGCAAATCTCAATAGTCTAAACAGATAGCTTACAGAATGGGAGAAAATATTTGCAAACTATGCATTCAAAAAATGTCTGATACCCCGAATCCACAAGCAAAATTTAAACAAATCAACAAGCAAAAAACAAATAATTCTACTAAAAATGGGCAAAGGACACGAACAGACACTTCTCAAAAGAAAACATACAAGCAGTCAACAAATGAAATGCAAGTCAAAACCACAATGAGATACCATGTCACACCAGTCAGAATGGTGAACATTAAAAAGTCAAAAAATAATAGATGCTGACAAGGCTGCAGAGAAAACGGAATGCTTATACACTGTTGGTGGGAATATAAATTGGTTCAGCCACTGTGGAAAGCAGTTTGGAGATTTATCAAAGAAATTAAAACAGAACTACCATTCAACCCAGCAATCCCATTACTGGGTATATACTCAAAGAAAAATGAATCATTCCACCAAAAAGATGCATGCACTGGTATGTTCACTGCAGTGTTATTCACCATAGCAAAGACATGGAATCAACTAGGTTTCCTTATGGTAAAGTGGATGAAGAAAATGTGGTACATATATATCATGGAATACTATGTGGCCATAAAAAGAATGACATCATATCCTTTTGCAGCAACATGAATGCAGCTGGAGATCATTATCCTAAAAAAATTAACTCAGGAACAGAAAACCAAATACTGCATGTTCTCACTCATAAGTGGGGCTAAACATTGGGTACTTATGTACATTAAGATGGGAACAATAGGCACTGGGAATCACCAGAGCAGGGAAGGAGGGTGGGGAACAAGGGTTGTAAAACTATACTCTGTGCTCACTACCTAGGTGATAGGACCATCCATATCCCAAACCCCAGCATCACACAACATACTTATGTAACAAACCTGCACACATGCCCCCGAATCCAAAGTAAAAGAAGTGAAAGACACATGTAGTCAAAATGTTTAAAGAAAGTAAAGGGATATGAGCAAGGCAAAAACTATGAGCTAAAATATGAATAAATGAATTAGCTAAAATAAACACTTCAATGTCAGGACAAGGAGAAAATGATGAAAAAATATAAAAGAGGGATCAAAATAAATCGAAAATGAAATTGAAAGGAATATGCTTAATGAATATTTGAAGAAAGAATTTAAATAAGTGGGAGAGAAAATAATAGAAAATAGGACATGTTTAAGCATTTTAAAGAACTAATAATATACATTCTCATTAAATATCAACCAAGAAAAGCATAAAAGGCATATATGTGTGTCTGAAAATATCATAATAAATGTAAAACTAAATACCAAAATAAAGGAAATGATTTAAATTCATAAAAATATAAAATCCAAATTAACTGTAGAGCAACAATAGATTTTTATCTCCTTTCTTAACATCTTCATGAAATTGATAAATAAATAGATATTATGTTCAAAGTGCTGAGTTAAAATACTTGTCAATTTGGAATTGCATACCTAGCTAAATTATTTTTCACGAATGTGAACAAAATGTAAATTAATTCATACAAGTAATATAGACTAAGTTTAATTCGATTATTTACATCTTTAAGAAATCTATTAAAAACATTTTAAATAAAATGCTGCTTCCTATTAAAAATGAAAATAAAAGAGGCAGTAAAGGTATGAAGAAAACTAAAACTTAGAACCTAAGATATTTAGAATACTAGTATTACTAAATAGACTACTAGTAATACAAATGGAATACTAGTAATGCTAAAGTATTCCTAAGACTGCATGCTATGCAATCAGACTAGGATAAACAAATAAAGACAAACTTATGGATAGAAGAAAAGTAGAGGGGTTAAGTAGCTGCACAGCAAGAAAGGAGTGAAGCTGTGGTCAGACAGAAAGATAAATGAATTAGTGACTTCAGGGATGGAGTGAATATGGTTGAGAAGGTGAACAAAGTGCAATGACAGAGAAGGTCATAAGAGATGGGATGGTCAAGGAACTGAGAGCCAGGTTCTCAGTTATGTCATGTACATGGGCTCTCATGGCATTCAGAACCTTTTAACAACTACGAAAACACTTATTGTGGTATTCTGAATATGCTTTCAATGAGAGAGCATTCACAATAGTAAAAGGTTCACATTTGATATGGTTTGGTTGTGTCCCCACCCAAATCTCATCTTGAATTCTCACATGTTGTGGGAGGGACCTGGTGGGAGGTAATTGAATCATGGGGGGCAGGTCTTTCCTGTGCTGTTCTCATGATAGTGAGTAAGTCCATGAGATCTGATGGTTATTATAAGGCAGAGTTTTCCTGCACAAGGTCTCTTTACCTGCTGCCATTCACATAAGATGTGACTTGCTCCTCCTTGCTTTCCGCTATGATTGTGAGGCTTCCCCAGTCATGTGGAACTGTAAGTCCAATTAAACCTCCTTCTTCTGTAAATTGCCTAGTCTCAGGTATGTTTTTATCAGCAGTGTGAAAACATATTAATATAGTAAATTGATACCAGTAGAGTGGGGTGCTGCTGAAAAGATACCTGAAAATGTGGAAGTGACTTTGGAACTGGGTAACAGGCAGAAGTTGGAACAGTTTGGAGGGGTCAGAAGAAGATAGGAAAATGTGGGAAAGTTTGGAACTTCCTAGTGACGTGTTGAATGGCTTTGACCAAAAGCTTGATAATGATATGGACAATAAGGTCCAGGCAATCTCAGGTGGTCTCAGGTGGAGATGAAGAACGTGTTGGGAACTGGAGCAAAGGTGACTCTTGTTATGTTTTAGCAAAGAGACTGGCAGTGTTTTACCCCTGCCCTAGAGATCTGTGAAACTTTGAACTTGAGAGAGATGATTTAGGGTATCTGGCAGAAGAAATTTCTAAGCAGCAAAGCATTCAAGAAGTGACTTGGATGCTGTTAAAGACATTCGGTTTTATAAAGGAAGCAAAGGATAAAAGTTCAGAAAATTTGCAGCCTGACAGTGCAATAGAAAAGAAAATTCCATTTTCTGAGGAGAAATTCAAGCCAAATGCAGAAATTCACAAAAGTAATGAGGAGCCAAATGTTAATCCCCAAGACAATGGGGAAAATGTCTCCAGGGCATGTCAAAGGTCTTTATGGCAGCCCCTCCCATCACAGACCCAGAGGCCCAGGAAGAAAAAGTGGTTTTCTCAGTCAGGCACAGGGTACCCATCCTGTGTACAGCCTAGGGACTTGGTGCCCTGTGTTTCAGCTGCTCCAGCCATAGCTGAAAGGGACAAATGTAGAGCTCAGGCTGTGGCTTCAGAGGGTGCAAGCCTCAAGCCTTGGCAGCTTCCATGTGGTGTTGAGCCTGCAGGTGTACGGAAGTCAAGAATTGGGGTTTAGGAACCTCTGCCTAGATTTCAGAGGATGTATGGAAATGCCTGGATGCCCAGGCAGAAATTTGCTTCAGGGGCAGGGCCCTCATGGAGAACCTCTGCTAGGGCAGTGCAGAAGGGAAATGTGGGGTTACAGCCCCCACAGAGTCCCTACTGGGACACCACCTAGTGGAGCTGTGAGAAAAGGGCCACTGTCCTCCTGACTGCAGAATGGAAGATCCACTGACAGCTTGAATAGTGTGTCCGGAAAAGCAACAAGACACTCAACGCCAGCCCATGAAAGCAGCCAGGAGGTGGGCTATATCCTGCAAAGCCACGAGGGCAGAGCTGCCCAAGACCATGAGAACCATCAGCATGACCTGCATGTGAGACATGGAGTAAAAGGAGATCATTTCGGAGCTTTAAGATTTGATTGCCTTGCTGGATTTTGGACTTGCATTGGGCCTGTAGCCCCTTTGTTTTGGCCAATATCTCCCATTTGGAATGGCTGTATTTACCTAATGCCTTTACCCCAGTTGTATCTAGGAAGTAACTAGCTTGCTTTTGATTTTACAGGCTCACAGGTGGAAGGGACTTGCCTTATCTCAGATGAGATTTTGGACTATAGACTTTTGAATTAAAGCTGAAATAAGTTAAGACCTTGGAGGACTGTTGGGAAGGCACGATTGGTTTTGAAATGTGAGGACATGAGATTTGGGAGGGCCCAAGGGTGGAACGATATGGTTTGGCTGTGTCCTCACCCAAATCTCATCTTGAATTTTCCATGTGTTGTGGGAGGGACCCAGTGGGAGTTAATTGAATAATGAGGACAGGTCTTTCCTGTGCTTTTCTCGTGATAGTGAGTAAGTCTCATGAGATCTGATAGTTATTATAAGGGGGAGTTTTCCTGCACAAGCTCTCTTTGCCTGCTGCCACCCATGTAAGACATGACTTGCTTCTCCTTGCCTTCCACCATAATTGTGAGGCTTCCCCAGCCATGTGGTACTGTAAGTCCAATTAAACCTCTTTTTTATTTTGGTAAATTGTCTAGTCCGGGTATGTCTTTATCAGCAGTGTGAAAACGGACTAATACAACATCCTAAGACTGAAACTTGGGCACTATCAGTAAAAGTGCAAATGGGAACTAAATTAAGGCATTTTGCCCTGGATTTTCAAACCACTTTGAGTAATGATGATTATTTGTATAAATTATCAAGAGTTTTTGAGCTTTACTCAATTGTATTTCCTATATCATAAATCTTCATCAATTCTCAGCTTCTCAATGCAAATATATAAGAGAAAAACAAAGATCAAGCTTTATCTCTCCCACTTCTCTCCAACCGGCCCAAAGTCTTTTATAAAAGTATAAACAATTTTATGAGTATAAGGTATTACTCCTAATCATAATTGTATAAGCAAGTATATTACAATAATTAACTTAATAAAAACAAGGAGAAGGATTCTTACCAAAAGAAGGTGACTCCCTTCCATCCTCTAATCCTGAATCTCTTTCTCTGTCTCTCTTTCTGTGTTTATGACCACGATGCCTGTGACGTCGATGGCTTTTTCTTCCTCCCAAGGGCACATGTACTCCAATAAATAGTGTTCGATGACCTTCATAAGGAAGCAAACCCACAAATTAAACTCTGAATTATTCCAGGGCACAGATATGATGATTTACATGTTAATGGAGACTCAATTTAATTTAATTCAGCAAGTCATTTTTGATGTTTATGATACATAAAGCTTGGAGCGTGGCACTGTCTTTTGGCATTTTACCTAATTAAGTGTACCATAGCTCTATCACAAACATGTATAATACTAATTATTTGGTTAAATATTTTGCAATCATCACTTCCTTTATAATCTCTATGTGTCTGTTCCCCATGCTTAATTATACTCTTCTCATTAGAAAAAAAATTGTTTTTTATTCTCTCTACCTTCAGACAATTGTGTTATCTCATCAAATCCCTTCCCTTCACAGTTAAGTGTTTTTAAAAAATCACTGTCTCTAATAAAACAGGTTTCGCTAAGGTCTATGTTAATGCCAAATTCCACAGAGGTTTTTCTGTTTTCCTATTTCTATATGTTACACTTGATATTGGCCACCTATTATACTTAATAAAAGTCCCAAGGCACAAGAGTTTCGACTCTGGCATATTGTTATAATTGTTCAATTTTATTATTAGCTACTGTTAATCTCTTACTGTGCCTAATTTATAAATTAAATTTTATCATAGGTATGTATGTAAAGGAAAAACACAGTATATATAGGGTTCAGTACTATCTGAGGTTTCAGGCATCTTTTGGGGGTCTTAGAACGTATCCTCTACAGATAAAGTGGGACTACTGGAAAAGGAAATGAGCTGTCAACCACAAAAAAGACATGAGAGAACTGTTAATGCATATTGCTAGGTGAAAGAAGATGGTTTTAAAAGCTACATACTGTATTATTCCAACTGTATGACATTCTGGAAAAGCTAAAACTATAGAGACAGTAAAAATATCAGCAGTTGTCAGGGCTTCAGGGAGAAGGTATAGGGATGAACAGGTGGAGCACAGGGCATTTTTAGGGAAGTCAAACCATCCTTGATAATGTAATGGTAGATACATGTCATTAAACATTTGTCCAGACCAATAGAACTGTATAACACAGAGTGAACCCTAATGTAAACTATGGACTTTGGTTGATAATAACCTATTAATGTTGGTTTATCAATTGTAACAAATGTACTGCACTAATGTAAAATGTTAATAAGAGAAGAAATTGTGTGCAGCAGGGAGAGGAAATACATGGGAACTGTCTCAACTTTCTGTGCAGTATTTTTATAAACTTAAAATTGATCTAAAAAATAAAGCCTATCCAACAAAGTTAACATTTGTAGCTACAGAAAAATTTATGAGGAAGCAAAAGTACAAGCAAACAAAGGGATATTTGTGTTACCAAGTAGATCATGTATAGGAGAGTGTTGTATCAGGGAAAAAACCTCTAAAGAAAACATTAAAATACTAGGTTAAAAAAAATCTTACTTTCTCAAGTGCCAAAGTACACAAAATATTATAATGGCAATACTGTGGATGAAGGCTTATGTCCCCCGAGGTTTATATTTTAAAGTCCCAACCCCAAATGTGACTGTATTTAGAGATAGGGCCTTTATAGAGGTAATTAAGGTTAAATGAGGCCATAGGAGTGGGGCTGGATCCATCCAATTAGTGTTCTTAAAAGAAGAAACACCAAAGAGCTACCTCTCTTGCTCTCTGTCCAAGCACACAAAGAGGTAACACAATGATGCAAGGAGATGGTAACCACCTAAAGCCAAGAGAAAAGTCTTCAGAATGAGACCCACCTGGCTAGCCATCTTGATCTTAGGTGTCCCAGCCTCCAGAACTGTGAGAAAATACATTTCTGTAGTTTAAGCTGCCCAGCCTGTGGTATTTTTTTCTGGCAGCCCCAGTCAACTAATACAGCAAGGAAAGCCTAAAACAAAGCCTTACAATAATGAGTTTCAGAAGACATGTAATTGAAATTGTAAGATTTCTAAAATATCCAATGTATAACACTTAGGCTGATAGTGTTTCTTTGAAAGGGATAACTGAATTCTACTAAAATAAATTTGCCTACTTTAGTGGATATATTTGTACTTAAATTACGTGATTTTTTCAATAAAACGCAAAAAAGAAAATATTTATTTTTTATACACGGGGTTAAATTACCTCCAAATTCTAGAAGGACTGGAGGTGAGATTGGCATGAAACTATAGAATTAGTTATTCCTCTATTGCTGGAAAAAAATCCGATATTATGTATATTTTAAGAACGGATGTAAATCTTTTATAATCCTAAAAATAATTATAGATTAATCCTCTGGCAAACCGAAAGCTGAAAGATAGTTTCTATATTCAGGTTTTTGTCCTGTATGGATTCATGCAGGCAAGTGAAAAATTATAATTGGTTCAAGTACCTGATTATAGACAATTAAAATGCACAAAAAGCCCTTTACCAATAAGGCTCAATTTTGGAAAAAGGAAATAAAGGGAAGTGAATTAATACATATATGTGTCTGGTCCTATTTATTATTTTATTGACCACAATATTAAGTTATATTATGTGAGAAACAATAGAGTATTCATTAAAACATGATCTCTGGGATTGAGTCAAATGCTTACATTCATATCAGTGTGTGTCACTTATATTTATGCAACCTTTAAAAAAAGTACTTTATCTTTCACTTTATCTATAAAATGAAAATATTAGTAGCTATATCATTCAGAAAGTGTTTTTTTATCATTCACGAAACAAAAGGTTCAAAAAAGTTAAGTCACATTTTAAGTCCCACAGCTAATGAACAAACCTACTTTCTCTCCCTTTAGAGTTTAAGACAGATCAACAGAGCACAGGGAATTTGGGGAAGTAATAAGTTGCTACGTCTTAACTGTTGAAGAAAGCGTCAAAAGTGTAGGTGGCAATGTTAGCATCAGTTGGGGAGAATACTGTCTTCTCTCCTGTAATTCCTTTTTGGTTAAAGCTTTCTTTGTTTGAAGTAGAGATGCTACCTGTCAAAATTAGTACTACCTGTGTGATGGCATATTGCATAGTCCCAACTACACCTAAGGTGAGTTGTGGGGAGTTGGAGAAAACAGCAGACAGTGTAATTTTGAAATAGAAAGATAAGAGAAATAGTAAAGAGCAAAAATATATATATATTAAGAGAGAAGTTGGGCAAAAAGATTAAGAGGTAAGTAGGATATAAAGAGACAGAAATGATAAAAAGAGCAAGATTAAAAACAGAGAAAAATACAAATAAAGAAGAAACAAGTAGAAAAGTTAAATGAGAATAAGAAAATGGCCTCAAGAAATATGGTAACAATGATTACAGGTGACACCCTTATCTATATTATCAGATAAAGCAAGAGAATAGACAGTAAGTTTCATTAGTTTTGCAACACAGTTAATACATGTGAAGTTACAAGCTGGTAAAAATTACCTTTGTTCTCTCCCAACTGCTGAAACCCTTCCAGTGAGCCAAAAATCAATTTTCTAAGTGTTCCCTTTACTTTCCTAGCTGAAACATAAACCTGTCTTTCTCTGGAGGACAATGCCTCCCCTACAATCTCTCAGTGATGGCTGCTTCTCTCCCACAGTTCTTATGCAAGATGGAAAGGTGTCATTCTTGTTCCTGCGACCTCTGGTTGGGTGAGTGGAATAAGCAAAGTGGTATTTCTTTGCTCCATTCTGACATTTTCAGACCATTTCCCCATATCCTTCCTGACATCCTTCAGATTTAAATCTCATGGTCGACATTACTCACTACATACTTTGCCTCATGGTTGCTGTTATCCACTAAGGTCCAGGTAATTCCCACTCAACCATTTGAGCTCTTTGCATACTGTCATTCTCTTCGATACTGCCTTAATTCATAAGATTTCAAAACACATATAGATGATTCTTTTGATATTCTGGCCTTTCAATTCCTTAAACTTTAGTCTTCCAGTGATCTTTCATCCTAGGCTTTTCATTGGCAATAATTACAACCCCTCCATAATCTCAATTTTATGCATTCTAACCCCAAAGTTTGTAAATACAAGCAAGGCAGGTATCTTTGATTTGTCGACTGATGTATCCCAAATACCTAGAACAATGCTTGACAGTTTTTGGTGCTCAATAAATATCCATTGAATAAATAGATATTTTACATAGAGAGGATGGTTTTCAAGTATAATAGATAGAAAGTAGACCTAATAATGCATTATGCTACTAAACACTTTATGAAAGGAATGGAAACAAGCTAATAGCCACAATTTTTTAGCAACAGTACTAAAACTGCTAAAATTCATGATGTGGAACTACAGAGAAAATGTTTTCATGCTTCTGCATGGTTAAGGAGTTATAAAGCAAGACAAACTGAAATCTGGATTAAAGGTGGACTGAATAGACAGAGACCCTCAGAGATATGCAGACACTTATTTTCTACAGCTCTGTGTTTACATTTCAAAAGAGAACAAAATCCCAGAGCTACTGGTTTACATTTCAAAGGGTTTAAACCAGGACCTTCTCATTCTCTCCCCTAAAGATTTGCTTATTGTATATAACGGAGATAAACTTTCTCTTCCTCTTTCAGAAAAGGAGAAGACAGGAGAAGACCATTTACTATATAAAGAGTTTATATAGTAATTCCTATATAAATTCCCAGATTCATAATTTCATGGCTCCCCTCCTGTGCGCATAACTGTGTGCCTTCTTTCCAAGGTGGTTATTGCTATAAGTAATAATAATTCTCTGTCTTGATCCAAAAACTTCATTTGTTTTCAGGACAAAATAAATAAACATAGATATTAAAGACCTACTAATAGATTTAGGAGATTTTCCACAAAGATTACATGAGCTAATACGATAAATATAAAATATGAAAGACAATGCCTGTTACATGGTAGACACTAATACATGTTAGTTCCCTTTTCCCTTCACAATGCCAGTGACTTAGAGGAAGGAATAAGAAGAAGGAATGATATTTTCCTGTCCCATTTCATTTTCTTCCTGTTTCTCTCTATATTACCAACTTTTGTAAATCCTAACATTATAACACTGGCCTAAAGAACTAGAGAATCCCCTCAGGTCCTGTAAAGAATAGTACAGAAATAACATTTCCAGATTAATATTACCATCAATTTTTCCAATATCCATAATTGAATTTTTCACCCGGATAGCTATCAGTTGAGAAGGCAAAAAATTCAAGAAATTTAATGATAGATGTCATTGTTCTAAAATGACTTGACAATTATTAATCCTAATCTGATTTACTTTTCAAGAACATATAAAGAATAATTTTTATTTTATAAATAAAGGCCAAAAATTTAATTAAAGGAGCGAGTCCTTTCAAGTGGACATTTCTTAAATTCATAAAATGGTCAACAAAATTAACTTTATGTAATGCAAAAAATCCAAAATTTAATAAAAATACAAAACCATTTAGATATGAATATGTTTTGAAAACATTAGTGAGCATGGAACAGTATCATTAAAAGAAAAGATTTTTTGAGATAAGCAGAGAACACTAGAATTTATTCAGAGTTTATCTGCAGTTAGTACAGTTTCCACAATTCAGGCTCAGAACTAAAAATGAATTGATTCTTTTCTTCTGTCTTGTAAAACCTTATCTAGAATGCCTTCTTCAACTAATACTTCAAACAGTTAACCAAAACTTTTTCCTATAGAATCTCTGTTAGAAAGCCTGTATAGGCCTTCTGAAGGCCTATACAGAATTCATAATGAATTCTGAGAAAAATAAACGCAGGTAGAACACAGCTGTTGATAAGGAAAAGTCACAGAAAAATGTCAAGGTTTTTTCTCTCTAACTTAAAGACACATATGTCAATTCAGACAAAATACAGTTTCATCATTAAGAAAATCAAAGGTTTGTACATATTATTTTCTGAGCACAAATCTTGCTAACAAATCCTAGATGTTTGACACTTAAGTTGTGTGGCTATTATTATGTTCAACAGACTCAGAATTATTGAATATTTTAATTATATAATAAGGATCAGTATTGAAATGATTCTTGATGTGACTATGGTCACAGTATACTGAATGTTTATAAAATGCGGTGAGGAAAGGAGACGCATTTGGAAACTGATTAATAATGTTATTAATAAACTATTCTTTATTTAGCTGGGAGGGAAGGGGTCAAGGTATCTACTCTTGAAGAGAACTCTATGTCTTTTGTTTTTGCTTTTTACATGAAATGAATATAACACAGCTGTTGCATAATGACTGAGTTGCTACAGAAATTTAGATGTGTCAATCATACAAAAAGGTCAAGTACATTAAGCTGAATAAGCATATAATCTTTAATTCCATGGAGACTCTAACAGAGTCAGAAAACACAAGTCATCATTGATCATAATACATCAAAGCACTAGAAGTCCAATGG
Organism: Homo sapiens; assembly: GCF_000001405.40. Taxonomy (NCBI): domain Eukaryota; kingdom Metazoa; phylum Chordata; class Mammalia; order Primates; family Hominidae; genus Homo; species Homo sapiens. The sequence goes on along the minus strand of NC_000002.12, from coordinate 161,798,132 downwards.
AAAATTTCTGCTAAGGGAGAGTAACAGAGAAACAAAGAGACTGAGAGGATGGGAGTGAGTGTATGTTTATAGCAAAGAGGTATTACTAGGCTACTGTGCCATTGTTCCTTGTGTTGTTTTGCTAAAAGAAAAAGACAGTGTTAAACTAGTGCTGGTCATAGTTACCTGACCCTGGGAAGGTATTTATAATCATTATAAAACAAAAGGCTTCATGACTATGACTATTCTAGATAGAAAGTAGAAATCTTGAAAGTCCTAAAGTTGCTCATCAAAAGGGCCACTAACTGAGATTTACTAGTTTAGAAGGTACTGTGGCACATTTTCAAAAATACTGTTTCTTACAAGTTTATAACACCGTCTTGAGCAAAACATAGCAACTAAATTAACTTTGTGTCTTGAGATAGTGTTTATTTTTAATCTTGAAACATAATAAGCATTTAATATATCTTGAATAAGTGAATGAAACCTAAAAATATGTGTTTTCTTATAAAAAAAATGACTTGAGAACTCCCAATTTTGGTATATTATAAAACAGCTTAATCCTGGACATTTACAGCACTTAGAGAGCCAGGAGTGCAAATCAGTAAAAAAAAAAACTGGCTAACGAATCAAGCCCAGCAATGAAAACAGCAGCAAACAATACAAATTAAAAATACACATTAAAAGCATTAAACAATACCAACCTGTAATGAGGCAAATGTTACTGTGTGGTACCAGCCATCAAATGCTGTAGGAGTTCACAATAGAGTAAAATCAAGGATAACCTGGGCAATCAGTGAAAATTTCATGGAGGATGTAGGACTTGAGTTGCTCTTAAACAATAAGCAGGTTTTACATCAGCAGAGGAGTGAAAAATTTAGAAAAAGGAGATAACGTGAGCAAAAACAGAAGAGCAATTGAAGGGATAATGTGAAGTTCATATTAGAGCAGGGAAGAAAAGGCAAGATGAGATAGAGCATATATTTTTATAATCAGCAAAGCTTGCAATTTCACTATTATTTTAAAACATTTATTTTAAAACATTTTGTTTTAATTTGCAAGGAAGAGAAAGAAAATAGATCAACATATGTCCTGAGATCCTTAAAAAATGAATGCAAAAGAGAAAGTGGTACTTCCTTACCTCCCCAATCTCATCTTAATTAAATTATAAATTCTGAACAGACCTGTCACTTTGCTTCAGGGAAATAGGTTAGGAGATGAACAAAAAAATGTAAAACTAAAATTTTCCAGATTTAGTTTTGTATTATATTAATTTAAAAGACATGTGCACATGTAGAAAGAAGCTCATTCTGAAAATTACAGTAATTAAGAACAGAAAGGCTTGCCTGGAAAAACCGAGAAGTTGCTGAGGAGAAAAACAGATTTCCATGAGGAAAGTTTATGAAATTCAACTGTGAAACAATTAAAATATCTGAAATCAAAGATAAAAACACTTGGCATTTCTGTATAGATGTTTACAAATGAAAAATACATAGATAATGTGGTAGATTCTCTTAAAATGGCCACAATATTTTAGCAGCTTGTTCCAACAAGAGTTGGAATATATTCCTCCAACCCTTGAATCTGGATCAATGGGGCATTAGCAAATGTGACACAGAGGTTTGAAGGGTTCTTATGCATAGGTTCTTACCTGCTGTTGCTTCTGGAAGTCATGCCACCATGTAAACATGCCCAGCCTAGCTGGCTGGATCAGATCAGAGACCATGAAGAGAGAAGCCCTAGCTGGCAGTCATCCAGCTGAGGACTTCACAAACCAGCCGGCCTCAGTTGTGAAATCATCAGCTGATTGTAGAAGCGGGCGCCAGCTGATTCACATTAGAAGAACTAACTAGCTGAGTCCAACCCAAATTCACAACCTACAGAATTATGACCTAAATAAAATGTTGCTGTTTGAAGCCACTGCGTTTGGAAATGGATTGTGACACAGCAATAGCTGAATGCTAAAATTTATTTGGAAGAAAAAATTTAAAATTATAAAATACAGATGGACAGGATATAAAATACAAAATTGAAAGTACCAGGAAAGTGATTCAAAATGGAAAATAATGGGAAAATGTTAACTTATGACCAATATCTCAATGGGCAGGCAAATTAAGAACCAAGAATCAGAAAGTATTGATACTACATTGTGATCAATGTTGATAGGAACAACAAATTATGTATAAGAACCTGCATAAAGGTACAAGCTGAGGATACTAGAGAAGGCAAGCAACATCCAAGGCAGAATATAAATAAATGCCGATTCATTTGGCACTTAAGATAGCTATAAGAGTTTAGAGTTAAAAAAAAGAAACTAGCCTTTATAGAAAATCTACAATGTACCATCTACTATGCTAAGTGTTTTATTTATATTTTCTCATTTAATCTTCACAAAATCGCTGCAATCTATGGACTATTTTCCCCAACTTACAAATAATGAAATTGAGGTTCAAAAAAGTAACTTTCCGATAAATAGGTTCTAGAGATCTACTACACAGCATAGTGCCTATAGCTAACAATACTGCATTGTATACTTAAAATCTTCCAAGAGGTTGAATCTTATGTTGTGTTCTTACCACACACACACATACTAATAATAATAAAAATAATAGTAATAATAATAAAGGCATTAGGAAGCTTTGGGAGGTGATAGATATATCTGTGGCTTTGATGCTAGTAATGATTTCATGGGTGTATATTCCAAACTCATTGAGTTGTATACATTAAATATGTACAGCTTTTTACATGTCAGTCATCCCTCAGTAAGTTAAAAAACAAAAAAAGCAATTGCCCCAAAGCCATACAATCAAAGCTATAGCATGGTCTGTCTAATCATGTTTATATTCTCAGTACCTGGCATATTAAAAGCTCAGTAAGTGTTTCTTGAATAAATAAATGAATCTAAAGCCTTTTCTACAGCACTACAAGCTGGAGTAGGCTGAAATAGTCAAAAACAGAGGAGAGAGGCCTGTAAGGAAGATAAGATATGTATTGGCAGGTACAGAAAAATAGCATGCCTTGTGAGGGGAGGCACAGAAACACAGAGGGCCCAGGGACATATATTAACATACTTCATCTGTTTTCATCAGGAAGTAAAAAAAAATTTTACCTCCTTCAATATTCATTGCAATAAAAATTGACTTATATTGACATACAGAAACTGTTTCTCATTTTTCAATGTTTTTTTTTTGCAGGACACTTTTGATGAAAACTATGGCTTACACTCTACGGTAGATAACCTGGCAGCAGTGGTATGCTAGAGCTGGCTTACCCCAGCTCACCAGTGCCAGTTACACGCATCTCTTCCTAACTTTATGTTCAGGGAAAACACCTCAGTGGTATAAAATTGGCCATAGGGAAAGAATTTAACCACAGATATTGGAAAATGCTACAAATTAAGGCTATTGAGGAGGCAGGAGGGTAAGGGAGAAGAGCAGGAGGATTATTAGAACGTCGCTGCCTCATGCCTCGTGTGAACATAGAGACGGAACAACCTCATTTTCTTTTTCTAGTTGCTGACAATGTTCTATACCCAATGTGAACTGATCAATTTACCTCAATAAGGCTAGTATATTAGACTTTTTCATATATCCATCTTCTTCAGTGTGTCTACCTTAGGTATATTCAATACAGAAGGGCCATATCTGGGGCACTTGGGTTATGCCCTTGTGAACTCTTACAGCACTTACACATGGAAATATATCTATCACATCCCAAAGCTCCCTAATGCCTTTACTATCATTATTATTATTTGTATGTGCGTGGTAAGAATACAACATAAGATCCACCCTCTTGGAAGATTTTAAGTATACGATACAGTATTTTTAGCTATAGGCACTATGCTGTATAGTAGATATCTAGAACCTATTTATTGGCGAGTTACTTTTTTGAACCTCAATTTCTTTATTTGTAAGTTGGGGAAAATAGTCCACAGTTTACAGGAATTTTGTGAATTCAAAAAGGCTGAGGACAGAAGGCCACTAGAGTTGGCGATAAATAGCACTACTTTAATATTTAGGATTCATATTTATAAACCCTAAGATAAAATTAGTGCAGTAGCATGAGAAAAATAGGCCACTCACATATAAACAATGTTTCAATTTCATAAACATGACCTTTGTTTTCATGAACAATATTGTTATTAACTTCATTGATGCTGATAGTTTTGGATTAATCACTGTGATGTCATAAAATTTTTTTATGCTATATTATCTTCTAATTCAATCATGGCAATTATCATTACAGGAAACAAATTGAGTTATGCAAAAGAAAAACATGCATAATCTTATACAATTTAGCTCAAAATTAGAAATTATTTTGCTAATAAGGCTGCCATATTTTCATATTACAAATGTACCTAAGATATTTAGAAGCAGTTTGAAAGTGGCACAAAAGAATATTCATAATCTTCCTGCCCCAGAGACCAGACAAAAGCTTATTGTACCAGCAGGAAATTAAAATTTTACTTTCTGCTAATAATGATTTCAATCATTTTGGTTTCTTTTATTATCTTCCCACCTGAAACGCATTAAGAAGAGAGAGAGAAGGGAAGAAAAGAAAACAGATATTTTTTCACCATGCTTTCAGCAGTTGTGACACACTGTGGGCACTAGGAATGACTAGGTAGTGAGGAAGAGGAAAGATAGAACGAGGAGGCAAACACATAGAACTAGAGAGTAGAATGATGGCTACTAGGGGCTGGGGCACTTGGGGGGCTGAGGAAGGGGCTAGTCAAAGGATATAAAATTCTAGTTTGACAGCAGAAATAAGTTCAAGAGATCTATTGTACAGCATAGTGACAATAGTTAATAACATATTGTATTCCTGAAAAATAGTGAGAGTGGATAAGTATTTTCACTACAAAAATAATAACTATGTGAGGTAAGGCATATGTTAATTAGCTATATTTAGTTATTCTACAGTGCATAGATATATATATTTCAAAGCATCATGTTGTACATAATAAATACATACAATTTTATCTGTCAATTTTAAAAATAATAAAATTTCTGAAAAAGAATGAAGAAGCAAAAAAGTTTACTTGAAGAAAATATAAACGAGAACATTCAAAATAGTAATCTCAGAATACTGATATTCCAAAATGGAATTAATCCTATTAGGGTTGCAATGATTCTGGTACTGCTAAGATTATGGGTATTATCCCCCAAACCAAGAACATCATCCCTTTCAATTATTATTTAATATTTATTCATTATTATCAGTATTTATATCAATTGATATTTTAAATTTAAACATTTATGTGCAAAGTGGCCACAGTAATTTATTTTTCCCCATGGGTTCTAGAACTCAAGCACCCTATTGACAGCACCAGTATCTAAACCTCCTTGGAGAATGAAGAATGTGAAATGGAAATTTGGCTCAGCACCCTCAGTGTTTGGCTCAGTACCCTATTAGCACTTAATTAATATTGGTGAGTGTTAACAATTTCTTGAGACATGTCCTAATTGGTAGCTACACCTGTTTATATTGTGAGAGGACTCTATAGAAAGGCGATAACCTGTGAAGGCTATGTGCTGTATGCAGCTGAGGAGCTTTTAAGCTATAGTTCTAGGGGGAAGACAGCTGAAATAGAGATTTAAGAATTTAGTCAAAAAGTAGACTAAGTTGATCTCCTTCACTATGCCACCTTCATGGTACAACTGCCATACTATTAAAGTCTTTAAATAAGAACATATTTAAGTCTCAGATGTCTAGAAAACTTAAAACAAAAATATAGTGTTAATATAAATCTATGTGGTAAATATTAAGAGACTTTGGTCATCCGTGGTTTGTCTTAAAAGTATTAAATAATTTTCAAGAAAAATAATGATTAAAGGAACAATTTCCTGCTGTAAAATTTCCTCTTAATATGTATAGGATTATATTTAATGTAATGAATACAAGTTTATTTTCATCCATTTTTTCTCTGAAATAGTGATTGGTTGAAAACATTATATATACATATACGCACAAATACACAGTTCTCCTTATCCACAGAAAACATGTCATGTCACATTAAAGAGCAAATATACCAAATAGTGAGTGAGTTATTATGCCTTTGATAAGTAGAAACTCATACTAAACAGAGTTTAGTTATAAGGAACTATGAAGGGAGATTAACAATATGAGTTCCTAACTTAGAGATGTAAAATGTATAACCAGGACCCCCAAATTATGAAGCTATACTTTTGTAAGATTTCTTAGTTATTTGTTATTATCCACATGCAAACACATGCCTGCAAGTACTTGTAAACTGTCAAATAAACCATGATCAAATTTAGAAAAATAATTTAGATTTTTCAAATTTACCTGGAAATAAAATGCATGGTAAAAGCAGAGTATAGATAATTACCCAGTTACCTCTCACTTCAAACAAACAAAATATCAGAAATCAATTATATATCAAAATGAATTGATGTGAGTCACATACACAAATTATGTGAAAAAATAAAGTGATGAAACATGGAACATCTGAGAGTTAATTCTGGAACAAAAGTAATTTCGTTTTTTAATCTCCAACTTTTATTTTGAAGTTCAGATGTACAAGGGCAATATGTGCAGTTTTGTTGCATAGGTAAATGTGTACCACGGTGGTTTGCTGCACAGATCAACCCATCATCTAGGTATTAAGCCCAGAGTCCATCAGCTATTCTTCCTGATGTGCTCCCTCCTCCCACCTCCTACCCTCCAACAGGCCTCAGTGTGTGTTGTTTCCTCTCATGTGTCCATGTGTTCTCATCATTCTACTCCCACTTATAAGTGAGAATATGTGGTATTTAGTTTTCTGTTACTGCTTTAGTTTGCTGAGGGTAATGGCTTCCAGTTCCATCCAGGTCCCTGCAAAGGACATGATCTTGTTCCTTTTTATGGCTGCATAGCATTTCAGGGTATACATGTGCAACATTTTCTTTATCCAGTCTATCACTGATGGGCATTTTAGTTGGTTCCATGTCTTTGCTATTGTGAATAGCACTACAATGAACACGTGCGTGCATGTATCTTTATAATAGAATGATTTATATTCCTTTGGGTATATACACATTAATGGCATTGTTGGGTCAAATGGTATTTCTGCCTCTAGGTCTTTAAGGAATTGCCACACTGTCTTCCACAATGGTTGAACTAATTTACGTTTCCACCAATAGTGTAAAGGAATCCTTTTTCTCCACAACCTCACCAGCATCTGTTGTTTCTTGACGTTTTAATAATAGCCATTCTGACTGATGTGAGATGATATCTTATTGAGGTTTTGATTTGCATTTCTCTAATGATTAGTGATGTTGAGCTTTTTTTTCCTATGTCAGCCGCATGTATGTCTTCTTTTGAGAAGTGTCTGTTCGTGTCTTTTGCCCACACAAAAGTAAATTCTATTATTGAAGACTTTAAAATAATTGTCTCTTATTTAGTTCTTGTTCCTAGGATACCCATTGAAAAACAGAACAGTTTATTATAAGATGTGCACAGGTGTCAAAGATAGCTCAATAAAAGACTGAAATTTACTATTGGCTGTATTTTCTGAAATAAAATGTTCAGTATTAGTCCACCTCCACATTTCTCATCCTGAAATATCCAGTGTTTAACAGGCAAAACCTACAATTTCAAATGCCTGTGTAATTAATTAACTCCACTGGTTATTACTAATGGAGCAAACACCCTTAGAATTGCTCCACCAGTTGACATTGATCCTATATCAACACTACTAAGTTGCACAAAAATTAATCAACTAATAATACCAGAAATAAATGGTTCTTTTTCAAAGAAAAAACATTTGAAATAAGGAAATTATAAGACTTTTTATTTTGTGGTACAGCAGAGAAGATAATTTAAAGTAAGAGAACATGAGGCTATAATAAAAGTAGTCTCCAATGGGAGAGTGGCTTTCCTAATTATGGGAATAAATCTTAGTTCAATGGGAATTTTCTAACTATAAAACTTTCAAACTTTTGCTAAAACATTTGTAAAACTATTGTGATATGGTTACTAAATATCAAATTCTTTATTGCTTTATAATAGAATATTCTCAACTTTTTAAAAATCATCATGAAAAAGTCAATAAATATGTACAAGTCTTCCTTGTGGGTTTGAATCACTGCCATACGACTTACTAGTCAGGTGACCTATTTAAGTCATTTAATCTTCTGTACCTTAGTTTCTTTATCTGTGAAATGGAGATAATAATGTGCTTATCAGATAGAGTGACTTCAAGGATTAATTCATTCTCCACAATTTGACCTACCTTATGTAAAGATTTAAACTTTATATCCAGTCACATTTTATGCCCCCAGACACAATCCCAATGCTTTATCCACATCATATTTGCCATTCCCAGAATATAACAGATCCTTCCTTCTTTGCCTCCTGAACTCCTATTTATCCTTCAAAGCCCACCTCTGTCTCTGTGAAGACAACATTGATTTCCAGAAGTAGAAAGCACTTTCTAATTCTATTCGCAATTTGTTATGTACAGTCATACATAATGATGTTTCAGTCAAATGATGGATCGCATATAAAATAGTGGTACCATAAAACTATAATAGGGCTGAAAAATTCTTGTCACCTAGTGATATAGTAGCCTTTGTAACATCACAGTGCAATTACTTTTATTTTTATAACTTTAATGTAGCTTTTTTTTTTCAAGATGGCTGACTAGAGATGTCAGACGCCAGTTTGTAGAAAGATCAAAGTTACAGTTGAATGGTCATGATCCAAATGGAAAGCTGAGGGAAGAGAGCCACGAGCTTTCAGAGAGCCCATGGGAAGAAACTGGGGTGCAGACAAGGAAAGCAGCAAAAGTCTGGCAGACACTGACTCCTGAGGAACTCAGAGTCCCATGTAAAGGATAGGTTGGGGTGCTTCTCTGCTCCCCTCACTCCTGTGACTAACTGCTGACTGACAAATTGTCAGAGAACCCCTCTGCCCTTGAAATCCCAGGCAATGCAGTTGGTGGCAATTTGGGAACTCTCTGGGGTGGGAGCCTCAGGTGGCCAGCTCGTGCTGGTGTGCCCACACTCCCCTCAGGCCCTAACTGAGATGGCAGGTGCCACACTGGTTGTGCACTCATTGTGGGCCAGTGCCCTGTCCAAGGAACCTTAGTCCTTGTGTTGCCACACTACAAGATCCCCTGCAAACATACCTCAGAACCCCTTCTGACTTTGGCAACCACAGGAGACTGGCGGGTCTCTGGGGAGCTGCAGGTTCCATGGAAATCTAGCCCTCAGTGCAGGCACTGTTGTGGATGCAGCAGAGGCTTTTCCTGATGAGGGCTGACCTGATTGCACTTGGAGACAGCCTTTCCAGCACTCTTCGTGGCAGCTACACCTCATTGAAAGTGAGCCAATGCCACCTAGGCATGCATGAAAGGTGGGACCTGTCTCCCCATCCCAACACAGAATGGCAGTGTCCCAGCAACGAAGGGCAGACAAGTTGAAAAACTGTTTGCTCTGGGCTCTGGGAAGAGGCTCTGCCCTGAGCTCATTTTGGTGGTAGCCACCAAAGGGGCATTTCTCCAGACCTCAGTCACACTTCAGCTTGGGAGCCAAAGAACAATGTCTATATGCTGAAGATCATGAGCCCTGTGACAGAAAGGTGTGATAGGAAAACGGATCACATTCCTGCCTGCCCAGGATGAGGGGCTAATGCAGGCCCCCTGCCCCTACCACCAAGACCAGTTCACTCCAACACAAGCTCCCCACACTAACCTCAATTAGGACAGTTGTCTTCCTTCATCATTAGACTGCCTGAGGGTGAGTGGATTCTTACTCTTAAGCACCTCCTACTTGACTGAAGACTGAATTGCACCACCAAATAAAAAACCTACTGTCAGAAGGGTATAGTACTAGTGTACAAGATAAGTTTACTGAGACCTCTGCTCTCCTAGTCACACAGAAAATAGTGTGTTGGCTCATATGCCCAATACATGTCTACAACAAGCAGCATTTGAGAAAGCCACCACACAAAGGCTATCCATAACCAAGGAGCCCATGCAGAGTCTTGGCACCGAGAAACCCCAGAAAAGAAGCCAAACAATCACATACAACATACACCACAGTCATACCCTCAAGGGAAAAAAGAATAAACATGATAAAGTCCCATTCAAACAATAGCAAATTCAAAACTTAGAAGCAACAACTCCTTCGCATGGGAAGGAATCAGTGCAAGAACTCCAGTGGTACAAAAAGACAGAGTGTTTTAACACCTTGAAAGGATCAGGCTAGATTTCTAGCAATGGATCCTAAACAAAATAAAAAATGACTGATAAGGAATTCAAGATACGGATTCTAAAGAAGTGCAATGATATCCAAGAGAATGTTGAAAACCAATACAAAGAAACCAGAAGAACAACTCAGAAAATGAAAGACAAGATAGCTATATTTATAAAAATAGAACTTCTGAAAATAAAAAAATTCACAAAAGTAATTTCAATGTACAATTGAAAACATTAACAAAAGACTAGACCAAGTAGAAGAAAGAATTTCAGAGCTTAAACATTGGTCTTTCAAATTAATCCAGTCAGACAAAAATAAATAGAAAAGCATTTTAAAAATAAACAAAATATTTGAGAAAGATGGTATAGGGGGTAAATTGACCAAACCTATAGCTTATAGGTATTGCTGAGAAAGAAGGAAAAGTAAGCAATTTGGAAACATATTTAAAGGAATCATTCAGAAAAATTTCCCTGATCTTGTTGGGAGGTAGACATCCAGATAAAAGAAATTCAGAAAACACTTGCAAGATACTATATAAGATGAACATCATCAAGGCATATAGTCATCAGACTAACCAAGGTCAATGCTAAAGAAAAAATCTTAAAGAGAGTTAGAGAGAACAGTCAAGTCACCTGTAAAGGAAATTCCATCAGACTAGCAGTGGCTTTCTCAACAGAAACCATATAAGCCAAAAAGATAGGGGGCCTATTTTTAGCCTTCTTGAGGACAAAAAATTATAGCCCCAAATTGTATATCCTGCCTAACTAAGCTTCATAAGCAAAGGAGAAATAAAGTCTTTCTCAAACAAGCAAATATTAAGAAAATTCATCACCATGAGACTGGTGCTATAAGAAATGCTCAAAGGTGTTGTAAACGTGGGGAAAAAGGACAATACTCTTTGTCATAAAAAAGTATACTCTTTTATGTCATAAAAGAACATAGGACAATACTCTCCTGTCATAAAAGCTCATATAAGTACAAAATTCAAAGATCCTATAAAGCAATTACACCACTGAGACTGCAAAGCAACTAGCTAACAATACTATGATTGGGACAAAACTTCACATGTCAATATTAACTTTGAACAGAAATGAGTATACTCTTTTATGTCATAAAGCATAAACTTTGAACAGAAAAGAGTATACTCTTTTATGTCATAAAAGAATATAGGACAATACTCTCCTGTCATAAAAGCTCATATAAGTACAAAACTCAAAGATCCTAAAAAGCAATTACACTACTGAGACTGCAAAGCAACTAGCTAACAATACTATGATTGGAACAAAATTTCACGTCAATATTAACTTTGAACAGAAATGAGTATACTCTTTTATGTCATAAAGCATAAACTTCGAACAGAAAAGAGTATACTCTTTTATGTCATAAAAGAATATAGGACAATACTCTCCTGTCATAAAAGCTCATATAAGTACAAAATCCAAAGATCCTATAAAGCAATCACACCACTGAGACTACAAAGCAATTAGCTAACAGTACTATGATTGGAACAAAACTTCACATGTCAATATTAACTTTGAACAGAAATGACCTAAATGAAGATATAGATTGTCAAATTGCATTTAAGAAACAAGACTCAACATCTGCTGACTACAAGAGATCCATCTAATGTGAAAGGACACCCACAGGCTCAAAGTAAAGGAGTGGAGAAAGGTATATCACACAATGGAAAACAAAAAAGAGCATAGGTTGCTATTCTTACATCAGAAAAAAACAGAATTTATACCAATAATAGTTAAAAAAAAGACAAAGAATAACATTATATAATGACAAAGAGTTCAATTCTACAAGAAGATTTAACTATCCTAAATATATTTATACCCAATACCTGACCACCCAGATTTATAAAGCAAATGCCATTAGACCTCAGAAAAGAGACAGACAGATATACAATAACAGTGGAGGACTTCAACATCCCAATGATGGCACTAGACAGATCATTAAAGCAGAAAACTAACAAAGAAACTCTGAACTTAAACTGCACTCTTGACCAAATGGACCTAATAAACATCTACTGAACATTCCATTCAACGACCACAGAATATACATTTTTTCTCATCTGCACATGAAAAATTTTCTTGCCTAATCGCTCTTCCTAGGACTTCTAGTACTATGTTGAATGGAAGTAGCAAGAGTAGACATCCTTGCCTTGTTCCTGAACTTAGAGGAAAAGCTTTCAACTTTTCATCATTGAGTATGATGTAAACTGTAGGATTGTCATATATGGCCTTTATTGTGTTGAGCTACATCCCTTCTACAGCTAATTTGTTGAGAGTTTTTATCATGAAACGATGTTAAATAATAATATATTTTTTGTTCTTTACTCTGTGAATGTGGCACATCACATTTATTGATTTGTATATAATGAACCCCAGCCCAGGGTATCCATTGCTTCCTATAATAAATATCATATGACTTTTTAATGTACTGTTGAATTCAGCTTGCTAGGTAGTTTTTGTTGTTAAGAATTTTTGCATCTATGTTCATCAGAGATATTATTATGTAATTTTCTTATCTTGCAGTGTCTTTGGCTTTGGTATCAGGGTAATGCTGGCATCATACAATGAGTTTGGAGGTATTTCCTCTTCTTCAAGATAAAAAAAAGTTTGACATAAATCTTCTTCAAATGTTTGGTAAAATTCACCAGTGAAGCCATCTGTTCCTGGGATTTTCTTTGTTTGGAGGTCTTTTATTACTGATTTAATTTTCTTGCTTGTTATTTGTCTGTCCAGATTTTCTATATCTTCTTGTTTCGTGTTTGGTAGATTTTATGTTCCTAGGAATTTATCCATTTTTAAGGTCATAGAGTTTCTTAGCATATAATTGTTTATCATAGATACTTATGAACTTTTTAACTTATGTGATATCAGTGGTAATACCTCCTCTTTAATATATGATTTATATTTATTTGAATCCTCTCTTTTTTCTAAGTCTAGCCAAAGGTTTGTCAATTTTATCTTTTAAAAAAAAACCCAATTTCATTGATTTTTTCCTATTGTTTTCTATTATCTATTTTGTTTATTTCTGCTCTGATCTTTGCTAGTTCTTCCTATCAGCTAACTTTGGGTCTAGTGTGTTTTTTTTTTCTAGTCCCTTCAAATGTATAATTAGGTTGCAAATTTGAGATCTGTCTTCTTTTTTCATATAGACTTTTATCATTATAAACTTATCTTTTAATAGTGCTTTGGCTGTATACCATAAGTTTTGGTATATTATGTTTTCATCTTCATGTCTCTCAAGATATTTTCTAATGTCTCTTTTGAATTCTTTCTGACCCATTAGTTGTTCAAGAGTGTTTTGTTTAATGTCCACATATTTATAATATTTTCAGTTTTCCCATGGCTATTGATTTCTACTTTCACATTCCATTGTAGTCAGAAATAATAGTTGGTACAATTTTGATCACTTTAAATTTTTAAAACATACTTTTCAGCTTAATATGTGATCTATTCTGGAGAATATTCTGGCTGCACTTGAGAAGAATGTGTATTATGCTGCTATTGAGTGAAATGTTCATGTCTATTGGGTCCATTTTTTTCTATAAGGTTGTTGAAGTCCTTTATTTCCTTTTGCTCTGTTTTGCCCGTGGGTAATGGATAATATGTTTTACCCATCATTCAAAATGAGGTATTGAAATATCCTACTATTATTGTGTTGCTGCCTGTTTCTCTCTTCAGTTTTGTCAATGTTTGCTTTATATGTTTAGGTGCTTAATTGTTGGGTGCATAACTACTTACAATTGTTATATATTCCTGGTGAATTGATCCTTTTATCATTATAAGATGTCTTTCTCAGTCTTTTGAGAGAGTTTTGACTTATAGTCTATTTTATCTGATATAAGTATAGTCACTCTTGCTCGTTTTTCATTAACATTTTCGTGGAATTTTTTTTTCCATTCTTTCACATTGAGCCTAAATTCTAAAGGGAGTCTCTTGATAACAGCATGTGATTCCATTATACATTTAATCCATTCAACCACCCTATGTCTTTGATTGGGAAGTATAATTTATTTAGTTTTAAAGTAATTATTGATAGAGAAGGATTTATTATTGTCATGTACTGTTTTCTGTTAGCCTTGTAATTATTTTGTGCATTTTTTCCTCTCTTGCTCTCATTTTTCATGTTTTGTTGATTTTTTTTTGTTGGGAATCTTTGATACCTTTCTATAGGTATTTTCTCATTAGATACCATGGGGTTTATATAATACCTTATAGTAATGACAGTCTATTTTTTCCTGATAACAACTTAAGTTCAATGACATACAAAAATATGCCTCTTTTTACTCTCCTTCCCATACACATTTTGTTATTGTTGTCACAGTTAACATTTCTTTATATTGTGTATCTATTAACATAGTTTTACTTATTAAAAGTATTTTAGTTATTGAAAGTATTTTGCTACTTTGTCTTTTAACTTTTTTACTTGAATTACAAGTGGTCTACCTACCACTATTGCAGTATTACGGTCCTGCATTTGTCTATATATTTACCTTTACCAATACTTTTATACTTTCTTATGCTATCTTGTTGCTGTTTAGTGTCCTTTCATTTCAAGTTAAGGAGGTTCCCTTAGCATTTTTTGTAGGGAGGTCTGGTGGTGATGAACTTCCTTAGTTTTTGTTTGTCTGGAAAAGACTTTATCTCTCTTTCATGATTGAATGACAGTTTCATTTGGTCTAGTTTTCCTGGTTGAAGGACAGTTTCATTTGGTCTAGGTTTCCTGGTTGGCTTTTTCCCCCAGCATTGTGAATCTATCATCTCATTTCCTTCTCATCTGCAAAAAAGTTGCTGAAGAAAAATCTACTTATACTCTTATGAAATTTCCCTTGTACCCGACAAGTAACTTTTCCCTTGTTGCTTTTTCTCTTTGTGATTGACTTTTGACAATTTGATTATAAGGTGTCTTAGTGTTGATATCTCTAAGTTTTCCTTTTTGGGGGTCCTTGGATTACACATTTCCTTTTCCATACTTGGGAGTTTTTAGCTATTATTTCTTTGAATAAATCTTCTGGTTCTTTCCTTCTCTCTTCTCCTTCTGGAATTCTCATAATGCATATATTGATCCACTTGATGGTGTCTCGTAAGTCCTTTAAGCTTTTTTTATTCTTTTTCATTATTTTGTCCTTTTTGTTTCTCTGACTCAGCAAGTTCCAATGGCCTGTCCTTAAGTTCACTGATTCTTTCTTTAGCTTGATCTAGTATGTTGTTGAATCCCTCTAGTGAATTTTTCAATTTAATTATTTTATTCTTCAACTTCATGATTCCTGTTTGGTACTTTTAAGATATTTTCTATCTCTTTGCTGAAATTCTCACTTTGTTCATGCAACGTTCTCTTATCCTCAGTGAGCATCTTTATGACAGTTATTCTAAATTCTTTTCCAGGTAAATTGTGTATCTTTGTTTCATTAGAGTCAATTTCTGGAGATTTTTCTGTTACCTAGTTTGGAACACATTTTCCTGTTTTTTCATCTTACTTGACTCTATGCATTGGTGTCTTTGCATCAGATAAAGCAGACTTCTCTCTGAGTCTTCACAAAGAGCTGGCCTTATATGGAAGATCCCCACCAATAAGTCCAGGAAGAGATTCTAAAGCTTCTTAAACCTCATGCTTGTTCAACTTATTTGCTTGTGTATTTCTTGTAGCCCCAGGTGTCTAGGGTTTGCCAGGTCTTGTGAGTGCACCAGGATGAGTGAGACTGAATTCTTTGGGATTTCAGCCAATCCTTTGGAAAACCCCCAGAAAGTTTAATGTATGTACCAACTCTTTCCATCCCCAGGGAGAAGCTGAAAGGTGGGGATTTTGTTTGCTTGCTCTATGCTCTGAGCTAGGGAGGAAAAGCTATGGTGGCTACCAATCTAAGCCACCATCTCTATTCTCCCCCAGGTGGCTAGATAATTCCACACCATTAGCACTTTAAGACAGAGAAGACAGAAGCCAGTCCTTTGGGTAGCCCCCATCGAAGTTGGGGTATTGGATGCACAAACCTCCTCTGGGAGAAGCTGAGAGCTGAGACTCTTTTCCCAATTGTATGGTGTTGCGTTGGGGGTAGAAATTTTGGCAGACAGCTGTCGTGAATATCCTCACCAGCTTCGATGGATCTGATTTTGCATTCACCCAGGGTGCAGGAGCCCTTCAATTAGTTGCTGGATTTCCCACAAAGGGAATTTTTCTGTGAATTGTTCCTGAATTGGTGTGTTTGTGGTGGGGACGAAGGTTTCCTACTCCACACTTTGGTGACATCAGTCTTCTGTCATTTTTTCATTGACCATCTATGTTGCTCCCAGTGTCCCCAACTCTTCAAGCAATGGTTCTCACCTAAACACTAGCAGCACTAAACAAGTTTGTTTACTCTTGGCACATTTTTTTCAGTACTATAATTAAACATGATTTCATCGCCAACAGCAAACAAGTTCTTTTTCCTCATATTTAAATAATTTTAATACATATATAGATATCTTATGAAACATTCATCTCGAAACCCAAGCAAAATACAGTTTTTATATAGAACATTTTCTGGTCGATGTACACACAAGTTGAATATTTTTTAAAAAGCATTGTACTGAATTAAAGGACATAAGTGGAAGATATTTATTGAATATGTTTATCAAGATTCACTCACCAAGTAAAGCACACCACTGATACTTCCTCCTGCTTATCTGATACATAAAAGGACATTAGTCCATCATTTCCTGCAGTTCATGTTCCATAACACAGCAGTTGATTAGAAAAATGTAGTTGCTTCTGTTTGAAAATGCAGCTGCTGCTCTGTCCTCTGGCTCACTTTGAAAATTTGTGGTTCTGAAAGCTCAAGATACTATTTTTACTCTTAATATTTAGCTCTGACCTGTGTAGCTATGTTCCTGCTTCTCACTTCCCTTGGTTTGGCCACACTGGTGGAGAGTGGGGCTGGTGGTATGTTTTTTAAGGTTGGGGGAGGGGTTGCAGTCACACAGACAAGATTCTGATAAGTTCACATTCAGGGTTGTTTTGACAGAAAATTAGAATTTATAATTTTACAACATCAGATTATCCTTTTAGATATGTATTTTTTATTAAACATATTATCTCTTCCTATGAAAATAGAAACATGGCAAATAATATCTAAATATTGTTGGGCACTTAAAAATATTTTTATCCAGGCTCAAGCTTAATTTGGAAGAAAATTGTAAACTATATTCTATTTGAATTACTTTACATGCAATAAAGTAATTTTTCCCTGAGAGTGAGATCTAAAGTATTAATAGATTAAATCGAAATGAAAGAATTTTTTAAAAAATCATTGATTTATATGAGCCGCTCTGAAGAAAGCATTAGAAATGTGTAAAAGCTTATTTCAAAAGGGATCATAATAGAAAAATAATTCGACTTAATTTCAATATAATAAAGGCTAAGATTTTTAAATTGCCTGAAACTGGTACTGAGCTTTTCATTAAGGCAGGTATTGTGTGGGTGGACATTGTGAAAGCCCTGTTTAGAGTGCCACAGTCTTATAAGGGCATACTTGGCTAACAAGTGAGCCATTCAGAAATGTACATTGGTTGAAGTCTCACTGTCCTTTTTGTTTTGTAGGAAAACTCTGCTATAATGAGAGATTCCATTTTAAGCCTTCTAATATTTATGACTGTTGTCTTCTTGTGAGTCAGGAATATTGTGATGAGTGATTAATCTGGTTATGTGGAGATATATTCTATTCTTTTAGCATAGCTATAGAGTCTTTACATAATAAATACATATTTTGTCATCTAATTAAATAAAATAATTCACACTCCACTGTGCTATAAAAGCATGACAATCAAAGTTCATTTTTCTCTTATTTTCTTGTTCTGACATGATGGATATGCACTGGCAATAAAAATAAATAAAATGTCGTTTGCAGTAATATGAATGGCATTCAAACTCACTGTGATTTGTAGTACACTGAGTAGCAGTGTGAACCAAGATGGAGCCACATATATTCTTTGTCACAACTACTCAACTCTACCATTGTAGTGCAAAAGCAGCTATACACAAAATGTAATTAATGAACATGGCTATGTTCCAATAAAGCTTTATTAATGAACATTAAAGTCTGAATTTCATGTAATTTTATGTCATAAATATTATTTTGATCCTTTCCTATCATTTTTAAATGTAAAAATTATTCTTAGCTCAAAGGCCATGCAAATAAAGGTGGCAGGAAAAAATTTGGCCAATAGGCTATTGTTTGCTAATATCCTTGGCATAAGATTTTAGAGGTAAAATATTAGAAAGTAGAGGACCAGCCCTAATTTTTTACTTTTTTTCTTTTCTTTATTTTTAAAACTGTTTTTCAATTTAGTTGCAAAATATTATAATTATGAGATGTGCACTTATTATATTTGGCTTTTTAGTCTAAAACACTTGAAATTACAATAATTCTAGTTAGAAAACAATTTTAGTTATCTTTAAGAGCTCAGGAATGCACTGGGTGAAATGAGAAAAGCAGGAGAATACTGCCATTGATAGAATTATGTTGTATAATAGCTTTGTGCTAGGTGCTTTACTTATATTATCTTTGAACTTTGGGTCTTGCTATGGTTTGGATATGGTTTGTCCCAACCAAAACTCATGTTAAAATTTGATGTGGCAGTATTGGGAGGTGGAGCCTAGTGGGAGGTGCTCAGTTCATGAGGGCAGATCCCTTATGAATGGCTTGGTGCCCTTCTCATGGTAGTGAGGGAGTTTTCACTCCTGCAAGATGGCATTAGTTCTCATAAAAATGGATTATCTCCCTCAAGAGCAGGTTGTTATAAAGCAAGGATATTTCTTGAGTTTTGCCCTTTCACACATGGCCACTTCCACTTTGACCTTCCACCCTGTTAAGATGATGCACAAAAGCCCTCACCAGAAGCCAAGAAGATGCCGGTGCCATAGTTTTTGAACTTCTCAGCCTACAGGACTGTGACCTAAATAAACTTCTTTTCTTCATAAATTACTCAGGTATTCTGTTATAGCAACACAAAACAAACTAAGACAGGTCTATAGTGTACTATGTGGCCCCAAAAGGAAATAAACTAGTAAGCTGATTCTTTTTGCCCAAATGCAAGGAGTAAAAGAATATCAAGATGGGGCATTATTTTCTCCACTAAGCTTTTGACTTAAAAGATTTTAATATCTGCTAAAAGCAATACAGTTTTTTTTAAAGTATCTTTAAATTTAATTTGCAGGCCAAGATTTTATTATTATTTTAACTTTTTCATTAAAGTTATACTTTTATGAATTCCTGAATATCAGATTAAAATGTAATCAGATTTATCTTAGTATATGCATGTCATTAGAAACTTCTGTATTTATGTGTTAAATGTTTGAATATTTGATGAACATTAATTAGGCACCTAATTACATTATGAATTAAAGGTATTGCATGATCAGTGACATATTATTGAAATATATATGAATGGCACTCAATGCAACACATTTTTTAGTACCTATCCAGTTTCAGTAAAAGTGCTGGATCCCAGGGAGAATGCAACAATGTAAAAGATGAAAATTTGTCCCTCAATGAGTTTATAATCAATAACAAAGACATATAGATATGTAAAACAATTATATAAGAAAAGGCATAAACTTTCATAAAGAGAGGTTAAGAGGAGAAAGATAATTATTATTATTATCTGGGGAAAAATGATAGCTCTTAGAAGGTAGCACTAATGGATGGGCAGAATGAGCATTCTATTTTTGTGTAGAGGAAAACACTAGCAAATGAAGGATATGAGAAGGTGTTAATTTGGCATTGGACAATACAGAAAGTTTTTGAACAGAAAGTCTGTAATAATATTCCTAATGTTATACTACTTCTATGTTCTCAGACTGTAGAAAGTAGCAGAAATTATGTTATAAGCACTTGCTAAAACATGGGAAATAACATTCTCTCTCTCTAAGTAGGTTGTCTATATAACAATGATTTGGAAAAGAAATTCATCCTGTATAAACCTAATGCAGGTTATAACGTGTAATGTTAAGAAACAAAGAGATGTAATGAGTAAAACTGTTGGCATCCTATACCATATGCAAAAATTAACTCAAAATGAATCAAAAACTTAAACTTCAAGACCCAAAACTATAAAGCTCTTAGAAGGAAACTGATATGGTTTGGCTCTGTGTCCCCACCCAGATCTCATCTTGTAGCCCCATAAATCCCATATGCTGTGAAAGGAACCCAGTGGAAGATGACTGAATCATGGGGGTGGGTCTTTCCCGTGCTGTTCTCGTGACAGTAAATGGGTCTCAGGAGATCTGATGGTTTTAAAAACGGGAGCTTCTCTGCCCAAGCTCTCTCTCTTTCTGCCTGCTGCCATCCATGTAAGATGTGACTTGCTCCTTCTTGCCTTCCATGATTGTGAGGCCTTCCCAGCCACGCAGAACTGTAAGTGCATTAAACCACTTTCTTTTGTAAATTGCTCAATCTTGGGTATGTTTTTATCAGCAGCGTGAAAATGGACTAACACAGAAACATAGGAAAACATTTCATCATATTGAATTTGGCAAAGATTTCCTGGCTATGACATTGAAAGCATAGGCAATAAAAGTAAAATATACAAAATGAACTGTATCAAACTAAAAAATGTCTGTGCATCAAAGGACACAACCAATAGATCTAATAGGCAACATATAGAATAGGAGAAAATATTGACTAATCATATATCTGGTAAGAGGTTACTGTCTAGAATATGTGAAGACCTCCTACAACTCAATAACAATAAAACAGCCATGTTAACCTATAATAATTAAAAATTTTTTTACCCTATTAAATTTTTTAAAAAATTAAAAATTAATTTTAACTTTTTTAAATTAAAAATTAATTTTAATTTTTTTAAATTAAAAATTTGATAGGGTTAAGTGTCTATTCAAGTCACTTGCCTATTAAAAAAATAGACAAAGGACTTGAATGGACATTTCTCAAAGTTGATATGCAAGTGAGCAACAAGTACATGAAAAGATGTTAAACATCAGTATTAGGGAAATGCAAATCAAAACTACAGTGAGATATCACCTCACATCCATTACCATAACTATCAAAACACACACACACACACACACACACACACACACACACCAGAAAATAAGTGTTGGCAAGGATGTGGAGACCCCTTGCGCATTTTTGTTGGGAATGTAAAATGGTGCAGCCACTATGGAAAACAGTATGGCAGTTCCTCAAAAAATTAAAAATAGAATTATCACATGATCCACTATTCCCACTTCTGGGTATATCTTCAAAAGAATTGCAAACAAGATCTCAAAGAGATATTTGCACATCTATGTTCACAACCACACTATTCACAATAGTGAAGCAACTCAAAAGTTCTACAGTTGAAAGGACAGGGGAAATGTGGTATATGCAATGAGATGTTATTCAACTTTAAAAAAGGAGAAAATTCTGACTCATGCCACAATGTGACTGAAACTTGAGGACTTTATATACTAAATAAAATATGTCAGTCATGAAAAGACAAATAGTATATGATTCCATTTGCATGAATTATCTAAAGTAGCTAAATTCACAGAAACAGAAGGTAGAATGGTTGTTGACAGGAATTGGGGGCAGAAGAAAAGGGGAGTTATTGTTTGTATAGCAAGTTTCAATTTTGCAAGATGAAAAAATTCTGGATATTGGTTGCATAACAATGTGAATACACTTAACATTACTGAACTGTACACTTGCATTACTGATGAAAATCAGTATGCCTCTGAGGGGGAATGGCAGAGTTTCATCTCAAGTTCTGCTGCTTTTAAAGACCTAAAGTATGCATCAGTGTGGCCACAACAGAAACTTGCCACATCCTAGAGGGTGATTGGACTATTTCAAACTCGACTAACTAGTAGCACCAATTTCAGCTAACGTTTAAGATAGTAAATCTTATGCTATTCCTATTTGATCTACATAAAAATATTTTCAAATAATTAAGATAAACAGTCCATTGTTTAATAGTATCTCCTTGATTGGTAATTGATCACTGCATTCAAAATGGCTGAAATTACAGCACATCACCTTTAGCTATTAAATTTTCTTCTCTTTATGATCATTTAAGTAGTTAATAGATCATATTATTTAAGTAACTTGCTTCATTAATTTACCCTTATGCCTGCAGAAGATACAACAATGTTCATACGTGAAAAAAAAATATCCATTAAATTTTAAAAAGTGCCATCATTCATTCTGAGAAAACCTGGACAGGACAAAGGTGAACAATGAAGAGAGAACTGAGGTGAATAAGAGTAACTGAAGGGGCACTGGGTTACTTTCACTGAGTCCCTATAGAAACTCGCCTCACCTCTTCATGCATCCACCCTGGAGTTTAAGGCTCAGTATAGAGTGGCATTCTCTTTCATATTGTTTTTTCATCAGATTCACTGAGAAACAGACACCGAAATGTGTCTCTCTTACCAAGACCTCCAACACACTTGCCACTTCCTGGTCAATGGGTTAATATAGTGAAACAATGTGAAATTCTGGATAACATTCACTCATCCAAATCCTCTTGGACTCTATTATGATAGAAGGTAGGAGAGTTAACATAGCCCTGGAGCAAGACTATAAATATGTACTGTTGTACTTCCCACAGGAATGGTAACTACCCCTGGTACTCCTTTTTGATAGTAATTGGGAGAAAAATATATTTTCCAGATCAGTAGCTGCATACCATGTTCCTGAGGCCATGTTATCCTGCTGTAGCCAAGATCCCACATCTGATATGGCAGCTGCAATTGGTGCTACCAGTTGGGTGAATTTGAAGTAGTCCATTATCATCCTCTAGGATGTGACAAGTTTCTGTTGTGGCCACACTGACACATAATTTAGGCCTTTAAAAGCGGCAGAAACTTGAGAAGAAACTCTGCCATTCTCCCTCAGATGCAACACTGATTTTCATATACTATCATATTCAAATCAAGTAGTTTAGAGTCCCCTAAGCCACTACAATAGTTCTTAACTCCACAAGCTAAATAACCAATGTGGTGCTCCTGCCAACTACCAAGTACGTCTATCGGTACTATTCAGGGAACAGGGAAATGATCAATTGGAGGATTGGCTTTCCTAGGAAACAGATTCTGAGATATGTGTTGAGGGAGTCTGTTGAAGATAACTGTCAGCAATAACAACACTGAAGGATTATGGGGAGCAGAATTTGTTTGGTACAGGGAGAGCTTGAAATTATGGTGCAATTGCAGTAGACGTCTCAACTGATTCCACATGGAACTCTGATGCTAGGCTAGCCCTTCACAGTTGTCTCATATTGAGGCAAGGGGGCTAGGCTTTTGTAAGCCTTCATTGACTACAGGGTCATGTACTCATTGAGTTGTACTCATTCAGTAAAACCACAGGGGAGGCAGCTCCTATAGGCAAGAGGCAGCTCCTTTCAGCTGAAGGTAATTCTTGGGGAGGAACGTAGGTATAAGCCATCAAGCAGGCAACACCTCTGGCAACTGAGGAAATAAATACCTCAGTCCTCAAAGGGGAATATTGGTGGTTCACTGTAACATCCACTACTAAGGTTTCCAGATTTAGCAAATAAAAAATAATAAATAAAAATATTGCATGGGATGTACCTATACTAAAAAGTTGTTTATTATTTGCCTGAAATTCAAATTTATCTGGGCATCTTATGTTTTATCTGACATGTGTTAAAGGGAAAGTAGAAGAAATAATTTTAAGGGTATTAATGTATTTCCCATTTTATAATCTTATACTTAGATAGTACTCATCTCACATTGATGTGGGAGGCCAAAAACAGAAATTGCTTAACCTCAAGAATTTTTGCTTTACTCAGAATCCTGAAGTTGTCTAATTACAGAGATTCAATACCCTTCACCGTTTTTATTGCAGGAAACAGAAGTAGGCTTAGAAAGAACACTCTGGCAGTATTAAGGAGGCTGTATAATGGGAAAGACTCAGTCCACAGTACATAGGAGAGAGAGGGAAGTAGAGCAGTGGCAGTGGGAATGGAAGGGAGAGGAGATGAGTAGAGACACCACTGAGATAGATTGAAAGAATGTACCGACCGCATGATTTACAAAAATAGGAGGTTAATAGAAGAATCTAGTAAGATAGTTTTCTTTCTATTTTAATAGGAGGAAAAGACATAAAATTGTACAAGATATACATAAACAGATTTAGAGAGAGAAAATTATACATTTGATATATCATTTAGCAGAATGTATAATACACATATGAAGAAATTAACTAATATACCAACCTGTTGTTATTGAGCAGGGGATCATTTCCCATTAAATATATTGCACCTGAGACTTTACAGATATTTTTAAACATCTGGCATTTCTACAACCTGTACTCAGAATGTTACATTACACCAGTAATTTCATTAAATAAATATATACACATAACTCCTGAGAAACACTCATTTTCAAATGTAAAATTTTAAGAGTTTATTTTTTTAAACGCGTTTATCTGTAATAGCAATTCCCAACTCCATTGTATTTAAAATATTTATTGTGTATTAGCTGCCTTAATAAAGAAGCTCTTTGGAGTTTTGTTCTTTTCCTTTAAATTGCAAAAAAGGAGGATACTACAATTTGAATGTGTTCCCAAAAGGCGTGTGTTGGAAATTTAATCCCTGGTGCAACAATTTGTGAGGTGGGGCCCAATGGGAAGTATTTAGGTCATGAGAGCTCCACTGTCAGGAATGGATGGATTAATGTGGATTATCAAAAGGCTTGAGACTGTGAGTTCAATCTCACTCCCTGCTCTCATCCTTCCATCCTCCACCATGGGAATGATACAGCACAAAGGTCCTCACCAGATATGGACCTCCCAATCGTGGACTTCCCAGTCTCTGGAGCTGTTAGATATCAATTTCTTTTCTTTATAAATTATCCAGTCTGTGGTATTCTGTTATAGTAACACCAAACAGAAGATGAATTACCATAGTCATTATCTCAATAATGCTACCTTTCTCCTTGGTGCTCTCCCACTTAAAATCATGTGATATTCTGCTGCCAGCTGATTCTTGCTGAACTACAATACCCATCACTTCACTCTTTCACTATTTCCTGACTCTGGCTAATGGATCCAGAACAACTAGTAGATCTATTAAATTTTTGCATGCATCACAACAGAACCCTCAATAGCATCTTCAAATGCTAGATTGTTTATTTAGTATGGGCTGTGTGTAACACAAATATTAGAACGTCAATATAAACCAGATTTTTTTCCTGTTTTCCTTCAAAATTGTAAAATTCAATGTTAATTTGCATTCTATAGTTAATTTTAATCACCAATGACTTAATCACTGTTATTAGCTTATTGGATTCAATTACCCATAATTGAAATCAGTAAATAGAACAAAATCTGGCTAATCCAGTTGTGCTCTACCAATCAGAAATCTCTTTTAGTAAGCATTGCACACCATTGTCTGTATTTCTTAACTATGCCAAACAAAGCATATGTAATATATGTAGGTATAACAATTAAAATGATCTCAGTAAATGCTATTTTTTATTAAGTATTTTCCAATAAAAAGGACCATTCACCATCTTTAAAATCAAGATGATTTTTTCTTGGAATTGAGTATATTTCTAGGCTACCATCTTGCTTTGTTAGTTTTCTTGGTGTGTGTTTAGTAAATATAAGGATAGCTTGTCATAGCATGACATAAATAGGAAGGTAAATATGTTGTTTTAAAAAATGTAATGGCATTTCGAACTCAAAGATAAATTATTTTTATGTTATCCATTACCAGTCTAGATTTTTCAAGGTTTTGCTCCCTTAAATTTATGTAATGAATGTGGATAGCATAGGAAATCAATAGGCCCCCCCAGTAAGCATAACCTTCTTAGATCTGAGTATGTTTGTGCAACAAGCAAAATGTCAGGCAAGAGTCGGTATAGTTGTTGAGAGTTGTTTCTAAATATTATAGTAATTCTCCTGTTATGTCAGTGTTGTGACTAAAGATAAGATCCAAGAGCAATTAATTTAATTGTACTGTAAATGGTTACATTACAAAGTTTAAAATGAAAAAACCCTTACCTCTCAACTCAGTGGTTTATTGGGAGCTCTCTCTGATGACTTGTACTTAAGATCACCTTGCTTTTACTTTTCAATCAAAAGATGACAAATACTATACCTTGTATCTCATTAGTAACAATTTCTCATTAGTAACAATTAGCTAATCCTGTATGTACACTAAATGTTGGTATAACAATAATTGACAGTATTTACACAACTCTTTGGCCAGGTACTATTCTAAGTAATTTTCCCTTAATTCTCATAGAAAAACTATGAAATATATTCCATTATTATCCTTGCTTTAATAGTTCAGGACCCTGAGGTTCAGAAAAGGTAAGTAACTGGCTGAAGTTCCTATGACAAATAAGGGGCAGCACTGGTATTTGAATCCACTGCAGTCTGGTTTCAGAACCCATACAGTTAACCACCGGGCCATACTACCTCCCTGTTGAATTAGGCATCCTTCTTCCCATTAAAGAGAACACACAAAAATGGTGACTATACCTCTGACAACATAGGCTGAGTTAGATGCCCCTCCCCCTCCTGTCCTACATTCACCTCTCACACAGCACTTGATATGCTGATCTGTCATCATGTCTCAATTGATTGTAATTACATGAAGCAAGGATTATTGAAAGATTGACACACAGTACAGTGCTTGGAATACAGTAGGGATTCAATAAATGTCTGTTGGATGAACTGATGCTTCTCATTGATTTCAGGTCTGCCTATTGACATTCCAAACTGTACCAAAACAATCAGATGTACCCCTCCCCAGTAAGCTACCATTACTCTGATACCAACTTTTGCAATTCTTCACAATGTGACAAACTACATTTATCTGTGAAATACTTTTGGAAAGCACACCAATAGCTATCCCAAGAAAAATGGTCTTACCTTCTAAATCTTCTTTCTCAAAGTGTGTTTTGAGAATAGAACGAGTTCCACCTCTATCCACAACTGCTTCTTCATCATTTCTCTGTTAAATGAGGATAAGGAAGATTAAATGATAACACACATATTATCTCAATTTCAAAAAACAAACCTTGATATAATTTAATATTTCAAGGCTTAATTCAGTCATTTAAATCTAGTTGTTCATGAGTAGTCTATTTGATTAGTAAGTGTTGGCTTAAAAAGAAGAGTAAAATAAATTTGACCACATATTTGAAGAAATATCATCTGGTTTTTTATAACATTGGAGGCAGTCAAACATTCCAGTTGGCACCATTTGTCAGTGAGATGAAAAACAAAAAAAAATAGTTATTCTATCAATTTAGTAAAATGCATTTTTATCCTTGATAAAGAATTCTTGTTAACAAGATGACATTTTGAACTATGCAAGGAAAATATGAAAATCATTAGTATTAACACCACTAATGCTATGGCAGGGTAAAATAATTCCACTGTCATTAAAAATGGGATTGGGGGATCTAATCTCTTGAAAGCAATTAGTAGCAATTATTAGATAAAAGGCAACTCTAATTACTTTGCTTCAGTATAATGCATTTTATTGAAACTAAAGAGTAAATTATGATCATGTGCATTAAACCTTCTAGTGTCTCTCTATATTTTTGCCAATTTAGAATGAGTGGATAGAGACTATGTCTTCTGAGTACTAAACACATGCTCAAAATAATACAGCCACTAATTTGGTACTCAAAAAATAATGGCAGGGGGGCTGAGTATAATCTATTTTGACAATGCAGGAATAGACAAAATACAAAATTCTGAAAGAAATAAAATGTAAACTATTATATTTCCAACTTTTATCTAGCTGTGCACACCTCTATAAAAATTACCTTAAAAGTGAACACTGAGCACAAAAGGTGAAATAAAAAGATATACTAAAGGTGAATGAAGCTTCCAAGATCTATTCCTGTCTATTCCAGTATATGACTAGTAGAAAAAAGGTTTTTGTTTCCTCTTTGAAAGCCAGAGTATGTTGAAAAGAAATTTTTTAAAAAATTAAATTTAAAATGTAAAAACATTTTTTTCTTCTATCCAGCAACTACATTGGAGCATCAGACATTGGGGACCTGCCTTTCTTCCATTAAGGAAGAAATCTTTTGACAGAGTGCCATAATATGTAGTAGTGAATACAAGAGTCATGGGAATCCAGAAAAGAAAGAAATTACTGTTAATTTAAGAGCATGGAAAGAACAGAGAGAGGGGGAGGAAAAATTTCAATATCTCAATCTTGGAGAATTCTTATAAATAGCGCACATGAAGAATTACAGTAAGGAGAAGAGAAATGAAAGAAGAATCAATAATGTCAAACAACATATAGACATTTTTAAAAATGATGCAAAATTATTTTCCAATGTTGTTGAACTTGGACTACATGATCATTGGTAACCTTCTGAGGGGAACATATAAGGAAAATGCTAAAGTCAAAATCTAATCAAGCAAAACTAATGAGGTGATCTATCATGAAGAAATGAGGAAAGAGGATATAGTTCTTGCCTTGCAAAGCGCTGCTGATTCTCATTAGCTTACCCCCCACTGCATATCTTTGCTTTTAGATCTTTGACTAGACTTAAGTTCCAGTAGGCCTTGAAAGGTGAGGTACAAAATGTGACCCACAAGGAGTTGAGCTACATTCCAAATAACTGCAAGATGTTTCCAATTTATACAGACAGAAATACAGGAAACATATGTGGGAATGGATATTAAGGGTGTTGAGGTAACAATGGAAGGAATATAACATTGGCTCAGGCTGACTTTATTGATATGGGCCCGCTAAGCAGAGATTCTAGATGTAATGTCGTCACTCAAGGGGTTAGAAAGGGCTCTAACAGTTTGGTTAGTCGGCTAAAACAAGAACCAAAAAAATGGGCTATACTAAATGAAGTTGAAATTCCAGAACTGCTTTGTTACACTGTAGAGGAAAGTATATAAAGGCTTAGGAAAACTGAAATGTTAGAGTAGATTTATAATTTAAGGCCTGCTCGCCCATACCAGGAGGGCCCAGAAGATGCATCTTTCACCATGACTATGGGAAACGAATTTGTGATAGGAACCCTAGCATCCTTGAAGAGCTCTATGGTCTCTTTCCTCTGTGGGTCAGGTATTACAAGGGAACTGCTGTCATCAAACTGGAATCCTAAAATGGAATCGGATAATTAGATCCCAGGCAGGACAGGGGCCAAAAGACAGCACATAATCACTAAAGATGGGTGTAGTTACCATATAAACAGTAGTAAAAACAGTAATCAGAATAGTCTGATTCAGAGACCTATGGTATTGGTTAGTTGATCAAGGTGTCACTAGAAGTGAAATAGATGGGAAGTCTACTAAATTCTTATATGATCTGTAGAAGAAAAAAGGTCAGGTTCTAGGTCAGTAAACAAGTCTAACTTGAATCATAAGAAGAGTCATGGTCTTTCTATAAATGTCCGTACTTGAGCCAATTTACAGACCCAGAACCTCTTGAATGAAGGAGAGGCCAGATCCACTAGAGAAAGGATCTTGCTACATTGCCAAAAATTTGTAGTCTTTCTTACAGCCTTCCCCAAAGAGACCTACCATCTTTTACCAGAATGAGTGTGCACTGGGGAAAAGAAAATAATCGGACTTTGGGGAAAATAACTGGACACTGTCTCTGAACTGACACTATTCCGAACAGACTGAAAATGTCACTCAGGCTCAGCAGCCAGAGTAGGGACTTATGGATGTCAGGTAGTCAATGAGGTTCTGGCTGAAATCTGTCTCACTGTGGATCCAGTGGGTTTCTGAACACATCTGGTGGCTATTTCCTCAGTTCAAGAATGAATAATTGAAAGAAAAATAGATTATAATTGGGGAGTCTTCAAAATCAGAGTATTTGTTTTCTTTTCAAGTCAGTTAGACCTTTGCCTATCTGAAGGCTAAAGGAAAGGTGTCAATATAGAAGAGACTAAGATGCTAGGAAAGAAGTAAATAAAAATTCCCCCTAGCCCAGGTGCTAAAAAAGAATATGACTCTGATCTAAGGACTAAGCTACTAGCATTAAAGATAGGGACACCTTTTTTCTGAGGTTTTGGGGGAAGATTGGAAGGGTTGTTATGTATTCAGAGATGTTCTGAACAAACAAAGAAAATTGTAGGTGAGGAACCTTCTACTAGGTGGCCTTGTTTTGGGGGGCAAACTGAGAGGCGATATCATCTTCCAATGGTAACAGAGCAAGTAAATGAAGAAGTTGAGACATTGAGAAGCATGAAAATTCCAAATCCTTTTCAAGAATGATATTTTAGTTGACATTATCAGGGCCTTTTTGTGGATAATCAGAACAGATAACTATTCCCACCAGTTTTAATTTCAGATGACCAAGGCAAAGGATTGTAAGAGAAAAATATCACAATATTTTCTGCTTCCTTTGGATAACACATTAAAAACAATTAAAACCCCCATAAGAGCAGAGTATAGCAAGTTCCACCATTCTTAGACATTAACAATCTGTTTCCACTTAGCTTTTCTGATTAGTTTACTGCTGTCTTAGAAAGGAGTTCAGGGAGTTAGATACTGAACTGGTAAATGAGGTGTGAGGTATATGGTTAAGTGTTTTCCTAACTACTTATGAGGATGGCATAAATAGCAGTGTTAAAACACAAGAAGTTATAGTCAGGTGTCTGAAGTATGGATAAGTACAACTAACACACATTATGTTTTATACCGAATAAAGTTTAAAAATGCTCATGTCTGTGAAAAAGCCTGAATATATATATATATATATATGTGTATATATATATATATGTGTATATATATATACACACACACACACACACACACACATATATATAAATAAAACACACACACACACACACACACACATATATATATATATATATATATATATATATATATATATATATATATGCTTCTTAATTCTTTAACATAACCTTGATAAAGATTTTTGCCTCCATGTTTTACAAATCAGTACTTTCAGGTAAAGGATTATAGATACATTTCAACAAAGGAGGTCAGCTCTCCTGTGCATCACACATAGCAAAATACATAGTGGAAAGATATGTTTTTTAGCCTGTGGTCTTATATCTTTCTGACAACATATGCTGAGACAGATCAGGGCTAAGTGTTTGCAATCAGAGTTAAAGAAATGTATGAATGGAAAAAAATTTTTAAAAATGAAAATAAAACAGGATTCACAGCCATTGCTTTGCTCTTCAGTAGTTTTTAAAATGACTTGGTTAGAGCAATAAAAGCAACAGAAAAAAAAAACTAAAAATGGGGTATATATAATTTTCCCAAACCAGAGAAATACAAGTTGAAGCCTATTAAGACTCTGTTATTGATATATTTACAAAGCAAATTTATTATTTTTGCAAGACATAGTCAAATATATGTCACATTAGAATGAATCTCTGCCCTCTGAGGTGCTGTTAGGCAGAATGCCAAAAGCTAAGTCATGTATCCATGTTCAAAGGTCAAAACAAGCACTATTCCACTGTGTCTTACAATGGCAGTCTCTTAAAAACAACTGCAAAATGGAAAGCTTTGTGTAAAAGGCCAGAAGATGTTTTCCCCTAAGCAGTGAAACGTTTAATTTTTATTTCAAGAACCTGAATCAATTTTTAATTTATACAAATAATTTTTCTCTTTATTTATATAAGGCACCTATGCTATCCTCAACCAAAACACAATTCCATTAAATAGTTGGAAAGATACTGAGAGTGAAATTTTACAGCAGAAGCAGTAGAATCTAAATAAGAAATAGTTGATTATTTAATTCCTATACAAGTTGCAAGTAAAAATGACTGAATTGTAATGTTTATTTGAAAGAAAAATATGAGAAGCTAGAATATGAAAGTAATTCAATGTAAGTGTCTCATTTTGAAGCTTCATATACAGTACGCCTTTTAAATACTCACTGGATGCTTCACAGAAAAATCCAATGTATACTCTTTTAGGCAAACAAAAATCCCAAGATACAAATTAATACTAATACATGTACTAAAAGTCCTCTACTTTTGTTACAGTTTGAAAGATCATTTCAATATTATTCAAAACTTTTTAATAGAGCATTTCCCTTCCTCCTTGTTACCAAGAGCAAGTAAACATGGGGTATGATGAAGGGAATGCAGAGGGACATACAGCACCAGGTGCCAGCCTTTTGGTTACCCCAAACACATAGTAAGATAAATTTTCATTTCATTTTGTACTGAGTTACTCTCTAGATTCATTGAACATCAAACACATTAATGCATCCTAATTTCCACATGTATTTGCTCATTTAGGAGCAAATTTTAGCACTGTGTAAGGAAGAAAACACATAAACATATTGCATTGCCCCTTAATACAATCTACCCTTGTACACCATCAGGATACACTTTTTTTTTTTTTTTTTGAGTCTTGCTCTGTCACTCAGGCTGGAGTACAGTGGCATGATCTCAGCTCACTGCAACCTCTGCCTCCTGGGTTCCTGGGTTCAACCAATTCTCCTGCCTCAGCCTCCTGAGTAACTGGGCTTAGAGGCATGCACCACCATGCCCGGCTAATTTTTCCATTTTTAGTAGAAACGGGGTTTTGCCACATTGGCCAACCTGGTCTTGAACTCCTGACCTCAGGTGATCCGCCTATCTTGGCTTCCCAAAGTGCTAAGATTACAGGCGTGAGCCACCACGCCCAGCCCCATTGGATAAACATTTATAAGATAATCAATTCCGGTAAGTAATATAGGACAGTGTTTTAAAATTTTTTTGGGCATGACCCATAGTGAGAAATACATTTTATATCTCAACATAGTCACATACTTATATATGTGTAAACAAAACAAAAATTTCACAAACCAATACTTACTATTAACAATGCACCCCAATATTTTCTACTCTATGGTATTCTACTCCATTTGAAAATACTCATCACTAACTGTTAAATTTATTTCAAGACTTAATAGGTTTTCACTTGCAAGTTGAAAAGCACTGGTAAAGACTATTGCCCTGGAACAGAGTAACAGTAACTAATCCGACAGAAATCACACCTTAAGTCCATTTACATAGGCTTCTAATCAAATGAACAAACTATAATTCATTACTTTTCAAGTTAACATTTTCCCATTTTAGAAGTGTCAGTTGTGCTAAGTTTAGGAACGGAAGAATTTTTTTATTGTTACATTTTACTAAGCAAATATTAGAGAGCAATAGCAAAAAAAGGTTTCTAGCTCAACTTTCACATCTGAACCAGTGCATTTCCTCATGGAAGAGCAGCTAATATGGGCCACCGCATTTCATTGTTACAATGTTCACATAAAAATATCAACTATTTCTTCTGGAATTGTTTGTGAATATCATTAATCTCTTTATGAATATGTTAAAAAAATACATTATTCTGATTTACTGTAACTCTTGCCCATGGTCTGAACAAAATATGTTTTTCCCAGTTTTACAAAATAAAACTAACAATAATGCCATGAGCTATAAAATTCAAATATGTTATATCCATTTTGTAAGCCTTTTAGTAATTCTTTTTGCATTCTAGAATGAATAGAGGACAAAGCAGTTTATTTTCAATTCTGAATTCTTTCTTCAACTACTTCTAACCCTGTCATTCTACTCTGTTCCTTTCCTCTCCCAATAAACCTCCACTTTCATTGATTTTTTATTTAGCCTTCCACTATTACCACTTGATAATCTAAGCAATTATATTTATATGTTAATATATTCTCCTTTCTTTAAAAAAAGATAGCATGCTAGAAACACTTTCTTGTGTCTTGCTTTTCTTACTTAACAATATATCCTGGAAATTATTTTACAGTATGTAGAGATCCTTCTTATTCATTTTATAGCTGTATAACACTCCATGGTATGGATGCGCCATAATTCAGTCAACCAGTCTCCTATTGAGAGGCATTTGAATAGCCACCACTCTTTTACTATTATAATTATTGGCAATGGATAACCTTGTACATATATCACTTTATATTTTTGCCAGTTTATTTTTTGAGATAGATTCCTAGAAGTGGGATTGCCATGTCAAAGATTAGATGAATCTGCCATTCTGCCAGATGGTCCAAATTCCCCTTCATAAGGTTGTATCTCCCTGCTTTATTTATCATATCATTTTTAAAAAGCAACCACCATTTCTGCCTTTTTATTAGCTATTACGACAGTATGATGTACCATATATCCTCTATTAACCCTTATAAATCTGCTTAGCACTCTTTTCCCCATGCTCTCTCTTTATAAACTACATCACCAGATTCTTTGCCTTCCACCTTCTGGTTAAGTTCAGCCATGAAGAGACCATGCCAGAGGGTTGGACCCTGGGAGAAGAGAGGCATAGCCCCTGTTAGGCCATAGTATGGCAGTGGCTGCATTCCTCTCTCATAGACCAGAGCTCTTGTCCTATGACTCCTTTATAGCTATAGCTCTTGCCAATTTTTATTAACTGCTCCCACACCTCATTCCTTTAGGCCTAGGGGTAGTACTAGATTCCTGTTGTTGCAGGTCTCCAAGATTTCATGAACCCTAGTTGATTTCCCTTTATCCTGCCCACATCTTTATACGTATTTTTTATTTCTTATATGCCCACACCTTTATAAATAGTCCGTTCATTAAACTTTCTTTATCACCCCTTTTGAGTGACCATGTGTTTCTTGCTGTGACTCTGACCTATACACATGTGTCATGTTTATTTTAATGACTAAAACTCCATGGCTCCAAATTGTGTGGAAATGGACATGTAATTAGGATGGCAACCTACGTACACGACTTTGAGTAAGAAACATCTTTCAAAAAAATATTGCCAAATAAAGGGTAGAGTAGAAAATGGTAGGGAAGAAACTCTGGATCATAAAAAATTGCTCAACAGAATGATTAATTCAAAAAAGTTTAATTTCTGCCCAAAATAAAAAAGAGGGTATAAAAATAAACTTCTGGATGTGTGAAAAGAAGTAAAAAAGAATAACTAATAAAATGTAAGTATGGAACACTTTCAAAGAAGTTTTCTCATAACTCAAGGAATGTATGGTCTCTCTCAATCTATGGGTTAGTATCTTCATTAATATAAATAAAACATTTTCTGATATTAATTTAAGGAGCAGTAAAAATATATGGACACATATATTTTATAAACATGACCTAAGAGCTAGTTTTTTAAGTGTTTTTCATTTTCAAAGGTTTCAAACTTTTCAATTCTCATTAACGTTAAAATACTTCATAGAAAACAAAGGTTGATTTTACTCATTTCACTATGTTAAAACATGAATTTTCCAAACTTGTAACATCTCACGTACCATATTACTTTCACGATCAGATTTAATAATGTTTCACTACTGTTTCATTAAATAATGGATGCAAGATTTTAACTTATTAGTTTTCTTATTCATCTTATTACTTTTATGTTACATTACAAAATTAAGAAAATTGAAAATTAACATTTAGATTTAATGCTAAAATTCAACATATGCATCCATTATTTACCCTAGAGTCATTCCATTTGTTCATTACCATGGAAGTTAAAGTGCAATACAAATATGAAAGACTCAACTGCTTCAGGTCTAATTGTATCATACTGCTTTAAATAGGGCAATATATAAACGAGTATCAGCTCGGAGACTGCTGTGTTACAAGAATTTAAATACTAACTGAATTGAAATCTAAGCATAAGTCAAACCTAACTTTTAATTTCACCACATATATTATAGTGCCATAAAATTTATTGGAATATTACTTTGAAATTAGGTTTTTAAACTCATATTTATTCTATGACATAGACTATACCATCTCATGATAATACAAGTTAAATCTGTTTCATCTACTGCATTAAGTAAATCATATAAAATATATTTCTTCTAAGTTAGTCCAATAAATCACTCTCTCTTTCCTTACATATTTTTATTAAAGAAGCATTTAAGTCCCTTTCTAAAGTATCTAATTGGGGTGTTGGCATACCAACCAACCAAATTAGGTTTCATTTATTTACGCAAAGCAATTGTGTTGTTTCATCTTTATACATACAAGAAAAAATAGAACTGAGAATAAGAATTGGAGGGTAAAATCCTCTAATGTAGGAATAGTGTTTAATTTACTTGGAAAACTCCACCAATCCAAAATGGAAAGACCAGTTGAGGGACCACACAGTTAGGTCAGGGAGGGTCTGGTCTGTTGAAATGAAATAGCCCAGGGTCAGGTTCAGGGTTCAAAGTTTCAGAGGTGAAAGTCCTCCAATGCTGGAGCTCCTTTTGGTTCAGGATTAAGTCCATCACAACATATAGTGTTATACTTCTGACGGTTGCTGTGACCTAAGGAATACTATCTCTCCTAGTGGGCCTAACATCTACTAGTTAAAGGATAAAAGGTATCTGAGAAGTTAAGAAAAGTTTTAATTAGTCAAAAGTATTTTAAAGGGTAGCGAAACCTGCATTTTTGCCTGCTGGTTTGCTTGTTTTTAATTCTATATTTGATTCCTGACTTGTTCTTGAGGGTCCTTCTGGAGCCTCCATTCTGCCTATGAATCCAATTTTGTACCCAGAACCTGATATTAACTGCCACTAGATTTCCTTATTGGAACATGGACAGGATATTCCTGTCCATGCCATGTTTACTCTCTTCATGTTAATTTGCTCATAAATGCCTTATCACAAGGCTCCATCTGTCTTGCAGGCCTTCATTTATTTGTCCTGCTGTGTCCTTCCCTAAGCATCTGCCACATACTCCTTGAGTTTGATGCCCAAGTCCTCGTTCTTTCTAGCGTATCCTATCTCTCTGTTGCCGATTCTCCCATTCTGGAAGGCATCAGAAAGCCAGTGCTATATAGAGACTAACAGTTTGTATGTGTGTGCAGCCACATAACATCTAGATGCAAGTCTTGTTTTAATAAATTTCTAGCTATGTGACTTTGTGTATTTTATGTAATCTCTCTGTCTTGAGT
Source organism: Homo sapiens (assembly GCF_000001405.40). NCBI lineage: Eukaryota > Metazoa > Chordata > Mammalia > Primates > Hominidae > Homo > Homo sapiens. Next base: position 161,761,085 of record NC_000002.12, on the reverse strand, counting down.
GACATTAACACATGTAAAATGTATGAATTTGCCTGGCATGTAGTAGGTTTTCAATAAATGTTTGTTATTATTGTTTTTAATATTATTTATATATTGCAGGATTTCCTTCTTTTATATGGCTCAGGAATGTGGCTGCGTGTGTGCATGTGGTGTGTGTGTGGGGTGTGTGTGTATAGATACATACCTATGTATGTTATATATATACCACATTCTCTTTATCCACGTATCCATTGATATATTCTTATGTACTATTGGGGCCACAAAAACCATTAGGACACGGTTCCATCCTCAGAGAGATTATAGACTTGATATGAGTGCAGTAATACAATGGTATTATGAAGGAAATACAATAAGTGACACTCAATCATAAAGATTGTTAGTTTTTTCAGATAATGTCAGTAAAGGCTCCACTGAAAGAGACACTTGAGCTGATTTTTAAAAGATAAATGAATCTTTGCTGGGCTGACAAGGGGGAAAAGTGATAGTTTAGTCATAAGTATCAAAACAAGAGCTGAGTTATTTGAAAAAGGGAGAAAGACATGAGCAGGACCCAGAGCAAGACAGATTTGCTGCTAAACTGCCAAGCTAGTGATTTGGTTCTCCTTAAAATCTCAATGCCTGGAAAGAAAACTTCTCTCAAACCCTGGGACAGGATTGAAAATCCTGATGTAAAAAAGTAGAACTTTGAGAAATTATATGTATATATGTATTTGTATATAATTCTTAAAATTGCAAATTCCATGGATGGGCAAAACAGTTAACTGGAAAGATGATATAAGAATAAGGGAACCAGGAAAAAGATCTAAAGAAATTACACAGAACATAGCACAGAATTACAAAAATATAAAAAATTCAAAAGAAATAACTAAAGAGATGGAGGTTAACATGAGAAACTGAAATTGCATAAGGTAAGAATGGATAGTGAAGGAGTGCTATTTTAAAATAATATGTAAGAACTTTCCAGAATTGATAGAGGACATGAATCCTCAGATTCAGGAATCATAACAAGAAAAGTGAAAGAAAATTCATGCCCACACACATTATTTGAAACAGTAGAATGAGACATTTTTAAAGCATCCAGGAAAAAAGCCACCTACAAAGAAATGACAAAATAACAAAACAGAAGAAACAAGACAATAAAATAATATCTGTATTTTTTTGTTACTCTAGGAAAAATTTTTGTTACTCTAGAAGTATATGCCTAGCTAAGCTATCATTCAAGAAAGACATTTAATCTGCACAGCAAAGGAAACAATCAGCAAAATGAAAAGGCAACCTATAGGATGGGAAAAAATATTTGCAAACCATGTATCTGGTAAGGAGTAAGGGGTTAGTATCCAAAAAATATAAGAAACTAATACAACTCAATAGCAAAATTTTTTTTAAAGAACTTAATTTTAAAATGAGCATAGGACCTGAGTAAACATTTTTCCAAAGATGACATAAAAATGATCAACAGATATACATTACGCTAAGTGAAATAAGCCAGACACAGAAAAACAAGTACTATATGATCTCACCTATATGTAGAATCTTAAATAAAAGTCAAAATCATATAAGCAGAGTGTAGAAGGTTGGTTGCCAGGGACTGAGGAGCATGCAGAAATGGGGAGATATTGGTCAAAATGTACAAACTTTCAGTTATAAGATGAATAAGTTTTGGGGACCTAATGTGGAGCATGATGACTATAGTTAATAATATTGTATTGTTTACTTGAAATTTGTTAAGACAGTAGGTCTTAAGTGTTCGCACCACACACAACACACACACGTAACTATGTATGCTGATGGATGTATTGATTAACTTGATTGTGGTAATCATTATACAATGTATATCAAATCATCACTGTACACCTTGAATATACACAGTTTTTATTTGTCAATTATACTTCAATAAAGCTGGGGAAAGACACTTGATAAAACAGAAACTGAGAAAATTTCCAACCAAGACACCCTTGTTAAAGAAATTTCTAAGTATACGCTTCAAGAAGAAATAAAATGATCCCAGAAGGGATATCTAAGGTGGAAGATGAAATGCTGAGCCAATAAATTGATGGACCTAAATAAAATAAAATGAGTTTAAAATCAAATTTATGATTGTTAGATCCTTTTTATTTGTAAAATACTTGAAATTTTAAATTAAGTTGTTTTCTAGATGAAAGTAAGGGTCATATTTTGGTTTGTATTCAAGTACCTATCTTTGCTTCAACCTAAGATCATATCATTTGTAATGCTCCCAAATATCAGTATCCTTCTCCATTCCTGACAAAGTTTACATACTATGGACTGGTAGGAGACATAAATGTCAATTGTAAGAAGGGGATGAGGATAGATGCATATATTTTTAAATGCAATTAGCAAGTTCTACACTCTCCATCATTAATAAAATGTTGCCCTTTGTAAGTTTGTAATAATCTACAATATCAGAATACTACACAGTGTTCAGCCTTCTTATCATTAATTAGGACAGTTCTGAGTTGACCTACATAAGCCAAAAGTGTCTGTTAGTTTAATGATTTACAGGTAAATTAGATTTGAACAGTCAATAATTTCAAAATGAAGATGGAAAGAAGTTTCCTGATACAAGTAAAACCAACAAATCAAAGCAGAGTGGAAATAATAAAATAATATTTGAAACGCTTATGGATTCAACAAATTGGGAAACTTCAAGATTTTTTTATATAAGGAGGGAGATAAATAAAACATGAGGAGATGAACTTCAATGATAAGTGAAAACAAGCAGTGGAAAAAATACTGTATTTCAGGTATAAGTTATGAAAACTGTAGTGTTTACATAATTAATTTAAAAAGCAAAGTAACAGCTCTAATCAGGATTGTTCTTTAACCTCAATGATTATTTATTAGTGATATGTTTTATCATATAACTTAAAAAGTAGTAGAACTATTAGTATACATGTAATTTACTAAAATAATGACACTACATTTCATTGCAATTTTAAGCAAAATAACTTTCTTAATTATACAAATACTAAAAATATCTCAAATTTCAAAAGATATAGAAGAGGAAATAAAAATAACGTGGAAAAAATGAAATCAGATTTGAAATGAGACATGAGGGAATAGAAAATGGGTGAGTAAAAATATACGTAGGATTCTTGATTAATAACTTCTTAAACTTCCTACATTATTTATTCTCTTCACAAGACCAAAAATTATTTATTCTTTGGGTTAAGTTTGTATGTAATTGAGATGATGGAATTTTTTCTATTTAGAAGAACTTCATTTATTGAAAATATATGTAATTAACCTGATCTCCTCTACTTAGCATATGATAGAAACAGCTAAAACTAATTTGTAGTTAGCATTGTAGCTACAAATAGTTCCCATGTATTGAATTCATACTTTCAATTGGCACTAAGCTTAGATTTATAAGAGGCAGTAGAGTGGTAGTAAGAAAAGCTCTGAAACCAGACCGCCAAGGTTCACATCCAGTTCTGACACTTACTTATTTAGCCACGTGATTTTAAGCAAGTTCTTTGTGCCTCAATTTCCTTATGTACAAAATTGGGATTATGTTACTTACTTGGATATTATGGTTATGAAGAGTAAATGAGTTACATGTTGCTAATACGGTTATAATGCTATCTGGGAGTTCTATATTAGTGTTAGTGAAATAAACATACTTTATCTTATTTAATCCTCCCAAGAGCTCTAGAATCTAAATATTTTGATCCCCACTTCAAAGATGAAGAATCAGGAGCTTAATTTAAAAAGGTTAAATGACTTGTATTACAGCATAACTTGCCCAATTAAGATGAAACAATGTCAGGATTTGAATCAAAATTCTTTATTTAATGTCAACTTTTATTTTAGATATAGAGGGTACATGGGCAGTTTTGTTACATGGGAATACTGCGTGTTGCTGAGATTTGATGTAGGAATCCTGTCACCCAGGTAGGGAGCACAGTACTCTCTAAGTAGCTTTTTTAACCCAGCTCCCCACCCTCTAGTAGTCCACAGTGTCTATTATTCCCATATTTATGTCCATCTTACTCAATGTTTAGCTTTTGCTTATAAGTGAGCTGACTTGAAAATTCATCTTCTTTCTGTTGTGCACATACTGCCTCATTTTCTCAAAAGCTTAGCGATTTTTTTCTCGTTTACATGCCACATAAATAACATTAGCAATAATAAAATTCTAAATAGACAAAATAACATTCCAGATCTCTTTCTGAAATCTTATAATCTTTCATATCTTTCCCTAATTGATGTCTATAAGAATATATATGCACATACAGTTATATATTTTGATTCTTTTAAACTTCAATTGTGGCTTATACTATTAATACTCACAGTATCATGCTGTCTTCTTTCTCTTCCTGGACTGTAGGAAGAGAAATAGTGATGACCCAAGAGGTATAACCAAAAGTGATGTCATATGTAACATCTGGGCCAAAGTACAGGAAAGAAGGTTTGACTTCTCCATGTTCCTCTCTTCCCAGGTACAGTGGGCAAGGAGATTAGGTGGCCCAAATTGTGCAGCTATAAAATCTATGTAACCCTGGATTTCTGAGTGACTGTGTGGAACAGAAGTCCATAATCGTGGTCCTGACTCATCCTAAAAATGTAGTATGAGCAAGAAATTACTTTTATTGCATTAAGCAACAGATAATTTACAGTTGTTATGCAATACAACTTAGTAGATCCTAACTAATAAGAAAACAAACATTGTCATATTCATACTTCTCAAAAATCATACTTTCTAATTGCTGCATACTATTTCATCAGGTTAATATCATATAGTTTAATTCTTCCTCTCATATTGGCAACTTAGATTTGTATGTAATTTCTCACTAATATAAATAATTTTACAATATCCATATTTGTAGAGATTAAATACTGGAAAATTTAACAAAAGCATGTAGAAGATAAATAAATTACTATCTTTGGTGTCTATTGCATCAAGACGTGAACACTTACTTAAAAGTACACCATCAAAATTCAATCAAATGGTACAGCATACTTTTAAAATGACATTTTGAAAACTTTTTAAAGGGGCCAGGTGCGGTGGCTCAAGCCCGTAATCCCAGCACTTTGGGAGGCTGAGGGGGGTGGATCACAAGGTCAGGAGTTCGAGATCACCCTGGCCAACATGGAGAAACCCCGTCTTTACTAAAGATACAAAAAATTAGCTGGGCATGGTGGCACAGGCCTGTAATCCCAGCTACTTGAGAGGCTGAGGCAGGAGAATCTCTTTACCTGGGAGGCAGAGGTTGCAGTGAGCCGAGATTGCGCCATTGCACTCCAGCCTAGGTGACAGGGCAAGACTCCGTCTCAAAAAAAAAAAAAAAAATTTAAGGAACGAGTTAAGACAACAGACAGTAAAGAAAATAGTATTTGGCACAGAAATAGCTAAATGAGAGCAAGTATTCTAAAGGGATGAAGATATTGGAATTGTGAGAAAAACAAATGTAAAATCTCTAAAAGACAGGATCAGTATCATGGGAAGAGAAGGAATGAAAACTTTCAATGCTCCCAAGGGATATTTGTGAGTATGTGAGAAAAGAGAGGGTGGTGTTGGCTTAAATTAACAGATAGAACTATTAGAAAAATGGACTTAGAAAATGGCTGCTGGAGAACCCTTGAAAATCACCTAATCTATGATCCATATTTTAAAGATGAGAAAACTCAACTTCCCAAAGGTTAAGCCAAAAATCTCAGCTAGTCACACAACACAGCTTCTATTTCTTCTCCCCTTCAGATTCCTCCGTCTTCTGTAGTTTGTAAAAGAAATTAATCTCAGTTTGGAAAACACATACCAAATGAAATAATGAATTAATGTGATATGAATATAAGCTTTTTTCCTTTAGGCAAATAAACAGTTCTCTGAAGCCCATAATGACAGCAAAGAAGAATTAGAGGAAAGATCTGGAAGAAATTTAGGGGGAAAACTGCATACCGATTAAGCGAAATTCCTTGTAGCAAAAATTGTGTTCAATGAGTCTGATGTATAATTTATTTTTTTTGTATGAGTCAGTTCTTTGCTTTAAAATGATATTTTTCATATCTAATGAACACTAAAAAGAACAAGTTCAGGAGACATGGAAATTTTGTCAGTTATATTATTTTGGTGTCTAGGTTCAAGTTTTTACCTGCATCTGATAAGTGCCAACTTGCCTGCTTTTGACAGGCTAAATTCCTTAACATTGAGCAGGTAGTAGTTGCATTTGTAATTAAAAATGTGAAGTATTGAAAAATAAATCCTGTTCCTTATGAACTTGCTATTTCCAATGAATAAAAGCTCTTTTAATAGATAAAACATAAAAAATTATATGCATGAAAGTATATATAAGAATATACCTTATTTTCTTACATAGTAGTAACTTGAAAAATAATACTTTCAAATGCATTGCATATATATCTAATTTATTCCTAATCATGTGGAGAAAAGGGGGATAGGAAAAACAAAGACAGACAAATGACTTCAAATCCTACAGAAATGTTACATCCTTGTGACTCAGTCAATCACATGATTGGCAAGCAGCCAGATGCAATTAGCCACCACTGTCCTATCAAGTAAATGAGAAGAAATTTTGATTCCTTTTCTGCCTTGAAGAAGACACATTTTGGGCAAAAAGCCATAATTCATATGAGAACAATGTCTCAGAGTCTGATATTTAGTGTTTTTTCCAAAGTCCTTTACCCTAGCAGCCCAAAAAAATTAATTTTGTTGTTCATGGTTCCTAATTTTGTCACAGAGCTGTTTTATAGAAAAATTCTATTGCAATTTTAAAAAGTGTTATGTTCACCCTCCCACTTGGAATCTAAATCTGTTTATGGGCTATTTACAGGCCATTTAATAGTCCCTGAGATTAAACTAGAGGTTGCACTATTTAGAAGTCGACAATACAACTCAAGAAGTCAGCAAGACGCAGTGGTTTACACCTGTAATCCCAGCACTTTGGGAGGCCGAGGCACAGATAACTTGAGCCCAGGAATTCAAAACCAGCCTAGCCAAACCCCGGGGCCACATAGTGAAACTCACACTCTACTAAAAATACAAAAAAATTAGCTGAGTGTGGTGGCACATACCTATAGTCTCAGCTACTCTGGAGGCTGAGGCAGGAGAATCACTTGAACCCAGGAGGCAGAGATCGCAGTGAGCCAAGATTGCGCCACTGCACTCCAGCCTGGGCAACAGAGCAAGGCTCTGTCCCAAAAATAAATAAATAAATAAATAAATAAATAAATAAATAAATAAATAAATAACTCGAGTTATTTAACAGTAAAGTGAGCTGTTAAAATGGAAGTACCTTGAAGTTTCATGAAAGGGCTGCTTTTTAAGAGCTTGAGAGTTTTATGTAAGAATCTCTGCCTGCAATTTATAGATGTATGTAGTTTACAGAAGGAAAGTGAAATAACAAGTAAAGTTTGATAATTTCTTCATCGGTCACTCTTTCATCAAACGTTAAGATTATCACTACTACTACCACTACTACTACTAATAGCTATGACAATATTAGGTGCTTTTCAAATTCCATCTCACTAAACCCCATAGGATATCGTCTCCACTTTACAAATGGGAAACTGAGGCTTAGAGTGATTGAGTAACTTGCTCAAGGTTATAGAACCAGTAAGTGGAGAAGCAGAATTTGAACTTTGATCTGCCTAACTCCAAAACCCATGTTATTTGGCTAAATTTAAATCTTCAGAAAAATTGAGTCAGGCTATTTTGAAGAAGAGATAAGAGTTTTTGAAATAGTGTAAAGAATGGGAAATAAGTCAGTGTGATCAGCACACACATAAAGACACAGAAAAAAGTTTAGCTTAATTGCTTAATTGGGGAGCTCCAATTGTTTGATATGATTATTAAAGCTCAGGGTGCCCACTGAAAGTATAAAAATGAAGCTGAAAAGAGAGAGTATATCTGCATAATAAATATCATGGTGAGACTCATATTTTATGCCATATGAGCAAAGATTATGAATTGTTTTATAATTTAATGCTTTGTAAATAAATTGTTTCTCTGCATAGGAGAAATACTTCATTTTATCCTCCTTTTTGATGCTAATTTTATTTTATTTATTTAAGTGACAAATATAATTGTATATATTTATAGCGTAAAACATATCTTGCTATATGTAGATATTGTGGAATGGCTAAATCAAGCTAATTAACATACACACTGCCTTATATGTCATTTTTTTGTGGTAAAAACACTTAAATCAACTCAGCAATTTTCAAGTACACAATAGATTGTTATTAAGTACAGTCACCATGATATATCTATCCTCCTGTCCACCAGGATATTCTTCCTGTTTCTGGTAACCACCAGTCTACTCTCTGCTTAAATGAGTTCAACTTTTTAGATTCCGCATATAGGTGAGATCATGCAGTACTTGTATTTCTGTGCCTTGCTTAGTTCACTTAACATAATGCCCTCCAGATTCATCTGTGTTTTTGCAAATGACAAGATTTTTTTATTTTTATGGCTGAATATTATTCCATTGTGTGTTTATAACATATTTGTTGATTTTATATCCTGGCTATTATGAATAATGCAATGAGCATAGAATTATATTTTATATCTCTTTGACATACTGCTTTCATAACCTTCAGATATATACCAAGAAGTGGGATTGCTGGATCATATGGTGAGAAATTCTTTAAACAGAGGCCCATGCGTTTAGTTCAGAGATGAAGAGCCATCTGATTTTAAACTACCATTCATCACCTTAAGAAGGATATGGCAAGGCTTTTTAAATTTGAGCTCTTCATGGGCCAAAAGAAATACAAGTGCTTCATCCTCTTGACCTCTTCTTCAAGAGAGGATTAATTAGATAAGGCAAAAAAATAATAATAATAAATAAAGTAAAATAGGTCCTTACTGGAGCCAGAAAGCAATAAATTATGGAAGGTACATGTAAAACCTACTCAAGTGAGATAGGTCAGCACTTAACACAAGATGTACTTCCTTTTTGGAAATTAACTAATATTTCTTGAAAGATAAACAATTAGAATCAGATTTTTCAAAGGTAAATACTAACCCAACCCTCCATTTCTTTAGCAGCAAAAAAGGTTTCCACTTTAATGGGTGAGCAAGAAAAAGTGAATTGATCTTATGTATGACTAGCTAAGGCCTCTAGCTAAACTAATCAATTCATACAATTTATTAACAAAGGGTCTGAGACATAGGGAGGTTAGGATTGTATAAAGATGTACTTGAGTAAACGTGTATGCATTTAATGTAATAGAATTTCATTTATTTAATTAAGAAAACTCCTACTTGGAAGATCTGTTCTTTTACCCAATCTATGACACTAAAGTCTTCATTTAATAGAAAGGATAAGAGGACCCTATATAACTTAACGACATTTTTCTACAGAATCAAAAGAGATTAGATTAATTAAAAAGGCATTTGCAATAATAATAGTAATAAAAGACCCAAAAAAGGAGGATGGTGATGCCAGCAAGATGGCGGAATAGGAGGTCTATGACTTTCCCTCCTCCCACAAATATACTCAATAAATATCTATATATGATCAATTCCCTCTGAGAATTGTGACATTGGTAGCATATAATCAAGGGGAGAATAAAAGGCGAGTTCCTACATGCAGGAAAAATTAAGTTTTTCTCAGCTTAAAATAGACTATTATAACTATAAAATATTTCATGTAAGTACTATGAAAGCCACAACAAAATACCTGAAGAAGTTATACAAAAACAAAAGGAAAAGTAATTAAACCTAGCAATATATGAAAAAAAAAAAAAAGCAAAATGCAACAAAGACAGTTAAAAAAGAAAGGGACAAAAGAACCTCAAGACAAACAGAAAACCTATAACAAAAGGACAACAGTAAATACTACTTGGCAATAATTATTTAAATGTAAATGAACTAAACTCCCCAGTGAAAAGATAGAGAGCAGTTGAATGAAAACGAACAAACAAATAACAACAACAACAAAAAATAAGCAAGATCCAACCGCATGCTGTCTACAAGAAACTCAATTTAGATTCAAGGACATGTATAAGTGGAAATTGAAAGGATGGAAAAAGATATTTCATGCAAATGGTAGCCAAAGGAAAGCAGGAGTAGCTATACTTATTTCAGAGCAAAGTAGGCTTTAAGTCAAAAACTGTCTCTAGGTACACAGAAAGTTGTATCATAATAATAAAAAGGTCAATACACAAGAAAATATAACAATTATAAATATATATAGACCCACTGTCAGTGTAATTAAGTATATATAGCATATGTTAACATGTCTGAAAGAAGAAACTGATAGCAATAAAATAATAGTATGGAACTTCAACACCCCACCTTCAAAAATAGATAGAACACCCAGAAAATAAACAACAAACTTAACACTACAGACCAAATGAACTCAATAGACATATACACAACTTTTTACCCAACAGCAGAAGAATACACATTCTTCTCAAGCACAAACAGAATATTCTCCAGTATAGATTACATGTTAGGTCACAAAACAAGTCTTAAGACATTTAAGAAGACAAATTATACCAAGTATCTTCCAACCACGATGTCACGAAACCAGAAATTAGCGGCAGGAATAAAATGAGAAAATCCACAAATATGTAGAAACTAAATAACATATCCTTGAATAATCACTGAAACAAAGAAGGAATCAAAAGGTAATCTTAAAAATATCTCAAGGCAAAAGAAAATAAAGCAAAACCTATGGGATGCAGCAAAAACAGTACTAAGAGAGAAATTAATAACAATAAATGCCTACATTAAAAAAGAAGAAAGATCTCAAATGAACCTAACTTTAGACCTCAAGGACTAGAAAAGGTAGAACAGACTAAACCCAATGTTAGCAGAGAGAAGGAATAATAAAGATGAGACAAACAATATATCAATAGAGAAAACAAAAATGACAGAAAAAATAATCGAACTAAAAGTGGTTTCTTGAAAAAATATAGAAAATTGATAAACCCCTAGCTAGACTAACTAAGAAAAAAAGAGAGAAGACTCAAATAAATACAGTCAGAAATGAAAGAGAAGACATTATAACAGACCTCAGAAATAAAAAGGATCACAAGTGACTATTATAAACAATTATATGTCAACAAATTGGAATACTTATAGGAAATGGGTAAATTCTTAGAAACATAAAGCCTACTGAAACCAAATCAAAAAGAAATAAAAAGCTTGAACAGACCAATAATAAAGATAATAAAGTAGTAATCAAAAATCTCCCAACAAAGAAGACAAGATGGCTTCACATCTGAATTCTTCCAATCATTCAAAAAACTAGTATATACCCTTCTCAAATGCATCCAAAAAGTAGAAATAGAGTGAACATTTCCAAAAGCATTTTATGAGGCAATACTACCCTGATATTAAAGCCAGACAAAGACACCACAAGAACAAACAAAAAACAACTACAGGCCACTATCTTGGATGAATATACATGCAGAATCCTCAATAAAATACTAGAAAATGGAACTCAGTGACACATCAAAAAGATTATACACCATGACCAACCAAGTGGGATTTATCCTGGGGATGCAAGGGTGGTTTAACCAATGCAGATAAATCAATGTGATATATCACATTAGCAGAATAAAAAATAAAAAAACACATGATCATCTCAATAGATACAGACAAAATATTTGACAAAATCAACATCCTTTTTATGATAAAAACTCTCACATAAATTCCCTAAACATAATAAAGGCCATTTATGAAAAGTCCACAATTAACATCATAATCAACTGGGGAAAACTGAAAGCTTTTCTTCTACGATCTGGTACAAGAAAAAGATACCCATTCTCATCACTTCTATTTAATGTAATACTGAAAATAGTAGCAAGAGCAATTAGACAAGAAATAGAAGGCATCCACATTGGAAGAAAAAAGAAAATGTATCCCTGTTTATAGATGACATAATTCTATATGTAAAAACCCTAAAGAATCCACAGCATGAAACTATTAGAATGACTAAATGAAATCAGTAAAGTAGCAAAATACAAAATCAACACACAAAAATCAGTTGCATTTCTTTACACTAAAAACAATCTATCTGAGAGAAAATCAAGAAAACAACCTCATTTACAATAGCATCAAAATAAATAAAATACTTAGGAATAAATTTAATCAAAGAACTAAAAGATCTGTACACTGAAAACTATAAAATGTTAAAAAAATATTGAAGAAGACACAATTAAATGGAAAGACATCGCATGTTCATGGATTGGAAACATTAATATTCTTAAAATGCCTATACTACCCAAAGCAATATACAGATTCAACACAACCCCTATCAAAATTCCAGTGGCATTTTTCATACACATAGAAAAACAATTCTAAAATTCATATGGAACCACAAGAGACCACAAATAGCCAAGGAAATCTTGAGAAAGAAAAACACAGTTGGGGGCATCACAATTCTTGGATTTTAAGTTATATTACAAAACTACAGTAATCAAAACCATATGGTATTTGCACAAAAACAGACATGTATCAATGGAACAGAGTGTAAAGTCCAGAAATAAGCCCAGACATACACATTCAACTGACTTTTGACAAAGCAACCAAGAAGATACCATGTGGAAAGAACAGTCTTTTCAACAAATGGTAGAATATCCACATGCAAAAGAATAAAACTGGAACCATATCTTACACCACACACACACACACACACACACACACACACACACAAACTCAAAATGGCTTAAGACATAGACGTAAGATTTAAAATTGCAAAACTTTTGGAAGAAAACAAAGAGGAAAATCTCCTTGACATTGGGCTTGGTGATATTTTTAGATATCAAACCAAAAGCTTAGGCAAGAAAGCAAAAATGAACAGGTAGACCTACATGAAACTAAGAAGTTTCTGCACAGCAAAGGAAACAATCCACACAATAAAAAAGGCAGGCCACAGGATGGGAGAAAATATTTGAAAATCATATGTCTCATCATAAGAGATTGGTTTCCAAAATATATAAGGAACTTACACAACTCAATAGCAAAAACCCCCCAAATAACTCAATTTTAAAATGAGCAAATAATTTGAAATTACATTTTTTCCAAAGAAGACATAAAAATGACGAGCAGATATATGAAAAGGTGCTCATCATCAGAAAAATGCAAATCAAAACCACAATAAGATATCAATCCACAGACATAAGACATAAGGTAAATGTTGGTGAGGGTGTGGAGAAAAGAGAAGCCTTGTACACTGTTGGTAGAAATGTAAATTGATACAGCCATTATGGAAAACAGTATGGAGCTTTTCTCAAAAAAAGTAAAATAGAATTACCATATGATCCATCAATCCCTCTTCCAGGTGTACATTCAAAGAAAATAAAATCAACACCTCAAACAGATATCTGCCCTCCTATATTCATTGCAGCATTCACAATAGCCAAGATATGGAAACAACTTAAGTGTTTTGTGATAGAAATAGAATAACAGAATAACATTCAGTCTTCCAGGAAAAAAAAGGTGGGGGAGACAGAGGTGGAGCAAGATGGCCAAACAGAACCTTCCAATGATCATCCCACTCGCAGGAACACCAAGTTGAACAACTGCCCACACAAGAAAGCACCTTCATAAGAACCAAAAATCAGGCGAGTAATCACAGTACCTGATTTTAACATCATACCAAGAAAAGAGGCAATGAACAGCACAGGAAAGCAGTCTTGAATTGCTGACAAAACTCCTCCCCCATCCCCTGGCAGTGCAGTGTGATGCAGAGAAACTATATGCTTAGAGGAGGAAAAGTGATTGTGGGACTTTGCATTGGAACACAGTGCTGCCCTGTCACAGCAGAAAACAACACAAGGCGGAATTTGGCCAGCACCCACAGAGAGAACATTTAGACCAGCCCTAGCCAGAAGGGAATTGTCCATCTCTGCAGTCTGAACCTGAATTCTGGCTAGCCCCACCACTGTGGGCTAATGTGCTTTGGGCTCCTAAATAAACTGGAAAGGCAGTCTAGGCTACAAGGGCTGCAATTCCTAAGCAAGTCCTGGTGCTGTGCTGGGCTCAGAGCCAGTAGGTTTGGGGTGCATGTAACCCACTGAGACACCAGCTGTGGCAGCCAAGGGAATGCTTGTGTCACTCCTCCCCCAAATCCAGGCATCACAGCTTGAAGCTCTGGGAGGAGAGGGAAGAGTAAAGAGGACCTCGGCTTGCAACTGCGATACCAGCTCAGCTACAGCAAAATAAAACACTAACCAGAGTCCTGAAACCCCCATTCCAGGCCGTAGCTTCTCGACAACATTTCTAGAGTGACTCGGACCCAGAAGGAAACCCATTGCCCTGAAAGTAAGGACCCAGACCTGGAATTCATCACCTGCTGACTAAAGAGTGCTTGGGCCTTGAATAAACAACAGCAGAAGCCAGGTGGCAGTTTCCTTAGGCCTTAGGCAAGACCCAGTACCATGCTAGCTTCAGGTGTAACCCAGCACATTCCCAGCTGTGGTGGCAACAGGGAGATACTTCTTCTGCTGAGGAAAGGGGAAAGAAGAGTAAAAGGGACTTTGGTAACTTGGGTACCAGCTCAGCCACAGTAAAATAAAGCACGAAGCTGACTCCTAAAGTCACCAATTCCAGGTATCAGCTCCTAGAGGACATTTCAACACCTGCCACAGACAGAAGGAACCTGCGCCCTGAAGTGAGAGACCTAGGCCTGGCAGAATTTACGACCTGTTGACTAAGTAGTCCTTGGGCCTTGAATAAACATCAGCAGTAGTCGTGCAGTAGTCATCACAGGCCTGGGGTAGTGGTGGCCACAGGAAGAGACTCATTCTGCTTGAGGAAAGGAAAGGGAAAAGTAAAGAGGACTTTTGTCTTGCAGCCTGGGTACCAGCTCAGCCCCAGTAAAATAAATCACCAGGGATATTCCTAAACCTCCAAACCCAGGCCCTAACTCCTGGATGGCATTTCTAGATCCACCATGGGTCAGAAGGGAACATGCTGCACTGAAAGGAAAGAGCCAGTCCTGGGAAGATTCATCACCTACTTACTAAAGAGCTCTTAAGCCTTGAACAAACATCAGCAGTAGTCAGGAAATAGTCACCACAGGGCTTGGTGAGAGACCCAGTACTGCGCTGGCTTCAGAGGTGACCCAACAAGATTCCAGCAGTGGTGGCCATAGGAGTGCTTGAATCACTTCTCCTTCAACTTTAGGCAGCTCAGCCTAAGGTTGTGAGAGAAACTCCATTTGTTTGTGGGAAAGTAAGGGAAGAGAACAAGAGACTCTGCCTGGTAGTCCAGGGTATTTTCTGAGATTTTACACAACACCACCAAGGCAGTACCTCTTTTAGTCTGCAAGAGCCACCGTGTTACCAAGCTTGGTGTTTCCCCTAATGCAGATATGGCTACAGCAATTGCAGACTTAGATTACAACCCTTAATTCACTTTGAATAATTGGAAAGGCTTCTCAAAAAGAAAGGGAACAAACAAGACCAGACTGGGAAGATTAGAATAAATACATAACTCTTCGACACCCAGACATCAATAAATATCCCAAGCATTAAGACCATTCCAGAAAATGTGACCTTACCAAGAGAACAAAAGAAGGCACCAGTGACCAATTCCAGAGTGACAGAGATATATGACTCTTCAGACAGAGAATTCAAAAGAGCTGTTTTCAGGAAGCTCAATGAAATGCAAGCTAACACAGAGAAGGAATTCAGAATCCTATCAGATAAATTTAACAAAAAGATTGAAATAATTAAAAAGAATTAAGGAAGAATTCTGGAGCTGAAAAATTCAAGTGACAAACTGAAGAACACGAGAGTCTCTCAACACCAGAACTGATCAAGAAGAAGAAAGAATCAGTGAGCTTGAGACAGCTTATTTGTAAATACACAATCAGAGGAGTCAGAAGATGAAAAAATAAAAAATAATGAAGCACACCTACTGGATCTAGACTATAGCCCCAAAAAGGCAAATCTAAGAGTTATTGACCTTAAAGAGAAGGTAGCGAGAGAGATTGGCATAGAAAGTGTATTCAAAGAGATGATAACAGAGAACTTTCCAAACCTAGAGAAAAATATCAATATTCAAATAAAAGAGAAATAAAGACTTTCCCAGACAAAGTTGGGGGATTTTTGTCAACACAAGACTTGTCATGCAAAAAATTACTAAAGGGAATTCTCCAATCTGAAAGAAAAAGATGTTAATGAGCAACAAGCAATCACCTAAAGGTACAAAACTCACTGGTAACAGACAAATACAGGATATTACAACACTGTAATTGAAGTGTGTAAATTACTTATATCTTGAGTAAGAAGACTAAAAGATAAACCTATCAAAAATAAAACTACAATATCTTTTTAAGACATAGATGACATAGTAAGAAATAAATAGAAACAACAAAAAGTTAAAAAGCAAGGAGGATGAAGTTCAAGTGTGGAGTTTTTATTAGTTTTCTCTTTGCTTTTCCTTTTTTTGTTTGTTTGCGTTTACAGTCAGAGTTAAGTTGTCATCCATTGAAAATAATGGGTTATAGATGTTATTTACAAGCCTCATAGTAGCTTTAAATAAAAAATCCTACAACAGATACAAAAACAAATATAAAGCAAAAAATTAAAACATACCACCAAAATACTGGCAAATCCAATTTAACAATACATTATAAAGTTCATCCATCATGACCAATTGGTATTTATCCCAGGGATGCAGCAATAGTTCAACAAATGCAAATTGATCAATGTGATACATCACATATCAACAAAGAGAAGGACAAAAACTATATGATCATTTCAATCGATACTGAAAAAGAATTTGATTAAATTCAGCATCCCTTCATGTTAAGAATCCTCAAAAAACCTGGGTATAGAAGGAACATACCTGAACACAATAAAAGCCATATATGGCAGACCCACATCTAGTATCATACTACATGGGGAAAAATTGAAAGCCTTTTTTCTAAGATGTGAAACATGACAAGGATGCCCACTTTGACTGCTGTTGTTCACCATAGTACTGGAAGTCCTAGCTAGAGCAATCAAGCAAGAGAAAGAAATAAAGTCCATCCAAATTGGAAAGGAATAAATAGAATTATCCTTCTTTGCAGATTATTTTATACTTGGAAAGAAAGTAAAGACTCCACAAAAAAAGCCTACTAGAGCTGATTTAAAAAATTCAGGAAAGTTGCAGGACATAATCAACATAAAATATCAGTAGTTTTTCTGTATGCCAACAACAGACAAACTGAAAAAGAAATCAAGAAAGTAATCCCATTTAAAATAGCTACAAATAAAATATCAAGGAATAAACTTCATCAAAGAGGTAAAAGATTTCTACAATTAAAAAGACAAAACATTGAAGCAAGAAATTGAAGAGGACACACACAAAATGGAAAGATGTTCCATGTTCATGTATTGGAAGAATCAATGTTATTAAAATGTCCTCACTACCCAAAGCAATCTATAGATTTAATGCAATCCCTATCAAAATACCAATGACATTCTCCACAGAAATAGAAAAAAAAATCCAAAAATGTATATGGAACCATAAAAGACCAAGAATGGTCAGAGCTGTCCACAGCAAAAACAAACAAACAAACAAACAAAAAAAACTGGAGGAATCACATTACCTGACTTCAAATTATATTATAGAGCTATAGTAACCAAAACAGTGTGGTACTGACATAAAAATAGCCACATAGAGCAATGGAACAGAATAGAGAACCCAAACATAAATCCATACATCTACAGTGAACTCATTTTTGATAATGGTGCCAAGAACATACATTGGAGAAAGGACAGTCTCTTCAATAAATGGTGCTGGGAAAACTGGATATTCTTATGTAGAAGAATAGAACTAGACCCCTATCTCTTGTCATATACAAAAATCAAATCAACATGGATTAAAGACTTAAATCTAATACATGAAACTATGAAACTACTAAAAGAAAACATTGTGGAAACTCTCCAGGACATCAGTCTGGGCAAAGATTTCTTGAGTGATACCCAAAAAGCACAGGCAACCAAAACAGGTAATACACAAATGGGATCACATCAAGTTAAAAAGCTTCTGTACAGCAAATAAAACAATCAACAAAGTGAAGAGAACAACCCACAGAATGGGAGAAAATATTTGCAAACTATCCACCTGACAAAGTATTAATAACCATAATATATAAAGAGCACAAACAACTCAATAAAAAAAATCTAATAATCTAATTTTAAAATGGGCAAAAGATCTAAGTAGACATTTCTCAACAGAAGATACAAATGGCAAACAGGTATGTAAAAAGACACTCAACATGACTGATTATCAGAAAAATGCAAATGCAAACCAAAAGTATGATGAGATATCATGTCATCCCGGTTAAAATGGCTTTTATCCAAAATACAGGCAATAACAAATGCTAGCAAGGATGTATAGAAAGGAGAACCCAGCTGGGCACCATGGTTCATGCCTGTAATCCCAGCACTTTGGGAGGCAGAGGCAGGAGGATCACTTGAGGTCAGGAGTTTGAGACCAGACTGGCCAACATGGTGAAACCCCATCTCTACTAAAAATACAAAAAAAGCCAGGTCTGGTGGCGTGCACTTGTAACCTCAGCTACCCAGGAGGCTGAGGCAGGAGAATCCCTTGAACTCAGGAGGCAGAGGTTGCAGTGAGCCGAAATCAGCGACTGCACTCCAGCCTGGGCGACAGTGCGAGACTCAGTCTCAAAAAAAAAAAAAAAAAAAAGAAAGAAAGAAAGAAAGAAAAGAAAAAAGAAAGGAGAACCGTATGCAGGTTTCCCAGAAAACTAAAAATAGAATTACCATATGATGCAGCAACCTCACTGCTATGTATAAACCCAAAAGAAAGGAAATCAGTATATTGAAGAAGTATCTGCAATCCCATGTTTATTCCAGCATTAGTCACAAAACAAGATTTCAAATCAACCTGTGTCCATCAACAGATGACTGGATAAAGAAAATGTGGTATATATACACAATGGAGAACTATTCAGCCATAAAAAAGAATGAGATCCTGTGAATTGATGCAATATGGATGGAACTTGAGAACATTGTTAAGTGAAATAAGCCAAGCATAGAAAAATAAACTTCACATGTTCTCACACATTTATGGGAGCTAAAAATTAAAATCATTGAACTCATGGAGATAGAGAGGAGAATGATAGCTACCAGAGGCTGGAAAATGTAGTAGGTAAGGGGAAAGGTGGAATGAAGATGGTTAATGGGTATAAAAATGTAGTTAGATACAATGAATAAGACCTGGTATTTGATAACACAACAGGGTGACCAGTCAGCAATAATTTGTTGTGCGTTTTAGAATAATGAGAGAGTACAATTGGAATGTTCGTAATACAAAGAAATGATGAATGCTTGAGGCAATGGATATTCCATTTACGCTGATGTGCCAAATACACATTGTATACCTGCATCAAAATACCTCATGTACCCCATAAATATATACACCTATTATGTACCCATAAAAATTAAAAATAAAAAAAATTTAAAGGAGATCCTGCCATTTGTGACAACACAGATGAACCTGGAGTACATTGTGCTAGGTAAACACCAGACACAGAAAAATACTGCATTTTTACACTTAAATGTAGAATCTTTTTAAAAAGTCAAACTCACAGAAACAGCATTACAGAATGGTGGTTATGGGAGTGGGGCTGGGCAGGAAGAAGTGGGGAGATGTAGGTCAAATGGAACAAACTTGCAGTTATGTAAGATGAATAATAAGTCTAGAGATTTAATGTAGAGTATGACTAAAGTTAATAATATTGTATTGTACACTGAAATTTTGCTAACAGTAGAGTTTAGGTGCTTTTTTTTTTAGCGGAGCCTTCGATAGCTCAGTTGGTAGAGCGGAGGACTGTAGTGGATAGGTGCTTTTTTTTTTTTTTTTTTGAGAGTCTTTCTCTGTAACACAGGCCGGAGTGCAATGGCATGATCACGGCTCACTATACCTCCATCTCCAGGCTCCAGGAATCCTTCCACTTCAGCCTCCCAAGTAGCTGGAACTTCAGGTGCCCACTACAACACTTTGCTAATTTTTTGTGGAGACACGGTTTCAGCATGTTGTCCAGGCTGGTCTTGAACTCCTGGACTCAAGCAATTTGCCTGCATTGGCCTGCCAAGGATTACAGGTGTGAGCCATTGTACCTGGCCGTTTAGGTGCTTTTGCCACACACAAAAAAGAGGTAACTATTTGAAGTGAGGGATATTCGTGAATATGTTAATTTGCTTGACCGTAGTAAGCATTTCACTATGTATATTAAAACATCTTAATATATCTTAAACATATATAGATATTGTCCCTGACTGGGCACCTAAAACATATACAGAAATTGTATCTAAGGAATGTTTTCACTACCTAGTATCATAAAACAGCAAGCATGTAAATCTGCCCTTTAAGCTATATTAATTGGAGATGCTAAAAGGGAATGAGTAAGATTTCCAAGACCACATAGTGAAGAATAAAAGTTGGAATGCTAGAATGAAGAAATTCTCTGTGCCATAGGCCTATGTGGAGCCTAGGCCTAAGCTTATAGCAAAAGCCTATGAGCACCTCCCAGTAACAACTCCTGGGATTTTGGACTAGAGAATTTCCATTTGAGGGGCATTTAATACCTTGCTATCAAACATTAATTAGAGCTACCCCTATGAATGAAGTACATAAAATAATCTTGAAACCAGAAATACCCATGCTGTCTTGGGTGATGTCAGAGAAATACTCTAATGGGAATGACAGTGCCCAGAAGAGTTCCATAATAAAATGGAAATGGTCTATATAGGTTCATGCTACCTGGGAATGCAAGGAAGTGATACAAGCAGGGAGCTAGAACTGACTCTGGACTTGTGTACTAGGACTGACTCTGGAATTGTGTGAGGAGCTGATGGATTCTACAGTGCCCTATAAGTACCTTTCAACTGACCAATTAAGAGCTGCTTAGTTTGTGGATAGGAGTTCCAAGGTGAACAGACAACATATTATTTGGAAGGATGCTACTGATCAAAGAAGTTAAAAACAAATCAGCTCAGTGGGCTGAACTGCACGCTGTTTTCTAGCAGTATGAAAGAATTGAACATCAAAACCCTGGTAAAAGCCTGTCTTTGGCTTTTTACTGACTTGTGGGCAGTAGCCAATGGCCTGGTCATACACTCAGGCAAGAGGATGCTGGGAACCTGGCCTATTGAAGGGATGCCCATATAAGGCATGACCCTATGGAAATTTGAGAGGTTCATTAAAGCAGAACATGTCCATTGAAAGAGCCCCTTCCAGGATTAAAAGTCAAGCAGCTATCAGCAGGTGCTAATTTAAGGTGGCCACCTGAGTCCATGAAATGGGGGTACTGCAATAATGCAGAGATGAGCTCAATCCAAGTATGTTCCTTTTGCAACTTTTCAAGCACATAATGCCAATAAGAACTGTTCTGTCTGCCAGCAAAAGACACAGAGACTGCTTATGGCTATGGGGCTACACTCCTATTGGGGAAGCCCTAAACACAGTTGGTAGGTGAGATTGATGCCGGTAAGTATGGGGGTGCTAAAAATGGATCTTGATAGGAGTAGTCACTGATTCTGGACTGGGCTTTGCTTACCTGGTAGAAGATGCAAATGTTCAGAGTGCTATTAAAAACACAGATAATATTACACAATTTGGATGGCCAACCATATGTCTTTAGACATACGGAACCAAGGAACACACTGTACAGCCCATAATGTCCCATAGTAGGCAAGAAAATCTCCTCCTAGAGTAGTAGTTTGATAGAGAAGTGAAATGGGAAATTAAAACATTGGTTGGCCAAAATAGGAGGCGATAAAAGCATGAAAGACTAGCTTACATGCCTTCAAAAGTGTGTGCTCACACTCAACAGGAGTGGGATTAAAAGAGTGTTCCCACTAGATTTTCCTCCATTTTTCTGGTTAATCTGGATAAAAGAGGGTAGCGAAGGATGCAAGTATGACTATGCAATTCTTATCAAGGAAGGAGGATGCTAGTATAATGATGTTACTGTTTTTCTTTCCTCCCCATATCATGTTCCCCCCACCCACCCACTTGATGCAGTGGTCCTAGGGCCAAGGATCAACTACAGTTTGTGGAAACATAAATTATTCCTAAAAAAGAAAGTGTAACTGTGTTTTTAAATCTTATGCTAGAATTCCTGAGGGCCTGATAGAGGTGGGTTTATATCTTCACCCCATCTGGCAAAATTGGGGCTAAAAGTGAATGTAGCTATATATTGCCTGAGAGTGAAGATGGCCCAATAGTTCTGCACTTACATAACCTTGCCCTATCTAAATGGGAGTGGACTAAGAGGGAGGCATTTGCTAGACTGATACTGCTGTTTGCAGTCTAGACAAGCACAGTGGCTAAACCTAATGTCCTCTCCAAAGGTGGAAAAGTTTGGCTACAAATGAAGAGAAAAAAGAATAGAAGCTGAGGGTAAAGGAATGACTAAACGAGTAAGGAATTAAGGGAAATCCAATATTACAGTAACACTTGTTAAATCAGGTTTAGCCTAAAGCTTCCTTCTTGTAGGTTTGGCCTAAAAATTTCTCCATACATAGTGAACTGTAACCTAACTGGACATGTAAACAAACTATATAATCTGTTCTTGTACAAATCACAAAGTTTTGGCCAATCACAGGCAGACAACTGTTCAAATAATACAAACACCAAACTATAACTAATGCAGATGTTTCTCTACCTTACTTCCATTTTCTGAGCAACATTTTCTGTTTTCTGTCCATAAATCCTCTCCAACCATGAGACAGTGCTGGAGTCTCTCTAAATCTACTCTGGTTCAGAGGCCTGCCCAATTTGTTAATTGTTCTTTGCTAAATTAAATCCTGTTAAATATAATTTGCCTAAAGTTTTTAACAGTCAGTGTCAGAAGTGGGATCCCAAGTAGAGCTTCTAGTGACCCCCAGGATCATCAAGTAACAAAAAGAAGTACCTTCCAGCCCATTTTGTCCATTGGTTTCTTACAGTGCTTGGGGATCATAAATAAGTTCTCTCTCAAATTCTGAAGCACCACAGATTTGTGTTTTGGGCTGTCCATGGTTGTTTGAACAATTTTTTTTAATCCAAACTTGTTCAGAAGTCACAACAGAAACTGGTCTGGATCCAGGATCAGAATAAACCTGAAAACTAACTGACCTGGATCCAGTTAGAGGCCTCAAATGTCTGACTAGGTCAGGCAGAAACTGAGAGTAAATAGAAATGCTGCAGAATGTGCCAACTCTGGCTTTCAGAAATTCATGTTTTTCGTGTTCTATCCCCTTTGTTTCTTTTCCTTGCATGTTTAGGTGGGGAAAAAATCATTGACTAAGTAGATCAAGGAGATCTGAGAACCAAAGCAAATAACCTTATTTCTAAAGAACTCTACCCACTCTACCTACCAGCTACACCTATGTTTACATGCATATTAGGCCTCAAAAGCAGCAAATGCTTATAGAAATTGAAAAAGCTTACTAAAGTAATTTAAAATTACAGTAGAACATTCCAAATGAACACTGTACTTGTAAAAGTACATTTTTAAATGAGGGCTCCTGAATTAGGCCCATGAAGGAATGCCTATTGATGTAGAAAAGCTTCTAAAAAGATTTTAATATTTTTATTCTTTATTTTTTTAAAAGACTTTATGAAAGACAAATAAAAATCTCAAGTGATTAATTAATAAGAAAAACTACATCCACTAAACATTTGGCTGTTACTACCCAATGACAAAAAAAAAAAGCTATTCTGTATAAAGTATTTATAAAAAGTAGGCTTTCTTCTTTTTCAAAGCTATCTATGCTGAGTCCAGACATAGAGAATCGTTTCTTTACCCTATTCCCTGATGGGTTCCAAACTGAACTCAGTAATTTTAACTAAAAGGCAAAAACTAAGTTAAAAAGACCACCTATTAAACTAAATCAGTGTTCAAAGTACACCCTTCTAACATTTAGCTGGCTATATGAAAACCCTTTTGTAAAAAAATTTACATTTATAGAGAAAATTTTGCCAGGCATGGTGGCTCACACTTGTGATCAAAGCACTTTGGGAAGCTGAGGTGGGAGGATCTCTTGAGCCCAGGAGTTTAAGACCAACCTGGGTAACACGGTGAGACACTGTCTCCATGGAAAAAAAAAAATCACTGGGCATGGTCGTGCATACCTGTAATTCCAACTACTCTGGAGGCTGAGGTGAGAGGATCACTTGAGCCCATGAGGTCAAGGCTGTAGTGAACAATGATTGTGCCACTGCACACTGCACTCCAACCTGGGTGACAGAGTGAGACCCCTGTCTCAATAATAACAATAATAATAATAATACTTCCATTTATAAGGATGTTTAAGAGAGATGACTGAGTGACTAGAAACTCTTACAATTGTTTTAAATTTACATAACAAGTCTGATATGGTTTGGCTGTGTCCCCACCCAAATCTCATCTTGAATTTTAGTTCCCATGATCCCCATGTGTCATGGGAGGGACCTAATGAGAGATAATTGAATCATGGTGGAGGTTACCCCCATTCTTTTCTCATGATCGTGAATGAGTTCTCACAAGATCTGATGGTTTTATAATGGGCTTTTCCCCCTTTGCTCAGCACTTTTCTTTCCTGCTACCTTGTGAAGAAGGATGCATTTGTTTCCCCTTCCACCATGACTGTAAGTTTCCTGAGGCCTCCCCAGCCATGCAGAACTGTGAGTCAATTAAGCCTCTTTCCTTTATAAATTACCCAATCTCAGATTTTTCTCCATAGCAGTGTGAGAAAGGACTAATACAAAGTCTTACATTTGTTTAATGAGCTTTTTCTGGTCATTTTGTCTTAACTGGGATTTTATATAAAAACTTTTTCTTTGATTTGAGCAAATAATAGCACAATATTTAGGCCTGAAGTCTCAGCTCTGTGCTTTCAAGGTACAGATTTTTTATCTTGTTTCATGTAAGAGTCATTGCTTTAAAAACAAATTATTGCCTATCAATTACTTAGGGCAATAAAACAGATAAATAAAAGATTAATCATCTAAAAAGAAAAAATATATATTTAAAAGCCAATTAATAAAAATTCTTTATAAAAACTATAAAATCTATTTTTGTCTATGTCTCTATGTATTATGTATACATAAAACTTGATAAATAAAGCTAGTTTTAAATTGTTATTATGACGAAATACAAATGACTTCAAAATTGTCAGTTAAATATAATTCAGACATTTTGTCTGCATATACTGGTCAGACAATTTTATACTACCTCTGATACATGTTTTAAAGTCATGAAACTACTACTTCTTTAATATTTTTGATACTTAATTTGACTGTAAGCTTATATTTTTAGTTTTGAACCTCTAGATTTTGAGGTCTGATAGTTGGCCATGGTAAGATCTGGGGACATGTCCTCAGTGCTTTGATCACCAGCTAAAGGACAGAGTCAAGCCGAGTATGGCACTTCTTCCTGGGATTAGCTTTGGTTCCTGGCCATTCTACGAAGGGTTGGATCCTTCAGACATCATCTTCATAGCTGTCTTCTGTCCTGAGTTCTACACCTGGTATATAAACTTGGCACCCAGATGGGCCCTGCCCTTCATAGCTGTCCTGGATGCCATATAGTTATTTAAGACCCAGCATGACTGGGGAAGGCATTAGGAAGGGTACTTGTGTCATATTTTCAAAATTATTTTCAGTAACTTAAAATCCTAAGATCATATTGTATTAAATTAAGTAATAGATAATCATGAAATGTCTGAGTCATTTATAAGTAAAAATATTAAAACATTAATTATCAAAAATAAATTTAAGTTTATGTACTTTGACATTTATTTTTAAATGGTATAAAAACCTAAATATATTTAGATTTGCTAATGAAAAAGAATTTTTTAATATGTCTTTCTAAAAACTTATAAGATGGTTTTCATCTACAAATACTAATATAAAACAGTTCAAAATTACTTACTTCCTATGTTTTCACTAAAAAGTAAGGTTACTAAGAGTTAAAATTTTAATTAATATATGTATATTATATATATGTATAATATATATATTTTTTCATACTACTATAAAGATACTACCTGATACTGGGTAATTTAAAAAGAAAAGAGGTTTAATTGACTCACAGTTTCTCATGGCTTGGGAGGCCTCAGAAAACTTACAATCAGGCAGAAGTTTAAAGGGAAGCAAGGCACATCTTACATGGTGGCAAGAGAGAGAGAGGAGAAACTGCCACAAACTTTAAAACCATCAGACCTCATGAGAACTCCCTCACTATCATGAGAAGAGTATGTGGGAAACCACCCCCATGATCCAATCACTCTTACCAGGTCCCTCCCCTGACACATAGAGGTATTAATACAATTCAAGATATGATTCGGGTGGAGGCACAGAGCCAAACAATATCAATATGTAATTAAAACTACCAAATATCAGAAAAAAAATATATATACAGAGTATATAAAGAGAAACAAGATATGTTTTTGGTAAACGAAAAGTTATAAAGACATAAAATGAGTATTTATTTTAAAACTAATTGTGTCTCGTTTAAAAGTTACTTTAAGATAATTTCAAATAAAAAATAGATAAAACTAGATTTAAAGAGTACAAAATAAATGAATACATTTTGTATTAGTTCATTTTCATGCTGCTGATAAAAACATACCCGAGACTGGGAAGAAAAAGAGGTTTCATTGGACTTACATATCCACATGGCTTGGGAGGCCTCAGAAGCATGGTAAGAAGTAAAAGGCACTTCTTACATGGCAGTGGCAAGAAAAAATGAGAGAGATGCAAAAGCAGCAACCCCTGATAAAACCATCAGATCTCATGAGACTTATTCACTACCACGAGAACAGTAGTAGGGAATGTGCCCCCATGATTCAAATGATCTCCCACAGGGTCCCTCCCACAACACATAGGAATTATGGGAGTACAATTCCAGATGAGATTTGGGTGGGAACACAGGGCCAAACCATATCATTCCACCCCTGGCCCCTCCAAATCTCATGTCATCACATTTCAAAACCAATCATGCCTTCCCAACAGTTCCCTAAAGTCTTAATTCATTTCAGCATTAACCCAAAAGTCCACAGTCCAAAGTTTCACCTGAGACAAGGCAAGTACCTTCTGCTTATGAGCCGTAAAATCAAAAGCAAGCTAGTTACTTCCTAGATACAATGGGGTACAGGTATTGGGTAAATACAGCTGTTCCAAATGGGAGAAATTGACCAAAACAAAGGTTTTCCAGGGTCCATGCATGTCCAAAATCCATCAGGGCAGTCAAATCATAAAAATCCAAATTGATCTCCTTTGACTCCATGTCTCACATCCAGGTCACGCTGATGCAAGAGGTAGGTTCCCATAGTCTTGGGCAGCTCCACCCCTGTGGCTTTGCAGGGTACAGCCTCCCTCCTGGCTGCTTTCACGGGTTGGCATTGAGTGTCTGTGGCTTTTCTAGGCACACTGCGCAAGCTGCCAAATTGGCCAGCTCAAATCTCTTCTTGAATTGTACTCCCATAATCTACTATTCTGGGATCTGGAGGATAGTGGCTCTCTTCTCACAGCTCCACTAGGCAGTGCCCCAGTAGGGACTTGGGTGGGGGCTCCAACCCCACATTTCCCGTCTGCACTGCCCTAGCAAAGGTACTCCATGAGAGCCCTGCCCCTGTAGCAAACTTCTGCTTAGTCATCCAGGCATTTCCATGCATCCTCTGAAATCTAGGCAGAGGTTCCCAAACCTCAATTCTTGACTTTTGTGCACCTGCAGGCTGAACACCATGTGGAAGCTGCCAAGGCTTGGGGCTTGCACCATCTGAAGCCATGGCCTGAGAGCTATGTTGGCCCCTTTCAGCCATGGCTGGAGTGGCTGGAACGCAGGGCATGAAGTCCCTAGGCTGCATACAGCTTGGGAACCCTGGGACAGCCCACGAAACCACTTTTTCCTCCTAGGCTTCTGAGCCTGTGATGGGAGTGGCTACCATAAAGACCTCTGACATGCCCTGGAGATATTTTCCCCATTGTCTTGGGGATTAACATGCGGCTCCTCATTACTTATGCAAATTTATGCAGCCTGCTTGAATTTCAAAATGGAATTTTTCTTTTCTATCTCAATGTCAGGCTGCAAAATTTTGAAACTTTTATGCTCTGTTTCCCTTTTAAAACTGAATGCTTTCAACGACACCCAAGTCACCTTTTGAATGCTTTGCTGCTTAGAAATTTATTCCACCAGGTACCCTAAATAATCTCTTTCAAGTTCAAAGTTTCAGAAATCACTAGGGCAGGGGTAAAATGCCGCCAGTCTCTTTGCTACAACATAACAAAGAGTCACCTTTGCTCCAGTTCTCAACAAGTTCCTCATCTCCATCTGAGACCACCTCAGCCTGGACCTTATTGTCTATATTGCTATCAGCATTTTGGGCAAAACCATTCAACAAGTCTCTAGGAAGTTCCAAACTTGCCCACATTTTCCTGTCTTCTTCAGCCCTCCAAACTGTTCCAACTTCTACCTATTACCCAGTTCCAAAGTTGCTTCAACATTTTGAGCTCACTCCTGCTTTCGGGATGTGATAAGATCAATGGAAGCCTGCAAACTTGAATAGCCTTGCTCTGGGAGACATACTCATAAAATATGATGATGTACTGTTCTAAGTATTAGTGACTGAATGGAAATCTAGCAATGTGTCAGTATCTTTTAAGTTGTACATTCTTTTACTGTAAGGGATCTGTGTTTGAAGACTAGGGGGTGGATTGTGACATGGTAAAATATATAGTTGGTCTTTGTCTCTTGCATACAACTCCAAAAATCCTTGGACTCTCCAAAATGGGGAATCTTTTTGTATGCTAATGAGCTAACTAATGGCTGGCAACCCTTAGGTAGCTTCAGGATGGAGGCTAGTCACTGGAAAGACCAAGGCAGAATTAGAGGGTTGGACTTTCAGCTCCACCCCCCAACCTCTGGGGAGTAAACAGATGCCAAAGGTTAAGTTGATCACCAATTGCCAATGATTTACTCAATTATGGCTAGTAATGAAGCTCCCATAAAAACTCCAAAAAACAGGGATAAGGGTGTTTCTGAATAGCTGAGCACTTGGAGCTTCTTGAAGAGCACTGCATCTGGAGAGGGCATGAAAGCTCTGCACTCTTTTCCATGCCTTGCCCTACGCATCTCTTCATTGGTATCTTTTGCCATATCCTTTGTAATAAACTGGTAAATATAAAGGAGTCATGTCATACACCTTAAATATATACAATAATTAATTAATAAGAAATCAGAGAATATAAGTAACTTTTCAATATTGTCTGCATTACTGATTTGATATGTGTCTAATTCTGATTTTAAACTATATTCAGGGAATTTTGACAGGAAAACAGCCCAGAAAGAGTAAAAAATTTAAAAATAAGATGTAAATTTTAAGTCATGTATAATCTCATGGGTTAAGCTTGTAACCCATCAAAAAACAGAGATTATAATGAAAGAAACAAATTATAGGACTGATTCATTCCATTCATCATATTAGATCTCTTGACACCTATTCACCTAAATTTACTTTCTGAGTAATAAGTTAAACTAATTTTAGTTTAAATTAAAGCTGTAAGCATCTATTATTTTCCTACTTTCATTTTTGTCAAAGTTACATATGTCTGTAAATTTAAAAGTCAAATAGTTTCACAGTGTTGCTATGAAGAAAACTGTCCCTACAATTCTTCCTCCCTAAAAGTAACTACTTCCAATTCTTGTGTCTAATGTTTAAAATTTACTTACTAAAGAGCACTAAATAACATGTGTTTATTGTTATTTATCTTTGAATATATAGATGTTAAGCTATAAATTTTCCTCTAAACATGACTTTAGCAGCATTGCAAAAGTTTTCCCCCCTAAATATAACATTTTAACAAGCATTATAAAAAAATAGAGGAAAATATTCAAAAGACCAGTGGTACACTGAACCCATGAAGTCAGATAAATTCAACTACCTAATTATTTTTAAAAAGAGATTCTCATTTAATCTGTGGAGAACTCATGCATTCACATTTACTCTCAGAATACCTACCATGTGCCAGGCATTCAATGATTTTATAAAAAGAAAAACAATACTTTTTCTTTCACTGAAGTCGTTGTTGGATTGTTCAAACAAGCAAACTAGTACAATTTCAATTCAAAACAACATTTATTAAATGACTAGAAATGTACATCTTCATGATTCACCAATTGTTATTGGAATTAGGATCTCATTGTTGTTATCTAACTGTAAATACTATAGGTCAACCTGCAAAAGAGAAATAAAAATAATATCAGCTACTTCTTACGTGGTTAACTTCAGAGCTCTTTACCAGTTGTTATGAATATGGTTTAACATTAGGTTCAATAGTGTAATGGATAATCTATGAAAAACAAAATTTGCCTTGAGATGTGGTTCTGATTATATTTCACTGACACTAGTTCTTCCTTTATTTTCCAATGGGAAATTACACTTTTATGCTTTCTGGAAGTACTCTTAGAGGTCATCTAGTCCAATGTCTTACCATATCCAACTACGACACACCTAACTAACCTTTGTTTGAACAAATTCAGGACAGAGACCTAACTACTACACAAGGAAGTCGGCTCTATTTTTGGAAAATTATAATATTCAGAAATATTGTTAGAATGTGAGACCACCTTACATTCTCAGGATTTATCACAAAGAAGATAATGATGATGGTTGATAGATAATAGATAAATAGATAGATAATAGGTTGTTTTATGAGTGAGAGATAATAGATAAATAGACAGATAATAGATTGTTTTATGAGTGAACAAATGAATGGACAAATGAAACCAAAATCTGTCTCCCTATTATTTCAATGCATTTGTTTTATTTTTTTCCCATTCTGAAGCTGTATAACTAATTCTAGTCCTTCCTCTGTTTGATGATATTTTAAATATTTGAAGATAATACTGTTAGTCCTAAGTCTTCTCTTTGTCAAGTACATGTTTAAGTTTCTAATGAGAAAGTATGAATTATGCTCCTCTCCTCTCTGAGACAGAGATAAAAGTGCAACAAAGTAATTAAATTATCAGCTGTTAATTAATTAATGTATTGTTCTGTGAAGTACAGCTTAGACCTGAGGCTAAAATGCTCTTTTCACTCTTTCCTCTTATTTGAGGCGTTTGGATCTACATTTTAGCCTGTTTGGGTTTGCAGAGCATTCAGTAACCCAAGAAGCCTTATCTTGGCCGGCTTTATATTCCAGCAAACCTAATATGGATTTGGGCAGCCACATTAACTCAGTGTTACAAATAAAAGAGGACCAGTGAAAACCAAACTGACGTGGCCTCACCAATCAAATAAGTCACTTCTCATCCTATGGAAAAGACCTAGTGAAAGGTGATGAGAAGGCAACAACAGCTTCCTACTAGAAGTTCCTAATCTGACATGTCTTTTAAACCTTTCCCTGTTTGCATCAACTTCTCTAGAAATTCTAGTTTGCTAACTTTTTTTAACGTAGGACCCAAATCTGAGCACAATTTTTCAGATACAATACTATTCTTAAGGAATAGAGAGGTGTACTTCCTCTGTGAAAAAAAAATTCGCTTTATTTTAAAACTTATAGTCAAACATTTTTGCATTTATTACTATTATAGTGCATCTTACAAATTGTATGATCTTCTCCTACAATTTTTTTTAAAAAAAACTTTTGTGTATATTTCTATAAGTTTTATCACATGTATAGATTCCTATAATCACCATCACAATCAAAATACAGATTAGTTCTATCACCTCAAAAAATTCCTTTATGCTATACCTTTCTGAACACACTTTTTTGTATGTTGATATCTGTGTTTAACCTTGTATCTGGAAACTTTGTTAAACCAGTTTTATGAGTTTGGTTGGGGGAGGCGTTCTTTGTTTTTTAGATTCCTTGGGAGAATTATGTTGTTTGTGGATATAAATGGTTTTATTTATTTCTTTCCAAACTTCATGGTTTTTCTTTCCTTGCCTTGCCTTTTGCATTTGCTAGGTTTTAGTATGATGTTGAATAAGAGTGGTGATATTTGACATCTTTGCCTTATTCCTCATCTTATGTGGAAAGCATTTAGTCTTTCACCATTAAGTGTTACATTAACTGTAGGTTTTGAGGGGTGCCCTTTCAGGTTGAAGAAGTTTCCTTCTATTTATAGTTTCCTGATTTTTTTTTTCTAGAATGAATGTGAAATTTTGTCAAATGCATTTTCTGCCTCAATTAAAATGATCATATGGTTTTGCTTATTCTGTTAATGTGGATTACTTTGCTTGGTTTTCAAATATTGAACCAGCCTTTCATTCCCAAGATAAAACCTAATTGGTCACAATATATTAGTCTTTTCATAGATTTGTGGACTTAATTTGCTAATGTTTTGTTGAAGATATCTGCGTTGATGTTCATGAGGGATA
The DNA here is from genome assembly GCF_000001405.40 of Homo sapiens. Taxonomy (NCBI): domain Eukaryota; kingdom Metazoa; phylum Chordata; class Mammalia; order Primates; family Hominidae; genus Homo; species Homo sapiens. Next base: position 161,728,772 of record NC_000002.12, on the reverse strand, counting down.
TTAGTTTGCACATTTTCTTGTATTGCCTTTGTGTGATTTTGGTATCATGGTTAATTCTGGCTTCATAAAATGATTTGGGAAGTGTCTTTTTTGTCTTCTATTTTCTAGTAGAAATTATGTAGAATTGGCATTATTACTTCATTAATTTTTAAGAGAATTCTCCAGTGAAAAATCTTGGCTAGAATTTTTTTTTTTCCTTTGGACAGGGTCTTCCTCTGTCGCCTAGGCTGGAGTACAGGGCGCGATTTCAGCTCACTGCAACCTCCATTTCCCGGGTTTGAGCAATCTCCTACCTCAGCCTCCCCAGTAGCTGGGACTACAGGGGCACACCACCATGCCCAGCTAATTTTTGTATTTTATGGTAGAGACAGGGTTTCACCATGTTGGTCAGGCTGGTCTTGAACTCCTGACCTCAGATAATTTGCCCACCTTGAGCTCCCAAAATGTTGGGATTACAGGCGTGAGCCACCATGCCATTGTTGGCCTGAATATTTTTATTTTGAACTGTTTTTAACTGTGAATTCAGTTTAGGACTGAATAGTTATAGGACTATTCAATTTATTTCATTTGGGGTGAGTTTTGGTAGTATATAATTTTCAAGAAATTGTTCCATTCATCTAAGTTGACAGATTTATGTACATAGACTTTTCCTAGTATTCCCTTGTTAATACTAAAATGTCTGGAGAGTCTATAGTAATATTCACTCTCTCATTCCTGATATTGGTAATTTGTGTCTTCACTTTCATTTTTATTTATGAGGCTTGATAGAAGTTTGTCAGTTCTTTTTCTCAGAGCTTTTAGAATCTCTTTAATCTCAGTCTTTTGCAATTTGATGATGATGTGCCCTTGGTGTGGTACTATTTTTATTTATTATGCTGTGCATTTGGTGAGCTCTTTAAATCATACACCGGTCCTTTTGTTCTCATAATATTTTAAAATTTGTTGGGATTATTTCTATTTTCTGTTTTCTCTTTCTGGAACTGTTATGTCAGATTTTAGACTTTGTGTCTTCTAATTTTCTCATTCTTTCTATTCTATTTTCCACCTTCCTCTCAATTTTCTTGGAGATTACCTCATCTTTATTTTCCTTTCATTGTGTTTAGTGTTTCACTTCAGCTATCATGTTTTCAATTTCCAAGAACTCTTATTTGTTCTCTCAATGTTCCTGTGTAATAGCACCTTCTTTTTATTTAATAGATTCAGTTTCTTGTCCTCTCTAAGGGTTTTAATGACAAAATTTGGAAAGATTTTTCTCCCATCCTACTCTCTGCTCCCAAAATATTTCTTTTTCCTAATGTATTGGCTTCTATCTTTTATGTTGGAAGTTTTCTTCAGAGATTGCATAATCTTTGGTTATCTGCTCATATTTAAGAGTGTGAACTAAATACTGAAGAAGCCCTGAGAATGTGGATTGAGCTTGTCAACTTTGAGCACACTGTAAAGTATTTGGTTTAGTTGTTTTTTGGGGGGAACACTGATTTCAATATGTTTGGGGCTTTCTTCTTGAGCTGGTTAGATTCCACAGGGAAGGATCCTGCAATATCCTGCCTGGTAACTGAAGGCCTGGCTGCCAGCTCTAGGAATAAGATGAAGGAATAGAGTTGATATTGCAGCTTTCTCACTGAATCCATCTGTTCTTAAGATAGTGTTTTCCACCTTTAACTGTACCTGGGTTACATAGTCCAAAGCAAATTTGAATAACCCTCTCCAGTGAATAAAATTCCAGTATTCTGCTGGAGTAGGGGTGGGAGATTTGCATGGCTATCTGAAGTGAGGAGAAAGAGTATTTGGAAGTGTGATTAACTTTTAATCCAATACTCTTTTTTAAACAACTTGAGTCTCTTTGTTTGTTTGTTTGCTTTTTGAGACAGAGTCTTGCTCTGTTGCCCAGGCCAGAGTGCAGTGGCACAGTCTCGGCCCACTGCAGCCCCCACCTCCTAGGTTCAATTGATTCTCCTGCCTCAGCTTCCCAAGTAACTGGGATTACAGGCATGTGCCACCACACCTAGTTAAATTTTGTATTTTTAGTAGAGTTGAGGTTTTACCATGTTGGCCAGGCTGGTCTCCAACTCCTGACTGCAAATGATCTGCCTGCCTCGGCCTCCCAAAGTGCTGGGACTACAGGTGTGAGCCACCGCACCCGGCGAATTCTCTCTTACAAAGGTACCTGGTGCCTTTTCAGGTTGTGTCACTGTAAATTGGATTGGATTTCAGCTTTTGCCACTGCCAATTTATAATTCTGATTTCTCAGTGGGCCAAGACACTTAACATTTTCATTCTGCCTTTCTGCTTACAAAATTTCGTCAATTTTTTCCCTCTAACATTCTCCCCACATTCATTTAGTTTTGGGGGAGAGGAGCGGTTTAGAAAATTCCCTTAGTTGTCTTTTTAACAGGACTTCTGGAGATAGGAAAAGTAGCTGTGTATGTTGTATTAGCTAGTTTTACCTAAAGCCTCCTCATTTTACTTCATTTTTAATTCTACTATGTTTTCAGAGTAAGTAGCCAAAATAATACTTATTTGTATCCCTATTATTTGATAGTTACTCTTACTATTATTATTCATTGTAATTGTTATTTTTCTAATCTCCACTTCACAGTAAACAACCCCTCAATGAGCTTCAGAAATCTCCTTTTTGTTGCCCTAAAGCATTTTTAAATATTCTTAAATCTATAAAACATAATCTATTGAGACATCATTAATAGATGATACTTACTAATCATTTAACATGTGCCAGAATCTGTACTAGGTAATGAGAATACTGAATTAAAAGACACACTTGCTTTCTAAGATTTCACATTCTAAGGGAGAAGACGTGCAAGTATGTGTGCTTTTAAATGTTATACATGGTAAATATTATGCCAGAAGTAGGTTTAGTATTCTAAGGGATATATAAATGAGAACCTAATCCCACTAACTTATGCTAAAACCAACAATTAAAGGACAAAAAGGATCAGGGTGAATAGGGTATTCCAGACAGATGGCACGGCTTTGGCAAAAGGATGGCAGTATCCATTAAGCCAATACATTAGGAAAATTGATTTCAAAGGTTATAAATCCCCACTTTTTAAAATTTGACTGAGTTTTTTCTTTAGACATCTCAAATGATTACACCACCCGGGTGAGAAGAGCATAAATCTAGTATTTTTACTGTAATTTTTTTGTAGGAGAAAATTAAGATACAGGCAAGCCAATAGGAGAGCTAGAACTAGAACTGAAATTTTGGTTTTCTGACTGTTATCTGAATGGTTAATCATTGAATAATTCTGACTTTGCATTCTGAAACTGTTAGTTCCTTAGCTGTCTTACTTTTTTCAGTGTTGCATATAATTACAGTAATAGCTAACATTCATCATAAGGCTTACAATGTGCCAGAAACAATGCTAAAACTTTGCATACATTATCTCCTTAAAAATCTTTAAAACAGATGAGTATTCTGAGACTTAAAGAGGTGAAAAAAGTTTCCCAGGACCACTCAGCTACAAAAAGTGGAAAGAGTTTGAAGACAGGTCAATGCTTCTAGTCAATGTGCCATACTACAAAGGTAATATATTAGTTAAATGTAAAATCTAAAATTCCTCAATTTCACTTTAAAGCACCTCAGAGTCTGGCCCAGCCATACTTACATACCTCAGCCAATATGAATTCCTACTAGTGTTCAAAGCGATTTAGGCCATATTTGCTCATGAACATTTCATTCTCATTCTTCATTTTCTTATTCAACAAAAAATTTAGTAAGCAGTAACTATGTGCCAAGCACCATATAAGTTATGGCTTTAAAGAAATAAAAGATGTGTATTTAATGCCTTTGCCCTTAAACAGTTCACAGTTAAGAAAGAATAAAATCAATGACTCTAATAATGCATATATGGTGCTTCAACTAAGGTAAATCCTGGAATCCAGAAAAACATTAGAAGAAAACAACTAAGAATTAGTTGTTTCAGTGATGTGGGAATGTTTCAAAAGGAAGTGCTACTTAATGTAAATAAATCCTAAGGAATAAGAAAAGGTCAGCAAGACAAAAACAAACATAAATGAGGGGGCAATGGCATTAAAGACAGAAGGGACCACATTTTAAGAGGCTTGAGAGAGTCTGCCTCTTTCTATCTAAACAGTAGAATTTAAGACTAAATTTAACTAAAGATGACTGTTTAAAAATCACTACTTCAGAGAAGCTTTTCTTGACAACCCCCAGATTTGGTAAATTGCCTGTTTCAGATTCCCATAGCACGCTGCACTAAAGATTATATCTATCTTGTTCACACTGCTCCCCCAGCATTTAAGAAATAATAGATGTTCACAAAGTACCTGTTCAGCAAATGAATAAGTGGTGAATAAACATGTGACGAAACTACCAATGCCTCAGTATAGATGAAGTGATTGAAGGGTATATTTGGGATGTGGCAGGAGATGACCAATAAGCACTAAGTGCCTTTATGCCATGAAAATAACTCTAAAAATTATCTTGAAAGTAATGGTGAGCCTTTCAATGAGTTTAAGTAGGCAAACCCCTGATTCTGGTTTACATTTTAGAAGGAGTACTCTGGCAGCTCAGAAGTGAGTGAATTGGTTTTTGGATGGTTGAGGTGAGGGGAAGAAAAAGACCAGTTAAGAAATGGTTACAATAGTCCAGGTGAAGAGAAAGAAAAGAACGGGCAGATTTTGAACTCCTTCAGAGAAAGAATCTACCTAACTTGCTGATTAATTGGTTTTGAGGTTGCGATAAGGAAGTTGAGGATGATTGTCAGGTTGTCATGCTATGAAAGACAAAAACATTTTGAAGAGAATATAGTGTATTTAGTTTGATACATATCAAGTTTGAGATATTTATAAGACAAATGAGCAGAGATGTCTACCAGGATGCAATGTCTACAACACTAAACAGAGGTTAAGGTATAGATTTCAGCTATAGATATGGAAGTCATCAGTATGTAAAGCAGCAATTCTCAACATTGTCTGCTAATTATATTTACTTGGAATGTTTTTTGAAAATATTCAAGCCTGGGTTCTATCTCCATAGATTTTATTTAGTGCTTCTGAAATAAATTTGGGGATTCAATGTTATTAAATCCTACGTATTTGATTCTGATGCATAGTCACTATTAAGAGCCACCAACAGTCGATTTAAATCATGGATATAGATCAGATTTGTTTTTTGCAAACAGTAGGCTGCACACCTTGAGGAAGATTGAGACAAAATTATCAGAAAGATTATGATAATAATAACTGCAATTTATTGAGAAGCTATGCCAGGAACTGTGCGTATATTATTTCTAGTGGAAACGAAACCAGAAGGAAGTACAATGAAACCAATGAAAGTCAAGTCACAGAGAACAAAAACAAGTGAATCCTGCACCTTCAACTGAAGTATCCAGGCTCCCCTATTGAGACTGACTAGGCAGTTGGCGTGACCCACGGAGAGCGAGAAAAAGCAGGGTAGAGTGACAGCCAACCCATGAGCCACACAGAGCAAAGGAAGCTCCCACCCCCAGCCAAGGGAGGAGGTGAGTGATTGTAGTACCTGCCTGGTAAACCACACTTTTCCCATGGATCTGTGAAACCTGAAGATCAGGAGATCCCCTCATGAACCCATGCCACTAGTGCCTTGGGACCCAAGCACAGGGCTGTGAGGACTCTCGGCAGGCTCAGGTTGTGACCACGGGCAGCAGGCTGGAGAGTGCCTAAGACGAACTGAGGGAAAGGGACAGCCTCCATCACTGCAGCATCAGTCAGCCGCTTTCCCCTACCAGTGCTAGGGATACTGAGTAGTTTGGACCTGGAGGAATTCCCTACAGTGCAGTCCAGCAGCTGCGGCAGATTGTGGCCAGACTGCTTCTTTAGGTCGGATTTGGATCCATCCCTCCTCACCAGGCAGGGCATCCCTGTGAGAATTTCAGCAACTCCATCCAGGCGTTTACAGAGAGAAATCTGATCTCCCTGGGATGGAGGCCCTGTGGGGAGGAGAGGACGCAGTCTTGTGGGTTCAGTGGACTTAGTCTTTCCTGTCTGCTGGCTCTGAAGAGTGCAGGCAGACCAGACAAAGGGGATTTTCCCCAGAGCAGTGCACCAGCTCTGCCAAGGGGTAGCCAGAGTGCTTCGTTAAGTGAGTCCCTGATCCCATGCCTCTTGACTTGGGGAGACCCCCCAAAAGGGGTCACCAGACACCTTGTACAGGAGCATTCTGGCCAGCATCAGGTTGGTGCTCCTCTGGGACAGAGCTCCCATCTTTGCTGTTCTGCAGCCTCCACTGGTGACACCTCCAAGTGTGGAAGGGATTTAGGTAAATAAGATCTGGAGAGGACCCCCAGCAAACCACAGCAGCCCTGTGGAAGAGAGGCCTAACTGTTAAAAGAAAAGCAAACAAACAGAAAACAACAAAACAGCAACATCAACAGAAAAGAACCCCACAAAAACCCCATCCAAAGGTCAGCAGCCCCAAAGGTCAAAGGTAGATAAGCTCATGAAGATGAGAAAGAACCAATGCAAACATTCTGAAAACTCAAAAAGCCAGAGTGCCTCTCTCCTCCAAATGATCACAACGTCTCTCCAGCAAGAGCATAGAACCGGGCTGAGGGTGAGATGGATGAACTGACAAAAGTAGGCTGCAGAAGGTGAGTAATAACAAATTTCACCAAGCTAAAGGAGTACGTTCTAACCCAATGCAAAGAAGTGAAGAACCATGATAAAACAGGAGCTGTTAACCAGAATAAACAGTTTAGAGAGGAACGTAAATGACCTGATGGAGGTGAAAACACAACAGAATAACTTCACAATGCAACCACAACTATCAATAGCTGAATAGACCAAATGGAGAAAAGAATCTCAGAGCTTGAAGACTATCTTGCTGAAGTAAGACAGGCGACAAGATTAGAGAAAGAAGAATGAAAAGGAACAAACAAAACATCCAAGAACTATAAGGATTATGTAAAAAGACCAAACTATGACGGATTGGGGTACCTGAAAGAGATGGAAAGAATGGAACCAAATTGGAAAACATACTTCAGGATATCATCCGAGGGAAATTCCCCAACCTAGCAAGACAGGCCAACATTCAAATTCAGGAAATCCAGAGAACCCCCGTAAGATAATCCGTGAGTAGATCAACCCCAAGACATATAGTCATCAGATTCTCCAAGGTAGAAATGAAGGAAAAAATGTTAAGGGCAGCCAGAGAGAAAAGCCAGGTCACCTACAAAGGGAAGTCCATCAGACTAACAGCAAACATCTCAGTGGAAACCCTATAAGCCAGCAGAGACTGGGGGCCAATATTCAACAGTCTTAAAGAAAAGAATTTCTAACCCAAAATTTCATATCTGGCTAAACCACGCTTCATAAGTGAAGGAGAAATAGAACCCTTTTCAGACACGCAAATACTGAGGGAATTTGTCACCACCTGGCCTGCCTGCCTTGTAAGAGCTCCTGAGAAAAGCACTAAATATGAAAGGGAAAATCATTAGCAGCCACTACAAAAACACACTGAAGTACACAGACCAATGACTCTATGAAGCAACTACACTAACAAATCTACAAAATAACTAGCTAGCATCATGATGACAGGATCAAATTCACACATAAAGATATTATTCTTCAATTAAATGGGCTAAATGCCCAAATCAAAAGACACAGAATGGTAAGCTGGATAAAGAGTCAAGGCCCTGGCTCATGCCTGTAATCCAAGCACTTTGGGAGGCCGAGGTGGGTGGATCACCTGAGGACAGGAGTTCAAGACCAGCCTGATCAACATGGTGAAACCCCATCTCTGCTAAAACTACAAAAATTAGCTGGGCGTGGTGTCACATGCCTGTAATCCCAGCTACTTGGGAGGCTGAGGCAGGAGAATTACTTGAACCTGGGGGCAGAGGTTGCAGTGACCAAGATCATGCCACTGTACTCCAGCCTGGGTGACAGAGCAAGACTCTGCATCAAGAAAAAAAAGAAAAAAAAAAAAGAGTCAAGACTCATTGGCGTGCTGTATTCAAGAAATCCATCTCACATGCAAAGATACAGATAGGCTCAAAATAAAGGGATGGAGGAAAATTTACCAAGCAAATGGAAAGCAGAAAAAAGCAGGAGTTGAAATCCTAGTTTCTGACAAAAGAGACTTTAAACCAACAAAGATCGAAAAAGACAAAGAAGGGCATTATATAATGGTAAAGGGTTCAATTCAACAAGAGGAGCTAACTGTCCTAATTATATATGCTCCCAATACAGGAGCACCCAGATTCATAAAACACATTCTTGGAGACCTATGAAGAGACTTAGACTCCCACACAATAACAGTGGGAGATACAAGGTAATTTATAGATTCAATGCCATCCCCATCAAGCTACCAATGACTTTCTTCACAGAATTGGAAAAAAACTACTTTAAAGTTCATATGGAACCAAAAAAGAACCCACATCACCAAGTCAATCCTAAGCCAAAAGAACAAAGCTGGAGGCATCACGCTACCTGACTTCAAACTATACTACAAGGCTACAGTAACCAAAACAGCATGGTACTGGTACCAAAACAGAGATATAGATCAATGGAACAGAACAGAGCCCTCAGAAATAACACTGCATATCTACAACTATCTGATCTTTGACAAACTTGAGAAAAACAAGCAATGGGGAAAGGATTCCCTATTTAATAAATGGTGCTGGGAAAACGGGCTAGCCATATGTAGAAAGTTGAAACTGGATCCCTTCCTTACACCTTATACAAAAATTAATTCAAGATGGATTAAAGACTTAAATGTTAGACCTAAAACCATAAAAACCCTAGAAGAAAACCTAGGCATTACCATTCAGGACATATGCATGGGCAAGGACTTCATGTCTAAAACACCAAACGCAATGGCAACAAAAGCCAAAATTGACAAATGGGATCTAATTAAACTAAAGAGCTTCTGCACAGCAAAAGAAACTACCATCAGAGTGAACAGGCAACCTACAAAATGGGAGAAAATTTTCGCAACCTACTCATCTGACAAAGGGCTAATATCCAGAATCTACAATGAACTCAAATTTACAAGAAAAAAACAACCCCATCAAAAAGTGGGCCAAGGATATGAACAGACATTTCTCAAAAGAAGACATTTATGCAGCCAACAGACACATAAAAAAATGCTCATCATCACTGGTCATCAGAGAAATGCAAATCAAAACCACAATGAGATACCATCTCACACCAGTTAGAATGGCAATCATTAAAAAGTCAGGAAACAACAGGTGCTGGAGAGGATGTAGAGAAATAGGAACACTTTTACACTGTTGGTGGGACTGTAAACTAGTTCAACCATTGTGGAAGTCAGTGCGGCGATTCCTCAGGGATCTAGAACTAGAAATACCATTTGACCCAGCCATCCCATTACTGAGTATACCCAAAGGACTATAAATCATGCTGCTATAAAGACACATGCACATGTATGTTTATTGTGGCTCTATTCACAATAGCAAAGACTTGGAACCAACCCAAATGTCCAACAATGATAGACTGGATTAAGAAAATGTGGCACATATACACCATGGAATACTATGCAGCCATAAAAAATGATGAGTTCATGTCCTTTGTAGGGACATGGATGAAGCTGGAAACCATCATTCTCAGCAACCTATCACAAGGAGAGAAAACCAAACACTGCACGTTCTCACTCATAGGTGGGAACTGAACAATGAGAACACATGGACACAAGAAGGGGAACATCACACTCTGGGGACTGTTGTGGGGTGAGGGGAGGGGGGAAGGATAGCATTAGGAGATATAACTAATGCTAAATGACGAGTTAATGGGTGCAGCACACCAGCATGGCACATGTATACATATGTAACTATCCTGCACATTGTGCACATGTACCCTAAAACTTAAAGTATAATAATAAAAAAAACAGTGGGAGATAATAACACCCTGCTGTCAATATTAGACTCATCATCACGACAGAAAATCAACAAAGGACTTGAAGTCAGCTCTGCATCAAGTGAACTTGATAGTTATCTACAGATCTTTCCACCCAAAAACAACAGAATATACATTCTTCTCAGCACTACATGGTGCCTACTCTAAAACTGATCACATAAGTGGAAGTAAAACACTCTTCAGCAAATGCAAAAGAACTGAAATCACAACAGTCTCTCAGACCATGGCACAATCAAATTAGAATTCAAAATTAAGAAACTCACTCAAAACTACACAACTACATGGAAATTGAACAACCCACTCCTGAATGACTTCTGGGTGAATAAAATAATTAAGGCAAAAATCAGGAAGTTCTTTGAAACTAATGAGAACAAAGAGAGCATACCAGAATCTCTGGGACACAGCTAAAGCAGTGTTAAGAGGGAAATTTATAGCACTAAATGCTGCCATCAAAATGCTAGCAATATCTCAAACCCACATCCTAACATCACAACTGAAAGAACTATTTACAGAGAACCAAGAGCAAACAAACCCCAAAGCTAGCAGAAGACAAGAAATAAGCAAGATCAGAGCAGAACTGAAGGAGAGAGACACACAAAAAAACCCTTCAAAAAATCAACGAATCCAGGAGGTGATTTTTTTAAAAAATTAATAAAATAGCTAGACCACTAGCTAGACTAATAAAGAAGAAAAAAGAGAAAAATCAAATAGACACAGTAAAAATGATAAAGGGGATATCACAGAAATACAAACAACCATCAGAGAATACTATAAACACCTCTATGCAAACAAACTAGAAAATCTAGGAGAAATGGATAAATTCCTGGACACATACACCCTCCTCACACTGACCCACAAAGAAGTTGATTCCCTGAAGAATAATCAATAACCAATAACCAATAACAAGTTCTGAAATTGAGGCAGTAAAAATAGCCTCCCAAACAAAACAGCCCAGGACCAGATGAATTTACAGCTGAATTCTACCAGAGGTACAAAGAGGAGTTGGTACCATTTCTTCTGAAACTATTCCAAACAATTGGAAAGGAGGGACTCCTCTGTAAACCATTTTATGAGGCCAGCGTCATCCTCACACCAAAACCTGGGAGAGATATAACAAATAAAGAAAACTTCAGGCCAATATCCCTGATGAATATCAATGCAAAAATCTTCAAGAAAATGCTGGCAAAATGAATCCAGCAGCACATCAAAAAGCTTATCCATCGCAATCAAGTCTACTTCATCCCTGGGATGCAAGGGTGGTTCAGCGTATGCAAATCAATATACATAATTCACCACATGAACAGAACTAAAGAAAAAAGCCACGTGATTATCTCATTAGATGCAGAAGAAGGACTTTGATAAAGTTCAACATCCCTTCGTCTTAAAAACTCTAAATAAACTAGGTTTGAAGGAACATACCTCAAAATAATAAAAGCCATTTATGACAAACTCACAGCCAATATCATACTGCATGGGCAAAAGCTGGAAGCATTCCCCTTGAAAACTGGCACAAGACAAGGATGCTCTCTCACCACTCCTATTCAAATAGTATTGGAAGTTCTGGCCAGGGCAATCAGGCAAAGAGAAATAAATAAAGCGTATTCAAATAGAAAGAGAAGAAATCAAATTGTCTTTGCCCATGACATGATCCCATACCTAGAAAACCCCATCATCTCAGCCCAAAAGCTTCTTAAGCAGATAAGCAACTTCAGCAAAATCTCAGGATAAAAAATCAACATGCAAAAATCACAGGTATTCCTATACACCAACAACAGACAAGCATAAAGCCAAATCATGAATGAACTCCCATTCACAATTGCTACAAAGAGAATAAAATACCTAGAATACAGCTAACAAGGAATGTGAAGGACCTCTTCAAGGAGAACTACAAACCACTGCTCAAGGAAATCAGAGATGACTCAAACAAATCGAAAAACAATCCACACTCATGGATAAGAAGAATCAACATCATGAAAATGGCCATACTGCCCAAAGTAATTTATAGATTCAATGATTAAACTACCAATGACATTCTTCACAGAATTAGAAAAAAAATTTTAAAATTCATATGGAACCAGAAAAGAGCTGGTATAGTCAAGACAATCCTAAGGAAAAAAGAATAAAGCTGGCAACATCACCCTACCCAACTTCAAACTGTACTACAAGGCTACAGTAACCAAAGCAGCATGGTATTGGTACAAAAACAGACACATAGACCAATGGAACAGAATAGAGAACTCAGAAATAAGACCATACATTTACAATTGTCTGATCTTCAACAAACCTGACAAAAACAAGCAATGGAGAAAGGATTCCCTATTTAATAAATAGTGCAGAAAATTGAAAATGGACCTTTTCCTTACATCTTTTACAAAAATTAACTCAAGATGGAGTAAAGACTTAAATGTAAAACCCAAAATTATAAAAACCCTAGAAGAAAATCTAGGCAATACCATTCAGGACATAGGCACGGGCAAAGATTTCATGACAAAAATATCAAAAGCAATTGCAACAAAAGCAAAAATTTACAAATGGGATCTAATTAAACTAAAGAACTTCTGCACAGCAAAAGAAACTATCATCAGAGAAAACAGACAACCTACAGAATGGGAGATTTTTGCAATCCATCCATCTGGCACAGGCCTAGTATCCAGACTCTACAAGGAACATAAACAAATTTACAAGAAAAAAAAAAAACCCATCAAAAAGTGGGCAAAGGACATGAACAGACACTTCTCAAAAGAAGATATATAAGCAGCCAAAAAACATATTTAGAGAAAGCTTAATATTGCTGATTATTAGAGAAATTCAAATTAAAACCACAATAAGATACCATCTCATGCCAGTCAGAATGGTGATTATTAAGAAGTCAAGAAACAACAGATGCTAGCGAGGCTGTGGAGAAACAGAAACACTTTTACATTTTTGGTGGGAATGTAAATTAGTTCAAACATTGTAGAAAACAGTGTGGCAATTCCTCAAAGACCTGCAACCAGAAATACCATTTGACCCTATTACTGGGTATACACTCAAAGGAATATAAATCATTCTATTATAAAGATACATGCGTGCGTATATTCATTGCAGCACTATTAACAATATCAAAGGCATGGAATCAACCCAAATGCCCATCAATGATAGGCTGGATAAAGAAAATGTGGTACATAGACACCCTGGAATACTATGTGGCCATAGAAAGGAATTAGATCATGTCTTTTACAGGGATATGGATGGAGCTGGAAGCCATTATCATCTGCAAACTAACGCAGGAACAGAAAACCAAATACCACATGTTCTCACTGGGAGCTGAAAGATGAGAACACATGGACACAGGCAGGGGAAAAACACACACTGGGGTCTGCTGAGGGGTGTGTGAGAAGAGGGAGAGCATAAGGAAAAATAGCTAATGCATGCTGGGCTTAATACCTAGGTGATGGGTTGATAGGTGCAGCAAACCACCTTGGCACACATTTACCTATGTAACAGACCTGCGTATCCTGCACATGTATCCCAGAACTTAAAATCAAATAAAAGTCACAATTCTTCCATTAAGTCTTTCACAGTAGTTTCAGTTTACCTTCATGTCTTTAGTCTCAATTTGGCATTTAGAATATGCTAATTTATACATGGCTATCTAATTCAGGTGTTTATACTCTAAACAGTATGAAACAGTAGTTAAGGCCAACAGCTGTAGAGCTAGACTTTCTGGGTTTGAAACTCAAATTGTCCTATCCTTTGCAGGCAATTTTGATCTTGGGCAAACTACTAAATTTCTTTTTCAGTATACTATATATACTTAAGGTAGAATGTATACGTATGTATAGACATACATACATACTAAAATTGTGTTTACATAGGATGTACAGTATGTGTGTGTACATATATGCATATTTGTGTGTATACACACAAATATACACATACATATTTGTAGCATTTACCTAGTTCAGTGGGGATAATTATAATAACCAAAAGCTAGGCACTGTATCAAACACTCTAGGCACTGTTTGAAGTATTAATTTATTATTTTATTTGATTTTCATTACAACTCTAGAGATTAACGTATTAGTGTCCTCATTTCACAGATGAAAACACTGAAGAAAAGAGAGATTAAGTAACTTCCTAAGATAAAAATTGCCAGTAAAGTGGAAGATATGGGATCATAACACAGGAGTCCCGCTCTGGAGCCCTAGCTCCTTGCTACTGTGGTATACAGCTTTCCTCCATGTTATACAGTAGCCTCAATAAATTCTTATGAGATTAAATTGAATTTGGGGAAAAAGATGAGTAGGGATAATGATATACATTTACACGCCACACATCATAATATGCTTCACTGGAACCAGTCTCTGTTGCCTTTTAGAAAGAGTAGTTTCATGGAGGAATATTGAATTCTCCCTTAACTTATTCTTCTTATTAATCTTCCCATATTGCCATTTTTAAAAGTCTTAAGGTGAAGAAAGGGTCCTTTTCCTCTAAATGCCTTCTATTTGCTTTTTGAGAAAGAAAACCATGTTTAAATGCTTAAACATTTTTAGAACAACTTGAAGCCCAATGATATTCAAGGTTTCTTTCAGAAATGGGACTATGATTCTAAGACAAGCACTGAAAATTTGTTGGGTTCCTACCAGGTGAATGGCTCTTTCCTAGGCAATGTGAAGTTGCAAAGATTAATAAGTACAACTTCACAGGAACTTCTAGAAAATACGACTTTCAAATAATGTAGATTTATACAGGAAGTACAGAGCATTCTCAGTTATATGAGTCTCCTATTGTTCTAAAAATAGAGTCAGATGAGCACCTGTGTCTGGTTTTATTTTAACTCTCCCTGTAGAATTCCAGGAGTTTTACTTCTGACATACTTTTTATGGATCATTTATACTGAGAGTAATAAGTTCCAATTTTTTCACAATTACCATGTACAAATGACGTCTTCCTGCATCTGATACCAAAAGTCACATCCCAGCTGTCACATCTAAAGGAAATCTGCTCTTGGAAGGTATCCAGCTTTTTTACTAACCTCATGCAATACTAAAATGCCTCTGGTGTATGGAGTAGAAGAAGGCGATATTAAAAGTATTTGCAAACATGGTTTACTTTATGATTTTTAAATGAACAGAGAACAAAGGTAAAATATTCAGCGACTTCCGTGATTCAAAATGGCAATTTTAATTTCCAATTTTCCCTAAGACAAAGTCCTTTTTATCCAACTATTCACCATAGTAACATGAGTATTCATTGTATTAAAATGATCCCACTAGATTGTCCTTGCTTTAGGAAATGTCAAAAACAAAGCCAAAGCTAAATCAGATTACGTACCAATAAAATGGAGTTTACATCACGGACAAGCAGGAGGTCTCTTAGGATCTGAAATCTAGGACTTTTGAGTGCTTGTGGATAGACTGAGAAATGCTCTCATGTGCAATTTTGATAGAAAATTTTATTAAAATCCTTCAGTTTGTTTCTACCCCCTACCTTGTCTACTAACTACTAAATCTACTCAGGAATTTAATTTTCATTCTCAAAGTCTCAAGAGGGTTAGAGCTCTGAAAATGACTTCAAAATATAGGTACTGCTCTTTTGTTTTTTTTATTTTATTTTTTCCAGGAATACGTACATCAGCAAAGAAATGTTCTCAGTTTAGAAATCATAGTCTAGCATTCAAGATTCTACACTTATCTGGTCCCAACAAACCTTTCCTGTGGTAAGTCTAAGTTATCCCACTAGGCTATAGCCAAAATGAACTATTCTATTATTTGCTTTCTGCCTCCCTACCTTTAATGATGTTGTTTCCTCTGCCTGAAATGACCTTTTCTCTCTATGTTGGCCAGTCTTCAAGACTACCTCATGGCATTCACTACTTTCATATTCTGCCATAGTTACTTGTATTTTGTAGTTACAACCCATTACCTGTGACCTCCTGAAGGCAGAGACCTACAGACTTTTATATCCTTGCCCAGTACAATTCTTTCTAGAACATTGTAGGATTTTGTATATTTGTTTTTAAAAATTGCATTATTCTGAGATTCAACTGACTCTGCCAATTTGGGGGAAACAGCAGCACACTGAGGAAATTTCTTCAGAGAAGAGAAGTGAAATTCAGAGATGTAATAAAATGCCATATTTAAGCATGTAAATTTAATCCAAATATCATATTACTCACTTCTCTTTGAAGTTTATTGAGAATTTTAAGCAGATAAATGTTTTTACATTAAATAATCACCAGCAATTCAAAATATTATACTCTATCAAATGGGAACTTGAATTGTTCTACTTATATATGTAGCATTCTATTTATAATATATTTCATTTAGTGTTTCATCTAGAATAAAAATGCCAAGAAATAAAATTATTAAAAACAAGTTGTGTTTGACTTTCGGTAAAATTTTTTGTCTTGGACATTTTTGATGACTAAGTATCACTAAATCTATGCTAGGTAAATTTGCCCCTATTATTTTTTTTAAGCCTTTAAAGAAAGGCTTTTTTTTACCCCTTAATTTTAGTCTTAAACAATAAACAAGAAAGACCTTAAGTTGCTGTTAAATTTTCCCAAAGTCCTAGTAATCTTTCAGTCATGAATAAAGTAGTTGGTGTAATACAGAGAAGCAAAGAATCTGCACACATAGAATTCTAAGAGAGTTTGGATCAGCCTAGCAGGTAGATGTAAAGTTTAAACACAAAATCTTTCATCAAGTCACAATTCTTATTGTCAGTAAATGTTAGAATTGAATCAGATATAGCATGTTGTTCTTTGTTTGCATTTTTATAACTATATTTCAGTGTAGCATATATTTTTGGCTGAATTTCTTATTTGATAAAGAGATTAAGGGAGAGGGAACAAAACTAAACTGCATGATGACTGTTACAAAGTCTTGCCAATAGCCCATCCAACCTCTTAGAATGTCTATAACAAAGTCTGTCGACAAAGGATGTTGACAATAATATGTTTGATATATGTCAGGTACTCTTATAAGTGTTTCACATACATTAACTCACTTAATGTTTACCACAACTCTTTGAGGTAGGTGCCATTATTATCCCTATATTACACATCAGGAAACAAGCCAAGATCATGCAGCCAGTAAGTAGCATAGCTAAGATTTGAACCCAGAGAACATGGCAGTCCAGACACTGAACCATTGCACAAGCCTCTTACTGCAGCCAGCCATTACAAACCAGAAGAATTTGCAAATCAATTTTCTATTGCTCTAATACAAGGAAACAGGCACTTTGGAGGCACTATCAGGCAGCGTGTTCCAGTTTGGGATTCTGGGGAAACAAGGGCTTTGCATCTTCTCCACCCACCTTCCTGCAACTTTCAGCAAACATATTGGAATGAAAGAGAAGAGAGTAATGCCTGACTGTTCACCAAGCAGCAGCTAAGGTCCACTTCCATAATTAGTTGGTCCTGATCCGCTTTCTCAGAACCTGAGGTAAATCCTATTCCCCCATTTTATTCAAAGGACTCTCCAAATGACCTAGTTAGTAACAGACACTTCCATACTTGCTACTCTTTATTTCCAAGTTTTATCCCTATAAAGTCAAAACCCCTTCCATAATACTTAATTACCCACACTGAGCCTGGAATTAGACAGGATTGATCAAGTCTCTATGTTGAGCTGACACTTCTGCCTCCTGCCAGTGGACTGGGTGCACCTTCAGTCTCATACTGACAATGATGGCTTATACAACATGCAAAGCTATTTTGCTATTTTACTGATTCACAGTTTATAAAGCCCTATACGAGAAACTATGCACTCTAAAAGTCTTTAATGCAATTTTCAATAAAGTTATGGGATGCATAATGATACAGTTTGACCTAAGCCTTCATTTATCTAATATCAAGAAATTTACATGAGGAAAAAAGGTTACATGTAACTCCTTCTAGGATTCATCAGCTTATAGATTAAGTTAAAACTGATTGTAGCATACTGCCTATCAAAAATCAATTCAAAATGTGAACACAATTTATTGTATATATTTTCTAATCTCCTTGAAAGCAGGAAATGACTTTTTCTTTTCTGCATTCCTCATAACACCAAATACATACAGTATCATCCAATGCTCAGCCTTTACTATGTTTACTGAATTGAAGAATTACTCAAATAGTTTTTATAGGCAGCTTACCTTTAAAACCTTTATGATGTATAATGAAATGCATGTAAAATAGTATAAACGAAGGCAGCCTTTGTAAGGAAGATGACCAATCATTACTGGGCAAGTTTACAATCAGTTTTATCATTCCAAAGATCAAGATTATCCTGCCATGCAAGAAGAAAGATTGACATTGCATTTAACTACATTCTAACCAGTCTTTGCTTTTTATTGTAGTATATTTTGAAATAGTAATAGAGAAAAATTTCTCTGATTTGTGACAGAAATGACAATTCTAAAATAGTAATTTTTTTCCACCTTACAAAATTATCGATATCCTCATTTAAATGCCACTAACAGAAAGTAACTAAAAATCTTTACAGTTTGGTTCTCTTGAAAGGTCAGGAATACAGTGAAAAATAGCAGAATGCTGTGAAACCAATACCAAGAGGAATCCCAAAGCAATGCCAAGAAACAGAATGTACTCATAATGACTAATACATGCAAATACTGGAAATAAATTCTAACAGATTAGACATATTTTGTTGCAATTAAAAGGTATATTCAAATCATTTCAAAATTAATCAAGCTTAAGAATATGCCAATCTTCCCTACTAATAAGAATATAAGCTGGCTAAGTAGCCTGAATAACATATAAATTATAGTCAATATCAGTAGGCAGAATGTGTTTTTAATTAAAAAGGAGAAACCCCTTAACTGAATCAATTCATTGTTTCAGACTTCCTTAAATATATTCATTTTTTTAATCTATGTCATTTCACCCTGATAAGGCATTAAATTACAATCAGGCTACAGAATCATAAAGACAAAACCATCTTGCTGTTGAGAACTGCTGCAATATATTTCTCTCTTTTTGATCATTTAATATGGAGTACCTGAAAAGTTCTCTAACATTGAGGCAGAAGCATGTACAATATTTTGAAAAATGAAATATATTTCCTTCAAAATCTGAATGTCAAATATAGGTAGTTTCTTATCCAAGTATATAATTCTGAGGACATGCTGTAACAAATCAAAGTTAAATGCATTATATATAACTTGATGGGTGAAAATAGTTTAAAATAAATGGCAGAGTTTCAGTACAAAATGGACATCGAAATCCAAATCATTTGCATGTTTAACATAGTCAAGTATTTTCAGTTTGAAAATGAAAGTAAGCAAAGGACGAAGCTCTCTGGGTCAAAAAATCTTCAACAAGCTTAAATGTCACAAGCTTTCTTTGTGAAAAACAGATTTATAGTCTCCTTTCTTCTATGAACAATACGTTAGTATATATCTACCTTAAAAGCACCAAGAGCATCAATATTTCAATAGATCTGAGAAATGATTAAAACCAGTGTCTTTACAACAGTTCAGATAATGCAACATAAATTTCAGGAAATTAGTTTATAGGTCAGATGCTGACAAAGATGATTCTATTCACCAAACTTCCTTTGCTATGTAGCACACTACAATGGTAGCAGCATCAGTTTCTATGGTTAAGAAATTCCAAATAATAAAAATATTTGCAATATATCAGTATCTGTAAGCAGCTAGCTACGATGTATCCTTATCAGTTTGATCGATTTATACTATTTTTATCACTTGAAGTAAAATATAAAGATTGACTCTATTCAGGCTTAATCTGGAAAAATCTGAAGTGCCCCAAACCTTGCTTTTAATCACATTCAAAGAATCTCTTCCTTTACCGCCCTCTCCCCCAAAAAGCTAAAGTAAACACAAATTTAAACACATACACACACACAGGCACACACATACACACACATTTCTAATAATCATATTGTTTAGCTGCCATAAATCTTACTTGTTCAAATATCCTAAGGAAAGTCTGACAATAAACAATTACATTAATGAATATATTTTCAATGAGTAAGAACTAGAAAAAGCAAGCACCCTACATTCTAATATTATCATCATAATTCATGAGGTCATACCTGATGACTTAGAGATTGAAAAGGCTCACAGGTTCCAGACTGCATGACCTTTCTATTTCCAGAAACCCCTAAAGACTGCATTTCCTGTCTTACAAAAGATAATCACAGCCATCTCTATGTCTCAGCATCTTCAGGGCTAGTGAAAAAAATATCAAACAACAGATCTGTCCATCAGTATCTGTTTAAGCCATCATCAAGATATCAAATCACATATACTATTTATCATCTCCCCTGTGCAGTTACAAACACCCCATACTAAGAGAGACTGACACAGTTGTATTTGCTGATGCTGTCTGAAAACTGTAAGCTTACTGCTTAGAGCAATTCTGCATCATCGAAACAGAGAATGAGCCACATCCTTCAGATTTCCCATTTCTGATACTATGAAGACTTCATTTGCCAAGGAGAGTTGAATTTTTTCAGTCCTTTAAAAATAAGCAGTTTTCCATTTAATTAAGTATCCAATGTGTCTGTTGCAAATACCATGTTAAAATGTCAACTCTTAATTATTAGGCAGCTTTCTCTATATGTGACTAAGCTTTAGGCTTTATGACTTACCAAGCAAAATTATACTCTCTTAAAGGAATTTTCCCTCCAAACTCTGAATATCATCACTTATCCACCCATCAAAATGATGAGTGCCTAAAAAGGATTTTTATTTTGGCAATCTTTGATAGTTGTATAAATAGTAAATAGGTAAATACATATTCACCCTTTAATTTTCAGGAATTTCATTTATGTTTCAGATTCTTCATACCAACATACATTTTATATTTTTATTTACTTTCTTCTTCTAAAAAGTTTAACATGCAAAAGATTTACCAAGCAAAATTGTACTCTCTTGAAGGAATCTTCCTTCCAAACTATGGGTATCACGACTTATCCACCCATCAAAATGATGAGCGCCTATACAGGATTTTTATTTTGGCAATCTTTGATAGTTGTGTAAATAGTAAATAGGTAAATACATATTCACCTTTTAATTTTCAGGGATTTCATTTATGTTTCAGATTCTTCATACCAACATACATTTTATCTTTTTATTTAATATCTTCTTCTAAAGAATTTACATGCAAAAGATAATGTGGTATTATCAAATGCTAAAACTGCACGGTTAAGTCTAGTAATGAAACCTATGTAAGTTGTTGGCATTTTTACTATGGATTTTCACTGTGTCTTATTTATTAAAGTTTGAGTACTGTTTTCTTTTACCACAACATAGCAGAATCAGGGAACTTTAAGATTGATAAAGTGTTCTAATATAGAATCAATATCTCAAAAATTATAATTGGAAATGCTTTCTCTTTACCGTGTGACAAAAGGTTGTGTTTTATAACTAAAGAAAACACAAACCAAAAAAAAAAAAGACTAAGATTATAGTCAATTCAACTACATTCAAAATTAAGACACCAAGTGCAACATATTATCCTGAAACAGCCCTCACATTATGAATAGCCTGAATTCACGACTCTATGAACACTTTATTTACCTGTGAATAGTTTCCCTTCTTTCACTCACAACATTTGATGGAGACTAGTCACAATGAGTCTTAAGAAACTGGGCTGATCCAAATTATACTTTTAGAAAAACTACTGACTCTAACTGCACAGGTTGGAGACACAGAGCTTGGTATTCTGCTGTATGTATACTATAACACATCTGAATGAAAAATCACATGTAAACAAATATTTCCATCTATGTAGTATTTACCCTCTTATTATAATCAAAATAGGTACTCATCCTTTAAGACCTATCTTCTCAATAAAGCCTTCCTAAGCTACATCGTCTCTCTTTCTATATTCATTCTTTCCTGTAGAAAATATTGAATATCTTCTATGTGTCAGGTACTATATAGGTGCTAGGGACTCCATAACAAACAACACAAAACCTGCCATCACAGAAAGCAGATAAATCAAACAAGCATGTTTTGTTATAACTGAAGAATTAAAAGTTGACATGAAAGCCGTAGCAAGGCATCCTACCCTAATCTAGGGATCAGAAAAGATTTCCTTAGGGAAGTACTGTTAAAACAGAAGATTCTGATCTAGTCACATTCAAGGAATGGCAAATACAACATAGGTTAGACCATAAAGTGTAAGAACAGAGGGAAGAGATGAGAAGTGAGGCCCAGTCACGGTAAGCGTCAGGAGCCATTTAAAGAGTGTGAGCTTTACCCTTAGGGAAATGAGAAACTGTCAGCATAATCAGGTTTAAAATATCCCGGCTACTCTATAGACAATCAATTGAGTAAAACAAAACTGGAGGACGGGAGACAAATCAGGAGAATGTTAAATAATTTCAATCAGGGGATGATGATGGCCTGAACCAAAGAAGTGGCAATAGGAATGAAGAGAAATGAATAGATCCAGATACACATCTTATTGAAAAAAGATAGAATTCAGGGATTGAATGTGAGAAATGAGGAAAAGCGAAACATCAAGCAAGGTTCATTCCTAATCTCCTATACTATTACATATCAAAGTTATTAAATGAATCAATAATGAAAAATAAGAAAATTGAACTTTTCCTTCAGGTATTTTGTCACAGCAAGAATACAAACACTGATATTTTTATCATTCTCTGGATGTTATTAATTAGTATATATAATCCCCAATTTCCTTCAGTGTTTTCTTGTAAGCACAATTGATCTTTGCAATAAAAACATGAAACCTGAGTGCAAAGCAGCTCTTAATCTCTCTATTATCTAGTTGATAAGATCTATTTAATCCAAAAAATTACTTAACATCTATTACTTGACCCTCTTAATAGTAATTTAACACAATTAATTACTAAAAACTATGATCTCCCATTTTTAGAAAACCATTGCTCTAAAACAAATTATTTACTCATACAGTATGTTACTCATACCAGTGTTATTAAGATATGGTCATAATAGTAAAGCAGAATGCCTCTAGACTTTAGGCCCTAATAAGCCTTAACAAATATTTGATAAAAGAAATGAAGAGTAGCCAAAACCTAGCAGAACACCCTTGGACTGAATGAAGAGAGAGCCAAAAGAGTGTATCTTAGTCCATTTGGGCTGCTATAACAAAATGCCACAACAACAAATATTTATTTCTCACAGCTCCCAAGGCTGAGAAGTCTCACTCTAACCTCACATGGAAGAAAAGGGGGCAAGGCAACTCTCTGGGGCCTCTTTTATAAGGGCACTAATTCAATTTATGAGGTCTCTGCCTTCATGGTCTAATCATCTCCCAAATGTCTCACCTAATGCCCTTATATTGGTGATTACATTTTCAACATATGAACTTTGGAGATGCAAGAACATTCAGACCACAGCAGAGTAAAAAGCGTACATTGAGGGTAACTCTATTTATTTGATGACTTGCTGCACATAAGAACATCTCAAATAATAAAAGATGAGCATCTTAAAAAGAGCAAGAACTTCTTTATAATAATTACTACTCATTTAGCTCTTGCTTTTCATCTCTAAGGGATCATGTGATCCAATGCACTTATTTTACAGATGGGGAAAACTAAAATCTAGGGAAGTTAAGTGACATACCCAAGGTCAGTTATTAGTAGGGCCAAGGTCAAAATTCCTTGGCCCTACTAATTCCTGTTTCCTAGTTTTCCCCAATATAAGTCACTGTTTGAAATTATATTTTTGTATAAATATACCATATCTTAGTAATTCAAATAGCATTCATTTTAATATTTTTAGGTTGAGAAACAGTAAAAAAACTATAAGAATCACAAGTTTTCTATATTAAAGTTTACTTTTATCATAAAGATTTTACCTTTTATTTGTATTCAAAAGTGACTTGCTTCAAATACCTCAGTAAATACAAGTAATTCATTTTGTTTTACATACTACTGCTTTAAAAAGTGTAAATTAGTTCATCTTCTCAAGATAACTTGGCAAAATGTATTGAGTCTTAAAAATGTTCAGTCGTTCATCTTAGTATTTCCTGTCTGAAGGCAATAGGGCAGATTAAGATTTATGCTCAAAGATGTTTAGTGCTACATTATTTAAAAGTAAAGAAAAAGTAGAAACAATAAGAGAAAGTTTAATTAAATTATGGAACACCAAAAGTGTAATGCCATGTAACCACTGAATATTAAGAACAAAAGATGTTAATGATAAAGGAAAATATATAGCATAATAGCATATTAAATGGAAAGCAAGATCCCAATATATTTGTGGGGTACAACCTCAACTATGTAAAACATACAACAAAAGAAATAGACAAAATGTCTGATTTTTTAAAGATGGCTCCCAATATGACTCATCTTATAAATATATACCTACAGACTTCATTGTTTTTCATAAAAATAGAAACTAGTTTCTTTGGAGTATTTCAATAGTTCAACAAATACCCCTGTTTCTCATGTGCTTCCTCTTTTTACTAAAAATTTTGCTTCAGATTTCAATATTTCTAATGTTGTACTCATATTTCTGGTCTAATTTCATAAAAAATGTTCAAATCTACTTTCATTGACTAAACTTTGAAAAAATCATTCCTTCTGTGCTTTGCATATTATTTATTATGTGCGTGTGTGATTGATTGTTTACTTTCACACTTTATTTATACTGGGCTAAAGCTAGTACAGACCGTTTTTGACAAATTAGCTCTCACAACAGTTTTAGTGCTATATGAAAAAACTGGAAAAAAATTGTATGACATAATTTTTGACACTATTTGTCTAACTAATCATTGTTAGTTAGATATGATCTTAAGCGATTTTCACTAACAGCAGGACAATAGAAAGCACTGAGAGTACTGCAGAATACCTACTTCTCTTTTTTTGAGAAGTGATGAAACTACCATATTTTCACATTTACAAGGAATATGGTTGAACTTGGGGGCATAGGTCACCACGTATGTATAATGTACAGCAAAGCTATTAGGAAAGAACACCTTATAGATGGAGGCTGGCCATTTCTATTGAAATCCTAATTATTATGGCAAATAATCAATGCTGCCTGTTGAGGCAGATGTTGTAGGGTGCCACAACACATAGGGTCAGTTCAGATGAAGTGTTTGTGCCTCAAATAAAACAACTTTGCCTTCCTAAACAGGTAAAGATATGTATCCTCTCAATATACAAATGACTGCAGCAAACCTTAATAATACATCATTTCTTCTTTTTACTCCAGTTATTAATAGATTCCTTTCTTTTCTAATTTCCTCATCATCAGTAAAACTGTATAGGAGATCACACAATAGAGGAAAATAAGAGATGTAATAATTTTCTAGAAAATACTGATTTTGTATTTGACTAACTTTTTGTACCAGTTACAAAAGTGCTTCATATCTATACAAACAGAAGAAAACATAAAGATCAAAAAAGTGGGGAGAATCATCCATAAAATTTCATTATACAGAGATAACCATTATTGATATTTTAGTTTTAGTATTTTAAATAATATACACCTAAAATGATAGTAAACTATTAATCTTTACCAAGTATTATATTAACATTTCCTTACATCAATAAGTATTTTTCTATAACATAATGTTTAATGGCTAACTGGTATTCTATCAAATAGAGGTACCATACTTTATTGAACCAATCTCCTATTCTTTGACTTTCCCATTTTTTCCATTTTTCAATATTATAAATAACAGTGTAATAAACATCTTTGTGCACACAGCCTTACATACATCCTCTATTTTCTTAGAATAAACCCCAATAAGTAAACTTACTAGATCAAAGGATGTTAATGTTTTTGAGGCTTTGGGTAAAAATTGCTGAATTTCCCTCCAGAAGGGTTATATCTATTTACAGTCTCCAATAGAAATATCATGTTTACTCATTGTCTTGCCAAAACTGTGTTATCACACAGTCTCTATGTAGAAAAATGGTCTCAAAAAGTTAATATGAAAATGGAAAAGGAAAGGTAGGCATACATTAACACAAAGGTTTAAATTAACTATAATTAAACCAAATAGACTTATCTTTGTAGGTTTTCTAACAGTAACAACAAAAACTTAGGATAAATAAAGCGTCCTTGTTTCTACGCTTATAGACAAAGATACACTGCTGATCCATAGAGAACATACTTAGGATTGTAAGGCAAAACAACTCTTTGAATAGAAGTTATTAAAAGTTGGCAAAGCAGACTAATTGAAAACCAACGCAATGATAAATGTAGACATAGACTTTATTTTTTCTCTGTGACATCTGTAGAATGAGTGGACCTAGAGAGAGGGAGTCATTTTCCCAGAGCAAGCTATTTTACTCATTGAAACAGAAAGACAGATTTTTGTAGCCTTAGGAAACCTTCCAAATGACTATCAGATATACCTTCAGCCAAGGAATAACTTGGGAGGACCAAAAAGCCACCAATAAGTCTCCAAAATACCATGTGTAAAGACAATATTTTTTAATGTGTCAACTTATTCTCTCCAAGCACTATTCCAGTGCTAAGTAAATGATAGGAAAATATAAACAAACATTTGCAATGTATTTAATCTTTAAAAGTTTTCATTGTTTAAAAAATCCATTGAAATAATAATCCCTTAAGTGAAATTTTTTGATAAACTTAGCTATAATTAAAATGCAATCTTGGCTTATTTCACTTAACATAATGACCTCCAGTTTCATCCATGTTGCTGCAAATGACAGGATTTTATTCTTTTTATGGCTATATAATATTTCATTGTTTATATATACCACATTTTCTTTATCCATTCATCTGTGGTTGGACACTTAGGTTGATTCCATATCCTGGCTGTTGTGAAATGCTGCAATAAACATGGGAATGCAGATATCTCTTCAATATACTGATTTCCTTTCTTTTGGGTATATACTCAGCAGTGGAATTGAGTCATATGGTAGTTCTATTTTTAGTTTTTGAGGAACTTCCACACACTATTTTCCATAGTGGCAGTACTACTTTGTATTTCTACTTACAGTGTACCAGCATTCCCCTTTCTCTGCAGCCTGGCCAGTGTCCGTTATTTTTTGTCTTTTTCATAATAGCTAGTTTAACTGAGGTGAAATGGTATCTCGTTGTGGTTTTGATTTGCATATCTCTGATGATTTCACATTCATATGTGGGAGCTAAAAATGTGGATCTTATGGGGGTAGAGAGTAGAATGGTGGTTATGAGAAGCTAGGAAGGGTAAAAGGAAGGGGGATAAACAGAAATTGGTTAATAGGTACAAAAATAAAATTAGATAGAAGGAATCAGTTCTAGTATTCACTGTTATAGTAGGGAGATTATAGTCAACAATAACTTACTGCATATTTCAACATAGCTAGAAGAGAAGAATTGGAATGTTCCCAACAAAAGAAAAGATAACTGTTTGAGGTGATGGATATCCCAATTATCCTGATGTGATCATTACAGTTGAATGCTTGGATCAAAATATCAAATATATCCCAAACTATGTACAACTATTATATATCAATTACAATTATTTTTAAATGTTAAATGAAAATAAATAGTGTGCAGTGAAAAAATGCAATTTTGGCAACACTACAATTGTACTTAAAGTGATAGTTATGAAAGCTAAAGACAGGTTTTGTCTTTTTAAATTCTAACACAGACAGGTTCACAGATCATAAATAAATAGATTGTTAACAGCAAAAAACACCTAAAAGAAAAAACTAGAAACCCTCAAAACTCACCCTTTATTTGTCAAAAGGACTCATATGTCTGTGCTTAGAAAAACAGGCTATGGAGGCACACTACCAATTTCAAATCCTGGTTTTGCCCTTGGGATCTGTATATATGCTTTCTGTCTCAGTTTTCTCAAATGTAAAATTATGATAACCCTAGGCAGATTGTTGTGCAAGGATTAAATGTGATTATTACATGTGAAGCAGGTAGCGCACTGCGTGTCATAGAGTCATTGCTGAATATATTTTTGCTACTATCATTCTAAAAAAGATTAACTTGTTATAGTATCAAAAAAAGAAAAAACTGTATAAACTAAAATTATGAAATAATCAGACTGAATCAGACACAAAATACATGGCTGAGCAGTAGTTTCCAAGATCTGAGAATAAGAATGTAGACACTACAGAGCGCGTAGAGCAGAACCTGTTATATAAAAAAAGTGCAGTGCAATAACGTAGCTTTTATATTCTGATGCCTTTTGAGTCAAATACTGACTAAATCTTGGATTCACCAATTAGTAACCATGAGCAAAGCTGCTTGAGCTTCCAACCTTAAGTTTCCTCATCTGTAAAATACAGTTAATATTGTTTTACCTCATAAAGCTATTTTGAAGGTTAAAGAAGACAGTATACATAAGGCAATCAACATAGTTTAGCAAATATAAGTTCAATAAATGATATTATTTTATTATTGTTATCATCTTCACTATTAAGGGAAGATCCAATGGATCATTTAAAAAGTCGATAAGCTAAATGTAGGAGATAAAGTACATAACGAAGGATGATCAGTTCCTTCTTCTTTCCACATCCAATGGCCATTTCTCTATTCTCATTATTTTCAACATTGGAAACATTTGCCTCACAATCCTGGGACAAAGAAATTACTGAATAAATGCGATGGCTATATGAATGACCACCTAGTTACAAAATCCAGTAACCTCTCTTTAGTCTTATTTTCTACCTGTCCAAAACCACTATGTCATTAGCTAGTCAAAAACTCTCTATAGGTTTCCTAAGCTAGTGTTTGATGACCTCCATAACTGATCCTGACAGATCTTTCCAATCTCATCAACAACTACTGGCCTTTAATTGTCAGTTACTCTACCTAAACCCAACAGCTCACCATTCCCAATAATCACTCAATGTTTTAAGGCCTCAAGTTTTGTTCATGCTATTACATCTGATCTTGGTTCAGATCTTAGTGCTGCCATTTAATAACCCTAGGATATTTTATCAGTTACAAAATTTCTGTGGACCTCAGTTTCCCTATCAATATAGTGTAGATAATAACAGTATCTATCTACATAGCATTTGTTGAAAAATTAGATTAACTAAAATTATAAAGTGCTTAATTCATAGTGCCTCAAATCCAGGAAATAAGAAATACTTAATAAATGTTCTTCTTGTTGTTGTTAGAATGCAGGCCTCTCTCCTTCATCTCCATAGTTTTAAATCTTATCTATCCATCAAAGTTGAACAAAGAACATCTTCCATGAAACCTTCCTTGATTACATGCTTTTGGTTCCACCTCCCTTTCTCAAAGCCCTTTAATCCTCAATTTTAACTTCCTGACTACTCTGAAACATTTTCACTTTCTTTTAGGCTTAATCTTGTCTTTCATTTACAATTATTAAGATCCTCAAGACAAATCATATGTATGATTCACTTTCATATTCCTCCATCACACCTAATAAATACACTGGCAACATTTGAACTTAATATATGCTTAAACTATGCTGTGAATCATTAAAAATGAAGACATTTTTCAGGCCATTAAAATTACCTTTCTATGCCGGGGTGGCTATTTCAAAACTCAAAACATATTTCTCTTGTTTGAGTCACCTTTGAAGCTACTCTTATGGTAAATAAAAGAACAATTTCAAAGGTGACTCAAACAAGAGAAATATAATAAATGTCGGCCGGGTGCGGTGGCTCACGCCTGTAATCCCAGCACTTTGGGAGGCCGAGGCCGACAGATCACGAGGTCAGGAGATCGAGACCATCTTCGCTAACACAGTGAAACCCCGTCTCTACTAAAAAAATACAAAAAATTAGCCAGGCATGGTGGCGGCACCTGTAGTCCCAGCTACTCCTGAAGCTGAGACAGGAGAATGGCATGAACCCAGGACGCGTAGCTTGCAGTGAGCTGAGATCGCGCCACTGCACTCCAGCCTGGGCGACAGAGCGAGACTCCATCTCAAATAAAATAATAATAATAAAATAAAAATCACTGAATGGACCAATAACAGGCTCTGAAATTGAGGCAATAATTAATAGCCTACCAACCAAAAAAAGTACAGGACCAGACAGATTCACAGCCAAATTCTACCAGAGGTACAAGGAGGAGCTGCTACCATTCCTTCTGAAACTACTCCAATCAATATGAAAAAGAGGTTATCCTCCCTAACTCATTTTATGAGGCCAGCATCATCCTGATATCAAACCCTGGCAGAGACACAACAAAAAAAGAGAATTTTACACCAATATCCCTGATGAACATCGATGCAAAAATCCTCAATAAAATACTGGCAAACAGAATCCAGCAGCACATCAGAAAGCTTATCCACCATGATCAAGTGGGCTTCATCCCTGGGAGGCAAGGCTGGTTCAATATACACAAATCAGTAAACGTAATCCAGCATATAAACAGAACCAACAACAAAAACCTCATGGTTATCTCAATAGATGCAGAAAAGGCCTTTGACAAAATTCAACAACCATTCATGCTAAAAACTCTCAATAAATTAGGTATTGATGGGACGTATCTCAAAATAATAAGAGCTATTTATGACAACCCCACAGCCAATATCATGCTGAATGGGCAAAAACTGGAAGCATTCCCTTTGAAAACTGGCACAAGACAGGGATGCCCTCTCTCACCACTCCTATTCAACATAGTGTTGGAAGCTCTGGCCAGGGCAATCAGACAAGAGAAAGAAATAAAGGGTATTCAATTAGGAAAACAGGAAGTCAAATTGTCCTGTTTGCAGATAACATGATTGTATATTTAGAAAACCCCATGATCTCAGCCCAAAATCTCCTTAAGCTGGGAAGCAACTTCAGCAAAGTCTCAAGACAGAAAATCAATGTGGAAAAATCACAAGCATTCTTATACACCAATAACAGACAAACAGAGAGCCAAATCATAAGTGAACTCCCATTCACAATTGCTTCAAAGAGAATAAAATACCTAGGAATCCAACTTACAAGGGATGTGAAAGACCTCTTCAAGGAGAACTACAAACCACTGCTCAATGAAATAAAAGAGGACACAAACAAATGGAAAAACATTCTATGCTCATAGATAGGAAAAATCAATATTGTGAAAACGGCCATACGGCCCAAGGTAATTTATAGATTTAATGCCATCCCCATCAAGCTACCAATGACTTTCTTCACAGAGTTGGAAAAAAACTACTTTAAAGTTCATATGGAACCAAAAAAGAGTCCGCATCACCAAGTCAATCCTAAACCAAAAGAACAAAGCTGGAGGCATCATGCTACCTGACTTCAAACTATACTACAAGCCTACAGTAACCAAAACAGCATGGTACTGGTACCAAAACAGAGATATAGATCAATGGAACAGAATAGAGCCCTCAGAAATAATACCACACATCTACAGCCATCTGATCTTTGACAAATCTGACAAAAACAAGAAATGGGGACAAGATTCCCTATTTAATAAATGGTGCTGGGAAAACGGGCTAGCCATATGTAGAAAGTTGAAACTGGATCCCTTCCTTACACCTTGTACAAAAATTAATTCAAGATGGATTAAAGACTTACATGTTAGACCTAAAAACATAAAAACCCTAGAAGAAAACCCAGGCAATACCATTCAGGACATAGGCATGGGCAAGGACTTCATGTCTAAAACACCAAAAGCAATGGCAACAAAAGCCAAAATTGACAAATGGGAGCCAATTAAACTACAGAATTTCTGCACAGCAAAAGAAACTACCAACAGAGTGAACAGGCAACCTACAGAATGGGAGAAAATTTTGCAACCTACTCATCTGACAAAAGGCTAATATCCAGAATCTACAATGAATTCAAACCAATTTACAAGAAAAAAACAAAAAACCCCATCAAAAAGTGGGCGAAGGATATGAACAAACACTTCTCAAAAGAAGACATCTATGCAGCCAAAAGACACATGAAAAAATGCTCATCATCACTGGTCATCAGAGAAATGCACATCAAAACCACAGTGAGATACCATCTCACACCAGTTAGAATGGCGATCATTAAAAAGTCAGGAAACAACAGATGCTGGAGAGGATGTGGAGAAATAGGAACACTTTTACACTGTTGGTGGAACTGTAAACTAGTTCAACCATTGTGGAAGACAGTGTGGCGATTCCTCAAGGATCTAGAACTAGAAATACCATTTGATCCAGCAATGGGATTGCTGGGTATATACCAAAAGGATTATAAATCATGCTGCTATAAAGACACATGCACACGTATGTTTATTGTGGCATTATTCACAATAGCAAAGACTTGGAACCAACCCAAATGTCCATCAATGATAGACTCGATTAAGAAAATGTGGTACATATACACCATGGAATACTATGCAGCCATAAAAAATGATGAGTTCATGTCCTTTGTAGAGACATGGATGAAATTGGAAATCATCATTCTCATTAAACTATTGCAAGAACAAAAAACCAAACACTGCATGTTCTCACTCATAGGTGGGAATTGAACAATGAGAACACATGGACACAGGAAGGGGAACATCACACTCTGGGGACTGTTGTGGGGTGGGGGGAGGGGGGAGGGATAGCATTAGGAGATATACCTAATGCTAAATGACGAGTTAATGGGTGCAGCACACCAGCATGGCACATGTATACATATGTAACTAACCTGCACATTGTGCACATGTACCCTAAAACTTAAAGTATAATAATAATAAAATTTTTAAAAAAAGAAAATGTGGCACATATACACCATGGAATACTATGCAGCCATAAAAAAGGATGAGTTCTTGTCCTTTGTAGGGACACAGATGAAGCTGGAAACCATCATTCTCAGCAAACAATCACAGGGACAAAAAAACAAACACCACATGTTCTCATGCATAGGTGGGAATTGAACAATGAGAACACTTGGACACAGGAAGGGGAACATCACACACGGGGCCTGTCGTGGGGTGGGGGGAAGTGGGGTGGGATAGCATTAGGAGATATATCTAATGTAAATGATGAGTTAATGGGTGCAGCACACCAACATGGCACATGTATACATATGTAACAAACCTGCACGTTGTGCACATGTACCCTAGAACTTAAAGTATAATAAAAAAATAAAAAAGAAAAATGAATAAATAAATAAATAATTGTCAGGTAGCCATGGTAACTGCTATCACTAAACATTTGTTCCTTTGAATTATTGTTCTCTTTAGTGTTTATTGTCGTAGAATGCAGGAATTAGCCTATTAAGAAGCTCTTAAGTTTAATGAAAGAGTGATTCTTAAGCCTGACTGTAAATAGAGCTATAATAATTTTGAACATGCTTACTCTTGAGAAGATATTCTATAAAATAGCCTAAGGAATGAGAGCAGAGAGATATAAGTGCAACGATCATTATAACAACAGAATTTGTAACAGCACAATATTGAGAAGCCTCTAAATGCTAATCAATAAATGGTTTGTTAAACATAAATGATTATAAATATGTAGGTTAAAGTCTTCAAAGAACTACACTTAAGAGTTGATATCAGTGTAATTTTAGATTGAGAAGATGACCAAGGAGAATTTATCTCTAAAATCGTACCTCCTGAAGGATGAAAATGCAACAGTATGCAAAAATTCAATAAAATGAAATTTTAAAATTACTCTTCTCTCTTTCCCTCCAAGAACAACTAGTATTGGGTATATAAGAGCAAATTAAGTGGTATGAATGAAACATCAGCAAAAAGAGTTGATTTGTAAATAATATTTAAAATCAATGCTAATTATAGGTGTGCTAAAAATCAGTTTCAGTCCATGGCACAGAACAGAAAACTTCAGAAACACAGAATAAAGGAAGATTGAAAACCATTTTCTCCTTTACTCAATTGGCTCTAGAGATTCTTAATTTCTCTGTATTGTAAAGTTATAATATTTATCCAGTCTATATTTTGTTGAACTCCAAATATCTTTGGAGGAAAAGAAGTAATTACTACATCATATTTACATATACAAATATTTTTGCTTAGTTACAATTTCACATTCAGTCTTTTTTTGTTTATAGATACCTGGAGAATTAAATGGAGTGTTGACATTTAGCTTAAGGCCATAATAACTTTGATTATGGGACACAAAGATATAAAAAAAATTCAATGTTGACATACTAAGATTTTTGAAATAATCTATCTCAATATCATTAACATCTAGCAGTAATTTTAAACTAAAATAATAATGACTGAAGGGGATGTGTTAATATTTCTTCCAAAGAATTGTGCAACTTTATTTTCTGTTGACTGATGGTTACCATTTCAATTTAAAATTGGGTTAAGGTTTAAAGCCTGTTTTAAATTAATTCAGCCAACTAGCAACTCTTCAAAGAACGTAAATCAAACAAGAATCTGAATTATTCTGTCCATTAGCCTCAAACATAATAGTTTGTTATGCCCTTGTGTTTCTCCACTAAAGCTTTGATCCTTACAAAGTCAGGTGTTTTTTTTCCTGTTACTTCTAAAGTAAATTCCTCTCTTTAAATATGTACAGTATATATAGAAACAGAAAGGCTTTATTCCTTTTTTTTTTTTTAACAATCTGCTGTAGTCTCTGAATTTCATTCATTAAACATTTTATCGTATTTCTTCTTTAACATTGTGAGGTTTAAGGGAAGTAAAATATGGTCTTAGCCTTAAGCAGCATAAAGTTATGTCTGGGGAAAAAAATACCTATGCATAAATAGTAGCACAAACATGTGAGCTGTACATGCAAGTTTTGAGGGAGTTAAGGTGTCTCAATCCTTGTCTTAATTAATGAGGTCTTCCATCATTAATCCCTAAATGCAAATATTTGTTCCTCTGACCTTACAATTTTGATTTATTTATACTAAGCAACTATGATATCAGGTCATAAATAATAAATGATATGTATCAAAGTCACACATGTTCTCAAAAAAATTATTGTAGGATAAAGGTAAAGTGAGTAATAAAAGAAAAGGGGCTGTAATCTGGAAAAGTCAGTTGTCTCTGAAGAGACCTCAATGATTGGCAACACTTTTGTGAATGTGCCAAGTTTTGAGTATTTCTCTTAAACTTGCACCCTAAGAAACACAATTTTGATATCTGCACTCCCATGTTTATTACAGCATTATTCATAATGGCCATTATATGGAAACAACCTAAGCATCCATGGATGTACGAATGGATAGAGAAAATGTGGTATATACAGACAATAGGATATTTTTTAGCCATAAAAAAGAAGGAAATACTGCCATTTGAGACAACATGGATGAACCTGAAGGGCATTTTGGTAAGTGAAATGAGCCAAACAAAGAAAGACAAATACTGTACATATCACTTATATGTGGAATCTTAAAAAAAAAAAAAAAAAAAAAAGTCGAATTTGTAGAGACAGAGAGTAGAATGCTGGTTGCCAGAGGCTGAAGGGTGGGGAAAATGAGGAGATGTTGGTCAAATGGTACAAACTTTGATTTTTCATTTATTTGTTAATTAAACTCAATAGAACTGAAAAAAATAAAAGCCAGATATAGCAAAAAAGGAAAAATGCTGCAAATCTTTGCTGGATGAGATCTTGTTATGAGCACAGTTGGCCCACAGGTTTCTAGGAAGTAGACAACAGTTTAAACCTGAAATTTCAGATCCATACTTTTAACCATCACTTTTATTCTGTCATTTTTGAGGATATTTTTGTTTGAGTGAAAGCTGGGATAAGATTTGTTTTAAGTTAATATCTAAAAAGTTTAAATTATTTAAAATAAACAGTAGTTCTGGAATTCCTGACCAATGCATTTGTCCCAGGGTTTACCCAAACTGTATAGAACAATACTGCCAGCAAACAACCAAGATGCTCCCTTTCCCTTTAAAGTTTTGAAATCGTAAAGAAGTTTTGTAATTTAGGGGCCATCTAAGGTGTAAAAATCATAACAGAATTTAAAGTGATACACTCGAACTTGCCTTTTTCTCCAGTTCTGAGAGAATCACTCTTTCATCTGCCTTTAGAATAAAAGGGAACATGGCAATCATCCGTGAAACACTGTTTATTGTTTCAATTTAAGCAACCTGAAAATAAATAACTGCCTTTTTACATTGTTAAAAACAATACAATTTTTTTTTTTGCTCACCAAGATTTGTCAATTTACGATACATGGCTGCTAAGGCTGCTAACTCCTCTCCAGTACAGCACCATGGAAAGTCAAATTGTAATGAAAATTGCTTTAGCAAATGTAGCATCGAACTTGGACGAGTTAGTTAAAATTTAAACATCTGATTATATAAGGTAAAAATCTACCATCTATATCTAGATAAGTCATTGGAGGTTTTTAGATCGAGTGCTCAATGCCCTACATTGGACTTGATAAATACTGCCATCATTTGCCCCTGTGACCTGCCTTTATCCATGCTGTCCTAGCTGCTGACATTTCCTCTACCTGATTGAAGAGTCTTTCATTAGCAACGTTAACACTCAAAATGACTTTATTAAGCTATTTTAGGCTTGGAGTCATTTGGTCTCTTTAAAACAATATTTCATATTACGTGTTAAGTACTGACTTAAAAGTTCAATTCTCTCAAGGAACACTAACTACCTTATATTCAAATACTTGAGGTGCAACTCACCATAACAACATTCTATAATCATGCAGACAAGGAATATTATTCTCACAATAAAGTGAATCAAGTATGCTCAACAATCCAAATTTCAGCCCATAGAAAAATGTATTACAACATTTAATAGTCCTATATATTTTTCTTTGAATAATTATCTAATTTTATATTTCTATATATCTACATAAAAATTTTTAATCTCTTAAAAATGCTAATTTATAAAAAGGCAGAGGATCATATAACCATTCTAACGTGTGGAACCATATGCTTACAAGTCCCTCCTTCTGGGGTGTCCTTTCCACAGACTCCACTGCTCTTTTCTTTTCTTTTTTCTTTTCTTTGTTTAAGGAGAATTTGTCATATCTCCTAAATAAAATTTTCCCCAACTTCTCTCAAACTACATGACTAATCTGTCCTCTAAAGCTCCATGTTATTAACCTCTTTCATTTGACATGTAGCCTACACTACTTCACATGGACACCTTTCTTTTTATGTACATGACCTCTAAATGCATAATATTTTATTTGAACTTCTATTATGTCCATTCACCATTTACAAACTTGTTTCATAACATTCATGTATGTTTTGTGTCTTAACCTGTAAATTCCTCAAGAGAATGGATTTCTAATTTGAATATATAAACATTCAACAAATGTTTGATGAACAAAGGAATGGAAGACTTGTTTCCTCTACAAGATTATCTCCTCTATGAGATTCTGCCCTCCTGAGGGCAGAAACCATATTTTATGCTTCTTGAAAGTCACAGAATTGCGTATATAAGAGCTCAATAATACTTATTTACTTTTTAAAATGATGACAATATTAATTTTTAATTTTTGTGGGTACACAGTAGTTGTATATATTCATGGGGTACATGAGATGTTTTGATATAGGTACACAATACATAATAACATTATAGAAAATGGGCTACCCATCCTGTCAAGCATTTATTCTATGTGTTACAAACAACCCAGTTATACTCTTCTAGTTATTTTTTAAGGATTTAAATTATTTTGACTATAGTCACTCTGTTGTGCTATCAAATACTAGGTCTTATTCATTCTTTCTATTTTTTTTTTTGCACCCATTAACCAACGTCACCCCCACCCCACCCCCACCTACCCTTCCCAGCCTCTGATAACCATCCTTCTACTCTCTATCTCCATGTGTTCAAGGCAATATTAAATTTTATAGCCATGGGAAAATAGTGTCTAATTTTCTAAATAAAATCCAAAACTTTCTAGGGAATACAACTGTTGGGTTATATCTGTAAATGAGCTTTTGATTTTCTTGATGTATAATGAAAGTTTATACTTATATCTCACTGCATCATATTTGACTGCAGAAATTAAAGCACAATTCAAAAGATATGTATGTACCTATATGTACATATATAGTGTCTATATGCATATGGAAATCAAATTAATGTCCATATTATAGTCATAATTTGGTTATCACCACTTTCAAATTTCTTTTTTTTAATTTAATATTATTTTACTTTAAGTTCTGGGATACATGTACAGGACATGCAGGTTTGTTACACAGGTAAATGGGTGCCAAGGTGGTTTGCTGCACCTATCAACCCATCACATAGGTTTTAAGCCCAGCATGTATTAGCTATTTTTCCTGATGCTGTCCCTCCTCCAACACCCTGCCACAGGCCCCAGTGTGTGTTGTTCCCCTCCCTATATCCATGTGTTCTCATTGTTCAGCTCCCACTTATAAGTGAGAACATGTGGTGTTTGGTTTTCTGCTCCTGTTTTAGTTTAATGAGGAGGCTTTCTGCTCCATCCATGTTCATGCAAAGGGCATGATCTCATTCCTTTTTATGGCTATATAGTATTCCAGGGTATATATGTACCACATTTTCTTTATCCAGTCTATTATTGATGGGCATTTGGGTTGATTCCATGTCTTTGCTATTGTGAATAGTGCTGTAATGAACATATGCATTCATGTATCTTTATAAAGAATGATTTATATTCCTTTGGGTATGTAGCCAGTAATGGGATTGCTGGGTCAAATGGCATTTCTGGTTCTAGGTCTTTAAGGAATCACCACACTGTCTTCCACAATGGTTAAACTAATTTACATTCCACCAAAAGTGTAAAAGCGTTCCTATTTCTCCACAGCCTTGTCAGCATCTGTTGTTTCTTGACGTTTTAATAATCACCATTCTGACTGGCATGAGATGGTATTTCATTGTGGTTTCGATTTGCATTTCTCTAATTATCAGTGATGTTGAGCTTTTATTTATATGTTTATTGGCCACATAAATGTCTTCTTTTGAGAAGTGTCTGTTCATGTCCCTTACCCACTTTTTAATGGGTTGTTTTTCCTTATAAATTTGTTTAAGTTCCTTCTAGATTCTGTATATTAGACCTTTGTCAGATGAATAGATTGCAAAACTTTTTTCCTATTCTGTCAGTGAAACTTTTAAATTCATTTGAACACTAGTATATGCCATGAATCCACTATATTCTTCAGAGAACAGAAAAGTTTTGAGGAGTCTGGGAGCCTGGTGTGTTCAGGGCAGAGCATGTCAAAAAGAGAACCTGAATAAAAAATCTGAATGAAAATGCACCAAAAGACAAGGTGAACGTTCAAAAGATATATTTGTTTTGCTTCATGATTTTGCCAAGAGCCTGCTGTGCTTATTGCATGGTTGTCTTACCCACTAAAGTGTTGATTTAACTAGGAAAAAATGTCAGTGCCCAAAAGCATTAATAGAAAATATAACATCTGGAAAGATCTTATTTCTTTAAAGATTATGATTTCCAAATATTAATTACAGTATTAATTACATGAAGTACAGCCTCACTTAATGACAGGGACATGTTCTGAGAAATGTGTTCTTAGGCAATTTCGTCATGATGCAAACATCATAGAGTGTACTTAAAATCTGGAGGGGATAGCCTACTACACACCTATGCTATAAGGTATAACCTATTGCTTCTAAGCCACAAACCTGTTCAGCATGTTACTGTACTGAATAGTGTATGCAATTGTAATACAATGGTAAGTATTTGTGAATCCAAACTTATCTAGTCATTAAAAAGGTACAGTAAAAATATGATATAAAAAATGGTACACCCATATAGAGCACTTGCTGTGAACGGAGCTTGCAGGACTGGAAGTTGCTCTGGGTGAGTCAGCGAGTGGTGAGTGAATGTGAAGGCCTAGGACATAATTGTATACTGCTGTAGACTTCATAAACACCGTACGATACACTTAGGCTACAATAAATTTATTTTTAAAACTCTTTCTTTCTTAACCTTAGCTTACAATTTTACTTTACAAACATTTTAATTTTTTTAACTTTTTGATTCATTTGTAATAACATTTAGCTTAAAATACAAACACATTGTACAGCTGTACCAATATATTTTCAATCTTTATATACTTATCCTATAATCTTTTATCTATTTTTAAAAATTTTTGTTCTTTTTTACTTTTTACATATTTTTTGTTAAGAACTAAGGCACAAACACACACATTAGCCTAGGCCAACACAGGGTCAGGATCACCAAGACACCATTAAGTAACAGGAACTTTTCAGCTCCATT
Source organism: Homo sapiens (assembly GCF_000001405.40). NCBI lineage: Eukaryota > Metazoa > Chordata > Mammalia > Primates > Hominidae > Homo > Homo sapiens. The sequence continues at coordinate 161,688,876 of NC_000002.12, read as the reverse complement.
ATAATCTTATGGAACCACTGTGGTATATGCAGTCCTTCAATGACCGAAACATTTGTTATATGGCACATGACCATAATAGAAAATCGATAATCTGTGGTAGGACAAACGTTATCATGATTTTCCCACTAATGAAAGCCAACTATTAAATTACATTAGCTAAATTGTGAATAGAAGTTATTATTTACTTGTAAATGGAAGACTAAAGAAAGGACATAAAGGCACCAAAAGAGATACTTTAGTTAATTCCTATCCAATAAAAATAATATTCTTTAGCATTAAAGAAATAATTCTAAAAACAACTTTTCAAAATATAGTATTGATTATGAAATTGTTTTACCTAACAAATTTAGAGAACAAACACGTGAAATAATGTAATAGTTGTAGTCTTAACTATCAAACCTCAGGGAGTACTAATGCATCGCATACTCTACCCAAGAGATGTATTTAGACTCCATTTGGGTCAATAACTTTATAATCATTGCACCAAAAAATATTAATTATTCTACACCAAAAACAGAGAATATTGTTCATTCTAGGTTATAAAATTACAACATTATAAGAGATGGCAAGAGGTTATTAAGTCAAATGATCCTGTCTCAATTAAGATTTAACACCTAAACTTTCTAAAACAGATGATTTTTCTATCCTATTTCTAGACATAATAGAGAATGAAGAGTTTTTCATTGGTAACACTTTTACTGTTTTCTTTGAAATTTAAAAAAGTCTAAGTAATTTCCTAAGTAATTCTTTTACTATAATTTAAGCCCATTTCCTTTTATTCTTATCACTGAATAAAACATATTTCTATTGTCATTTATGTATGAGCAATAAAAAATAATTACTTTGGTAGAAAGCAGAACATTGCCTGCCATGTGTCTTAATGTGTAGATATTTGTATTAGTCCATTCTTACATTGCTATGAAGATATACCCAAGACTGGATAATTTATAAAGAAAAGAGGTTTAATTGACTCACAGTTCCACATGGCTGGGGAGGCCTCAAGAAACCTACAATCATGGCAGAAGGCACCTCTTCACTAGGTGGCAGGAGAGAGAATGAGTGCCAGCAGGGGAAATGCCAGACACTTGTAAAATCATGAGATCTCGTGAGACTCACTCATTATCATGAGAGCAGCATGGGGGAAATTGCCCCCCTGATTCACTTACATCGACCCGGTCCCCACCTTGACACGTTGGGATTATTACAATTCAAGGTGAGATTTGGGTGGGGACACAGTGCCAAACGATATCAATATTGCTTAACAAATGTCCATAAAACATTCTCTTTGGACACAGTATATAGAATAGAGAGAAAAAACAGTGAAATCAGGAAAGGCTATATTAAAGTTTTAAATTGCTATAATTCCGTTAATTATGTCAATTAAAATGAAAAACATTGGCTGAATTACGCTGTGATTGTTCTATTTTATAAATCCAAGACATTATTTTAAAATTATATATTTTTTCTAACTCCTAAAATAATACTTGTTTATTACAGAAAGCATAGAAAACACAAAAAGCACAGAGAAGAAAAACTCACCTGAAGTTTTAGCACATTCAGAATGCCACTGCATATATTTTAATATATGTCCCTCCAATATTTAAATACATACACAGAATCATAATGTATATATTTGTAACTCTTTTTTCCACTTAGCAATTCATCATGCACATATTCTGATATCTTTTCAAAAAGTCTTCTTAAGGCTGGGGGCGGTGGCCCATGCCTGTAATCCCAGCACTTTGGGAAGCCCATCAGCTGAGGTTAGGAGTTCAAGACCAGTCTGGCCAACATGGCAAAACCCTGTGTCTCCTAAAAATAAAAAAAATTTGCTGGGCATGGTGGCGTGTGCCTATAGTCCAGCTACTCGGGAGGCTGAGGCAGGAGAATCGCCTGAACCCGGGAGGCGGAGGTTGCAGTGAGCCGAGATCACACCACTTCACTCCAGCCTGGGCAACAGAGCAAGACTCCATCTCAAAAAAAAAAAAGACAACAAAAGAAAAGAAAAAAGAAATAACCAAAAAAATGGGCAACCAGCAGCCCTTGGGGCTGCTCTGCCTACGGACTAACCATTCTCTTACACCTTTACTTCCTTAATAAACTTGCTTTTGCTTTGCAAATAAATAAACAATTAAAAAAATAAAAATTGTTCTACAACCTAATGCCAATGTCAGGGCATCAATCTATTATTATAAAGGCATACATATTAATTAACCATTATGATTTCTAATATTTTTCTATTGTAAACAATGTTGTAATATAACTCCTATATATAATTTTGCCCAGACTTCTGATTATTTGTTTCCTTTGAATGAATTACTGGAAGTAAAATTTATCTGACATAAGAAATTGATGCTCCACATACATATTGTCAAACTGTCCTTGAAGAAGAATGAGACAATTAAGATCTGTACCTGTAAGTGAATGATAATGTCCTGCCCTTTATTCTTGCCTCATCAATACTAGTTATAATCAATCTTTTAATATTTAATAAATTGATATTTGAAAAATATATCTTAATTTTGTAGAAATTTATAATTTTTATTACCATTGCAGCTATTTGTAATTCCACTGAGAATTGCTTGTTCTTTCTTTACCCATAAGAACATAACAATGTGCTTTTAAAACTTCATCTTTCATATCCCTAAGGGATTTGATTTTAAGATTGTTTATAAAAGTGGTTTATATACTAAAAATATCAACCCTTTGAGTATCATATATGCTACAAATCTTTTTCCAAATTTGTCATTTGGTTTTTATTTGTTCTATTTTCAATAAACTCCCCTGGAACTTTAAGCAACTCAGCTTCTACCTGATTTTCTCTCTTCTGATTTTCCTTGCTCCACTTTCCTGTTGGGGGCTAACTCCTTTGGGCCCAGAATCTTGTGCTTTATTATAGTACTTGCTGGTCCATTTTCATCACCAGACTATGACCTCCTTGAAGGCAGGGACCGTGTCTTTCTTAATATTGCAAACCTTTATAGTACAAAATCTCCAGTAGAGGGATTTTTTCCTTTAGTTAATAAATTTTGTGTAAATGTAATTGGAGTTAAGTCAAATAACCTTGGATGATACAGCTATCAGGAATAAAAACAAAGGAAAAATTCATCTTTGTGCAGCTGTTAAAGCACAGTTAAGTCAAAGTGCTTGAACTCAAATACCAACTTCACCACTTACTAGTGTACAATATTGGACAAATTGTTCAATCTCACTAAACCTCAATTTCTTTGTTTTTTTTTTTGTTTGTTTGTTTGTTTGTTTGTTTTTCTGAGACAGACTCTCCCTCTGTCACCCAGGCTGGAATGCAGTGGCACGATTTCGGCTCACTACAACCTCCACCTCTTGGGTTCAAGCAATTCTCATGTCTCAGCCTCCCAAGTAGCTGGGACCACAGGTGTGTGCCACCATGCCCAGCTAATTTTTTTGTATTTTTAGTAGAGATGGGGTTTTGCCATGTTGGCCAGGCTGATCTCCAACTTCTGGCCTCTAATAATCCACCCACCTCGGCCTCCCAAAGTGCTGGGATTACAGGAGTGAGCCACCAATTTCTCTATCTGTAAAGTGAGAATGGTAATGGCAACATACCTCACAGAATGACTGCCAGGATATGAGATGACATATGTAATGCACTTAGCCCAGGGTCTAGAGCATACTAAATAATAAATGGTAGCAGCTATCATTAGTTTTTAACTGGCCTATCCAGTAGTGCTTAGAAGAATCATTAACCATAACTCAGTAAATAAATTCCTGCTGATAATCACCCTGAATCTAGCAAAATTGAGTTCCCAGGCGGTAAACAGATCAACTGCAAATCATGAAAATCAATGCCTACTGTTAGGCAGTCTGGCTTTATGCCTCTCTATGGGGTCCATATTGCAAACCTGTTGCTTATCTTCCTACAGCATCTTAATATGCACACATCATCTGACCCCCTAACCAGCCTCTTTTTGAACCTCAGAATCAGCAACATAGGAAGATGACTGCCTATTTCTGGCTATACCACCTTCAGTCCCCTGAGTGAGTAAGACATAACCTGTGTTTTAAGTTATGTAATTCCAAGCATTCAACTTAAATTTGTGAAAATCCACCAGCCATGTTTTCCATGATGTGAGAACAAAAACACACACAGAGAGAAACTTCATTTTATTTATTAACCTACCATGAGTCAAGCATTTTCATTGAATCCCTGCAACAAACTTGTGAGATTGATACTATTTCTATATTTTACAGTTGAGGAAAGTGAGACAAAATCAGGTTAAGTACCTTGCCCAAGGTAACATAACTAGATAAGTGACAACATTCTTTCTCTTTCCTTTTATAATACCCTATCCCCAGACAAATATTTTCTTCTTCTCTCAAGTCCTTGCTCAAGCTCTTCTCCCAATATGCAAAAGAATGTCCTTGTTTTGTACCTATAGCTGGGAATATGTCTTTCACTGATCTCTCCAGGGCACTTTTCCAGAAATTTTCCTAAATGAGCAGAACTAGAAAAGGGAATATGAAAAACTTAAACAGACTGCAAGGAGAAAAAAATGCAGAAAAATGGTCATAATAATCAAAAGATAGAAACAACCCAAATTTCTGTCAGCAGATGAATGAATAAACAAAATGTAATCTATTCATACAATGGAATGTTATTCAGCCTTAAAAAGAAATGAAATTCTGATACATGCTACAACATGAATAAACCTTGAAAATATCACGCTAAGTCAAGTGAGCCACACACAAAAAGGACAAGTACTATATGATTCCACTTATATGAATTACTTAGAGTCATCAAATTCATGAAGAAAGAAAGAAGAACGATGGTTGTCAGGGCCTGAGGGAAGAAGGGAATGGGAGTTATTGTTTAATACACACGGAGTTTCAGTATAGGATGATGGAAAAGTTCTGGAGGTGAATGGTGGTAACAATTGCATAACAGTGTGAATGTACTTAAAGTTACAGAATTGGAACATTCAAAAATGTTTATAATGGTAAATCTTAGCAAATGTACATTTTACCACAACAAAAAAAATGGAATGTGGTTTTCATTTCTAATTGTAACTTTAGAGTATATTGTCTTTCTTTATCTTACCAGTTTTACTTTTGTTTTCCCTACCTATTGCTAAAGATGTTACAAAATGATAACATTTAACAAAAATGCTTATAACTTATAAGTCAAATATTACTCCTCTTTCAGTCTAATTACCATAAAACAGATTTACTGGAGCCATTACACTATAAAGTACCTAAAAGCATAAAATTTGGCTAGAGATTTTAAAACCTAAGAAATCTCTAAACATTTCAACCAACCAACAAAAGAACAGAATAAGCAATGCCATCTGCAACTTCAAGGAATGCTAATAAAAGCCTATAAGCTTTTCTTTACCCTATTCTCCTTGACTTTTCTGCTACAATTAATACAACCGTCCACTACTCTTTCATTTGAAGCTGTCCCTTTGGCTGGCTCTCTCACTGTTCCCTAAATACCCTCTCTGCAACTTATTTCTAAAGGAAGTTTCAGTACTTAACCTTCTGCTCTTCTCCTTTATATATTCATTTATTAAACAAAAGTTTATTGAATTCCTCTTAGGTACCTGGTACTGTGCTAAGGGCTAGTAAACTAAACGCAGTCCTTGTACCTCAATGTTCTAATATGAGAAATAGACAACTAAATAGGAGATTTTCAAACTATAACTCAAGCTGATCTACTTTCTATTCTATTTGCCACATGATATCTGTGGTAGTCTGCTGTATGGGGGTCCCCAATCAACCATGCACCCTGTATTCACACTCTTCCATAGTCAGTCCCCTCACCTGAATCTCAATGAGGCTAATGACTTGCTTTAAGCAAAAAATGTAGTATTTTGTTGTAAACTTATTTATATATTATAAATGTTTATGTTATATATAAATTTCATATGAATTATATATTGCATATACATTTTATGATATTTATATATTACAAATTCATTATAAATTATGCAGGGGCAACTCTGAGCCTATGCCTTTAGGAGTCCCAGCAGCTATGACTTTTGTACTATGGGGAGCCATGAACTGCCATGTAAAAGATCTGTCCACCCTACAGGAGACACCATGTGGAGAGACCAGGCAGAGGGGGAGAGATTCTCAGGCTACATCTAAAGAGAGAAAGAATACCTAGCCGTTCAGCTTTTCATCTGACCCCAGCCCCCACCCTATTCCAGATAACTGCAGCCACACACATGGAACCCACAGTAACAGCCAAAAGCCATACAGATGAACCAAGCCCAGATTGCAAAATTATAAGCAAATAAAATGATTGTAAGCCATTACTTTTAGGGTGGTGTGTCATACAGCAATAGATAAACAAAACAGCATCTCATTGAACTCAAATCCTGTAAAATTCTATTTATATGTCACCATCACAATTTTAACACCTAAAAATTGAATTCATTTGCCTTACCATTGAAGTTCCACCTTGAAAAAGTTAACTTCCCTTTACCTGCAATACTTACGATTCTCATAAGCATAAATCTTTAAAAACATAATGTATACTCACTGATTTGATGACACACTGGAACCAAAGGATATTAATAAATGTTAGAAGAAAATAGTTCCACAGGCAAGCAAGTTTTTACAACTCTGGATTAAATGAAATTATAAACATGTCTTTACTACTAGATTTCTCTGAGACTCAGCTTGTTAAAATTCGAGAGGGGGATATAAAATAAATATTTCCTAAACATACTCGACATGGAATCCTTTTCCCAAAAAGTATTTGGTGGGACTGGTATTTTATAAAATACATTTTGGGACTGCCATATTTGGAAAATGGACAAAGTAAGGATGAGTTACATATTAAAGTCAAGAAAAAAGAGGACAAGTCTGATTGTCCCTGAAGGTCTTCATTCTCTCAAAAGTCAAAAGCAAAAGTCAAAATACATTTTTAAATGTATACTGTACTTTAAAAAAAGTAGACAAAAATAGAAATATCAGCTCAAGGCAGAGAGAAGGATAGGTATGGCAATACTAAAAACAAACAGCATGAAACTGTAGAGGATCATGTCAACATAATTCCATGATCCCATTTTCCCACAATTAGGTTTTCATTCCAGGAAGGCAAACGCAGAAATTGAAAAGAGGAAGGAAGAGCCACAGTGATCACATCAGAAGATTAAAATGTAAGAAAGCTTAGTATATTAATAAAGAGAGTATTTAAATAGCTGTAAATGTCCTGCAGATGAAACAAGGAGTTATAGGTGGTCAGAAGGTGTTTAATTGAGTACAGTAACTCCTTAGGGCAGGAATCCTATAAAGCGGAGGAACTTGTTCAGTGAATATAGTAATACAAGGGCAAAGTTACTAAGTTTTTGACCTAAGAAAAGTTATCCATGTTTTGGAACATAGAAATTTAGGATTAGAAAATGTATATTAATGAAAAGTATACTGAATTAAAATTCAGAAGACTTAGAACTAACTAGCCATGTTCCACTAGCTAAGTCACTTAATATTTCTGTCCTCAGATCCTCATCTCCAAAATGAATATCAACTGTATATTCCTGTCTGGTTTCAAAATTCTGTGAGTCTCTGATTCTAGCTGGATGAATGCCACATGATGATTAAGTTTTTAACAGTGTATGGCTGATGCGAAATGGTGGCAATGAGGAATTATGAGTCATGAGCATGAATGTTGGCAGCCAACTGCAGGGAAAGGAAGATTGAGAGTCCACTATGTTCTCTGTTAGTTATAAATGGATTCAGGTGGATAGTAAGTGATAATGAGAATTTGAAGTAAGTGGTATCAACTTCAAGCAAAGTGAAAAAGAGAGAAGGTTACCATTTGATATTCTTTGAGTTACATTGGGTAAGCCAGTACCTCCTGGCTTCTTACTGAACTTAGGAAAGTTAAATTGAAGTTATATCTCACTTATTGCTAAGTTATATTAATTTGTCTTTTAAGATGTTACTTATATCTATCTCTTCCTCTGTAACTGCACTGTCATTACCTTTGCCTGAGTTCTCATCATCTCATCTGGGTTACTGTGAAAGCCTCCTGTCTGATCTCACTAACTCTGTCCTTTCCTCTAAAATTCATTCTGCAGACTGCTATTAAAATAATATTCCTTATTCATTTCATAATGTATACATATATAAAAATAATACATTGTATACCATTAATATATACAATTTTTATTTGTAAATTACACCTTAAAGCTGGGAGAATAAATCAATAAATAATAAATCAAATAATATTCCTTAAAACTTGCTTTCATCACATTACTCCCTTATTCAAACCTATAATGACTCCCTCGTGCCATCGATATCAAGCTTAAAACTCTCTATCAGATCCTCAAGGTCCTCCGTAATCTGACCTCATCCCACATTTTCAGCCTTTACTCCCATATTCTTTGACATAAACTAGCCATTCCAGTCCAGTACTTCCAACACAGGCCATCTTTCCCCAACCCTGTGACCCACTTCCCTCTCCTATTCCCTGTACACACAATGTTAATTCCCACCTTTGGTTTTGCTATATGTTTACCTCTTGGAAATACTTTATCCCATCCTGTTGATCTACTAAAATCCTATACATATACTGGCAGGTGGCTTAAATTCCAGCTCATCTAAATATTTATTTACTATTAAGTATGAATGACAGCAACCTTGCCCTTAATAAGTTCACAGTCCAGTAGAGAAAATGAATAAGTGAATCAACAACTACAAAACTCTGTGAACAGAGCTCTCTTGTGAGAGCACAGAGGAGCATTTAAACCAGACATAGATGGTGGATCCGAAATGGTTTTCTAGATGAAGCGAACCTTCATCCAGGTCTTTATGGAAAAGAAATACAAAGGGAAACACCATAGACAAAGGCATGAAGTATCATAGTGAATTCAGAAAAATTGAAGTAATTCAAGGTATATAAAAAATTGCATGTACACTTGGGAGAGGTGGCAAGGTATAAGGTTAGAAATACAGGCCATGGCTAGAGTATGATAAAGTCCTAAGTGACAGGCTGAAGAGTTTGATTTTGCCCCCAAAACAATATGAAAAAGTTGAAGAATTTAAGCAGTAGAATGACTACAAGTAACAAGACCTAGCTTTCAGGAAGAATACTCTGATAAAATAATAAATAAAAGAGGACTCAAAATAAAAGCAGACAAGCCACTTGAAAGGCAGTTTTGATATACTACACACACACACACACACACACACACACACACACGTTGACCTACAATTGAGGTTAAAAAAAAAATAAAAGCAGATTCCAGAGATTTAGAAAGCAGAAATGACAGCATATAGTGATTGATTCAATATGAGAAACTGAGGGAAAAAATCTCTAAAGGTAACTTGAGGAACACTAATTTCAATTCCTTCTTCCTACACTACTTACAGTCTATTTTACATGTCATCATGTAATTTTGCATTGCTAATTTAAAGTACAGTTTTTACCTCCCTAAACAGACTGTACAATCATTGAGGGCAAGGACTAGTCTTTCACTTTACCTTTTGTATCCTTCCCATCACTAAGTACACTACTAAGTACTTAGCAAATGTTAGTAAATATTTACTAAATAAAAAGATTTTGTGCTCCTTAAGCAAAATATGATTTATTACCTTAGACTATGGGCCAGCAATAAGTGCATTTGCACACATTAAACATGATAAGCTTGAAATAAGTATTTGATGAACTGAAAAACAACCTAGAGTACAAGAGTCTTTAAATTTCCCCTGTACATAAAATATCCATGTCACTAAATACCAGAATGACTAAAACATAAGACAGACAATTCCAAAGGTTAGAAAGTATGTGGAGCAACTGGAATTCTCACAGATTACTGGTGAGAAAGTAAATTGATAAAACCACTTTGGAAAACTATTGGGTAATAGGTACTAAAGTAAATGTATTCACATCCTAACAATTTCATTCCTAGTTATATACCCAAAAGAAAGTCTTCACATGTCTACTAAAAAGAAATGTTTGAGAATATTCATATTGGTTTCAATCATAACAGCCAAAAATGGAAATAATCCAATGTCCTTCGATAGTAAAATAGAGAAATACATAAATTGTGGTATGTTCATATAATGAAATACTACATAGAAAAAAGAGTAAACCACTCAATGCAAGAACATGGATGAGTATCACAGACATAATGATATGCAAAAAATGTCAGACACTAGAGTTCATATATATTATTTCAGTGTATATGAAACTCAAGAAGAGGTAAAACTAATCTATGGTAATAGACATTGGAATAATGGTTATCTGTAGTTTAAGGTCATTGACTAGAAAGAAGCATGGAGGAGTCTTCTCTGGTATTGGAAAAGTTGTATACCTTGATCAGAGTGATGGCTACATAGGCATATGTATATGTGAACATTCACATGCACGCATAAGATTAATGCGACTTATTGTATGTATATTATAGCTCAATAAGAGTTTTTAAAATATCCGTGTCGTCTCTCACTTTGGCATTAATAAAATCAACTTTTTCTATACTTATTTAAAACCATTTCTGAGGGGAACTGATGAGCATCCAGCTTCAAGTGTACAGTACAAGTTCCTCTCTATAAATAGCAAAAATGGCCAAGTTTTTAAGGAGGCAAAGCATTTTGTTTATCTCTTAGGAGATATTCAGAAGTCTTCTGAGTTCAAATGCAATGCTCTATTCTCATTTTGTACCTTGTCACCTCCCAACTTCCCAGATTCATTATCTAAGCCAGTCATCCAGATTAGGACAGATATGAGTCCTCGGAGGAATTCATTTGGGCCTAAAGGAAGTCAGGTTATGAGGAAAGACGTATCTGTCTAAAATTAACATTTAAAATGCACAGTGAAAAAAGATAAAAGCAAGAAAATGAGGTGGGTGAAAATAATGGGCAAAAAAGGCCTCTTATCTAAGCCTTTGGAAGTTGACAGACCCCATGAGCATGGTAGCTGAAGAAAGGAAGGACCACGTGATTTCAGGATATACCTCTTGCCCTCCCTGTGACCTATTACCTCTTCCTAAAGTAACATTGTACTGCCAAGGTAAGAATCATAGACAGAAAAGTCCCACGTGCCATTGTGAAACTGTCCACGTTCATTTCTGACTGTGTCATTCACTAGCTGTGCCAAATCTTGCTGCCACTTAATTCTCTATGTACCAGTTTTATCATATATAAAGTAAACATAGTAACAGAACCTATCACATGACTTATTTTGAAGATTAAATGAGATAACTGATGTAAAGCCCTAAGATAGAGACTTGTGCATAATAAGTGCTTGATAAATGCTACCTCCCACTACTTGTCCAAAAATTTACAGAAATTCTGGGAAAACTCTCTGAGTGTCTTCCCAATCCATAATGAACTGAATATTTCGAGGGAACATTCTGTAGCAGTATGTTCTTGAAAAATATTCTGTATCTCAAGAATAAGATATCTTGTTAAGTATATGTGTAATAGTTTTCTGGTGTTCTGCAGAGCACTAGCCTCATCAAATATTAATAGATATTTGTCTCAGTCCATTTGTGTGGCTATAAAAGAATACCTGAGGCTGGGTGATTTGTAAAGAAAACAGGTTTATTCGGCTGCTGGTTCTGCAGGCTGTACAAGAAGCGTGGCACCAGCATCTGCTTCCAGTGAGGTATCCAGGCTGCTTTCACTTGTGGTGGAAGGCAAGGGGAGCAACATGTGCAGAGGTCACATAGTGAGGGAGGGACTGAGAGAGAGGGGAAGAGGTGCCAGGCTCTTTTCAGCAAAGAGCTCTCAAGAAAACTAAGAGTAAGAACTCACTCACTTCCACAAGAATGCTACCAAGCCATTCATGAGGGATCCACCCAAACAACCCAAACACCACCCACCAGGCACCACTTTCAATACTGGGGATCAAATTTCAACATGAGACTTGACAGGGCCAAACAAACCATATCAAAATCATTACAATATTATATATATCTTAATTTGTGTAATCAAATAAACTGTTACTGTAGAGCTTCTCAGAGGCTTTAATAGGCTAAGAGGTGATATATTTATAGTTATTTACCCAGAATTACCATACAGCACGCCCTGTAGGGTGCCATTTTCATAGAACTACAAACGAGAGTGCAGAGCATGGCAGCCCTGCATTTTCTAAACATACCTGAATATTTTTCTGTGAAGCAACTTAAGTTACAACTAATTCTTAGAAACTTTGAATCAAGGTAAATTTTTGATATCAATTCTTTTCAACATATAGATATATAAAAACTTAAATGCTCCAAAGTAAAGGGACAGCCCATTCCATTTTGTAATAATTACACCCAGTTTATGTCAATGGAGTACTTAAAACTTAAATGCCTTAGCCTCTAGAATAAAGAACTTCATTTAATTTATAACCTAGTTTTAAAAATCTGTCTCAGCTACAAAGTGAGTTTCCTAGATAGAAAAGATAACCAAATATTACCACACCACCTAAATTTGCCATAAAATATGAAATAGAAAGTAAGAAAAAGAAATGAGAAGTTTGACATACAAATACCAGCAAAAGTCTAGCAAAAAATAGGCAATAAATGACCAGATTATTTTAAAGGCATTTCAACATGCGCATCCACATTCCATGACAGTGCCCACAGTCTTTTCAGAAGGGATATAAACTAGTCATTCCCATTCTCCCTGATCCCATGCTATATTGTAAGGGCTACCAAGAATATCAAAGTAACACTATTTTGCAGATCTGTCTGATGCAGAAAGTAGTTCTTAACTTTTGGTGGATTATGGGCTGCTTTGATCATCTGATGACAGCTCTCTGCCCACGTAAGTATACAAGGCATACCCACAAAGTGTTTACCTACAATTTCAAGTGATTCCTGGAACACTTTAAATCCACCCATGATCTTTTGTCCTGAGGTTCTAGTGTAGCAATTTAGCATAAATGGTGTTTTCCAAGCCCCGCTGACTAAAAAACAGAATTCTGATTTTAAATAAAAATCCAAAAGGAAAAAGTACATGATTTCATTCAGGGCTTCAAATACTTGTGGGAGAAGAATTTAAAATAGGCATAGAGGAACAAAGCCATCTTGATATAAGATGTTTATATTGAAATGACTTTTAAAAATAAACAGCATATGCTGTGCATGTTTTTCATGATTTTTCAGTAAAAGTGAAGAAAAATAACTATTTATAAATGAACTATTAACTTTTATATTTAACAAAATGTAGAAATCATTTAACAGAAAATATTAGAAAAAAAGGTCCATGGAATTATAAAAGTATATAATTCTTTAAGGTTTTAATAGGAGCATTAAAAAGATCTAGTAGTCCTCTTATTTTACAGCATGAGTAAAAAGTAAACCCAAAGAGGTCAAGAGCTTTGCATAAAGTCATATGGTTAAGAGGGTTAGCATATGTGGTTTTTTTACTTTTACATCTTATTTTTTAAAATCCTGTAACTGTCTTCCAAAATAAACATCAATGAAGTTAATTTTTTTATTCTTGGAAAATTATTATTTGAAAAATGCTACCAAGGCAAGACATGGATCGTAGGAAACCTTGGGTTGCTGTTTCTGTGCTATCTGAGCTGGGCAGATGCCATGTGAGAAGGCTTCAGGTTTAATCTCCCTCCATCAGAAAGATAATCACCATCATGAAGATCATCCGTGGCATCTTTGGAGAATAAAATACAAAAGCAGAGTGGCAGGAAACTCATGAGGTTTCAAGAAGGCCTCAGGGGCACAATTAAGTTAGTGACCAGGTAGGAGTTGCCCCCTCATCACAGGATGCAAGCTCTGGCTTTAAGGACCACTGTCACACAAAATTAACTACAGCTACATTGAACTGGCCTGATTGCAACTTCACAATTCTAATCTTGAAATGGATTTTATTTTTTAAGATCCTTGAAATGGGACAGGTCTACTGTGTTAAGAAGTTTTTATTAAAGTCCCATTAAGCTGCTATAACTTGGAAGGAGAAACAAGTACTAGATGTTTGTACATTTTGAGAAATGTCATGCTTAAAGGTGTTTGGTTTGGCTTTATTTTTAATGCCTGAATGGACTTAACAAAATCAGTTCCCTTAGTTCTTTATGTCTGTCTTTCTGACTAGAATGTAAGCTCTTTAATAGCAGAAGTCATTTCTGTCTTATTCACTGCTATATCCTCAAGACATGAGACAGTAGCTTGTATCCAGCAGCTGCTCCACAAAAGTATTTGTATATTTGTAAAAGGTAGGGATGAAGATGACTTTCCTCCCAAATCAGGGTATATATAAACAGACCATGCATATATTTCTTCTCTTGATCCCAGTGCCATCGATTTCCAATCATATTATGAAATAAAAATATTTTGTGATATAATTTCAGGTGACCAACCAGCTATCTCCCCTTTCATTAGAACAGCATTTTCAACAAGAAATCAAACTTTTCTTCTATTACAGAAAGATGATAATGCTAAACTATCACACAGTGCTTAGCAGCAACAGTGGCAGCAGTAGCAGAAATAATTGTAAGAGCTACCATCTATTAAACATCTGCTATAATACATTAGTCATTTAGTGCCTATTAGGTGCCATATTAAATGCACTATCAATGCTACTTCATATTAAAATTAAATATTAAATGCAATACCAATGCTACTTCACAATGCTGTGAGGTAGAAATTTTTATCCCATTTACAGATGGAGACACTGTAGTTCAGAGAGATTAAGATATTTTTCTCAAGTCACACATCTAGGAGTATTTCAAATTCAGACCTGCATGAAGCCACATTCCATATCATTTTAGTGTACCACACTGCCTTCTTAGGAGTTGACAAATGAATACGTATCCAATTAATGATTCTTACAAGCATGTTTTTAATCATTTTAGCTTATATTAAATGTGATTGTTGTATTAAAACTTACCTATTTTTAAATGTGGATTTTTTCAAATATATTTTTAATGAACTTCATTTTGTTTTGTTTTGAGATGGAGTCTTGCTGTGTCACCCAGGCTGGAGGACAGTGGCGTGATCTCAGCTCACTGAAACCTCTGCCTCCTGGGTTCAAGCGATTCTCCTGCCTCAGCCTTCAGAATAGCTGAGACTACCGGTGTGCACCACCACACCCAGCTAATTTTTGTATTTTTAGTAGAGACTGGGTTTCACTATGTTAGCCAGGCTGGTCTTGAACTCCTGACCTCAAGTGATCCACCCGCCTTGTCCTCCCAAAGTGCTGGAACTACAAGTGAAAGCCACTGTGCCCAGCCATTGTTAATGAACTTCTAATCCTCATTTTTTTAAATGTATTAATACTTAAATACTTTATACCCAAGATTCTTGTGTTTCAAGGAAAGCTTTTAAATGTTTATGTGGCATTTTAATGAAACAGAGAAGCAAAGGTACATTGTTTATTTAATCTGTTTGTCAAAGTAGATCATATTCATCACTGCTAGGAAAATCTTACCAGATTGTACCTTTTATAGAATTTTGAAAAAGCATTTATTCTTCCCCTTCCCTCACACACTTCCAGCCAATTATTTTAAAATAATGCTAACTTCTCTTTTTTAAAATACTACCTACATTTGGGAACCATGATTACAATTTCACTCAGATATTTCCATCAAATATTTCTCAGTACACCCTGACCTGATGAAACTGACCCTCACAACAAATCCATCATCAACTGGAATCAAGTGAATGCATTGTGTGACTTACTTTAGAGACAGGGAAACTAAAATCCCAGGGTCACAGGGTGAGTTAGGGAGAGTCCAGATACAACCTCAGACTCTTTCAACACTCATCCATGAATGTTGTAGTGAATTCTGTTGTTAATTATTCCACTACTTCAACAAGAGTGTTAGCTGGGCATTTAGTGTATCAGTAAGTAAACAGTTAATCCCCCTGCCCTGCTCATGGCGCAGTTTCCCAGTGCAGTAATACTGCACTCGCATATGCACGTGATACACGCATTAGCCTGAGACTCAGAAAGCTCCAGAATGGTTTGACCTTTATTTGATGACCTACAAATAACTGCCCTCATTTCCAGAACTGTACCATCCCAAAATGTTTTTCTTTTACCTTGTACTTCTGAATACTTATTTTTAACATAGCCAAAAGAAGCACAATTAAATGAAAAAGATCAAAAATCCATTCACATCATTATACTTGAAGAAGTATAAATTGGATATTCCCTTTGATATAATTTGGCATTGGGATTTAATACTGACTCAGAATTAGATTAATTATTTAAATCATGAGGTTAATGCTTATGACACATTTTGCTAAATTGTGAATTGCTATATAATCTTGAAAGGACAGAAGTTGATATGCACAAAGCTAAGTAATGCTGCATGAAATGTTTCTGTCACCCCTCGAAGTAAAAGCTGATGAAGAAAATCAGTAAGACAAAGATATAATTCAGTCAATCAGAAAGACTGTGGTCTCTAAATTAAAAAAAAAAAAAATTTTTTTTAGACAGGGTCTTGTTACATTGCCCAAGCTGGTCTTGAACTCCTGGCCTCAAGTGATTCTCCCACCTCAGCCTCCCAATATGGTCTCTAATTTGAAAAAGTCAGGAGGCAGGAGTATTTTGTCACTTCATTCCTTATTAAAATTTTTTTGTTTTTTTAAACATTAAATTTTGAAAGTCACTCTTTAGATATTTCTCAAGTTTGTAAAAATGCATGAAGAAGAAAAACTGATTATTATAATATTAAAGTTTCCTTTTCAAATTACTCAAATCTTATTTCATCTCTAAAGAGATCACCAGGGCTGTTATGCTTAAACAGTTTAGACCATGTCATTTTGCTCTCAAAAGCCACCAGGTCTTTAATGAACTGATCCCAAACCACTTCACCCAACTGCGCTTCTTGGTACATCCCACCATGTACCCTACGTGCTTATCGTGACAGCTTGTCCACACCCCCCATTCTCTTTTTCACAAATTCCTTTTAAGACTCAAAGCTCACCTTAAGTGCACTTTCTTGATGAAGCAATCCCTAATTCACACAATCAAAATAAAACAGTTCTTTCCTCTCATCACCAAAACACATTATCTTCCCACTCTTTAAGAACCTGTTTTCCTTTGGCTTGATTTATAGGGTTTTTTGATCATTCTCAAATGCAAGTACCTTGATATCAGAGATAATTTTCATCTATCTGTCTCCTCTAGTACCTAGCACTATAACTATAATTTAAAAGCTATAAATTTCCCAAACTCTGAAATGCTATGAAAACGTTTAACAGAGTTGGATTATTTTCAGACGATGTTTTGTCTGTTTTCTTTTTTATTTTAGATTTAGGGGTTACATATGCAGGCTTGTCACATAGGCTTTTTGCATGACGCTGAGGTTTGGGGTATGAATGATCCTGTCACCCAGGTGGTGAGCATAGTACCCAACAGGTAGTTTTTCAGCCCTTGTCTCCCTCCCTCTCTCTTCCCTTCTAATAGTCCCCAGTGTGAGATAATTTTTGAATTTACATTATATTTAACACAAGAAAGATAAAAGAATTGCTCCTGGCGTCAACTAATCACATCAACTGATTGTCTCCGTCTATTAGTGTTGCTATAACAAAATACCTGAGACTGGGCAACTTATGAACAATAGAAATTTATTTCTCACAGTTCTGGAAGTCCAAGATTAAGGTGCTGGCAGGTTTGGTGTCTGCTGACAGCCCATCCTCTCTGCTTCCAATATGGCTCCTTGTTGCTTCATCCTCTAGAGGGGATGAAGTTGTCCTCATATGGTGGAAGAGTTGGAAGGGAGAGAACCTCTCAAGTCCTTTTACAAGGGTCTGAATTCTATCGATCAGGGCTCTGCCCTCATGACATAATCATCTCTTAAAGGCGCCACCTTTTAATACTATCACACTGGCAATTAAGTTTCAACATACGAATTTTGGGAGACACGTTCAGACCATAGAACTGATATTTACCAACGACCTATTATCATTGTAGTTGTTCAGTACCAAATTATTGGGGAAAAGATACGAAGAAATATTAAAATGGGTCCTGCATTCAAAAAGAACACTCAGGAGGAGCATACATGTGGCTCAGATGAACACAATAGTCTCTTAGAGAAGGAAGCGATATCTTATACTTAGTGTGGTCTGAAAAAGCTGCATAGAAGAGGGAGGTTTGATCTGGACCCTGGAGAATTTAATTTCCTGACTACAGGAAATGTCATACTGAAGTAGAAAGAATTATGTGAGAAAAAGTATGGAGACAGACATGTTCAAGAGAAGTAAGATAATTTTTTGCAAAACTAATAAAGGGAAATTGGGTTGGACCAAACTATAAAAACACTTGAAGAGTTAACCTCATGACCTAATAATACCTTGTTAGTATTTATAAACCTGTATTATAAATATCCCATAATAAATACCTTGTTAGTATTTATAAACAAGGTTACTAAGGGAGTAAATTATGTACGCACGAGATAAAACCTGGCCAAGCACAGAAAGGACTCAAAACCTGAGATACAGGAAGAAGTGAAGGATCAAAAATTCTAATACCCTTGCCTCATTCTTTCTGGAATGACTGAAAAACTCAAAATCTAGACCAGCAGATTTTGCATACTTAATGAAAATGGAAAAGAGAAATTGCCTCCCCTTATATCCAATGCCTAGAGCATAGTAAATGCTCAATAAAACCTGTGGATGGAAAAAAAAAAAGAAGATGAAAGGGAGGAAGAGAAGAAAAGAGGAAGGAAGAGAAAAAAAAGGAAAGGGAGAGCAAGAGAGCTTTGAGTAGCAGCAACTTAAAAGGCTCCTTCTCAGCAAATCGGATACTGGGAAAGACCCTAAAGACTAAAATAATAATGATAACATTATTCATTTCTGTAGGCCAGACACCATTATAAGCACTTGACATGTATTAATTAATTTGATCTTCACTACAACCCACGAAGTGGGTATAATTATTACACAAATTTATTGATACAAAAACTGAGGATCAGAGAAACAGCAAGACACACACAGACAGTAGGCAATGGAACCATGATTTTAACAGTTTAACAACAGATCTTGCATTTATAACCCTGAAAAAGAGGTCACGGTTTTCTTTAGTCTTTGCAGAATATATCAAACCATTGCCAAATATAACAAACCATGGCTTCATAATAAGTCTATTCAGTTTTACTGTGTCACCCAATTGGAGGCCTGGATTGGTATTCTAAATAATAATTCAACTCACTATTTTGTATACAGTGGAAGCAACAACAAGCCTCATCTTTAAAACAAAAATAAGAGCAGCATATTTTCCTCTGCCTGCCCTAAATAAATAGCGAAGGTTAATCATATTTTAAAATATCAACTATGCTCTATGTTTATATACCACATGATTTTATTAACAATTTAATATTACAAAATGTTGTCCATCACTATAAAATGATCTCTACATCAAAGTATGTCACTCACATTAGCAATTTATATAATAGTATTTGTATGACAAATTAATTATACCAAAAGTAACTATGGCACATTTAATTATGAAATTATTCTGCTTGGACTTGAAAAGAGGCAGTCCAATGAAACACTAATCCATATTTATGTTATATATGTGTGTGTGTCTGTGTGTTATATGTACGTCTGTATGTGTGTGTGTCTGTGTGTACATATATAAATCCTTAAATAAATGAAACAGACCAAGTGACTTTTTACTTGGATATATCCTTCACTGTTCCTGCATAAGCAATGTTTGCCCACAAAGGCCACAAATCCTACATGATCCCATAATCCCAATTTGGTAGGAAAGACATTGAATTTAGCTGTTTCTTCGTAAAAATAAAAGACAGTCAAACTAGTGGGCTAAAAATAAATTGTTTCATCTGATATACCAAAATTGTTATATAGTCATACAGTTTGTGTCTAGCATTTCAAATGATATTCAGAAGCTAATTTATCACAAATACTGACAGAAGGCAAGCTTCAACATGAGGCAGATATAAAATAATTCATTTAAAAGAGGGAAAAGACCTTCTACACAAAATTCTTATCATAAAGCTTGAAAAGCTAGAACTTGATAGCATGACACAATGCACATTTAATAATGAATTAAGGCATCCTTTAGAACATTCATAGTGAAATAAATTGAAAGGTGAAAATGCAGCCTTAGCTCTCTGCACAAACTAAATGTACAGAACCAGGAATAAAGATAAATTAATCCATTTAGAAATCTTCTATAAAAGACTCTGCTAAAAAGGGTGAAATTTTGCATATCCATATTCTCTTGGAATAAAAAAATCAAGTAATGTGTTCCAAAAGACTATATTATAACTTAAATATATTCCAACATATGAGAATTGAAATATATGTAATGAAAGTTATGGATTCCCTGAACCAGTAAAATATATTTTGGAAAGAAAAAATCTCCAGATGTTATAGAATCATAAGGTTGATAAAACACTATCATCTAATATTTAAAGTCCCTGTTCAAAATAATCAAAAGTGATCACATGTTCTCTAGTTGATTACTTCTAGTAGTGAGAAACTCACTACTTCTGAGGCTGCCTGCTCCACTTTGGGGTAAACTGTTTCTCTGTATAATCCACTCTCTGGCTCTAGTTTTCTCCTCTTGTCACCAACAGAGTAAACCTAATTATTCTACATGAAAGCTCTCCAGATCATTTCAAACAGCTATCATATCCTCTAGGCATTCTCTCTTCTCCCGGCTAAATTTTCTTGATGCCTTCACCCATTCCTTAGAGGAATGTTCAAGTTTCTTCCCTTCTTCCTCTCCCCTTTAGCTGCATTTATCTTAACTGCAAAATTCTGGGTATATAGTCAGACCTAAACAGGACTCATGACAATCTGACATTCCATACTTTAATCAGTGGAGTAGTTCAAAGTTTCGTTGCCAGAGTTGTTTATTAGACAACTAACATATAAGTACTGCAACTACAATTTTTCTGTTACCAAACACCATGTGCCAGCATTGCTGCTATGTATAATGATAATACTTTTTCTGAAACTACCTTTAAAGTCAGTTTATAAGTATAGAAAATAAGATCCTGTCTCATATCATACTTTTCTTTGATTGTGCATTTATTATTCTATTGTTATTTTAAACAAGAATTAATTTACTCTGTTTAGCTACCTTATACAACATATTTTATTCTGAGTAATTTCTAGTTCTTTTAAAAAACTAGATACAACCTCAAAATATGAAAATCTGCTACCACAATCAAAACAGTATGTCATAGGACCTGAAAACAAGTCCAAAAGAAGAGCAAAAGTAGTTTGAATGATGGCAGTATTACTTGAGAGTGGCAGTATACACACACACATATGTACATATATATTCAATATATAAATATATTTTCTCAAAGTAACTGCTACAACTCATTGTGATAGGTACATTTTTATCAATGTTATAAAAATCCACAACACTAGTTTATGGCTGTAGATTACACTGGACTTATGGCTGAAACGTTATGGATGTCACAGTATCTTCCCATCCCACCCTATGCAATGTCAAATTAAAGCTTACTTCTTGTTGCTGAATCATAAACGATTAAGTGTTTGTATCTGATAACCTTCTTCATAGGTCTTATCATACTTTATTGCAATTATTAACTAACTTGTCTTCCCCACTAGAGTCTAAGCCCTTGGAAGGCAGAGACATTAGTTTTCACTTCTGTTTTACCAGCACCTAGAGCAGAATCTGGAACACAGTAATAATTTTTGCAAATATTTCAAATATTTGCTAAAATAACATCATAAAATTAGGCAATTTATTCATATTTCTCTTTGCCTCCTTTTTCAGGAAGATGAAGAAAACAAGGTAGAAATAGAACCCAAACCCAGATGTGGGGTGCTTAAAATTCTCAGCTCGATTATATCTCTCAACATAATCCAAATGAAATGCTTCACATTGAGGTGAACACACCAACTACACGTCTACATTTATTAGCCCAATATAAATAACAGTGATCAATTTCATTATAGATACTCTTTCCAACCTCAACAGCTCAAAAAATCATTTTTTAACGTTAGAAATGTTTATCATTCACATCTTAAAACTAAAAAAGAATGTAGACCCACCCAATAGTGTCAAAGTAACCAAGCCTATTAATAGAATATAACTTATAAGCAGTAAGTGTTACTATTAAATGGTTCATGGCATTTTAAAAATCATTAACATGAGCAGAAATATATTTACATAAATTACATTGTTTCTTTCAAGCTATTATTAACTAGAACATACATTTCAATAGACTTCTGGAAAGAATTATAGTATGTTCCAGTAAGTATATAGCAAATCCTTAAGAACTCCTTCCATATTAAATGTCTCATACTCTTTATTATTTGTTATCTGAGAAATACTAGCTCATGAATTATTCATAATATCAGCCAGATCTGTTACATCAGGTGTCAGATGTATCTAGAGGTAGAAAGTGCTGAGTTTTACATGAAGTATTCATTAAACTTAGTGAACTCATTAAAGTATGTTAATTAGGTAGTAGACAAAGAAACTTGGTATTTGGTAGAGATTGGGCCCTGTTAATACCTTGCTTTGTGCTAATACCTTGGCTGCAATTTTTTTCCCCCTTAATGAGCACAGGGAAAAGCTGATTATTCCAAACGCAGAAAAAGAAAAAATCACATGTGTTACGTGTTGGAAAAATTGCCCCAGGTGACAAAAAGAAACACATACCAAAGGAACTGGCACTCTAACAAAGAGTATCATTTCAAAGCTTCTAAAATTTTATTTGGTACAATATTCTGTCAAGAGAAAACTACAGGTTAATTTGGATATTATCAAAAACCGTTCATTATTTGCAATTACTGTTTGACTAATACAGCTTTTTCATCTCAATTAAGATTGGCCTATATCAAAAATGTATGATACCTGTCCTTTTTTTATTATTTTGGGTTTTTTAACATTAAAAATTTAAATACCTGAGAATATATATGTTCACTTATAGGTAAGGCAAAAGAAATCACAAGTAGTATCATTACAATAAAATAATTTCCTATTAAATGAAAGCTTTTCAAAGACTATATTAATATAGTCTTTATATATTATATATATATATAATGTAGTCTATATATAGGGTTTTCCACAAAAAGACCTGAATTTGAACATAGAAAGAGCAAACATTTGGATGCTCATGACAACCAACACACAAATTGTACTGAAAAGATGGCCTCTGGACTCTTTTATCAGAGTTTTATTAGCTACCTCCAAGATTACCATTCAAATCACACAAGCCAATTTCTATGGCTCAGTGTTATATGTGAAGTTTGCTTGTGCAAAATAATTAATTTTTATATTTAAATTAGGTATATTTTTGAAAATAAAAATAAATATTTCTTTCCAGTTGTCAAATAGCTTAAGATTTGGCCATTTTTGAGAATTGTGTCTACTACTATACATTCAACCCATAATTGAAATCCCCAGAGCCCAACATGAATAGTGAAACCAATCAATATTCAAATATGCTTTTTTTTCCACAGGACTTCACCTATCTTGTTTTTTCCTATTTCCTCTTCTTCTTTGCAAAAATTAACATTTCACACAGAATTTAACTACATAAACAAAATGATTCCACCAACATTGGGACAAAAGTGTCATATTTAGTTAGTGATCCAGAACATCACAGCAGGCTCCAATCAAAATATTATTCCATTCATGCTGTAGTCAAGACCAAAATATTAATTTTACCTTTGTCATCATTACACTACACAGCCTCTCAGATATATGATCTTGAAAACGCAAGGAACTGAATGAAGTAAAATGAACTCTTTTGAAAAGTTAAAGTGCATGATTATTTCATTTATCATCAATTCCATAGGGAAAATTTACTCATCTAAGGGCTTGCAAAGTTGCATTGATCAAAAGCCGCTACTATTTTTGGATTGAACCCATCCTTCATTGGATGGCTTCAGTTACACTCCTGCAATTCTGCTTACAGAAATACATTCTTCAATCTCTGAACTAACTTGTATACTAAATGTTGTACAAGATTTTTCTATAAATATGTTTCAAATTTTAATTGTAGCACATTCATTAAAGTGAAATGAAAATATTACATAGAATTTTTTGATGTTGCCTCTGCTTCTTAGACTGTTTGCCAAAGCTTCAAAAACTCACATAAAAAATTATGTTCATTAAGGAAACCATGTGTATATATAAATAAGGTATATGAAATTAAATGCAAGTAAGCTAAAGGAGATAGCTTTGCCCATAAAAGCAAATATGGTACTATATAATTCTCTAATGTTATATTAACTCAACACCCTAAAAATTGGAAAAAAAAAAGGAGAAAAAATCCCCACTAAACTTAGACAATAAGTCAATATTTTCCATAAATATTTTCATTCTAAGTCCTAATATTCCTCTCACAGCAGTTTTAAAAGAGAGCAATATTATGGGAAAAGTCTGTTTTCAAATATGAACTAAATATCTAAGTGATCTAATATAGTCTAGCAATGATGCCATAGGCTGAAAATATGCTAAAAAGACTTTATTTACAAGAAGCCACTGTAACAGAATGCATAATAGCTCCTGCATGTGTCATTATATCTGATTACAAATTCTAAAAACCATTTTTTATTGGTTCACTCATTAGATATTAAACATCCAATTTGATCTTGTATCAACATTATACAATTCACCAAGGTTTAAACACAAATGCTGTTCTGACTATTTGTTAGCCCAGGTGACTTTTAGTTATGAGTTCAAAGATAATACTGCACAAAAGCGTCAACTATTTTGTTTGTTGCTTCATAATAACTCTTATGACATGGTTAAAGAGATAACCAAAACTCTCATTCATTTTACTAAGAAAACAGTACCACAATGCAGGATTTAAAAAAAAGAATCAGGGTTAGAATCCCAGAGCTTCTTGTTTCTACTTTTTTCATGTCCAGTAGACCACAGCCACTATTAAAAATATTCCCTAAATGAAGCCTAACATTTCACCAGTGTGAATCTAAAGCAAAACTAAAGAAAATCTTACTGAGAAATGCTCCCCAGCATCATGTTTCTTTGCCTCAGGAAATTTCTTGGCAGGAGGAAAACAAATGTTACAAATATCTATTAACAAAAAATGTATGCAGTTATGAAATATACAGCCTCCCCAATTCTACATAAACATCAAAAATTCTTGGTCAAACTATCAGCTGTTCAAAAAAATTCATATTATAACAACAATTTGACAAGATTATATTGTTTCAACATCTTTGGAAACCAATTGAAACAAAAATGTGCAGATAAAATAAATTTTATATTGCTACTCCAAGTTTGTAATACCCTGCAACACAGATATGTAATCATATTTCACAGTGTCCTGCTTC
Organism: Homo sapiens; assembly: GCF_000001405.40. Classification (NCBI taxonomy): domain Eukaryota; kingdom Metazoa; phylum Chordata; class Mammalia; order Primates; family Hominidae; genus Homo; species Homo sapiens. Next base: position 161,663,674 of record NC_000002.12, on the reverse strand, counting down.
CCCTTTTGTACTCCCATCCCCACCCCACACTTTCCCAGCCTCCATCTCCATTAACTAGTTTTATAATTTATATTTTCCCTCACTTTAAATCTTCTTTCTTTCATTAATAAGTAACATGTTTAGATTCAAGTATGTTAAAAGGGAGTGTTTGATAATATTACATTCCAATGTGGTGCAATATTCACAATATCATACCCAAAACTTAACATATGGCCTTTAAAAGGTAAAGCGATAACTCAGAAAGAAAATGAAAAGGTGAGTAATCGCCACTTAAAAATAATTGTGTAGAGAATATGGAAATATAGCCCCAAATCATCAAAGAAAAAGATGAAAGAGTGTAAATACAAAATAAGCAAAAAGAAACATATTCTTCACTTCAGGTTTTAAATTTGTTTTTTGTGTGTTTGGTATTCTTATTTCCCTTAAATTGATTTGTTAAATGGCTGTTTTCCTCTAATTTGGTTCCAGTATTTTAAAAATTGTTTTAGTCCCTTCAGAAATGAAACAAGATATGGCTGTTATAAAAAAGATTTCTTAGAAATTATCTAAAAGGCAAATGAGGTACTGTGAACAAGAGTATGATACTATAGTCCCTCATCTAATTTACAAGAGCAATTTACCACATTACCTAATGGGGTACCATAAGGACACAAAGTTAAGTTGGGGGAAGGGGGGTGGACAATACACACAACCAAAACTGCCAGGTCCACGTCTATCTTTCCTCTCAACTGGAAGTTAAAGACAAATGCACTGGCAACCTATCAATCATCCTCATCAACCAGTTACTCTTGCAGTAATATCCACTTCAAAACACAATGGACACTTCCAAGATTTATGTAGGACATACAGATATAGCAATGGTTTGTCAGCTTAGAGAGCAATAGGTAACTGTTACTGACTTTAGTTCCTGGGTAAAACAAAACACAACAAAACAAAAAGCTTTGGAATATGGAGGTACTAAGGCCTAGAGGTAAATTTATAAATATATGCATATGACTTTCAAAGATCCTGCTGTGAGTGAAGTTGAAATGTACTGGTTTCAATTTTAAATATACAGACATTCTCATGGCTAGCAAATCATACAGAAATCTGATTAACCATGAGTCAAGATGCCTGAAGGGAAAGCTCAGGAAAACAAGGGAATTACAAACAAGAGAAAAGTTGTTGGTTTTTATTACTGCTATTATTGTTGTATTATTTTTGTAATACAGGCTACCTATTTTGATAGGGCAGAATAGTTTCTAGTCACAGAGATTACTGGAAGACAGTTTTTAAAAAAAAATCCTGCATCTCCTTAGAGAGAAAACTCTTTTAAATACACACTAATTATAATAAATTACAATTTTAAGGAAACTGTAAGCCACTCCATATTTGTCTCCTCAAAACAATGAATAAAGAGGTTTGATTGTTCTGGATATGGTTTTAAAAAAATGAATACTTAAGCAATATTTTTTTTACCGTAGAAAAAATAAGCTGTAAAACAATTTAGATACAATCTAACCAGAAGTAAGGAAAGAGCCTAGACGATCTCTTAGTCTCTTTAGCAATTGTTTATGATATAAAGAATATATACATTACCCAAACATTCATATTAGATTACTGCATGAGGGAGAAGTTAAAAGAGTCTGTAGAGTCAGGATACTAGTCATTTTAACTATTAATGAGTAGAATATCTCCATAAAGCGTATTTTCTGAAACTACTGTTTTTACTTTTCAAAGTACAAGGTATGAGGTCCCATGCTTAGCTTGTGAATATTACAAGTTTAACTAAAATTCCATTATCTGAAGTAAGGTAGCCTAATGTACTAAAATATTCATTGATAGTAAAATATATATTTTTTTTGCTGAAATCTTAAGTTTCATCACTTTTACTTCCTACTAAGATTGTACAAATAATGTTAACTATGCAGTTTGAATAATTCAATTTGAAAAATGGGAATGAAGCCAACAAATAGAAAGCCTAAAAAGTATTAATGAATTCCTCAGAGATCCATAAACAAATGATGCTAAAAGACAAAGCAGTACATTTTCACAGGCATTCTAGGAAAATCTCATACAGTAAAATTCCATAAAGCACTTTCAAACAGAAGCTAAGTATTAGACTATCCTGAAGATTTCTAAACTCAATCTAATCAAAAGAAAGACTTCCACTCATTCAGTTTCAATACTGTCATTAAACACTATTCTTGTCTCTCTTTTTTTGAGACGCAGTCTCGCTCTGTTGCCAGGCTGGAGTGCAGTGGTGCAATCTCGGCTCACTGCAACCTCCGCCTCCCAGTTCAAGTGATTCTCCTGCCTCAGCCTCCAGAGTAGCTGGGACTACAGGCGTGCGCCACCACGCCCAGCTCATTTTTGTATTTTTAGTAGAGACGGGGTTTCACCATGTTGGCCAGGATAGTCTCTCGATCTCTTGACCTTGTGATTCGCCCACCTCAGCCTCCCAAAGTGCTGGGATTACAGGCGTGAGCTACTGCGACTGGCCAACATTATTCTTGTCTTGCCTTTTCATGATGTTCGTATTACACTAGAAGAGAAACAAATTAAATTGGAAGACCCTAATGAACAGCAGATAGAAAAGGAAATTATATGATATAAATTAAAAATCGTTAAGCTATAATTTTAAATGGACAATATGTGATCTGGGGTGCTCCTGAAATCTTATTCATATAATCAAAGCTTATTTATAAATCTAATTTAATAGAAAAATGCATACATGGCTGGGTGTGGTGGCTCACACCTGTAATCCCAGCACTTTGGGAGGCCGAGGCAGGTGGATCACTAGGTCAGGAGATCTAGACCATCCTGGCTAACATGGTGAAACCCGTCCCTACTAAAAATAAAAATAAAAAAAAAATTAGCTGGGTGTGGTGGTGGGCGCCTGTAGTCCCAGCCACTTGGGAGGCTGAGGCAGGAGAATTGCTTGAACCCGTGAGGCAGAGGTTGCAGTGAGCCAAGGTCGTGTCACTGCACTCCAGTCTAGGTGACAGAGCAAGACGCTGTCTCAAAAAAAAAAGGAAAGAAAGAAAGAAAGAAGGAAAGAAGGAAAGGAAGAAAGAAAGAAAGAAAGAAAGAAAGAAAGAAAGAAAGAAAGAAAGAAAGAAAGAAAGAAAGAAAGAAATATAGATGAGTACACAAACTATTAATGTACTTTTGTTTCTTACTTTTCATCCAAAAGGATATATGATTTTTTGGCCAAATATGGTAGAAGTCCTGGACAACAATAATGCTCTCATATACTCCCACTTGTTCTTACTGAAAATTCATCAATACATAACTATATTTCTCAATTTTGGATACTCATGCCTTAGCAGATGGAACGTGCCACACGATAAAATGTTGAAAGTCAAAAGAAGTAAGGAGATCAGTAAATAATTTGGTTTCAGCAGAATGCTAGAATATAACTTAGTAGTTGTTAGAGCCTAAATAAACCTTTACTGTGGACTCAAAGAAAATGCTAGAATGTCATGCAATTCTTTATTTTTAGCAGTTTTATTGAGATGTAATTCATATACCATACAACCCAACCATTTAAAGTGCACAATTCAATGGTCCTTAGTATGCTCACAGAGTTCTGTAACCATCACTATAATCAATTTTAGAACATTTCCATCACCCCCCAAAAGAAACTCTGTGCCTATTAGCAGTGACTTTCCTTCCCCCTCCAACCCTCATCCCCTCTTCACCCCAGGCAACCACTAATCTACTTCTGTCTCTATGGATTTGCCTAATCTGGACATTTCATATAAATTGAATCACACAATATTTGGTCTTTTGTGACTGGCTTCTTTCACTTAACATAATGTTTTATGGTTCATTCATATCGTAGCATATATCAGTACTTCATTCCTTTCTAATATTGAATAATATTCCACTATATGAATATGCTGCATTTTATATAGCTATTCATCAGTTGATGGGCATTTGAGATTTTTCACTTTTTGTCTATTATAAATGTTCTTATGAACATTCTTCTACAGGTTTTTCTGTGGACATATGTTTTCCTTTGCAATTCATTTTTTGTTTATTTTTTATTTATTTATTTTTGTATAAATTTAAGGGGCATAAGTGCGATTTTGTTCCATTGATATGTTGCATAATAGCTTTCAGTGTGTCCATCACCCAAAAAATATACACATGTACCCATAAAGTAATTTCTCATCACCCACTCCCCATTACTCTCCTACCTACTTTCATTGCATAATGGCTTTCAGTGTATCCATCACCTGAAAAATATACACTGTACCCATAAAGTAATTTCTCATCACTCACTCCCCATTATTCTCTCACCTTTCCAAGTCTCCAGTGTCTGTCATTCCACACTCTCTGTCCATGTGTACACATTATTTAGTTCCCAATTATAAGTGAGAACATGCAGTATTTGACTTTACTTAAGATAATGGCCTCCAATTCCATCCATGTTGCTTCAAAAGATATGACCTCATTCTTTTTTATGGCTGAATAGTATTCCATCGTGTATATATACCATCTTTTATTTATCCAGTCAACCAAAGATGGACACACAGATTGATTCCATATCTTTGCTATTGTAATTAATGCTGTAATAAACACATGAATGAAGGTACCTTTTTTATATAATGATTTTTTTTTCCTTTGGATATGTACCCAGTAGTGGGATTGCTGGACTAAATGGTAATTCTAGTTTTAATTCTTTGAGAAATCTCCACACTGTTTTTCATGGAGGCTATATTAATCTACTTTCCACCAACAGCATGTAAGTGGCAATTAAATCTTTAAATACTAATTTTAAAAAGAAATACAAAACTGGCCAGGCTCGGTGGCTCATGCCTGTAATCCTGGCGCTTTAGGAGGCTGAGGCAGGCAGATCACTTGAGGTCAGGAGTTTGAGACCAGCCTGGCCAAAAAGGTGAAACCCCATCTCTACCAAAAATCCAAAAATTAGCTGGGCATGGTGGCATGCACCTGTAACCCCAGTTACCTGGGAGGCCGAGGGAGAATTGCTTGAGCCCAGGGGGCAGAGGTTGCAGTGAGCCGAGATTGTACCACTGCACTCCAGCCTGGGCAACAGAGCAAGACTCCATCAAAAAAAAAAAAAAAAAGGAAACTATTTTCTTAAACACATGGTAAAAATATTGTATACTTGTCTCAATACTTTTTGTTGGTGGTCATAATCATAAATATAATGTAAGCAAAATTCACCATACTGTGTGCAAATCCAGTTGCCCTTTGATTTTGCTGAGTTCAGCCAAAATTACTATCCATTAAGCTGAACGCCAGATTTGTTTCAACAGATACAAAACCAAGAACTTTTCAAGAATGCTTTCTCCTACTCTGGAGTGGAACCTATTAAACAGCAAGGCAAATACTATCAATTGTTTTATCTTAAATGTTTTAATTCATCTGGGTTTTTCTTTAAATTGATTTTTTTCTGCTCTGGGTTGATATTCTATGTTGAATCTAAAAAGTAAGGATTCAGGCTAAAGTTTTCTAATGCAAAATTTCAATGCACTCATAAAATAGAGCTTTGCAGGACAGCAAATCAATCTGTAAGCATATGTTGAAAAGACTGACTATCTCCTAAATTAACAAGTTAGTTAACATCTAAAAGCTACTCATTGCTTGCAGGAAAAGAAAAAAATAAGTGATAAATTGTGTCATGAGCACCCTATAAGTAGAAAAGAAAAATGCCCTGCTATTAACAAGTAAAATACTCTGTCATTTACTGTCATTGCCCTGAAGATTGTGTATTGGCCTATTATAATTTAATTAAATAATTATAATTGCATATTGGTCTATTATAATTTGGTATGTTGTAATTTAACTCCAACTCAAAATAAGTTAGAACTTCTCATCATTCATCCATATTTTCTACTCCTCCCGTATTTTCTGTAGATTGTTATTTTAATTGCATATTGGTCTATTATAATTTCCCATTTTAGTTTTTTAAGCTATCTCTTTAATTTCATAGAAAGATTTTATTTTCTCCCTATGTTAACAATTTAGAAATAACAGAAACAGCTTTAACAAATTTATCATATCTATCATAAAGACCCATCATTGTATCATATAAAATTAAAAATTGGTGTATTTTCTTGATAAAAAATATTCCCAGTTATGAACATTTGCTTCATTGTTAAAAAAATAATAATAATAATCCTGATGAAATCTTTTATTTATTCTTCTTGGGTATTTAGAGAAAGGTAAGTGTATAAAATATGAAGAGTAGGTTATAATAACTTTACTCAACTAATAGCTTAAATCTAGAAATAATCTAGAACAATATATTAGGAAACACTTTAATTTTACGAATTTTACATGGTGTAGTAGAAAATAAAAGAATTAACATTTTTTGATCTATTTTTATGTGCCAGGCTTTATCCTAGATGACTTTAACATGTCATCTCACTGATCCCCACAAAAGCCATGCAAAATAGGTATTATATCTCTATTTTTCAGATAGATAAACTGAAATTCAGAGAATAAGCTTGTTAATACTGAAAACTCATTATCTTTCTACTCAATATTCATATATATTAAGTAATAACAAACAAATATTCAGAAGGGAAAATTATTCTAAAATGCTGCAAATTTGTCGTGTTTATTATTAAAGCTTGCTACAATTATTAGACATTTTAATAATGATAGATTTGCTGTAGAAAGAAATCCTCAGAAAACTCTTGAATATCACCTGAAATATTACATCTCAGAATCTAACAAATTATAAATCTTTGCATATTTGACTACATAATATTTTTACTTCATGTTCAGAACACCATTTTTAAGCTTATAATATTCTCAATTTTTTATGAGAACCAAATGAAATATGTAAAATCAAATGAAATAAACACCGATATTAACAAAGAACATATATGCATTTCACAATATAGCTATCTATTTATAAAACAAAGCACATTTTTAGAAAATTCTTATAATAGAATTTCTAATTCTCAGGCCTAAGTTCAATTGGCTTGAATGCTAGTCAATGTAGAAATTTTTAAATGGTCAGCTGGTGACTCAGGCACGAAACATTAATTCAAAGATATCACTTTTATGCAAAAATATATTGTTCAATTCTTGAGTTATATTTGTATTTTATACATGTTATTAGAATACAGTTTCAAAGTTGAGCCATATTCAGAATACATAATAACTGAGTAGTGATCACATTTGTTTTAATACATTCTACACCTCCTCATTTATTTAAAAATAAATAATTATACAATAGATAAATGATGTCATTTCTATGTTCTTGTGTGTGAATATTTTTAATTTAAATTGCCAATTTTTATATACAGTGAACAATTCATTCACTACTTAATACTCTGCCACTAAAATATAATTAGTAATATGTTGAAACAGCTTAAGAAAGATGTCTCAAAATACAAAAGAATCCTGAGAGTTTTTATCAGAAAAAGGTGTCAAATTTTGTCAAATGCTTTTTCTAGATCTATTGAGATGATCATGTGATTTTTATCCCTCATTCTGTTAATGTGGTATATCACGTTTATTGATTTGTGAATATTGAACCATCTTTGCATTCCAAAGATAAATCCCACTCAGTCATGATGTATTAAAAGAATTTTTGGCTGGGCCTGGTGGCTCATGCCTGTAATCCCAGCACTTTGGGAGGCCGAGGGGGTTGGATCACGAGGTCAGGAGTTTGAGACCAGCCTGACCAACACGGTGAAACCCCATCTCTACTAAAAATACAAAAATTAGTCAGGCATGGTAGCACACGCCTGTAATCCCATCTACTCAGGAGGCTGGGGGAGGAGAATTGCTTGAACCAGGGAGACAGAGATTGCACTGCCCCGAGATCATACACTGCACTCCAGCCTGGGTGACAGAGCGAGACTCCGTCTCCAAAAAAAAAAAAAAGAAGAATTTTTAATGTGTGTTGACTACAATTCGCTAGTATTTTGCTTTTGCATGTACTTCATCACCAATATTGGCCTGTAGTTTTCTCTTATAATGTCTTTGTCTGGTTTTGGTAGCAGGGTAATATTGGCCTCATGAAATGAATTTAAATATATTCCCTCCTCTTCTGTTTTTTGGAAAAGCTTAAAAATGGTTGTCATGAATTCTTTCTTAACTATTTGATAGAATTCACCAGTGAAGCCATCTGATCCTGGGCTTTTCATTGGGAGGTTTTTGGTGACTAATTTAATCTTCTTGACATAGTAAAGGCCATGTATAAAAAGCTCACAGCTAACATCATGGTCAATGTGAAAAAACTGAAAGCTTTTCGTCAAAGATCAGGGAAAATGCAGGGATGACCATTCTCGTCATTTCTATTCAAAATAGTACTGGAAGTCCTAGCCAGAGAAATAAGGTAAGAAAAAGAAATAAAGACATTCAAATCAAAAACAGAAGTGAAATTGTCTCTGTTTCTTGAGAACATGATTTTATATATAGACAAACCTAAATATCCCACCAAAAAACTGCTAGAATAAACAAATTCAGTATTGCAAGATACAAAATCAACATACAAAAATTATTTGTATTTATACTAACAATTAGCTATCTAAAAAAGAAATTAAGAAAACAATCACATTGACAATAGCATGAAAAAAATAAAATACTTAGTAATAAATTTAACCAAGGAGGTGAAAGACCTGTACATTGAAACTTACAAAAGATTGAAGAAGGAAAGTTTAAAAGACACAAACAAATGGAAAGATATCCTGTGTTCATGAATTCGAAGATTTAATATTGTTTAAATATTCATACTAGCCAAAACCACCCACAGATTCAATTCAGTCTCCATCAAAATCCCAATGGCATTTTTTTACAAATAGAAAAACAATTCTGCAATTCATATGAGACCACAAAGAACCCCAAATAGCTAAATCAATCTTGAGAAAAAAGAGCAAAACTGGAGGCACCACACTCCCTGATTTCAAAATATATCATAAATCTACAATAATTAAAATAGCATGGTAATGGAATAAAGATAAACATACAGACCAATGAAACAGAATAGAGAGCCCAGAAATAAACCCATGCATATAAGGTCAACTAACCTTTGACAAGGGTGCCAAGAATACACACAGGGAAAGAATAGCCTCTTCAACAAATGGTGATGGAAAAACTGGATATTCACATACAAAAGAATGAAATTTGTCCCGTATACCATTTACAAAAAATTTACTCAAAATGGATGTAAGACTTAAACATAAGACTGGAAACAAACTCCTAGAAAAACAACATAGAGGAAAAGCTTCATGACACTGGTCTTGACAATGATTTCACGACTATAATAACAAAAGCACAGGCAACAAAAGCAAAAATATACAAATGCAACTACAACAAACAAAAATTATTCTGCCCAGCAAAGAGTGAAAAGGCTCCACAGAGTGAAAACGCAACCTACACAAAGGGAGAAAATATTTGCAAGCCATATATCAAATAAAGGTTTAATTTCCAAAATATATAAGGAACTCCTATAACTCAGTAGCAAAACTCTAATAACCCAATTTAAAAATGGGCTAAAGACTTGAAGAGGTACTTCTCCAAAGAAGACATACAAATGGCCAGTGTTATATGAAAAGACGGTCATTGTCACTAATCATCAGAGAAATGCAAATTGAATTACTTAAGACATCACTTCACACCTGTGGTGGTGGCTATTTTCAAAAAAACAAAAGATAACAAGTGTTAGGATATAGAGAAATTGGACACTTATACACTGTTAGTAAGAATGCAAAATAGTAGTCATGGAAAAAAGTATAGAGATTCCTCAAAAAATTAAAAATAGAATATAATCCAGCAATCCCACTTCTGAGTATGTATCCAAAGGAAATGAAATCAGCATTTTGAAGAGATATCTACATGCCTGCATTCCCATATTAATTGTAGCATTATTCACAGTATCCATGATGCGGAATCAATCTAAATATCCACTGATGGATGAACGCATAAAGAAAATGTGGTATATACATACAATGAAATACTCAGTCTTTAAAAAGAAGAATATCCTGCCATATTTGACAACATAGATGAACCTTGAGGACATTACGCTAAGTGAAATAAGCCAGTCTTGAAAAGACAAATACTGCATTATTCCACTTATATAAGATATTTAAAATAATCAAATTCATAGGAAGAGAAAGTATAATAAACAGTGGTTCAATGAAATACCATCTCATGCCAGTTAGAATGGCGATTATTAAAAAGTCAGGAAACAACAGATGCTGGAGAGGATGTGGAAAAATGGGAATGCTTTTACACTGTTGGGAGTGTAAATTAGTTCAACCATTGTGGAAGACAGTGTGGTGATTCCTCAAGGATCTAGAACTAGAAATACCATTTGACCCAGCAATCCCATTACTGGGTATATACCCAAAGGATTATAAATCATTCTACTATAAAGACACATGCACACTATGTTTATTGCAGCACTGTTGGCAATAGCGACGACTTGGAACCAACCCAAATGCCCATCAATGATAGATTGGATAAAGAAAATATGGCACATATACACCATGGAATACCATGCAGCCATAAAAAAGGATGAGTTCATGTCCTTTGCGGGACATGGATGAAGCTGGAAACCATCATTCTCGGCATACTAACACAGGAACAGAAAACCAAACACCACGTGTTCTCATTCATAAGTGGGAGTTGAACAATGAGAAAACATGGATGCAGGGAGGGGAACATCACACACTGAGGCCTCTCGAGGGATTGGGGGATAGGGGAGGGATAGCATTAGGAGAAATACCTAATGTAGATGATGGGTTGATGGATGCAGCAAACCACCATGGCACGTGTATACCTGTGTAACAAACCTGCACGTTATGCACATGTATCCTGGAACTTAAAATATACTTAAAAGAAAAGAATGTATATTCTGCAGTTGTATGAAGCATTCTATAAATGTCAATTAGGTCAAAAAAAAAAAAAAGAATAAACGGTGGTTTTCAAGGGCCAGGGTAAAGGGGAAATGGAAAGTTGCTGATCAATGGTCATAAAATCTCAGTTATGCAAACTGAAAAATTTCTAGGCATCTGCTACCCAACATTGTTCCTATAGTGAACAAGACTGTATTTTACATTTAAACTTTTGTTGAGGGTAGACCTCATGCTAATATTCTTGCCACTATAAAATAAAAATATTTTAAAAAGAGAACCCTGAAAACTGAAATGTCCTGTATCACTTTAAGCCCTAAATATTTTCAAAGAGGTCAATATATTAGAAATGTAAATATATTTGTATATGTTATTACTTCTGAAGTTTTAAAATTCTTCACATATGTGTGTGTGTGTGTATATCTTTTCTCTTGCATTCAACATGATCCCTCAAAACAACAAGAAAAAATTACCAATGCCCAAAGCTGTAACAATTTGAGCAAGAAAATAAATAACATAGTATTGACTCATACCCCAACGTGTAAAAGAAATATGCATGATCCATACTGATATAAATAAATGATTGAATATAGATAAATGGAAGATAAGGGATAAATTTTCTTCACAGAACAAAAAGTACAAATAATGAATGAGAACAAATAATGTACATAGGTACCTCCTCTCTTCCTGGAGGTGGAGCTTCCCCTCCCCTGAGTATGGGCTGGACTTAATGAGTGGATTCTAAAGAGTAAAGCATGAAAGGGATAGAATAGTAACTTTACAGTGGAGAAAACTGGCAGACATTACTTTAACCAAGTGATCAAGATTAACATCACCAAGTGATAAGTCAGGTTGATATTGTCACAGGATCTTTGGGGTGTCAATTTGCCAGCCAGAAGCCTCTGTGGCCAGCGGCGCCTTCTGCCTGAGTATTGCTCAGGTCCACTGGGATCATTCTGCCCACTCAGCTGAGCAGGTGCACTCGGCTTGCGCAACCAGCCTGGATCCCACACCTGCCAAGGGCAAGCTAGGCGCAGAGCAGGGAGGGATGTGTGTGTAAGCAAGCTCAGGGTCTGGCCACTGCACACAGCCAGGCATGCCAGCTGCTGTGGTGGGGCAGGCAGCTCCAGGCGCCGGCACAAGTGCTAGCTCCGTGCAAGGCTGCAGCAGGACCAGATGTACCACTTGTGGCCTCTGCTGCGGGCACCCACATCTGGACTTGGGGAATGTGGTGGCGCCCAGAAGCTTAAAGATGCCAGAAACCGCAGAGCCCCAAAGAGGGTGTCACAGCCCTGACTCAGGGAGGTCATAGGTCTGGGCTCCCTGAAGGGCTGAAGCTCTTCTCTCCTTCTTGTCACTTGCAACATGGCAAGCAGGGGGGCATGTTGCAGCCCTGTTTGTATTACAGCTCTTTTAGTCCTGCCATTTGGCGGGTCTCAAGTTCTTGTCCTGCATCCAGGAAGAATGAGGTACACAGACAACCGGAGGGTGAGCCAGGTGGAGAGGAACTTCACCAAGCGACAGAACAGCTTTCAGGAGACCAGCAGTGGGTAGCTCCTTTCCACAGGCAAGTTGTCCAGATGAGTGTCCAGCTCTCAGCAGAGAGACCCACAGTGGGTAGCTCCTTTCCACAGGCAGTTTATCCTGAACAGGCGAGGAGTCCCAAAATGGGTAGCTCCTTCCTACAGCTGGTAGTCCCAACATCTGTATGAGTCTGGCTGAGTCCGGAGGCGGGGTGGGGTTATGGGCTCAGAAGGGAGGAAGTGCATGCTGATTGATCCATGGTTGACCATGGAAAAGCCTGGAAAAAGAACCATAAGTTTTCACTCCAGGTGGCAGACTCCACTCAAAACAGACAGTACAGCCCCCAGGCTTCAGGCCATCTCTGGCTCAAAGGCGGGGCTTCTCCAGGGACCTGCCCTTTCTGCCCAAGAGCCTGTCTGCCTCTTGCCGCCATCAACATGCTGTCCATGGCGCCCAGGCTGTTCCTGCTGAGGTACACCTGTAGGCCCATGCCTAGCTGCTCCCAGCCCCCACTCAGCCTCCCTCCCATGCTCATTGGCACCCAAAGTCCAGAGGTGGCCAAGGCAGCAGGGGGCTGGTGTTTTAAGTGCCGCCTTGAGTGGGTGCATGCACACCCAGCCAGGTTGCAACCGCACCTGGGCTCAGCCTCAACTTTGCTCCGAAATTAGAGCAGGTGTCAACAGCCGGGAGGAACAGGAGCCGGCACTTCCAAGCTTGTGGGGGCAGGGGGTCTTCCCAGGCCCCCCGAGAGTGCCGGGATGCCCAGATCCAGAGCCACAGCTAGGCTGCTGCAGCTGCACACAGAAACATGGGGCTCCCCTGTCCAGTAAACTCGGTAGAGGGCAGGCCTCCTGCCTGCTCCCAGCCCCCGCTGGCTCCATGACCAAGCACACAGCCCTGGCCAGGCCTCCGCCGCTGCAGCTGGCGTTCCTGCAGCAGCTTCTCCAGACGGGCCACTGCTGCCATCATTATCATGTAACACACCACCTGATATGACGTAATGAAAAAAGACGCCTCACCTTTGTGGTGTTCTTCCCAAAAATCACATAACCCCAGTCTAATCATGCAGAAAACATCATACAAGTCCGAATCAAGGAACATTCTACAACATATCTGACCAGTACTATTCAAAAGTATCAAGATCATGAAAAACAAAGGAAGAGTGAAACTGTCACAAATCAGAGAAGACTAAGGAGATATGACTACTAAGTTCAATGTTGTATTCTTGATGAGAACTGGAACAGAAAAAGGCCATTAGTGGGTAAACTGGTGAAATATGAATGTAATCTATAGCTTAGTTGAAAGTAATACACCAATGTTAATTCCTTAGTTTGGAAAAAGTTACCATGTATGACATTAATAGTAGAGGAAATTGAGTAAAGAATATATGGGGGCTCTCTATCTTTGCATCCTTTCTATAAACTTGAATTTATTCCAAAATAAAAAGATCAGGTTTTTAAAGCTTATTAGATTTGAAATAATAAGGTTAAATACCTGTCTTAAAGCACTACAAAAAAAAAAATGTCTATTTAGGCCTAAGGACCAAAAAAGTATTAAAATATATAATACATATGAGAGAATATATTTTTGAACTTGACTAAAATACAAAAAGCAAAAACTGACAAATGAAAAGATTGATAAATTTAACTACCCTATGAAAAACTTCTATAGAAAAACTCCACAAATAAACAGGCAAAATAAAATAAAATTGATTTAAAAATAAAATAAACCTAGAAAATGAGATTTGAAATATAATTAATAAACAAAATGTCAGAATCTATAAGTCTTAAGAATCTGTAAGAAAAAATAGTCTATGTTTTTAAGTGGATAAAACTATGAACAGGCAATTCACAGAAAAAGAAATGGCCACTAAATTTGAAAATATATTCTAAAGAAATCCAATTTTTAAAATAGTCACATATTGTTTTTCAATCATTAGATTGGCAAAAGCAATTTTTTTCGAGACAAGGTCTGGCTCTGTCACCCAGGCTGGAGTGCAATGGCACAATCTCGGCTCACTGCAAACCCTGCCTCCCAGGCTCAAGACATCCTCCCATTTCAGCTTTCCGAGTAGCTGGGACTACAGGAACATGCCCAGCTAATTTTCTGTATTTTTTGTAGAAACGGTGGTGTCACTTTGTTGCCCACGCTGGTCTCAAACTCTTGAGTCAAAGGGATCCACCACCTCGGCCTCCAAAGTGCTGGGATTACAGGCGTGAGCCACTGTTCCTGGCCCACAATTTTTAAATAATATCACATTTGGGAGAAAGGACGAGTTAAAAAATCTCAAAAACTGCATAAAAATTGGGTCAGCCAATCTGGAGGACAATTTTCTGAAAATCTAGTATAATTTTTGATGCAACTAGGGATCTCAATATCTACCAGGAACACACATAAGTTTTTCACTGAGGTATTACTTATAAAAGGAAAAAAAATAAAAAACAACTGACCTAAATGCCCATCAATAGAGAAATAGTTACACAGACTGTAGAATATGCAACAGACAAACAATGAGATAGATCAATCAACCCACATGCATAGCTCTCCAAAACATATTGCTTAAATAAAAAAGCAATTTATAAAGCAATAGTATGATACCATATTGGGGTACACCCTCAATGTTATGTATTATCCCTGGGTACATGCCAGGTCTGGAAGCATAGTCACCAAACTGAAACAGTGGTTAATTCTGGGAAAATTGGAGGAGGCTAACACTCAGGGTTGGTGATCAACGGAAACCTTAGCTCTCTATTTTTTACAACTAAATTATATGAATTGTTTCAAATATTTGGAATTTATTGTTTTTAAAGAACATTTGGTCCTATTTATCAATTATTAGAGTCTCAGGATGAACAATACTCCAATAAATATCACAGTAATCACTTCAAAGTTCTTACCAAGCAAGCATTAAGCTTAGATAGGAAATTGAAGTCAGCGGAGCCAAGTCCTTAACACTCAATAGCATATACTGTACGTTTTCAATAAATATTCGAATGAAGGGGTAAGTGAATGAGTAAGTAATCACATAAGATTATCTATTTTGAAAAGTATAGTTGCAGCCTCAGGTAAGTAAACTATAAGAGAATGCTGCCATTTCACAGAGTAACAGAAAAAAAAAAAAGTTGACCACATTAAGATTCCAGACATCTGAGTTCTAGTGTTGGTTTTGCCACTGACTTATTGCATCACAGTTAAATTAGCCCAACTGAGCCTGATTTTGTTTAAAATTTTTTCTTGAAAATAATGCTGCTGCCTTAATTACTTCATACAGATGTAGAACACAGAGGCAGAAATGAGATCATAGATATAGTAATATTTTGAAAAATGCATGAATGCTATACCACTAGTAAAAGAACTTTTGAAGAGCTTCTAAAAACCAGCCATCATGCCATTTAATCGGGTTGGTATTATTGCTCTGCAGCGAGTACTAGTAGTGAAAAAGTGGTCATTGAGACTGGACCTTCTCCTCTAATCCAATTTGCCTGATCTTTGTGACATCTGGATGACAGAGAGAAGATTTATAACGTATAAAATATAGAACTAGAAATTACCTATGTTTAAGTGTTAAGGAAACTGAAGCTACAGGGAAAACAGTTTGAAAGAGAATTACTATACATTTTAATAATATCATGCTAATACTTTTATGGTTAGCTCAGTCAACCTAGTTTTCCCTTTTTTCTCTAAGAACACAAGATAATCATTTCATTACTACGTTGTGCTTCCATCTTTTTCTTGTAGTTCTTTCTTAAACATATAAATTCTAAGTTGGCTTTAAAATTCATTTCAAATTTTGGTGTATATCTATAATACTTTAATATATAAATTATTTCACAGTAAATGATCTAAGATATTGATCAAACACAACATCAAAAAATTATTTTTATCATTATAGTTGCATGCAGAAAAATGAGACATACATTTATTTGGACATATCATCTTGATTATCAATTAATATTTCAAATTCTTCATGGTTTAATCTCTTCTAATTTGGACATGAAAATAAATATGTTCCTTGACAATCACCCTGACAGGCTGAAATACCTGAAATTAATCTGTTCAATTATTTGAGGAAATATACCATTAAACATGATAGGCATGTAAATATTGTTAACTATGGGATTACAAGGACATCTGAGGAAGTACTTAGTTTCAGTGTTAAATCAGGGCAGTGTGATTTCTCCAAATGAAAGAGGAACCATAACAGATTTCGTTAACAGTTTTCAATTAAGAAGATCCTGTATAATCATTCCAGAAGAAGAAAAAGTTGATTTTTGAAAAGCCTCCTCTAAAATCTCTAAGCACTGAAGATATGCCACTGCTACAAGAATAGTACCTATTTTAGAACTGCGAATAAATGAGGAAAAGTTAGAAATTATGCTCTCATAAAACTCTTCGTAACTAAGATAATGAAAATTTCAGAAACAATACATAAGAAAACCAGGTGAAAGGGAGGATTTCAACAAATGTGAAATGTTTTCCTATTATAGTAGCAAGGCTTTCCATAAATTTTTGTCACTGTGTCAAGGATAAAAAATATCTATGGCACTGGATATGTCTAATTTTGAAGAAATTAATTTACAAGGAAGAAATAATTTTCTAGTTATAATCTTAGAGTATTATCAGCAGTACTGATTACAAAATATATATTTACTTATTTAGACATTTGAAAATATGTCCTAAAATCTCTTCTGATTCACACATAGAACTTTCAAATTTTAACAGGCTATACAAGGATAAATTTGAGCTCTAAAGTATAGGTATAAAGACTTTCACACTATGTGGAACAATAGTGTGAAAATTATTAAGTTAGCCTATTATTTTCTGCTTCAGAGCTTCAAAATATTTCCAAGTTATTTGTGATGCATAATTCAAACAAGTTAGAGAGAAATTTTTGCATTGCTTTATTTTTAGCATATTTGTTTTTAGCAACCATCCCTTTACATTTGGTTTAAAGGCATCATCAAGCAAATTTCAGTTCCTAAAATTGAAGAACATCATAAAAAATACCTAGCTAGTCTCTAATGGGATTAAACCAAGGAATCTAAACAGAGGGCACTCTAAGTTATCACTACGAGTCATAAAAACTACTTTGCTTTTATGCATCTCTAGCCTGATTCTGAATCTGACCCTATGGAAACTTAATCAATTTATCTGCTTAGCTGCATTACAAATAGATCATGAAATAACATATGCATTCCCAAAAAAGCTATTAGCACTAGAAGCTGAAAACCTTTGGTGCAATAGATAAATTTTGCACATGGTTCACCATTAACTTCAGTGGAAATTTAAGCTTCTGTCAAACTTTTTTAAAAATATGATTTCATTCATAGTCATGTGCATTAATAGAAGTTATATATATTGAAGTATATGATCACCTTTTTAGACTATTTCCTTTCCCCACCCCTGGGTAAATGCTTACTAATATTAAAAAGGAGTTTTGTAAATAATACAGATTCTCAAAAGTGAACAAGAATTAAGAGGAAGTTTCCAAACATCCCTCAGCATTCAATAAATGTTCATTGCTCATTATTTTGACTGGCTCTCAGATTTATGTAAAATTACTTTACTATGTTTTCAATTTGAATGTTCAGCCAACACTAAATTTTTGGGGAATATTATATTTTTAAAAAGTCTTAGCTTATTGAAAATATAACAAAATCCACACAATACAATGTGTTTCCTACTGCAGGCTTTATCCAAAATAACCAAAGGTGAACTCTTGTATCTTTATTCACATAATATAAAACCACTGTAATAGTTTTAAAGAAAGGAATATGCATTTAGAAAGTCAAACTAATATGACATAATTACTAATTCACTTGGGGAAAACTGGGGAAAAATATCAGGATGAGGCTAACAAAAATTACATGTTGTCTTTTCTGTACATTTCTCTCTGTGGTTATATTATTAAATGTTTTGTCATAATCCATATATATATAGGTGTAACCCTGACTACATTAGTTATGAGAAAATATTATAACAAGAAGTCTTGTAGTATGAAAAATATTACTACTATATTTGGAATTTTTAATAAGATTTCCATAGAAGCCCATAGTTTCATGGGAACATATAAAGCCAAGAGAGAAAAAAAATATTGGAAATTCCCGAATTGCTTCCAACACGTGGATGTCAATAAATAAAGTAGGATGTTCACACCTGGCCTGACACACACTTTTTTCTATTTCCTTTTTAAGGACAACTTATGGGTTAATATAGCATAACCATTTTACTTTTGAGAATAAAAATAGTCTCTTCCAATTCTCAATTGCTTTTGCTTATTAAATTATTACTTCTGAAAATCAAATGGCCTGTAACTCTCTCATGCCTCATCATTTATTGTATAAAGCATTAGATGGGTTAAGATCCAGTCCTTCTTGTTTTGATGTAACTTTATTATCACTTCAAATTGTAGTCCAAAAAGGCTCCAAAATGTTTTAATAAATAAATTTTATTTTGTTTCATTTGTGTGTTTCTTTTACTTGAAAAATAGTGGATAGAAATAAAAATTTTTATGAAAACTTCTGGCTTAAAACAGAAGCTTATGAACACCTACAAGATATCTCTAGAACAATTGGTAAGATCATAAACACTATTTCAAAGGTTATTAATGTCTTAGTTTAAATAAGGGATAGTTTGGTTACTACTGTGAGCACATCAAAATGTTGGCTGAGCCTGAAACCTTGCTATAAGTAAAAAATTGTACATAATCAAATATTTACAGTTATTCAAATCCATTCATAGAGTCAATCTAAAAACAGAATTTTCTTAAAATAAATTATAAGACTTCACCACGATGTGAAGCAATTTTAATTCATTAATTTACTAGTTTTTTGTTTTTGAGGCAGGGTCTCACTCTGTTGCCCAAGCTGGAGTGCAGTGGCAATCACAGCTCAATGCATCCTCTAACAAGCAATCCTCTCTCTTCAGCCTCCTGTGTAGCTGGCACTACAGCAACGTACCACCACGCCCGGCTAATTTTTTAACTTTTGGTAGAGATGGGTCCTCGCTGTGTTGCCAGGCTAGTATTGAGCTCCTGAACTCAAGCGATCTTCTCACCTCAGTCTCCCAAAGTGCTAGGAATACAGGTGTGAGCAACTATGCCCAGTCGTGTTATTGTTTTTTATGGAACATAATCTTCCATTCTGTCTTTGATATTTCATGTATCTAAAACCACTTAAGATATTTAACTCACTTTCTATATATGCATATAAGTATCTAATAAGTGTTGTTAAGAAAAAGAAAAAAAAAAAAAAGATTAGAAGCCAGAAGGAAAGAAGTGACTTTGTATAGCAAACAAAACCCAGACATAAAAGAAGGGTAAAGAGACAGGCAAATACATTGTGCTGCCATCATAATCATGAATTATACCATCCTAAATCCTCTTATTTGGAATCACTCCATTCTATTTTGAACCATCTCTCTTATTTTGAATCCACCCCACCCCTAATTTGAACCTAATAGATTGCTATTTGTTTCAAAAGTAGATGTTCTACTTGAATCAATTAATTTTACCTTGCAATGAATAGAAGTTTTTCTTAAATGACTTCATGATAGAAAAGAATGCAAATAATAAAAACATGGACATATTTAAAATGGACAAATAATGGAAAATATTTAAATATCTTGCCTTATGCAGACCACGTCAGTCACAAATATAAGAACCAAATGTAGTTACCAGTCCCTCTCTTAGTAGACTCAACCTGATAAACGTTTAAACTGTATATGAAAAAACTATCTCTTTTGTCATATGTAAGATATATACCATTTCTATGTAAAGCATTTTTAAACATCAACTCATATTTGGATGTAGTTTTTCATCAAAAGTATATATGCCATATTATAAGTAAATTACTGCCAGTCAAATTGAACTAAAAGTAGCCAAAATACTAAGCATTTATTGGCATGTGTAATTCAAAATTCAAATTAATTTATTTTCAAACTATTTATAGGGAATGTATGTTCACTTTGAATTAAGATTCAGTAAAGTAATGCTTTTTCAAATGCTAATATCCAAACTGCAGCAATAAAAAGTAAAACCCTTTTGGCCTTTGCCTTCCTCAAGTCTGATTTCTATTCATTTAATAGCACAACAGCACATTCCTCATTATTAAATTCAGTGGAAATGTAAGCTTCTATCAACTTTTCAAAGAAACATGATTTAATTCATAAAACACTCAGATGCATTGACATAAGTTATCTATATTGAATTACATATTACCTTGGCCTCAGGTTGTTTCCTTTTCACCATTTCTAGTTAGAATACTTAAAAATATTAAAGGAGTTTGATATGAAATATGGATCCACAAAAATAAATGAGAATTTGGATGAGATTTCCATTAGAAGATTTCAATAGCTCAAAAGCATTAATATTCTAACCTGAACTGGAGAAAAGAAAACTTGAACCAAATGATTTTTGTCTTCGCTACAAAAATACTAGTGAAAAGTTTAAGAAACCAGAGGCTGAAACTATTGACTTAAAATGGGAATTTTAACTAAGTCTTATTTATTTGTACTGACCTATTTTTCATGAATCATGGATCATCTACATGAAGATATTACGATCAAAGCAGTGCAATATTTTTCTTATGCCTATGATTAGAATTTCACCTCCCTAAATGAGTTGAATTCCTACTGCATTTCTTAAAAGACGGGAAAGCCACTTCATTACCACTTCCATTCTTACTCACTAAGACATTAACAGAAATTGAGTTAATGTAAATGAGTTAACTAAAATTTAAGATTCATTAATATATGAACCATTCATTTTTAACACTTGTTCTAAATTTCAATTGCATTTTGCCAAACATTCTTGTGCCTTTTTTTCTAAATATGCAGATTATTTTTAAGAGAAAAGTAAATGTGTATTGATAAATTATTGAAACATAATCATCAAATCTTTTTTTATGGAACCATCTGAGATTCAGTAAACTTGAAGTCTTTCCATTCCCATTCAAGATACTTTTTGAACCAAGAAAAACAACAGAAAAAAATGTATTTTTTCAAGAAAAGCTGATTCTAATGCCAAAAGTTTCAGTATAACTATGAAAGTTAGGTTCTAGGATTCAATCTAAAATATTTGGTCTATTTGAAATCAAAAGGGCTACTTAGCTAACTAGATATTTTTACATTAAGATACATCACTACACTAGGGAATCAAAGATATATGTATCCTTTTAGTTCTATACCAGGCCATGCTACCATCTGAATAGATGGGGCAAATGTGTTTAGATGGAGGTGAAAGGTTAGGAATACTGAATTATATTGCTAGGAGAGATAGTGAAGATTAATTTTGTGAAATGAGATGGAAGAATATCTTAAAATTATAAAAGGAAACAGATGGAATTATAAGTTACTAAAAGTAATTTTGTGAAAAGTCGATTTTTTAAAGCAGCATTCAAGGCTGAATCAATACCTTCTAAATGAATATTGTATAATTATAAGTTCCTGAATTATGAGGCAGCTTCATGTATTTTTAATGGACAATGTGGATATTAAGTTCACCATTTCATTATCCTCATAAAGATTTAGCAAAATATTATATTACCTTATATTACACAAATGGTCTTTACTGGATATTCCAACTCCCTTTATTAGACTAGCACTATTATCCAAACAACTTCTAATATCAGGCTAAGAGGACTGATGTCAGAAAGTTGTTGTTTAGTCTTCATGATAACCAATTATAATGAATATGTTAAAAATCTAAATAGAAAGTACTACTATATTCACAATACAATAATGAATGTGAAACAATTACTATGGTATAACTGCTACAAGATTACTCAATTTAAGATAGATTACTCCTAATTTCAGCTCTTAAGAACTAATTGTTTTTCAAATCTCTTAAAGATAAAAAGCAGGATTATTAAATCAGCATTATGAGCAAGGTTCAAATCATCATGCTTTATTTCACTTACAACATATAGGGGGGCTTAGCAATTTTACTTTTGTCAAATTTGTCATATATTATGACTTTTGGTCAGTTCTTCAACATGGTTTTGATGATACAAAAGCTACTGGATAGTTCAAATAAGAATGAGTATCTTCATAAGAAATGACATAAATGAAAGTACATAAAAATCATCTTAATAGAATAAATAAAAACAAGTGTCTCTGTCTAGCCTATCATATTGTAATAAACAGTAAGATTGGAAAAGGATAAGACACTGAAATACCTTGTTAACTGGACCTCTTTCAACTTTGCTCTTAAAAATTAAAAAAAAATGTCGTTTTTGAGGAAGCAAAAGAACCATTTCATTCATTATTCAAAAATTGAAAATTGTCATGGCCAAAATGGTATCTAGAGAGGATCTGTAATGATGAGGCTGGAGACTTATACCTTATACCTTATAATGTACAAGGGAGCCAGGTACACAAGCATTTCAGTAATACCTTGTTACCCATGAAATTCACCTTACTGGTAAACTAAATTAAATAATGTTTCAAATAGTTCAATGTTTCATTTGAGCTGTGATTTTTAAAGAAAATGCAGGCCAGGGAGGGTGGTGTGTGCCTGCAGTTCCAGCTACTTGGGAGGCTGAGGTAGGAGGATAGCTTGAGACCAGGATTCAGAGGCTGCAGTGCACTGTGATGACCATGCCTGTAACCAGCGACTGCACTCCAGCAAGAGCAACATGGCAAGACCCCATCTCAAAAAGAAAGAAGGAAGGAAGGAAGGAAGGAAGGAAGGAAGGAAGGAAGGAAGGAAGGAAGGAAGGAAGGAAGGAAAGAAAGAGAAAGCTTACTTCATAGAGAAATACTGATAGCAAACAAAGTTGTAAATGGAATACAAAAGAAAGTTAGTAAAATGTTTACCGAGTTAATTGACAAAGTTTGTTAAATACCATTGAGGCTTCTAGTGGAAGTGAAAACTGGTATACAATCTTTCTGGAAATAATTTTAACAATACTTATAGATAGCCTCAAAAATGAGCCCAGCAGCTCCTTAATGACATGGTTCATTCCAGAGTGGAGTCAGGGAAAATACAAGACAATGTTGAAAAACTCTGTGGTACCAGACTGTAAGGGAGTATTCACAAAAGGATGGAAGCATGTTAAAAGAACATGGGAGCCCTCAATTGAGAGAATTCATTGAGAATGAGTTCTCAATGTCCACAGATGAAACAATCAATCTGAGCAACAAAGTACTGGATTATGACCCAGAAAATAAAATAAATACCTTTGAGTCCTTACTGAAATAAATAAATAATTGAATAAAAAATGGAGAAGTAACAGTTCTTCTCCACAGATTTCAAATATCTAAATGCAGAAAGAATAAGAGAAATAGTCACCATGAGCTATTATAAATGGAATTGCTTTCTTGATTTATTTTTCAGATAGTTTCCTGTTGGCATATAAAAGTGCTACTAATTAGCATTTTGTACTTTGTATTCTGCAATTTTACTGCACTTATGTTCTAGCTCTAACAGTTTTTTGGTGAAGTGCGTAGGGTTTTTCATATATGAGATCATGTAGTCTGCAAACAGGGACAAGTTTTGACTTCTCATTTCCAATTTAAATGACCTTTATTTCTTTCTTTTGCCTAATTGCTCTGGCTAGGACTTCCAGAATTATGTTGAATAAAAGTGGCAAAGTGGGCATCCTTATCTTGTTTTAGATTTCTGAAGAAAAGCTTTCTACTTTTCCCCATTCAAGTATGATGTTAACCGTGTGTTTGCCATATATGGCCTTTATTGTGTTAAGGTATGTTCCTTCTCTACCTAATTTGGGAGGGTTTTTATCACAAAGGGATATTAAATTTTATTAATTGCTTTTCTGCATCTATTGGGATGATCATATGGTTTCTGTTCTTCTTTCTGTTAATGTGATGTATCACATTTATTGATTTACATATGTTTAACCATCCTTGCATCCCTGAAATAAATCCCACTTGATTGTAGGGAATGATCTTTCTGATGTGCTGGGTTCAGTTTGCTAATATTTTGTTCAGGATTTTTATGTATATGTTCATCAGGGATATTGGTCTGTAGTTTTCTTATTTTGTTGTGTCCTTGTCTGGTTTTGGTATCAGGGTATTGCTGGCCTTATCAAATGAGTTTGGAAAAATTTCCCCTCACTTCAATTTCTGGAATAGTTTGAGAAGAATGGCATTTGTTCTTTATGTGTTTGGAAGGATTCAGCAGTAAAGCCATTAGGACCTGGGCTTTTCTTTGATGGGAGACTTTTTATTACTGATTCAATCTCATTACTTGTTATTGGTCTGTTCTGGTTGTCTACTTCTTCATGATTCAGTCTTGGCAGGTTGTATGTTTCTAGGAACTTATCCATTTCTTCTAGGTTTTCCAATTTTTTGTTGTATAGTTGTTGATAATGATCCTTTGTGTTTCTTTGACCATGAGTTGAAATGTCTCCTTTTTTATCTCTGATTTTATTTATTTGTCTTTCTTTTTTTCTTAATTGGTCTAGCTCAAAATTTGTCTTTTTTTATCTTAAAAAAAAGAAATACCTATAAATAAATTTAACCAAAGAGATGAAAGATCTCTAAAATAAAAACTATAAAACATTTAGGAAAGAAATTGAAGAAGACACAAATGAAAAGATATCCCATGATGATGATTTGGAAGAATTAATATTGTTAAAACACTCATACTACTCAAAGCAATCTACAGAATTAATGTAATCCCTATCAAAATACCAATGACAGTCTTCACAAAAACAGAAAAAATCTTAAATTTTGTATGGAAGCCCAAAAGACCCTAAATAGACAAAGATATCTGAGCAAAAAGAAGAAAACTAGAGGTATCACACTACCTGACTTCAAAATACACTGCAAAACAATAGTAACCAAACTATCATGGTGCTGGTATAAAAACAGACTCATAAATCAATGAAACAGAATAGAAAACCCAGAAACAAATCCACGTATTTACAGCCAAATGATTTTTGACAAAAGCATCATGAGCACATATTGGAAAAAGCCTTGTCAATAAATGATGCTGGGAAAACTATGTCCACATGCATAAGAATGAAACTAGAACCCTATGGATCACCATATACAAAAATCAACTCAAAATGGATTAAATACTTAAATGTAAGACCTGAAACTATAAAACTACTAGAAGAAAACATGTAGAGGAAATGCTTCATGATATTGGTCTGGGCAAGGATTTTCTGGATAAGACCTCAAAAGCACAGGCAACAAAAGCAAAAACAGACAAATGGGATTACATTAAGCTGAAAAGCTTCTGCTCAGTAAAGGAAACAATAAACAGAGCAAAAAGACAACTTAATTGGAGAAAACACTTGCAAACCTTGCATCTGACAAAAGGTAAATATCCAGAATTTATAAGAAACTCAAACAATTAAATAGCAAAAAATTAAATCAGAAACTCAAATAGCAAAAATTAAATCACCTAATTTAAAAATGGGTGAAAGATCTGATTAGGCATTCATCAAAATAAGACATTCAAGTGACTAACTAGCATATGAAAAACTGCTCAACATCACTAACAATCAGGGAAATGCAAATCAAAACCACAATGAGATATCACTCCAGTTAGAGTGGCTATTGTCAAAAAGAGAAAACAAACAAATGCTGGCAAGAATGTGGAGATTTTCTCACAACTGGTGAGAATAAATTTGTATAGCCATTATGGACAATATCCTCAAAAAATTAAAAATAGAACTGTCATATGACCCAACAATCCCACTACTGCCATATATCTAAAGGAAATGAAATCCATATGTTGAAGAGATATTTGTACTCCCATGTTTACACCAACACTATTCACAGTATCCAAGACATGGAGTCAAATTAAGTGTCCATCAATAAATGAGTGGATTTAAAAATGTAAGCCAGATAGGCCGGACACAGTGGCTCACACCTGTAATCACAGCACTTTGGGAAGCCAAAGTGGGCGGATCACCTGAGGTCAGGAGTTCGAGACCAGCCTGGTAAACACGGTAAAAACCTGTCTCTACTAAAAATACAAAAAAAATTACTGGGAGTGGTGGCAGGCACCTGTAGTCCCAGCTACTCGGGAGGCTGAGGCAGGAGAATTGCTTGAACCTGGGAGGTAGAGGTTGCAGTGAGCCAAGAATCATGCTACTGCACTCCAGCCTGGACAACAGAGTGAGACTCTGTCTCTCTCTCTCTCTCTTTCTCTCTCTCTCTCTAGATATATGTATATATGTATATATACGTATATATCTATATACATAAATACGTATTTATGTATATAGATATATATACATAAATACGTATATACGTATATGTATATACGTATTTATGTATATAGATATATACATATATATCTATATACATAAATAATTTTTAAAAAATGTAGGCCGGGTATAGTGATGCACGCCTGTAATCCCAGTGGTTTTGGGAGGCGGAGGCAGGAGGATTGCCTGAGGCTAGTAGTTCAAGACCAGCCTGAGCAACATACTGAGACCCTGTCTCTACAAATAAAAATAAAAATAAAAATAAAAAAATAAAAAAATTAATTAGACAGGCATGGTAGTGCACACTTGTAGTCCTGCCTACTCAAGAGGTCAAGGTGAGAGGACCACTTGAACCCAGGTCCTTGAGGCTGTAGTGAACCATGATTGCACGACTAAACTCCAGCCTGGGTGACAGAGCAAGACCTTGTCTCTTAAAAAAATAAAAAGGTCAGGCGTGGTGGCTGTAATTCCAGCACTTTGGGAGGCCAAGGTGAGTGGAACACCTAAGGTCAGGAGTTCGAGACCAGCCTGGCCAACATGGTGAGATCCCATCTCTACTCAAAATACAAAAAAAATTAGCCAGGTATATGGTGGCGGGCGCCTGTAATCCTAGCTACTCAGCAAGATAAGGCAGGAGAATTGCTTAAACCCAGGAGTTGGAGGTTGCAGTGAGCTGAGACCGTGCCACTGCACTCCAGCCCGGGCAACAAGAATGAAACTCCAACTCAAAAAAGGTGAATAAATAACAAATAATACAAATAAAAATAAAAATGTAATATACACACTCAATAGAGTACTATTCAGCCACAAAAAAGAATGAAATCCTGTCATTCACAACATAGATAAACCTACAGAACATTATGTTAAGTGAAATAAGTCTAGCACAGAAGGACAAATACTGCATGATCTCACTTATACAAGAGGTCTTCAAAAAGTTCACAGAAAATGTGTATGATAAAGAAATTTGCATGAATTTCAAAAAAAATTTGCACCAAAATAAACTCATACTAACTTGTTATAACATGTCTGATGAGTATCTAGAAGCACCTAGAAAGATAAGACATGAGTTTTAAAACAGCCCATATCAGAGCAACACAAATTCTGCTAAAATTGAACCAAGAACAAACATCAAATTTATGATGAAGCCTGAGTGGAAGAATGGTGAAATCATTGATGCTTTATGGAGACAATGCCCAAAATAAATCAGCAGTTCACAAATGGATAACTCATTTTAAGAAGGGAAGAAACAATGTTGAAGCCCACAGTGGCAGACCATTCATATCAATTTTCAAGGGAGAAAATAATCTTGTTTGTGCCCTAACTGGAGAGGACCAGTGATTAACAGCACAAGCAATAGCCAACACCATAGCTATAACCAATACTTCAGCTAACACAATTCTGACTGAAAAATTAAAGTTTAGCAAACTTTCAACTAAAACAGTGCCAAAATCACTGCACCCAAATTACCTGCAGACAAGTGCAGAACTTTCAATTAAAATTTTAAGCAAGTGGAATCAAGATCCTGAAGCATTTCTTTGATGAATTGCAAAAGAGATGAAACATGGCTTTACCAGAATGATCCTGAAGACAAAGCACAATCAAAGCAATGACTACCAAGAGGAGGATATGGTCTAGTCAAAGCAAAAGCAGACCCATTAATAACAAAGGTCATAGCATCGGTTTTTTGAGATGCTAAAGTCATTTTCCTTGTGGACTTTTTGGAGGGCCAAGGAATGACAACATCTGCTTAGTATAAGAGTGTTTTGAGCAAGTTAGCCAAAGCTTTAGCAGAAAAATGCCCAGAAAACCTTCACCAGAGAGTCTTTCTCTACCACAACAATGTTCCTACACATTCCTCTCATCAAACAAGGGCAATTTTGAGGGAGTTTCAATGAGAAATTATTAGGCATCCACCTTAAAGTCCTGATTTGGCTCATTCTAATTTCTTTTTTGTGTGAATCTTAAAAAAAATACATAAAGGGCACTCATTTTTCTTCAGTTATTAATGTAAAAGAGAGACTGCATTGACATGGTTAAATTCCCAAGACCCTTGGTTCTTTAGGGATTAATTAAATGGCTGGTATCATCACTTACAAAAGTGTCTTGAACTTGATAGAGCTTATAATCAGAAATAAAGTTTATATTTTATTTTTATCTTTTAATTACATTTTTCTACAAAACTTTTGAAGTCTCCTTATATATGGAATCTTAAAAAGTTGTTTCTGTAGAAGTAGAGAATAGAATAGTGGTTACTAGAGGCTGGGGAAGGTAGGGAGAAGGGAATGATGGGTAAAGGTTGGTCAATGGGCACCAAGCTACAGTTAGATAGGAGGAATAAGTTCTGGTGTTCTATTGTACAGTACAGTGACTATAGTTAACACATATATTGTATATTTCAAAATAGCTAAAAAGAAGGATTTTGAATGTTTTCATAATAAAGAGATAAGTGTTTGAGGTGATGGATATGTTAATTACCCTTATTTGATTATTATACAACGTATACTTGTATCAAAACATCATATCATACATATTTACAGAACAAATATGTATAATTATTATGTGTCTATTAAAAACCAAATAAAAGTTTTAAAAAGTCATGAGGCAGACACCTCCATAAGTGCTACAGGAAATATTTACCAATGAGTGCTAAAATTAATGTGCAAAAGTTTGAGGAGAAATAGGAAATTCATATAGTCTCAAAGTATCTCCCCAAATATATTATTACAAAGGGAAACTTTTTTGACTTTTCAATGGGAAAAAAACAGAAGATACCTCCATAATCAAAGTTAATGTCACCAGAAGTAAGATATGTATATCCTGATATAAAGAAAGGAAAACGGAACATCACTTCTACAGTATTATTGACAAACAATGCATAACCTCAATCTAACCATGAAAACCTCAAACACAAATTGAGTAATAATCTCCAAAACATTGACCTGTACACTTCAAGAGTGACAAGGTCATGAAAGAAAAAGACTTAATAACTGTCACAAACTGGAGATTAAAGAAATGTGATATCTAAACACAATATGGTACTCTGAATTGTATCCTAGAACAGAAAATGGACATTAGTGAAAACACTGGTGATATTCGAATATGGTAGTTTAGTTAATATAATTGTATCAGTGTTAACTTTCTAGTTTTTAGAAAGTTAAGGCAAGGTGGATGAAAAGGATATGGGAATTCTGTACTATTTTTGCAAGTATTCCATGAGTAAAAATAGAGTCAAAATAAAAAGCTAAAAAATGATAAAATTAGTTTATATTTACTTTTGATGCCTTCCAAATGATCCTAAAAATCAAGTATTAATTTTATTATTAGGAAAAGGATTGTACTGTATTATAATTATCAATTTATATCATTGACATACTTCTATATTACTGTCAAATGGATACATCGAGTTATTGAGTAAGCATTATTGAATCAAGGATTGAATTAATTGTGCATATCAGGTAATGATTTTCATTCAAAAGGAAAACTATTAAGCCAAGAATAAGAATAATAGCTACTATTACTGAGTCATTAGTCTAAATGATATAACACGTATTTTTTTCATTGCTTCTCACAAACCTGGGAGATAGATATATTATTACCATTCCTATTTTGTAGGTAAGAAAAGTAAGACATTGAAAACCTAGATAACTTGCCAAAATTGACACACCTCCTAACTGAAACTTTTAGAATTTTCCAACTCCAATGTCCAAACTCTTAACAATTAATGTCTGCTAGTGTTGCTGCTTAATCTATTACCCATGATATATTTAACAAGGAGTTCCATGCACTTGGTTCTGTGAGAGCAGCACAAAAATTATCTAAAATAAGCTGCTTTCAAGAATCCAGCCACCGATTGAGGCAACAAGTTATATGTATTTGCATTTAAGTAAAATAATTCACATATGGATGCTTCTCAACCTACAATGGAGTTATGCCCTGGTAAACCCACTGTAAACTGAAAATATCATAAGTTGAAAGTGCATCTTCCATATATGGCATTTTCTATTTACAATGGGTTTATCCAGAGGTAACACCATGGAAAGTTGAGTAGTATACTGAATGTCCATAGATTTTGCACCCTGGTAAAGTTGAAAAATCATAAGCAAGCCATCATATATTGAAATCATCAGGATATATATACATGTATATACACAATATTGCAAAGTAATAGGTAATATGCTAAATAAGTAAATAAGCACTTAATTTTCTAGCCCATTATGATTTATTGTTAAAAAGGCTGTTTTATGGCAAAACTTAGTCTCCCAGCATTCTTACGGTTAAAATAATTTAAAAATATATGATGATTTTTCTATTTTGTTGATATTTAAGGCAAAAATTCTCAAGCTTTAATGTACATAAGAATCACCTAGAGGTTTTTTTAAATGCTGGTTTCCTTAGTGCTACCCTTTAATATTCTCAGACTGTAGGCTTAAATAAGGCCTGGAACTTGAATTTTTAACTAGCCCTCCTGACAATTCTGATGCAGGTGGTCCTCAAGAGTAAGGTTTTCAATAATCCCGTTGTTTAGGAAAAAAATACCAAATTTTTATATTTACTATAGGTGTTCTGTCAATTATATATGACATGTTTTTAACAGACATTTATATCATAAAGTTATACTACAAAGTACATGGTTATGCACTAAAATAAATTATATTATACCTTAAGGGTGTGTCTTGCTGCTGTCTCTGTGTTGGGTTTGTTGTGTGTATGTGGTGGGTTTTTTTCTTTTCATTTTTAAACCACATTCATGTATCTGAGAAAATCAGAAGCATTTGGAGAGGTTTATTCCCAGAAAACCTTAAATATCAACAGAAATTCACCACTTTGTGAAAAAAGCTGTATGGATCTAACAATAATGAAATACGCTTCCTAAGCAGAGCTATGTTTTGATCCCATCTGGTAGTTGTTATATACCTACTTTTTATGTCACTTGCTTTCTGAAATTTGACTAGGTCATCATCTTTTATATCAAAGCCTCATTAGTCAAAAGGGGGAAAAAAGACACTAGAAAGAAACAGCCTTCCCTAAATAATTTTGGTTTTCCAGAATTAGCAAGAACAAGTGGAGTTACAAATAAATGTTGGAGGCACTCCAGCAACCTAGCACATTCAATATGCAATGGGAAAATTCTGCCTTAAAAACTTGCTTATTAGATCCTTAGAGCATAATTTTCATGATGAATGAGCAAGTCTTGCTGATGTTGGTACAGGGACTTTGTCATTAATTCAAAACTATATCAAGAGTCTTTGGCTATAATACATCCTCACTCTATCCAACTGAGTTTGTAGATTAATCTCCATTTTCATCTTCTGAGAGCACCTCTCGAGTTCTGAGCTACTTGGAATTCAACATGAATTTGGTATTTAAGCTCAATGTAGGAACCACTATATAAATGGCACTTCTGCAATTTTTGTGTTATTCTTGCTATATTGCATAGAAATTTACACTAAGACAAAACTGCAAAATATTGCCATAAGAAATTAAATATCTAAATACAGTGTGACTCAAGTGAAATAGTTCTCTCTCTCTCTGGTACATAAAATGCACCATATATTCTCTTAACTCAGCTTTGAAGATATATTCCAAGACCTCTAGGTCTGCAAATAACCTGAAACCCTGACCAATCTCAGCATTATCTTGACAAACAGAATCAAATTTGTGGTAAAGAATTTCTTGTGGGGGGAGGAAGTTATTTTTATTTTGTGAATATTTTATTTGCCCTCTTCTTAATTTATATAAATGTAACTGATATAAGCATTTTTTGGATACTCGGCCTTCTCCTTGTTCATGATAATGCTAAACAGTAACTTACTTTTAAAATAATTTTTTGAAATAACGTTTACATAACATAAAATTCACCATTTTACAGTGTGCAATTCATTGGTTTTTAGTATACTCAGAGTGTTGTGTAACCATCACCGCCACGTAATTTCAAAACATTTCCATCACTGCAAAAAGAAACTCTGTACCTATTAGCAGTCACTCCTAACTCTCCCCTACATCCCAGGTCCTGGCAACCCCTAATCTACTTTATGTCTCTAAGGACTTGCCTATTCTAGACATTTCATATAAATGGAA
Source organism: Homo sapiens (assembly GCF_000001405.40). Classification (NCBI taxonomy): domain Eukaryota; kingdom Metazoa; phylum Chordata; class Mammalia; order Primates; family Hominidae; genus Homo; species Homo sapiens. The sequence continues at coordinate 161,631,060 of NC_000002.12, read as the reverse complement.
TCATGAAATATGTGGGCAAAAAGACCTGACATTTTATAGCACCTTGTATCAGAGTACTTTCATATTTTATTGGAGGGGAAGATGTGAAAGCTCGTTTTATAATGGGATTCTTTTTTATTGTTTAATTAGCGTTAAGGGAGACAAGTTACTTATTAACTAAAAAAATATTTTCAAATCCTAGCTTAGCACTTCTTAGCTATGTGAACTTGGATAATTTATACAAATCTCTGGACCTCAGTTTCTCATCTGCAAGGCTGGAAAACATTAGCAACTTTTCAGGATTATCATGAGGATTACAGATGTTTGTACCTATCATGAGCCTGAGACAATATCTATTATTACTTTACAAACTGCCTAATTTCCATTTTAATTTGGAACTCAGCCGTTGATGCTATGCTAGTAATAGAGACTATATAATAGTGGAAAGAATGATAAATGAATAATCAAGAGATTTGGACTCTAGGCTGAGTTCTGCCATTAACTAGCATCATAAGTAGCATGCCCTTAAATATATCTCTTTATGTCTTTGATGTCCAGTTCCATCATCCGTAAATTAAGGAGCCAGTCTAAAATCTAGACTCCAGTTGATCTCTACAATCCTGTGGTCAAAATATATATGAATCTATCTATTAAAAATAATGGGGTGTCAACAATGAATAACCTTCCAAAACAATCTATGTCAGAAAATAGAAAGGAGGAACACTCCCTAACTCAGTATGTGAGGCCATCACCCTAATACCAAAACCAAACAAAGATATTATAAGAAAAGAAGACTACAAACCAATATCCCTCATAAGCATGAATGCAAAAACTCTCTACAAAATATTACTGAATCAATCCGACAACGTATAAAAAACTGACAACACCAAATGCTGGTAAGTGTGTGGAGCAAGAGGAACTCTCATTCATTGCTCATGAGAATAGCATGTAGTACAGCCACTACTAAAGACAGCTTGGCAGTTTTTAAAAATACTAAATACTCTTATACAATCCAGTAATAACATCCTTAGTATTTACCCAAAGAAATTGAAAACATGTCCACACAAAGATCTGCACATGGATGTTTATACCAGACTTATTCATAAATGCCAAACTTGGAGGAAACCCAGATATTTTTCAGTGGGTATATGGATAAATAAACTGTAGTACATCAAGACAATGAAATATAATTCAGTGATAAACAGAAATGAGATATCAAGTCATGAAAATACATTTAAATGCCTATTACTAAATGAAAGAAGCCAATCTGAAAAGGCTATGTACTGTGATTCCAACTATATAATACTCTAAAAAATGCAAAACTATGAAGAAAGTAAAAAAGTCAGTGGTTACCAGGGGTTAGTGGAAAGGGAGGGATGAATAGGCAGAGCACAGAGGATCTTTAGGGCAGTGAAATGACTCTGTATAATACTATAATGGTGGATACATGTTATTATAAATTTGTTCAAAACTATAGGATGTCCAACACCAAGTCCTAATGCAAACTGTGGACTTTGGGTGATAATGTTTCATCAACTGTAACAAATGTACCACTCTGGTGAGAGATCTTGTTAATGGGGGAGCTATGTATGTGTAAGGGGCAGGGGATATATGGGAAATCTCTGTACCTTCTGCTTAATATTGCTGCGAACCTATATCGCTCTCAAAAATAAGACCCATTAAAATATATATACATATAATTCCATAAAAGATGCAACACACACAAATTATTCCCTTTTTCTAAAAAAAAAAAAAAGTAGTACACCCCAAAGAGTATCTGAGACAACTGTTTGTGGTGCGAGAATATATTAAAACTTCAATCTAAATTTATTTTACCTAAAAATAAAACATAAAACTTAACTAATATTTACTATATAGATTGACAATGGTGTCCTCACAGGAAGTCAAATGATCATTGTCATGTGTCCTATGTGATATGGGAAAGGAAGAGTTGAAGTCTCTCTCACAGAAGGGCTGAGAGTGGCATCCACATTTCTCCATTTACTTGCGGGCCATCGTAATACACTGCAATCTATTCATGCCCAGTTTAGACTTCTGAAGCAACCATCATTCAAGGTTAGAAAGAAATGATATATTGGAAGTATCATTGTATTCTGACCATGCTCTCTGACTGTATTTTGAGTTCCAGACCTTGGCCCAGATATTTTCTAACTCTTCATCATAAACTAGCCCACTTCCTAATCTGATCTCAATATTTTTATCATAAACATAATATTAATAAATAAGTAAACTCAATACTTATAGCCTTCAGATTCTACCACTCATTCCCAACCTTAGCATTTTATACATATATTTTATTTCCATAGTCACTCACCATGCTAGAGTAACAATTCAAATCATGAAAGTAGAAACGGGGATTAATTTCTTATACTGCATTTTGCTTCCTACTGACTACAAGGTGTAGTGAGTATGTTTTCTTTAAACTCAGATTATAATTTAAATTTCAATGCAAATTGAATAGAAAAAACAATATTACTTAGCCATTCCATGTGCTCTTTTTGTTACTTTGACATTTTAGTCCCATTTTTCTTTCCCTGATTTAATTACATTAAAGACTTTTTATAACTTTTTTCCACAAATAAAACAATTCAATAAACTGGGCCACTTGGAAATATGGAATTAGCATTTTCTAAAAGTACTAAATCCAATCATCTATCCTATATCATCAAATTATCTTTTAAAAGTGAACTTTACTGTAGTTTTATACCTTAGGGAAATGTTATGAGTAAGCTCAACTTAAGTCCTTTTTCAGACATCAGAATCTTAGAAGGGATCCAAAGTAGACTCACTGTAGATCACCCAAGATTAAACGTCATGAGATATAAATATAAGTTATATATTCTTCTGGAAGCTTCTTCCATGGCCTGATAATTTTTAAATTGTTAGGTTACTCCTAAAAGCAAATTCAACATTGAATATCAAAGGAAAATGTGAAATCATAATGCAATCCTAAATATCAGGCTTCATACTTTTAAAAGGCTAATTCCATTCTTACTAAAATGATATCACCATTATTACTGTTACATATATTCTCCATATATATCCATATCAAAAAGGTTATAACAATTATTAAATATTTTGAAGAGAAAGCAGCAGTCTCTTAAAAAGTTAAATCGAGTCCTATTTCTAGTCTAGCTGGAGTGTGAGGTTTCACATATATAGGGTGTTTGCCTGCCTTATTTATTGCTGCATCTCCAGCACCAAGAATGTGTTTGGCCAACAGTAGGCACTTAAGAGAACACATCTTTCTGACACACTTTTTCTGTAACTTCAGACATAGCAGTCAGTTGTTACCAAAACCAGACTATACACTTAGCCAACAAGAGTGAACGCCCTAACCCTTGGAGTGATTAGAGTCTACAAAATGCAATGATGGCTTGTCCAGCAAAAGGAAATTATCACTGAAGCTTCCTAAGAAGGACTGGGAAAAAAAGAGAAACATATCTAGGCCTCCTCTGCCCGTATCCTTCAAATGTACTTTATATATACTATACTAAATGGAGGTAAACCCTGGGAGGCTTAATGAGAATCTGTTCCTCCATTTCACTTGAGTCAGGATTAATACATTCACTCATTTGACATACTTATCTATTCTTATTTTCCTTTCTCTTTCACTTCCCTATCTTTCTACCTCTGACTGCTTCTGTCCCATATCTAATCTTGGCTTTTAATGCCTGTCCAATTGGCTCTCCAAGCATACTGCAAAGTTTTCATAATTATAACTAAAAAACGCCACCTCCCACCTCCACTATGAAGAGTCTTTTCCAGTTCTCCATTTTCCATTTTTCCTTCTTGGTAGAAAGTACTGACAAGCCACTTCTCATAAAAACCTGAAACCTATACATCCTCTCAATATCTACTTTGAGATGAATATAGCAATAATATATTCATTTTACAGCAACATTGACAATGATAATAGCAAGTTTTATTGAACACTTACTAAATGTCAGGAACTTCATATAAGTTATTTAACTGATTCCAAAACTCAAGAGATATATAATAACATTCCCTTTTCATTTTTCAGTTGAAGAAACTGTAACTTATAACTTTCCCAATATCATATAACAAATAAATAGCAGTGTTTGGCCTTGACTGAGTTCTAAATATTATGCTATATTGCCTCTCACAAAATTATTTGCAAAGTCGTCTGATTAATTTTCTAAAACAGAGCCCAGAGCTCTCTTCCAAGCGTAAAAACTTCAGCCCAGGAACTGATCATGTTAAGCTTGGTTAAGAATGTAATGTAAAAAATATTGAATTTTTAAAACAATTTCTGAACTAGTTTTAGATGACCTAAATTCTAGTCCTGGTTTCATCACTGGGTGATCTTAGACATGTTATTCAGACTCCCTGTGCCTCAATTTCTCACCTTGAAAATGAAAATAATAAAATCTGCTTTACATAACATGTTTGTTTTGAAAATTAAACAAAAAAGGTTTTCATAAAAGCAACTGGGGGAGTTGCTATACAAGTATAAAACTGGACCAGTAATTCAGCATCCTCTCTAGCCCCTCAGGCTTGTTTTTCTTGTGATGATCTGCTAATATGATTCCCTCTTACCATTAAACTGTCACTATTTTGTACTGACCATTAACCCCATGACATGCAAACTTTTGACTCTGGCCTTCAAAAATTTCCATCAGATGTATTGTAGACCTTCTTTTCAGGAAAGACTTGTATTTTCTCTGCTCTTTTAAGCTATAAATTGGTTGCCCATCTAGCCCAGTAATGTCATCCTCTTTTAAATTCCTCTAGTTAATCCTCATTTGGTCCTAAACCCTTTAACTGTTCCCCACAAGTGACAATCCATAAGCCACATCAAACTGGCTTTAGCCTGCTTTTCTAGGACAGGTTCCAACACCCCACCCCACCCCCACTGCCAGCCAAAAAAAGGGTTGGGGGTTTCCCTAAACCTTCCCTAATCCCCATACCACGATTCCTGTGTATAGTTCCCGTCTCTCATCCAGGGAAGAAGAGTTCCCTGGTATTCTTAACAGTATTTATTCTGAGTACTAACAGAATCCTAATTTATGTATTTGTTCAAGTTTGGGAAGATAGACAAATCTTTTACACGTATTTTTTTATAACTCCACTTTGATGCCACAAAGAAATATCTCTATTTTTAGGCAGACAGGGTAATTGACAAACTTCTTTCTCCTGTTCCCTTTCTCCCGGCCCCCTACCCCGACACTGCCCCTGTCCTCTGTTGAGACTCTATTCTTGGTGGTAACTCCTTGCATTCTTCCCATCACTCTGCTCCCTCCCTGCTCAAACCTGGCGTCCGCAGGAGAACTGGGCATGCTCAGTCGCCACAGTTGATTCCGGGGATGCAAACTGGAATCTTTTTGCAGCATGTGAGCCCGGCAGGAGAGGTAAGGCCCTGAAAATACTGTGGCCCAGAATTTGCCCACTCCTCCTACGGAAGCATTTTGTTGAAAACCTAGGAATGGACTCGGAAATGGACAGCTCACCGCCAGTCCCTTCCGCGCAAGGTGGGTCACCAACCTTAGTAACAGGGAGCTGAGAAACAGCCCCTCCGTCTGGTTTGGTGCAGGGAGGGGATTTCTGCTGTGGTAGCACTGATAGATGGCTGGAAGCTATGACTGTCATCTCTGTTGCATCAAGAAAATACTGGGTTTTTTTTTTCTTTTTTCCTTAAACACAGAAACAGCAGCTGCTCCAGACAGAAAAAGATGTTGCCTGAAGATCTCCAAAGTCTGCGAGCCAGACAGAGAGATTGTGGAGAGGATAGGCAAATCCATCACTTACACAAAAATTAAATGTAGGGAAACAGCTTAAGAACCCAGAGGTAAACAGATGGGCTATTACCAAATGACAGTTCAGAAACCTTTCTAATATTCACATCTGAATTGTGTGCCTGTCCCCCAAAAATGCATACCTTCTTTGTACAAAAACCATGACACATTTGCCTTTGAGAAAGAGACAGAACACACACACACACACACACACACACACACACACACACACACACACGATCCTTCTGTTCTTTCCCCTGGTTTCTGTAGAGACTAAATCTCTAGAGCTGCAACAGCAGCAGATTCCCTCACCTCACTGCCTGGGGATGAGGCAGGGGGAGGAAATTCGATAGGGATTAAACATGATAAAAGGGGGCTTCTCTGCAAGGGCTTAAACCAGCACACAGCCTGAGAATCAGAGAGATAAGCAGTAACAGGCAGGCAGAGAGACACGTAACTGCCCCTGCTGCTAAAACCTAGCCATTTCTTCAAACAGCAGCAAACATGAGACATTTCATCACCGTAGTGCATCCATATTGAGAAGGGGGGGGGAGGAGAATCGTGTGCTTTGCTTTATGCATTTCAGTCTCCCAAGATGGGAGGAGACCCCTGTCCATATGTCGTAGGAGCTATCCACCACCCCAAAAGTACACTCGCTGCACCTAGCTAGCAGACCGCTTGCCTAACAGGTTTTGCAGCAAACGCGGTTAATCTATGTGATAGCAGGTTGTCTCTTACCGTAGGCAGCAGCGGCTCCATTTGGGCTCCCTGGTCTTTAATCTCCATGTTTTGTAACGCCTCTGGAATAAGCACCTTGCTCTGCAGTGTCTTCAGTGTCTTACACTCAGCCCGGCACTCGCTCTGCTTAGTATTCGGATCAGGTAGCTCTGAAGCAGGAGGCAATTGCACACTCCAACTCACCAGAGTCACATGGCTCCTACTCACTCGGGCTGCTGGCCAGGTTTTGCACTGAATGCCTTGGATCCCTGGGCCGGTAAGAGAGATCCCCCAAGCCCTGTATCACTGCCCACACCTGGCTACTAGTATAAAATACAGCAAGCAATGCTACAAGTCTAATGGGCATTAAAAATCTCACCTAAGATGCTCACTTTTCATATAGACTAGTCCAAGTTGGCCTCCAACCAGATCAGTCTGATTTTGACACTTTGAGGTACTCGCTTCATTCTCAGAACCCTATAGGAGACATAATTCAAGCAAGATGATGTAAATAAGGTTTACTAGGTGTTCCGCTCTGAGTACCTGGGGGCTTTTAAAACAGATAAGATGACTTTAATATTAGCATGTCTTAGTGAGGCTGAACTATTCACCACCAACGACAACAAAATCAAGCATTTAAGTCACTGTTGACTCAGTAAGGATTGGACAGATATTTGCAGTATTTTAAAAGTGAAAAACTTAGGTAAGTCACACATTATTAAAAATAAAGTATATGTTTTTCTATGATTTCCCAACAAAAATGACAGAAAGAAAATATTTTGATAGTAGGAATGATCAGGATACTAAAGCACTTTGAAAAGACAATGAATCTGACAAGAATAGCCCAAGCATATATCCCTTTGCCTAAAAGTCTCAACAAAATAGGGGTAGGGGATTATTTAAATAATCCACAGAAGAAAAGACATGCTCTTTTGTAGGAAGAAGTAGTTGGTGAGGATCATCAAGTGACTACACATATTTCCTAAAACTGATTATAGATCTAGAGTATTTTAAGTAATGAAGCCCATATATCACTGAACTCCAGACTAAGTGTATGGAGGTTACAAATGAAGAGTAATAAAGAACTTTCAGGGATTAAAAGAGGGTGACTAAAAATTATTAACATAGTTTGTCTTAAATAAGAATAATTTTACCAGATTCTAAAACCTTTAATAAGCAGGAATGAATATTAAATTATTTTAAGCAATACACCAAAATTTTCCATAATGCTCATTGCAGGTAGAATTATCGATAACTTTTATCTGCTTTCCTTCTCAATACAATTCTTTACAACAAGCTTTTATTATTTTTATAAGAAAACATTTATTTTAAAACCCTAATGATTAATATATTTAAGTGGCTACTTTCTGCATAGCATACTGAGTTGATACCAAGGGTTTAAATAACAAGATATCTGACTGGGAATTTACTGATATTGGGGTCAATTTGATTTTCTACCACAGACTGATGAATAAAAGCTACCTTCTCATTCAAATGACCATAATCAACAATCACAAACAATTTGTTATAATAAAAATAATAACTTCACTTTAGAAAGATTGTTTCTATCCCATTGAGAAGCCTATGTTGTTCCACTGACATTTCTTCAAAGTTAATTTAAATATAACTAAGAAAAAGTCTGGCCCTTAATTCCAAAAGCCAAAATAAAAGTAAAATTGTATTTAAAATTACTTTTTATCAATATTTTCTTAAAATGTATATTATTAAACTACAAAGGTACTTTTCTGGAACAACCATTGCTTGAGTGCTTACGATATGACAGAGCTACTATTTCTGCCAATATAATAGGACTCAGCCAGGGTTGCAACAGCAGACAGTCTACTTCTAAAGATCAAGAAAGCCTATGTATCTAAAGTTCTCTGATCCAAGATGTCAAATACTAGCCTAGCACAACAAAGTGGAGAAAATGATCCTCATTTAATCTGCTACCTATCTAATAGAATATACGAAAATTAATGCCAATGACCTGACAGAATACATCCACATACTAAATAAGTCCCAATGAAGAAGATATGTATAAAACTAATAACTCCTAGGAAGAAAACCATCAGTAGGTAGTGGAATTTTTACTAACAAAATCATAGAATTTTACAGCTCAACTTCTCCATTGATTTTCAAATTCAGAAAGTGAAGAGAAACAGATGGGAACAGGAAATACAAATTGCATGAACAACTTTTTCTCAACTACATATTACCTGCCTTGGAGATTCTGATATGTCCTTGGTGGGGGTGAGGAGAAGAAGTAGGTGAGGATATACTTTTTGAAAAATACTCCCAGGTAAATTTTATATTTCTGCCAGTCTGGAGATCTTTCCACTACAGTAAAGTTTCCTTGGATCTGAGATTATAAAAATAGGTTCCTGTTTAGCCTGCTCCTATTTAGAAATCCAATGAGATTCTATTAGTACAATTTGACAGCAATGATTTCAATCATCACATTAAAGTATTGCAAGACTGAATTTATCCAAGGAACTAAATGTTCCAGACACCCTACTGGAATGAGACAATAGTCTGATTTTCACTCAGTCAGTCCTACTATGTGTGAAGTACTATGCTACTTCCTGTCATGCACAGCAATATTAAAGTGGAATTTTCCTCTCTGAAGAATGAAATAAAAGTAGGGATCGGCCACAAGCCAACTGTATAGACAGAGGAATAACAGAAAGTACTAAACAGAAGAGCCACCTTCCTGTCCAGCTGCCCATGTTGTGACCAGTAGGAAAGGAATACAGCCACCATGGTGTGCTTCCTTCCTTGATCTCTCCTGTATCTTCGGACTCTTGCTGACCTCAAATTTTACTAATCCCTTAAGTAAGCAAATCAGCGTGGATTCAATGTACTTTCAGTTCCTACCTCCTTTTGCTATTTTAAGCCCCTGGTGTTAAGATATGCACATTAATATAATTTTTATCTTAGAGAAAAGACCATCTAGTATTGATTGTATTGGAAGAAAACACTGGATTCTAAAGGTATTGCCAACACTGATATTTCAAGAAAACACTTTCAGTCCTGGTGGTATTGAGTTTCTGGCTTAGCTCTCAAAGTTCTTTGCTTTGGCCCTTTTTAACATAAAATAACTAAATTTTAGGTTGCATTGAGTTCAGAAATATAGTCTGAACAGTAATACTATGTTAGTGGTAATATTACCAGTTCAAGAATGATATTTCAAAAAATTACTATTTTTCACATACGAAAATGCATATATTTACGTCATTTATTTATGTTTCATTCCTTTGTATCTCTTATCCCTTGAGACCTATACAAATGTTCTCAACAACTTAAAGCATTATTATGAAGATTTGTCAAATACAGTTGACCCTTGCCAAATACAGTTGACTAAAGTTTGTATTAAAACTACTAGTAATGGAGGGGTTAGAGGGACCAATCCTCTGAGCAGTTGAAAATCTGTGTATAACTTTTGACTACCCCCAAACTTAACTACAATACTGTTGACCGGAAGCCTTAATAATAACAGAAATAGTCAATTAACAGATATTTTATATGTTATATGTTTTATATACTTACAATAAAGTAAGCTAGAAAAAAGAAAGTGTTAAGCAAATCATAAAGAAGAGAAAATATACTTACTGTTCGTTAAGTGAAAGTGGATCATCATAAAGTCCTCATCCTCATCATCTTCACTTTGAATAGGCTGAGGAAGAGAAGGAAGAGGAAGATTGGTCTTGCTGTCTCAGGGGTGGCAGAGGTAGAAGAAAATCTACATATAAGTGGATCCATGCAGCTCAAACCTCTGTTGTTCAAGGGTCAGTACAAAAGTATTTTGTTGAATTTGACCAACCCAAGAAATACCAAAAATGCTTTCTTGACAGCTTAAAAATGGTGGCACTTAACCATTAAGAAAAAGGGTAAGAATGCCCATTCTAAAACCTGGCATATCATAAGGAACTTCTTTGTATAATACTAAAATTTAAAGGTGTCAAATGACACTACGTTTTTACAGATGTTCTTGGACTCCAACCCCATAGTGACTCCAGTCATCAACTATGAAAAGGAATATATAAAATAAGTAATTAGGGCGCCCATTCCAACATTGGGCTAATGTCCACATTTAAAAAACTCTCTTAGTCCCACTTCTCTTAGTTCATGACTGGTTTTTCCACTTCTGAAGATTGGAACAAAGACCTGATTTTCACTCTTTGTCCCAATTGCCTCCTACAGGGAAACTCATAGAAGGCCTACTATCTAGACTGAGTTCTAGAGGGCAGCACCTTAATTTAATTTAACTCAATTCAATAAAAATTTGAGTACCTACCATGTGCTAGCAACTATACAGAAACAAATAATAAGACATAGCCCCTGGACTCAAAGAGATAATTTAGAAGAGAACAAAGATAACATCATTCAGCAAAGTGCTATTTAAATTTTAAAAAATTCTGCAAAAATCAGAGGTAGACCAGAAGACAAAATGACTAACTTTTAATAGCATTTTTCTCACCCTTACCCCAGAGATTTAAAATCCTTAGGGGACTTGTTTCTATGGAAAGACCTAATTTTCCTTTGCTTGTTATATAAACAAGAAATATATGCATGCCTCAACTTATTACTTCTCCAATTATCAGCCTTTAAGCCTAATTATCACTGCCTTTATTAAATGATCCTGAATGTATCATTTCTATCCCTAACTTGAAAATAATCAATATCACACTTACAGAGTTAATCTTGTATCTAATCCTTAACGTGTCCTTTTGTATCCCAAGTTATGAAGAATTACGCTAAAATAATCATTATTCACAGTGTTCTATGTGTAAATTTTAGTATACATTCTCAAATGACAACAAACAAGAAAAATCTTTGTGTTTATTATTGAGTTTGCACTCTGTCTGTCAAAGAAAGATGGCAAATGTCATATAGGAAAAATATAAGAAAAAATCAAAATGTACCTATAGCAATTTCTCAGCTTCATCATAAGCAACCAAACTATTAGTGAACAAAGAGTGTTCAGATGCATTTTACATGGTCTTATATTACCTAAGAACCTGAATTTTTTTCATTTTGCCGAAATTTTCAGATTCTTCCACAATTCACATGTGTTTACATATTATTTATGTAAAGGGCTTTTTTTCCTAACAGAGAAAAAATCTTATCTGAAGCTGTAATTTGGGCAAAACATAAAATAATCTTATGTAGACCTTTTTTTAATTAGTCAATTTAACAAAGATTAAGCACAGATTTTGTACTATGTGATAGTACAAAGATAAATAAAATAGGATCCCCGACTCTCTAGAATAGGAAACAGGTGATTATTTCAATGTACTGTGGTGATAAGACAATGAGCTGTCCAAAATATTAAAGGAGTATCAAATAGGGACATAATCCCAACTAATGAGTTTGTAAATCAGGGAGATGAAACATAAACTAAAGGATGAGTAATGGCAAACCCAAGTGAAAAAGCCCTTTCATTATGGAAACTTTTCAAAATTCAGAGCAGTATAAAGATGCAAATGACAGTCATTCATAATCCCACCAACCAGAGATGGTCACTGTTAACATTTCAGCATGTTTCATTATAGACTTCTTTTAACAATTCTGGGAGTGGGGAATGATATTCTTTTATATTTATTATTTCCATCACATTTAAAGCAATGGAATTATGTTGCATATAGGAAATGAAAGTCCTTACTAGAAAAATATGATACCCAAATAACCTCTTAGATTTGATCCTTTATTACTATACGAATATGTCTATCCTACTTCTCCCAGCCTGCATCAGGAATGAGAGAAACTTTCAAACCCTCTAATCAGGAATGGGACACAAGTTGTCTTTTCTTTCAAATTCTGTAAACCTAACTGAATTACCTGTTATTTTCTCTCTTCCAAAACCCAAACTAGGGCTCAGTTAGTGGAAAAAGCACATAGCCCTTTCTTAAGGTTACACATTGACACATGAAGTTCTTACTACTTCCAATTCTTCCTTTCCTCCATTCTGGAGAATCTTTTGATATGGACAGCCTGGCTCTTCATCTTTTCTCACAATGCTATCATTTGGAAACTGTGTCCAACTAGATTAAGGCTTCTGAAACTTAAAGCCAGATTGTCTGCTGCATCCATTCAGGATGGATACATCCTGAAATATGAAAAACCAATGACTAAATGAAGAAATACAAGGCACTTAAATAAATGTATGGGGAAACTTAATTAAGATTTTAAAAATATTATCTTAATTCAATATTAATAAAATAGTAAAAAACAAAATAACTGAAATTTGCTTTTATTTCTCTGAGAAAATTGATTTCCATATGTGTTTGAATTAAATGATACTTTTCAGAAACATAATCTCATACATCCAGGAAGATGCACAAAAACTTGTTTATTCATTTGATATATATTTACTGAATACCTCCTATGGGCTCAGTACTATGCAAGGCACTAGAAAGGCAAAGTCCCTGCCCCAGGGATCTGATAGTCTGGAAGGGAGACAAACAATCAGACATGTCCAAGACATATACCTTAAATATGACAGGTATGTGACAGAAATAGAAGGGGCACCTGTTCCAGACTAGGGTGGAGGTATAAAGATATAAAATGGATTATAGGGAAGAATAAAAGTATTCCAGAAAGGAAGAATAGCATGTTCAAGAACTATAAAAAGTTGTCTGTAACTGAAACACTGGATATATCAAAGGATGTGGCAGGAAAGAAGGATGAACATGAGGGCAAGGACCAGATTACAAAATTCCGTATTTGCCATACTCAGGAGATTGGTTTTATTTTATAGGGGATATTAGAGAAGACTTCCCAATGGACATCATATCTGAGATAAACTTTAAAACATACAGAAGAGTTTATCAGAATAACCTGAGGTGTTTTAGAATAACCTTAGATGCTTCTGAAAATTTTTTATTCCTAGGTCCCATATCCAAAGATCCTAACCTAGTAAATTGGGGTGAGGATAAGGATTCTGTATTTTTCACAAGATATTCTGATAGAAGTGCCTATGCATCACCTATTCCAAATTTGATATACATATTTTCCATTCTCTAACTACAACTCTTCCTCAAAAGAAAAACACACACACTTGGCTTAAATATTTACAATTATTTAGAAGAAAACATGTAACACTATATTAGGATTATTAGGACAATGTGCCATCCACTGTTTAAAAATGAAACCTACCATTTACTTAGTGTTTATTACATGTCAGGTATGTGCCAAATCTTTTATATAATTATTTAATTTACCACTCATATCAACCCTGAGAAGTATGCATTTTACCTCCATTTATATATGAAGAAACTGAAGCTGAGTGAAGTTAAATAACTTGCTGAACTTCACACAGCTATAAGCAGCAGAAATCCCAACCCAGGCTATCTGCCTCCAACGCACTTACTTTTTGCATCATGCTATAACTGATCTCTAACTTGTAAAGGTTGCCAGTGAAATGTTTTCTCCAATTCTAATTACCACAAAGAAGAATAAGAACACCAGATCCAAACTCAGTGTTGGTACTATGGCCAGACATTTTTAAAAGAATGAAACTTGTCAAGCCAGAAATAAAGTATTTCTATCAACAATGATTCATGTAAATGCTGCCTCATGTTTAGGCTTCTTCCAGCTCATTCAGAAAACACTGAGGAAGATGCATAGGATCCCATTTCTTAACAGAAAATAATTGGGCTGATAACTACTGTGTCAGGGTGAGAAATCCTACGGTGGTAATCTCCTGAGCCAGGTGGTTTTAGTCTTTCTTTGGCCAAATAAGACATAACACTGCTTTCTCCAAGTCTGCCACTGTCTCTCCTTCAGAGAAGACAATTCACAAAATTCCAATAAACTCTGACTTAGTGTAAAAGATAGTACTTGGAAGTGGAAAAAGACAAACATTTATTTAATAGTTCATATGATAACTACTGTAATAAATGTATAAAATGGATTATAGGGAAGAATAGAAGTATTCCGGAAAGGAAGAATAGCTTGCTCAAGAACTATAAAAAGTTGTCTATAACTGAAACACTGGATATATCAAAGGATGTGGCAGGAATGAAGGATGAACATGAGGGCAAGGACCAGATTACAAAATTCCGTATTTGCCATACTCAGGAGATTGGCTTTATTTTATAGGTGATAGGGAAGTTCTTTAAAGATCTTAAACAGTTAGAAAGGTCACTTAAGCTATAACATGAAAAATGTTGGGGCAAGGTAGGTGACAGGGAGACTAGTTAGTAAGCTAATAAAAGAGGACAAAAGCCTGAGCTATGAAGCTGTAGTGAGGAGGGATAAAAGGAAATGGTCCCAAGAGATATAGGAGGAAAAGTAGATGTGAATTGCTGACTATTCAGATGCAGTGAATGAGGAAGAGAAATATGTCTAGGTTTTTGGCTTGATGGATAGTGGTGCTGTTAAACAATACACACAAATAAAAAAAAAAACAGTAAAAGAAGCAATTTGAGAGAACACCTGAAGAATTATATTTTAAAAGTAATCACAGTGGTTAAGAACATAGGCTTTGCACTCAGAAATATCACTTAATATCCATGTGACCTTGGGCAAGTCACAAGGATATTAAGTGACTCCTGAAGACTGTTTCTTTATCTATAAAACTAAGATAATAAAAGAACCAACTTAGAATTGTTCTGATGGTTAAATCAACTAATGCAAATAAAGCATTTAGAATACTGCCTAGCAAAATGGTAATCCCTCAACAAATTGTGGCTATTATCATTGTTTAATTGAGATTGAGAAGGCTAGAATGTCCAAATGCAGATTGTCAGAAAAGAGTTGGAAATACGGATTTGGGACCAGGAGAAATTCTAAGTATGGATGGTGTTTCTTTAAGAGGTTATATAGAGTTAGAATAACACAATGATGGATTTCTAAGGAAACACCAACATTAAAAGGATTTCTGACTTTGTATTGATGCACTAATTATCCCAAATTTTGGTTTCAACCATTCTTGGGTCACAGTTTGTGAGTCTAAAAATATTTTTTCCAATAAATCAAACGTCCAAACCCTTTATAAGTATTCTTACAACCTATTCTTATGATTTTTATTTGTATAAATCTATGTTAATGTACTATTGTCTATTTCAATTTTCCTAGAAAACTGCCATATCCTTTAGAGCAAGACTCAATAGGGCTATATATGTACTAAAATACTTCTTTACTGACACAAATATCATCCACATATTATGAGGAGCTATTCATGATTTCTATGTTCATGTACAATTTTGACTCCTGTTGAAGAGCTATTGGGACTCACTGGCAGTGTTAGCTCCAGGAAAACAAAATGTGACAAAAAGTGGGTTTGGAAGAAGCCTTTGTCCTTTGGCATCTGTCTGATGGCACTGCTTGCCACAATCTCAGTCAGGATTCTCCTACATGCTAATCTAATAGTCTACTTCTTAGCATTAAGGTTCTCATTCATTTAAATTGTCAAAAGGGGCTTCTCTTGGTAATATTTCCTTTCCACTTTAAAGATATTAAGAGAGAACAACAGAGCTTTCTCAAGAAATTCAATACTTTTAAGGCCTAAAGCAGGGGTAATCACAAAGATAGGTCTACTAGCCCTCAAAAAATATAATTCAGCAAAAGAGACACAGAATAATATAGAAAAAATGAGGAACAGCTGAGTTAACAAGTGAGCAGTTATCATACCCCAATATGTCACTGCTCCACTTGACTCTGGTGTCTATAGAAGAATTTGTAAGATCAAGAGCTCAGTCTGTGCTATGGCATTCCAAAACAATTCTCACATTAATAAAAAGGAAGATCTAAAACTGAAATGTGCTATTTAATCTAAGTAAATTAAAATCACACAAAGCAAGAAAGAGTGATTGTAAGATTAATACTTTATTGTTTTAATATGTCATTTTTATTTTAAAATTACAGTTGAATCTAAAAGCATGATATTCTCCCCCAGTAAACCAGGTCTATAGAAAGCAAACCTATTCAGACTATTACTGACTCAATGAAAAAAATTATCCTCATTAAAATAAAATTTATTTTTATTCAAAAAATTATTATTTAAGCACTTTTTATGTGCCAGATACTTCATACTCACTGTCCTGGGAACTGGGGATATAGTAGGGAAATAAAACATTCAAAAATACTAGTTGGAGGAAGGGAAATGAGGCAGTCAAAGAATAAATAGGCATATGAGCAAAACATATAACATGTGAGATGATGATAAGTGCAATGAAGAAATACAAGGTAAGAAAGGAGAAAAAGGAGGGTCCCTACTTCCGATGTTAATTAAGGTAGCCAGAGAAAAACTTGCTGTGGTGACATCTGAGTAAAGATCTGAGGGAAGTGAAGTAGTGGGCAATGAAGCTATATGGTTGAATCAGTTTTCCAGACAAGGAGAACAAGTAAGAATAGACAGAGCAGAGTAAGGGAGGAAGCAGAGAAACCAGTAAAAAGCAAGAAATGGTAAAGACCTGAAGCAGGTGAGAAATGGTAGAATTGTGGATGTGTTTCTGCAGGTACAGCCAACCGTATTTGCTGAAGGATGCAATGTGGGATAAAGGAGAAAAAGAGAAATCAAGGATGATGCCAAGGTTTTTGGTCTGAGAAAGTTGAAGGATGGCATTTCCATTGCCTGAGACAGATGAGTACTGAGAACTTATATGTAGAAACAAAAAAGTTGTTGTGGACTTTCACAAGAGCAGTTCAACAGAGTGAGAGAGGACAATTTAAGAAACAATAGGATGAGAGAAATTGGAGTATCAACAATTGTACTCCAGAAGATTGGAAAAGAGGAACAAAGAATTAGGGCAGGAGGTAGAGGGAGAAATGGGCTCAGAAAAAGAAATTAGTTATTGTTTACTTTGCAATCTACACAAGTAAAATGAAAATATGTAGATTATCTTGTTTTCTCAGGTTGTTTCACCATATCCTATTTGTGTTTCTTTTTACTTCCCTGTGAATAGCAAGTTAATATAACAATTACTATTGGACTCATTCAAGTCAAATTACAACAGCATAACAATAATGTCTCAAAATACTTCAAGAACATGTACAAAATAAACAGCAAATCATTTTTAGCAGCAAATCATTTTTTTTCCACTAGAACATCCACTGGGAAAAGAGTTTAGTGGTGTAATCAGCAATAAATAGGAGTTATTTCCTTTATTAAAATGCCTGATTACATAAGAAGGACACAAATATTTTTAAACTGTATCATGGTATCAGTTCTCTCACCATGAAATGTTAATTCCTGTGGTCTGGTAGACATAGATCTGCTGGAGAAAGGAAGCAAAGAATGCCATTCAGCTGAATGAATGAACGAACCATTATGGTAAACTAAGTATAATTCCCAGAGTCAGGTCAGGACATCAGGGATAACAACAATGCAGCTCTCTTCATGAAAGCATGGAAGAATTTTTAGGTGTGTTTTTCCACCAAGAGGAAAAACAGATAGTGATTTGGGGCTTCATTCAAAAGATTCCACTACCGTCTATGTTCTATGATAGTATAGACTAAATCTGTCTTGTTCCCTGTTTTCCCAGGGTCTATCATGCTGCTGAATGCATAATAGGAATTCAATAAAATTTTTCAATAAGTGAATGAAAGCCTGAAAAAATCAGTTAAATGAATAAATGAATGAATGCCACCTTAACTCTATGGAACTATAATAGATGATAAATCACAGGCACAGTCAAGAGTCTCATCTGATAAATTGCTTCTACAATACATAACCACCACAACTTACCCATACCACAAAAATAGAACACTTTAAAGACTACCCATATGGTATCTATTTTGATTACCCAAACAAGATATTATTACTGACTTCATTGATATGGCTGGTGAAGAAAAACTTAATTTGGCCTTCTTCATTTTATAAAACTAGCACAGGGGGGTTTCCATCAGTTGCTGTTCTTAAGAATAAGACATATTTTGAGAGAATCTTCATGAAGAAATCTGTGAAGTCACGATAAATATGAATATTGGTGTTGAAGATTCAGATGTGTAATGTTTAAACAATGTAAACTGAATTCATCTTTAGCCTGACTGTGCCCTGCTAGAACAAGAGAAAGATGTCCTAGAACAAGAGAAAGATGTCCTACATATCCATTCATATTAGCCACATAGTGTTATTTATGAATAAATAACACAGAGTTTTAGAAGTATAATGTTCAATATTTCCATTTTCTTGTCTGAGTAATGGAGATTCAACCATACCTGTGGGTGTGGATGAGAATTCCTCTGAAAGAATTCTGTTAGCCATCATGGGGCAGGCTTTGGAGTGGGCATGAAAAGGAGTTTCTCTGAAATAATAGTTGAGGATTTAGGACTCTGGGTCCAGGATTCCTATAGATTCTCTTTGGTGGGAATTGAGCTTGCCCTGACACGTGATACCACATGTGAACAAATTAATATGAGGAAACAGCTTGGACAATTATGAGACTGTCTTTAATCATCACTGTATCTCTGGAATAACAATGATTGAGAGTGTGGACAACTGGAAGGGTGCATAAAGAACCAATAAGACAGATTAATGGAAGATACTAAAATTCTTTTGGTAGTCTCACACATTAACTCAGTGAAGGAAACCAGCAGAAAAAAATGTAACTACCCTATCTATGGGATGAAAATTTGTAGTAATATTTTGGATCTCATACTGAAAATGTATTGTTTTGCCAATCATGAAGATCAGTCCTTTCCTTCTAGAAAATGTCACACCTAACCTTTCATTCAGTCAGACTTTATTGGTTCAGGGATGGGCATCTGATCCCATGTGTACCAATCAGTATCAGTGCTCTTTCCCTGGATTCTTCAACTTGGTAGGAGACATACCTAGTCTCCAAACCTCTCTGATGGAGGAAATTTAAAGTTTTAGAGCAAGTGGAGACCATGTCTCTCACCAGAAGAAAAATCCCTGGGGGACAATGAATCTAAATCACAGAAAATAACTGAGGATAAATGTAATGAGTGACAAATGATAATTACTGCTGAGATCTAGACACAATCCAGCACTTCCTGTGGTTTGATCACCAAAGCCAATAATCCTTTTTCCTAAGCTAATTTAAACTGGATATCCGTCTCTTACAATCAGAAGAATCCTGCCTAATAGAGGCATTAAAGGAAAGTGTCACTTCATTTTATTGCCACAGACTGGAAAGGTCCAGAAACATGCTGATTACATTTTTATAGGAAAACTGAAACTCAAAGAACTTAAGTGTCTTGCCCCCCAGGTCAAAATGACCAGCAAACAATTCTGATTCCAAAGCCAATCACCCTTCATTAACCATTACCCTATGATAAAATTTCTATAGTACGGACATGTTGATAGTTATGGAATATTTATAAAACATATTCCAAAGACTTGACAACTGATGAGTTTGGAGTTTGAAGAACTACATTATCTAGCAAATGGGCTAATCTTACAAAACTGATTAAGTTTCTATTCAATGTAATTTTCTAATAAAGGATTGGTAGTACACATCATACTTGACCTGGAAGCTTTTTATTCTCAATAAATACTTATTACTTGTTTTTCATTCTGGAAGCTTTTTATTTTCAACACATAGTTATTCTTTTTATACTCCTCAAATACTTATTTAGTGTGATAACTCTGTGCAAAGATAAAACACTAAACCTTTCTCAATTTATTCTCCCAAAAAAATAAACAAAACTGGTGCTCTGTGCATATGAGCCACTTGGGATTCTTGTTAAATGTAGATTCCAGTTTAGTAGCTCTGAAATGGGAGCTGAGATTCTGTACTTCTCAAAAGATCCATGGTAATGCATTACTGCCGGTATACAAGCTACATTGTGACAAGCAAAGTGCTAGATACTCTGGGAAATAAAGCAATTAACGCATGCCAGATTTTTACCCTACGCCAGATTCCTATGCCTCCAGATCTTTGAATGGCTTGCTCCTTCTCACCACTCAGGTCTCAAGCTGAAATTCAGTCCTCAGAGAGGTGTTCCCTGAACACTCTCTAAACAACCCAAATCTGAATTTGCATTATTCATTTTTTTTATTTACTGTTTCTTCCTAGAAAAATATAAGCTCCACTTCCACTTCCAGTCATTATGGAGTGACAGTGACCCAATTTGCCCTACTGCATGAAACTATTAATACATAACACTTGGACAAAATATATGAAACAATGGTTTTTGGACATTTGACATAAAGGAATGCAGAACCGTAATCCCTGAATGCAAAATACAAACTGAGCTCTCTGAGTGCCCCAGCTGCTACGCCTGTAGTACAAGAAAAGGAAATCCAGGCAGACTTTGATGCTCTTCTTGAGTTGAAGAGATGAAGCTGGGAGTCCAGACAGGCCCAGGTTTAGCAAAGCAGATACCAAAGAGAAGAGAGATGCACAGAGAGAGAGAGATGCAAAGGATCTCTCCAGTCTTCAGCTCCATAATGCTAAACACTGGTGTATGAAGAAACTACTTGAATGGGGTGGAGATGGGGCATTGAAGAAATCACTTGCACAGAGCAAAGGAAGCAAAGGAATTATCATAATCCTCAGGACTCAAGCAGTGCCAGGAATACTAATGTTCCCATCAGCCGAGTGGAAAACCCTGCAAATCACAGGACATTGGCTAGACTACTCAGAAATTTATTGCCTCAGGAATAAGGAAAATGAGGCCTAGTCTAAAGGCTTCTCTGTTTCTAACTAACCAAGCCTAATAGCAATGTTTGAAAAGATCAAGCTACTTCCAAGTAACTTAACTGTATCATGAAAAAAAAAGAAGCTCCAGAATATTTATAGGAATAAAAGAATTTTCAGTACTCGATAGAGTACAATGCACAATTAGTTTAGCAACTACTAAAAAATTATCTGGCATACATACTGTCCAAAGCAATTTATAGATTCAATGCTATCTCTATCAAACTACCAATTCCATTCTTCACAAAAACTAGAAAAAAACTAATTTAAAATTCACTTGGAAACAAAAAAGAGCCCAAATAACCAAGACAATCCTAAGCGAAAAAAACAAAGCTGGTAGCATCACACTACCTGACTTCAAACTGTACTACAAGGCTGCAGTAACCAAAATAGCATGGTACTAGTATAAAAACAAACACATAGACCAATGGAAAAAAATAAAGAGCCCAGAAATAAGGCCACACACCTTCTTCAACAAAGCTGAAAATCAATCTGATCTTCAACAAAGCTGAAAAAAAAAAAAAACAAGGAAGGGGGAAAGGACTCCCTGTTAAGCAAATGGTGCTGGGATAACTGGCTAGCCATATGGAGAAGATTGAAACTGGATCCCTCCCTTACATAATATACAAATGTTAACTCAAGATGGATTAAAGACTTAAATGTAAAACTCAAAACTATAAAAACCATGGAAGACAACCTAGGTAATATCATTCTGGACATAGGAAAGGGCAAATATTTCATGACAAAGACACCAAAAGCAATTGTGACAAAAGCAAAAAATGGCAAATAGTATCTAATTAAACTGAAGAGCTTCTTCACAGCAAAAGAAACTATCAGCAGAGTAAAAAGACAACCTACAGAATGCAACAAAAGCAAAACTTGACAAATGGAATCTAATTAAAGCAGAGAGCTTCTGCACAGCAAAAGAAACTATCAACAGAGTAAAAAGACAACTTACAGAATGGGAGAAAAATTTTGCAAACTCCACATCTAACAAAGGTCTAGTATCCAGCACCCATAAGGAACTTAAATTTACAAGGGAAAAAAAAAAAACATTAAAAAGTGGGCAAAGGACATGAACAGACACTTCTCAAAAGAAGACATACATGTGGCCAACAATCATATGAAAAAAAGTTCAACATCACTGACCATTACAGAAATGCAAACCAAAACCACAATTAGATAGGATCTCACACCAGTCAGAATGACTATTATTAAAGAGTAAAAGAATAACAGGCGCTGGTGAGGTTTTGGAGAAAAAGGAAACCTTATACACTGTTGGTGGGAGTGTAAATTAGTTCAGCCATTGTAGAAGACAGTGTGGTGACTCCTCAAAAACCTAAAGACAGAAATACCATTCAACCCAGCAATCCCATTACTGAGTATATACCCGAAGGAATAGAAATCATTCTATTATAAAGACACTTGTATGCATATGTTCACTGCAGAACTATTCACAATAGCAAAAACATGTAATCCACCTAAATGTCCATCAGTGGTAGACTGGATAAAGAAAATGTGGTACATATGCACCATGGAATACTATGCAACCATAAAAAAGAATGAGATCATGTCCTTTGCAGGGACATGGATGGAGCTGGAGTCCATTATCCTTAGCAAACAAATGCAGGAACAGAAAACCAAATACTGCATGTTCTCATTTAGAAGTGGAAGCTAAATGATGAGAACACATGGACACAGAGAGGGGAACAACACAAACTGGGGCCTTTCAGAGGTTGGAGAGTGGGAAAGAGGGAGAGGATCAGCAAAAATAAGTAATGGGTATTTGGCTTAATACCTGGGTAATGAAATAATCTATACAACAAACCCCCATGACACAAGTTTACCTATGTAACAAACCTGCACTTGTACCTCTGAACTTACAAGTTAAAAAAAAATTAAAGAATATCTAAATAAAGGAAGAGACATTCCATGTTCATGAATCAGAAGACTTTGTTAAGATATCTTCTTGTTAAGATGGTAATATTACATCTTATAAATCTAAGGCAATAAATCTAATTGACTTCTTTTAGATAGAAATTTTAAGGCAATTTCTATCAAACTCCCAGGAGGCTTTTTTTTGGCAGAAATTGACAAGGCAAACCTAAAATTCATATGAAAATTCAAAGGAAACAGAATATCTAAAACAGAATATCTAAAATAAAACAAGTAGTTTGGGGTACTTACACATCTTAATCTCAAAGCTCACTCTAAAGCTACAATAATCAAGATAATGTGGTACTGGCATAGGAAGATAGATAGATAGATAGATAGATAGATAGATAGATAGATAGATAGATAGATAGATAAAATAGAATTGAAAGTCCAGGAATAAAGTTAACTTTCATATTATATACGAAACATACTTCTTAAAAGGTGCAAGACAGTTCAATGGGGAAGACAGGGTCTTTTCAACAACTCATTCTAAAACAATTAGATATCTACATGCAAAAGGACTAATTTGAACCCTTGCCTTATGCCATACACGAAAATTAATGAAAAATAAATCATGGACCTGTGTGTAAGAACTGAAACCACAAAACTTCTTAGAAGAAAACATAAGGGCAAATCTTCATGACTTTTGGTTAAGCAACGATTTTTAGATAGGACACCAAAAGAACAAATAATAAAAGAAAAAAATAATGTAGACTTTTTGTGTTCCAAAAGACACTATCAAGCAAATAAAAAGACATGATCTAGACAGACAGAAAACATTTGCAAATTATAGATCTTATAAGGGACTCATCTATAATCTATAAAGAACTCCTAAAACTCAATAAGAAAGGACAAAATATTTGAATCGATATATTCCCCCCAGAAAAGATATGTTAATAGCCAGTAAGCACATTAAAAGATGTCCAACATCCCTAGTCATTAGGAAAGTGCAAATCAAAACCACAGTGACATACCAGTTCACATTCTCTAGAATGGCTATAATCAGAAAGACTGATAATAACAGTTGGAAGGCTGTGGAGAAATTGGAGCACTATATGTTGCTATTGGGACTGTAAAATGGTGCAGACACCTTGAAAAAGTTTGGCAATTTCTTAAAATGTTAAACATAAATTTACCATATAACCCAGCAATTTCACTCCAAGATGTATATCCAGAATTTTACCAACCTAGGTAAGACAATTAGGTATTTCCCCCAAAGTGAAAACATCTATCCACACAAAGAACGGTATCCAAATATTAATAGTAGCACAAGTCATAGTAGGCAAAAAGTGGAAACAACACAAATGCCAGACAGCAACTGAAAAATTATAAACAAAAAGGGGTATTACAATGTAATACTTTTTTATAATAAAAAATGAAGTACTGATACACAGTACAACATGAATGAACCTCAGAAACATTATGCTAAGTGAAAGAAGTCACATACAAAAGACCACATGCGGTATGATTCTACTTATACAAAACATCCAGTAAATTCAAATCTAGAGACAAAAAGTAGATAAGTGATTGCCTAAGACAGGGTGGGAATGACCACAAATGAAAATGAAGTTTCTCTTCAGGGTGATGGAGACTTTCTAAAGTAAGAATGTGGTGGTGGTTGCGCAGCCCTTTAAATACACTAAAAATCATTGAATTGTATTCTTAAAAGTGGTAAATTTATGGATGCAAATTATACCTCAATAAAACTGTTCAATAAAAAGCAAAGACAAATATAAAATACATCTGACAAAATACAAAACTTTAAGGAGGTTATTAAATGACCATCAGTACAAGAAATTAAGTTAAAGGGAGCTACTCAAAAAGAAAGAAAGATATCACATGGAAAAGTAGATCTACACAAAGAATTGAAGTACTGGAAATGGTCAATATGCGGTATGTGTAAAACAAGCTTTTTCTTATCTTTAAAAACTCTTAACAGGTAACTGTTTAAAGCAAAAATATTATCAGTGTCATATGGAGTTTATAACATAGGCAGTAATAAATATATGACAAAACTACCACAAAAGAGAATAAAAGGAAATGGAAGTATACCATTGCAGGTTCTTATCCAATATGTCAAGTGAAAAAAAAATATTAGAAAGTAGACTGTGGCATGTTAAAATATAATTTGTAAATGCTTAAGCAAACACTAAAAACAAAACAAAAAACACAGTTTAAAAGTCAATAAAATAGATAAAATGTCATCATAAAAATTACACAATCCAAAAGAATACAGGAAAAAGGCAACGAATGCGTCAAATAGAAAAAAAATAGAAAGATGGTTGAGGTATACTCCTCTATATAAATTACACATTTATTATAAAGTATCTTGTTAATCTGTTACATACAATTTCCTCCCTTATTCCTGCTTTTTTATTCCTAAAATATGCCCAGCACATAGCAGACGAGTAATAAATATATGCCGAATGACAGTTAAATTATTAGAAGAATGGCTGACAGATAAATACAAATTTGAAAGCCACTCATATGGTTTTCTAAGAGTTATCTTTTAAGAATGTAGCTCCTTTCTGGGATGAAATAATAAAATATATAATTAATAAAGAATTATTGATTTTGTGAACTGTCAAAAATCTTCAACTTCTGTCTCAGACAAACTTCAGAAATATGAATTTTTAAATCCACCCAGGCAATAAAGCAATTAAAAAGCAAAAGAATATATATTCCCAATAGTATTTAGAATGTGGCCTTATATGCTGTGGGCACCTTCCCTATTCCTGCTAGGCTGAGTCATTATTTTCTACTTCTATTAATACCAGCAAGTATTACAAAAACCAAAACTTGAGACTGGCTTTTGGTTTAATGGGAAGCTTATGAAAATCATCACCTTTTATCAAGAGCATGCTTCAAAATGAAAGTCAGCTATTGCCTTTTCGGTTCCTATGAATTACCTGTCTAGATTAAAGTGTCTGCCTTAATAGTACTTCATTGTCTTGTTCTGCTAACTTGTCTGCCTGGTTTCTGGTCTTCTGCCTTCCCCTAATGTTCAATTGGTTTATCTATAAACCTGAATTCTGCCTGCCTGCCTGGTTTCAGATTCACTTCTTCACCTGGAGTCACAATTCATATCTGACTCAAAAAGTCCAATTATCTGCCTCCAGACAGATTATCTAGTATACCCAAATGCTAACTTATCTCAGTCTCAATTCTGTTCTGCTCCCTGCTGCTTAAGCCCAAATGAATACTCTGAAACTTGTACCCTAAGATCCATAAAAAAATGAAGTCATTTTAGCATTATGTATATATACACAAATTACATTTATATTAAGACTAGAAACAAGTATTCAAGAACACTGAGCTGGAGTCAACAATCATTTTCTGTCTAACACAGTTTGAAAACCAACTGTACTCTCTACAACCTGGTTTAAATAACCCAATTTTTGTTAGCACTCATCTCAGTTGTTTTAGCTAAATCTCAAATAGATACATTAGTATACGCTAGAGAAATGTACAGATTTCTGCATGTGCCATGTATACCCTATATATTTACTATCATCTCTTGAAATTATTATATGTGTCAATTAACAAAAGCTAAGGGAAAATATCAACTGAAAAACATTTTAATCTGATTATAAGATTTTATTTTTGGTTTACTTTACACTTTAATATGTAATAACTCTCTGGGAAAAACTTGGGTTCCAGTAAGATTTAATGACTTTAAGTGTTTACATATTTCTACTTTTCAGCACAAATTTGTGATAACATATAAACTATACTTTGAATGTTATGTGCAGTGTTCAGCATTTTACACAGTAAATTCACTTACTGTTAAAAACATTAAAAATATTTTAATTTTTCACTTAAGTACAATATTCATTAAGCAACTCTTAAATAGTTAATATGAAAGCACATGGATCAGTACACTACTAAATTGTGAGAAATTAAATGTTATAACCCCAAGTATTGCTTTAGGAATAACATTTTAAATGTATGTTCCCCTTTAACATAAAATAAATGAATAGGCAACTCAGACCTAATGAAATAATCGTATTTATAATTCAGCATAATGTATTATAAGGGTTTTTTATTTGACTACAGCTTATATAATAGTATAGAGCATATTTGCTTAATCTCATTTAGTGAGACCCAGAAACTATTTACTATGCAAATCACAATTTTTTAAAGCAAAATTTAAAGATTACGACAAAGAGGAAGAAGTAGCCAATTCATCCCAATAAATTTAATAAGAAGTTCAGGCATCTTATAATCAGAAAACTCTATTGAGGTAAAATTCATATAACATAAAAGACACCATTTTAGTCATCTTAAAGTGCACATTCAGTGGCATTGAGAACATTCACAATGTTGTGCAACCATCCACCAATTTCTAGTTCCAGAACATTTTCCCTGCCGCAAAAGAAAGCCCATGCCCATTCATCAGTCACTCCTCATTTGCCCCAAACCCCATGCCCTAGCAATCAGTAACCTTTCTGCCCCTGGGAATCTGCCTATTCTGGATATTTCCTACAAATGGAATCATACAGTATGTGGCCTTTTATGACTGGCTTCTTTCAGTTAGTATGAAGTTTTCAAGCTTCATTCTTATTGTAGCATGAATTAGTACTTCATTCCTTTGTATGCCTGAATGACATTCTATTGAATACATATACTGTATTTTGCTTAGCCACCCAACTGTTGATAGACATTGTGGTTGTTTCCGCTTTTTGGATATGGTGAATAGTGCTATGAACATTTGTTTACAAGATTTTGTTTGAACATCTGTTTTCATTTCATATGAGTGTTTACCAAGGAGTGGAATTGCTGGATCATATGGTAACTGTAAGTAGGACTTTTTGAGGAATTGCCAAACTGTTTTCCACAGAAACTGCACAATTTTATATTCCCACTAGCAACGTATGAAGTTTACAATTTCTCCACATCTGCACCAACACTTGTTATTTCCCATTTTTTAAAATAGCCATCCTAGCAGTGGAAAACAACATCTCATTGTGGTCTTGATTTACATTTCTGTAGTGACTGATGATGTTGAGCATCTTTTCATGTGCCTACTGGCCCATTGTATATCTTCTTGGAAGAAATGTCTATTTATGACTTTACTCATTTTAAAAACTGGGTTGTCATTTTGTTGTTGAGTAGTTAGGGTTTTAACATATTCTGTATACTAGTTCCTTACCTGATACAGGATTTGCAAATATTATCTCTGATTGTGTGGGTTGTCTTTTACTTTCTTGATAGTGTCCTTTCATGAACAAAAGTTTTTGATTTTGATGAAGACCAATCTGTTTTTTTCTTTTGTTGCTTGTGTTTTTGTTGTCATATCTAAGTAGCCAAAGCCAAACACTAGGTCATGAAATTTACTCCTACACTTTCCTCTAAGTTTTATAGTTTAGCTCTTACCTTTAGGTCTTTGATTAACTTTAAGTTAATTTTGTATACGGTATGAAATAAGAGTCAAACATCATTCTTTTGGGTGGGCGCAGTGGCTCATGCTTATAATCTCAGACCTTTAGGAGGCCAAGGTGGGTGGATCACTTGAGTCCAGGAGTTCAAGACCAGCCTGGGCAACATGGTGAAACCCCGTCTCTACCAAAAAAAAAAAACAAAAAAACAAAAAAAAATCATTCTTTTTATCAGAAACATTTTTATTGAGATCATGTTCATGTAATATAAAATTCACCAGTTTTAACTTTTAAAATAGTTTTTAGCATATTCACAATGTTGTGCAACTACAGCACTAATTCTGGAACATTCCATCACACCAAAAAGAAGTCCCGCTCCTAATCACTGGCAACTACTAATCTCTAATTTCGTTTCTGTCTCTGTGGATTTGCCTATTCTGGACATTTCATATAAATGGAATCATACAATATATGGCCATTGTGTCTGGCTTCTTTTATTTAGCAGAATGTTTTCAAGGTCATCCATGTTGTAGTATGTATAGCTATTTCATTTCCTTTTTATCAGTGAATAACACAGCATTACATGGATTTTTATTCATGTAATTCATCAATTATATTCATCAATTAATGAACACTTTGGTTGTTTCCACTTTTGGCTATTTTGAATAATGCTGTTATGAGAATTTACAGACAAGCTTTTAGCTAAAGATATATTTTCCTTTTGGCGGAGGTATATACCTAAGAGTAGAATTGCTGGGTCATATGGTAAGTCTACATGTAATTTTTGGGAAACTGTCAAACTATTGTTCAAACTGGCTCCATCAGTTTAAGTTACCACCAGTAATACATGAGGATTAAATTTCTCAAGAGTTAAATATCATTCTTTCATATGTGGCTATCTGGTTGCCCCAGCATATTTATTGAAAAGACTATTCTTTCTCTATTGAATGATTTTGACATACTTGGTCATCTTTGTCAAATGGCCATATATGTATGAGTCTATTTCTACACTCTCAATTTATTACATTTATATAGACATATGTCTATTCTCATATTCGTACCACATTGTGTTGATTTCTGTAGCTTTGTAGTCAATTTGAAATGTGAAAGTATGGGTCCTCCAACTTGGTTTTTTTTCAAGATTGTTTAGGCTATTTAGAATCCCTTATTATTCTATATAAATTTGAGGATCAACCTTTCCATAAATGCAAAAAAAAAGGGCTATTGAAATTTTGATAGGGATTGCAATGAATTATGTAGATCACTTTGGGAAGTATTGCTATAGTAACAACATTGTCTTCCTCAAAAGTATTCCACTGAAATGAGAGAAAACATAAGAAAAGAATAAATCCATAACCATGTTACAAAACAGAGAAGAATGGATGAGAATGGATGAGAAAATATGAGGATGAGAATGGATGAGAAATGTGAGGATTTTCTGGAAGCCAAAAGCTAATGGGATCAGAAAAAGAGAGCAATCAGAGCAGAAAAACCACAACCAAAGTAGGTGTGGCTGAGAGCTACTGAGAAGGTAGCATTCTTAAAGATTTTCAAGAAAAATTCTGGGTTAACAATCCAAGCAAAAGCCGACAGTAGACAAGCCAGCATTTGTCAAACCTGAATATGAACACAATGCACTTATTTCTTATTAAATATGGTTCTTACTAAAATACAAATTCTGAGGTGAAACCTGAGATCCTGCAGTCCTAAAAAGCTCCTCCCAGGTGATAGGAATGCTACTGGTTCACATATAACACTTTAAGTCTGAAGGACTAATCCAGTGCACATTAAAAATCACCTGGGGAGCTTTTTAAACAATGCCTCTGTGCAGGTCACAGGCCTTACCATTTAAATCAGAATATAGCAGGATGGGAACCAGGCATAGGTATTTTTTAAAGACCCAGGGTGATTCCAAAGTGCAGAACAATTTGAGAACCACTAGACAAATCAACAGTAAATTTAAAGACTACCTGATATAAGCTGACTAAGATACACTCTTCTCATCTCCCTTCTTGTGAACACAAGGCAGATACTTAGGCGATTTTCACTGTGATAAAGCTATGATAGTTATTTAAACAAAGTGGAGACCCACCAGATTAGTAGCGGCAGGAAGAAAGGAGAAGGCATGGCTCCTAATCTATATATAAGAACTGGAGAGAGAAGCAAAGCAGAAACCAAGAAAGTTGGCTCCAAATCATGACAGAGATTAGGAAAGAGGCACACACTCAAAAATGAAAGACCTTAAAATGCTTCATCTCCAGAGAAAAGCCTTCTTTACTAATACTTCTTTGCCCACTCTCCAGCCACATATATGACTGCAATTGATCCTGATGAATATATTTGTAACACATTACTGACAAAAAAATTAGTATCTAAAAAAAAGAATTGCTAAAAGAGCAGAACCCAATTTTTTAAAAAATGGGCAAAATCCAGGAATTTCTCCAAAAATGAAACACAAATGGCCTGTAAATATAACAAAAGCTGCTCAGCCTTGCTAGTAATCAAGTGAATGCAAATTAAAAGAAGGTACAATTTCATATCCACAACACTGGCAAGAAAAAATTTAATAGAAATTACGAAGTGTTGGGAAGGATATGAAGCAACAGGAATTTTCATTCTTTACTGCTGACTATGGAAATTGACACAATCATTTTGGAAAACAGTGTAGCTTTACTTAGTAAAACTGAACTTCTTAATATCTTATAATCCCACATTCCATTGTTAAGAATATGCCTTACACTCCAGCCTGGGCGACAGAGCAAGCAGAGCAAGACTCTGTCTCAAAGAAAAAAAAAAAAAAAGAATATGCCTTACAGAAACTTTTGTCTAAGTGTGCCAGTAGAAATGTACAAAAATGTTCATGGCAGCAAAATTTATAGTAGCAAAAAGCTGGAAATAACCTTTATGCCTACTGAGAGAAGATACAGATGGGAATAATTATAATGAAAATGATGATAAGTAGCTTTGAAGCTATTATTATTTGCCAAGCAATATTCGAGAACTTTATACATATTATCTCATTTAATTCTCACAACTATATGAGATAACACAATTGTTATCTTCATTTTAAAATGAAAAAAAAAAACTGAACAGAGAGAATTACAGACATGCCCAAAGCATTAATTGGTTGAGTCATCATTTAATCCAAAGCCCGAACTCTTTTTTTTAATTCAACTGTTATTTTGGATACGGGGGCACATGTGCAGGGTTATTACATGGGTATATTGCATCCAGGTACTGAGTATAGTACCCAATATTTAGTTTCTCTGTCCACACCTCTCTACTGCACTCCCTCCTCTAGTAGTCCACAGTGTCTACTGCTCGCATGTTTATGTCCATGTGTGCTCAAAGTTTAGTTCCCACTTGTAAGTGTGAACACACAGTATTTGGTTTTCTGCTGCCGCATTCATTTAGGATTATGGCCTCCAGCTCCTTTTATGTTGCTGTGAAGAACATGATTTCATTCTTTTTTATGGCTGTGTAGTATTCCGTGATGTGTATGTACCACATTTTCTTTACCCAATCCACCATTGATGGGCATCCAGGTCAACTCCATGTCTTTATTATTGTGAATAGTTTGGTGGTGAATATACAAGTACAAGTATCTTTTTGGTATAATTATCTATTTTCCTTTGGGTATATACCCAGTAATGGGATTGCTGGATTGAATGGCAGCTCTGTTTTAAATTCTTTGAGAAATCTCCAAACTGCTTTCCACAGAGGCTGAAGTAATTTATATTCCCACCAGCAGTATATATGTGGTTCCTTTTCTCTGCAGCCTCGCCAGCATCTGTTGTTTTTTGACTTTTTAATAATTGCCATTCTGACTGGTGTGAGATGGTATTTCATTGTGGTTTTGATTTGGACTTCTCTGATGATTAATGACAAACATTTTTTCATATGTTTGTTGGCTGCTTGTATGTCTCCTTTTGAAAAGGGCCTATTCTTGTCCTTTGCTCATTTTTGATGGGGTTATTGGTTTTGGCTTATCGATTTGTTTAAATTCCTGTTGCTTCTGGATATTAGACCTTTATCAGATGCACAGTTTGTAAATATTTTCTCCTATTATGTAGGTTCTGTTTACTCTATTGATAGTTTTGTTTTTCTTTTTTGCTGTAGAGAATCTCTTTCATTTAATTGGGTCCCACTTGTTAATTTTTGTTTTTGTTGCAATTGTTTTTGCAAAATTAGCCAAAAATTCTTTACTAAGACCAATGTGGGGAAGGGTATTCCCTAGGTTTTTTTCTAGGATTTTTATAATTTGAGGGCTTACATTTAAATCTTTAATCCATCTCGAGTTAATTTTTGTATATAGTGGAAGGTGAGGGTCCAGCTTCATTCTTCGGCATAAGGCTCGCCAGTTATTCCAGCACCATTTATTAAATAGGGAATCCTTTCCCCATTGCATGTGTTTATCAGCCCTGTCGAAAATCAGTTGGTTGTATAAGTGTGTGGCTTTATTTATACTCTGCTCCACTGGTCTATGTGTCTGTTTTTGTACCATTATGCTGTTTTGGTTACTGTAGCCTTATAGTATAAAGTCAGATAGTGTTATTCTTCCAGCTTTGTTCTTTTGGCTTAGGATTGCTTTGCCTACTGGGGACCTTTTTTGATTCCATAAGAATTTTAGAACAGTTTTTTCTAATTCTGTGAAGAACGACATTTGTATAATAGTTAGAGAGGAATAGCATTGAATCTGTAAACTGCTTTAGGTAGTGTGGCATTTTAGTGATATTGACTCTGCCAATCCATGAGCATGGAATGTTTTTCCATTTATTTGTGTCATCTCTGATTTCTTTCAGCAGTGTTTTGTAGTTCTCCTTGTAGAGATCTTCCACCTTCTGGGTAAGCTGTATTCCTAGGTATTTTGTGTTTGTTGTGACTATTGTAAATAGAATTACATTCTTGATTTGACTCTCGAGCTGGATATTGTTGATGTATAGAAATGCTACTGATTTTTTGTACATTGATTTTGTATTCTGAAACCTTATTAAAATCATTTTTCAGTTCTAGTAGCCTTTTGGTGGAGTCCTTATGGTGTTCTAAGTGTAGAATCATATCATCAATGAAGAGAGATAGTTGGATGACCTCTTGCTAATTGCTCTGACTAGGACCTCCAGCACAATGTTGAATAGGAGCAGTGAGAGTGGACATCCTTGTCTTATTCCAGCTCTCAAAGGGCATGGTTGCAGCTTTTACCCATTCAGTATGATGGCTGTGCATTTGTAATAGATGGCTCTTATTACTTTGAGGTATGTTCCTTTGATGCCTAGTCTGTTTAGGGGTTTTATCATGAAGCAATGTTGAGTTTTCTCAAAAGCATTTTCTGTGTCTGTTGAGATGATCATGCGAGTTTTGCCTTGAATTGTTTATGTGATGAATCACATATACTGCTTTGCATATGTTGAACCAGCCTTGCATCCCAAGCCTACTTGATTGTGGTGAATTAACTTTTTGATGTTCTATTGGATTTGGTTTGCTGGATTTTGTTGAGAATTTTTATGTCTATATTCATCATGGGCATTAATAGCCATGGTAATGAAATTAGAATTGGCAGCTATTCTCAAGGTGTGACTCCCTAAACCAACATCATTAGCATCATCTGGGAACTTGTTAGAGAAAGGTGATGTTCAGCAATTTCTATTTTTAAAAGCCCTCCAGGTGATTCTGATGCACACTAAAATTTGAGAAGCACTGGAACATGCAAGGATTTACTACATGAAAAAGAGGTAGTCATTTCAAATGAGAGAGGTATATTCATTAAATAATAGAGAGTTAACTGGCTAGCCATTTTTATCATTAAAAATAAAATAAAGCTAAATTATTATTTCATTTCTTACATCAATACATGTTCTAGATGAAATACATATGTGTATGTGGGAGACAAAAACATGAGGAATACATTTCCTTATAATTTCTCGGTAAAACAGAAACCAGAAAAACCATAAAGGAAATGACTGATATATTTGAATATACAAATATGTATAAAACATTTATATGGGGGAAAAAAGCTTAAAAATTTAACACTTGCCTGAAAAAAAAAAAAAACTCAGTCATAATCAAGGTAAGGAAACCATTAATTTCCAGCAGATTATACTCTGACTTCACCAAAAGAATTTCCTAAGCAGATATCTAAAAATATTTCCAAAGGCAGAGAACCCTTCCCCTTTATTTCTAGGTTCCAGGTTAAACCTATAGATATAATACCCATAATCAGCTAGAATTCACCATTGCTTTGAGTTGTTCAAGGTGCTTTCTCCACAGCACTCTATAGACATGCAACCATTCTAGAAGTTTTCATGGACTTACACAGTAGGTGACTCATTCATTTATTAGAACTTGAATGTCCCTAAATTCTTTTACTTTCTGTGGCCTTTCCCTTAATAGCCAAATAAAATGACTTAAGTTCCCATTCTATATAACTGTGGGAATTCTAGTACCCAACCCTTCCCTGAATATTTTTAAATATTTCCAGTGGGAACTAAGAAAGCCTAACTTTCACCTTTAATCACATTTTACTCTGAACTCCCACTTCTCCTGCATTCTTAATTATCTCTCATCATCTTACCTCCTACAACTGCAATTTCATTTTCTTCCTGATCTTCCCTCAGAAAGGATATAACTTATAACCACAATTCCTTTGTTCCCAAAAGCGTTACCCAGCATTGTAACAGGTGTGCGCGCACACACACACACACGGTGTGTGTATATATATACATTTTTTTTTTTTTTT
Source organism: Homo sapiens (assembly GCF_000001405.40). NCBI lineage: Eukaryota > Metazoa > Chordata > Mammalia > Primates > Hominidae > Homo > Homo sapiens. Next base: position 161,595,932 of record NC_000002.12, on the reverse strand, counting down.
TGCTGAGATGGGGTCTTGCTCTGTCATCCAGGCTGGAGTGCAGTGGCACGATCCTGGCTCACTGCAGCTTCCACCTCCTGGGTCCAAGCAATTCTCCTGCCTCAGCTTCCTGAGTATCTGGGATTACAGGCACCCACCACCATGCCCAGCTAACTTGTGTATTTTTAGTAGAGATGGGGTTTCACCATGTTGGCCAAAATGCTTTCAAACTCCTGATTTCAAGTGATCCACCCACCTCAGCCTCCCAAAATTCTGGGATTACAGGTGTGAGCCACAGTACCCAGCCATAAAGGCTTATATTGATGTTTTGAGTATAACACAACATATTTGTTTAAGAGACAATTTGAACTTGAATACTAGTATTATTCTTATAATACCTTATCCATTCCAACCACAGGGAATTTATTACACTCTGCCTCTTCCTTGGATACTTGCCTACCATTTTTACAGGATACATTTTCCTGCTCAAGGTCCTTCTCTCATTTCCTCCATTATCCAAGCCCAAAATGAGTTCATCCACTGTCTACCTGGCTGCTCAGAATAAATTTCTAAATTCCTATTTTTACATTCAGGTTGAAAAATTAACTTTTGTCTTCACTCTTACTTTATTCTTCAGAAACCATGAAAACTGATGTAGCCAATGACTTTTATGTCCTTTAAGTATGGGAGATAAGAAAAAGTCCTAATATTTTAAATAAGCATGAAACTTTATCAACTGTAAAAGATGACTCCAACCCCTGTTTCTTAATAGTTTTAGTATTTTTAAAAATTTGTGGTATGGAGCAAGATGGCAAAATAGGAATTTTCTGGCTCTACTCCCCCAACCCAGAGAAATCCAGTTAGCAACTACCCACAGGCAAGAATACCTTCATGAATATCGTAGAACTTGAAAGTGAGGCTGAGACACCTCTTTAGTACAGAACTGAGAAAAGCCTAGTTTGAAGAGTAAGAGGAACAATTCTCATTGACCAGGCCACCCATACCTCAAGTGGTACAGTGCCACACACAGAAGATTCCCCTGGACCTACAGTTTCTACAGTGGGAAAAATAAGTTGGAGGCAAACATTCAGCTACCCCACCATTGTGGAACCCTTTACAGCAGGCTCATTCCTGTGCTGTCCCATGGAAATATTGGGAGTGCCAGCAGAACCTAGACCACCAGTGGAGAGTTAGAAACACAAGGGTAGGATTCACAGCTGCCAGCACACAAATCTTGGTCATTGCTCTGCACTTCAGCCAAGAGAGACACCACACCGGAGAGACTAGCGAATAGCACTGTGCTGCATAAACGGTAGTCCATAGGTCAACCAGGCTTGGGTCTGTAGCCAATTTCCCCACACAACTCTGGAACACACATTAAGTCTTTCCAAAGCTGGGAGGCAACGACAGGTCAGTGATCCCTCAAGGAGGGAGCATCTGGCCCCATCCAACCCTGCCTGCTGAGCAGCAACTCTACCAAGCCTCAGTGCTCTACTTAAACCTGCCATAGGCAAGGAACCAAGCCCAAATCCATGCATATCTGTGGAGTATAGCTTCTCGCCCTGCCCACTCTATATGGCCAAACAGCAATTCCAGACACTTCACTTAGCCTTAGAGCATAACACACAGCCCTGTCTTGTAACTGCAGATTATAAACAATAGTATATTGTTTGTAATATATATAATATAATATATATTATATTAGAATAGAAAAATTATGAAAAATCAGGGAAATTTGACTCCACCAACAGAAACTAATAAAGCTCCATAATTGGGCCAAAAGAAATGGAGATCTATGAAATGACTCACAAAAAGTTCAGAATAATCCTTTTAAAGAAGTTCAGAAAACTCCAAGAAAATACAGACAGAAAATTAAAATTTGGGAAACAATTCATGAACAAAATGAGAAGTTTGACAAAGAAATAGAAACAATACAAAATAGAAATTCTAGAGAGAAAGAATATATAACTGAAAAATTCAATAGAACACTTCAACAGCAGATTTGGTCAAGCAGAAGACAAAATCTGTGAGCTCAAATGTAAGACATTTGAAATTCACCGATCAGAGGAACAAAAAGAAAAAGGAATAAAAAAAAAATGAACAAGGCCTATGGGAATTATGGGACACTATCAAACAAACTAACTTTTGCATAATAGAAGTTACAGAACAAGAAGAGGGGAAAAGTCCTAGAAAGCATATATAAGAAATTAATGGCTGAAAAATGGTCAAATCTGGGGAAAGATGACAATATCTAGGTACAGGAAGCTCAGAGATTGCCAGTGAACTTCAACCCAAAGAGGAGTTCACCAAGATACCTCATAATCAAGTTATTAAAAATCAAAGACAAAAAAAGAGAATACTGAAAGCAAGATGTACATGTACATATGTGTGTGTGTGAGTGTGTGTGTGTCTGTGTATCTCAGGCCAAAAGAGAGTGAAATGATGTATTCAAAGTGCTGAAGGAAAAAAACTGCCAAACAAGAATACATTATCTGGCAAAGATGTGCCTCAGAAATGAGGGAGAAATAAAACTTTCTCAGACAAACGAAACCTAAAGGAGTACATCACCAGCAGTCTTGCTTCATAGAAATTGTTAAAGAGTATCATTTAAGCTAAAATAAGGATAAAGGCTGCAATTTGTTTTTTAAAAAAACAGATGAAAGTAAAAACTCAATTATAAGAAATACATAGTCATACTCAGAATTCTCTAATTTTGTAAGAGTGGTATGTAAAGCAATTTTATCACCATTACAAAGGTTAAAAGTCAAACTTTTAAAAAATAAATTACAGCTATAATAAATGGTTAAGGAATACAAATTACAAAAAAAAGTAAATATTGACATCAAAATTATAATACATGGAGGGGAGTGAATGCATAGAGTTATTGCATGCAATTAAAGTCAAGTTATTATCAGCTTAAAGTAGCTTGTTATAAGGATAAAATATTTTATGCAAGCCTTGTGGTGGTTACTACAAGCAAAAATCTATAGTAGTTGCACAAAAGATAAAAAGAAAGGATTCAAAGCATGCCACCACAGAAAACCATCAAACACCACAGAAAACCATGAAACCACAAAAGAAGACAGTGAGAGAGGAAGAAAGACACAAAGGACCTGCAAAACAATCAGAAAATAAATTACAAAATGGCAATAGCAAGTCCTTACCCATCAATAATTACCTTAAATGTATAAAATTCTTTAATTTAAAAAAAAGAGTGGCTGAATAGATTTTTTAAAAAAACAAGACCCAGGCCAGCTCTGGTGGCTCATGCCTATAATCCCAGTGCAAGAGAGGATCACTTAAGATCAGAAGTTCAGGCTCAGCCTGGGCAACATAGTGAAATTCTGCCTCTACAAAAAAGTTAAAAAAAAAATAGCTGGGCATGGTGGTACATGGCTGTAGTTACTGTATTCCTAGCTACTTGGGAGGCTAATTCAGGAGGATGGCTTGAGTCTAGGAGTTTGAGGTTACAGTGAGCTATGATCACACCACGGCACTCCAGCCTGGGCAACAGAGCAAGACCCTGTCTCTAAACACACACACACACACACACACACACACACACACACAAACGCACACACGATCCAACCATGTACTGACTACAAGAGGCTGACTTTGCTTGTAAGGACACACAGTAAGTAAAAGTAAAGGGATGGAAAAAATATTCCATGCAAATGGAATCCAAAAAAGATCAGAGATAGCTAAACTTATATCAGATAAAATAGACTTTAAGTAAAAACTGTAAAAAGAGACAAAGAGAGCCATTATGTAATTGGTTAATTCACCAAGAGGATGTAAAAGTTGTAAATATTCAGCCAGTATCATACTGAATGGGCAAAAACTGGAAGCATTCCTTTGAAAACGGGCACAAGACAGGGATGCCCTCTCTCACCACTCCTATTCAACATAGTGTTGGAAGTTCTGGCCAGGGCAATCAGGCAGGAGAAGGAAATAAAGGGTATTCAATTAGGGAAACAGGAAGTCAAATTGTCCCTGTTTGCAGATGATATGATTGTATATCTAGAAAACCCCATCGCCTCAGCCCAAAATCTCCTTAAGCTGATAGGCAACTTCAGCAAAGTCTCAGGATACAAAATCAACGTGCAAAAATCACAAGCATTCTTATACACCAGTAACAGAAAAACAGAGAGCCAAATCATGAGTGAACTCCCATTCACAGTTGCTTCAAAGAGAATAAAATACCTAGGAATCCAACTTACAAGGGACGTGAAGGACCTCTTCAAAGAGAACTACAAACCACTGCTCAATGAAATAAAAGAGGATACAAATAAATGGAAGAACATTCCATGCTCATGGACAGGAAGAATCAATATCATGAAAATGGCCATACTGCCCAAGGTAATTTATAGATTCAATGCCATCCCATCAAGCTACCAATGACTTTCTTCACAGAATTGGAAAAAACTACTTTAAAGTTCATATGGAACCAAAAAAGAGCCTGCATCACCAAGTCAATCCTAAGCCAAAAGAACAAAGCTGGAGGCATCATGCTACCTGACTTCAAACTATACTACAAGGCTACTGTAACCAAAACAGCATGGTACTGGTACCAAAACAGAGATATAGATCAATGGAACAGAACAGAGCCCTCAAAAATAATGCCACATATCTACCACCATCTGATCTTTGACAAACCTGACAAAAACAAGCAATGGGGAAAGGATTCCCTATTTAATAAATGGTGCTGGGAAAACTGGTTAGCCATATGTAGAAAGCTGAAACTGGATCCCTTCCTTACACCTTATACTAAAATTAATTCAAGATGGATTAAATACTTAAATGTTAGACCCCTAGAAGAAAACCTAGGCAATACCATTCAGGACATATGCATGGGCAAGGACTTCATGTCTAAAACACCAAAAGCAATGGCAACAAAAGCCAAAATTGACAAATGGGATCTAATTAAACTAAAGAGCTTCTGCACAGCAAAAGAAACTACCATCAGAGTGAACAGGCAACCTACAGAATGGGAGAAAATTGTTGCAATCTACTCATCTGACAAAGGGCTAATATCCAGAATCTACAATGAACTCAAACAAATTTACAAGAAAAAAATAAAGAACTCCATCAACAAGTGGGCAAAGGATATGAACAGACACTCCTCAAAAGAAGACATTTATGCAGCCAAAAGACACATGAAAAAATACTCATCATCACTGGCCATCAGAGAAATGCAAATCAAAACCACAATGAGATACCATCTCACACCAGTTAGAATGGCGATCATTAAAAAGTCAGGAAACAACAGGTGCTGGAGAGGATGTGGAGAAATAGGAACACTTTTACACTGTTGGTGGGACTGTAAACTAGTTCAACCATTGTGGAAGTCAGTGTGGCGATTCCTCAGGGATCTAGAACTAGAAATACCATTTGACCCAGCCATCCCATTACTGGGTATATACCCAAAGGACTATAAAACATGCTGCCATAAAGACACATGCACACGTATGTTTATTGCAGCACCATTCACAATAGCAAAGACTTGGAACCAACCCAAATGTCCAACAATGATAGACTGGATTAAGAAAATGTGGCACATATACACCATGGAATACTATGCAGCCATAAAAAATGATGAGTTCATGTCCTTTGTAGGGACATGGATGTAGCTGGAAACCATCATTCTCAGCAAACTATTGCAAGGACAAAAAACCAAACACTGCATGTTCTCACTCATAGGTGGGAATTGAACAATGAGAACACATGGACACAGGAAGGGGAATATCACACACCAGGGCCTGTTGTGGGGGGGTGGGCAGGGGGGAGGGATAGCATTAGGAGATATACCTGATGTTAAACGACGAGTTAATGGGTGCAGCACACCAACATGGCACATGTATACATATGTAACAAACCTGCACATTGTGCACATGTACCCTAAAACGTAAAGTATAATAAAAAAATTAAAAATAAATAAATAAAGTTGTAAATATATATGTAACTGACATCAGAGTCCCTAAATTCATAAAGCAACAATTAAATGATCTGAAGGGAGAAATAGGATGCAAAACTGTAATGGTGGCACCTCACTACTTGACTTTCAACAATGGTCAGATCATCTAGATGGAAAGTCAATAAGGAAACATTGGACTTGAATTACATTTCAGACCAAATGAAGCTAACAGACATATATGGAACATTTCATTTAACAGCAGCTAAATACATATCCTTCTCAAGTACACACAGAACATTCTCCAAAACAAATCCACATGTTAAGCCACAAAACAAATCTTAACAAATTCAAGAGGACTGAAATCATGTCAAGTACCTCTCTGGATGACAATGGCATGAAACTAGAAATCAACAATAGAAAAAATGTTAGAATTACACAAATATGTGAAAATTAAACATGTTCCTAAACAACCAATGGGCCATAGAAGAAATCAAAAAGGAAATCAAAAACTACCTTGAGACAAATGATAATGGAAACATAGCATACCAGAAATTACGGGATGCAGCAAAAAGCAATCCTAAGAGGGATATTTATAAGAACAAATGCCTATATCAAAAAAGAGGAACAATTTTAAATAAACAATCTAATGTTATGCCTCAAGGAACTAGAAAAAAAAACTAAATCCAAAGTTAGAAGAAGGAAACGAATAAAAAAGGTCAGGAATAAATGAAATAGGGATTCGAGAAACAACATAAAAGACTGAAGAAACTGAAAATCTGTTTTTTGAAAGCATAACCCAAATTGACAAACATTTAGGTAGACTAAGAAAGAAAGAGGGATAACTCAAATAAATAGGTAAGATCAGAAATGAAGGGGGGACATTACAATTGATACCACAGAAATACAAAGAATAATAAGAAACTACTTCAACAATTATATGCCAGCAATTTGGATAATCCAGAAGAAATTGATGGATTCCTAGTCACATACAACCTACCAAGATAGAATCCTGTAGAAACAGAAAATTTGAACAGACCAATAACAGATACAGAGATTGAGTCAGTAATTTTACAAAAATCTCCCAACAAAGAAAATCTCAGGACCCGATGGCTTCACTGGTTAATTTTATCAAACATTTAATAAAGAATTAGTGCCAATCCCTAGCTCAAACTCTTTCAAAAAACTGAAGCGAAGGGAACAAATCCAAACTCATTTTACAAAGCAAGAATTACCTTGATACCAAACCAGACAAGGACACTGTAAGAAGAGAAAATTACATACCAATATCCCTGATGAACACAGATGCAAACATCTTGAGTTACTGGAAAACAGAACTTAACAGCATATTAAAAGGCTCATACACCATTAGAATTTATCCCTGGGATGCAAGGATGATTCAACATACACAAATCAATAAATATGATATACCACATTAACAGAAAAGTATAAAAATCACATGGTAATCACAATAGATGCAGAAAAAGCATTTGACAAAACTCTGTACCCTTTATGATAAAAAACTTCTCAACAAATTATGTATAGAAGGAATATACCTCAACATAATACAAGCTACATATTACAGTCCCACAGCTAACATTCTACTCAGTGATGAAAAGTTGAAAGCTCTAAGATCAGGAACAAAATAAGGATGCCCCCTCTGTTGGAATGGCTGTCATCAAAATGGCAAAAGATAACATGTTGGCCAGAATGTGAAAAGGATCCCTTGTACACTGTTGGTAGGACGGTAAAATGATACAGCCATTATGAAAAAACAGTATGAAAGCTCCTCAAAAAAATTAAAAATAGGACTATAATATGTTCCAGCAATCCCACTTCTAGGTATATAGTCAAAGATAATAAAATCAGTATCTTGAAGAGATTTCTATATTCCAATGTTCATTGCAGCATTATTCACAATAGGCATGACATGGAATCAGTCTAAGTGTCCAACAGCAGATGCATGGATAAAGCAAATGTGGGGTTTGTGTGTATGTGTGTGTATGTATGTATATACTTCCTTTTCCATATATCACACGTACTATGGAATACCATTTAGCCTTAGAAAAAGAAGGAAATTCTGTCATTTGCAACAACATGGATGAACCTGGAGGACACCATGCTAAGAGAAATAAGCCAGTCACAGAAGTTAAATTCTACGTGATTCCAATTATCTGAGGTAGCTAAAAGAGTCAGATTCATAGAGGCAGAGAGTAGAATGGTGGTTGCCCCAGGGCTAGGAAGCTGGGGAAATGGGGAGATGGTGGTCAAACAACACAAAGCTTCAGTTACGCAAGATGAACAAGTTCTGGAGATCTAATGTCCAACATGGTGAGTATAAATAATAATGTATTGCGTACTTGGAATTTGCTATGAGAGATCTTAAATGTTTCTCCCCACAAAAAGATAACTATGTGGGGTGATGGATATGTTAAGCTTCATTGTAGTCATCATTTCACAATGTATACATACATCAAAATATCACGTCATACACCATACGTATATACATTTTTGTCAATTGTACCTCAATAAAGCTGGAAATAAATAATGGTAGCTTCGAGGTTATGAATGTGTTAATTAGCTTGATTGTACTAATCATTTCACAATGTATATGTATATCAAATCATTACATTTTATACCTTAAACATATATATTTTTATTTATCAATTATATATCTCAATAAATCTTGGGAAAGATTATTTTAATTTTTTAAAGTTCAGATAAGCAATAAAACATATGATTTTCTTTCCTCTCCAAAATAACCAAATTCTGATCTTTTTTTCTAACTCAAATTATACTGACATTTCCCAAATTAGGTCAAATGTAAAAATACATATTATAGGTATAAGTAAATAGTCTCAAAAGCGTTGAAAAAAATGTTTATTATGGGTATTGTCATCTATGGGTACGCAAGAGCTTAAGGTTCAACGTGCATATGGGTGCTTTCCATCTGAAAACCTTCTTCTAAGTATAGATTTTCCTTCCCTTCAAAGAAAAAGGGAAAATATTCAAGGATAGGTGCCAGTGAGGTTAATCATCTTTGGTCATTTTAAGAGCGGTTTACTCCTTGCTTTTAAATAACTTGCAAATAAAAGCAAGAGAGTTTGGTTAAACTTCCAGTTCCCAAAAATAACTGATTGTAAAACTATTTTTTCTGTCTTTCTTTAAGCTCAGAATACTTTCTTACTAATCCTTTTTTCACTTTTCCAAAGCCATTTACCCACCAATAGACCCCAAATCTTAGAATTTAAATTGACAATATGTTATCTGTGACCTAGGCTTTAGTGCCACTTAGTGTTCAAATGATAGAATTACAGCAAATCAAACCAAATCTAGCATCGTTTAGTCTACTGCAGCCTCAAAATATTTCCTCAGGATTTACAGACATTAATTTGAGGCCTCTGATTCCTACCTGCTTTACTCTGCCTGATATATATGAGAAAGACAGGAAACTCAGCATATACTAGATACCTGTCGGGAGCTAGCTCATACGAAAGCAAGGAATGAGTGCCAGAGATCTTTTTTTCGTTCTTTCTCAGCTTGAATCATCTACTACTGTGCCATGTCTCCAAATATAAATTGACTTACTGAAAGAAGAGGAGAGAGAGAGAGAGCATTTGTTTGGGGGAGGGGAGGTTTCACGAATTCAGGAACGAGACGTAACTAATAAGTCCCACGTTAACAGAAAATTAACATATCAATAGAAGTTTATCAACAAATACCACCAGTTATTGAGAACTAGGTTATGTAATCTTAATTCTGTTAAATAATATAAAGTAAAATAAGCAAGCTGGCATCTTCCATTTTGCACAACAAATTTCATGCCAATTTTGCAAAATTTTTATTCCGTAGAAAAGAAGAAAATTTTGAACACTGGTATATTTTATTAACAAGCAATGAATTTAAAAGCTAAACACTGGATACTCATAGGCATAAAGATGGCAACGATAGATACTGGGGACTACTAGAGTAGGGAGCGGGGGAGGGAGACAGCCAAAAAACTATTGGGTACTATGCTCACTACCCAAGGGATGAGATGATTTGTACCCCAACCTTAGCATAATACAATATACTTATGTAACAAACAGGCACATGTAACCCCTGACTCTAAAATAAATTAAAATTATTGTTTAAAAATTTTAAAAAATTGGAGTTTTTCTAATAAAAAACAGAATATAGGAAATATATTAGAAAGAGTAGAAATCGGCAAATATAAATGGGAAGAAGTTAAAGAAAAGAAATAATGATAAAACTATGGCCAAAAAAAGAGTCAAAAAAAATTCACATGGAAATAATAAATAAAACATCATTCAAGTTTACCCAGGAATAACATTATGACAACTATCCATTAGAAGACTAAAATAAAGATCCACCATGTGGAAAAGGATGGAAAGATCAAAATTTTTTCTCTTGTAAATCTGTGATTATACTTTTTTAAAATCTTACATGCAAAAAGAAGTAAATTAAAGAAACTTTCTGGTAACCTTTTCTTTTTTTTTTTTTTTTTTTTTTTTTGAGATGGAGTCTCCCTCTCTGTTGCCCAGGATGGAGCGCAATGGCGCGATTTCCACTCACTGCAGCCTCCGCCTCCCCAGGTTCAAGTGATACTCCTGCCTCAGCATCCTGAGTAGCTGGGATTACAGGTGCCCGCTACCATGCCCAGCTAATTTTTGTATTTTTAGTAGAGACGGGGTTTCACTATGTTGGTCAGGTTGGTCTCAAACTCCTGACCTCAGGTGACCCACCTGCCTCAGCCTCCCAAAGTGCTGGGATTACAGGCATGAGCCTCCATGCCTGGCTGGTAACTTTTATGTTTTTAAAAAAATAAAATTTCTTTATTGTAGAAACTTTGGAAAATTAAAAATAAGACCCACTCATATTCTAACTAGAGAAAATCAGTTAATATTTTCATAAAAACATTTTCAGTGTTTTATCAATACAATAACGTGCAATTTTTAAATGGAATCTTAATGAGTTAATGATCTGATTTATTCCCTTAACACATAAAATGCCATCAAAAACTCTTTATTTATTTATTTTTATTTTTATTTATTTATTTATTTTGAGACAGAGTCTCACTCTGTCTCCCAGGCTGGAGTGCAGTGGCACGATATCGGTTCACTGCAACCTCCTCCTCCAGGTTCAAGTGATTCTCCTACCTCAGCCTCCTGAGTAGCTGGGACTACAGGGACGCACCACCACGCCTGGCTAATTTTTGTATTTTTAGTAGAGACGGGGTTTCACCAGGCCAGGCTGGTGTTGAACTCCTGACCGCCGGTGATCCACCCGCCTCGGCCTCCCAAAGTGCTGGGATTACAGGCATGAGCCACCGCACCCGGCCCAAACAACTCTAAAATATCACTTTAAACAACTACTGGCATTCCATTTTATAGATGTATGCTAATTAATCAGTCTTCTATTGTTGAACATTTTGGTTGTCTACAGTTTCTAGCATTATAAACAAATATTGAGTTAACATCATCATAACTAAATCTCACATATACACAACTATTTTCTCAGGATTCATAACTAAAAATTAAATTACAATGTTAAAAACTATAACTGAGTTTTAAGGGATTTTGTGGGTAATTTTCCCAATGAAAGGATTTACCAATTGTCTGGTTTTTCCATATCTTGCCAAAAATGAACATAACCATTGTTTAAAACTTTTGTCAGTTTGATAGACAAAATGTTCTCTAGTTATTTTCATTTCCATTATTTGTTTTCCAGAGAGAAAATAAATATTATATGTTTACTAGCCATTGGGTGTCTTTGCAAATTGCCTGTTGATGTCTCTGGCCACCTGTAAAAATGGAGGGAAGTGTAGCTTAGTGGTTAAGAGTACAGACTCTGGGGTCAGACAACCCAGGTTTGAATCTTTCACTCATGACTAACTGTAAGACCCCTTTAAGCCTTAACTTCTTTATCTATCTATAAAATAAAGATAATAAGAGTACCTAGCTCTCCAGATGAAAAGATGATCTGGTATGTGCAATATGCTCTTATATTTTAAGAGCTCTTTATAAGGATTTTCACCCTTTGTTCACCATATGTGTTGCTCCCATTGTTCCGAGTTGTCAGTTGCCTTTCAATCTTGTTTATAGTGGATTTTGGCAGACAGTTTTAAATTTTTTGTAGTAAAATCTATCACTCTTTTCTTCAGGATATTTGCCTTTGGTATCATGCTTAGAAAGGCAACAGATTTAGAGGAGTAAAGATAGTACAACTTTTTCAGGAAAGCAAAATATATCTGGCATGTGTATTGTGAATAACATAAAAATCCAACATTCCTCTCCCTATGCACCTCTACTAAGCAGGCACCATTTTTAAATAACATCAGTCTGAAAAAGAAATACACAGAAATCACAATGTCAAGTAACTATACCCACAACTTCCAACGATCATGGCCTATTGAGTTCCCTAGTTGGCCTAGATCTTCATCTTTGCCTTAAATAAGAGGGATATAAATATACCTATAGACATACCATAGCAAATTAAATTAAGTTCCTCTTTTTTTAACCAATTTCCCAGATGATTGTGAAATATTCATAATGAAATTAATCATTCCATAAATCAAAGAAGTAGCCAGAATCAGTCACATCTGAGATCATCTGGTTTGTGAGTACAAATTTATTTACCCTACCCTCAGCAAATATAACAAAAAGACTTTCAAGGTTTAAGGAAAATAAATCACTAATAAATTAGCAAGTACTGATCATTTGAACCAAGATGATGTTTTCTCTTCAGCAAAGGACAGTGCACACAAGCTGAAATACCAAACTATGACCTGATTCTTATCCATGTCACACACAATAGCATTATTTATCAAGGCCTAGTTACAGAGACAGTATTTAATCAACTAATGTCTCTGAATTAAAACTATAAGCAGCTAAACATAATTGAAATATAATAATTTTTCAAATTTATATTAATACTAATTGAATTTTAATACCTAAAATATCTTAATAGTTAAAGAATTTTTCTGATAAGTTGAAGTTCAATCCAATATTATATTTTTATTCCTAATTCATATAGCAGTTCAAACCAAAAAGTTACCGCTGGCCATATAAAGGACATGTTTTTACTTATTACAAGAAATTGAATTCAAGCTTGCCACTTTGGAAACACTAACAGTAGCAATAGATTATGCTACATTTTAAGAAAACACACAAAGAATTATTCTTGAAATCTCGGTATTCCTATTGTGCAGATATTTGGAACAATTGTTTTCTTCTTTCATAGCTATAAAATTGTGGTTAAAAATCAGAATCATAGAAAAGGCTACTGGTTTTCTCAGGGTCACAAAAAAGTAAGTAATAGCATGTCAGTGATAAATTTTTCTTAGTCTGCTACTCTATCCACCACAGTATGTAATTTCTGCCTTAAACAACTTAAAATATGTAGAAAGTCATAAGAATTGCTAATACTACTTTTCAGCACTGTCATATTTTGTCCGCTGAGCCAAACATACCAGATGTCTTTAAATAAAAGATTTAGACAGCATAAAAATAAAGCGTTATTGTATATGGGCTTTTTAAAAATACACCAATACATTAGGGATATCGTAAGGTTTGAATAAATGCTATTCCAGAAGAGAGAAAGTTTACAGATACTAATACTGAAGGCAAGGAAAGATGATGACCATAGATGCAAATGAGAAGAAGAAAACAGTGAAAATTAACATAACACTCTGCATGATAAAAATTATTTTATTTATTTTAACATAATGAGCCAGAACCATATATTCCCATTGACATGGTTTGGATCTCATGTTGAAATGTAATCTCCAGTGTTGGAATGGGGCCTAGTGGGAGATGTTTGGATCGTGGGGGCGTATCCCTCATGAATTGTTTGGTGCCATCACCTTGGCCCTGAGAGAGTCCACATGAGATCTGTTTGTTGAAAAGCGTATGGCACCTCCCACTCTTTCTCTCTCTTGTCCTGCTCTGGTCATGTGACATACCTGCTCCCACTTCACCTTCTGCCATGAGTAAAAGCTCCCTGAGGCCCCCCTAGAAGCCAAGCAGATACGGATGCCATTCTTGTACGGCCTGCAGAACCAGAAGCCAATTAAATCTCTTTTCTTTATAAATTACCCAATCTCAGGTATTTATTTATAGCAATGTAAGAGTGGCCTAATACACCAGTTTCCTGGATAAAATATGAGTATTTCATTTCCTGAGATTAATATAGTCCCATCAGTGTATAATTCTAGTAGATTCTATGAAAAGCTATTGTTGATAAGTAGGCTGAAATGACTGTAAGGGGATGAAGGAACTGTGAGGTGACTATTAGGATTAACTAGATGCTACTACGTTTAAAGACATGCACTCACAACTAGTGACAACAGAACTGTCTGTGAGAGCAGATTTGAAACAGTAGCTTCATCCTGAGCTCCACTTGTGCATCTGGTAGATTTACACATTTCTATCTAGTAACTCTAGATGTTTAGCCAAACATCTCTCTCCCCTATTTCTAGCCACAGATGTCATACAGGACTAGGTAGAAAGGAAAAGATAGATGAAGGCAGAGTGGCAAGTCTTACATCCAACACATGTAAAAGGATATTAAAAGATATGCATAGACATAAATACAAACATTAAAAAGTCATTATTTTATTTAATTTTATTTTTGGACCTCTAAACTTTTTAATGGACTACTGCTCCCCAAAGAGTACCCTGTTTCTGCTGGCTTAATGCCTCAGAACTTTGGTGTTGTTGGTCTCAGACACCACTTTGCCATCCACTGTCCTGCAGGCAGTGGTCTGTTGGATGGTTTGCATGGAATTGCTCCTGTCCAGGGCATCACCAAGATTGAAGTCCTCCCCATATTCCAGCAGGCAGCTGGCAATCTCAGCCTCCAGCTTGACCTTGATATTTGGCAGGGCCTGTACTTGTGGGCCTGGGGCTGCCCTTCTGCCCAGGTCTGTGCCAGCTCTGACTCCAAGTGCCTCAGGACCCAGTTTAGCTGCTCCATCTGCATGGAGTGGCAGGCCTCCACTTCTCTCAGGCTGTTCTCCAAGCAAGCCTTCAGATTTCTTATCAAGTACAAGTCAATCTCCAAGGACTGAACTGTACATCTTAGCTCCATGACGGTCATCTCAGCAGCTCTGATCTTGGTGGACTGTGTGGTGACCACTGTGGTGCTCTCCTCAATCTCCTGGGACCAGTACTTGTCCAGCTCCTCTAGGTTCTTCAGATCCTGCTTGTTGTACTAGGCCCAGATGTCTGCCATGATCTTGCTAAGGTCCTGAGATTTGGGGGCATCTACCTTCACAGTCAACCCAAAGCTGGCAATCTGGGCTTGTAGGCCTTTTACTTCCTCTTCATGGTTCTTCATGAAGAGCAATTCCTCCTTGAGAGCCTTGATCTCTGCCTCCAGCTGCAGCTGAGTGACATTGGCGTCATCGACGACTTTGTGAAGCCCATGAATGTTGCTATTCACAGACTGATGAAAGGCCAGTTCTGTCTCATATTTGACTCTAAAGTCATTAGCAGAAAGATGGGCTTTGTCAATCTGCAGAATGATGTGGCCATTGTTCATAGAATTTGCAAAGATCTGAGCCTTCAGGTCCTCAATAGTCTTAAAGTAATGCCCCCAGTCTCTTACCTTGGTTCCTTTCTTCTCCAGGTTTTCCCAAATTTTGTTCTCCAGCCTCTGATTCTCAATCTCCTAGCTCCTCACTCTGTCCAGGTAGGAGGCCTGGTGGCTGTTCAGGCTTTGAATGGTCCCCTTGTTCTGGATGCCCCGCATTCCCACCAGAGCCCTGGCCATCCCTATGACCAGGCCTCCAGACCCCCAGTGTCCCCAGAAGCTGGTGGGGACACAAAGATCCAGGAGCCCAAGCCCCTGACGCCTGCATAGAGGCTAACCACACTGCTGGCAGGCTGGACGCTGTGGCTGGGTGATTGGATGGAGCCCAGGGACTGGTAGTTGGTGGAGAAGGTGGTGAAGCAAGTGGTGAAGCTCATGCTGTCCAGGGAGGAAAGCGAGAGGACAGGTCTCAGGTTGTGCCCAAAAGTCGTTATTTTAAATATCCACTAAAATAGTTTAGAGATTATTCACCATTGCCTGCAGAAAGTGTAAAATATCAGCCGGACACAGTGGCTCACACCAGTAATCCCAGCCCTTTGGGAGGCCAAGGTGGGTGGATTGCTTGAGCCCAGGAGTTCAAGACAAGCCTGAGCAACATGGCAAAACCCCATTTCTACAAAAAATACAAAAAATTAGCCAGGCACGGTGGCGCATGCTTGTAGTCCCAGCAACTGGGGAGGCTGAGGTGGAGAGATCACCTGGGCCTGGGAGGTCAATGCTGCAGTGAGCCTAGAGCATGCCACTGCACCCCAGCCTGGGCAACAGAGTGAGACCCTGTCAAAAAAAAAAAAGAAGTGTAAAACATCCTTAGCATGACAATATATTAAAGACTTCAACAATCTGGTCCTAACCAATATTTTCAGTCTAATCTCCCACCATTCATTCATAAGAACCCCTTACTCTTTTCACACCAATGCATGCCATTCTTTAAATCCAAAAAAATGTTATGCTTCCGTGCCTTCAAACAAGCCATTTCTTTTGTCTAAATCATCTTTTTTTTAGCTAACCTAGAGAACTTCTACTCATACTTCAGGACACAGTTCACTTATTACAACATGTAATAATTTGCTTATTTGGGTGTTAGCCTCTACAAGACTAGATTTCAAACTCCTAATAAGCAAAAATTAATCTTACTTATCCTTGTGTTCCTAGCACCAATTACACTCGTAGGCATGCAGTGTTGAATTATAAATGTTTGCTGAATGATGAATGAATGAACAAATATTCAATCAGGACTCATAGAGATTTTTAGGAGTGGTAGAACCTGTTTTTCTTTCCTCTCCTTTCTCTTCCTCCTCCCCTCAACTACCCCATTCTCATCCACTAAAACTCCTAACCTCAGCAGCAAATAAAAGATCTTTTCTATAAGACACATTATTCCAGGAAGATGAAATAAATGTACTTTTCTTTATTCCACCTATTAGGTAAAACTAAAAACCCTGGACATAATATGTAAGGCAAACACAGGAAGACTCTGAAAGGTGGAGAGAAGATTGCTTGCTAGGAACATCAAAACCCAAAGAACAACATGGTCATGTGTTGCTTGGAATTCATTTTTGCCTAATATATCTGAGACCTGCAGCTGAAGAAGCCAGAAACATGAAAACACCAACATGCATGGGCAAAATAGCCTGAACGAAAGCTTGTTCTCTCTAGCTGAAGGCCAGGAAAACGGTGGCCTAGTCAGACAGAAAATTTTTAGACAAGAAGTGCTCTATTCCAGCCTAACCCCAAGGAAAAAGCTGTTGCTCCACTCCCATCCATGCCAATGAAGGCCACGTGGGGAGCCTACACTTCCACCCTCATGAGACAGTAATGAGATGCTCCAACCCCCTCACCAGAGTGGTATCAAAGAAAGCCAAGTAGGGAGTGAGGACATTCATCCAACTGGCCAATAACATGATCTCCTCCTCCCTGCAGTGTGAGTAAAAACCACACAAGGAGCCAGAACTTCTACCCCCATCAAGCAGTAATGAGGCACCCTCCTCACCCCACTGAGGTAGTGTTAGAGGAGGCCTACTAAAGAATCAAGACTTTCACCATCACCCAGCAATAATGAGGCCACCCCCACCACCGTGTCAATGGAGACCATGTGGGGAGCCAGAATTCCCACCCTCACCCAGCAGTAATAAGGAGTCCCTCCCATTCAAGTGTCAGCAAGGCCAATTGGAGAACCTAGACTTCCATTCCACCTGATATTAACAAGGTGGCACCTCCCTCCTTCCACTACTAGAGTGGTGTCAGAGAAGTGCAATCAAAAGGGAAGGTTTAAATAAGATTTAGAGTCTCATAACATAATATGAAAATGTCCAGATTTCAATGTCCAGAGAACAAACATAAAAATCACACGTCACACTAACAACCAGAAGGTCTCTACTGAGTGAAAAAAAGTAATAGATGCCAACAACAGATGATAGAGGTGCTAGAATTACCTAACAAAGATTTTAAAGCAGCCATTATAAACATATTTCAATGAGTAATTACAAACAGGCTTGAAAAAATGAAAAAAAAAAGCTTTAGCAAAGAAAAAGAATGTCTCAACAAATAAATGAAAGATATAAAGAACCAAACTGAAATTTAGAACTGAGAGATAATAGTAACTGAAATTTTAAAAGGCTCAGTGAATAAGTTCAACAGCAGAATGGAGGAAATAGAGGAAAGAAATGATGAACAGAAAGAGCAAACAATGCAAATTACTCAATCTGAACAACACAGAGGAAAAAAGACTTGAAAAAAGTGAACATGCTTCAGGAACCTTTGGAAGTATTTTTTAAATGTAATATTTGTGCCATTGAAGCCCTGGAAGGAGAGAAAAATGAGGGCAGGGATGAAAAAGTACTTAAAGAACTAATGGCTGAAAACTTCCCACATTTAGCAAGAAACACAAAACTACAAATTCGTGAAGCTGACTGAACCCCAAACAAGATAATAAAATAATACACAGGAAGACATACCATAATTAAAATTATGAAAACTAAAGACAAAGTGTTGAAAGCAGCCATGACACCTTATATGTAGGGGAAAGCAATTTGAATAACAGTGAGTTTCTCCCTGGAAAAACCATGGAGGCCAGAAAGAAGTAGCACAGTATCTTTCAAGTGAAAAGAATTGTCAACCCAGAACTTTACACCCAATGAAATTATCCTTCAGGAATTAAGGAGAAAGCAGTACATTCTCAGATAAAGGAAAATTATGATAGTTTTTCAAAAGTAGACCTACCCTAAAATAATAGCTTTAAAAAAGCTCTCTAAACACAAATGTTAAAAGAAGGAAGCTTGGAACATCAGAAACGAAAAAAGGATGTAGCAACAGAAATATGGGCGAATAAAATGGGCTTTCCTTTGCCTCTTGAGTTTTCTAAATTATGATAGAACATTGAAACAAAAATTATAAGACTCTATTATGTGGTTCTAAATGTATATGTAGAGTAAATATGACAATTATAAACAAAGGAGAGGAAAGGGATGGAGGTAGCATTTATATACTTTATGCAAACTGGTAAAATAATGATGCCAGTAGATTGTGATAAACTATATATGATGCAACACCTAAAGCAAACTTTTTTAAAAAAACTATGCAAAGAGATACACTCAAAAACACTATAAATAAAACAAAATGGAATACTAAAAATTGTTCAAGCAACCCACTAGAAGACAAGAAGAAGAAAACAGCTAAGAGAACAAACATAAAACAAAAAATATAGGGTAAATTTAAGTCCTGTTGAAATAGGAAAAGTTCCCTTGTTCCCCACACAGGGCGTGTGATGGGGGTGTGGCTCGCTTCTTCATGACTTGCTGCTCAAAACCCCTAGGGGGAGCAGGAAGATGGGCAGGTCATGGGGAATGTGGGCTCTGACCTATGGCAGCGTCTAGGGGTGAATGTTTACAGCTCCTGAGGCCCCAGTGGGCATGTGTTACAGTGTGCTCTTTCAGTGTAGCCTTTCAAAGGCGGCTTGTGTTAATCAGCGCAAATTGCCTCATCGCAAGGACAGAGGGCTTTCTGTATCCCGGGTTCTTGCCTTAGTGTACCTGAAAAATCGGATCACACATGGGCTTGGAGAATGACTGCAAGGTTTTTTATTGAGTGGTGGTAGCTCTCAGCGAGGTGGATGGGGAGGCCAGAAGGGGAATGGAGTGGGAAGGTGGTTTTCCCCTGGAGTCGGTGTGCCCAGCGGCCAGACTCTCCAACCGCTCCAGCCAAATTCCCCTCAGGTCCGCATTGTTGCGCCGGTTGATGGCCTGCCAGCATCTGTTGGTGCCTGTCGGCGTGCTCTTCAGCCAATGTGATCTTCTCAACGTCCAACCATTTGTGTGTTCCACCAGTGTGATCCTCTCAATGTCCAGCCACTTGCATCTCTGCCCACTAGGGTCTCAGGGTTTTTACAGGAACAGGATGGAGGCATAGCAGACCAGGGTGGTCTTGGAAAATTCAACATTTGGGCACGAAAACAGAAATGCCTGTCCTTACCTAGGTCCGTGGGCACAGACCCGGGGCGGAGTGCTGGCCAGGGACCCCACCCTTCTCCTAGCATTTCCCTGCCCCCTATCCCATATCACTAATTAAAAAAACAGTGGATGAATGGATTTTAAAACAACAACAAAATACAGGTTGGGGTAGTGGTTCATTCTTGTAATCCTAGTGCTTTCAGGAGGTTGAGGCAGGAGGATTGCTTGAGGCAAGGAGTTTGAGACCAGCTTGAGCAACATAGCAAGACCCCCATCTTAGATTACCAAAAATAAAAAACAAACTTAGCCCAGCATGGTGGTATGTGCCTATAGTCCCAGCTACTCAGGAGGCTGAGGTGGGAGGATCACTTGAGCCCCTTGATTACTTGAGCAGTTTGAGGCTGCAGTGATCTATAATCACAACACCTCACTCCAGCCTGGGTAACAGAGTGAGACTCTGTCTCTAAAGAAAGAGAGAGAGAGAAGACACAAATCACCAATATCAGGAATAAAACAGGAGGTTTTACTATAGACCCTACAGCCACGAAAAGGATAATAAAGAAATACTATGAACAACTCTACAAACATAAATTTGACAACTTAGATGTAATGAACCATTTCCCCAACAAACCCAAATCACCGTAACTCACCCAATATGAAATACATAATTTGAAAATCCATATCACTACTAAAATAATTGAATTTTTAACTAAAAAAAAAAAAGAAATCTGCAGGCCTAGGTGGTTTCACTGGAAAATTTCACTAAATATTTGAAGAATAATAACACAAATTCTACACAATCTTTTGTAGAAAATAGAAAGGGAAGAAACATTTTCCAATACGTTTTATGAAGATAATATTACGCTTAGGCCAAAACCAAAGATAGGACCAAAAATAAAAAAATAAAAACTATCATGTTCATGAATTGAAATACTCAATATATTAAAGATGTTAATTCTCCCCAAATTGATGCATAGGTTTAATGCAATTCTTATCAGAATCTCAGTAGGTTTGCTTTTATATTTATACAAGATTATTTTACTATGTATATGAATAATCAAAGAACTAGAATAGCTAAAACAATTTTTTAAAAGAAGAATGAAGAATAATCAATATACCTAATTTCAGGACTATCTATATAACAACAGTAGTCAAGACTAAGTGATATTGGTCTACAGACACATACACCAATGGAATAGAACAGAGAACACAGAAATAGAACCATATAAATATGCCCAAATGATTTTTGACAGAAGTACAAAAGCAATTCATGGACGAAAGATAGACTTTTCAACAAACTGTTGGAGCAACTGGACACCCATAGGCAATAAAATGAACTTCAACCTAAATCTCACACTTTATATAAAAATTAACTAAAAATGAGTTATATACATTAAAATAAAGTATAAAATAGTAAAACTTTTAGAAAAAAAACCATAGTAGAAAATCAGGATCTAGGGTTAAGCAAAAAGGTTCTAAGATTTGACACCAAAAGCATAATCGATAAAAGGAAAAAAATGACAAACTGGACTTCAACCAAATTAAAAACTTTCTCTCTTTGACAGCATACAAAATGGGAGAAACATTTTGCAAACTATGCATCCAACAAATGTCAAGTACCCAGAACAAATTAATAAGTAAAAAAAAAAACCCATTAAAAAATGGACAAAGTACATGTACTGGAAAGTTCTCAAAGGAAGTCATACACACAGCAAACAGGCATATGAAAAAATGTTCAACATCACTAATCATTAGAGAAATGCAAATCAAAAGCACAGTGAGACACCATCTCTCACTAGTCAGAGTGGTCATTATTAAAAAGTCAAAAAACAACAGATGCTAGCAGGGTTGCAGAGAAAAGGGAATGCTTATATGATGCTGGTGAGAATGTAAACTAGTTCAGTCACTGTGGAGAGCAATATATAAGTAAAGAAGTATATAATATACTTCATTATATATAGTATATATAATATATATATATAACAGAAGTATATAATATATATAACAGAAGTATATAATATATATAGCAGAGGTATATATAATATATATATCAGAAGTATATAATATACTTCAGTCACTGTGGAGAGCAATATATAAGTAAAGAAGTTCTACCATAAAGACACATACACTTGTATGTTCATCACAACACTATTCACACAATGGCAAAGACATGGAATCAACCTAGATGCTCAGCAATGGTGGCCTGGATAAAGAAAATATGGCATATATACACCATAAAACACTACACAACCATAAAAAAAAAGAATGAAATCATGTTTTTTGCAGCAACATGGATGCTGCTTGGGGCCATTATCCTAAACAAATTAATGCAGGAACAGAAAACCAAATACCACATGTTCTTACCTACAAATGGAAGCTACACATTGAGTGCACATGTACACAAAGAAGGGAACAATAAACATTGGAGCCTACTTGAGAGTGGAGGATGGGAGGAGAGTGAGAATGCGGGGGAAAAAAAAAATACTATGTATCAAGTACTATGCTCACTACCTGGGTGATGAAATAATTTGTATAGCAAACCCAAGAGACACACAATTTACCCATGTAACAAACCTGAACATGTACCCCAAAAACTAAATAAAAGTTGGAGGAAAAAAAACATATGTACCATATCATAAGTAATTATAAAGCATACCAGAATTAACGTACATTATGTAATACATTCTTGTACTCTGAGTTTTTTTAATGTTGCTCTTTGAAAGATTCTGTTTCTAAGATGAAAACACAAACTATAGACTGTGAGAAAATATTTGCAAACCACATATCCAAAAAATGATGATATATTAAATATAGAAAGAACTCTTAAAAGCTCAGCACTTTTAAAAAATCTATTAGAAAATGGGCAAAAGGGCCAGGCATCACACCTGTAATCCCAGCACTTTCGGAGGCTGAGGCAGGCAGACCACTTAGGTCAGGAGTTTGAGACCAGCCAGGCCAGCATGGTGAAACCCCGTCACCACTAAAAATACAAAAAAAATTAGCTGGGCGTGATGGCGGGCAACTGTAATCCCAGCTACTGGGGATGCCAAGGCTAAAGAATTGCTTGAACCCGAGGGGCAGAGGTTGCACTCCAGCCTGGATGACAGAGCGAGACTCTGTCTCAAAAAAACAAAACAAAACAAAACAAACAGAAAATGGGCAAAATGGGCATGAAACAACATTTCACCAAAGAGGATACACAGATGGCAAAGGAGCACATAAAAAGATATTCAATATCACTAGTTATTAGTGACATGGCAAATTAAAACTATGAGATACAACTGCACACCTATCAGAATGATTAAAATTAAAAATAGTGACAAAACCAAATGCTGGTGAGGATGCAGAGAAACTCATACATACTGTATGGTACCATTTATATAACATTCTTGAATGATAGTATTATAGAAGTGGAGAGCATATTAGGGTTATTAGGGATTAAGGAAGGGGTGGGAAGCAGGAAGAAATTCGGTGTGGGTATAAAAGGGAAACATGAGGGACCCTTGTGGTGATGGAAATGTTCTGTATCATGACTGTATCAATATAAATCTCCCAATGTTGCCCAATGGTTACATCTTGTAAAACTATAGTACAATATCACAATATTGTAAGAGTAAGAGTACACAGGATCTCTCTGTATTATTTCTTAAAAGTATATGTAAATGTACAATAAAATCCAATTTCAAAGTTTTAAAAAAAAAACATCATTTTTCTTAAAGAACTAGAATAAGGAAACAATATTGAGTATCCCATAGTCAACAAAATATATTTCCTAAACATAGTGTTAAATCGAACAATGATTAAACGACTAGGCAATTCCTATTGGCCTATGCTTCATCTGATGGACAGCCCTGTCTTGAGCTTGTGGGTAATTAAAACCCAACTCAACATCCTTGTTTTGTGTCATGATGAGCAATGCAAGTTTACTGTAAAGGGTCACAAGGAACCTTAGAGGTCATCCAATTCAACTCTCATTTTATAGAAGAAAAAATTGAGGGAAGATGGCTGACCAGATTTGATGAAATTGAGAGAAGATGGCTGACTAGATGTAGGTAGTATGTGCCTCTTCCACAAAGAGGAACCAGAATAGTAAGTAGATACTCACCTTTTGAAGAGATGGTCTAAGAGAGCATGCTGGGATTCAGAGAGAGAGATGGGAAGCACCAGAAGTAAGTAAATAGAGGATCTGAAGCATCTTGCCCAGCCAGGGACTGACTAAGAACTGGGAGAGGCTTCTAAACACAGGGAAACAGGAAAAGAGAAACCCCCAGGGCTTAGCTTTTATGACCTTGACTATAGGGGAGACCCTTGACCCACTAGGCCCTTGAGCCTGATGTACAGAGCTGCCTAAAGATTTCACAGAGACATTGCTCTAGAAAGAAAACCCACATGAAATCTCACAAACATCCAGGCCTAGAGCAGCCTCAGCAAGGTGCCATTTTGAGACCTTAGCTACAGGGGACATACAGACGTGGCTGCTGCCACTGTGCAGCTCCAAGCAGGGAAATGGGAGACTAGGCTCTCCCTTGCACCTCTGGGAAGGTCTCTACTGCCCAGATGCAGGCTGCTATTAAGACTGAGATGTGAGTGGCTAGCACTCTCCACAGCTTCCTGACCACACTGCCTGCCTGGGAGGGGCGCCACCTTCTCTGGTCTCAAGCCCAAGGTATCATTTTAAGAGTTTAATGCTAAGCTAGGCCCCACCCTTGGGCCAAGTTCAAGTTGATGTGGTTAGCCAGCCTCCACTGCCTAGCCAAGGAGGGACAAGGAAACAAAGCTCTCTTACACATACCTAGAACAACATCCACTGCCTTGCCACAGGCTCCTGTGAGACTGAGACTTGAGTGGACTACACTCTCCATAGCTTCTTCCCCATGCTGTTCACCTGAGGTGGGAGGGCCTACCCATTCTGGTCACCAGCCCACAGCTGGCACCATTCTGAGAGTTTAACACTGAGTTTTGCCCTACTTTCGGGCCAAATTTGAGGTGATGTGGTTGCAGCCACCACCCAGCAGTAGGAGGGACAGGGAAACCAAGCTCTCCTAAGGACAATACCCACTGCCCTGCTACATGCAGCTGTGAGACTGGGGACTAGTCTGCTGAACGCATTGCTGCTTCCAGGAACACCAACACAGACTGTTTAAGTCCCAGTAGGTTGCTCCACCACTGCTACTGCCATCACCCACACAACACCAACAGCCCAGGGACCTGAGAACCCACCCACACTCCTGGCCCACTGCTGCCACTAATAGCTTCTAAGAAAACCACCGGAATGTCCAAGAATCAGCCCTTCAGGACCCACAAAGACCAGAGCCAGTGTAAGCTGTTCTGAGTCCAAAAAAAAAAAAAAAAAAAAGGCACATTGCCCCACTGCTGCCACCATGGGGCCTGCTCGGGTAGACATCCAAGTCCCCAGCAAAACTTCACTACTACATCGACTAATAACTGTAATAAGAAATGTACCCCAATCCATCAGGAAAATCACAGATATCACTGACCCTATGTACTGTTGAAGAAGCCAATGCAAAGATCACACTATCGCAGGCACCCAAAATCAAAGCTAAAATATCCTGCTCAACCAACAATATACACACATCTTCAGGAAAAAATTTTCCCCTATGAAAATAATTTTTCAAAAAATTGGAAAGGGGCTTCCCTGTGGGGGTCATGATGGGGGTTTCCTGGGCTTTCAGCTCTTCCAAGGCTGACATGAAAACTGCCAAACTCTGCCAAACCCGGGAATGGTGATTAGGAAACATGGGGATCTCGGAGAAACAACTGCAAAATTAGTATCCCCCTAAAGGAGCACCAGAAGAGGATGAGTGATATTCCATCCAAAAGAGAAGGCTGTCTTTATTGTATGAAGCCATTTATATGATTAAAATTCCATTTGCCATATTGTAAGATGACAACACCAACTATACCTGCTAATCAAAAAGCCCAAGCAAGCTGTACTCCCACAAGCTAAAAAAAAGGTGGAGGCAACCAAAAATTTAATTAAAGCTACAAAGAGAGAGTTAGAAATGGAGAGTGAGTGAGGTAAGTTATGTTAAATTGATAAGGGGCAAACCAGAATGCACAATTAAGTCCTTTCCACTACTAGCCTTGGTTTGGAAAGAGCAAGTACTACAAAAGCAGATAAAGACATCAACAATCAAATTCCTTCAAAATGTTAAAAAGTACTGAGCCAAAGACTACTTTCCAAGGAGAAACAAAGTCTCCATTTTATGCATCAGAGAACATTGTTCCTAAACTAGAACTTAACAAAGATTTGCCTAAATCAGGGGAAAGGAGATGTAATCCTTCAGAAACTGAAGCACCTTTGCTGGTTAGCTCAATGGAAACTTCTTTGTCAAAACAAGATGGAAAATATTTCTCAGCCATACTTAATGATGTGCAAACAGTTTCTGCTGATCTGAAATTGAAAAAAAATGATCCCCAAAAACAACAGCATCTAGTAAAAGTAGTAGATGTGCCTCCTGGTGATTATTACAGTTCAAAGAATCTCATTGATGGAGTTAAAACAGTAACAATCTCATTGTCAAGCAATGAGAGAGATCCCAAAGGTAGGGATCACCCCTCAAGAGTCTCCACTGATATTGGAGACACTGAGACTTGGGAAAGAACACAGAATACTAATTAAGCCTTAAAAATAGCTATTTAGGCAAAATCTGAGTCTTGGGGAACCAAGAATAAGGACTTAGCCTCAGAGTAGAGAAAATGCAGGAGAAAAGTGTGTCTGGGACAGAAAAGCAGGAATGGCCTGCCATGAGCATGGCTCATAGGACTTCAACACTGATGATTCAGCCACAGAGAAGAAATCTCAAGATGAAGACTCCGTTTAAGCTTGTTCATTCCAAGGGCGATAACTTACAATGAATTTCTTTCTGTAATGCAACCAAGCAGCCAAAGTCTTGCCTCTCTGTCTAGAAAATTTATTCAAGAAGAGAAAGTAAAAGACTGCAGTCATAACTGAGTCTCAGATGTAAAGGCATTAGTGGAGAGTAAAGAACAAGTCTCTCTGGAGCCCATATCTGGCTTCAGTTCCAAGCATTGCACATTTAGTGACAGGGCCCTTTATGTTCACCCCAGGATCACACTTCTCAGAGCCCCTTCACCAATCATGCTACAACTGCTGGCAGAAAGGACCTTTCAGCTCCATGGGGCTGGAGTTGTTTCCTGCTTATCTTGGACTAGGGGTGTTCCCAGGAAAGCCTCAGTGTTAGAATGCAATGGCCCAGAAACCACAGCTTATCCGTTCCCAGAAGGGAAGACTTTCACAAGTTCCTTCGTTGGAAAGAAATTCGACTGATATAAGAAGTTTGAAACCCCCAATCAGACTTACAATCTCCAAATTCTCTCTAATGAAGCTCTTGGGAGCTGTACAAAAAGGCTGGACTAAGTGCAATACCACCATAAAGAAGAGTAGAGTCAGTGGTATCACAGTGCTCTTTAAAGGATACTTCATCCTATTTTGTAGCTGGAGTTTCATGCATCTGAAGCTGCAGTACTGGTGTAAGTAGTGTTGACCTGGACGTCACTTAAGAAATCTTTGGGCTCTGTTCTGTTCCATTGGTCTATATCTCTGTTGTGGTACCAGTATCATGCTGTTTTGGTTACTGCAGACTTGTAGTATAGTTTGAAGTCAGGTAGCGTGATGCCTCCAGCTTTGTTCTTTTGGCTTAGGATTGTCTTGGCAATGCGGGCTCTTTTTTGGTTCCATATGAACTTTAAAGTAGTTTTTTCCAATTCTGTGAAGAAAGTCAATGGTAGCTTGATGGGGACAGCACAGAATCTATAAATTACCTTGGGCAGTATGGCCATTTTCACGATATTGATTCTTCCTATCCATGAGCATGGAATGTTCTTCCATTTGTTTGTGTCCTCTTTTATTTCATTGAGCAGTGGTTTGTAGTTCTCCTTGAAGAGGTCCTTCGCATCCCTTGTACGTTGGATTCCTAGGTATTTTATTCCCTTTGAAGCAATTGTGAATGGGAGTTCACTCATGATTTGGCTCTCTGTTTTTCTGTTACTGGTGTATAAGAATGCTTGTGATTTTTGCACATCAATTTTGTATCCTAAGATTTGCTGAAGTTGCTCCTCAGCTTAAGGAGATTTGGGGCTAAGACGATGGGGTTTTCTAAATATACAATCATGTCATCTGCAAACGGACAATCTGACTTCCTCTTTTCCTAATTGAATACACTTTATTTCTTTCTCCTGCCTGATTTCCCTGGCCAGAAATTCCAACACTATGTTAAATACAAGTGGTGAGAGAGGGCATCCCAGTCTTGTGCCAGTTTTCAAAGGGAATGCTTCCAATTTTGCCCATTCAGTATGATATTGGCTGTGGGTTTGTCATAAATAGCTCTTATTATTTTGAGATACGTTCCATCAATACCTAGTTTATTGAGAGTTTTTAGCATGAAGGGTTGTTGGATTTTGTCAAAGGCCTTTTCTGCATCTATTGAAATAATCATGTGGTTTTTTTCTTTGGTTCTGTTTATCTGCTGGATTACATTTATTGATTTGCATATGTTGAACAAGCCTTGCATCACAGGGATGAAGCCCACTTGATCATGGTGGATAAGCTTTTTGATGTGCTGCTGGATTCGGTTTTCCAGTATTTTATTAAGGATTTTTGCATCAGTGCTCATCAAGGATATTGGTCTAAAATTCTCTTTTTTTGTTGTGTCTCTGCCAGGCTTTGGTATCAGGATGATGTTGGTCTCACAAAATGAGTTAGGGATGATTCCCTCTGTTTGTATTGATTGGAATAGTTTCAGAAGGAATGGTACCAGCTCCTCCTTGTACCTCTGGTAGAATTTGGGTGTAAATCCATCTGGTCCTGGACTTTTTTTGGTTGGTAGGCTATTAATTATTGCCTCAATTTCAGAGCCTGTTATTGGTCTATTCAGGGATTCAACTTCTTCCTGGTTTAGTCTTGGGAGGGTGTATGTGTCCAGGAATTTATTCGTTTCTTCTAGATTTTAATACCACACATCTACAACCATCTGATCTTTGACAAACATGACAAAAACAAGAAATGGGGAAAGGATTCCCTATTTAATAAATGGTGTTGGGAAAACTGGCTAGCCATATGTAGAAAGCTGAAACTGGATCCCTTCCTTACTCCTTATACAAAAATTAATTCAAGATGGATTAAAGACTTAAATGTTAGACCTAAAACCATAAAAACCCTAGAAGAAAACCTAGGCAATACCATTCAGGACATAGGCATGGGCAAAGACTTCATGTCTAAAACACCAAAAGCAATGGCAACAAAAGCCAATATTGACAAATGGGATCTAATTAAACTAAAGAGCTTCTGCACAGCAAAAGAAACTATCATGAGAGTGAACAGGCAACCTACAGAATGGGAGAAAATTTTTGCAATCTACCCATCTGACAAAGGGCTAATATCCACAATCTACAAAGAACTCAAACAAACTTACAAGAAAAAAACAAACAACCCCATCAAAAAGTGGGTGAAGGATATAAACAGACACTTCTCAAAAGAAGACATTTATGCAGCCAACAGACACATGAAAAAATGCTCATCATCACTGGCCATCAGAGAAATGAAAATCAAAACCACAGTGAGATACCATCTCACATCAGTTAGAATGGCAATCATTAAAAAGTCAGGAAACAACAGGTGCTGGAGAGGATGTAGAGAAATAGGAACACTTTTACACTGTTGGTGGGACTGTAAACTAGTTCAACCATTGTGGAAATCAGTGTGGCGATTCCTCAAGGATCTAAAACTAGAAATACCATTTGACCCAGCCATCCCATTACTGGGTATATACCCAAAGGATTATAAATCATGCTGCTATAAAGACACATGCACATGTATGTTTATCGTGACACTATTCACAATAGCAAGGACTTGGAACCAACCCAAATGTCCAACAATGATAGACTGGATTAAGAAAATGTGGCACATATACACCATGGAATACTATGCAGCCATAAAAAATGATGAGGTCATGTCCTTTGTAGGGACATGGATGAAGCTGGAAACCATCATTCTCAGCAACCTATCACAAGGAGAGAAAACCAAACACCGCACATTCTCACTCATAGGTGGGAACTGAACAATGAGAACACTTGGACACAGGAAGGGGCACTTCAAACACCGGGGCCTGCCGTGGGGTGGGGGGAGGGGGAGGGATAACATTAGGAGATATACCTAAAGTAAATGACGAGTTAATGGGTGCAGCACACCAGCATGGCATATGTGTACATATGTAACAAACCTGCACATTGTGCACATGTACCCTAGAACTTAAAGTATAAGTGAAAAAAAAAGAAAGAAAAAGAAATCTTTGGAACTACAAGGGGCATACAATGGAGCTGACTTCAATACATAGTTAATAATTTAAAATGGCATTTAGAGCAAGAAGAGGGAGTGAAAAGAATAAAATTATTGAAATCTGTAACAATTATATAGAAAGTAAATTTTTTATTAATGTGAACAAAAAAATGAAAAGGTGACTGCTATACCAGATGCACAGATATCAATGGAAGGACGTAGGAAACATGAAAAAGTAGGGATTTTTGACACCACACAACAATTGCATGGCAGCAGATCCAAATAAAAAAGAATGCCTCAAAATGCCAGATAAATAAACCAAAATATTGATTTTAACAAAGCTCAATGAGGTGCAAGAGAAATATGAAAAACAGTACAAAAAAGTTCAGAATATGGATGAGAAATTTACCAAGGAAATAGATATCTTTTAAAAAAATGCAGATATTGTGGATGTAAAAAATTCATTGAAGAAAATACAAAATACATTTGAAAGCTTCAATAATAGACTAGATCAAGCAGAAGAAAAAAATCTCAGAACTTGAAAACAAATCTTTTTCTTTCCTTCAATTTTTATTTTACGTTCCAGGGTACCAATGCAGGATGTGCAGTCTGTTACATAGGTAAATGTGTGCCATGGTGGTTTGCTGCACAGATCAACCTATAACCTAGGTATTAAGCCCAGCATCCATTAGCTATTCTTCCTGATGCTCTCTCCTCCCACCCCTTACCCTCTGAGAGGCCTCAGTGTGTGTTGTTCCTCCCCATGTGTCCATGTGTTGTTATCATTCAGCTCCCACTTATAAGTGAGAACATGTGGTATTTGATTTTCTGTTCCTGTATTAGTTTGCTGAGGATAATGGCTTCCAGCCATATCCCTGCAGAGGACATGATCTCATTTCTTTTTTATGGCTGCATAGTATTCCATGGTGTATATGTGCCACATTTTCTTTGTTTAGTCTATTATTGATGAGCATGTGGGTTGATTCCATATATTTGCATTGTGAATAGTGCTGCAATGAGCACATGCATGCATTTATCTTTATAATAGAATGATTTATATTCCTTTGGGTATATATCCAGTATTGGGATTGCTGGATCAAATGTTATTTCTGCTTCTAGATCTTCCACAATAACTTACATTCCCACCAACAGTGAAAAAGTGTTCCTTTTTCTCCACAGCCTCACCAGCATCTGCGCTTTCTTGACTTTTTAATAATCACCATTCTGACTGGCATGAGATGGTATCTCATTGTGGGTTTGATTTGCATTTCTCTAATCATCAGTGATGTTGAGCTTTTTAAAATATATTTGTTGGCCACATGAATGTCATCTCTTGAGAAGTGTCTGTTCATGTCCTTTGCCCACTTTTTAATGGGGTTGTTTGTTTTTTTCTTGTAAATTTGAAAACAGGTCTTTTGAAATATTCCAGTCAGACAAAAATAAGGAAAAAACTAAATAAAAGAATTAAAAAAGGCTTTGAGACATCTGGGACTACACAAAGTGACCAAACTTATGTATTATCATTATTCCCAAGGGAGCAGAGAGATCAAATTTAGAAAACCTACTTTAGAAAATAATCAGTGAAAAATTTCCAAGTCTATCAAGAAAGTTGACATCCAAATAGAGAAGGTCCAGCCATCCCTAGGCAAATACATTACAAAAAGGACTTCCCATAGCATATTATATTAAGAATGTCTAAAGTCAAAGTGAAACAAAGAATTTTTAAACTGACTAGAGAAGAGCACCTAGTCATCTATTAAAAAAAAAAAAAAAACAACTCTCATCAGACTAACAGTGGACTTTTCTGAAGAAACCTTACAGGCCAGAAAAACATTAAGTGGCATTTCAAAGTCATTTTAAAAAACTGCCAAAAGAAATCCCAGGACCAGATAAATTTGCAGCCAAATTCTACCAAACATACAAAGAAAAACAAAGATGAATTCTCCCAAAACTATGCCAAAAAATTGAAGAGAAGGGAATTCTCCCTCACTCATTCCATAAGGCCAGGATCACCCTGATACCAAAAGCAGACAAGGACACAACAAAAAAAGAAAAGTACAGACCCATATCCCTGATTAATATAGATTCAAAAATCTTCAACAAAATACAAGCAAGTTGAATACAACGGCATATCAAAAAGATAATACACCATGATCAAGAGTGATTTATACCAGGAATGCAAAGATGGTTCAACATTCCCAAATCAATAAATGTGATACATTACATAAACAGAATTAAGAACAACAACCATATGATCATCTCTATTAAAGTGGAAAAAGCAATTGATAAAATTCAATGCCCTTTCATCATAAAAATCCTCAACAAACTAGGCATAGAACAAAACATACTTCAACATAATAAAGGCAACATATGACAAACCTATAGCCAACAACATACTTAACAGGAAAAGTTTGAAAGCATTCCCTCTAAGAACTGGAATGAGACAAGTATGCCTACTTTCACTACTTTTATTTAACATAGCACTGGAAGTCCTCACCAGCACAATCAAGCAAGAGCAAAAAAATAAAGGGCATCCAAATTAGAAAAGAGGAAGTTAAATTGTCCCTGTTTGCTAATGATATTATCTTATATCCAGAAAACCCTACAGAGTCCACCAAAAAACTCTTAGATTTGATAAATGAATTCAGTAGTTTCAGGATAAAAAATTAACATACAAAAATCAGTACTGTTTCTATACAGCAATAATAATCTAGCTGAGGACCAAATCAAGAAGGCAATTCCACTTACAATGCTATAAAAAATAAAATAAAATACCAGGCATATATTTAATCAAGGAGGTAAAAAATCCCTATAAGGAAACAACAAATTACTGTTATAAAAAGTCATAGATGACACAAACAGAAAAACATACCATGCTTCCAACCCTTGGTCATGATTTGGAAAAATCAATATTGTTAAAATGACATACTGCCTGTATTAGTCTTTTTTCACACTGCTGATAAAGACATACCCGAAACTGGGCAATTTACAAAAGAAAGAGGTTTATTAGACTTACCGTTCCACATGGCTGGGGAGGCCTCACAATCATGGCAGAAGGCAAGGAGGAGCAAGTCACATCTTATGTGGATGGCAGCAGGCAAAAAAAAAAGAGAGAGCCTGTGCAGAGAAACTCCCGTTTTTAAAACCATCAGGTCTCATAAGACCATTCACTATCATGAGAACAGCACAGGAAAAACCCACCCCATGATTTAATCAACTCCCACCTGGTCCCTCCCACAACATGTGGGGATTATGGAATCTCCAAGATGAGACTTGGGTGGGGACACAGAGCCAAACCATACTATTCCATCCCTGCCCCTTCCCAAATCTCATATCTTCATATTTCAAAACCAATCATGCCTTCCCAACAGTCCCCCAAGTCTCAACTCATTTCAGCATTAACTCAAAAGTCCACAGTCCAAAGTCTCATTAGACAAGACAAATCCTGTCCACCTATGAGTCTGTAAAATGTAAAGCAAGCTAGTTACTTCCTAGATACAATACGGGTACACACATTGGGTAAATACAGCCATTCCAAATGGGAGAAATTGGCCAAAACTAAGGGGCTACAGGGCCCATGCAAGTTTGAAATCCAGTGGGGCAGTCAAATCTTAAAGCTCCAAAGTGATCTCCCTTGATTCCGTGCCTCACATCCAGGTCATGCTGATGCAAGAGGTAGGTTCCCCTAGTCTTGGGCAGTTTCACCCCTGTGGCTTTGCAGGGTACAGCCTCTCTCCCAGTTGCCTTCACGGGATGGCGTTGAGTGTCTGTGGCTTTTCCAGGTACATGGCGCAAGCTGTCAGTGGATCTACGATTCTGGGGTCTGGAGGACAGTGGCCCTCTTCTCACGGCTCCCTAGGCAGTGCCCCAGGAGGGACTCTGTATGGGGGCTCCCACCCCACGTTTTCCTTCTGCACTGCCCTACCAGAGTTTCTTCATGAGGACCCCACCCCAGGAGCAAACTTCTGCCTGGGCATCCAGGAGTTTCCATACATTTTCTGAAATCTAGGTGGAAGTTCCCAAACCCCAATTCTTGACTTCTGTGCATTCACAGGCTTAACATCATGTGGAAGCTGCCAAGGCTTGAGGCTTGCACCCTCTGAAGCTACAGCCTGAGCTCTATATTTGTCCCTTTCAGCCATGGCTGGAGTAGCTAGGATATAGGGCACCAAGTCCCTAGGCTGCACACAGTGCAGGGACCCTGGGCTTGGCCCAAGAAACCACATTTTCCTCCTAGGCCTCCAGGCCTTTGATGGGAAGGGCTGCCATGAAGACATCTGACATGCCCTGGAGACATTTTCCCCATTGTCTTGGGAATTAACATTCAGTTCCTTGTTACTTATACAAATTTCTGCAACTGGCTTGGATTCCTCCTCAGAAATGGGATTTTCTTTTCTATCTCATTGTCAGGTTGCAAATTTTCCAAACTTCTATGCTCTGCTTCCTTTATAAAACTGAATGCCTTTAACAGCACCCAAGTCACCCTTTGAATGCTTTGCTGCTTAGAAATTTCTTCTGCCAGATACTCTAAACCATCTCTCTCAAGTTCCAAGTTCCACAAATCTCTAGGACAGGGACAAAATGCCACCAGTCTGTTTCCTAAAACATAACAAGAGTTACCTTTGCTCCAGTTCCCAACAAGTTCCTCATCTCCATCTGAGACTACCTCAGCCTGGACCTTATTGTTCATATCACTATCAGAATTTTTGTCAAAGCCATTCAACCTGTCTTAGGAAGTTCCAAACTTTCCCACATTTTTCTGCCTCCTTTTGAGCCCTCCAATCTGTTCTAACCTCTGCCTATTACCCAGCTGCAAAGCCATTTCCACATTTTCAGGTATCTTTTCAGCAGCACTCCACTGCCAGTACCAATTTACTATATTAGTCCATTTTCACGCTGCTGATAAAAACATACCCAAGACTCGGCAATTTACAAAAGAAAGAGGTTAATTGGACTTACAGTTCCACATGGCTGAGGAGGCCTCACAATTATGGCGGAAGGCAAGGAGGAGCAAGTCACATTTTACGTGGAGGGCAGCAGGCAAAAAAGAGAACTTGTGCAGAGAAACTCCTGTTTTTAAAACCATCAGATTTCATGAGACCCATTCACCATCGCAAGAACAGCATGGGAAAGACCCACCCCCATGATTCAATCATCTCCCACCTGGTCCCTCCCACAACATGTGGGAATTATGAGACCTCCAAGATGAAATTTGGGTGGGGGCACAGAGCCAAACCATATCATCGCCCAAGGTTATTTATAGATTCAATGAAATCTCTATCAAATTACCAACATTATTTTTCACAGAATTAGAAAAAACAATCCTAAAATTCACATGAAACCAAAAAAGTGCCCAAATAGCCAAATCCTAAGCAAAAAGAACAAAGCTGGAAAAATCATAGTACCTGACTTCAAATAATACTACACAGCCATAATAACAAAAACAGCATGGTACTGGTCTAAAAATAGACACATAGGTCAATGAAACAGAATAGAGAACCCAGAAATAAATCAATGAGCCTACAACCAACTTATCTTCTACAAAGTAATATATATATATATATACACATACTCAGGAAAGGAAACCCTTTTCAATATATGATGCTGGGAAAATTGGATAGTCATATGCAGAAGAATAAAACTGGACTCATACTTCTTACCATATACAAAAATTAATTCAAGATAAATTAAGGAACTAAATGTATCACCTGTAAGTATAAAAATCCTACAGGAAAACCTAGGAAAAACTTTTCTGGACATTGGCCTATTCAAAGAATTTGTTATCAAGTCTTCAAAATCCAAAGTAAAAAACAAAAATTGACAAATGAGACTTAATTAAACCAAAAATCTTCTGCACAGCAAAAGAAACTATCAACAGAATAAACACAAAACCTACAGAATTGGAAAACATATTTGCAAACTATGCATCCAACAAGGGCTAATATCCAGAATCTATGAGAAACTCAAACAGCTCAACAAGAAAAAAACCAAATAACTTTACTAAAAAGTGAGCAAAGGACATGAACAAATATTTTTCAAAAGAAGACATACAAGTTGCCAACAGACATATGAAAAAGTGCTTAAAATCACTAATCAGAGAAATGCAAATAAAAACCACAATGAATTACCATCTCATACCAGTCAGAATGACTATTAAAAAAAGTCAAAAAAAAAAAAAAACCCAAAACAGATGTTGGCAAGGTTGTAGAAAAAAAAAAGGGAATGCTTATACACTGTTGGTGGGACTATAAGGTAGTAAAACCTTTATGGGAAACAGTATGAAGAATTCTCAAAGAACTGAAAATGGAATCACAATTCAATCCAGCAATCCCATTACTGGGTATATATCCAATGGAAAGAACTCATTATATCAAAAAGATACCTGCACTTCTTTCAGAATGATTCACAATCGCAAAGATACAGAATCATCCTAAGTGTCTATCAATGGAGGACTGAATAAAGAAAATGTGGTGTATGTGTGTGTGTGTGTGTGTGTGTGTATATATATATATATATATATATATATATATGAACACTACTCAGCCATAAAAAAGAAGGAAATCATGTCTTTTTTGGCAACATGGATGCAACTAGAGGCCAGAATCCTAACTGAAATAACTCAAAAACAGAAAGTTAAATACCACATGTTCTCACTTATAAGTGAGAGCGAAACAATGGGGACACATGGACATACAGAGTAAAATAACAGACATTGCAGACTACAAAAGGTGGGAGGCCGGGAGCAGGGATGAGGGCTGAAAAATTACCTATTGGGTAGAATGTTCACTGTCTGGGTGATGGGGACACTAAAAGCCCAGACTTCACCACTATGCAATATATGCATGTAAGAAATCTGCAGTTGTACCCTCTAAATTTATAAAAAATTTAAAATAAATAAATAAAACAAAAATAATTAAAAGAAATTTAAGACAAAAGAGATACATGATAAGGTCAAGGTTAAATACAGAGTTAGTAGTGAAACAAGGCCTAATGTCCTATTTCTCAATACAATACTTTTCTTGGTTTTTCCTTTCTTTCATGTCAGATGGGTAATGTGCTGACCTCATAATAAGGTTGAGGGTGGCACATTTCACACATGTGTGTGAACACCCAATCATCATGCTCATGAACTACAAAAGGGTCTACAACATTCTTTTTATCATATTACTTTGTTTTACACATTCTCAAACGAAGAGACAGTCTCCTTCATAGTCTGTCTAAATGCATTATTATTTAAAGAATCTGTATACCATCTGAAGCTGAATACCATCTGAAGCTGAATTCCAACTACACGGTCTCTGGAACAGAATGGCTTCTTTTATACAGGATGGCTGATCTCCAAACCCATATCTCAAAGCTATCAAGAGCAAAAAGAAACATCAATAGTCTGGAAACTATCCCACCTGGGCAAACACAAATTAAAGCCCCACAAGCAGGGGGGGTTCTCCTTGTCCCCAAGGGACTAGAAAGGAATTTCACTTTGCCTCATCCCTCTAGCTCTATTCCAACATTCTGGCACCTACAAACATTAAATATT
Organism: Homo sapiens; assembly: GCF_000001405.40. Classification (NCBI taxonomy): domain Eukaryota; kingdom Metazoa; phylum Chordata; class Mammalia; order Primates; family Hominidae; genus Homo; species Homo sapiens. The sequence continues at coordinate 161,558,148 of NC_000002.12, read as the reverse complement.
TAATGAGCACCTATTATATGCTGGGCACTGTGCTACATGCTAGACAGTGAATAAGATATACAACCTCAATCCTCAAGGAGGTTGTCATCTGTGAGAGATGACAATTACAGGCAATTACAGTACAGTACATGAAGGGTTAAGAGTAAATCCATATTACCCTGAGACCACAGGCATCATCCCCTACTGACCAGGGAGAGAGGATTCAAATGGGAGGGGATTTGAGAGAAGGAGTGGGAGTTCAATATAACCAGTGAGTGGAGAATTAAGCTATTAAATCACTCAATTCACTCAACTGGGAAAGTATCTAAACGAAATAATTGTTTTGGATGTTTTAAGTGATACATGATTTACTTCCAGGCTTTGGTAAATGCTTCCATAAACCTCATAATCACACTATAACTTATCTGTTTTGTAAAGTCAGCTTTTTATACACTGAATTTACTTGAAAGAGACTTCTTGCTATACTTGTAAAAGACTACTGTATCACCTCCCTCTTCCCACTCTCTAATTAAGTTGTCAAAAAATGTTTTTCATTGTATTTGTTTTGGTTCTTAAAAAACCAATATGTAAGTCAAACAACATAGTTTACATATATTTCCATAACTGTCTTGCCATATTTTGTCACACCCACTAATCAGATATTTTCCACTCATCTCTCTGTTGTATGTGAAGCTGGCAGAAGACAATATTCTAAATTGCTTTCCAACCGCAGCACCTCAAGAGACTTAAAAACACATTAACCTCAGGCAAGATAACATGCTTTCATTTTGCAAGAAAATAAAACACTAATTATTGTCACAAAGCCTTCCTTAAAGGTCAAAAATAAATCCATAAGTGCAATAAAATTGAGGGAAAACTTAACCTAAACCTTAAAGGAATAAAGTCTTGATCTTGGAGTAAATATTTTTAAAACCTCACTATAATTTTACTTCTTGTGTGCCATAGTACCAAAACAAAGGAATTAATTGGGACACATTAATCTTGTGTTTGTTTGTTTTGTTTTGTTTCAGTCTCACAAGTATCCATGTAACTTACTTGTCTCACTTAAGTTACTTGTTCATATTTTGGGTCAATAGATATCTGCTTAGAAGAAAGCATGCACTTTGAACAGTGCTATTAATAATATCTCCACTGTATTGTTACATATTTTTTCTAGTGAACTGAAATCAACAGCAAAAATGCCCCATTTATTTCAGTAGGACTGAAGAAAATTTAAAAATTTATGTAGTAAAAACAATATGTGTGAGCCACCTGTTTGCTTTTTAACTAAATGGATTGGTATGGAATGACAGCTGCTGCAAAACCAACACACTTCAAATACTGTATATTACTTTGCCAAGAAGACTAAATTTTGGTATCATTTACTTTATTACCATGGGATGTGTTAATGGAGATTCTTACGGAAGAGCACTGTAATGAATATTTCTACCCACTAAGTGTCACTGTTCATTTAAATTTTTTTAAACTATGCTGATGGGCATGGTGACTCAGTAGAATCTTTTGAATGGGGTCAATCAGAAAAAAATAAAAATGATTCGATTACATAACACACTTAAAGCAAAGCACAGGCACTACATGAATGTAAACTGCTTAAGAGGAATTCCTAGAGATAGAGGTGTTGCTCTCAGTGGAATGCCAACTGATCAAATCAGACATTTTGCAAGCTTAAATAAGGTTTGAGTTACACTAAGCCTTGTAATCTGTTTTTACCAATATAAATGCCAAAACTGAATTGCCACTATAAAGTCTGCCAAGTTTCTTTGTATTGTATGTCAGTATGCTGTTTTCCTTCATAGTGCCATCAATAAACATGTCTGGGGATCAACTGCTTGTGATCAGATATGCTACTTTCATTGTTTCAAGCTGAGCTGATACTGCATGAAATACCAGTGCCAGAGAGGTTCCATTCAGGCTTGAACATTTGAGGGAGGAAGTAAGGCAGGCTTCCCTCTACCCTGCATACAAAAATTTAGGTAAATGTAAGAATATCCCTGGTGCTCACAAGATACAGACATCATTTCCTAGACACGCATAAATTTTAGACAACAGCATAATGCTCCACCCCTTGCAGGTTCTTGTTAAATAATTCAAGAGATACATACTCAGAGTTTTAGAGAGTAAGATTTTTAGCCATACTACTCACCATATGTAATGGTCTTGTTATCTCAAGATAGCAATATCATCACATATTTTTCTGGTTATGCCACTGCACTATTACAGGATAAAAATGTATATTGTTGCAAGAGTTCCACTTCAACTAAAGGACCCATTCCATTTTCTTCCCCGAAATAAAGAACGTACACCTAGAATTGCTCAAATCTCTATCTCTTCTTGCAAGACAGAGTGCATCCATTTTGAAATAACAGTTGTTGTAGCTTCTACTGTTCCCATCAAAGTGGGTGTGTTTGGGGGTCTTTTTGGTTTGGTTTGGTTTTTGTTCTGTTTGTCCAATCTGGAGCATTTTATCTCAGGCAATCTTTTATAATTACAATACAAGACAGCAAAATAAATGATGGTAAAAGTTAACATAAAAAATAAGTACTTTAAATATTCAGAGCTGAGAGAAGTAAGTTTGTACACGGCAGGAATGGGCAAGTAAAACTTTATAAAAACAGTATGTTCTTGAAAAGTACACCTTAATAAGTAGATAGAATTTCCTGAGACCTAAAAGTGGAGAAAGGGCATTCCATGTAGATGAAATAGTGTAGCAAACATGTTGAAGTAGCATATTTTAAAGACAGTGAGCAAGGATTTCACATTAGAAAGTAGTAGGTACAAGGATTAAAAGAACTTTTGGAACCAGGCCAGAATAAAAAATTAATATTAGTTTTAACTCATTCAAAAGAAGAGATGATGGGAACCATTAAAACTTTTTAAAACAAGAATGATTTTTTTAAAGTGTGTTCAAAAGATTAATCTCATAGGGGTGAATAGGAAAGTTTGAAAATAGCAAATGACAATTTTTAAATATTTTTAAAGATATATTGTGGACATATTTCAAGATTATTAAAAATGTTTAAATGTTTACACCCAGTAAATTCTGTTGAAGAAATAATCCACAAAAATTAAAATAAAGCAATTAAAAATTCACAAAAAGAAAATAATAGGTACACAAAAATTATAGCAACAATTATAAAGGAAGAAAACACCTCAATGTCCAAAATTGGGAAAAGTATGACACATATTCCTAATAGAATTTTAAGTGGACTATGTAAATTACATGGAAAAATTAAAAAGTTATGATACATAAACAGAATATTACTTAACCACAATTTGGAGTGCAAAAATCATCCCGGGGCAATGTTTGTTTGTCTAGGCCATTAGTAATAAGGCAGTTGAGGAAAGAGTCTATCCCCACTGCAAGCTGTGGAAAGGTATTACTGCTGGGTAAAAGCTGGCCTTGGCAGGAAGAAACTGAACCGAGAATCTAAGGCAGGAGCTCCTACTTCTGTAACAATCTGGGTGCTTGGACAACACCTTGAACTGGTGGTAGTAAGTCTTCCAGAGTATCATCCTATCAGCACCAGTATTCTACTCATGGAAGAGGACTTGCAGTCAAGTTGAACAGGGACTACTAGGTTCTATAATTCCTTTCATTCCTTCCCTAAATCACTTTCACACAGTCCTACAAGTGAACACAGGTCAGGTTCTGGTGACAGTCAACATATAGGCATGAATCAAGATAAGTTTTGGGTTTTATGAAACAGTGCCTTTAATGGAACACAAAGGGCTAGGCAGCTCTAGATGGAGACAGGATACAAGGCATTGAAGGATTTCATATTTCTCCCATTGCTGCCTTCAGCTGTACTAGCTCCATTCTACCTTTCCCATCCCTGTCATTTCCTAACTGACATCTTGGAAGGATTGAAGACCTTTCTGGATCATTTTTTCAGGCATAAAATAGCCCAGTCCAGTTTGAAATTTCCAACTTAAAAATTCACTTCGTCCTTCCCCTGAAGTGGTGTCCAAGCCTTAGCCTGAAAGACTTAAGAGTAAGAAAGAAAGTAATCTGATCTTTCATTCTTCCTCCCCCGGCCCCATTTCCAGGCCCCTTTGTCCTGGCTTGTTGTGATAAGGAGGAAGAAGCTGAAAAGAGACAAGTGGCTCTTTCTTATTGGATCCCTGTTGTTATCCTTTCTTGGCCAAAGCTGGATATTGATGAACTCTGTGTGGCAGGCATTAAAATGCTGGTTCTTTCATTAGGTAAATGTGGTTTCATAAGGTGGAAAATCTGTCTCCAGTTTATCCTCTTCCAATGCTCCCTCAGTGTGTAACCTGGAGAACAATTCACTTTACATCCTCTTTCTGCCAGGATATACTTGCCTGGTGGCAAGCTGTCTTGGGTAGGCTTCTGTCAAGATGGCTAAGGCCCAGCTAGCTTCCCACATGACTCAAGAAACTCACGCATCCTTTCTAAGCCTAACATGAGAGTGCAGGCTGCTCCCCACTGCCCTTCACCCCATCATGCACTCTTTTTCCAATTGTCTATCCTGTTCAAATGGGCACTGGGCAGATCACCAAGTCTACAGCATAAGCAAACTTCAAACTAGGAGAACACAAAAATCATTATACGTAACTGTCCCCTCGCTTGGCTTTGGGGTGCTGAGTATCCCTCTTCTTCCCCTCAAGAAAAGAAAATAAAAACCACGGCCCTTTCCCTCTAGGCTAATGACTCATAGCTCCAATGCTTTTTTCACCCTAGTCTTCTGATCTGCTTCTGGGAGGGAGGAGAGGAGAGAGAATGATAAAGTTGGTGCTGATGGGATGATTAGGAACAGCAGAGCCTCTTTACTTCTTAATAAGCCCCAAGCAGGTGCAGAGTCTAGTCCTCAATTTATGCCTTAAAACATAAAAGGTTGACTGTACACTCAACCTTATCATTAGGGTCTTAGCAGGAAAAGTCCAACTCTATCCTGTTACAACAAAAATTCTCTAAGAAATGTCTGAACTAAAACAAATTTCAAGGAAGCAAAATACAACCTAAACTCAGAAAATGTTTTCTGAGGTTGAAAAACTACCCCTAAAGGATAGAAACAGAACATAGAATTGGAGCCTGAGTCCTCTTTTCTGAAAGTTGAATGTGACCCCTCATGTTATGCTCAATAAAGGAAGAATCATTTTTAACAAGCCCAAGTGCCAAATATTTCAGTTCTTAGGGCCCAGATCCAGGTTCACACATACAACCTCTTCCCATTATTAAAACTGATCCCAAAAATGTTGGAGTCAGTTTCAGAACCCACTGCCTCAAAGATTCAGAACTACCTCTGTCACCACTCACTCCCACTCCCACATCTGTCTCATTCTGTCCAGCAAGCCCATTCCCTGTCTAACTTGCCCTCCTCAGAGATTCCTTGCTCATTCCTGGAAGCTTTCTCTAACTTCAAATCACAAGGAATAACATTGGGATCTCTTTTTCTCATCTCCTTCTTGAAATATTGCCAACAGTTTTCTGCTACATAACAAAAATGACCCAAGTCCAATACAGTCTTCTTAAATACAACAGTCTTCCCTTGGTCACCTCCCACCCCAAAACTCAGAAATAACTATTAATAATTTTTAACATAGAACTTTTTGGTTTTGTTTTATCTTACTAACCATAATAAGATATTTTTCTAGTCAAAAAAATTATTTGTCAATCTCCCCAGTCTATAAGGAAGAAGCAGTAAGTCCCAAAGCCGTATCTGTGAATTTGCCCCAATTATAACAGTTTCATACATAGGGATAATTTTCCTTTTGAAAAAGTTGTCACCACAACCAGTTACACAAAATCACTTCATGATGTGCCCCATATTGCATATAGGAACCACAGAATTGAAGAAAATTCAAAATCTGCCATCTTCTCTGCTCCTTAGCCCTAATTCTGATTAAATGAAAGACTGGAAGCTGTACTTAAGAAATACTTAGAGCTCCTCAACTAGAGATTGCTTCAGAAGACCGAGTGTTGCTTAACAGTATGCATTTACATAAAACTGTGGTGATTGGGTCAGCTTTTGTTTTTCAGGGTTGAGTAGAATAGAATTTTTAAAATGTTGTGGTTTATAGAAAGATAAATCTTAGAAACATAGTATCAAATAAAGTGGGAAAAAGAAACAAAAACACATCTTTAGTAAGCAATGAAGTCCTTTTTAGGTAACATCCTGAGTCTAATTCAGCTTCCCTGAGAATATTACCACAGACTAAGAGCACACATCATTAGACACTAACTGTAACAGCACAGCCCCATTGAACATATGTGCTGTCTGCACGGGAGGTCTGAGGGCTAAAGCTAGAGCATGCAGCAAAAAATGTACGAAAAGCAGTATACTTCTGAAATACTTTACTGAATATTAACATCCATTAAAAACTTTCTTTGTACTGAACACATCTCATAACGTTTTTCCATCTCTCCCCTCCCTCACTCTGTATTATCTGTATTTTAAACAATTGAGATAGCTAAATAGTTCTCGAGTAACTCACAAAAATTACGCCTAAACACAATTCTTTAATACGATGTACTCTGAGTATTTATAAGTAGTAAGGCTTCCCACAAGAACCTGGAAATTAGAAAGATAAGAATGCCTCGTAAGTGTAAAACTTTAAATGCCTAATGGACCACAGTAGAGAGCAAAGTCACCTTTAAAGATGAATGAAAGAAAGGCCTGACAGACTTGGCTGCTATTTGATTAATTATATTACCATGCTTTATTAAATGTGTCAATCAAAAGGGGAATTGGCCAATCAAATGCAAATGGAAAAACAAGGCTTAGAAAGCAGTATTTTGGCAATGCTCATCCAAGCACTTGTACACAGGAGAATCTGTTTGGGCCAAAACCAAACCCACTGAAAAAAACATTCTTGGATTCAATTAATCTAATTCCCCTTGTTCTAATTAATGCTTAACAAAGAACATTATGACTTTAATTTCCATGTAGGTGTGTAAAGTCATGGACCAGTCACGTAGATTTGATTGTTCCAGTTCTAATGATAGCTATATTTCTTATTATAAGTTAATAATTTCATATTTTGATTAAGATTTGGCTTCCCAAGTAAAGACTACAAGTATCATGAGCTAATCAGGCTAACTACAGTTTTCTGTCACTATTCCAGTTAAAGTTCTCGGTAGAAATTAACAAATATACTTTATGACCTTGGTTAGTGTGAGTCCACCCATGATAAATGGATTCAATTTAATGGAAAAAAAAAATCTGCAGAGTTGAGGGATTGATACCAAGGTAATAAACACCAATTTGTAAAAATTTTGAATGACAAGTTGCCATCATTCCCACGTTACAGAGATCAACTATACTATCATCCATGTAGATGACTTACTAGAACATCTACAAGGTGTTCCATAACTTAGTGATTTTCAGATTTAAACCAAAGAGAAAGACGGACACTAAAAATTCAGACTAAGACACATTAAAATATATCTGAAACTTTGTTACCAACTATAAGGTTGTTTTTAAACAAAAAAGTTATTCCTAAAACATAACAAGTATAGCTCATAAATGCCATCTCATATATTTAGAGTTCCGAAGTATAGGTGAGACATTTCAAAGAGACATTTATGCCATTACTTCTCCAGCCCTGCCCATGGCAGATATCACAACACTCTTCCCTCTAAACCTAGAGACAGCCTTAGAATCATTCTTAATATAATTTTCTTAGCAGCAAGCAATTGAAGTTGGCATGAAATGAGACCTATTTGCCTTCTCTGGTATAGGCTTGTCTGGAATTGATATTTCATATTCTTTTCATATATCAAAAGTGTTATTTTGAGTCGATCATATTTGGCAAAATGTATTGTGATGAAATTTCAAGGTAAGAAATATTTTTATTTAAAAATATTAGTAGAGTAAAGATGATACGCTATTCACATTAGGCTTGAGTTTAAACATTAAAAAGATAAAATTAAGTTTTGATATTAAATTATCTGACTTTCTCAAGAGTAAGACTCATCTTCTCACTTTTTTCAACCTTGGTAAGATTTGTTCAATAGTTTTGCATCCTATTCAATCTTCTACATCCTAAAGATGTTCACATCTTTGGTATAGTATGGCCACTTCAGAGATTAAAGGCAAATAGCCAGCTAGCATACTGCTTGGATAAAAACAGAAGATAGTGATAAAAACTTAGCCAAAAGCCATAAAAGAGAATAATTCTGCTTTATTAATTGTATCTTAATTGCCCATAGAAAATAAGCGATACTTTTAAAAAATTATTATTAAAGATGGGGTCTCGCTATGTTGACCAGGCAGGTCTCAAACTCCTGGCCTCAAGTGATACTCTCATCTCAGCCTCCCAAAGTACTGGGATTATAGGCATGAGCCACCATGCCTGGCAGAAACTGAGTAATACTTTAACAGTAATCTTTAACCATGAGAAAAGTTTTCACACTTAAAAACACTATTCTTTTGTCCACTTCTACTCAGAAAATAACAATAGGAATTGAGTTTAAGCTGCCTGATAAAGGACTAAAATTAAATACCATAAAGGAATTTTCCTCATTTTCAAAATTGCAAATCAGAAGGAAAAATAGGGCTCTTAGCAAGTATGCCAAAGGAAAGCATACTTTAATTAAGATGAAGGCTAAGAAGATGGGGAAGAAAGATCTGGTTTAAGCAAAGAGGCTGTTCAGGCCTGGGGGGGCGCATAGAAGGAGCCCTGGGAAAGCTGGGAAAAAAAAGGTGAATATATTCTAATTAAAGTTGGAAATAAAACTCTGCTGCTATATAAATTATATTGAAAATCTTAGCAACTCAATTAAAAATAAAGAAGTAAAAAATTAGAAAGGAAGAAGCAAACTATGTAGATTGACATGATGATATTCCTGGAAACCACAATAAAATCAACAGTAAAACTACAAATAATAAGATAATTCAGTAAGGTAATAGGATAGGAAATTAACCCACAAATCAATAGCTTTCATGTATAACTCATAAACAATCAGAAGATAATAGAAGACCCCTAAACTGAAAAGAAACACTCAAACTTTTATATAAAATGCTATAAAACTCATTAAACACATAAAAACAGATAAGAATAACAAAAATGTATGCAATGTTCTTAAGATTATCAAATCTCCCAAAGTTTAGTTTACAATCTCATCAAGGACAAAAAATACCAAGTCCTTGGATCTCAATACAGTACATTGATTCTAAAGCTTATACGTAAAAGTAAATAAGCAAGACTAGCCATAAAACCACAGAAAAAAGAATAGTAATGAAATTGAGGGTTGCTAGACTTATCAGATTTTAAACTGCTACAAAGTCTCTATACAATAATCTACTGACACATAAATAGACCAATGGAACAGATTATGAAGTCTAGAAATAAAACCACATAGATATCAAAATTTAGTATCTCAAAAAAATGGCATCCCAAATGATCGGGAAAAAGAACTTTCAAGAAATGATGCTGGAACAATTGGATAACCATTTGAAAGAAGATAAAATTGGATCAATATATCATACCACACACAGAACAAACTCGAAAAGTATCATAGGTCTAAATATAAAAAAGGAAACTATGTAACTACTCAAAGAAAGAATGGCTGAATACCTTTCAACCTGGGAGTGGGAAAGCCTTTCTAACTCTGACTTAAAATCCAGAAGGCATAAAATAAATATGATGTTTGATTTTATAAATACAAAATTAGTTTGCATGACAAAAATATATACATCCATATTATATGTGTAGCCACAGATATATACAAAGAGATCTGAAAACCTAAGAAGAAAATGACCAAAAATCTAACAGAATAATAGGAAAATAACAGTTTACCAAAAAAAAGAAACACTAATGACCCTTAAACAAATTAAAATATACTCTACCTATCTCATAAGAGAAATGCAAATTAAACTATACTGAGATTCATTTTTTTAACCAATCATATTGGCAAAAATCCAAAAGTTTGATAACACACTCCATTGTCAAGGCTGTAGGGAAACAGGCACTCTCAAACATTTGTGGCTGAAGTAAAAATGGTGTGATTCCTACTGAGAAGTTGGTAATATTAAAAAAAAAAGTACAGATATATTTACCCTTGACCCAGCAGTCCTACTTCTAACAATCTTCCCTGAAGAACCACTTCAAGAAATACAAGACACCATATGCACAAGGTTATTCACCATAACATTGTCATACCAAACAATTGAAAATAATTCAAATATATCATTTAAAAGGGATAGGTTAGCTCAACTATGATACTTCCACAAAATGTATAGACAACACCCAGCCACAGAAAAGAATGAGGAAGACCTCTATATACTAACATGGGATGGTCTCCAGGATATATTATATGAAAAAAGCAAGACAGAAAACATGCTACCCTTTTTGTGATAAAGGAGATGCAAGAATGTGTGTGTGTGCATGTATGTTTGCCCAGCTTGCAAAAAAAAAAAAACGCCTGGAAGGAAAAGCCAGAAACTCAGCCGTGCCTGGTGGCTCATGCCTGTAATCCTAGCACTTTGGGAGGTTGAGGCAGGTGGATCACTTGAGGTCAGGAGTTCAAGACCAGCCTGGCCAATATAGTGAAACCCCGTCTCTACTAAAAATACAAAAATTCGCCAGGTGTGGTGGCACATGCCTGTAATCCCAGCTACTTGGGAGGCTGAGGCAGAAGAATCGCTTGAACCCAGGAGGCCGAGGTTGCAGAGAGCTGACAACACGCCACAGCACTCCAGCCTGGGCAACAGAGCGAGGCTCTGTCTCAAAAGAAAAAGAAAAAAGAAGAAGAAGAAGAAAGAAACTAATACAAATTGTAAATAAAGTTTAAAGATGGATGGGTGGGGTAAGACTAATGAAACACTAAAGACATATTTTGCTTGCTTAGCAATTTTGCCTAAAGGCAGTGCCCTCACCCAATTAGAAATTGGCAGCCACTATGAAATCTAAACTATCTCTGGTAGAGATCCTTAGGAACAGTTTTGGCTCATATTTTGTGATAATATTTTATCCACATCTAGTTATGAACTAGCACCATATGAAAATTTGGTGGCTGCTTCCCTGAACTGTGCCTTATATGAAATCGACAAATAGGATTTTAAAAGTTTGTATATGGCACCTAGGTCATTTCTGAAGAAGATTTTTGTAATGCCGCTGAGAACGTGTACTATAGAAAAAGAAACAAAATTCATCACATTATTTTGGAATTATTTCCATACAATTGGTAAAACTACACATTTCTAAAATATCAGCTAAGTCTAACGATGTGGTTTGGCTCTGTATCGCCGCCCAAATCTCTTGAAGAATTGTAGTCCCCAGTGTTGAAGGTGGGGCCTGGTGGGAGGCGATTGGACCATGGGGCCAGATTTCCCCCCCTTGGTATTGTGACGCAATAGTGAGTGAGTTCTCACAAGATCTGGTTGGTTTAAAGTGTGTGGCACCACCCCGCTCTCTTTCAGTCCTACTCCTGCCATGTAAGACGCCTGCTCCTGCTTTGCCTTCTGTCATGAGTAAAACTTTTCTGAGGCCTCCCCAGAAGCCGCCATGCTTCCTGTACAGCCTGAGGAACCGTGAGTCAATTAAACCTCTTTTCTTTATAAATTACCTAGTCTCAGGTGTTTCTTTATAAATGACCCAGTCTCAGGTGTTTCGTTATAGTCATGTGAAAACAGACTAGTAAATCATTTAAAAATAGTAATAAAACACTAAAATATATAGTTACTCTCACTTTACTTCCAGAATAAATTTCATCATAATAAATTCTAAGGTACTATATCAAATGAAATAAAATCTATACCAAGGCTTACTTCAACACCACTGAGATATTTAAATTAGATGTATCCTCTCAGAGATTATGCTATTTTAGCTGCCACGGAGAAAAGGAATTAGGAAAGGTACATTAGGCTATCCAAATAAAGAAACAGAATTAACACCATTTTTTCTCCTATGGAAAGATCTATTAAAAATAGCACGATCTTGGCGGGGTGCGGTGACTCACTCCTGTAATCCCAGCACTTTGGGAGGCCCAGGCGGGCATATCACTTGAGGTCAGGAAATCAAGACCAGCCTGGCCAACATTGTGAAACCCCTGTATCTACTAAATATGGAAATTAGCCAGGCATGGTGGCGGGCCCTGTAATTCCAGTTACTAGGGAGGCTGAGGCAGGAGAATCGCTTGAACCCGGGGGCAGAGATTGCAGTGAGCTGAGATCACCTTACTGCACTCCAGCCTGTGTGACAGAGCAAGACTCCATCTCCAGAAAAAAAAAAAAAAAACACAAAAACACCATCTCAACTGTTTTGCTATTAAACTATTTTCAACATCAAACAAAATAATCTAAAGGTAAGAATATTTTTTTCATCCTCACTGGTGAATAAATATTCATACAGAAGAATGCAATCCAGCAGTTGCCAGAAATCTTTCATAAATTCTATTTTAAATTTTAAAATAATTAATACATACCCAAAATATACTAATCCACCAGTTATTTTATGAATGAGAACATTACCAGTAGCATTAAAACTGTGTTACCTCTTTGATCCCATCCCTGCCTCCCTCAGTTACCACTATCCTGAATAGTACCATTCCCTTGCTTACAAAAAAAAAAAAGTTTTTTCCACATATATGTGGATCACTAAGCCATGTAATCTTTAGTTTTCCCTTTTTTAAAAGCATTATAGAAATATACTGTTTTGATTTCTTTACTCAACATTATTTCTAAGATCCATCTATATTATTATGTGAAGCTATGTTATATTCATTCTTGCTGTGTGACAATGTAGTTTCTTAATCCATTCTCTGGTCAAATGACAACTGACTTATTTTCAGTTTTTTTGCTATCACAATGTTACTACAAGTATTTTTGTTCATGTATGCTGATGTGCTTAAGAGTTTATCTAAAACCTACACCTACATGAAATAGCTAGGTATAGACCATGTGTACAATTTGAATTTAAAAGTTTTTTCCACAAGGAATGTGCCACTTTACACTCCCACTAGCTATATATAAAAGTTCCTGGCCGGGCGCGGTGGCTCACGCCTGAATCCCAGCACTTTGGGAGGCCGAGACGGGCGGATCACAAGGTCAGGAAATTGAGACCATCCTGGCTAACACGGTGAAACCCTGTCTCTACTAAAAATATTTAAAAATTAGCCGGGCGTGGTGGCGGGCGCCTGTAGTCCCAGCTACTCGGGAGGCTGAGGCAGGAGAATGGCGTGAACCCGGGAGGCGGAGCTTGCAGTGAGCCGAGATTGCGCCACTGCACTCCAGCCTGGGCGACAGAGCGAGACCACGTCTCAAAAAAAAAAAAAAAGTTCCTGTTCCTCCATATACATATCAAGATTTTTGATTGCTAGACTTAATTTTACCAAACTAATGAGTGTAAAATAATATCTCATTATAATAAATCATCTATTACTAGTGAGGTTTAGAATCTTTTTCATTGATTTACTTGCCAATCATAATTCCACTAAAATGCTCACTGTCTATTTTTTCAAATTGCTTATTTATTCTTATGGAATTATAAAAATTCTTTACATATTCTGGATAACAACACTGTACCAATTCTATGTCTTGTGAATATCTTCTCCCAGTATACGATTTGTTTTTTTTTTCATTTTCTTTCCATGCATGTTCTTGATTTTAATGAAATCAAATTTATTGATCTTTTACTTTTTATATGGTTAAAAAATTTTAGTTATGTTTAAGAAATTATCTCCTACATCAAAATCATGAAGAGATTGTGCTCTATTTTATAAGTCTTAAAGTTATGCCTTTCACATTTATGTCTTTTGTGCACCTGTAATTGATTTTTATGTATGGTGTAAAGTAGAAATTCAATTTCATTTTTTTTATATGGTGAATCAATTTATTTCAGGACCGTTAATTAAATAGACCACTTTTCTGTAATGATCTGCAGTGCCATGTTAGTACCATATCAAGCCTCAAACTGTTTCTGGATTCTCTAATCTAGTCCATCAGTCAATTTGTCTATCTCTGTGCCACATTATCTTAATGCAATTAGACATTTCTGTACAGCTAAGACAACATTTTCACAAATATAACAGAAACTCCTTAGTATCATCTAATAGCCAGTTCATTAAAATCCCCCCCTCCTCTGCAATTGCTGTCAAAATATCTTACAGCTGGTGTTCCAAAACTGCATCCAAAATAGAACCACACATTGCATTTGGTTGTTCAGCCATTAAGTTTCTTTTAAACCCTTCACTTTTTCATGACACCAACTGATTGGAGCTATAGGGGCATTTGTCCCATAAAATCTCACCTTTCCAGATTTATCTGATTGCTTCCTTGTGGTTTATTTAGTTCAGTAACTATCCCTTGAATTTCCTGAAAAAATCAACTAGAAGTTAGATCTAAAGATTTGCCTGGTTTCAAATTAAAATTTTTTTGGCTAAAATACATCATAAGTGAGGTTACATGGTTCATACTGCATCATGGCTGAAGGTACATAATATTGTTTCCTACCATTAATCACTGTGTTAGTGGTGACAGCACAACCCCTCCATTATACAGTTTCTTTTTTTTCAGTGAGGAATCTGCATGTTATTACTTTAGCACCATTCAAATGTCCAGTTTACTTTCAACCATTCACCTATTTGTTTTAACACCAATGAACACTCAATTTCTACTATAATAATTTTGTTAGGTATTGTGAAATGGTAATTTTCTGGTTCTAGCTTTTTTCCCTACACCTATGCCACTGTTTTGTAAAAATGTAGCTTTCTCCTTTAACCGGGGCATCATTTTGTAACATACAGTTTCCCTTTTCATTTGGTTACCTTGAAATATAGTTCCTATTGGAAAGACAAATAAATGCTTAATTATTTCCCTCAAGTTAATAATTTTCAAATTAATTATTTGGCTTAATAATAACCTCCCATAGAAACAAATTGGTTTTGTGGCATTATCATTTTATCATTAAAGATGTATGGATTTTTTGCAGATTCAATATGCTTCAATAATTATTAAATAATAATTTTTACAAGAGTGTTCATAGCAGCTTTATTTGTAGTAGTCAAGAAATGAAAACAGTCTAAATGTCCGTTAAGAGGTGAATAAACAAATTGTGGTATATTCACACAGTGGAATATTACTCAAAAAGAACTAACTATTGTTGCACGCAACAAACATGGATTAATCTGAAAATAACTATGCAGAATGAAATAAGCCAGACAAAACAGAATACTTATAATTTGATTCCCTTTCTTATAAGTCCTATAAAGTGCAAGTTATCTACAGTAATATGAAGCCATTTAGCAGTTTCCAAGGGATGAGAATAGAGCAGGGAGGAAAGACAATGAACGATTGCCCAGGGACTGAATAATAATCTTTTAGATGCTCAAATCATCACAACTTTGGCCAATAGAGTCCTTCCAACCTGGCTCCTGTGTCCTTTTTTAAAAAAATTAATTAATAGACTTTATTTTTAGTGCAGTTTTAGTTTTATAGAAAAAGTGAACAGAAAGTACAGGGAGCTCCTATACACTACCTCCCCGACTCCTTCTCCTGCCCCACAGCCCCCTAGTACAAACATCTTTTTGCTTCTTTATTTAGGAACAGGGTCTTACTCTGTCACCTAGCCTAGAGTGCAGTGGTGCAATCATAGCTCAGTGCAGCCTCAAACTCCTAGGTTCAAAGGATCCTACCATATACTCTTCCAGAGTAACTACAACTACATGTGCGCCACAAGTCCCGGCTAATTTTTTTATTTTTTTGTAGAGATGATCTTGCCATATTGCCCAGGTTGGTCTTGAACTCCTGGCCTCAAGCAATCCTCCCACCTTAGCCTCCTAAAGTGCTGAGATTACAGGCATGAGCCACTGCACCCAGCCTATTAACATATTGCATTAGTGTAGTGTATTTATTGTAATTGATGAAGAAACATTGATACATTAGTATTAACTGGAGTCCATGGTTTATACTTGGGTTCATTCTGTGTCTTGGGGCCTAATATGACTTGTTCTGCAGAATGTTCTGTATACACTTCAGAAGAATGTGTATTCTTTTGGCATATATCTTTTAGGTCCATTTAAGTCCAGTGTTTCCTTATTAATCTTCTGTCTGGATAATCTATCATTGAAAGTGAGGTATTAAAGTCCCGTAATATTATTGTACTTCAATCCGTCTCTTCAGATCTCTTAATATTTACTTTCCATATTTCAGTGCTCCAAATTTGGGTGCATATATACTTACAATTTTTATATCCTTTTAACAAATTGACCCATTTATCAGTATATAATGTATTTTTTAATAATTTTTGACTTAAAGTATGTTTTGTCTAAGTATAGTCTCTTTTTTTTCCATTTGCATGGAATATCTTCTTCCACCCCTTCACTTACTCTCTGTCCTTACTAGTGAAGTGGGTCTCTTGAAGGCTGCATATAGTTGGATCTTGTTTTCTCTCCATTCAGGCATTCTTTTTATTAAATAATTTAATCCATTTAGATTCAAGGCAATTATTTATAGAAAACACTTATTACTGCCATTTTAAATCATTTTCTGGTTTTTTTTTATTATTATTATACTTTAAGTTTTAGGGTACATGTGCACAATGTGCAGGTTAGTTACATACGTATACATGTGCCATGCTGGTGCACTGCACCCACTAACTCGTCATCTAGCATTAGGTATATCTCCGAATGCTATCCCTCCCCAATCCCCCCACCCCACAAAAGTCCCCAGAGTGCGATGTTACCCTTCCTGTGTCCATGTGTTCTCATTGTTCAGTTCCCACCTATGAGTGAGAATATGCGGTGTTTGGTTTTTTGTTCTTGCGATAGTTTACTGAGAATGATGATTTCCAATATCATCCATGTCCCTACAAAGGACATGAACTCATCATTTTTTATGGCTGCATAGTATTCCATGGTGTATATGTGCCACATTTTCTTAATCCAGTCTATCATTGTTGGACATTTGGGGTGGTTCCAAGTCTTTGCTATTGTGAATAATGCCGCAATAAAGATACGTGTGCATGTGTCTTTATAGCAGCATGATTTATAGTCCTTTGGGTATATACCCAGTAATGGGATGGCTGGGTCAAATGGTATTTCTAGTTCTAGATCCCTGAGGAATTGCCACATTGACTTCCACAATGGTTGAACTAGTTTACAGTCCCACCAACAGTGTAAAAGTGTTCCTATTACTCCACATCCTCTCCAGCACCTGTTGTTTCCTGACTTTTTAATGATTGCCATTCTAACTGGTGTGAAATAGTATCTCATTGTGGTTTTGATTTGCATTTCTCTGATGGCCAGTGATGATGAGCATTTTCTCATGTGTTTTTTGGCTGCATAAATGTCTTCTTTTGAGAAATGTCTGTTCATGTCCTTTGCCCACTTTTTGATGGGGTTGTTTGTTTTTTTCTTGTAAATTTGTTTGAGTTCATTGTAGATTCTGGATATTAGCCCTTTGTCAGATGAGTAGGTTGCGAAAATTTTCTCCCATGTTGTAGGTTGCCTGTTCACTCTGATGGTAGTTTCTTTTGCTGTGCAGAAGCTCTTTAGTTTAATTAGATCCCATTTGTCAATTTTGGCTTTTGTTGCCATTGCTTTTGGTGTTTTAGACATGAAGTCCTTGCCCATGCCTATGTCCTGAATGGTAATGCCTAGGTTTTCTTCTAGGGTTTTTATGGTTTTAGGTCTAACGTTTAAGTCTTTAATCCATCTTGAATTAATTTTTGTATAAGGTGTAAGGAAGGGATCCAGTTTCAGCTTTCTACATATGGCTAGCCAGTTTTCCCAGCACCATTTATTAAATAGGGAATCCTTTCCCCATTACTTGTTTTTCTCAGGTTTGTCAAAGATCAGATAGTTGTAGATATGTGGCGTTATTTCTGAGGGCTCTGTTCTGTTCCATTGATCTATATCTCTGTTTTGGTACCAGTACCATGCTGTTTTGGTTACTGTAGCCTTGTAGTATAGTTTGAAGTCAGGTAGTGTGATGCCTCCAGCTTTGTTCTTTTGGCTTAGGATTGACTTGGCGATGCAGGCTCTTTTTTGGTTCCATATGAACTTTAAAGTAGTTTTTTCCAATTCTGTGAAGAAAGTCATTGGTAGCTTGATGGGGATGGCATTGTATCTGTAAATTACCTTGGACCCTATGGCCATTTTCACAATATTGATTCTTCCTACCCATGAGCATGGAATGTTCTTCCATTTGTTTGTATCCTCTCTTATTTCCTTCAGCAGTGGTTTGTAGTTCTCCTTGAAGAGGTCCTTCACGTCCCTTATAAGTTGGATTCCTAGGTATTTTATTCTCTTTGAAGCAATTGTGAATGGGAGTTCACTCATGATTTGGCTCTCTGTTTGTCTGTTATTGGTGTATAAGAATGCTTGTGATTTTTGTACATTGATTTTGTATCTTAAGATTTGCTGAAGTTGCTTATCAGCTTAAGGAGATTTTGGGCTGAGACAATGGGGTTTTCTAGATATACAATCATGTAATCTGCAAACAGGAACAATTTGACTTCCTGTTTTCCTAATTGAATACCTTTTATTTCCTTTTCCTGCCTAATTGCCCTGGCCAGAACTTCCAACACTATGTTGAATAGGAGTGGTGAGAGAGGGCATCCTAGTCTTGTGCCAGTTTTCAAAGGGAATGCTTCCAGTTTTTGCCCATTCAGTATGATATTGGCTGTGGGTTTGTCATAGATAGCTCTTATTATTTTGAGATACGTCCCATCAATACCTAATTTATTGAGAGTTTTTAGCATGAAGGGTTGTTGAATTTTGTCAAAGGCCTTTTCTGCATCTATTGAGATAATCATGTGGTTTTTGTGTTTGGTTCTGTTTATATGCTGGATTACATTTATTGATTTGCGTATATTGAACCAGCCTTGCATCCCAGGGATGAAGCCCACTTGATCATGGTGGATAAGCTTTTTGATGTGCTGCTGGATTCGGTTTGCCAGTATTTTATTGAGGATTTTTGCATCAATGTTCATCAAGGATATTGGTCTAAAATTCTCTTTTTTGGTTGTGTCTCTGCCCGGCTTTGGTATCAGGATGATGCTGGCCTCATAAAATGAGTTAGGGAGGATACCATCTTTTTCTATTGATTTGAATAGTTTCAGAAGGAATGGTACCAGTTCCTCCTTGTACCTCTGGTAGAATTCGGCTGTGAATCCATCTGGTCCTGGACTCTTTTTCGTTGGTAAGCTATTGATTATTGCCACAATTTCAGATCCTGTTATTGGTCTATTCAGAGATTCAGCTTCTTCCTAGTTTAGTCTTGGGAGAGTGTATGTGTCGAGGAATTTATCCATTTCTTCTAGATTTTCTAGTTTATTTGCATAGAGGTGTTTGTAGTATTCTCTGATGGTAGTTTGTATTTCTGTGGGATCGGTGGTGATATCCCCTTTATCATTTTTTATTGCGCCTATTTGATTCTTCTGTCTTTTCTTCTTTATTAGTCTTGCTAGCGGTCTATCAATTTTGTTGATCCTTTCAAAAAACCAGCTCCTGGATTCATTAATTTTTTGAAGGTTTTTTTGTGTCCCTATTTCCTTCAGTTCTGCTCTGATTTTAGTTATTTCTTGCCTTCTGCTAGCTTTTGAATGTGTTTGCTCTTGCTTTTCTAGTTCTTTCAATTGTGATGTTAGGGTGTCAATTTTGGATCTTTCCTGCTTTCTCTTGTGGGCATTTCGTGCTATAAATTTCCCTCTACACACTGCTTTGAATGCGTCCCAGAGATTCTGGTATGTTGTGTCTTTGTTCTCGTTAGTTTCAAAGAACATCTTTATTTCTGCCTTCATTTCGTTATGTACCCAGTAGTCATTCAGGAGCAGGTTGTTCAGTTTCCATGTAGTTGAGCGGTTTTGAGTGAGATTCTTAATCCTGAGTTCTAGTTTGATTGCACTGTGGTCTGAGAGATAGTTTGTTATAATTTCTGTTCTTTTACATTTGCTGAGGAGAGCTTTACTTCCAAGTATGTGGCCAATTTTGGAATAGGTGTGGTGTGGTGCTGAAAAAAATGTATATTCTGTTGATTTGGGGTGCAGAGTTCTGTAGATGTCTATTAGGTCCACTTGGTGCAGAGCTGAGT
This sequence comes from Homo sapiens, assembly GCF_000001405.40. Lineage (NCBI taxonomy): Eukaryota > Metazoa > Chordata > Mammalia > Primates > Hominidae > Homo > Homo sapiens. The sequence continues at coordinate 161,538,154 of NC_000002.12, read as the reverse complement.
TCAATCCCTGGGTATCCTTGTTGACTTTCTGTCTCATTGATCTGTCTAATGTTGACAGTGGGGTGTTAAAGTTTCCCATTATTAATGTGTGGGAGTCTAAGTCTCTTTGTAGGTCACTCAGGACTTGCTTTATGAATCTGGGTGCTCCTGTATTGGGTGCATATATATTTAGGATAGTTAGTTCTTCTTGTTGAATTGATCCCTTTACCATTAAGTAATGGCCTTCTTTGTCTCTTTTGATCTTTGTTGGTTTAAAGTCTGTTTTATCAGAGACTAGGATTGCAACATCTGCCTTTTTTTGTTTTCCATTTGCTTGGTAGATCTTCCTCCATCCTTTTATTTTGAGCCTATGTGTGTCTCTGCCCGTGAGATGGGTTTCCTGAATACAGCACACTGATGGGTCTTGACTCTTTATCCAATTTGCCAGTCTGTGTCTTTTAATTGGAGCATTTAGTCCACTTACATTTAAAGTTAATATTGTTATGTGTGAATTTGATCCTGTCATTATGATGTTAGCTGGTTATTTTGCTCGTTAGTTGATGCAGTTTCTTCCTGGTTTCGATGGTCTTTACATTTTGGCATGATTTTGCAGCGGCTGGTACCAGTTGTTCCTTTCCATGTTTAGTGCTTCCTTCAGGAGCTCTTTTAGGGCAGGCCTGGTGGTGACAAAATCTCTCAGCATTTGCTTGTCTGTAAAGGATTTTATTTCTCCTTCACTTATGAAGCTTAGTTTGGCTGGATATGAAATTCTGGGTTGAAAATTCTTTTCTTTAAGAATGTTGAATATTGGCCCCCACTCTCTTCTGGCTTGTAGAGTTTCTGCTGAGAGATCTGCTGTTAGTCTGATGGGCTTCCCTTTGAGGGTAACCCGACCTTTCTCTCTGGCTGCCCTTAACATTTTTTCCTTCATTTCAACTTTGGTGAATCTGACAATTATGTGTCTTGGTGTTGCTCTTCTCAAGGAGTATCTTTGTGGCGTTCTCTGTATTTCCTGAATCTGAATGTTGGCCTGCCTTGCTAGATTGGGGAAGTTCTCCTGGATAATATCCTGCAGAATGTTTTCCAACTTGGTTCCGTTCTCCCCGTCACTTTCAGGTACACCAATCAGATGAAGATTTGGTCTTTTCACATAGTCCCATATTTCTTGGAGGCTTTGCTCGTTTCTTTTTATTCTTTTTTCTCTAAACTTCCCTTCTCGATTCATTTCATTCATTTCATCTTCCATCGCTGATACCCTTTCTTCCAGTTGATCGCATCGGCTCCTGAGGCTTCTGCATTCTTCACGTAGTTCTCGAGCCTTGGTTTTCAGCTCCATCAGCTACTTTAAGCACTTCTCTGTATTGGTTATTCTAGTTATACATTCTTCTAAATTTTTTTCAAAGTTTTCAACTTCTTTGCCTTTGGTTTGAATGTCCTCCCGTAGCTCAGAGTAATTTGAGTAATTTGATCATCTGAAGCCTTCTCTCAGCTCGTCAAAGTCATTCTCCGTCCAGCTTTGTTCCGTTGCTGGTGAGGAACTGCGTTCCTTTGGAGGAGGAGAGGTGCTCTGCTTTTTAGAGTTTCCAGTTTTTCTGCTCTGTTTTTTCCCCATCTTTGTGGTTTTATCTACTTTTGGTCTTTGATGATGGTGATGTACAGATGGGTTTTTGGTGTGGATGACCTTTCTGTTTGTTAGTTTTCCTTCTAACAGACAGGACCCTCAGCTGCAGGTCTGTTGGAGTACCCGGCCCTGTGAGGTGTCAGTCTGCCCCTGCTGGGGGGTGCCTACCAGTTAGGCTGCTCGGGGGTCAGGGGTCAGGGACTCACTTGAGGAGGCAGTCTGCCTGTTCTCAGATCTCCAGCTGCGTACTGGGAGAACCACTGCTCTCTTCAAAGCTCAGATGGAAATGCAGAAATCAGCCGTCTTCTGTGTCACTCACGCTGGGAGCTGTAGACCGGAGCTCATTTTCTGGTTGTTTTATAGATACTTTGTTTCTTTCTTCCTCTCTTGCTGCCTTCCTTTATGGTTTGATGGTTTTCTGTAGTGGTGTGCTTTGAAACCTTCTATTTTTGTCTTGTGCATCTACTGTAGATTTTTGATTTGTGGTTACCATAAGGCTTAAATAGAATATAACATTCTATTTCAAGCTAATAACAACTTAACTTTGATCGTATAAAATAACTGGACACTTTCATTCCCCCTTCTACATTTTATGTTTTTGATACCAGAATTTCTATCATTCCATAATATGGTTTTCTTGGAATTTTATTTTAGCTATAATTATTATTAATAGTTTTGTATTTTAACCCTCATACTAAGGATAAAATTGCTTTACACACCCACCACCATTACATTTCCTAGAGTATTCTAAATATGGCTGTGTATTACCATTGTGTTATGTGCTTTTGTAAGTTTTACATTATTAATAAGTGGTCTCTTGTTTAAGCTTAAAGCAGTTTCTATAAGGCAGGCCTGGTGGTGATAAGCTCCCTTCATTTTTTCATCTGAGCAAGTTTTTATTTCTCCCTCATTTCAGAAAGACAGCTGTACTGGGTAAAATATTCTTAGTTAGCAGGAAGTTTTTTTTTTCCCCTCCTTCAGCACTTTGACTATATAACCCCACTGTCTCCTGGCTTCCAGAGTTTCTGCTGAGAAATTCACTAATGATTGTATTTGGTCTCCTTTGTATGTGATCTGTTTCTTATCCCTGGAGGCTCTTAGAATATTTTGTTTTTGATTTTTGATAGTTTGATTATTATGTCTCTTAGTGAATTCCCTTTGAGTTAAATTTCATTGAGACCTTTCTGCTTTCTATACCTGGATGCTAGTATCTTTTCCCAGATTAGTGAAGTTTTCCACCTTTTTTTTTACAATTTCAACTTTTATTTTAGATTCAAAGGGTACATGTGCAGGTTTGTTACATAGGTATATTGTGTGACACTGAGGTTTGGGGGCATGAATGATCCTGTCACCCAGGTAGTGAGCATGGTACCCAATAGGTAGTTTTTTCAGCCTTGCCCCACTTCCATCCTCCCTGCTCTAGTAGTCCCCAATGTTTATTTTTCACATCTTTATGTCCATGTGTACCCAATGTTTACCTCCCACTAGTGAGAACATGTAGTATTGGGTTTTCTGTTCCTATGCTAATTCACTTAGGATAATGGCCTCCAGTTGCATCCATGTTGCTGTAAAGAATGTGAGTTCATTCTTTTTATGGCTGTGTAGTATTCCATGCTGTATATGCACCACTTTTTTCTTTAATTTTTACCTAGCCATAAAAAAAGATGAAGTTATGTTCTTTGATGGACACCTAGGTTGATTTCATGTTTATGTTATTGTGAATAATTCTGCCATTGTTTCTTTAAATATGCTTTCTGGTCTTTTTTCTCTTCCTTCTCCATCTTTAACTTCTATATGATGTTATCCCATAATTGCCATAGGCCTTTTTCAATCTTTTTCATTTGTTTATTCTTTCTACTCCTCTGACTGGATAATTTCAAATATTCTGTCTTTGAACTCACTGATTATTTCTTCAGCTTGATCAAGCCTGCTTTTGAAGCTTTCTATTACATTTTCCAGTTTGGTTTATCTCTAGTATTTATATTTGTTTTATTTTGAATTGCTTCTATGTTTTGTTAAACTGTTCATTTTGTTTCTGCATTGTTTTCCAAATTTCATTTAATATTTTATTACTATACAGTAGTTCTCTCTTATCTGCAGTTTCACTTTTCATGATTTCAGTTACCAGTGGTTGACTGTGGTCTAAAAATATTCAGTGAAAAATTCCAGAATAAATACTTCATAAGTTTAAATTATGCACCATTCTGAGTAGCATAATAAAATCTTGTGCTTGTGCTGTATGACTCCATCTTTCCTAGGACCTGAATCATCCCTTTGTCCAGTGCAGCATGCTGTATATGCTATCTGCTCATTAGTCCCTCAGTAGCTATCCCAATTATCAGCTTGACTGTTGCAGTATTGCTGTGCTTGTGTTCAAGTAACTCTTATTTTACTTAATAATGACCCTAAGTGCAAGAGTAGAGATGCCACCATATTGTTATAATTGTTTTATTTCATTTTGTTATTGTTGTTAATCTCTTACTGTTCCCAATTTATAAATTAAACTTTACATAGGTATGTATGTATGTATAAAAGAAAATATAGGATATATAGGGTGCAGTACTAGCCACAGTTTCACGCATCCACTGAATATCTTGAAACATATCCTCTGCAGATAAGAGTGAACTACTATATTCTTGTAGTTCACTAAACTTCTTTAAGAGGATTATTCTGAATTCCTTGTCATTTCATAAATATCTCTTTCTTTAGGGTCCACTGATGGGGCTTTGTTAGTTTCTTTTGGCTGTATCATGATTTCTTGAGTCTTTGTAATATCTGTGTTTTTCACATTGGTATCTGTAAACTTCAGGAGACAGCCACCTTTTCTGGCTGTCACAGCTGTTCTTAGGCAAGGCTAGATCTTCACTATTTAGTTTAGTCTGTGATTCTGGATGAGCCAACTGGTAACAATTCTGGGCCGGCAGAGCTTGCTTTGGGTTCTCTAGATGGCTGCGCAGCTGCCTTTGCTCTGACTTTGGATGGGGCCACTGGCTGGGCTCTGCTATCCAATAAAAGCACTGGCTGAGCAGTGCAATCAGGCTGAGGTGCTGGATGGACACTGCAATCACCTCTGATCAGGCTGAACCACAAAGTACCTTCCCTGGTCAGATGGTACCACTATTTGAGTTCAGCAATTGGACAGGGTTACAGGAGAGCCACAGAGATTAAGTGGAGTTGCTGATTGAGTGGATGAGACCAGCTGTTATGATCTGTAGAAATACATGGTTGAGGATTGCCTCCCTGCCTAGGTGGGGCCTTGGGGTGACTTTGAGGTTGAACTGAGCACTGCTCAAACTCAGCAGGGGCAGATCTACCCCTTATTCTTTGTGGTAATTCACTGCAGCAGTTGTCTCTCAACCTGGGCAGAGTCTAAGGTGTGTTTGGGGCTGTGAACTCTACCTCCTTGCTTTGTTTCTACCTGACTTCAGGTGGTCTAGCCATGATATCTCCTCCTGTATTCTCCATGAGGTGAGACCGAAGTGGGCTTCCTTGGAAATGTCTTGGAATGCTAGGAAAGCTGGATATCCATCTCTTGCTCTCTTTTTTCTCTATAGAAACTGTGGTCCCTGGTGAATCCTGTGTGACACTCTGCCAACTTGGGAGAGGGAAAGGATGATGTGGTCAAAGGAAGATCATTTCTCTTACCCTTTCCATGCAGTTTTTATTACATTCTGTTAGCCATGCAGCTGACTCAGGCTTTTCTATCTGTGGATAGTTGCTAGTTAAACTTTCTGTGGGGGGTATTAAAGCCTGGGACCTCCTATTCTACCATCATGCTCTAAATATGTGCATATTTTTAATCTTCTTTCAAAAAATGTAGCATTATATATTCTATTCTACACCTTGGTTTTATTTTTTCAATTAAGCGCCTTTAGGTTTTCTAATTTTGTTATTACTTTCTAATATTGTTGTACTATAATCAGATAATGTTACTAAAATTTCTATATTTGGATTTTATTAAGGTTTCATTTGTGGCTTATCATATATTAATAATTAATTTTCATTGAAAATAAAGACGTATTTCCTATTTCCAAGACAGAAAGCTCCATACTTATCTGTAAGACATAACTTTCTTGTTATATTGTTTTTGTTTTCTGTCTTTAATTTGTAACTGCTAGATCAATCTTGAGACAAGAGAAAGTGTGATAATCACTCCTATTTTTAATGTACTTCTATTTCTTCTTGTATATCCTGTAATTTGTTGTTGGGTTTTTTGGGACATAGATGTTCACAACTGTTATATCTTCATTGTGAATTGTAGCATTTAACATTATGAGGGCCCACCTCTGTCTTATTTCATAATTTTTTGGTTTGAAATATTTTTCTGTGATATCAAAATTCTGGCTTTTTTTTTTTTTTTTTTTTTTTTTTTTTGAGACAGAGTCTTGCTCAGTCCCCCAGGCTGGAGTGCAGTGGCTCGATCTCCGCTCACTGCAAGCTCCACCTCCTGGGTTCACGCCATTCTCCTGCCCCAGCCTCCCAAGTAGCTGGGACTATAGGCGCCCACCACCACGCCCAGCTAATTTTTTTGTATTTTTTTTAGTAGAGACGGGGTTTCACCGTGTTAGCCAGGATGGTCTCAATCTCTTGACCTCGTGATCCGCCCTCCTCGGCCCCCCAAAGTGCTGGGATTACAGGCGTGAGCCACCGCGCCCAGCTGTTTTCTTTTTTTTTTTTTTAAATTATACTTTAAGTTTTAGGGTACATGTGCACATTGTGCAGGTTAGTTACATATGTATACATGTGCCATGCTGGTGCGCTGCACCCACTAACTCGTCATCTAGCCTTAGGTATATCTCCCAGTGCTATCCCTCCCGCCTCCCCCGACCCCACCACAGTCCGCAGAGTGTGGTATTCCCCTTCATGTGTCCATGTGATCTCATTGTTCAATTCCCACCTATGAGTGAGAATATACGGTGTTTGGCTTTTTGTTCTTGCGATAGTTTACTGAGAATGATGATTTCCAATTTCATCCATGTCCCTACAAAGGATATGAACTCACAATAGCAAAGACTTGGAACCAACCCAAATGTCCAACAATGATAGACTGGATTAAGAAAATGTTTTCTTTTTTAATGCTAATATTAATTTTTTACTTATTTAAATTTTTTAATGTTAATGCCCAACTTTTAATTTTCCTCCTTTCTTAATCACTTTAAGTGTATCTTATGCATAGCATGGGGTGGTTTTTGCTTTGTAAGATCTGCAAAGTTTTCTTTTTATAGTTGAGGTAAGCTATTTTACATTTATTGTTGTAATTTGTCTGAGCTTAGTTTATGTGTCCTGTATATCTATTCTTAAAAACATGTTTTTTTTTCACATTTTGAGATCCCTGATTTTGATTTGTGTCCTACAACTAATGTTTTACAATCACTTTTGTTCATTTTTCCCCTTTGACCATCTCTGAAATTAGGATGTGTCTATTTATGGCTTATTTGATTCAATCCAATATCATATTTTTAAAAACATTTCACAATTGTCTTTGTTCTTTTATTTTTGTACTTTTTCTGATATTTAGGAAGGTCAGTAATTTTTCTCTAGTTGTTATCTTTAATTAATACCTTTATAATAAGACCCATCTTTCTTTCTTCAGACTTCCTGTGGTAGGCAAAGTGATGGCCCTCCAAAGATGTCTACATCCCAACTACTGGAACCTATGACTATGTTACATTACATGACAAAAGGGACTTTTCAGGTGTGAATAATGTTAGAGACCTTGAAATGGAGATATCTTGGATTTTCTTGGTGGACCCAATGTAACTACATGAATCTTTACAAATACAATACAGAAGAAGGGTGGGTCAGAGAGATGCTATGTAAGAAGGATTTGATCTGTTGTTCCAACCTTTAAAAATGAAGTATAGGAACCACAGGCCAAGCAAAGCAGTAGCCCCTAGAAAGTGGAAACAGCCTTCAGTTTATAGTAAGAAAATGGGAACCTCAATCCTATAATCTCAAAGAACTGAATTCTTCTAATAATCCAAATAAGCAGGAAATGAAATCTCCTCTAGAGTCTCTGTATTAGTCTGTTCTCATGCTGCTAATAAAGACATACCCAAGACTCAGTAATTTATAAAGGAAAGAGGTTTAATTGACTCACAGCTCCACATGGCTGGGGGGCCCTCACAATCATGGTAGAAGGCAAAGAAGTAAGACACATCTTATATGGCAGCAGGCAAGAGAGCTTGTGAGCTTCTGCAGGGGAACTCCCATTTATAAAACCAACAGATCTTGTGAGACTTATTCACTACCAGGAAAACATTATGGGGAAAACTATCTCCGTGATTCAATTACCTCTACCTGGCCCCACCCTTGACACATGGAGATTATTACAATTCAAGAGGAGATTTGGGTGGGGACACAGACAAACCATATCAGCCACCAAAAAGGAATGTAGCCTGCCAACATCTTGGTTTCAGTCCAGTGGTATCTGAATTAGATTTCTGACATACAGAAATGTAAAATAAAATTTTGTGTTGCTTTAAGCCACTAAATTTGTGGTGATTTGTCACAGTAGGAATAGAAAACTAATACGCCTCATTTCTTGTGTGGCAATCCCTTCTCTGAGTTCTTTGCTTCTGCTTCATGATACACTTTCATAGCTGGTACTTCACTTATGCTGGGGAGATGTCATCAGGGGTAAGTGGGAAACTGAACTTTCACCCTCACCTATCAGCAATAAGATAGTGTGAGGCAGTTTTCTTCTTTTGCCAGGATTGTGTCAGCAGAACTCAGTGAGGAGCTGAATATCTACTCGCCCCTGGACCTATGCACTTATCTAAATATGAAGACTGTCTGTAAAATAGGATGCTGAGTCTGACAAAATAATGCCCAAAAGCATCCAGGATACAATAAAACAACAATTCATCATACCATAAACCAGGGAAATCTTAACTTGAATGAGAAAAGATCATCCAAACATGCCAAAACAGAGATAACACAGATGTTAGAATTCCTGACAAGGATTTTGAAGCAGCCATCATAAAAATGCTTCAACAACTAATTAAAGACATGTTCTAAACAAATTAAAAAAAAAACAGAAAGCTTCAGCAAAAAAAAAATATATATATATATGCATATATATATATATAGAAGATATAAGAAAAAGAAGGGGGTGGACCCAAGATGGCCGAATAGGACCAGCTCCAGTCTACAGCTCCCAGCGTCAGCGATGCAGAAGATGGGTGATTTCTGCATTTTCAACTGAGGAACGCAGCTCCTCACCAGCAACGGAACAAAGCTGGACAGAGAATGACTTTGACGAGTTGAGAGAAGAAGGCTTCAGAAAATCAAACTACTCTGAGCTAAAGGAGGAAGTCTGAACCCATGGCAAAGAAGTTAAAAACCTTGAAAAAATATTAGACGAATGGCTAACTAGAATAACCAATGCAGAGAAGTCCTTGAAGGACCTGATGTAGCTGAAAACCAAGGCAGGAGAACTATGTGATGAATGCACAAGCCTCAGTAGCCAATTCAATCAATTGGAAGAAAGGGTATCAGTGATGGAAGAGCAAATGAATGAAATGAAGTAAGAAGAGAAGTTTAGAGAAAAAAGAATAAAAAGAAATGAACAAAGCCTCCAAGAAATATGGGACTATGTGAAAAGACCAAATCTACGTCTGATTGGTGTACCTGAAAGTGACAGAGAGAATGGAACCAAGTTGGAAAACACTCTGCAGGATATTATCCAGGAGAACTTCCCCAATCTAGCAAGGCAGGCCAACATTCAAATTCAGGAAATACAGAGGTACAAGGAGCACCTTCTACCATTCCTTCTGAAACTATTCCAATCAATAGAAAAAAAAGGGAATCCTCCCTAACTCATTTTATGAGGCCAGCATCATCCTGATACCAAAGCCTGGCAGAGACACAATAAAAAAAGAGAATTTTAGACCAATATCCCTGATGAACATCGATGCAAAAATCCTCAAAAAAATACTGGCAAACCGACTCCAGCAGCACATCAAAAAGCTTATCCACCATGATCAAGTGGGCTTCATCCCTGGGAGGCAAGGCCACTTACGCAACATACGCAATCAATAAACATAATCCAGCCTATAAACAGAACCAACAACAAAAACCATATGATTATCTCAATAGATGCAGAAAAGGCCTTTGACAAAATTCAGCAACCCTTCATGCTAAAAACTCTCAATAAATTAGGTATTGATGGGACGTATCTCAAAATAATAAGAGCTATCTGTGACAAACCCACAGCCAATATCATACTGAATGGGCAAAATTGGAAGCATTCCCTTTGAAAACTGGCACAAGACTAGGATTCCCTCTCTCACCACTCCTATTCAACATAGTGTTGGAAGTTCTGGCCAGGGCAATCACGCAGGAGAAGGAAATAAAGAGTATTCAATTAGGAAAACAGGAAGTCAAATTGTCCCTGTTTGCAGATGACATGATTGTATATCTAGAAAACCCCATCGTCTCAGCCCAAAATCTCCTTAAGCTGATAGGCAACTTCAGCAGAGTCTCAGGATACAAAATCAATGTGCAAAAATCACAGGCATTCTTATATACCAATAACAGACAAACAGAGAACCAAATCATAAGTGAACTCCCATTCACAATTGCTTCAAAGAGAATAAAATACCTAGGAATCCAACTTACAAGGGACGTGAAGGACCTCTTCAAGGAGAACTACAAAACACTGCTGAAGGAAATAAAAGAGGATACAAAAAAATGGAAGAACATTCCATGCTCATGGGTAGGAAGAATCAATATTGTGAAAATAGCCATACTGCCCAAGGTAATTTATAGATTCAGTGCCATCCCCATCAAGCTACCAATGACTTTCTTCACAGAATTGGAAAAAACTACTTTAAAGTTCATATGGAACCAAAAAAGAGCCCGCATTGCCAAGTCAATCCTAAGCCAAAAGAACAAAGCTGGAGGCATCATGCTACCTGACTTCAAACTATACTATAAGGCTACAGTAACCAAAACAGCATGGTACTGGTACCAAAACAGAGATATAGACCAATGGAACAGAACAGAGCCCTCAGAAATAATGCTGCATATCTACAAACATCTGATCTTTGACAAACCTGACAAAAACAAGCAATGGGGAAAGGATTCCCTATTTAATAAATGGTGCTGGGAAAACTGGCTAGCCATATGTAGAAAGCTGAAACTGGATCCCTTCCTTACACCTTATACAAAAATTAATTCAAGATGGATTAAAGACTTAAATGTTAGACCTAAAACCATAAAAACCCTAGAAGAAAACCTAGGCAATACCATTCAGGACATAGGCACGGGTAAAGACTTCATGTCTAAAACACCAAAAGCAATGGCAACAAAAGCCAAAATTGACAAATGGGATCTTCGAGATTCTGCACAGCAAAATAAACTACCATCAGAGTGAACAGGCAACCTACAGAATAGGAGAAAATTTTTGCAATCTACTCATCTGACAAATGGCTAATATCCACAATCTACAATGAACTCAAACAAATTTACAAGAAAAAAACAAACAACCCCATCAAAAAGTGGGCAAAGGATATGAACAGACACTTCCCAAAAGAAGACATTTATGCAGCCAAAAGACACATGAAAAATGCTCATCATCACTAGCCATCAGAGAAATGAAAATCAAAACCACAATGAGATACCATCTCACACCAGTTAGAATGGCAATCATTAAAAAGTCAGGAAACAACAGGTGCTGGAGAGGATGTGGAGAAATAGGAACACTTTTATACTGTGGCTGGGACTGTAAACTAGTTCAACCATTGTGGAAGTCAGTGTGGTGATTCCTCAGGGATCTAGAACCAGAAATACCATTTGACCCAACAATCCCATTACTGGGTGTATACCCAAAGGATTATAAATCATGCTGCTATAAAGACACACGCACACATATGTTTATTGCGGCATTATTCACAATAGCAAAGACTTGGAACCACCCCAAATGTCCAACAATGATAGACTGGATTAAGAAAATATGGCACATATACACCATGGAATACTATGCAGCCACAAAAAATGATGAGTTCATGTCCTTTGTAAGGAGATGGATGAAGCTGGAAACCATCATTCTCAGCAAACTATCACAAGGACAAATAACCAAACACCGCGTGTTCTCACTCATAGGTGGGAATTGAACAATGAGAACACATGGACACAAGAAGGGGAACATCACACACCGGGGCCTGTTGTGGGGTTGGGGGAGGGGGGAGGGATAGCATTTGGAGATATACCTAATGTTAAATGACAAGTTACTGGGTGCACCACACCAACATGGCACATGTATACATATGTAACTAACATGCACATTGTGCACATGTACCCTAAAACTTAAGGTATAATAATAAAAAAAAGAAAAAGAAATGCAAATTTTAGAATTAAAAAATACAATAACTAAAAATATAATAACTAAAAGTTTCAAATAGTGGGCTCAATAGCAGAATAAATATGACAGAGGAAAGAATTAGTCAGCTTTAAGATAGAACAGAAAAACTGACTAGCTACAGTGGCTCATGCCTGTAATCCCAACACTTTGGGAGGCCAAGGCGGGAGGATCACTTGAAGCCATGAGTTTAAGACCAGCCTGGGCAACAAAGCAAGAACCTGTCTCTACAAAAAAAATTTTTTAAATTATCTGGGCACAGTGGCATGCACCTGTAATCCCAGCTCCTTGGGAAGCTCAGGTGAGAGGATTGCTTGAGCCCAGGAGTTGAAAGCTGCAGTGAGCTATGATCATGCCACTGTACTCCACTTGGGCAACAGAGTGAGACCCCCATCTCAAAAGATAAATAAATAAAAAGAATGAAAACAACCTGTCCAATCTGAACAATAAAGAAATTAGGAAAAAAATGAACAGACATTAACGGACTTGTAGGAAAATAATAAAATATCTAATATTCATATCATCAGAGTCCCAAAAAGGGAATATAAAGAGTGTGAAATTGAAACGGTATTCCTAGCTTAACAGCACACATTCTAGAACGACCTTTCCTAATTGTGTAATCTTCGGTAAGATATCTAGTTTCCATGTGTCTCACTCATTTGAAAAAAAGGCGATAAAAATATCTATTTTACAGAGTATATATAAGGGGTAAAGGCATTTAGAATAGTACCTGGCACATAAACCTTCAATAAATATTGGCTATTATTGTTATGCATGTTTAATAAATGTGTTTTAATGAAACAATCTGGAATGTTTGGTGCGAAAAAAAAAGTTGTTGAAACCCAAAATATTAAGAAAGAAATTTGGAGCATTTTGAAAGACTATCAGAAAGAAAGAAACAGAATCATGGTTAAGAGGAGAGGACCCCTATCTAAACAAGACTATCCAAAAATTGGAAAAGGCTTTTCCTTGGGGATCCTTCTTTGTTCAAATACTGAATATTCACCAAGTTGCTTTCTTGTCTTAATTTATAGCTCTTGTTATTTCTGGTCTTATGTAAACTTCCCTTCTAGGAAGAGGTATTTCCTATTTTAGATTATTAAACTAGTTTCTAACAAAAAAAAAAAAAAAGAAAAGGTATTCCTAAAAATAATGGTTTAAAAAATTCCCAAATCTAGCAAAAAAAATATGCAAACTTACATATTCAAGAAACTAAGCAAATCACAAATGACTAAACCCATAAAAATTCATGCAAAGACACATCATATTCAAATTTTAAAAACCTAAAGAAAAAGAAAAAATATTGAAAACAGTTAAGAGAGAAATAATATAGTAATTATAGAAGAATGATCGAAATGAAAGTTAATTTTTTTTATCAGAAACCATGAAGGCCAAAAGGAAATTGCACATTTTTCAAGTGCTGGGGGGAAAAAGAGAACAAAAAAAAACGTCAACTAAGAATTATAAACATAGTAAGATTATTCTTCAGTAATAGAAGAAAAATCAAGACATTCTCAGACTAAAAGAAAATAACAAAAGAACTGTTACTAGCAGACCTACTCAACAACAACAACAAAAAATGGCTAAAAGAAGCTGTCCAAAAAGAAAAGAAATGATAAAAGAAGAAAATTTGGAACATCAGGAATGAAGAGAGAATGATGAAAAGAGTAAAAATATGGATAGATATAATAGATTACCCTTCTCCTCTTGAGTTTTCTAAATTTTGTTAATTAAAGTAAAAATTACAGTGTTTGATATAGTTCTCAATGTATACAGACTAAGTATTTAGAGCGACTATATTATAAAGGGGGCATAAAAAAGTCTCAAGTGGAAGTAAGGTATCTACACTGTACATGAACTGGTAAAACATTGACATCAGTAAAGACTATGATAAGTTATGTATATATAATTTAATATGTAGAAAACCACTAGTAAAAAGAAATACATTTATAAACTCAAAAGATAAGCCAAAATGGAATGCTAAATAATTTCAAGTAACCAACAGGAAGGCAAGAAAAGTGAAATAAAGAAATGAAAAGCAGAAGAACAAATAATAAAATAAAAGACATATCAATAATTAAATTACAGGTAAATGACTTAAATACACAAATTAAAAGACAAAATTAGCATAATGCATTTGAAAACATAGCTTGGAGTGAAGTTACAGAGAATAGCACAATAGGAAGCTCCCTGTGGAGCTAAAAAACTCAAATTCCACTATTTTAAAACTGCAGTCTAGTCAAACAATGGCAGCATCCAGGTGAGTGCTTGGTGAAGAAAGAGGCTGGTAAATTTTGATAAATTTTAGTGTTTTACATAGCACCTACCATCACCCCCTACCCTCCAATCCTCCAACCACACAGCAGGCAGCCATGGGGACAGCAGCCTGTATTCTTGGTGCAACTGAATGTTGCCAAAATGGGCAATAATAACATTGCCCTCCAAAACTCAGGGTATGTGTTTTTATCTGCCTGGCAATACACTGAGGGACTGGCACAGGGTCTGGACATTGTTTAAACCTCATTAATCTGAAGCAGCTTCCCAGGAAGTCTCTATCAAAAAAAATTTAAGGACAGAAAACCCTTTTATTTCTTTTATTTTCTTGCTAGATCAGACATTTACAGACATCTCCGTTTGATCATTGGCTGACCATGAAGTTAACAGAACACTGACCTCCAGATCATATATAACAAAGAATATAGCTTTTTAAACATAGTATGGAAAATTCACTAAATAAACAAATAACTGCAGCCTCACAAGACAACAACAGCATTCTCTGGGAAGGGGAAACTTCTGACTTCCACAGTCGCCACATTACAATATTTACAAAGTCCTGTTTGCAAGGCATACAAATAAATAGGAACACATGGCTCACTTACAGAAAAAATAAAATTTAAAGAAAAAATCCTTGAGGAAACAGTGACATGACATGGTGCTTGCTGGAAAAAAGCTTTAAATTGTCTTAAATATGTTGAAGAGCTAAAGGAACTCTGGATAAAAAAAACTAAAAGATAACAAAAGAATGATATATGATCAAGTAGTGAGTATCAGTTTTTAAAAATAGAAGTTATAAATAGAAAACAAATAAAAATTCTGGAGCTGAAAAGTATACTAACTACAGTAAAAAATTCACTAGAGGCATTCAACAGCAAATTTGAGCAGGTAAAAAGAAGACTCAAAGAACTTAAAAATGGTGCAATGGGAATGATACAATCTGAGGGGCAAAGATGGAAAAAATAAAGAAAAATGAACAGGGCAGGCTGGGCATTGTGGCTCATGCTTGTAATCCCAATGCTTCAGGAGGCCAATGTGGGCAGATCACTTGAGGTCAGAAGATCAAGACCAGCCTGGCCAACATGGTGAAACCCCATCTCTACAAAAAAAAAAAAACAAAAAAAAACAAAATTAGCCAGATGTGGTGGTGGGCGTTTATAATCCCAGCTACTCAGGAGGTTGACACAGGAGAATCGCTTGAACCTCGGAGGGGGAGGTTGCAGTGAGCCAAGATCGTGCCACTGCACTCCAGCCTGGACAACAGAGTGAAACTCTTGTCAAAAAAAAAGAACAGAGCATAAGGGACCTGTGGGGAACCATCAAGTATAACATATGCAAGGCAGGGCATGGTGGTTCATACCTTTAATCCTAGTACTTTGGGAGGCTGAGGCAGGAGGACTGGTTGAGCCCAGGAGTTCAAGGCCAGCATGAGCAACATAGTGAGACCGTGTCTCTACAAAAAATACAAAAATTAGCTGGGGGTGCTGGTGTGTGCCTATAATCTCAGCTACTCAGGAAGCTGAGGTGAGAAGATCACTTGAGCCCAAAAGGTTGAGGCCACAGTGAGCCATGATCACACCACTGCCCTCCAGCCTGAATGATGGAGTGAGACCATGTCTCAAAAAAAAAAAAATTGCAAAATAGGATGCCAGAAGAAGATGAGAGATAAAGAATATTTTAAGGAATAATGTCAATAACATGACAAACCAGATGATACATGAACCTACACATCCAAGAAGCTCAAAAAATGCTAAATAAGAAAAACACAAAGGGCTCCATACTGAGACACATTATGAACAAACTGTCAAATGACAAAAACAGAATCTTGAAAACAGCAAAACAAAGCAACTTGTTATACACAAGGGAATCTCAATAAGGTTAACAACTAATTTCTCATCAAAAACTGTGGAGGCCAGGAAGCAGTGAAATAATCTATTTAAAGTGATCAAGGGAAAAAATAACTGTTAATAATGAATTCTATATCCAGCAAAATATCCTTTCAAAAATGAAGGAGAAATTAACACATTCCCAGATAAACCAAAACTGTGGAACTTCATTACCACTAGGACTTCTCTGGAAATGATAAAAGGGAGTCCTTAAAACTTAAAAAAAAAAAAAAAAAAAGGGATGGGCACGGTGGTTCATGCCTGTAATCCCAGCACTTTCGGAAGCCAAGGCAGGTGGATCACCTGAGGTCAGGAGTCTGAGACCAGCCTGGCCAACATGGCGAACCCCTATCTCTACTAAAAATACAAAAATTAGCTGGGTGTGGTGGCATGCGCCTGTATTCGCAGCTACTCAGGAGGCTGAAGCAGAAGAATCACTTAAACCCGGGAGGCAGAGGTTGCAGTGAGCCGAGATCGCGCCATTGCACTCCAGCCTGGCTGACAGGGCGAGACTCCATCTCAAAAAAAAAAAAAAAAAAACAGGACATGAAGGACATGAGATAGTAACTCAAAGCCAAATGAAGAAATTTAAAACTGGTAAAAGTAGCTAAGTAAGTAAATATAATAGCTAGTATTATTGTACTTTTGGTTTGTAACTCTTCTTTTTGTTTTCTATGTAATTTAAAATGTGAATACTAAAAAATAATTATAAATCTATGTTAATAAGCACATAATATATAAAGTGGTAATTTGTGACAATGCAAATGTAAAAGGAAATGAAATTATTAATAGCAGAGTTTTTGTGTACTATTGAAAATAAGGGCCAGGCGCAGTGGCTCATGTCTGTAATCACAGCACTTTGGGAGTCGGAGGCAGGTGGATTGCTTGAGCTCAGGAGTTCGAGACTAGCCTGGGCAACATGGCGAAACATCATCTTTACAAAAAAATACAGAAGTCGGCTGAGCGTGGTGGTGTACACCTGTAGTTCTAGCTACTTGGGAGGCTGAGGTGGGAGAACTGCTGCAGCCCAGGAGGCTGAGGTTGCAGTAAGCCAAGATCATGCCACTGCACTCCAGCTCATGTGACAGAGTAAGACCCTGTCTCAAAAAAAAAAAAAAAAAAGAAACGAAAAAGAAAAAAAAGAAAGAAAAGAAGTTGCTATTAATTCAAACTAGACTGTGATGAATTTTAAATGTTGACTGTAATCCGCAAGTACAGCTAAGAAAATAACTAAAAAATACTCCAAGAAGAAGAGGAGGAGCAGGAGAAAAGGCAATCAAAACAGTATACTAGAAAAAATTAATTAAACACAAAAGAAGGCAGTAATAGAGGAATTGAGAAACAAAAAAGATATGACACATAGAAAACAGATAGCAAAATGTCAGAAGCAAGACCTTCCTTTATCATTATTACTTTAAATGTAAATGAATTAAATTACAATTAAAAGGCAGATATTGGCAGAATAAATTTTTATAAAATATGATCCAACTCTATGCTACCTAAATGAGACACAATTTAAATCTAAAGGCACAAATAGATTGAATTTTTATAAAATATGACCTAACTCTATGCTACCTAAAAGAGACAATTTAAATCTAAAGGCACAAACAGACAAAGTGGAAGGATGAGAAAAGATAGTCCATGCAAATAATACCAAAAGTAAACTGAAATGGCTATGCCAATACCTGACAAAATATATTTTAAGATAAAAATTATTTTAAAAACAAAGACATTTTATATTGATTTAAAAAATCAATTCATCAAGAAGATATAACAATTATAAACATACACACATTGCATACAGCCTCAAAATATATGAAAGCAAAAACTGTCAGAAATGAAGACAGAAATGGGCAGTTCTACAATATAACTTGGAAACTTCAATACCCTACTTTCAATAGTGAATGTAACATCTAAACAGAAGATCAATATGGAAATAGAGAATTTGAGCACCATAAACTATACCTCAAAGAGAGATACAGAACACTCCTTCCAACAACATAATGTACATTCTTCTCAAGTACACATGAAACATTCTCCAGGATACACTCTTTTAGATCCTCAATAAATTTAAAAAAGATTTAAATCATATAAAGTGTCTTCTCTGGCCATAATGGAACAAAACTAGAAGTCAGTAACAGAAGGAAAACTGAAAAATCTGCAAATGCATGGAAACTAAACAACACATATTTAAACAACCAATGGGCCAAATAACTCACTAGGGAAATAAAAAAATAAGATGAATAAAAACAAAAACCAAACCCAATGTACAAAAACTTACGGAATGCAGTGAAAGCAGTGTTCAGGGGGATATTTATAGCATATATTAAAAAAAGAAAAGAGATTTCAAATAAACAACCTAACTTAACAACTTAAAAAACTAGAAAAAAATGGCAAACCAAACTCCAAACTAGTAGAAGGAAGAAGTAATAAAAGGGCAGAGATAGAAAAGTAGTACAAAGAATCAATGAAACTGAAGTTGGTTCTCTTAACTAAGAACAAGAGAAAGAAGGCACAAATAACTACAATCAGACATAAAAGTGTGACCTTTACTACAGGATTACATAAATTAAAGAATTACAAAAGAATTATATGAACAATTATATATCAACAAATTAGATAACCTGAAGGGAAGGGACAAATTACCTTAAAAACACAAACTACCAAAAGTATCTCAAGAAGAATTAGAAAATCTGAACAGATGTATAATAAATAAAGAGATTGAATGAATTATTAAAAATCCCCAAATGAGAACCTGGACCAGATGGCTTCTCTGGGGAATTCTACTAAACATTTAAAGAATTAACACCAATATTATTGAAACTCAAAAAGCAGAAGAGATAGTAACACTTTCCAATACATTCTGGGATGCCAGCATTACCAAAGCCAGAAGAATATATCGAGAAAAGAAAATTATAGAACAATACCCTCTATGAATATAAATGAAAAATCCTTGACAAAATACTAGCAAACCAAATTCAGCAGCATATTAAAGAATTATACATTTGTAACCAACTAAGATTTGTCCCAGGAATGCAAAAGTAGCTCAAAATAAGAAAGTTAACCAACGTAATGCAACATTAATAGAACATAGAAAAGAAAAGAGAACACATGTTCATTTCAATCAACACAGAAAAAAGCATCTGACAAAATTTAACACACTTTCATAACAAAAATTATCAGCAAACTAGGAATAGAAGAGAACTATGTCAATATGATAAACAGCATTTATGAAAAACCCTCAGCTAACATCATACTCAATGGTAAAAAAAACTGATGGTTGTTCTCCTAAGATCAGGAGCAAGACAAGAATGCATATTTGTACCACTGCTATTTAACATTGTACTGATTGTGAGCAGAATATAAGCAGAGAGATGAAAATTATAAGAAAAAATGAAAAAAATGCTAGAGATTAAAAATTCTGTTAATGAAATTAAAAATGCCTTTGATAGGCTTATTGGTAGAGTAGACACTGCTGAGGAAAGAATCTCAGAGCTTAAGTATGTATTGATAAGAACCTCCAAAATTAAAAAGGAAATATTTTAAAATTGAAAAGAACACCAGAACATAATATTCAAAAACTGTGGGGACAACTACAAAGGGTGTAACATATACACATAATGGAAATAACAGAAGGAGAAGAAAAAGCAAAAGGAGCAGAAGAAATACCTGAAACAATAATGACAGACAATTTCTCTGAAATTAATGTCAGAAACCTAATCACAGATTCTGGAAGCTAAGAGAACATCAAGAAAGATAAACTTTTTTAAAACTAAAAAAATAAAACTACACCTAGGCATATCATTTTCAAACTACAAAAAAAGACACCTTACCTATAGAGAAATAAAGAAAAGAATTATACCAGACTTCTTTTCAGAAACCATGCAAGCAAGAAGAGTGTAAAGTAAAGTTTTGAAGTATTAATAGGGAAAAACACTAATGTAGAATTCTGTACACTGTGAAATTATGCTTCAAAAGTGAAAGAGAAACAATTGAGGGAATTTGTTGCCAGTAAACTTGCCTTGCAAGAAATGTTAAAAGAAATTCTTTAGAGAGAAGAAAAATGACATACATCAGAAACTCAAATACACATAAGAAGAGCGTCAGAAAAGGCACCAGTGAGGATAGAATAATTTTTTTTATTTTTATTGATCTAACAAATAACAGTTTGTTCAAAATAATAATGGTAATAATGTTTTTCGTTGTGTATGTTATGAATATATATATATATGGGGGTATACATATACATATATGTTTTGTATAACTGACAGCAATGACACAAGGGATGGAGGGGAAGTATTAGGATTATTTTGTTACTATAATAACTCATACTACCCATAAAGTGGTATAGTGTCATTTAAGAGTGGACTTGGAGCCAGGAGCAATGGCTCACACCTGTTATTCCAGCCAATTCGGAGGCTGAGGTGAGCGGATTGCCTGAGCTCAGGAGTTCTAGACCAGCCTGGGCAATGTGGCAAAACTCCGTCTCTAGAAAAAATACAAAAATTAGCCAAGCATGGTGGCATGGGCCTGCAGTCCCAGGTACTTAGGGGACTGAGGCAGGAGGATTACCTGAGCTCACGAGGTCTAGGCTGCAGTGAGTCGTGTTTGCACCACTACACTCCAGGTTGGGTGATAAAGCGAGACACTGTCTATAACTAACTAACTGAATAAATAAATAATGTGGACTTGAATTAGTTGTAAATGTATATTGAAAACTCTAGGGCAAACAGTAAAAAAGTTGAAAAGAACAAATGATAAGCTAAGAAAAAAAAGGGAAAATGTCACAAGGAACAAAAGAAAAAATAAATTGGACTGAATAAAGTTTAATGTTCTCACTCATAAGTGTCATAAGTGGGAGCTAAGCTATAAGGACACAAAGGCATAAGAATGATACAATAGACTTTGGAGACTCGGGGGAAAGACTGGGAGGGGGTGAGGGATAAAAGACTACACATTGGGTACAGTGTTCACTGCTCAGGTGATGGGTGTACCAAAATCTCAGAAAGTACCACTAAAGAACTTATTCATGTAACCAAACACCACCTGTTCCCCAAAAACCTACTTAAATAAAATAAGTAAATAAATGTTGATAGGAAAAAGTGAAAAAAAATTAAATTTTGAGCACCAAATGAGACGATATTAATAAAGTAAAACAGCAACCCAGGAAATAGGATAAAATGTTTGCAAATTATATATCTTTTAAGTAATTAATATACAGACTATATAGTGAACTTCTAAACCTCAACAACAAAAAAACAACCTAATTCAAAAATGGGAATTGGACTTGAATAGACATTTCTTTAAAGAAGATATACAAATGACCAATAAGCACATGGAAAGATGCTCAACATCATTAATCATTATAATCAAAACTACAATGAGATACATCTTACAGCCATTAAGATGGTTACTATTTTCTTAAAAAAACAAAAAACAAACAAAATAACAAGTGATATTAATGATGGCAAAGACGTGATGTGGAGAAATTGGAGTCTTGTGCACTATTGGTGGATATGTAAACTAGAACAGCCACTATAGAACACAGTATGATGGAGCCTCAAAAATTATAAATAGTATTACCATATCAACCAGTAATTCCACTTCTGGGTATGTATTCAAAAGAATTAAAAGCAGGGTTTCTTAGAAATATTTGTACACTCATGCTCATATCAGCATTATTCACAATAGCTAAAATGCAGAAGCAGCCTAAGTGTCCATCAACAGCCGAGTGGATAAGCAAAATGCGGGATACACCTGGAGTATTATTTGCCTTAAAAAGGAAGGCAATAATAATGTAATAATGGAGTAAATGTAATAAGTAATAATGGAGTATTATTTAACTTAAAAAGGAAGAAAATTCTGGCATATGCTACAACATGGATGAACTTTGAGGACATTATGCTAAGTGAAATGGGATTGATGGGTTGAATGGTATTTCTGTTTTAAGTTCTTTCAGGAATCGCCACACTGCTTTCCACAATGGCTGAACAAATTTACACTCCCACCAGCAGTGAATAAGCACTCCCTTTTCTCCACAACCTCACCAGCATGTTATTTATTCACGTTTTTAATAATAACCATTCTGACTGGTGTGAGATGGTATCTCGTTGTTTTGATTTGCATTTCTCTAATAATAAGTGATGTTGAGCATTTTTTCATAAGATTGTTGGCCGTATATATGTCTTCTTTTTTTTTTTTAATTGGAAACATTTCATCTATTTGTTTGTTTGTTTTTTATACTTTAAGTTCTGGGATACATGTGCAGAACGTGCAGGTTTGTTACATAGGTATACACGTACCATGGTGGTTTGCTGTACCCATCAACCCGTCATCTACATTAGGTATTTCTCATAATGCTATCCCTCCCCTAGCCCCCCACCCTGCTACAGGCCCCCGTGTGTGATGCTCCCCTCCCTGTGTCCATGTGTTCTCATTGTTCAACATCCACCTATGAGTGAGAACATGTGGTATGTTTGCTTTTCTAATCCTGTGTTAGTTTGCTGAGAATGATGGCTTCCAGCTTCATCCATTTCCCTGCCAAGGACATGAACTCATCCCTTTTATTGCCACATAGTATTCCATGGTGTATATGTGCCACATTTTCTTTATCCAGTCTATCATTGATGGGCATTTTGGTTGGTTCCAAGTCTTTGCTATTGTGAATAGCGCTGCAATAAACATACATGTGCATGTGTCTTTATAGTGGAATGATTTATAATCTTTGGGTATATACCCAATAATGGGATTGCTGGGTCAAATGGTATTTCTGGTTCTAGATCCTTGAGGAATCACCACACTGTCTTCCACAATGGTTGAAATAATTTGCACTCCCACCAACAGTGTAAAGGCGTTCCTATTTCTCCACATCCTCTCCAGCATCTGTTGTTTCCTGACTTTTTAATGATAGCCATTGTAACTGGCATGAGATGGTATCTCATTGTGGTTTTGATTTGCATTTCTCTAATGATCAGTGATGATGAGATTTTCTTCATGTTTATTGGCCACATAAATGTCTTATTTTGAGAAGTTTCTGTTCATATTTTTGCCCACTTTTTGCTAGGGTTGTTTGTTTTCTTCTTGTAAATTTGTTGAAGTTTCTTGTAGATTCTAGATATTAGCCCTTTGTCAGATGGATAGATTGCAAAAATTTTCTCCCATTCTGTAGGTTGCCTCTTCACTCTGATGATAGTTTCTTTTGCTGTGCAGAAGATCTTTAGTTTAATTCAATCCCATTTCTCAATTTTGGCTTTTGTTGCCATTGCTTTTGGTGTTTTCATCATAAAGTCTTTGCCGATGCCTGTGTCCTGAATGGTACTGCCTAGGTTTTCTTCTAGGGTTTTCATGGTTTTAGGTCTTATGTTTAAGTCTTTAATCCATCTTGAGTTAATTTTTGTATAAGGTGTAAGGAAGGGGTCCAGTTTCAGTTTTCTGCATATGGCTAGCCAGTTTTCCAACACAATTTATTAAATAGGGAATCCTTTCCCCATTTCTTATTTTTGTCAGGTTTGTCAAAGATCAGATAGTTGTAGATATGTGGCATTATTTCTGAGGGCTCTGTTCTGTTAATATAAAGTTAGCAGTTCCTGTAACCTTTTTTCAAGGTTCTTGGCTTCTTTGCATTGGGTTAGAACATGCTCCTTTAGCTTGGAGGAGTTTGTTATTACCCCACATTCTGAAGCCTACTTCTGTCAATTCATCAAACTCATTCTCCATCCAGTTTTGTTCCCTTGCCGGCGAGGAGTTGTGATCCTTTGGAGGAGGAGAAGCATTCTGGTTTTTGGAATTTTCAGCCTTTTTGCACAAGTTTTTCCTCATCTTTGTGGATTTATCTACCTTTGGTCTTTGATGTTGGTGTCCTTTGGATGGGGTTTTTGTGTGGATGTCCTTTTTGTTGATGTTGATGCTATTCCTTTCTGTTTGTTAGTTTTCCTTCTAACAGTCAGGGCTTTCTTCTGCAAGTCTGCTGGAGTTTGCTGGAGGTGGACTCCAGACCCTGTTTGTCTGGGTATCACCAGTGGACACTACAGAACAGCAAAGAATGCTGCCTGTTCCCTCCTCTGGAAGCTTCACCCCAGAGGGGCACCCACCAGATACCAGCTGGAGCTCTCCTGTATGAGGTGTCTGTCAACCCCTGCTGGAAGGTGTTTCCCTGTCAGGAGGCAGGCAGATCAGGGACCCACTTGAGGAGGCAGTCTGTCCCTTAGTAGAGCTAAGGCACTGTCCTGGGAGATCCACTGCTCTCCTCAGAGCCAGCAGGCAGGAATGTTTAAGTCTGCTGAAGCTGCGCCCACAGACGCTGCTACCCCCAGGTGCTCTGTCCCAGGGAGATGGGAGTTTTATCTATAATCCCCTGACTGGGGCTGATGCCTTTCTTTCAGAGATGCCCTGCCCAGAGAGGAGGAATCTAGAGAGGAAGTCTGGCTACAGTGGCTTTGTGTCACTGTGGTGTGCTCTGCCCCAGGGGCTTTGTTTACACGGTGAGGGGAAAGCTGCCTACTCAAGCCTTATTAATGGCAGACGCCCCTCCCCCCACCAAGCTTTTGTGTCCCAGGTCGACTTCAGACTGCTGTGCTGGCAGCGAGAATTTCAAGCCAGTGGATCTTAGCTTGCTGGGCTCCCTGGGGGTGGGATCGACTGAGCTAGACGACTTGGTTCGCTGGCTTCAGCCCTTTTCCCAGGGGAGTGAACGATTCTGTCTTGCTGGCTTTCCAGGTGCCACTGGGGTACAAAAAAAAAAAAAAAAAAAAAAAACTCCTGCAGCTAGCTCAGTGTCTGCCCAAACAGCCACCCAGGTTTGTGCTTAAAACCCAGGGCCCTGGTGGTGTAGGCACTTGAGGGAATCTCCTGGTCTGTGGGTTTCGAAGACCATGGGAAAAGCATAGTATCTGGGCCAGAATGCATTGTTCCTCATGGCCCAGTCACTCATGGCTTCCCTTGTTAGGGGAGGGAGTTCCCTGACACCTTGCTCTTCCTGGGTGAGGCACCCACTGTCTAACCAGTCCCAATGACATGAGCTGGGTACCTCAGTTGGAAATGCAGAAATCACCCGCCTTCTACATTGATCTCACTGGGAGCTGCAGACCAGAGCTGTTTCTATTTGGCCATCTTGCCAGCCACCAGCAGTAAATATGTCTTCTTTTGAAATGTGCCTGTTCATGTCCTTTGCCCATTTTTTAACAGGGTTGTTTGGTTTTGCTTATAAATTTGTTTAAGTGCCTTATAGATTCTGGATATTAGACCTTTGTCAGTTATATAGTTTGCAAATATTTTCTGCCATTCTGTAGGTTGTCTGTTCACTCTGTTGATAGTTTCTTTTGCTGTGCAGAAGCTCTTCAGTTTATTTAGTTCCCATTTGTCAAGTTTTGTTTTTGTTGCAATTGCTTTTGATGTCTTTGTCATGAAATCTGTGCCAGGTCCTATGTCCTATTTCCTAGGTTTTCTTTCAGAGTTCTTGTAGTTTTAGATTTTACATTTAAGTCTTTAATCCAGCTTGAGTTAATTTTTGTATATGGTGTAAGAAGGGGTCCAGTTTTAATCTTCTGTATATGGCTAGCCAGCTATCCCAGCACCATTTATTGAATAGGGAGTCCTCTCCCCATTGCTTGTTTGTGTCAACTTTGTCAATGATCAAATGGTTGTAGATGTGTGGCATTATGTCTGGGCCCTCTATTCTGTTCCATTTGTCTATGTCTGTTTTTGTAACTGTTTTGATTACTGTAGCCTTGTAGTATAGTTTGAAGTCAGGTAGCATGATGCCTCCATCTTTATTCTTTTGTTAAGGATTATCTTGGCTATTCAGGCTCTTTATTTGGTTCCATATGATTTTAAAATAGTTTTTTCTAGCTCTACGAAGAATGTGCTTGGTAGTTTGATAGGAATATGATTGAATCTGTAAATTGCTTTGGTCAGT
This sequence comes from Homo sapiens, assembly GCF_000001405.40. Taxonomy (NCBI): domain Eukaryota; kingdom Metazoa; phylum Chordata; class Mammalia; order Primates; family Hominidae; genus Homo; species Homo sapiens. Next base: position 161,512,118 of record NC_000002.12, on the reverse strand, counting down.
ATGGACATTTTAATGATATTGATTCTTCCTATACATGAGCATGGAATGTTTTTCCATTTGCTTGTATCATCTCTGATTTCTTTGAGCAGTGTTTTGTAACTCTCATTTCAGAGATGTTTCACCTACCTGGTTCACTTCATTCCTAGGTATGTTATTCCCTTTGTGGCTACTGAGAATGGGATTGCATTCCTGCTTTGGCTCTCAGCTTGGATGTTCTTAATGTTTAGGAATGCTACTAATTGTTGCACATGATTTTGTATCCTGAAACTTTGCTGCAGTTGTTTATCAGATCAAGGAGCTTTTGGGCAGAGATTATGGGGTTTTCTAGGTACAGAATCATATCACCTGCAAACAGGGATAGTTTGACCTCCTCTCTTCCTATTTGTATGCCTTTTATTTCTCTCTTGCCTGATTGCTCTGGCTAGGACTTCCAGTACTATGTTGAATAGGAGTGGTAAGAGAAGGCATCCTTGTCTTATTCCAGTTTTCAAGGGGAATGCTTCCAGCTTTTGCCCATTCAATATGATGTTGGCTGTGGGTCTGTCATAGATGGCTCTTGTTTGGAAGTATGTTCCTTCATTGCCTAGTTTATTGAGAGTTTTTAACATGAATGGATATTAAATTTTATCAAAAGCCATTTCTGCATCTGTTAAGATAATCATGTGGATTTTGTTTTTAGTTCTGTGTATGTGATAAATCACATTTATTGATTTTTGTATGTTGAACCAACCTTGCATCCCAGGGATGAAGGTTACTTGATCGTGGTGGATTAGCTTTTTGATGTGCTGCTGGATTTGCTTGGCTAGTATTTTGTTGAGGACTTTTGCATCTATGTTAATCAAGGACATTGGCCCAATTTCACCATTTCTATTCAACATTATATTGGAAGTTCTAGCCAGAGTAATTAGGCAAAAAAAAAATAAATTATCCAAATAGGAAAAGAAGTTTTTAAAAAAACCCTTATTTATAGACAATATGATCTTGCATATAAAATCCTAAAGAATACACAAAAATTAGCTAATACACTATTTCAGCAAAGTTGCCTGATACAAAACCAACACTCAAAACTCAATTGTACTTCCGTACACTAGCAGTAAACAATCCAAAAAGAAAATTAAGCAATAATTTCATATACAATAGCAGCAAAAAGAATAAAATATTTAGAAAGAAAGCCCACCAAGAAGGTGCAAGACTTTTATAACTACAAAACACTGCTGAATGAAATTAAAGAACCCCTAAATTAATAGAAAAGATGGTTTTTGTTTATGTTCATGGGCAATGCATGAAAAGCAGTTCTAAACAGAAAGTTTATAGGAATAAACATCTACATTTAAAAAGAATAAAGATATCAGAAAAACTGTCCTAATATTATACCTCAGTGAACCAGAAAAATAAGAATAAGTCCAAAGTTAGAAGAAGGAAAGAAATAACATAAGAGAAAAAAATGAAATAAAGACTACCCCCAAAAAATAGAAACGCACACTGAAAAAGTTGATTTTTTAAAAGATAAACAAAATTGAAAAATCCTTAGCCAGACTATCCAGGAGCGAAAAAGAGATGCAAATAAATAAAATCAGAAATAAAGATGAGACATTACAGCCAACACCACATAAATACAAAGCATCATAAGAGACTACAATGAACACCAACAAATTGGATAAGTCCCCTGAAGTGAAAGGATGGTTGAACATACACAAATCAATAAATGTGTTACACTACATTAACAGAATGAAGGATAAAAATTGTATTGTCATCTCAATAGATGCAGAAAGGCACTTGACAAAATTCAACATCATTTTATGATAAAAACTGTCAACAATTAGATATAAAAAAAGTACCTCAACACAATAAAGGCCGTATATCACACAGCCACAGCTAACATCATATGTACTAAGCAGTGAATAGTTGAAAGATTTTTCTCAAAGATCAGGAACAAGACAAGGATGCCTATACTTGCCAATTCTACTTAACGTAGTACTGGAAGTATTAGGCAGAGCAATTTGTCAAAAAAAAAAAAAAATCCAAATTGGAAAGGATGAGGTAAAATTGCCTCTTTTTGTAAATGACATAATCGTATAGACAGTAGACTTTAAGGGCTCCACCAAAAAACTGTTGGAACTAACAAACAAATACAATAAAGTTTCAGAATACAAAATCAACACACAAAAATTAGTTGTGTTTATAACACTAACAACAAAATATCTGAAGAATAAATTAAGAAAGCCATCTCATTTACAACAGCATTACAAAGAATAAAATACTGAGAACAAAACTCTACAAAAGAAGTCAAAGATTTATACATTGAAAACCGCAAAACATTGATGAAAGAAACTGAAGACACAAATAAGGAAAAATATCTATGATCATAAGAACCAATACCATAAAATATCCATACTACCCAAAATAATCTAATCTACAGATTCAATCAAAATTCCAATGTAATTTTTCACAGCAATATAAAAACAAACCTAGAATTCATATAGAACCATAAAAGACTCCAACAGTCAAAGCAATCTTGAGCAAAAAGAACAAAGCTGAAGGCATCACACTTGCTGATTTCAAATTATATTACAAAGCTATAGTAATCAAAACACTATGTACGGTCTTGGTATAAAAACAGACACATACTCTAATGGAACAGAATAGAAAGCCCAGAAATAAACCCATGCATATACACTCAAATATTCTTCTACAGAGGCAGCAATAATAAACAATGGGAAAAGGATAATCTGTTCAATTAATTAGGTTTGGAAAACTGGGTATTCACATGCAAAAAAAAAGAAATTGGATCCTTATCTTACACCATACACAAAAATCAACCCAAAATAGATTACAGATTTAACTGTAAGACCTGAAACTGTAAAACTACTAGGAGAAAATATGGTGGGAAGCTCCATGACATTGGTATTGGCAATGAGTTTTTGGATATCACACCAAAAACACAGTTAATGAAAGCAAAAATAAGCTAGTGCAACTACATCAAAAGAAAAAGTTTTTCCACAGCAAAGGGAATAATCAACAAAATGAAAAGGTAACATGCATAATAGGAGAAAATATTTTCAAACTACATATCTGATAAGGGCTTAATATCCAAAATATATAAGGAACTCATACAACTCAATTGCAAGAAAACAAATAACTCAGTATTTTCAATGGACAAAGAACTTGAATAGACATTGTTTCAAAGAAGACATAAATGGCCAATAGGTATATGAAAAGGTGCCTAACATCACTAGTCATCAGAGAAATGCAAATCAAAACCACAATAGTATATCACCTCACAAGTGTTAGAATAACTATTTATGTATCAAAAAGTCAAAAGATAAGTGCTGTCCAGAATGTGGAGAAAAAAAAAGAACCCATATATATTGTTGGTGGAAATATAGACTGGTACAACCAGTACGGAAAACAGTATGGAGGTTTCTCACAAAGTTAAAAAATAAAAAAGAACTATCATACAATCAAGCAGTCCTACTTCTGGGTATATATCCAAAAGAATAAAATCACTATCCCAAAGAGATAACTGCACTCCCATGTTCATTGCAACATTATTCACAATAGCCAAGACATGGAAACAAAGTGTTTGCTGCTGAATAGATGAAGAAAATGTAGGCTGGACATGGTGGCTCATGCCTGTAATCCCAGCACTTTGGGAGGCCGAGGCAGGTGGGTCCCTTGAGGCCAGGAGTTTGAGACCAGCCTGGCGAACATGATGAAACCCTGGTGGTGCATGCCTCTAATTCCAGCTACTCATGTGGCTAAGGCCGAAGAATCACTTTGAACCTGGGAGGTGGAGGTTGCAGAGAGACAAGATCATACCACTGCACTCCAGCCTGGCCAACAGAGCAAGACGGTGTCTCAAAAAAAAAAAAAAAAAGAAAGAAAATGTGATACACACATATATAATGAAATATCATTCGGCCTTACTTTGGGAGGCTGAGGCGGGCGGATCACGAGGTCAGGAGATTGAGACCATCCTGGCTAACGTGGTGAAACTCCGTCTCTACTAAAAATACAAAAAATTAGCCGGGCGTGGTGACGGGCGCCTGTAGTCCCAGCTACTCCGGAGGCTGAGGCAGGAGAATGGCGTGAACCCAGGAGGCGGAGCTTGCAGTGAGCAGAAATCACGCCACTGCATTCCAGCCTGGGCGACAGAGCGAGACTCTGTCTCAAAAAAAAAAAAAAAAAAAAAAAAAAGAAATATCATTCAGACTTTGAAAAGAAGGAGGCGCGGCCTGGGCCCGCGGCGGCGGCGGCGGCGGGGGTTCTGCCCCGCGAGCGCCGGGCCTAGGCCGGGCGTGCGCGGGGCCAACGGATGGGGCTCGAGGGGGCGAGCGCTGGCGGTGGCGGGTACGGCAGGCTCGCGGGCGCCGGGCTTCGTTACATAATCTCGGACCGGAGGAGCGGTGGCACATGGCGGCGGAACGGCGCTGTGGAAGTATGCGAGACTTAAGAGCTCAAGTGACTAGTGGTCTCCTGCCATTTCCAGAAGTGACTCTTCAAGCCCTTGGAGAAGACGAAATAACATTAGAATCTGTGCTTCGTGGAAAGTTTGCTGCGGGGAAAAATGGACTTGCTTGCTTGGCTTGTGGTCCACAACTTGAGGTAGTAAACTCTATAACAGGAGAGCGATTGTCTGCTTACAGATTCAGTGGAGTCAATGAACAGCCTCCTGTAGTTTTAGCTGTGAAAGAATTCTCTTGGCAGAAGAGAACTGGATTATTAATAGGATTGGAAGAAACAGAAGGGAGTGTTCTCTGTCTTTATGACCTTGGAATATCAAAAGTAGTTAAAGCAGTTGTTCTTCCTGGAAGGGTAACAGCTATTGAACCTATAATTAATCATGGAGGAGCCAGTGCAAGCACTCAGCATTTACATCCAAGTCTGCGATGGCTTTTTGGAGTGGCAGCTGTGGTCACTGATGTTGGACAGATCCTTCTTATTGACCTATGTTTGGATGACTTGTCATGCAATCAAAATGAAGTTGAAGCATCAGATCTTGAAGTTCTAACTGGTATCCCAGCTGAAGTACCACACATTAGAGAAAGTGTGATGAGAGAAGGGCGCCATCTGTGTTTCCAGTTAGTAAGTCCAACAGGAACAGCCGTTTCAACTCTTAGTTACATAAGCAGGACAAATCAGCTTGCTGCAGGTTTTTCTGATGGCTATCTAGCACTTTGGAACATGAAAAGCATGAAAAGAGAATATTACATACAATTGGAAAGTGGACAAGTTCCTGTATATGCTGTCACTTTTCAAGAACCTGAGAATGATCGTCGGAATTGCTGCTACTTGTGGGCTGTTCAGTCTACACAAGATAGTGAAGGGGATGTTTTGAGTTTGCATCTACTGCAGCTGGCCTTTGGTAATAGAAAGTGTTTGGCATCAGGACAAATCTTATATGAGTGGTTAGAATACTGTGAAGAAAGATACACTCTGGACCTGACAGGTGGCATGTTCCCTTTGAGGGGACAGACGAGTAATACCAAATTGTTGGGATGCCAGAGTATAGAGAAATTTCGATCTCATGGTGACAGGGAGGAAGGCGTGAATGAAGCTCTATCGCCTGACACTAGTGTTTCAGTCTTTACCTGGCAGGTGAATATATATGGACAGGGAAAGCCTTCTGTATATTTGGGGCTTTTTGATATAAATCGTTGGTATCATGCACAAATGCCAGATTCGTTAAGGTCAGGAGAATATCTACATAATTGCTCTTATTTTGCACTGTGGTCATTGGAGTCTGTTGTAAGTAGGACTTCTCCACATGGCATCTTGGATATATTAGTACATGAGAGAAGTTTAAATAGAGGAGTCCCTCCTTCATATCCACCTCCCGAGCAGTTTTTTAACCCAAGCACTTATAATTTTGATGCCACTTGTTTGTTAAACTCGGGAGTTGTTCATTTAACTTGTACTGGCTTTCAGAAGGAGACTTTGACTTTTTTAAAGAAATCAGGTCCATCACTCAATGAACTCATTCCTGGTGGTTATAATCGACGTCTTGTAGCTGGCCTTCTTTCCCCAAGTTTTGTTGATGTTCAGCCTTCCAGTTTAAGCCAAGAAGAACAGTTAGAAGCTATATTGTCAACAGCAATTCAGACTAGTTCCCTGGGACTTTTGACTGGTTATATCCGAAGATGGATAACAGAAGAACAACCAAATTCTGCCACTAATTTGCGCTTTGTTCTTGAATGGACGTGGAATAAAGTGGTTCTCACAAAAGAGGAATTTGACAGACTATGTGTGCCATTATTTGATGGTTCGTGTCATTTCATGGATCCACAAACTATACAGTCTATCCAGCAATGCTATTTGCTTCTTAGCAATCTTAATATAGTCTTGAGCTGTTTTGCATCAGAAGCCCGAGAGATCACTGAGAGAGGACTGATAGACTTAAGCAATAAGTTTGTGGTTTCCCACCTCATCTGTCAGTATGCACAAGTGGTTCTTTGGTTCTCTCATTCTGGGCTTTTACCAGAAGGCATAGATGATTCTGTGCAGTTGTCAAGGTTATGCTACAACTACCCTGTAATTCAGAACTACTACACCAGTCGTCGACAGAAGTTTGAGCGTTTATCAAGAGGGAAGTGGAATCCCGATTGCTTGATGATTGATGGACTGGTTTCTCAGTTAGGAGAGCGAATTGAGAAGTTGTGGAAACGAGATGAAGGAGGCACAGGAAAATATCCTCCTGCTAGTCTGCATGCAGTACTTGATATGTACCTATTAGATGGCGTTACTGAAGCAGCCAAACACTCTATTACCATTTATTTGCTACTTGATATTATGTATTCCTTTCCCAACAAAACAGACACTCCCATTGAATCTTTCCCAACTGTATTTGCCATTTCTTGGGGCCAAGTTAAACTTATTCAGGGTTTTGGTTGATAGATCATAATGACTATGAGAGTGGTTTGGATCTTTTGTTTCATCCAGCTACTGCAAAACCTTTGTCATGGCAACATTCAAAGATTATTCAGGCATTCATGAGTCAGGGCGAGCACAGACAAGCCCTCAGATATATTCAGACAATGAAGCCAACAGTGTCCAGTGGTAGCGATGTTATCCTTCACCTCACTGTTTTGCTTTTTAGTAGGTGCATGGTTGAAGCCTGGAATTTTTTGCGGCAACATTGCAATAGGTTGAATATAGAGGAGTTACTGAAGCACATGTATGAAGTCTGTCAGGAAATGGGCTTGATGGAAGATTTACTGAAGTTACCATTTACAGACACTGAGCAGGAATGTTTAGTGAAATTTTTGCAGTCCAGTGCCAGCATTCAGAGTCATGAATTCCTTTTAGTGCACCATTTGCAGCATGCCAATTATGTGCCTCCCTTGAAGCTGAACCAAACTCTGAAGATTAATGTTATGAATGATCGTGATCCTCGTTTGCGGGAGAGATCACTGGCTCGAAATTCTATATTAGACCAGTATGGAAAAATCCTTCCTAGAGTCCATCGAAAATTAGCCATTGAACGAGCTAAGCCTTATCATCTGTCAACATCATCAGTTTTTCGATTAGTTTCTAGACCCAAACCATTATCAGCAGTTCCAAAGCAAGTTGTAACAGGAACTGTGTTGACAAGATCTGTTTTCATCAACAATGTGTTATCTAAAATTGGAGAAGTTTGGGCAAGCAAAGAACCTATAAATAGCACCACACCTTTCAATAGTTCTAAAATAGAAGAACCATCTCCTATAGTGTATTCGCTCCCAGCTCCAGAGCTGCCTGAGGCATTTTTTGGAACACCAATTTCAAAAGCATCACAAAAAATTTCTAGACTGCTAGATTTGGTTGTTCAGCCTGTCCCCCGGCCTTCTCAGTGTTCGGAGTTTATTCAGCAAAGCTCCATGAAATCTCCTTTGTACCTAGTATCCCGTTCACTGCCCTCAAGTTCACAATTAAAAGGATCGCCTCAGGCCATCTCCAGGGCTTCAGAATTACATTTGCTTGAAACTCCTCTTGTAGTTAACAAAGCTAAAAGTTTGGCCATGTCAGTTACTACTTCTGGATTTTCTGAGTTCACTCCTCAGTCCATCCTGAGGTCTACTCTTCGATCAACACCTTTAGCATCTCCCTCTCCATCACCTGGAAGGTCTCCTCAACGACTTAAAGAAACTAGAATTTCATTTGTGGAAGAAGATGTCCACCCAAAGTGGATTCCTGGGGCTGCAGATGATAGCAAATTAGAAGTATTTACTACACCTAAAAAATGTGCAGTTCCAGTGGAAACTGAATGGCTGAAGAGCAAAGATAGGACCACATCTTTTTTCCTGAACAGCCCTGAAAAGGAGCATCAAGAAATGGATGTGGGGTCACAAAGTTTAGAGAAACTGGATGTGAGCAAAGGAAACAGCAGTGTTTCAATCACATCCGATGAGACTACCTTAGAGTATCAGGATGCACTGTCACCGGAAGACCTTGAAGAGACTGTTTTCACGGCCTCTAAGCCCAAAAGCTCTTCCACTGCACTAACTACTAATGTAACTGAACAAACTGAAAAGGATGGAGATAAAGATGTATTTGCATCAGAAGTAACTCCTTCAGACCTACAGAAACAAATGGGCAATTTAGAAGATGCAGAAACAAGGATCTCTTAGTTGCAGCAGAGGCATTTTCAGAATTGAATCACTTAAGCCCAGTTCAAGGAACTGAAGCTTCTCTTTGTGCACCATCAGTCTATGAAGGGAAAATCTTCACCCAGAAGTCCAAGGTACCAGTGTTGGATGAAGGATTAACATCTGTTGAAACCTACACCTCTGCAATTAGAGCAAATGACAATAAATCTATGGCTGATGTCCTTGGTGATGGTGGAAACTCCTCACTCACTATCTCTGAAGGTCCTATTGTCTCTGAGCGCAGGCTTAACCAGGAAGTAGCGCTGAACTTAAAAGAAGATCATGAAGTAGAAGTTGGTGTACTAAAAGAAAGTGTTGACTTACCAGAAGAAAAGCTTCCAATTTCTGACAGCCCTCCTGATACTCAAGAAATTCATGTGATTGAACAGGAAAAGCTTGAAGCTCAAGATTCAGGAGAAGAGGCTAGGAATCTTTCATTTAATGAGTTATATCCCTCTGGAACACTTAAGCTTCAGTACAATTTTGATACTATTGACCAACAGTTTTGTGACTTAGCTGATAATAAAGACACTGCTGAATGTGACATTGCTGAAGTAGATGGGGAACTTTTTGTGGCTCCAAGCAACTTTACCTTGATATTGGAAGGTGAAGAAGGAGAAGTTGAGCCAGGTGATTTTGCATCATCTGATGTGTTACCTAAAGCAGCTAACACAGCAACTGAAGAAAAACTTGTATGCAGTGGGAAAAATGATAATCATGGACAAGTTGCAAATTTGCCATCTGCTGTAACTAGTGACCAAAAGTCCCAAAAAGTAGAGACTTTACCATATGTGCCTGAACCTATTAAAGTAGCAATTGCAGAAAATTTGCTAGACGTAATTAAAGACACAAGAAGTAAAGAAATTACTTCAGATACAATGGAACAGTCCATTCATGAAACAATACCTTTAGTGAGCCAAAACATAATGTGTCCCACTAAATTAGTCAAATCTGCATTTAAGACTGCTCAGGAAACAAGCACAATGACTATGAATGTCAGCCAGGTTGATGACGTGGTTTCCTCCAAAACTCGTACGAGAGGTCAACGTATCCAAAACGTGAATGTCAAATCAGCACAACAGGAAGCATCAGCAGATGTTGCTACTCCTAAGATGCCAGGGCAGTCAGTCAAGAAGAAAACTAGGAAGGCAAAAGAAATTTCTGAAGCTTCTGAAAACATCTATTCTGATGTCAGAGGACTATCTCAGAACCAGCAAATACCTCAAAATTCTGTTACGCCTAGGAGAGGAAGGAGAAAGAAAGAAGTTAATCAGGACATACTAGAAAACACCAGTTCTGTGGAACAAGAATTACAGATCACTACAGGTAGGGAATCAAAAAGATTAAAATCATCTCAGCTGTTGGAACCAGCAGTTGAAGAAACTACTAAAAAAGAAGTTAAGGTTTCATCTGTTACAAAAAGGACTCCTAGAACAATTAAAAGATCTGTAGAAAATCAGGAAAGTGTTGAAATTATAAATGATCTAAAAGTTAGTACGGTAACAAGTCCTAGCAGAATGATCAGAAAATTGAGAAGTGCTCATTTAGATGCTTCTGAAAATACAGGAAATAAGCAAGAAGATAAATCCAGTGACAAGCAGCTGCCTATTAAACATATTAGAAGGGTCAGAGGGAGAGAAGTTAGTCCATCAGATGTGAGAGAAAACTCCAACCTTGAGTCATCTCAGTTGACTCTTCAAGCAGAATTTGATATGTCTGCCATACCTAGAAAACGTGGTAGACCAAGAAAAATCAATCCATCTGAAGATGTAGGATCTAAGGCTGTTAAGGAAGAGAGAAGCCCCAAGAAGAAAGAGGCTCCCAGCATTAAAAGGAGATCTACAAGAAATACCCCAGCTAAAAGTGAAAATGTTGATGTTGGAAAACCAGCTTTAGGAAAATCCATTTTAGTGCCAAACGAGGAACTTTCGATGGTGATGAGCTCTAAGAAAAAACTTACAAAAAAGACTGAAAGTCAAAGTCAAAAACGTTCATTGCACTCAGTATCAGAAGAACGCACAGATGAAATGACACATAAAGAAACAAATGAGCAGGAAGAAAGATTGCTCGCCACAGCTTCCTTCACTAAATCATCCCGCAGCACCAGGACTCAGTCTAGCAAGGCCATCTTGTTGCCGGACCTTTCTGAACCAAACAATGAGCCTTTATTTTCTCCAGCGGCAGAAGTTCCAAGAAAGCAAAAGCTAAAAAAATAGAGGTTCCTGCACAGCTGAAAGAATTAGTTTCGGATTTATCTTCTCAGTTTGTCATCTCACCTCCTGCTTTAAGGAGCAGACAAAAAAACACATCCAATAAGAACAAGCTTGAAGATGAACTGAAAGATGATGCACAATCAGTAGAAACTGTGGGAAAGCCAAAAGCGAAAGGAATCAGGACGTCAAAAACAAAACAAGCAAAAACACAGAAAAAGAAAGTGCTTGGTCACCTCCTGCCGTAGAAATTCGGCTGATTTCCCCCTTGGCTAGCCCAGTTGACGGAGTCAAGAGCAAACCAAGAAAAACTACAGAAGTGACAGGAACAGGTCTTGGAAGGAACAGAAAGAAACTGTCTTCCTATCCAAAGCAAATTTTACGCAGAAAAATGCTGTAATTTCTTGGGAAGTTTTTAATGTACACCTATTTGTAAAGTCATCAGAATAGTGTGGATTATTAAATATCTAGTTTGGAAGAAAATAATTTATATAAATTATTGTAAATTTGTATGTAAACAGAAGGTCTTCAATAAGTAAAGTAACTCCATATGGAGTGATTGTTTCAGTCCAGGCAATTTTTCTATTTTATATTAAGACTTCATACGTTTATATATGTAAATATGGCTTATTAATGGAATGTTAAATGAAATGTATACTTCACAGTCGTTTGTGTCTTGGATTTTTGAAAGGGAGGGGATATCTGTTTAAATAGTTTTATATGCTCATTGGTCTCATTTTCTCTATAATTAAAATACTAGACCAGTCTTAAAATGGGGATGATTGAAGTATTGATGTTTCTTTTTACAGTTACTATTTTATAATTTATGCACTTTGATTCTGTGATTCAGATTTCTAATCATAAAATGTATTTTTTTGTTTTTGGCTGTTACTATGTTAAAATTGAATTATGGGCATGTAATTTTGCCATCTTTGTAGTTTCACAAATTTTGTGCAATCTACCTCAAATGAATAATCCAAGTATTGGTTAACTATAATGTTGGCATCTCTTATTCGGCAAGCTTAAAGGCTCTTTAAAGTCTTAATTAGTCAAAGACTAATCCAGGTTATATTGACCGGTTCACTGCTCACTTGCAACCTTATCAAAGGATTTGACAAAGGGAAATGTAAAATAAATCTGTTTATGGATATTGAGTGCATCTTGTATGTGCCTAATATTGATAGGATGAGATGTCTGAACAAATTTTTATAATATTGTTGTGAAGGAGCTTGCTACTGAACCACAGAAATCCCTTAATATTCAGGTTTTAAAACTGGCAAATTCTCACAGGACCTCAGGCACAGATTATTAAGGTTGGGAGAGAGTGAGTAGATGTAGAAAAGGAGAAAAACAACACACGCCCTGTTCTCTACAGTACAACTGTGTGCAATTAAGCAATGGTACTTGATGTAGGCTCTAACACTCATCAATAAATAAGTGTTGTAAAATAATTTATAACAGGTAATTGATAGTGTGTAATGAATGGACTATTAATAATTGATCATCTAGAAACGAACTGCTTTCGTGGGCTAAGCTTTTAATATTTTAATGTGAAGCATATGCAGTGTGCTTTCTGCATTTATTTTTCTACCAAATAATACAGATAATGAGAAATTGGTGAAAATGCCTACGCCAAGTGTTGACAGTGTGAAAGTAGCAGTGCGAGTGCGGCCTTTTAGTCAGGTTAGTGATGGATGTTACGCTGTCTTGTTGAAAATTTCACTGACTTTGATTTTATTACTTTTTTAATGATAGTTATCAAACTTGTATTTAAGCTGCTTGTCATTTATGGAATATTGAACTTATTTAAATGAACTTGTTAAATGAATAAAGAGCTAAACATAATTCAGTAAACAATTTTATTCCTTTGCGCAAGTAGCACAATAAACATGGATGCAATGTATGTCAAGTTAATACTTTTTTAAACCAACGCAATTTGGTGAATATAGATGTGTGGTACCTGTTTTTAATAAATGTACTTTTTCCCCCTCTGTGAATGTAGATCATAAGCAAACAAATTGCCTGTTCTAAATGAACTTTATATATATTTTAAATGAATGTATGTACTTATGTATAAATGTCTTTATATAGCTTGAATAAAAACACTGCTCATTAAAATGTGTTGCTACAACAAAAAAAAAAAGAAAAGAAGGAAATTCTGTCATTTGTAACATGAACCTGTAGGATATTATGCTAAATAAAAAAAGCTAAGTACAGGAAAACAGACACTGCATGAGCTCACTTATATGTGGAATCTAAAAATGTCAAACTTATAGAAGCAGAGAGTGGAATTGTGGTTGCCACTAAGGGTGGGAGAAATGGGGAGATGTTGGTCAAGGGGTACTAAGTTTCAGTTAGGATGAGTAAGTTCTAGAATCTAATGTAAGGCATGGTGGCCATGGTTAATAATCATGTGTTGCATACTTGAAGTTTGCTAAGAAAGTAAACTTTTAGTCTCACAAAAAAAGAGGGCAACTATGTGAAATAAAGATGTTGATTAGTTTAATTGCAGTAAACATTTCACAATGTATACACACACCAAAACATCACACTGTACATCTTTTTTTTTATTTGTTAATTATACCTCCATACAGCAGAAGAAAAGGCATTCTGGGCTCACACCTGCAATCCCAGCACTTTGGGAGGCCAAGGCGAGTGGATCACCTGAGGTCAAGAGCTCGAGACCAGCCTGGCCAACATGGTGAAACCCCGTCTCTGCTAAAAATACAAAAATTAGCTGAGTGTGGTGGTGGGCATCTGTAATCCCAGCTACTCAGGAGGCTGAGACAAAAGAATCACTTGAACCCAGGAGGCAGAGGTTGCAGTGAGCCAAGATCACACTATTGCACTCCAGCCTGGGTGACAAGAGTGAAACTCCATCTCAAAAAAAAAAAATAAAGAAAGAAAAGAAAAGGCATTCTGTGCTTGTGAATTGGAAGATTTAATATTATTAAGATGACAATACTCCCCTAAAATAATCTACAGATTCGATGTGATCCCTATCAAAATCCCAACAGCCTTTACTGCAGAAATGGAAAAGCTCTTCCCAAATTTATATGAAATCCCAAGGAACCCCAAACAGCCAAAACAATCTTGAAAAAGAAAAAGAAAGTTGGGGGACTCAAGTTTCCTGATTTCAAAACTATGAAATTACCATAATCAAAACAGTGGTACAGGTAGGAAAACAGACATACACATCAATGAAATTGAATTGATGGGTGCATAGATAAACCCATGTATCTATGGTCAACCGATTTTTGACAAGGGTACCAGAACCACTCAATGGGGAAAGTGTAGTCTCTTCAACAAATGGTGCTGAGACAATTAGATACCCACATGCAAAAGAACAATGTTGGAACCTAACCTCACACCATATACAAAAATTAACTCAAAATGTATCAAAGACCTAAATATAGGAGCTAAAATTACAAACTCTTAGAAGAAAACATAAGGACAAATCTTCATGGTCTTGAATTTGGCAATAGATTCTTAGATATGACACCAAAAACACAAGAAACTAAAGAAATAATAGATAAATTGGACTTTATAAAAATTTTAAATGTGTGTGTATTAAAGGACATTATCAACAGAGTGGAAAGACAACTCACGGAATGGGAGAAAATATTTGAAAATCATATATCTGATAAGAGTCTAACACCCAGAATATTTAAAGAACTCTTAAAACTCAACAACAATAAGACACAAAACTCAATTACAAAATGGGCAAAGGACTTGGATAGACATTTCTTCAAAGAAAATATACAAATGACCAACAAACACATGAAAAGATGCTCAACCCTGTTAGGCATTAGAGAAACGTAAATCAAAGCTGCAGTAAGATAATACTTCAAAAACATTAGGATGGCTACAAAAAATTTTTTTTAAAGAAAAAGAATGTAAGTGTTGACAAGGATGTGTGAAAGTGGAAAGAAACCTCATGCATTACTGTGAAAATGTAAAGTGGTGTCCACACTGTAGAAAACAATTTTGTGTGGTTCCTCAAAAAGTTAAACATAGAATTACCATATGAACCCCACAATTTCACTCCTAGATATATGCCCAAATAAACTGAAAATCGGTGTTCAAAAAGAAATCTCATGCACAAATGTTCATAGCAGCACTATTCACAATAGCCAAAAGGTGGAAACAACCCAAATGTCCACCAGCAAAAGAATGGATAAATAAAATGTGATACATCCATACAATGCAATATTACTCAGCCATAAAAAGGAATGAAATACTGACACATGCTACAACATGAATGAACCTGAAAACAATTTGCTAAGTGAAAGAAGCCAGACACAAAAGGCCATGTATTATATAATATCATTTACGTGAAAGATCCAGAATAGGTAAATCCACAAATACAGATAGCAGGCTAATGGTTGCCAGGGTTTGTGGAGAGAGAGAAATGAGAAGTTAATACTTAACAGGTATGGGGTTTCCTTTGGGAATAATGAAGATGTTCTGGACCTTAGAGATGGTTGCACAACATTGTGAATGTACTAAATGTAACTGAATTGGGTACTTTAACATTATTAAAATGGTGAATTTTATGTTATATGTATTTGGCCACTATATATCATATATTTTATTTATTTATTCATATATTTATATATATATATATTCAATGATCATGTTCAAATGGTAACAAATTAGTAATGCCAACTTTCCTCGTGATAAGTAGGTAAGGAAATTGGTAATCAGTTTTACAAAGGCTTTCAAAGTTAGTACAAAGTATTAAACTTATTCTCAAGGCTTGACGTGGTGGCTCACACCTGTAATCCCAACAGTTTAGGAGGTCAAGGTGAGAGGGTCGCTTGAGATGAGGAGTTCAAGGCCAGCCTGGTCAACACAGTAAGACCCTATCTCTAAAAAAAATTGTTTTTAATTTTTTTTACTTAGGAAGCTGAGGCAGGAGGATCACTTGAGCCCAGGAGTTCCAGGCTGCATTGAGCATGATTGTGCTACTGCATTCCAGCCTGGGGAGCAGACCAAGACCCTGTCTATTAAAAAATTAAAAATTAAAATAAACTTACTGCCAAGACTTGAAGAGAGGGCAAAGTATAAGATAGTCTGGACCCTGACTTTCATGGCAACAATGAATAATTAATTTTTTTAAAGAAAGAATTACAATAGTAAGAAGTAGTAAATACATGGGATTCATTCCTTCCAAGAACGTACAAACTGATGATATAAATATCTTCAAAATTATTTAAAGTGAAATATGATAGAATCATAAAGTCTTAGGGAAATTTACAATGATTTAGTTTGATTGATATGAGGGAGAGAAATGTTTGCCTCCTCCAATATGCTCCTTGGTTCTAACTAGCAGAAACTAAATATTGGGTCAGAAAAACTGTGGACTAACTCCACATAGCAGTTTCTATATTCTTAATTCACTATAAGTATATAAGTCCATTTGAGTCTTCAAACCTGTTAGGTTGCTGCAAAAGTAATTATGGCTTTGGCCACTAAAATATCTTATTCCAAGCCTGTCTACAAAACATTTCATTGACAGATGTGGCTGGTGGTAGCTTTCCATTGTTAACAAAAGTTAGTTTCTTGTCTTGAGGAATGAGTTTGTTTGAAAATCTTTCTGTATTTTTTTCTAATTATGTTGGTACATCCACTAAAATTCTGTTTTCATAACAACTACTATTCATGGATGTCTATTTTTGTTTTATATGAAAGGAAAACTGAAATTTAGAAACACAATGGCACATTTTTAAAATATTCATTTATAAATGGGCTAGCTTTGGACCAATGAGCTAGCTTTGGGGAAAAAATGTTTACATTTTTGTTTCCTTTAAAAATTATACTAAAGTTATTCTAAATCATTTATTTACTGTTAGGTTCATAAAGCTCACATCTGGTGGTGATATAGGTATCATGCCAGTGATTAAGATCTTGGATTAGCAATGCTAATAATAATTTGTACACAGATGTTACAAAACCTAACCTCTTGTTATTCTAGTTGTACTTATTTTTACGTAACACACAAAATTGGGGCTTTTTCAAGTAAACAAATGACATCTACATTTTAAACCCAAATAAATTTCTGGCTTAACTCCTACAAGTTGAAATCTACCCTCTGCGGTTATATCTCCTTTAATTCAATGACTACATTGAATGTAAGGAGTTCTGTGCCAGCCCACTAAACCTGTCAGGGTACCAAGGGAAAAAAGGTGATAGGCTCTCTATACAAAAAGTATATATAAAGTGTTAGCATACATCAATTTATTCATTCCTTAAGATCTATTAAAAATCTACTGCTTGTCAGATAACAAGCAAGGCACTAATGATGTATCTGAGAACAAACACATTTCTTGTTCTAAAGGAGGTTATCCTGTTGTCAGGGTATTAAATCATATTACTATTCAAATAACTAAATAATTTTTAAAGGGTCATGACATGCCTCCATTAAGGTATTTTTTTAATTCCAAACACTTTTAAATTTGCTTTGTAAAAATATTATTAAGACCTGAGACATTAAGATTAAACGGAGTTACCAGAGATTTTAGAGATTAAAGTCTAATACTTGATAATTCTGCCAAGGCTTTGGATTAAGCATTATAACATCAATAATATATATGCGAACCTGGGAAGTACTCAGCAAAACTATATTAGTTAGGGTCTTTTGCACTGCAGGGAATATAGGTACGCTGAAGTGATACAGATTTACTATACAAATACATGGGGAAGAAAGAAAACTCAGGAAACCGAATCAGCTGCTATACACCCAGACAACACAGAGAAGTATAAAATCAGCTCCTTGTTGTTCTGGATACAACAGTGGTTTTAAAGCCCAACTCTAGGAACCAACTAGGAGCCCTGAAAACTTGCTTATATACTGATCTCTTCTGTCTCAAGTATATGTTGCCTGTCTTATGGTAATTCTGCCATTTTTGGAATTCAGCCCTCTCTTTCCCTCACGCACCACACACACACAAAAATCCTGTCTGTTCTAGCTTCAAAATATATCCTGAATTCAACCACTGTCATGACCCACAGCTAATACCCCATTCTAAGCCACCATCATCTTTCCTGGACTACTACAATTCCCTACTAGCCCATCTTTCTACTTCTACTCTAACTCAGTCAGCTCTCCAGACAGTAGCTCAAATAATCTTGTTAAAATGCATATCATACCATGTCACTTTCCTGTTCAAAACCCTCCAGTGACTTCCATTACATTAAAATAAAACAAGAGTTTCTTACCATGGTTTGTAAAGCTGTATATAATCTAATCCCTAGAAACAACCCAATCTCATTAGCTACAAATCCCATTAGAAGAAGCCTTCTTCTTATAATTGTAGCCTTCTTCTGGCTGTTCCTCAAATATGACAAGCATACTCTTGCCTCGAGGCTTTTCCACATATTATTTTCTCTGCCTAGAAATTACTCTTTTCCCAGATAATCTCATGGCTTCCTCCTTATGTTATCCAAGTGTCCCTCTAACTCCTAAAAGGGGCCTTCCCTGGACACCTAAACTAAAACATGACTCTAGTCCCTTCTCCAATTTATTATTCTTCCTGGACTTATCACTACCTGAAAAAATATTATAAAATTGTTCTTTTTTGGGGGGGAGGACACAATCTCATTCTGTCACCCAGGCTGGAGTGCAGTGGCAGTAATCACAGCTCACTGTAGCCTCGACCTCCCAGGCTCAAGTGATCCTCCTGCCTCAGCCTCCCCAGTAAGTGGGACCACAGGTACATGCCACCACACTTGGTTATTTTTTTTTTTTGTAGAGACCAGGTCTCAACATGTTAGTCAGGCTGGTCTTGAGCTCCTGGGCTTAAGTGATCCTCCCACCTCAGCCTCCCAAAGTACTGGGATTACAAGCATGAGCCACCACACCAGGCCTATAATTATTCTTTATATATTAGTCAGTCTCCCCAGCTAGAATTAAGCCCATGAAGGCAAACTTTTGTTTACTACTGCATCTTGAGCATCACAGAACAGTGCCTGGCACATAGCAGACATTCAATATTTATTTAAAAAACTAATTACTTCCTATGTCTCTCTGCTTTTCTCTCTACTACTCTGCTTCCAATTATCTTGAACTCAAAACTCTTGAGAGAGATGTTCCTTTCATGAGTTAATTACCATCCAACTTTACCTGAGTGTCTATTCAGGTCAGGTCACCCAACAAGTAGCCAGATAGGTGGCTTGGCTACAGCAGCAATATCTGGTCTTCAGTCTCTATTAGGAGAGTACCAGAGTCACATGGCATAAACCATGAAATGTTATATTCAAGGAGTCACCTGTGGCTATTTTCCTCAGGTGGAGTTTGTATAATAACATAATGGACACTTAGGTTCTTGAACTCTTCTCCAACATAAAAATAACAAAGTAGATCTTCCTCTGATTATTTTCTTTCACTCCTCTTCCCATTAAGGGCTACAGATTTTCAAACCACCTACCTCAGGTAACAAATAAGGCCAGAGATCCTAAGAAATTCCCTTGTTCTCCTCACCACAATGGTCGTAGTACTTCTGTCTACCTCTAATCAAACTCCTAACCTCAGATTCATTACTTCTCAGTTTTATGGGAGAAATTTTCTAATCTATAAATCCATATGCTATGGTGTGCTGTAGGTAATTTGTTACCTTTTTCTAAACATTTTTTCTCATTTTATAAGGAATTCTATAGAAAGCAATGCCTTAATTCAACAGCAAAAACCTCTCATATTCCATTTCAGGCAATACGATGATGATCTTAGGGATTATGAATTGGAGCAGGATGGCCTTTCTACAGTCCCTCAAATGACATCACTTAATGACTTTTGCTAGCCTATTTATGATACTACCCCTACTGCATGCAACTCTCATTCATTAACAGCCATTCAATAAACATTATTGAGTACCTATTATCAGCAAGGGACCATGAAGTGTTCTTGGATCACAACTACATTGCCCACAGAAGAGCAGGCTTTCATTTCAACAGAAAGTTATCCCCCCTAATATTGTGTTATTAGGTGTTTCTGAGAATAAACACATTTCTGAAGCATGTTTTATGAGCAACAACCATTGTGGATTACTCAGACTTCTTTACTATGGAACATTTGTTTGCAGATTTACTGTAGGAGTACAGATGTTATGAAATTATAAAATTTATAAGGGAACTTTTCTAATGTATAAATCTATGAGCTACAGTGTCACTGCCAGTTTAGTTGAGAAAGTTAGATTTATGGTGTACTCTGCCCAACTTGTTCAACAATCTATTTTACACCATTTTTAGGCCATAATTGTCCAAAGCAATGTTTACTAAAAGAGAGTAGTACCATGCTTCAGCGTATACCATTTATACAGATTTCATCAGAATAGGTACAAACACTTCACTGAGACTTTCATAAATCCCCATGACACCCATTTTTTTTTTGTTACTATGGTCAAAATATGTTTCATTTCATAAATTGATCAACCATTCCTAATTTTGATAAAAAGGTAACACCTGTTCTTTGTAAAAGTTATTTGAAAAATGTTCATCTTCACCAGCTTTAAAATCATCTCTTTAACCAGTTTTAATAAGCCCAACAATATAGCCACGATACATTAATTACCATCTGCACTAAATGCTGTCCTCCCACTCTGCCTTGTTATTCTTACACCTAATCCTCTTTGTAACCCTTACACCTCCCACACTCTCTATCCTAACTTCATAATTGTCAAAAGGAATGATTATTTCATCTCACACACCATCATTTTCAACGAATTTTCTCATCCTGGTGATGCCTTTAATTTCGACCAGCAGACTGTATATACGACCTTTCTTCTCCTGCCATCAGTGGGATGACATTGATAAACTCTGTATCTCTACTCTTCCAAAAAATGATTTCTATGTGTTGCTTTGACTCTTAAACATATGGAACACATTTATAACATTCTAATATCCTCATGTTCACAGACATTATATCCACAACATTTTTATCTTCTGCAATGACATTTCAAAGATCAAATATCTAAGCCACTTTACTCAATTGTGAAACCTTATACTAATTAAGCCAAGGGTGTGAGCTCAAGGGCTATAATAACCAATTATCTAGAAAAAAACAGCAAAATTCTTCTTCAGGGCCCCAGACTATATCTCAAGGGTAGGTAAAAGGTCCACCATTTCATCAATATTAGAGGACATCATCAAAGTATATAGATTACCAAATAGTATCACACTACATTTGAAAAGCAGTTCATTCACAGGCATGTCCTAGTGATAGTAAATCAGTAGTATCAACTCCACATGCTCAGGACAGTATATCACACGCACATAATTCTTATGCAATATTAATGACATAAGTATAATTAGTTTGCATAGCATTCCTATCCACAGATCCTTGTTTAAGATGATGGGACAAATCTAGCTTCATAGAATAGATCTGTAGCATAGTCTAGTGGAAAGACCAATGAGTTGGAAATTATAAGACTGAATCTTTTTCCTAACTCTTCTTTCCATTCCACCTGGTAACAATTTAATCCACATTTGTTCCAGATGGTGGAAAATGCATGAAGGTGAACAATTCTCTAAAACTCTTCTACTTGAGGGGTAAATATCTGCTATGTCTAGAGAGTGGAGAGAAGGAACGCTCGAAAACTCTCAGAGTCCAAAATGAACTGACAGAAAATAAGCAGTTTGCCAAGGAATTCAGCAGTGAGTGTTAATAAAGGGCACCATAAAGAAATATATCCCTTCATATCTACATAGTATTGACTATGATTTAGATATTATGCCAGGCTAAAGTTATGGAAATGAATGTGTCTCACAATGGGTCTATGGTCCCAGGGAGTCTCAACATATATTTTCTGTGAGATTTTCTGTGTGTGTGTGTGTGTGTGTGTGTGTGTGTGTGTGTGTGTGTGTGTGAGAGAGAGAGAGAGAGAGAGAGAGAGAGACAGGGTCTCGCTCTGTCACCCAGACTGGAGTGCTGTGGTGTGATCATGGCTTACTGCAATCTCTGCCTCCTGGATTCAAGTGATCCTCCCACCTCAGCCTCCCAAATAGCTAGGACTATAGGTTTAAGGCAACATGGCTGGCTAATTTTTGTATTTTTTAGTAGAGACAGCGTTTT
Organism: Homo sapiens; assembly: GCF_000001405.40. Taxonomy (NCBI): domain Eukaryota; kingdom Metazoa; phylum Chordata; class Mammalia; order Primates; family Hominidae; genus Homo; species Homo sapiens. The sequence goes on along the minus strand of NC_000002.12, from coordinate 161,490,216 downwards.
GCCATGTTGCCTAGGCTGGTCTGGAACTCCTGGGCTCAAGTGATCTGCAGCCTGGGCCTCCCAAAGTGCTGGGATGACAGGCATGAGCCACTGCACCAGGCCATGATTATTTTATATATATTTTAATTTCCATGTTAATTTTTAGAAATTATTATCACCACTTTCCATATCATTTGAATGCTTGCCTTCCAATAATATTACCATATAAATTGCCAGGCATGGTCCCAGCACTTTGGGAGGCTGAGGCGGGAGGATTGCTTGAGTCCAGGTGTTCAAGACCAGCCTGGACAACACAGGGAGACCTCATCTCTAAGAAAAATAAAAATAAAAAAATTAACCAAGTGTGGTGGCACGTCCCTGTAGTCCTAGCTATAGGGAGGCTGAGGTGAGAAAATCACTTGAGCCCAGGAGTTCAAGGCTACAGGGAGCTGTGATCAGGTCACTGCACTCCAGCCTGGGTGACAGAGCGAGACCATCTCAAAGAATACATTATATATTACCATGTAATTTCAGTACCTATGTTGGTCTATGTTGGTTTTTTTCTTTACAATTACTTCAGGTCCGATGAATCACCTAATATGAGAGCAATTTTGGCCTGACATGGGGAACTCCAGAGCTCCCTGTTGAGTTGGACAAGGCTTTGTCAGGCCTACTTCACAGTTCGGTTTCTTCTTCTTCTCAATACCACTTCCCTCTGCCCTTGCCTTTAATAGGAATTGATCCCTAACAGACATCTTGCACCCCAAATTCCATCTCAATGCTGACTTCCAGAGAACCCAGTCTATGAAAGTTGGCCCTGGGAGTGGTCTCAAAAATGAGCAGTAAGGTGAAACTATGGAGCATGAAATGACAATGAAGATTCCATCAGTGATGGGTAGGTAGAGCACAGACAGCCAAGTGACATCCAGTTATTAAAACATTCCCTGGTAACAAATTGGGAGGGTGTACTGATGGAAGGCAATACACTAGCATGGAGGAAACAGTGACTAAAAGGGTAATACATTTAGATTATTATTTCAAAGCCCCATTGATGCCCAATAGTAGATAACAAACGAATAAGAGTAACAGGCAATTGAAAGCCACATGTGAAAGCCAGCAGACCTCTTCAATTTTATACTATCATTTCCCACAGTGGGAGGGCACAGAAAGCAAGAACTAAGCCCAGGACTTAATTGTCAGAGTGGCTAAACTTCAAAGACAATTATATATGCAACCAAAGCAGGTCTGTGTACAAAGACCAAGAACTTGGTTGAAAAAACATGTAACTGGAGCACATGAAATGTGGACATCTTGGTGGATACCTTAGATTTTGACTCCTTAGACTCCTCTTGACCTACTGAGACTTTAAAATTAGACCTCTCCTCATTGAGAGCTAGTACAGCTGACCTCCATCCTCCATCCAGCTCCCATGCATCGCCATACATCCCCAGCCATCACCACCCCAGGTGGTAGAAGATAATTCAGAGGCCTCTGCCCTGCAAGACAATATATGTCTCTTTAGTACCTAGCCCCGGCTCTCCTCTGAGCTATGAGACCCATAATTAGAATTAAGTTTCAGCCTAACCCAATTGAGGAAATTGTAGCCCTTATAAAAGAAAAAGAATCTAGCATGGGCTACAGAATGACACTCTCTCAAAAAAAGGGGGGGAAGGAGAAGGAAGGAAGGAAGGAAGGAAGGAAGGAAGGAAGGAAGGAAGGAAGGAAATTATACTTGAAACAAGTGCAAAATCTAGGCATTATATACCAGCAAGAACCTGAGGAGTACATGTGGGACCAGGTTCTGAAGGTGTTTAATTAAGGCACCAGAACATAAATTGTATTAGGAATAGTTCAGTCACCTAGGAAAATTCTCCCAAGATGCAGAATTTAGCACCCTGGCTAGGACTCCTAGGAGATGTTGTAAATTCATTCCAAGATGCAGAATTTAACATCCTGGCTAGGACCCCTAGGAGATAATGTAAATTCATTCCTAGGATGGCTCATAGAAACATTTTAAAAAGTGATGGTGCACACTAAGTGAAGTTGAAATGCCATAATGGCCGTGGGAAACAGTGGAAGATAGGATTAAACGACTCAGAGAAGTACGCACACTGAAATTGATGCATAGCTAAAAGACCACCAGCTGATTATGTTCCACTGGAAGGCCAAGAGGACACACCATTTAACCTACCAAGGCCATAGGAAATACACTGGTAAGAGGAGCACCAGCATCACTAAAATATGTAGTGATGACTCTCCTCTGTTGGCCAGGGATGGCAGTAGGAGAACTTGCTTCAGAAATAGCAATGGGAAAATAGGAGCCAGGTGATGACACTTTACGGCCAGAAGCCAGGGGATCATAATTGTCATAATGACCAAAAGAGCAAGAATGGCAGCCAAGGGGGTCGTGATGTGTAGAGAGTTATAGAGATGGTTAATAGAACATTTATCTAGAGGAAAATTAGATGGGCAATTAAGAAGAGTACTACTTGGCCTGGCGCGGTGGCTCATGCCTGTAATCCCAGCACTTTGGGAGGCCGAGGCGGGCGGATCATGAGGTCAGGAGATCGAGACCATCCTGGCTAACACGGTGAAACCCCGTCTCTACTAAAAATACAAAAAAATTAGCCGGGCATGGTGGTGGGCACCTGTAGTCCCAGCTACTCGGGAGACTGAGGCAGGAGAATGGCATGAACCTGGGAGACGGAGCTTGCAGTAAGCTGAGATCGCACCACTGCACTCCACCCTGGGCGACAGAGTGAGACTCTGTCTCAAAAAAAAAAAAAAAAAAGGGTACGACTCACATTGTACCAGAATCAATTAAATGTAGACAGAGACTGAGAATGATCATGCACACAAAAAAAATTAACAACTCCTAACCTGGTTTTGGGATATGAACCAATTTTCAGAGCTAAACCCCAATGATTGAAAAGGTGGCTAGGTCTGCAGAAGGAAGGACCCTGTAACAACATGGCACGTTATACATGGTAATAATTTCTTCAGTCCTTCTTCATAAAGACCTACGGACATTTACTTGGGAAACTACACATTGAGAAAAGGGGCATACTCAAACATTTTGAGGACTACTGGACACAGAGTTTGAACTTCATAAATACCTAAAGACCTGAAACATCATCATGTTTTCCCTATTAGAAAAATATGAATTAAGTAATAAATGCAATCCTGAGCAAGATCCAGCATACAGTGGATCCACTAGATGTGCACACCCAGCCAGTATATATGTCCCTGGTCTTCAAATATATAATTAGGATTGATATATTTGGCAGTTACTCTAACCTCCATATTGGTCCTTGGCTTAAGAACTAGTGAGGAAGACCCTTCCCAGCTTCTAGTATGGTCTGTTCTACTTTCTACTTCAATGAGATCAAGAAGTTTTTAGCTTCTACATATGAGTGGGAACATGCAGTGCTGTCTCTTCCTGGTTTATTTCACTTATCACAATGTCCTCCAGTTCCATCTATGTTGTCATGAGTAACAGGATTTCATCCCTTTTTATGGATGAATAGTATTCTGCAATGTATATAAACCAAATTTTCTTCATCCATTGATCTGTTGTTGAATACCTAGGTTAATTCCTTATCTTGGCTATTGTGAATAGTGCTGCAATAAGCAAGAGGGTGCAGATATCTCTTTGATACACTGTTTTTCTTTCCTTTGTATGAATGTCCAGTAGTAGGATTGCTGGATCATATGGTAGTTCTATTTGGAGTTTTTCAAGGAATCTCCATACTGTTTTCCACAGTGGCTGTACTAGTTTACATTCCCACCAACAGTGTGTAAGAGTTCCCTTTTCTCTGCATCCTTGCCAGCATGAGTTATTTTTTGTCTTTTTGGTACCCATCCAAACTAGGGTGAAATGATACCTAACTGTGGTTTTGATTTACATTTCCCTGATGACTAGTGATGTTGGCATTTTGAAATATATTTTTGGCCATTTGTATGACTTCTGAATAGAGAAATGACTGTTCACATCATTTGCCCTTTTTAAAATAGGATTATCTGGGGGTTTTGCTGTTGAGATGTTTGAGTTCCTTTTATATTCTAGATATTAATCCCCTGTCAGATAAATGGTTTGCAAATATTTTCTCCCATTCTGCAGGATGTCTTTTCCCTCTGTTGACTGTTTCCTTTGCTGTGTGGAAGCTTTTTAGTTTGATATAATCATATTTATTAGTTTCTGCTTTGGTTGCCTGTGATTTTCAGGTCCTATTCATAAAATCTTTTCCCAGACTAATGTCCTGAAGCATTTTCCCCTATGTTTGATTCCAGTAGTTTTATAGTTTTAGGTCTTACATTTAGGTCTTTGATCTATTTTGAATTGATTTTTGTATAGGGTGAGAGGTGGGAGTCTAGTTTCTTCTTCTGCATAGGAATAACCAGTTTTCCCAGCACCATTTATTGAATAGACTGCCCTTTCCCCAGTGTATGTTCTTGGCACTTTTGTCAAAAATCAGTTGGCTTTGGATATGAATTGATATCTGGATTCTCTATTCTGTTCAGTTGGTCTGTGTTTCTGTTTTTATGCCAGTACCATGTATTTTGGTTTGTATAACTTTGTAGTACATTTTAAAGTCTAGTAGTATGATGCCTCCAGCTTTGTTTATTTTGCTCAGGATTCCTTTGGCTATTTGGAGTCTTTTGTGGTTCTGTACAAATTTTAAGATTTTTTTTTTCTATTTCTGTAAAGAATGTCATTCATATTTTTATAGGGATTACATTGAACCTGTAGATTGCTTTGGGCAGTATGGCCATTTTAACAATATTAATTCTTCCAATTGATGGGCCTAAGCATGGGATGTTTCTCCATTTGTTTGCATTCAATTCTCTTCCATTTCTTTCATCAGCATTTTGTAGTTTTCCTTGTAGAGGTCTTTAACCTTCCCGGTTAAATTTATTCCTAGAGATTTTGTTTGTTTTTTTTTTCTGTAGCTATTGTTAACGGGATTACCTTTGTGAATTCTTTTTCAGCTAGTTTGTATATAGAAATGCTATTTATTTTGGTATGTTGATATTGTACCCTGCAACTTTACTGAATTTGTTTATCAATTCTAAGCATTTTTTGATAGGAATTTCAGGTTTTTCTACTTAAGATCATATCATCTGCACACAGAGACAATTTTGCTTTCTCCTTTGTAATTCGAGTATCCTTTAATTATTTCTCTTGACTGGTTCCTCTGGCTAGGACTTCCAGTACTATGTTGAATAAGAGTGGTAAGCGTGGGCATCCTTGTCTTTTTCCAGTTCTTACAGGACAACTTTCCAGCTTTTCCCCATTTAGTATGATGCAGTTTGTCATATATGGCCTTTATTGTGTTGAAGTGCCTTCCTTCTATAACTAATTTATTTAGAGTTCTCATCATAATGTTGAATTATATAAAATGCTTTTTCCGCATCTATTGAGAAGATGATATCGTTTTTGTCCTTCATCCTGTCGATGTAATGTATCACATTTATTGATTTGCATATGTTGAAACATCCTTGCATTCCTTGCTAAATCCCATTTGATCACGGTGGTATTATCCTATCAATGTGTTTTTGGATAGGTTTGCTAGTATTATGTTGAAGATTTTTGCATCTATGTACATAAGGGATATTTGCCTGTAGTTTTCTTTTTTATTGTGTCATTGTCTGGTTTTGATATCAGGGTTATGCTAGACACATAAAGTAAGTTAGGAAAAATTTCCTCTACTTTGATTTTTTGGAATAGTTTGAGAAAAGTAGGTATTAATTTCTCTCTAAAGATTTGGTAGAATTCAGTAGTGAAGCCATCTGGTCCTGGACTTTTCTTTGTTTGAGGACTTTTTATTACTTATTAAATCATATTACTTGCTATTTTCTGTTCAGGTTTTCTGTTTCTCCTTGGTTCAATCTTGGTAGGTGTATGTGTCCAGGAACTTATCCATTTCCTCTGGGTTTACGAGTTTATTGGTATATAGCTATTCATAGTAGTCTTAAATATCATTAGTCACACACAATGGCTCATGCCTATAATCCCAACATTTCAGGAGGCTGAGATGGGAAGATCACTTGAGCCCAGGAATTCAAGGTCAACCTGAGCAACACAGTGAGTCCCCATCTCTACAAAAACTCAAAAAAATTAGCCAGGCACAGTGACATGGTACTGTGATCCCAGCTACATGGGAGGCTCAGGCAGGAGAATCACTTGAGCCCAAGAAATCAAGGCTGCAGTGAGCCATGTTCAGGTCACTACACTCCAGCCTGGGTGACAGAGCAAGACCCTGTCTAAAAAAATAATAATAACAATAACTAACAAAAAAAGATGATATCTTTTCTGTGGTATCTTGTTATGTCTCCTTTTTCATGTATGATTTTATTTATTTGGATTCTTTTTTTCTTAGTCTAGCTAATGTTTTGTCTGTTTTATTTATCTTTTTAAATAACTTTTGTTGATCTTTTATATTTTTGTCTCAATTTCATTTATTTCTGCTTTGATCTTTATTATTTCTTTCCTTCTACCAATTTGGGGTATGTCTTGTTCTTTCTTTTCTAGTTCTTTGAGATGCATTGTTATTTATTTGAAATGTTTCTTGTTTTTTGATGTAGGCATTTATTACTATAAATTTGCTTCTTGATACTGCTTTTGCTATGTTTCATAGGTTTTGGTATGTTGTGTTTGTTTTCATTTGTTACAAGGAATTTTTAAATTCTTTCTTAATTTGCTACTTCACCGGGTTTGTTCAGGAATATGTTGTTTAATTTCCACCTATTTATATACTTTCAAATGTTTCTCCTGTTGATTTCTATTTTATTTCATTGTGGTTAGATATTTGGTGTGATTTCAATTTTTAAAAATTTGTTGAGATTAGTTTTGTGTCCTAACATACAATCAATCCTAGAGAATGTTCCATGTGTTGATGAAAAGAATTGTATTCTGCAGCTATTGAGTGAAATGTTCTACAAATGTATGTTAGTCCATTTGTTCTATGGTGCCATTTAAATCCAATTTTATTGATTTTCTGTCTACATGAACTGTCCAATGCTGATACTTGAGTTTTGTTAAAGTCCCCAACTATTGTTGTATTGGGCTCTATCTCTCTTTTTAAACCTAAAAATATTTACTTTATATACCTGGGTGTCCCAGTATTGGGTGCATATATATTAACAATTGTTATACTCTCTTGCTGAATTATTCCCTTTTTTATCATATAATGTCCTTTGCTTCCCTTTACAGCTTTTGACTTGAAGCCTATTTTGTTGATATAGACAAAGCTACTCCTGCTTGCTTTTGTTTTCCATTTGCATAAAATATCCTTTTCCATCCCTTCACTTTCAGCCTATGTATGTCATTAGAGATGAGTTTCTCATAGGCCGCATATAGTTAGGTTTTGTTGGGTTTTTTAATCTATTCAGTCAGTCTATACTGCAGCCTCAATCTCCTGAGCTCAAGCAATCCTCCCACTTCAGCCTGCCAAGTAACTGGGACCACAGCACATGTCACCACACTAATTTTTTATTTTATTTTCATTTTTTGTAGCAACAAGATCTCACTATGTTGCTCAGGCTGGTGTCAAATTCCTGGGCTCAAGCAATCCTCTCACTTCAGCCTCCCAAAGTGCTGGGATTACAGGCATGAGCCACTGAGCCTGGCCTAGACTATATCTTTTAAAAGGGAATTTAATCCATTTACATTCGGGGTTATTGTTGATAGGTGAGGACTTACTCCTGTCATCTGATTTATTGTTTTCTGGGTGTTTTGTATATCCTTTCCTCCTTACTTCTTCTCTAATTGCTTATTTTTGTGGTTGGGCAGCTTTCTGTACTGATACGGTTTGATTCTCTTTCTCCTTTGTGTATCAGCTCTATGAATGAGTTGTTTTCTGTTGCTGTTGAGGTTTTTTTTGTTGGGTTTTGGTTGTTTTTTTGTTTTTGAGGCAGGATCTTACTCTATTACCAAGGCTGGAGTGCAGTGGCATAATCTTGACTCACTGCAGCCTTGACCTCCTGGGCTCAAGTGATCCTCCCACCTCAGCCTCCCAAGTAGCTGGGACTACAGGCATGTACCACCACACCTGGCTAATTTTTGCATTTTTTGTAGAGACGGGGATTTGCCATGTTGCCCAGGCTGGTCTCGAACTCCTGGGCCCAAGCAGTCTGCCTGCCTTGGCCTCCCAAAGTGCTGGGATTAAAGACACATGCCATCACACCCAGCCATCAGTGAGTTTATAGTTTCAAATATTTTCATAATGATGATTGTAGTCTTTTCACTTACAGACGTAAAGCTCCTTTGAGCATTTTTTTGTAAGGCCAGTCTAGTGGTAATTAGTTCCCTTAGTTTTTGCTTGTCTGTGAAAGATTTTATTTCTCTTTCATTTCTGAAGGATAGTTTTTCTGGGTATAATATTCTTTTTTTTTGTTTCTTTCAGTACTTTGACTATATCATTCCATTCTCTCTTGGCTTGTAAGGTTTGTGCTGAAAAATCCACTGTAGTCTAATGAGGATTCCTTTATATGTGACCTGATGCTTTTCTCTTTCTGCTTTTAGAATTCTTTATCTTTGACACTGGCAACTTGACTATAATGTGCCCCAGAGAAGACCTGTTTGGGTTGAATCTATTTGGCATTCTTTGAGTTTCCTAAACCTGAATGTCCATTTCTCTCCCAAGACTTTGGAAGTTTTCTGCTATGATTTCATTCAATATGTTTTCCTCACCTTTTCCCTTCTCTTCTCCTTCTGGAATGCTCATAATGTTCACTTAATGGTGTCCAATATATCCTGTAGGCTTTGTTCTATCTTTTTTATTCTTTTCTCTTATTTTAAAAGTTTTTTTTTGTCTGCGTTACTTCAAATGACAAGTCTTTAAGTATGTCTGGTTTGCTATTAAAGCTCTCGATGATTTTTTATTTCATTCATTGAATTCTTCAGGTATACACTTTCTGTTTGGTTCTTTTTTGTAACATCAATCTCTTCATTGAATTTCTCATTCATGAGTTGTTTACCTGATTTCATTGAATTGTCTATCTGTATTCTCTTATCTTATCTCCGTATCTTACTGAGTTTCCTTCAGATTTTTTATTTGAATTCTTCTTCTGGCATTTCATGTATTCATTATGGTTGGGGTCTGTTATTGGAGAATTATTGTGTACCTTTGGAAGTGTTATATTTTCTTACTTTTCCATGTTTATGTTCCTACATTGCTTTCTACACATCTGTTGGAAAAGTCACCTCTTCCAATTTTATGGAATAGGTTTCACAGGGAAAGACTTATTCATATGAATGGGTCTTAAAGTGTCAATTCAGTGGAGTGCATTGGCTTTGGTTGTAAGTGGATGCAATAGTGTAGTCTTTGTGCAATTTCTTTGACTAATCCCTGCTATAATAGTAATGTTTGCAAGTGTCTCAGTGTCCTAGGCTGAGAGAGTTTGTGGTGGCAGTGGCACAGCTTTATTGGGAGTGGGTACACTGGGCTGTTTCTCAGGTTAGGAGCACATGCATGCCATGGTGGGTAAGCCAACTTGGGGCTATGGGGCTGTTATTCTGGCCAGGAGCATGTGCACAGAGTCACTCTGTCAGCCTAGGGGTATATTTGCCAGGGACAGGCTGTAAGGCTATTTCTCATTCCCAGGATGTGGTCACCCAGCTTCTCAGCTGGCCGGCGTGTGTGTCTTCTGAGGGTGGGTGCCCCATAAAGCTCTCTCTCAGGCCTAGAACGCAAAGCCGCTTGGCCAGCCTGGGAGTGTGCCTGCCAGGAGCAGCGCACAGGACTGTTTCTCAGACCTGGGATGTGAGCACAAGGTTACTTGGCCAGCCTGGGGGAACATCTACTGGGGGATCCCACAGGGCTCTTTCTTAGTTCCCAGACACAGGCCCATGGCTGCTCAACTGGCCTAGGGGCATGTCTGCTGGGCATGGCCCAGGAGGCTATTTTTTAGGCCCAAGATGCAGGTACACAGCTGCTCAGCTGGCTGGCCTGGGGGCGTGTCTGCCAGTGGCTGCCTGTGGGGCTGCTTCTCAGGCCTAGGATGCAGGCACACAGCTGCTCAGCTGAACCTGGGGCACCTCTGCCAGGAGCAGCCCCCAGAGCTGTTTCTAAGTCCCTGACTACAGGCACAGGGCCGTTGGGCTGGCCAAGGGCTTGTCTGTAGTGGTCGAAGCACCACAGGGCTCTTCATCAGGCCCTGGGTATGGGTACATAACCATCCTGCCAGCTAGGACCATGTCAACTACTCAAAGGCTTGAGGGCCTCTCCTACTTGGGGGAGGCATGCAACAGCTTGGCCAGCTCTAGAGTGGGTTCATCCTGGGTGGGACTGCCAGGCTTTTCCTTCAGCTGGAAGTGAAGGCAGTGGGGGTTGGTTTCCCTGCTGTGAAGGACAAGAGTAACAGCCAGTCTGGGCCCATGCTCCCCACTGCTGGGGTTGTGGTGTTCAGCCACCAATGTGGGTTTGGTGGAATGAAGATGGAGCCCCAGTGCTGGAGAAGTGCAGTGGCTACTAACCCTCAAAGAGGGCACACTCCAGAGCTTTCTCTGATCTCAAGATAATCCCATGCCTGTACCAAGCTACCGAGTAGCTTGGCTTACAGCGGGTAAGTGGAGGGTGGGGAGTACAAACCTTGTGCTCCTAACCAGGGCAATATAGCTATGTAAATTCCCAGCAGCTCTACAAACTGGACTCAGGGTTTGCGAGGACTGTAAGGTTCTCCTGTAGTAAGAATTGTAGGTGTTTGTGATGTAAATTGGGGCTTATCTTCTGCTTACCTTTTCCCTGAAATGGAAGTCTCTCCTGACTCCAGGCAGATCCAATCCAAGCACGAAAGATGGGGCTGCCGAGGCCAGCTGCCTCTACTCTGCCCTCTTGGTCTCCTAATCACCACAGGTGTATCTTTACTCCCCTACTGCACTTCAGCACTCTCCCTTTGACGCTTCAGTCAAATTTTATCTGTTTATTCGTTGACTCAGTCCTTTTTTGTTGGAGAGACAAGCATCAGGTGTCTCTAGTCAGCCATCTTGCTCCAAGTCTCTTCAACAATAACTTTTCAAGAATGGAGTGTCATCCCCAAGCACAACACTTCCTGTATCGAAGACTTTTATATGAAGCAGTGTCACAACAGAAAGCATATGTGGTCTGGAACTAACAGGTAGAAGCAGGAGTGGCCTCACTGTTACTACCAATGACCTGTTGGAGGACTTCATTTCTCATCATTGCAGCTCTGGGTTGGGTAAAGCTAGGAGTCCTGCTCCCTAAAGTGGGTACACTTTCACCAGGGAACATGTTAAGAGTCAAGATGTTATTCATACACAAAGGCAACAGGCAGACATCATCAAATATTAAAAAAACACAGAGATTACAAAGCCATAACTCCTTCTTGCCAATGAATCAGACAATTAAAAGATTAATCAAACTAAAATTTTCAGGAATAAAGAAACCATAGTGAAAAAATAGTAAGATAGATGAAAAAACATTAAATTCATTTACATATACTACAAATAAAGAACAACAAAACAACTGCAGGAATTACAGTAATAAATAGACTGTGAATATCATAAACATAGACAACATAACAATGTAACTTATAAAAGTTGAAGGGTGTTAAGCCAGGAGGATGTATAAGAGTGCTGATATTCTTATTTTCCATACCAGCGTATCAAGCAATACTGTCTGAAATTGAACATTCATTAAATAAAACATCATGCTTCAATTTCTTGAGTTTTTTAATAATACTATTTAACCATAAAAACAATGTCAAAAGAAATAAATCCTTTGGTGAATAGGCATTTACTTAAAGTTCAACATTACTTTATTAACTGCAGTCTCTTTTCCATCTATTAAATTTACATAAAATTAAATTTATTATTTTATTTAAAATAGAATCTATAGTATGATCCCCTTTTATAAAATTATTTTTATATCTTCCAACCTATTTTTAATATCACATTTCTGCCTATACACACACGCGTGCACACACACAGATAGATAGATAGATAGATAGATAGATAGATAGATAGATAGAGTCATCCATTGGTGTCCACAGGTCATTGGTTCCAGGACCCCCAAGAATTCTAAAATCTGCTGATGGTAAAATCCCACAGTAAGCCCTGCAGAATTTGAAATAGGAAAAGAGGGCTCTCTGTGTCCGTGGGTTCCACATCCCACAAATACTGTATTTTTGATCCGCACTTGGCTGAACACACAAATGCAGAACACAGGGATATGAAGGGCCAACTTTACAAATTTGCATTAAAAGATATATGGAATATTTACCTAATGTTAGTGATGGTAATTTCTGAATAGTGGAACTTAGGCTATTTTCTTTAATTTTTGTGCTTTTCTACATTTTTAAAATTATTTACAGTGAATATATATAATTTTTCAAAAGCAATCATGAAAGAAAACACAGACGAGAGATTTAAAATGTTTTACGCTATGCTAAAACTACAGATTTTTTATGAATCTGTGAAGACCAAAGGTCTTGAACTTTTTTTTTTTTTTGAGACAGAGTTTTGCTCTTGTTGCCCAGACTGCAGTGCAATGGCACAATCTTGGCTCACTGCAACCACCACCTTCCAGGTTCAAGCGATTCTCCTGCCTCAGCCTCCCAAATAGCTGGAATTACAGGCGTGAGCCACTCACCTGGCTAATTTTTATATTTTTAGTAGAGACAGTGTTTTGCCATGTTGGCCAGGCTGGTCTCAAACTCCTGACCTCAGGTTATCTGCCAGCCTTGGCCTCCCAAAGTGCTGGGATTACAAGCGTGAGCCACTGCCCCCGGCCAGGTCTTGAACTATTTTAAGGTGGAAACTAAAGTCATAAGAATAGGTGAGCTCTTCCAAGATTACTAAAGGAAAGAAGATAACTAAATATATAATTTTTTATTCCTGCAGAACAGGTACAAAGAGATAGAAATCCATGAAGAAAATTCAGAAGTCAGAGTAGTGAGAAGATACACTATCTTGAAAATCAAGAAGGAAACAGCGGTCAATATTGCCAAATGGTACAGACAGGTCATGAAAGATTAGCTGAAAATCATAAGCAAGAATTTACTAATGGTCATGATAAGAATGCTCTCAATAGCATGACTGAGGATGACAGCCACATTGTAGTGGTTCATGAGTGAATGATGAGGAAGCATATACCATTCATTTGATAAGAAATTTCCTCCTTATCAAATTAATAGTATATGCTGATTAAGACAGAATTTTTTCAGTTATTTTATTTTATGTTCCGGGGTATATGTGCAGGATTGTTACATGGGTAAATGTGTGCCATGGTGGTTTGTTGCACCTATCAACCTATCACCTAAGTATAATAGCCTAGCATGCATTTGCTATTTTTCCCGACGCTCTCCCTCTCCCAGCATCCCCTACCGATAGGACCCAGTCTGTGTTGTTCCCCTCCCAGTGTCCCTGTTGTTCTCATTGTTCAGCTCCCACTTATGAGTGAGAACAGGCAATGTTTGATTTTCTGTTCCTGTGTTAGTTTGCTGAGGATGATGGCTTCCAGCTCCATCCATATCCCTGCAAAGGACATGATCTCATTCCTTTTTATGGCTGCATAGTGTTCCATGGTGTATATGTACCACATTTTCTTTATCCAGTCTATCATTGATGGGCATTTGGGTTGATTCCATGTCTTTGCTATTGTGAATAGGGCTGCAATTAACGTACACATGCATGTATCTTTATAATAGAATAATTTATATTCCTTTAGGTAAAAAATCAAGAAACAACAGATGCTGATGAGGCTGCAGAGAGATAGGAACACTTTTACTCTGTTGGTGGGAATGTAAACGAGTTCAGTCCCATTGGGATTGCTGGGTCAAATGGTATTTCTGGTTCTAGGTCTTTGGGGAATTGCCACACTGTCTTCCACAATGGTTGAACTAATTTGCATTCCCACCAACAGTGTGAAAGTGTTCCTATCTCTCCGCAGCCTTGCCAACATCTGCTGTTTCTTGACTTTTTAATAATCGCCATTCTGACTGGCATGAGACGGTATCTCACTGTGGTTTTAATTTGCATTTCTCTAATGATCAGTGATGCTGAGGTTTTTTTCTTATGTTTCTTGGCCTCATAAATGGCTTCTTTTGAGAAGTGTCTGTTCATGTCCTTTGCCCACTTTTTAATGGGGTTGTTTGTTTTATTCTTGTAAATTTATGTTCCTTGTAGACTCTTGATGTTAGACTTTTGTCAGACGGACAGGTTGCTAAAATTTTCTTCCATTCTGTAGGTTGTCTGTTGACTCTAATGATAGTTTCTTTTGTTGCGCAGAAGCTTTTTAGTTTAATTAGATCTCATTTGTCAATTTTTGCTTTTGTTGCAATTGTTTTTGATGTTTTCATCATGAAATCTTTGCCCATGCCTATGTCCTGAATGGTATTGCCTGGATTTTCTTCTAGGGTTTTTATGGCTTTGGGTTGTACATTTCAGTCTTTAATCCATCGTGAGTTAATTTTTGTAGAACATGTAAGGAAGGAGTCCAGTTTCAATTTTCTGTATATGGCTAGGCAGTTCTTCCAGCACCATTTATTAAATAGGGAATTTGCTTACTTTTGTCAGTTTGTCAAAGATCAGATGGTTGTAGATGTGTGGTTTTATTTCTGACTTCTCTATTTTGTTCCATTGGTCTACGTGTCTGTTTTTGTACTCATACCATGCTGTTTGGTTACTGTAGCCTTGTAGTATAGTTTGAAGTCAGGTAGCATGATGCCTCTGCTTTGTTCTTTTTGCTTAGGATTGTCTTGGCTACGCAGGCTTTTTGTTGTTGTTGTTCAATATGAAATTTAAAGTAGATTTTTCTAATTCTGTAAAGAATGTCAATGGTAGTTTGATGGGAATAGCACTGAACCTATAAATTACTTTGGGCAGTATGGACATTTTCATGATATTGATTCTTCCTATCCATGACCCTGGAATGTTTTTCCATTTGTTTGAGTCCTCTCTGATTTCCTTGAGCAGTGGTTTGTAGTTCTCCTTGAAGAGGTCCTTCACTTCCCTTGTTAACTGTATTCCTAAGTATTTTATTCACTTTGTAGCAACTGTGATTGGAAGTTCATTCATGATTTGGCTCTCTGCTTGTCTGTTGTTGGTGCAGAGGAATGCTTGTGATTTTCGCACGTTGATTTTGTCTCCTGAGATTTTGCTGACAGTTGTTTATTTATTTGTTTGTTTTTTTAGAGACAGGATCTCAGTCTGTCACCCCAGCTGGAGTGAAGTGGCATGATCAAAGTTCACTGCAGCCTCAGACTCCTAGGCTTAAGTGATCCTCCCACCTGGGCCTCTGAAGTAGGTGGGACTAGAGGTGCACACCACCATGCTCAGCTAATATTTTTTATGTTTTGTAAAAAATCCTCTCACATTGGCTTCCCAAAATGCTGGGATTTACAGGCATGAGCCACTGCACACAGCCCCCAGTTATTTTTTAAGATAATGAAGACTTGAGAATGTGCATACTATGAAAGAAAAATGCCTATAGAAAAAGAAAATGCTGAAGGTAAAGAATAGAAGATGACGGATTAGGATCTCAGTAAGAAGGAAAGAAGCGTGGATTCAAAGTACAGAGGGAAAAAATGAACGGCTCTTTGAGATAAAATGAAAGACACTAAAAATAAATCCAAAAGGAATTAACTTCCATTAAGAAGTATAGGAAGTTGGCAGAAACAGTATGTTCAGTGATTACCTCACCTATAATAATTGAGATTCAAAGAATAACTTTTTAGGATGACACATCACAATTTAAATATAAGCATATTTGGCCAGGCACACGCCTGTAATCCCAGCACTTTGGGAGGCTGAGGCAGGTGGATCGCTTGAGCCCAGGAGTTGGAGACCAACCTAGGCAACATGGCAAAACCCTGTTTCTACAAAAAAATATACAAACTAGCCAGGCGTGGTGGTGCATACCTGTAGTCCCAGGTACTAAGGAGGCTGAGATGGGACAATCACCTGAACCTGGGGAGTCATAACTGCAGTGAGCCAAGATCATGCCACTGCACTCCAGCCTGGGAAATGGAAGTGAGACTCTGTCTCCAAAAAAAAAGAAAAGAAAAATGAGAGACAGAGAGAAAAAGAAAGGAAAGGAAAATAAAAAGAAAAATATCCAACAACCATTTTTTATTAAAAAAAAAGAAACTGAACAAAATAGAAATAGAAAGATACTTCTTTAATATAGTAAAATGGTCTAGTGTGTCCCCAAAGCCCACAGCATGTTTTATGGGACACATTAGAAGCATTGACACTACAGTCAGGGACAAGTAGGTCATTGTCATCACTGTTGTTTAACAGGGACTGAAAGTGCCAGCCAATACAACCACAAAAATGCAGGTAATTATATATTTGGAAAACTCAAAATAATTAACTGCAAAATTACCAAAAATAGCAAAAGGATTCAATACATTAGTATAATGCAAAATCATTATCTATAAATCACTATGGTTTATATATAAAAACAACTGGTAGAAAATATAAATTGTGGGAGGGTTTCATTTTCAATACTCTTTCCCAAAATACAGTATGTAGTAATAAACTTGACAAGAAATGGTCAAGACCTATAAAAAGAAAACTTGAACACACTACTCAAAGACACCAAAGAACACTTGATGTCAAATGCTAAAACAAACTATGTTATTGTATGGGAGGAATCAACTCAAATCTCCTTCAATAGAGGACTAAATTTTTTAATATTATGGTATATGCATGCAATGGCTTGTTATTTAAAGGAAAAAGAGTGAGAAAATTTGTACGTTCCTCTAATATCTAAGTTTTAAAAAATAGCAAGGTGGAAAGAAGTGAATATGGTATGACACTTTTGTGTTTTTTTAAAGGTGTCATATAAACCTACTATGTAACCATGAAAACTAAAAATAAATAAATTTAAAATAAGTACATAAAATAAATGAATAAATAAAACGGGCAAACAAGACTATATGTATATGTTTGCTTAAGTTTGCATAAAAGTGACTGGAAGGATTATAAAAATCAATTTAAGTAGTTAACTATGGTGGGGAAAGCACTGGACAGGTGGGATATGAGGAAATTTTGCACTCAGTACTATTTTTAGCTATGTAACCACATTATCTATACAAAATACAACTTTCACATAAAATTTTTTCCACATCCATTTTTATCAAAAGAAAAAATCTCATGAAACTTTCCACTTTCAATTACTTTGGAGTACGTTTCTTGGTCACCTTTTTTACAAATATACCAAACAGTAGCAATACTCAGTAGCAAATTTCAAAGCTAGGCATTGTATTCTATGGCAGGGGTGCCCAACTCCTGGGCCGTGGACTAGTACTGGTCCGTGGGCTTTTAGCAACCGAGCCACACAGCAGGAGGTTAGCAGCAGGCAGGTGAGCAAGCATTACCACTTGAGCTCTGCCTCCTGTCAAATAGGCAGTGCCATTAGATTCTCATAGGAGTGCAAGCCCTATTGTAAACTGTGCATATGAGGGGTCTAGGTTGCATACTTTTTATGAAAATCTAATGCCTGATGATCTGAGGTGGAATAGTTTCATCCTGAAACCATCACCCCCTGCACCCCCACCCCACCACTCCCATCTATGGGAAAACTGTCTTCCATGAAACTGGACCCTGGTACCAAAAAAGCCTGGGGACTGCTGTTCTATGGGACCTTTACTGATTTTTTTTTTGTAATGGCTAAGGAGGTATCAATTATCCCTGTCTTGAATTTTTCTAGGCTAATATTATTATGGTTTTGCTAAATGAGACATAAATGTTCCCCTGTCTGTATATTAGAGCAAATTCATCACCATTTTTTTTTTTTGAGACAGAGTCTCGCTCTGTCACCCAGGCTGGAGTGCAGTGGTGTGATCTCGGCTTACTGCAAGCTCTGCCTCCCAGGTTCACGCCATTCTCCTGCCTCAACCTCCCGAGTAGCTAGGACTACAGGTGCCCACCACCATGCCCGGCTAATTTTTAGTATTTTTAGTAGAGATGGAGTTTCATCATGATAGCCAGGATGGTCTCAATCTCCTGACCTCATGATCCACCTGCTTCGGCCTCCCAAAGTGCTGGGATTACAGGCGTAAGCCACCACGCCAAGCCTCATGATCATTTTTTAAAGTTCATAAACATTTTTAAAAGTGGACTCTTGGCCATGCAAATGGATGCTCCCACAACTTGCTTTGCACCAGTGGTGGCCTTCTAGTCAGACCTATGTCTACTTCAGAAAACTTAACTTTTATAAGAGGCTATTAATCCTACTCCCAATTCAACTCTCTGTTAAACAATTCAACTGTCTGTTATTTAATTGGCAACACTGACTAGCAGCACTCCAGGTAGTTGTCAGTAAATACAATCTTGAACTCATACTGTCTGATACAGATCAAAATCTTGGCCGAGATAAATAATACTTAGGAAGGGTTATTTGAAGGACAGAGTGGACACTTGCTATTTTTGGCAGCTAAACATCTAAATATCCTTCCTGTATTGGGAGAATCCCAAGATATGGGGAAACAGGACCTTGCTTCCCTCTGCAAACACCAAAGAACAAATATTCCCTCTCCCCATTCCCTAGAAGCTAGAAGTATACATGTGATCAAGGCTTGATCAGTTGGATTGAGGTTTAGTCAACTGGGACTTTGTTGTTTTGTTTCTTTTCGGCTCCTCGCAGGAAACATAACTGGGGCTTTGTATCATGATTTTCTTTAGTAGTGGCAACAGAAGGAAGAATCAGCAGAATGGGAGTAAGTTTATCTGCAACAATACAATAAGTGTCCTTTGTAGATTATTTTTATGATAGGATGTTTTCTCAGCCTTTTCTCCCTTGATTCCCACCCATTTTTCAAGGTTTTTTTCTCCAAACTTTTTATGAACTATTCTGTGTGATATCTTTCCAAAAAAAAAATCTTTTTGCTTCTAATTTAGACAGAGTTGGTTTTATTTTGTTTGCAATTGAGAATACTGAATGATTAAGATAGTGTTTCATGGATTAAATTAGGTAAGTTAACTATCCTAATCATATCATGCAGACCCCCTAAAACTGTCTTTAGTCAGGTAAACTTGCACATGATACCACAATGGTATGTTGTGATACAGCTCTAACATTCTCATTATTTTGTTTATATTTTCAAAACAACATGTTATTCTCTCTATGTGAACTTTGGGACCAATATTTGTCTAGGCATAGTACCATGAAGACTTGGATTTCCACAAGGAATTGGTTGGGTTTACATTATATACGTAAATAGATATGTATTATTAATGATAGCACATTTCTATGATGATTAATACTAATATTTATGGTTGTTATTTTTTTCCAGAAACCCATATGTTGAAATAAAGAAGACAATCCCCACTCCACTTGCTATTTTTGGCAGTTCAGCATCCAAATACCCTTCCTATATTGGGGAAATCCCAAGATTGCATTGTTTTTTATTTGTGGTTGTGGAGCCGGATACAGTGAAATGACAAACTGTAGGAAAGTTGAGAATATTGACCAGAGAGTAATTGAATTTATGTACCCTGGTGTCTATGCTGGATAATAACACAACTAGAAGGGTGCTGTTACTTTGAAAGGAGATGGAGCTTCAAGGACTCAAAGTATCAGTATGTGCCAAAAAAAAAAGTATAATGTGTACAGATGTGTAAGAACTAGTCTGATTTTTTTAAGTTAGTAAAAAAATAAAATTTGAAGATTAAAATTTCAAATCTGGGCAGGTCAAATTTCAGGTATGGCCAAAGGAAATGTTTTTTTGTTTGGAGGGCAGATGAACATCACTGAAGTTGAGAATGTTTGAATGGGTCTTTGAAACTGAAGTTTCCAGGATCACGACAAGATTTGGAATACAGAGAAGACTCTTGAGCCCAGTGACAAAATCATGAATTGTGTGTGAGGAGGAAAATCAGGACTGTAACCATTTTCTCTTTCTCTTCAGTGTTCCTGCCTTGGCCCATGAAATGAAGCCTCTAGCTTCTCAGAAGTATTGGGGAATAAGATTCTGTCATTACACCACCTCTCCTTAATGTTTTTCTGGAAATATGATAGGAGACTTATATCCTATGGTGCCTACTTCTCTTCTGAATATGACTAATGTACAGCATGTACATAGCACAGAAACTATTTGGCTCTCTACTTCAGAATAACCTGCCCAGTGGGGTGTTCTTTTCTCTGATCCTCCCTCATCACTGATCAGCCTATTGAGCGATGCCCTGCCATTCTTGAAGTGAAAGTCCTGCCCAGCTGAATCTCAAAGTATCAATAAGAAAGAATATCCTGGAAGGACAAGAGTGGGGAAAAGTATACCAGGCAGAAGATATTGTGGTTACAAAAGTACAAACGCATAAGAAAATGGGTTGTATGTGGAATCCCAGATAGAATATCTTAACACAGGGTGCATTTAAGAAGGTGGCAAGAGATGTTAGTGGAATGATGGGGACATTATCTACCATGCTAAAAATGTTGGACTTTATCTTGACAGAACAAAAGTCTTACAGATTTTTAGCTGATACATCAACAACCCATAGGAGGAAACCATTTTCCCTCCTTCTATTCAGGAGTTTGCTACTAATACTCAAGTTACCTCCAAAAGCTGTATACCCCGAGAGTGAACATATGTAAGATTTTTAAAAACTAACAATGTGCTTAATGTAATCCAAACAACTCAAGAAAAAGATTAAGAAGCTACCAATGAAAGAGAAATGCTAAAAAAAAAAAAGGATAGACAACTTTAACCCAAAGATAAAAAGAATACATGAGATTCAATTATAACACAAAAATAACTTTTTAGAATTAAGCATGATTTTCTGATTCCAAAATTCCATAGCTGAATTGAAAAGAAGTATTATCATTGCTGAAAATCAAAGTAGAAGCTTAAGTGGAAGAAACAGCTCAAAACACAAAGCAAAGCTACAAAGAGATGGACTTCTGCTTCTATCCACAAAAAAATGTAACTGCTCTGGCATTTATCCTTCTGCTATAAACAACTATAAGAAAAGACAAAATACATAAAACAGCTAATTTCAAATAGACAACAGGCAGTGCAGGACCATGATCCCTAATAGAAGGGAAACAAACAAAAAAATCCCTAGAGGCATCCCTGTGGTGCAAGGTGTAGAACAAAAACAGAGTCCAGCAGTGCCACTGAGTTGGAGGCAGAAATTGGAATTCAAGTAAACTAAGAAGAATAGAAGTTACGGGATAATCGGGATAATACCATACAGGAGGAAGCTGCACAAAGAGCTCTAAAAACTTATATAACGTCCTTTGAGTTTCTGGCTGAATATTAATTTGTGTGCCCAGAGTGTGAAATTCCACAATGCCAGGTAAAAAAAACTGCCAAGAAAAGAACAGTTTCCAGGTAACTGCACACTGAATGATTCCCAAGTTCAGTTAGGACTGGGAACTTTTCAAGTTCCCACCAATCAGATTGAAGAGACCTTGTTGAAAATATGAGGTATTCAGTAGAGATACTGAATGGGTATGCCTTAGTACTAAGGCTAAATAAACTAGCCCTAGCATAAAGGCTATTCAATACTAACCCTGTAATGATTAAAAACAAGTCCTCTAACATCAAGCTACTCCCCAAAACATCTAACTGCCTTCTGGAACAAAGTGCAACACTTAAAACAAACAAAGAAACAAAAACAAAACCTATCACTTGAAACATAAAACTCACAATGTCAGACAGTCAATTAAAAATTACTAGAGTTCTGGTTCTGTTATGGCAAGATTAGCTTCCCAAAGCTTATCTCTCCCACTGATTACAATTTTTTAAAACTAGGCAAAATACCAAAAAAAAAACAAACCCAAAAATCTGTTAACAATGATAAGTGAACAAAAGTAATTAGGTTGTCATTAGGGCAATGCTAATCAAAACCACAGTGAGATTTTACCTCACACTCATTAGGATGACTATTACAAAAAAAGCAGAAAACAGAAAATAACAAGTGTTTGTGAGGACATGAAGAAACTGGAATTCTTGTGCACTGTTGTGAAAATGAAAAATGGTGGTAGCTGTTACAGAAAATAGTTTAGTGGCTCCTCAAAAATTTAAAAATAGAATTAACATATGATCCAGCAATTTCCACTTCTGGGTATATATCCAAAAGAATTAAAAGCAGGATCTTGAAGAGACATTAGCACACCCATGTTCATAGAAGCACTATTCACAATATCCAAGTTGTAGAAGCAACCCAAGTGTCTATCAACTGATGAATGAATAAATAAAATGTGGCACACACATCAAATATATATATATATATAAAGGAATATCATTCAGTTTTAAAAAAAGAATGAAATTCTGACACATGGTACAATATGGATGAACCTTGAAGACATTCATCTAAGTGAAATAATCCAGTCACAAAATAAGACAAATACTGTATGATTGGCCGGGCGCAGTGGCTCACGCCTGTAATCCCAGCACTTTGGGAGGCTGAGGCGGATGGATCACCTGAGGTCATGAGTTCGAGACTAGCCTGACCAACATGGAGAAACCCTGTCTCTACTTAAAATACAAAATTAGCCGGGTGTGGTGGCGGGCGCCTGTAATCCCAGCTACTCGGGAGGCTGAGGCAGGAGAATCACTTGAACCTGGGAGGCGGAGGTTGTGGTGAGCCGAGATCGCGCCATTGCACTCCAGCCTGGGCAACAAAAGCAAAACTCCGTCTCAAAAAAAAAAAAAATACTGTATGATTTCACTTATATGAGGTAGCTAGTCAAATTCATAGCAAAAGCAGAATGGTGGTTGCCAGGGCGTTGGGGAGGGGAAAATGGAAAGTTGTTGCTTAATGGGTATAGAGTTGTGCAAGACAAAAAGGCTCTGGTGTTGGGCAGGCGTGGTGGCTTACGCCTGTAATCCCAGCACTTTGGGAGGCCAAGGCAGGTGGATCACCTGAGGTCAGGAGTTTGAGACCAGCCTAACCAACATGGTGAAACCCCGTCTCTACTAAAAATACAAAAAATTAGTTGGGCATGGTTGTGGGCACCTGTAATCCCAGCTACTCGGGAGACTGAGGCAGGAGAATCACTTGAACCCAGGAGGCGGAGGTTGCAGTGAGCCGAGATCATGCCATTGCACTCCAGCCTGGGCAACAAGAGTGAAATTCCATCTGAAAAAAAAAGAAAGAAAGAAAAAGAAAAAGAAAAGAAAAGGCTCTGGTGTCTGTCTGGTGATTGGTTGCATAAGAATATGCGCTTACTTAATACCACTGAACTGTATGCTTAGAAATGGTTAAAATGATAAATTTTATGTAATACTTTTTTACCACAATTAAAAATTTTCTACTGTTAAATAATTTTTTAGAAGCAGGCTGATTGTAAAAAGTGATTCATACTGGGACAAGCAACCTGCAAGAGGGTGAGCTTCCTACCTACAATTCCAAAATAAATCCCATCTTTCTGACCAGAGATATAAGGAACAGAAATCCCTGTAGGCCAGAAAGTGGGAGGAGACTTCAGATAGAGCTGGAGAAAGGGATTCTCACATTCTGTATACAAACCCACAAAATCATGGCTCACTTTTGAGGATGTGTGTGTATGGAAGAGAACCAAAGGTAGCATAGCAAAGGCTTTAGAAACTGTTCTAAGATTTAAAATATCACCCATAATGATTCCTATGCAAGATAGACTAAATCAGCACATCAAGACTTTTGAAAATTGAACTTCGATTGGAACTATGGTCCACAGGAGTTGTACAGGGCCACATATATAGGAGAACAATATTTGAATTACCCAAATTTCTCATCAGAAACCACAAAAGCCAGGAGACAGTAGAATCACATATTTAAACTGATGAAGCAAAATTAATGTTAACTCAAAATTCTACAGCCAGCAAAAACACCCTTCAGGAGTGAAGGTCAAGTAAAGACATTCTGAGATGAAGGAAAAGTTCTTCTGGCTGAAGGGAAATGATTCCAGCGGGAAATCTGGATTTTAGGAATAAGGGATAAATAATAAAATGATAAATATCTGGGAAAATCTAAAAGATATATGCACTTTGCATGAAATGGTACAATATTAAATAGACTATAAAAGATTAGATATGTATACTGTGATCCAAAAAACCACTGAAATATTAACAAAATAAATATAATGAAAAAGCCAACAGATGAATTAAAATAAAAAACTAAAAAATATTTAAATAAGTGAAAAGATGATAGGGAAAGGGAACACAGGAACAAAAAAGAGGAAGCAAACTGAAAACACATAGTAAGATGGTAAGCCTAAATCCAAAAATACCAATAGTTTCATTAAATATAAATAGTATAAACATACCATTTAAAAGACGCAGATCATCATATTATATTGGAAAAAAACAAGACCCAGCTATATGCTGTTGAAAATCCACTTTAAATGTAGATAGATCAAAAGTAAAATGGTAGAAAAAGATGTGCAATGCTAACACTAATCAAAACATAGAGTGGCCATTTAATATCATACAAAGTAGACTTCAAAACAAGAAATATTAACAAGAACAAATAGGGTCAAATATAGTATTAAAAGCATCAATTCATTAAGGTGTAACAATCCTAAATGTGTATGTACCAACAACAGGGCTTCAAGATATATGAAGCAAAAACCGACAGAACTCAAAGGAAGAATAAACAAATCCAAAATCATAGTTGAAGCTTTCAACAGTCCTCTTAATAATCAATAGAAAAAGTAGACAGAAAATAACAGTATAGAAGACCTGAACAACATTATCAACTAACACCCTAACTGAAATTCACAAAACTCTACTCAACAAACACAGACACGCATTCCTTTCAAAAGTGTAAATGGAATATTTGCCAATATAGATCATATTCTGAATCAGAAAACAAACCCTCTTCAAAAAAATTAAAATAATTAGAATCATACAAAATATGATCTCTAACCGTAACAGTCTTAACCAAGAGGTCAATAACAGAAAGAAAAATAGGAAATTCCTAAATATTTGTAAATTAAACAACACACCCCTAAATAATTATGTAAAAAAAGAAGCCACAAGGGAAATTATAAAATATTTTGAATTGAATAAAGTGAAACATGTCAACATATCAAAATTTGTGGATGCAGCTAAGAAGTGCTTGGAGACAAATTTAAAGGTCCTAAATCAATGACATTAGCATACACACTAACAACTCTAAATCAAAGAAGAGCAAATAAAACCCAACAAATCAGAAGAAAAAAATTAGGCCTTCAAATAAATAAGAAAATGTGACTCATATGCAGAGAAAAATAATAGAGATACAGAAATAACAGAGGTAATTGAATTGTAGACATGAATGTTAAAACAGCTATTATAACTTGCTCAAATATTTAAAGAAAAACATCGGCGGGGCGCGGTGGCTCAAGCCTGTAATCCCAGCACTTTGGGAGGCCGAGGTGGGCGGATCACGAGGTCAGGAGATCGAGACCATCCTGGCTAATACGGTGAAACCCCGTCTCTACTAAAAATACAAAAAATTAGCCGGGCGTGGTGGTGGGCACCTGTAGTCCCAGCTACTCGGGATGCTGAGGCAGGAGAATGGCGTGAACCCGGGAGGCGGAGCTTGCAGTAAGCCGAGATCATGTCACTGCACTCCAGCCTGGGCGACAGAGCGAGACTCCGTCTCACAAAAAAAAAAAAAAAAAAAAAAAAAAGAAAGAAAAAGAAAAGCATCAATATCAATATCATGAGAAGAGAAAAACAAAGATATAAAAAAGAACAAAATATAATTTTTAGGGATTAAAAATATATTATTAAAATAATGAATTCACCGGAAAGGATTAATAGCAGATCAGATAATGGAAAATAAATGACCAATAAACTTGAAGATATATTGACAGAAATTATCCAGAAATGAAGCTCACAAAGAAAAAAGATTGTAAAATAATGCAATAACCTGTGAGACAATGTCAAGCAGTATGTCAATGTCTAAAATACATGTAATTAAAGTCCAAGGAAGAGAGATGAAAAGAAAAATAAATTAAGGGGCCAAGTGTAGTGCCTTATGCCTATAATCCCAACACTTTGGGAAGCTGAGGGAGGAGGATCACTTGAGTCCAGGAGACTGAGACCAGCCTGGGCAACATGGCAAGACCTCATCTCCACAAAAAATGAAAAAATTAGCTGGGCGTGGTGATGCATGCCAGTGGTCCCAGCTACATAGAATGCTAAGGTAGAAGATCACTTGAGCCCAGAAGTTCAAGGTTGCAGTGAGCTAGGATCATGCCACTACACTCCAGCCTTCCAGCCTGAGCAACAGGGAAGACTCTGGCAAAAAAAAAAAAAATTAAGGAAATATCGCCAAAATTTTTCTTAATGATGAAAAATATAAACTCAGAGACCCTGGAAGCTCATTGAACCCTAAGCAGAATAAACACAAAGAAAACCACTGAGTACATCATAATCAAATTGTTGAAAACCAGTGATAAAGAGAGAAAAAACCCTTAAGCCGGGTGCAGTGGTTCATGCCTGGAATCCCAGCACTTTGGGAGGCTGAGGAGGGAGGATTGCTTGAGTGCAGGAGTTCAAGACCAGCTGGGCAATATAGTAAGACCTCATCTCTACAAAAAATAAACAAAAACTAGCACGCATGGTGACACATGCCTATGATCCCAGCTACTTGGAAGGTCGAGGTGGGAGGATTGCTTAAGCCCAGGAGATTGAGGCTGCAGTGAGCTGAGATTGCACCACTGCACTCCAGCCTGGGCAACAGGGTGAGACCCTGTCTCAAAAAAAATAATTAATTAATAATAATAAAACCTTAAAAGCATCCATTAAAAAAAGATACATTGCTTACAGATGTACCAAGATAAGGAACAGAGATTTCTTGTCAGAAACTTTGGCTAAAAAACAATGGAATTATATTTTTATGTGCTTTTAAAAAGGTCAACCAAGAACTCAGTAGCTAGAAAATAAAAAAGTATAAAAAAGAAAATAATAGTGTAATGAAATAGAAGACAGACAAATAATATAAAATATAATTAAACCAAATGCTGGTATTTTGAAAGAGCAACAAAATTAATAAATCAGTAGCAAGACAAAAACAGAGAAGAAAAAAACCCAAATTACCAATATTATAAATAAAATAGGGACATTACTATAAATACTACACACATTAAAAGAATAATAATGAAATATCACAAATAATTGTATGATAATAAATTTAAAAATTAATTGAAAAGGACATATCCTTAGAAAGGTGCAAATTACTAAAACTGACACAAGAGTAAATTTAAAAGTCTGAAAAGCCCTGTACTCTTAAGAAATTTATTACTAAACACTTCCCCTCGAAGATAATTCCAGGTCCATGTGGCTTCCTCAATAAATGCTATGAACCATTTGAGAAAAATATATACCAATTGTACACAAACTCAGCCAGAAATTAGAGAAGAAACAACTTTCAAGTCATTTTATGAGGTCAGCATTCCACCAATACCAAAACCAGATTAAACATAAAACAAACAAATTCCTGGACAAGATGGAAGAATAGGGACAGTTCTGGTCTGCAACTCCCAGCGAGACCAACACAGAAGGCAGGTGATTTCTGCATTTCCAACTGAGGTACCCGGTTCATCTCATTGGGACTGAGTAGAAAGTGGGTGCAGCCCACGGAGGGCTAGCAGAAGCGGGGTGGGGCATCGCCTCACCAGGGGAAGTGCAAGGGGTTTGGGAACCCCCTCCCTTATCCAAGGAAAGCTGTGAGGGATTGTGCCATGAGGGATGGCGCTATCCAGCCTAGATACTACACTTTTCCCATGGTCTTCGCAACCCACAGACCAAGAGATTCCCTCGAGTGCCTACACCACCAGGACCCTGTGTTTCAAGCACAAAACTGGGCGGCCGTTTGGGCAGACACCGAGCTAGCTGCAGGTTTTTTTCCTACCCCAGTGGTGCCTGGAACGCCAGCAAGACAGAACTTTTCACTCCCTTGGTAAGGGGGCTGAAGCCAGGGAGCCAAGTGGTCTTGCTCAGCAGATCCCACCCCCAAGAAGCCTGGCAAGCTAAGCTCCACTAGCTTGAAATTCTGGCTGCCAGCACAGCAGTCTAAAGTCAACCTGGGACGCTTGAGCTAGGTGGAGGGAGAGGCATCCATCATCACTGAAGCTTAAGTAGGTGGTTTTCCCCTCACAGTGTAAACAAAGCTGCAGGGAAGTTCGGACTGGGCTGAGCCCACTGCAGCACCTTGAAGCCGCACTAGCCAGACTGCCTCTCCAGATTCCTCCTCTATGGGCAGGGCATCTCTGAGAGAAAGGCATCAGCCCCAGTCAGGGACTTATAGATAAAACTCCCGTCTCCCTGAGACAGAGCACCTGGGGGAAGGAGTAGCTATGGGAGCAGCTTCAGCAGACTTAAACGTTCTTGCCTGCCAACTCTGAAGAGAGCAGTGGATCTCCCATCACAGTGCTCAAGCTCTGCTAAGGGACAGACTGCCTCCTCAAGTGGGTCCCTGAAACCCATGCCTCCTGACTGGGAGACACCTCCCAGCAGGGGTCAACAGACACCTCATACAGGAGAGCTTGGGCTGGCATCTGGTGGGTACCCCTCTGGGACAAAGCTTCCAGAAGAAGTAGCAGGCAGCTATCTTTGCTGTTCTGCAGCCTCTACTGGTGATATCCAGGCAAACAGCATCTGGAGTGCACCTCCAGCAAACTCCAGCAGACCTGCAGAAGAGGGGCCTGACCATTACAAGGAAAACTAACAAACAGAAAGCAATAGCATCAATATTAACAAAAAGGACAACCACGCAAAAACCCTATCAGAAGGCCATCAACATCAAAGACTAAAGGTAGATAAATCCACGAAGATGAGGAAAAACCCATGCAAAAAGGCTGAAAATTGCAAAAACTAGAATGCCTCTTCTACAAAGGATCACAACTCCTTGCCAGCAAGGGAACAAAACTGGACAGAGAATGAGTTTGACGAATTGACAGAAGTAGGCTACAAAAGGTAAGTAATAGCAAACTCCTCCAAGCTAAAGGAGCATGTTCTAACCCAATGCAAAGAAGCCAAGAACCGTGATAAAAGGTTACAGGAACTGCTAACTAGAATAACCAATTTAGAGAAGAACATAACTGATGTGATGAAGCTGAAAAACACAGCACGAGAACTTTGTGAAGCATACAAAAGTATCAACAGCTGAATCAATCAATTGGAAGAAAAGTTATCAGAGACTGAAGATCAGCTTAATGAAATAAAGCACAAAGACAAGATTAGAGAAAACAGAATGAAAAGGAATGAACAAAGCCTCCAAGAAATATGGGACTATGTGAAAAGACCAAACCTACGTTTGATTGGTGCACCTGAAAGTGATGGGGAGAATGGAATCAAGTTGGAAAACACACTTCAGGGTATTATCCAGGAGAACTTCCCGAACCTAGCAAGACAGGCCAACATTCAAATTCAGGAAATATAGAGAACACCACAAAGATACTCCTCAAGAAGCTCAACCCCAAGATACATAATCATCAGATTTACCAAGGTTGAAATGAAGGAAAAAAATGTTAAGGGCAGCCAGAGAGAAATGTTGGGTTACCCACAAAGGGAAGCCCATCAGACTAAGAGCTAATCTATCTGCAGAAACCCTACAAGCCAGAAGAGAGTGGAGGCCAATATTCAACATTCTTATAGAAAAGAATTTTCAACCTAGAATTTCATATCCAGCCAAGCTAAGCTCCATAAGTTAAGGAGAAATAAAATCCTTTACAGACAAACAAATGCTGAGAGATTTTGTCACTACCAGGCCTGCCATACAAGAGCTCCTGAAGGAAGCACTAAATATGGAAAGGAAAAACCGGTATCAGCCACTGCAAAAACATACCAAAGTGTAAACGCTATTGACACTATGAATAAACTGCATCAACTAATATGCAAAAAAACCAGCTAGCATCATAATGACAGGATCAAATTCACAGATAACAATGTTAACCTTAAATGTCAATGGGCTAATGCCCCAATTAAACGACACAGACCAGAAATTGGATAAAGAGTCAAGACCCATCAGTGTGCTGTATTCAGGAGACCCATCTCATGTGAAAAGACACATATAGGCTCAAAATAAAGAGATGGAGGAACATTTACCAAGCAAATCAAAGTAAAATAAAGCAGGGGTTGCAATCCTAGTCTCTGATAAAACAGACTTTAAACCAACAAAGATCAAAAAAGACAAAGAAGGGCATTACATAATGGTAAAGGGATTGATGCAACAAGAAGAGCTAACTATCCTAAATATACATGCACCCAATACAGGAGCACCCAGATTCATAAAGTAAGTGCTTAGAGACCTACAAAGAAACTTAGACTCCCACACAATAATAGTGGGACCAAGTGGAACTAATAGACATCTACAGAACTTCTCCACTCCAAATCAACAGAATATACATTCTTCTCAGCACCACGTCGCACTCATTCTAAAACTGACCACATGATTGGAAGTAAAACACTCCTCAGCACATGCAAAAGAGTGGAAATCATAACTAACAGTTTCTCAGACCACAGTCCAATCAAATTAGAACTCAGGATTAAGAAACTCACTCAAAACCGCACAACTACATGGAAACGGAACACCTGAATGACTACTGGGTAAATAATGAAATGAAGGCAGAAATAAATAAGTTATTTGAAACCAAAGAGAACAAAGACACAACATACCAGATTCTCTGGGACACAACTAAAGCAGTGTTTAGAGGGAAATTTATTGCAAATTTCCCTCTAAAGCAGGAAAGATCTAAAATTGACACCCTAACATCACAATTAAAGAACAAGAGAAGGAAGAGCAAACAAATTCAAAAGCTAGCAGAAGACAAGAAATAACTAGGATCAGAGCAGAGCTGAAGGACATAGAGACATGAAAAACTCCTCAATAACTCAAAAAGTACAGGAGGTGGTTTTTGGAAAAGATTAATAAAATAGATAGACCACTAGCCAGACTAATAAAGAAGAGAAGAGAGAAGAATCAAATAGACACAATAAAAAATGATAAAGGGGACATCACCACTGATCCCACAGAAAAACAAACTACCATCAGAGAATACTTTAAACACCTCTGTGCAAATAAACTAGAAAATTTAGAAGAAATAGATAAATTCCTGGACACATACTCCCTCCCAAGACTAAACCAGGAGGAAGTCAAATCCCTGAATAGACCAATAACAAGTTCTAAAATTGAGGCAGTAATCAATAGCCTACCAACCAAAAAAAGCCCAAGGACCAGACGGACTCACAGCCAAATTCTACCAGAGGTACAGAGGAGCTGGTACCATTCCTTCTAAAACCATTCTAAACAATAGAAAAAGAGGAACTCCTCCCTAACTCATTTTATGAGGCCAGCATCATCCTGATACCAAAACCTAGCAGAGACACAACAAAAGAAGAAAATTTCAGGCCAATATCCCTGATGAACATCGATGTGAAAATCCTCAATAAAATATTGGCAAACCAAACCCAGCAGCACATTAAAAATCTTATTCACCATGATCAAGTCAGTTTCATCCTTAGGACATAAGGCTGGTGCAACATATGCAAATCAATAAACATAATCTATCACATAAATGGAACCAATGACAAAAACCACATGATTATATCAATAGATGCAGAAAAAGCCTTTGATAAAATTCAACACCCCTTCATGCTAAAAACACTCAATAAACTAGGTATTGATGGAACATATCTCAAAATAATAAGAGCTTTTTATAACAAACCCATAGCCAATATCATACTCAATGGGCAAAAGCTAGAAGCATTCCCTTTGAAAACTAACACAAGACAAGGATGCCCTCTCTCAGCACTCCTATTGAACATAGTATTGGAAGTTCTAGCCACAGCAATCAGGCAAGAGAAAGAAATAAAGCATATTCAATTAGGAAGAGAGGAAGTCAAATTATCTCTGTTTGCAGATGACATGCTTGTATATTTAGAAAACCCCATCATCTCAGTCCAAAAACTCCTTAAGCTGATGAGCAACTTCAGCAGTCTCAGGATACAAAATCAATGTGCAAAAATCTCAAGCATTCATATACACCAATAATAGACAGAGAGCCAAGTCATGAGTTAACTCCCATTAACAATTGCTACAAAGAGAATAAAATACCTAGGAATACAACTTACAAGGGGTGTGAAGGACCTCTTCAAGGAGAACTACAAACTACTGCTCAACGAAATGAGAGGACACAAACAAATGGAAAAACATTCCATGCTCATGGATAGGAAGAAACAATATTGTGAAAATGGCTATACCGCCCAAAGTAATTTATAGATTGAATGCTCTTCCTATCAAGCTACCATTGACTTTCTTCACAGAATTTTTTTAAAAACTACCTTAAATTTCATATGGAAGCCAAGAAGAGCCCATGTAGCCAAGACAATCCTAAGCAAAAAGAACAAAGCTGGAGGCATCACACTACCTAACTTCAAACTATACTGCAAGGCTACAGTAACCAAAACAGCATGGTACTGGTACCAAAACAGATATATAGACCAATGGAACAGAACCGAGGCCTCAGAAATAACATCACACATCTACAACCATCTGATCTTTGACAAAACTGACAAAAACAAGCAATGGGGAGAGGATTCCCTATTTAATAAATGGTGTTGGGAAAACTGGCTAGCCATATGCAGAAAACTGAAACTGGACCCCTTCCTTACACCTTATACAAAAATTAACTCAAGATGGATTAAAGATTTGAACATAAGACCTAAAACTATAAAAAAAATACCCTAAAAGAAAACCTAGACAATACCATTCATGACATAGGCATAGGCAAAGACTTCATGATTAAAACACCAAAAGCAATTGCAACAAAAGCCAAAATTGTCAGATGGGATCTAATTAAACTAAAGCACTTCTGCACAGCAAAAGAAAGTATCATCAGAGTGAAGAGGCACCCTACAGAATGGGAGAAAATTTTTGCAATCTATCCATCTGAGAAAGGGCTAATATCCAGAATCTATAAGGAACTTCAACAAATTTACAAGAAAAAAACAAACAACTCCATCAAAAAGTGGGTGAAGGATATGAACAGACACTTTTCTTTTTTTTATGATTATTATACTTTAAGTTCTAGGGTACATGTGCGCAATGTGCAGGTTTGTTATGTATGTATACGTGTGCCATGTTGGTGTGCTGCACCCATTAACTCGTCATTTACATTAGGTATATCTCCTAACTCTATCCCTTCCCTGTCCCCCCACCCCATGACAGGCCCCAGTATGTGATGTTCCCCGTCCTGTGTCCAAGTGTTCTCATTGTTCAATTCCCACCTATGAGTGAGAACATGTGGTGTTTGGTTTTCTGTCCTTGCGATAGTTTGCTGAGAATGATGGTTTCCAGCTTCATCCATGTCCCTGCAAAGGACATGAGCTCATCCTTTTTTATGGCTGCATAGTATTCCATGGTGTATATGTGTCACATTTTCTTAATCCAGTCTATCATTGATGGACATTTGGGTTAGTTCCAAGTCTTTGCTATTGTGAATAGTGTGGCAATAAACATATGTGTGCATGTGTCTTTATAGCAGCATGATTTATAATCCTTTGGGTATATATCCAGTAATGGGATGGCTGGGTCAAATGATATTTCTAGTTCTAGATCCTTGAGGAATTGCTACACCGTCTTCCACAATGGTTGAACTGAACAGACACTTTTCAAAACATGTATCCCAGAACTTAAAGTATAATGAATAAGTAAATAAATATAATACATATAATGTATTGTATTGTATACATACAATACAATGTTATGTTTTTTATCCGTGATAAAAAAAATAAATAACAAGAAAAGAAAATTACAAACTAATATAATTTACTAGACACAAGAATACCTTAGCAAAATATTTGCAAATTGAATGCAGAAATATGAAGTAAGGATAATATGGCATTATTACATACAGTTTATCCTGAGATGCAAGATTAGTTCAATACTTGAAAATAAATGAATGAAATCCATCATATTAGCAGAATATATTATATGACAACCTCAATAGATGCAGAAAAAGTATTTGTTGAATTTCAGCCCCCATTCATGATTTTTTTTAATCTCAGAAAGCTAGGAGAAGAAAACTTCCTCATCTGTCTAATAAAGAACATCTACAAAAAGTCTATGGCTAATATCATATTTAATGGTGAAATACTAGAAGTTTTCCCCATAAGATCAAGCATAAAGCAAGGCATCCGCTCTCACTACTTCGTTTTCCTTGGTTGGTGGAGTGGGGAAGGTATACTACTGAGATCCTTGCAAGTGCAATAAGACAAGAAAAGGAAGTAAAAGACATGCAGATTATAAAACAAGAAGTAAAAATGTGGCTTTTGTCATTTAAATCGTCATGTACATAGAAAATACTAAGTCATCTTTTTAAAAAAATCTACTAAACCTAATAAGTGAATTTGGCAAGACTGCAAAGTAGAAGGTCAGTGGCCACAGTTTTTTCATCTACTAGAAATAAATGATCAGAAAATAAAATTTTAAAATCAATACTATTTACAAAAGAAAATTTGCATAAGGACAAATTTGACTATGTATAAGATTTCTTTGAAACCTATAAAACACTGGCAATAAAAATTATAAGAGGCCAATAAATATAACATGATTGATCATGGATTAAAAGGCTCAATATTATTATATTAATCTACAGATTTACAGCAAGCATTTCTACAGAAATCGACAACCTGGTTCTAAAATTCATATAGAAATGTAAAAAACCTAGAATAGCCAAACAATCTTGAAAAAGAATCCTCCTGTTTTAGAGAATAATTATAAAGCTACAGTAATCACAACAGTGTGGAATTGATGTAAAAATAGAGAAATAGATTAATGGTTATACCATCTGATATTCTCCCTAACCGCTTTGGAAATTGGTCTAGCTGTTTTTTTATAAAGTTAAGTATGTGCCTAACCTGTGACCTAGCAATTCTACTTCCATATATTTACTCAAGAGTAATAAAAGCATTTGTACACAAAAAGTCTTGCACAATGATGATCATAGAAAATTTATTTGTGGCAGTACATAAATGGAAAAAAAACTAATATTCTACATAGGGAGAAATGATAAATCATGATATATCCAAACAATGGAACTATTCAGCAATAAAAAGGAACAATCTCGGCCGGGCACGGTGGCTCATGTCTGAATCCCAGCACTTTGGCAGGCCGAGACGGGCGGATCACGAGGTTAGGAGATCGAGACCATCCCGGCTAACACGGTGAAACCCCGTCTGTACTAAAAACACACACACACACACACACACACACACACACACACACACACACACACACACACACACACACACACAAAAATTAGTCAGGCGTAGTGGTGGGCGCCTGTAGTCCCAGCTACTCAGGAGGCTGAGGCAGGAGAATGGCGTGAACCCGGAAGACGGAGCTTGCAGTGAGCCAAGATGGCGCCACTGCACTCCAGCCTGGGCTACAAGAGCGAAACGCTGTCTCAAAAAAAAAAAAAAAAAAAAAAAAGGAACAATCTCCTGATACATGCACCATCCATGAATAAACTTCAAAAAACATAACACCCAGAAAAAAAATAGAAAAGAGTTAGTACAATGTGATTCTATTTATATGTAATTCTAGTACAGGTAAAACTAATCTAAGGTGAAGGAAATCAGAAGAGTGGTTGTCTGGTGGGGGGCTTGGAAATGTCTGGGAAGGAACATGAGGAATCTTTCTGGTATGATAAGAATGTTCTGTATCTTCTCAGAGTGTGAGTTACATTGAGTGTATCCATTTGTCAAAACTTACAAATCTGTACATTTAAAATCTGCACATTTCACTATATGTAAATAATATCTCAATTTTTAGAAGTTTAAAGGGTTTGTTTGGCTCAAAGGAAAAAATACAAAAAGAAATCATGAGGGGAAAGTTTAGAAACTTGGAGAAGAGATTGAGGAGGCCTAAAATGTCAATAATCAAAAAATTAAAGTAGAGAAGAGGGGCGATAATTCAAGAAATAAAAGAAGCAACTCTCTCTGGAACAAGAAAACATTCAAGTCTGCACTTAAAAGAGTTCACTGATAGAAAGGATGGGAGGGATGGAGGGAAGAAGGAAAGAATTGAAGGAAGGAAGGAAAGAGATAAACCTAAGCATATGCTAATAAATGTCTAAAGTTTCAAGGATAAAAAGAAATACATAACCAACTAAGGAGCTAAAAAGCAAGTTTTTAATAAAGAAAAGGAAAAAATCAGATTGATACCAGCAACACTGGAAAATAGAAAGAATACAACATTGACACAACACTGGGAAGTAATATAATTCAAAAATCCTATACTTAGCCAAGATATCTTTAAAACTGTAGTTATTTACAATGGAAAAAATTATATCATTCACTTGTCAACCATAATAAAGATGCTTTGCATATATATAAGAATACAGAGAACATATCATCAACATAAGACACATAAGGAAAAATATTAAAGATAGTACACTTAAAAAAACAACACACACATGTTGAAAGACAACCTGAAGATATGAGAAAATGAAGAAGAGAGGGACACAGGTAAGCAGCAAGCCTCGTAATACACTTAGTTAGGTATTTCTTAACCTTGGCATAATGGATCAGATAATTACTTATTAGGGAAGAGAAGGGGTGGGCTGTCTATTGTGGGGTGTTTAGCAGCATCTCTGCCTTCTATTCACTAGATTTCAGTAGCATCTCCCCTTTCCAGTTGTGAAAATCTGAAATGTCTCCAGATATTGTCAGATGTTCCCTAGGGGAAAAAATCAGCCCGAGTTAAGAACCACTGACATAGTTTATAATTATTCATTTAGATAATAACAGATTGACAAAAATTTGTAATGTAAGCGCTAAATAAGAATTCTTGAAATAGATGAGACATGCTGCTATTTAAAAATCTAATAATAATCTGGAACTAAAGTAATAAAATATTTCAGTAAAGCCTGGGCATTGAGTGCAGACTGTGAGCACAATAAGAAAAAATAAATAAAATAATTGGTAAGGGAAAATGGAACAATATTTTTGTTGATGATATAATTATATAGCTAGAAAATGTTTGATTCTAGTAAAAAACACTAGAATTAATAATGAAATGGACTACATCTTTTTAATACAGAAGGAACATATAAAAATTAGTAACTTCTCTATACCACCATAACCATCTAGAAATGGAAATGGGAAACGCTTTTCATAACTGGAACAATATAAACCAAGTATTTAAAAGCATATTTAACAAGGACCATATAGTACCTATATTTTAAAACTTTTTAAATCTTACTGAAGGACAGAGGCAGATTTACTGTGAAACTTAAAAAAAAAAAAGCTTCATTAGTTTCAGGGCCCTGCACTTGTCCTGTGGTAGGCTGAATAATGGCCCCCCAAAGATGTCCATGTTCTAGTATCCAGAACCGGTGAATATGTTATCTTACATGGTAAAAGGGGCTTGCAGATTTGCAAATATAATTAAATTTAAGGATCCTGAGATGAGGGATAAGCCTGTGGCCTATCTGTAATCACAAAAACCTTTATAGAAGGGACGGAGGAGGATCAGAGTCAGAGAGAAAGATTTGAAGATGCTATCTGGTGGCTTTGAAGAGAGAGGAGGACCACGAGGTGAGGACCACGAGGCAAGGACCACAAACAGCCCCTGGAAACTGGAAAAGGGAAAGAAATGGATTCTCCCATAGAGAACCTGCAGAGGAATCACAATGCTGTTGACACCTTGATTCTAGCCCAGCAAAACCCATTTCAGACTTCTGACCTCCAGAACTGTATAAGGTAATAAATTTGTGTTGGTTTAAGAAACCAAGTTTGTGGTGATTTATTACCACAGCAGTAGGAAACTAATACCCTTCCCAACTCCCGGAAATGGTTTCAGCAATGGGCTTCCATGGTAATATTTTGTAACATTCACAAAAGTAATATATTTTAGCCGCCATCAGTTAAAACCATTGTCTCTTTTCACTCCAGCTTCTTCACCACTTTCCTCACATTGGGTGGTGCTGAAGTGGCTTCAGGCATTTTAGGGATTCTGCCACAGGAAAGTTGAGTCAGGGACATACTCAGTTTTGGTTTTGTTGAATATATATGTGGTCATCTCCACAAGTTATTTCTAGCCATCCCACTATAAAAATGGCTTTCAGAAATACTTCTACCCCGCGCTGTACTGACTCACCCAATGAAGGCGCAGAAGCAGAGGTCACATTGCATGATAAATGTGTCCTACAGCTCACACAGTGGAAATCTCTGAGGAATAGAGGAGAAAAATGTTTGAAGCCACACATGGAACCTGATGCTAGTCTAATGGAAACATATAAAACTAAGGGGAAGACTCAGTGCCCATTGGTTACTAGTCAAAATTATCAATATTTTTAATGCCCAATTAACCTTGCTAAAAGTGAAGAGCTATATGCCTGCTTTTGATGAACAATTCTCTTACTACCAAACCCTAGGATCATAAGCACCATTAGTAAAAATTTTGCACATGGATTATGATGTGTAATTGCAATAAGCACAAGGCTCACCTTGCTTTCAAGCCCTTGGTTACCAGGCCTGTGTAATGTAGTGATGGAAATACAGTACCATACATTGTCAATTGTCCCCTTCCATCTTCAAAGCCAGCAATGGTGGGTTTAATCCTCACATCACATTATTCTACTCTGCCTCCTTCTTGTACTTTTAAGGACCCTTGTGATTACATTGGGCCTACCTGGATAATCCAGGAAAATCTCTGTCTCGAGTCCTTAACTTAATCATTGAGTGCAGGAAATCTCTTTTTTCATGTAAGGAAACATATTCACAGGTTTCAGGGATTAAGACATGGACATTTTAAGGAAGCCATTATTCTGTCTACCTCATCAGTTGATGGCACAACCACAAAGAAAGGAATATCCCACATTCCTTTAAAAGACAGTGATTTGACTATACCTACTTAATGGGATATATCCTAGGCATGAAAAGAACTATAAAGAAATCAGGCTGGGGGCAGTAGCTCAAGCCTGTAATCCTAGCACTTTGGGAGGCCAAGGCAGGTGGATCGCTTGAGGCCAGGAGTTTGAGACCAGCCTGGCCAACATGATGAAACCCAGTCTCTACTAAAAATACAAAAATGAGCTGGGCATGGTGGCGCACACCTGTGGTCTCAGCTACTCGGGAGGCTGAGGCAAGAGAATCGCTTGAACCCGGGAGGTGGAGGTTGCAGTGAGCCAATATTGCGCCACTGCACTCCTGCCTGGGCAACAGAGCGAGACTCCGTCTAAAAACAAACAAACAAACAAAAAGTCTTAAACTGTTTTCAGTGGTCATATTATTGGTAGTACTGTTGGTATTGTTATTGTGAGTATACTGTGGTAAAAATGCAAATAAGTAATTAGATCACTAAGGTAGGGAATAGGAATTTCAACATGTGAGGAATGAGATAAAAATTTAAGATTATAGAGATAGTTAAATAAAAACTCTAGAGTCCTACATTGGAAGTAGAAATATTGGTATGTTCAACCCAGGATGTATTTTATTTTATAATCTTATATATGTGTGTAAAATTCCCTAGCACAATCCCCTGAAAGGAACAATCCAGTAGCAATGAGCACCTGTAGCATCCAGATAGTTTTTAATTTGTATTTTCACAAAAATTAAGTAGAGCTCACTAGAGAATATGTTAAAGGTGGGAAAGGAGGCCGGCACAGAGGCTCACACATGTAATCCCGGCACTTTGGGAGGCCAAAGTGGGCAGATCTCAGGAGTTCAAAACCAGCCTGGGCAACGTGGCAAACCCTGTCTCTACAAAAAAAATACAAAAATTAGTTGGGTGTGGTGGCTTATGCCTGTAGTCCTAGCCACTTAGGAGGCTGAGGCAGGATGATCTCTTGAGCCTGGAAGGTGGAGGTTGCCGTGAGCCAGGATCACGCCACTGTACTCCAGCCAGAGGGAAGGAGGGAGACGCTGTTTTTGTTTTTGTTTTTAAAGAAACTAGATCTAGATGAACTATTTAGAATTCAAGAGGAAGCTGAAATCTTGCTATAAAAGAAAGGAAAAGATGCTATCAATGACTAGTGGGGTCCTGTCAAAAGGAGTCAAGAGTTACAATGAGTAGGCCATCACAGACCAAAGATGGAATGATCTGATGATTACTACAATGGATTAAAACATATCAAATATGTTTAAATCCATGAATTTATGATGATAAAAGAAAATACCTCATTGGTCACCTTTGGAAAATATTGGAAGCCAAGCAATTATTTTGAAAACTGACAAACAAAGAGAAAGAATGAATTTACTTTATTGTAACCAAATAGAGAGGGTAATACTTTTCATAAGTATTCTAGGTAATAAATGAAGAAATGATCGAATTTTTAAAGCTCATTATGCAAAAATCTAATGAATTAATGGTTTTGACAATAATCATCTCAGCTGATAGACAAAAAAGACATCTCTTTTGGCTGGAAAAAAATAAGAGACAATCAGACATTATAGAAGTACACAATATCATGTATGAAGTAGTTTTGCCACAAAAATCCAACCTGATTCTGATAAGGCTCATAGATCTATCAATGGATAAATAAGCGTTTCTTATATTATTATGTAATACTTATAATTTTCTAAGTTAAAAAACTTTTTTAAATTTAAGAATAATTTAGGCCAGGCACGTTGGCTCACGCCTGTAATCCCAGCACTTTGGGAGACCGAGGCAGGCAGATCACGAGGTCAGGAGTTTGAGACCAACCTGGCCAATATGGTGAAACCCCACCTCTACTAAAAATACAAAAATTGCCCAGGTGTGGTGGCGCGTGCCTGTAGTCCCAGCTACTCGGGAGGCTGAGGGAGAAGAATCGCTTGAACCCAGGAGGCGGAGTTTTCAGTGAGCCAAGATTGCGCGCCACCGCACTCCAGCCTGGCAACAGAGCAAGACTCCATCAAAAATAAATAAATAAATAAAAATTTTTAAAAGCAGGTAAAAAATAAAATATCTCACAATCTATTAGCATGTAATTCTTTCCTTTTAAATATTGTGGGGCTGTGTGTTTACTATACTTTTTTTATCATATGAGAAAGCTTCTTGTAAAACCTCCAAAATAAGCACTGACACATAGAATCAAAGCAGAACACCCATACTATATAAAGTACAGAAGCAGCCTCCCTGTCTGCCAGAAAATCACGAATTCAAAGCAAGACCTTTGTTTTCCATTTATCGTTATGATCCACATGCTACATCCATACTCAGGATCAGAAGAGAAAAATGTGTATTTCAGCGGGTGAGCAAGAAAGTAGAACTGACAATAATGAAAGGGGTAACAGTAGATATAGAAGGATACTTAAAATTTTCTATTTTTTAACCATTTACTATTAGCTAACTCGAGTAAATGTGAACGAGGGTATCTAGCTCTTCTGATACAATGTCTAGACAAAAGTTGTCCTTGCATCCTTAGGTTTCTGCAATGCTGCTTTAATTTTACAAAAAGCATAAGGTGGTGTAACAGAAAAGTAGTGAGATAATGATAAACTCTCTCGAGTTTCTTAAATACACAAGAGGTAAGCAGCTAAGATGCAATGAAAGGATATGAGTGGGAAGTTTGTGACCCATGAAGTTGATACTGCAGGAAGCTTGAATTAAAAGTTGAAAGGCTTTATGGGTAGGCCAGACTAGATAGATAGTGAGGCAATTAGAATCATTCATTGCTGCCAAGGCATCAGGCCAACATGAATTACTACCCAAACTGAATGAAGCAGAATAGAAAATAGAAAAGCCTTTAATGAAAATGTTGGAGAACTCACAAGGGATGGGGAAAGTGCCAAATAACTGGAAGATGGCTAAGTAAACTAAAAGGTCTATTCTCCCATCAATGCATAAGGGATTTACAAGTTTAACTCTCATTGCTGTTAATAGGAATTCTATGTGTGATCCAAGGGTGTATTCATGGAGAAAATGCATCTATTAGTGTCTCGATTGGCCTCTCTTGAGCCAGCTCTGGCAAGTGCTCCAAATTGTGTGGTAGTTTGGTGACAGGGACTAACAGGGGCTAGAATGAAAACCACCAGCTTAGTTTCACCTTGTAATCCTCTGATAGTACAAGATCCCTTATCAGCAAAGAGCAAAATATACTCTATACAATCTTATAACGTTTAATTTGGAAACATTTGGAAATTAACTTCCAGCAAACTAAAGTAAAAGAAGAAGACAAAAGACAAAGATTGCTATCCAATTGAAAAGACTGTCTTTGGAAAATAGAAGTAAACTTTAAATCATTTTCTACCTAAAAATAATCCTTTTCCTAATTTAATAATATAATTTAATAATAACAGCCATCATAGTCTCTAATATGTCCAGACATTGTATCAGATGCTTTACCAAGGTCTCTACTTAATCATTACAACTATCTATGAAGTAAATAGTATTATCCCTTTTTCACAGATAAAGAAATTGAAACTAAGACATTAAGAAATTTGCTCGGGATCACACAGCTTCAAAGTTGCTCATTCAAATCCAGGTCAGCATAGCTCCAAAGTCCATGATCTTTCCTTGACACCTTACCTACTACTATAAAATAGCAACCTCCATCCTCCACCAGGTCACTTTGACTTAATGTTATGCACTTCCCAATCCAATGTGCGTTTTCAAAAGCACCAAATCTCTTCATAAATTTATGTGTATGTACCTACAACACAGTATAATTATGTTTTCTAACAGTATACCTCCCCAAAAAAGAAAAAAGTGATATAATAGTTTTTGTAAATGGCTAATATTTTTATCCAAAATACAAAAAGGGCATTCATTGAGAAAATATTTATTCAATCTATTATGTACCAAGGTCTACACCAGACTCTATATGAAGACAAATAGAGACCCTGCTTTCAAGATCAGCCTAGTAAGATGAAAGTCTAGAAAGTCTGCTCACTAATAGAAGAAATAGACATAAGCAATTCATTAAAAGTCTCAAGCTGCACACAGTGTAGTCCCAGCTACTTGGTTGGTGGGAGGACTGCTTGAGCCCAGGAGTTTGAGACCAGCCTGGGAAACACAGAGACCCAGTCTCTAAAAAAACAAATATTTTAAAATGGTCTACATGATACAGGAAAGGTAACACAAAGCGCTGTAGGGAAACATCACATTATGCCACTTGTGACTATTGGTTTCTCAATAATATTTGCAATTTTTATTGCTCTACTTTACTATCTTTATAAGAAGATATCATTTTATTAAAAGATGTCAACCAAGCTTTACTGAAGGCTCAACAATATTTTATTTATAGGAAGATCTTCCTTCTCCAAATCCCTCTAAAATATTAATATGTGCAGGGCAAGCATCATTATACCCAAATCATTGGTGGAGAAATAGCGGCTCAACAA
This sequence comes from Homo sapiens, assembly GCF_000001405.40. Lineage (NCBI taxonomy): Eukaryota > Metazoa > Chordata > Mammalia > Primates > Hominidae > Homo > Homo sapiens. The sequence goes on along the minus strand of NC_000002.12, from coordinate 161,447,025 downwards.
AATTAAATGACTTACAGACCTCAAATTGACTCCCAGTGCCATATTTTATTTCTTTAAAAATTTTCTACAGAAATGCTACTTAATCCAAAGTAATTTAGGCTTTAAGGACTCCTCAAATAAGCTTAATTTTTTGAGCCAGTTTGAACAGGTTCTGTCAAGTAGTCTGAACAATCTTAGTTCAACCAAACAGCAAAACAATTTCTGAAACCATAGGTAGTGCTGGATATTGCTTTCATTTGAGTTAATTAAAAGTATTTGATCCACTATGGTGCATCTCAGTGTAAGATCTTTAAAAGAAAATAATCGATTAATCCATGCAAGTTTCAGATAACACCTAATCTAAATGCCAGAGCTTGTGACCAGATTTAATCAAGCTCTGGCTATTACTTACTGACTTATCCAAAAAATGGAGGTTGTTTTTATTTTTTTCAACAAAGGTGTTTGAATAATGGATAAGCTGCCAAGACCAGCGTCAATTCCCATTATATAATGTATTGAAATTTTTGCAAACACAAAGTAGGAATAGACTAAGTCGGAATAATTTGTCTTATCCCAAATACCAAATATTAGGAGAACTGACAATGTAGGCTGTTGGAGGTGGGAACAGATAAATCTGACCTCTTGTTTTCTTAATGCCAGCTTCTTGGGGATGATAAACACAAATGAAGCAAATTCCATAGACTGTAGTTACAAACTGCTGCACAGCCACTCCTCACTGGGTTACTGGCAACACCATGGCTAACCATAAGCTAAGGAGACACTATCTATGTAATGAGAGCCTAGGATATCAGAAAGGCTTCAGGCCCAAAATACCTTCTTCCTACCCTGTCTGCTGATTCCTGAAGCAAGCATTTGCATTTCATCCTTTTAGCTCAGTGGTCCTCAACCCTGGCTAATTATTATAATTATCTGGGGCATTTCTTAAAAACATCAGTGCCCTAGCTTCAGCCCCAAAGATTCTTATTTTAGCCTGGGCATGTGGTTTTTTGTTTGTTTTTGTTTTTGTTTGTTTTGTTTTGTAGCATGACAGGTGATTATAATGAGCAGCCATCGTTAAGAACTACTGGTAAGATAGTCAAACAAATTTGAATAAGTACAAGAGAAAGCAAAAGGATATGTAGTCACTGAAAAAAAGACTAGAGAAGCAGTCAGTATACAAAATAGAGGCAGAGAGACACAGGAGGCTAGGGCAGTCAAAAGCAAGAGTTACAATTTTGCCTTGGCCAACAATGTAAACCTACAACTTACTCCTTGGGACAGTGTTGGAATGAGAGGCGTAGAGCAGTGCTACTGCAAAAAAAAAAAAAAGGGTAAAAATAAACTATTAAAGATAGTTACTAATGCAGAAGTATTTGCTCTCTTTTACAGCCTCATTTGAAAGCTGAAACCACAAAATAAAAGACCGTTCATAAAACATAAACATTTTTAAAATATGGGCGGAAATTTTTCTCAATTTGACATATATATTTCATTGAATCTGTAAAATAAGCCATATAAATAAAAAATAAATTCTTACTATTTCTTTTTTTACATGTCCTATTTGTTTCCCTTTTTGTTGAAACTGCTCCTCTTTTTAAGAAAAAGAAATGCAGATTTACATTTTGGGATTAACAATAATTATAAAGCACATAAAATGGCCGGGCGCGAAGGCTCACACCTGTAAGCCCAAGCACTTGGGGGGCCGGCGGACGGATCCCCTGAGGTCAGGAGTTTTGAGACTAGCCTGGCCAACATGGCGAAACCCCGTCTCTACAGGCATGGTGGTGCACGCCTGTAATCCCAGCTACTCGGGAGGCTGAGGCTGGAGAATTGCTTGAGCCCCGGAGGGGGAGACTCTGTCTCAAACAAAAAAATCATAAAGCGCATAAAATATTCAACTTTAGAACAAAAACTGTTGCAAAAAGTCTTGATCTCTAAGCTTAAATACCCAATGATTAGCCCTACCATATGTTCCACATAAGTATTTTAATTGATCTTGTGTTCAATAAAACATTAAAAACACTATTAAAACTTTTCATTTTAGCAATCGCTTTCCGAGGTTCTGACCATCGTTATTGGCCAAATAAGAAACTAGATGATTCCACATGAATTTAACAAGCTTCTGATTAATTCTTTTAAAATGTGCAATGTTATTGGTAAAAATAATTTTTCTAACTCAAAATTATAACTATTTTACCAAGGTATATTTTATTTTTTTGTACAAAGGAAGTTGTACAACAAAAATATCACTGAGGCACTGATAATTTTGAGCAAAAGGTGAAAATTTTCTGTTCATTATATATTTTTTTAAAAAAAGGTTGCATAGCTTAAACTTTTTAAAATTCTTCAATAGTCCTACTTATTGTAAACTACAAAGAACCATGAGAGACCAATAAAGAGGAATAATTTGAAAGATTCACAAACAACATACGTTCCTATTATTCCATTTGGAAGAAATAATAAATACTGTATAACTGAAATAAAAACCTAATTCTTTTTTGAAAAATGAAAAGCAGGCCCGGCACGGTGGCTCACGCCTGTAACCCCAGCACTTTGGGAGGCCAAGGCAGGTGGATCACCTGAGGTCAGGAGTTTGAAACCAGCTTGGCCAACATGGCGAAACCTGGTCTCTACTAAAAATACAAAAAATAGCCGGGCTTGATGGCAGGCGCCTGTAATCCCAGCTACTGGGGAGGCTGAGGCAGGAAGAATCACTTCAACCTGGGAGGCAGAGGTTGCAGTGAGCGGAGATTGCGCCACTGCACTCCAGCCTGGGTAACAGAGCAGGACTCAAAAAAAAAAAAAAAAAAAAGAAAAAGAAAAGAAAAATGAAAAGCAAATTATCCATTTGTTTTGTTCATATTTACATCATTAAATAAACTAAAGTTCTAAATAATATTACATTGGTGCAAAAGTAATTGCAGGTTTTTGCTATTGTTTTTGCTGTTGCTTTTAATGGCAAAAACCGCAATTGGTTTTGCACCAACCTAAAATATTGCAGATTAGCTTTCTTCTTCAAGTTCTTAGCTTCCATTTCATCCAGTTTTTTTCTTCATACTTCTTGTAATAATCACCCTGAAAGAGAAATCAGTTATCATCCCATTTATCTTAATACTACTGCTAATAGTCATGACTCTAATACCAGATTGCCAGAGTTCGAATTCTGGCTCAACTATTATTTACTGTGCCCTTAGGCAAGTCACTTAACCTCTCTATACTTCAGTTTCTTCATCTGCAAAATGGAAATAATAATAGCATTGATCTCACATAATTGTGAGGATTAGTTATATATGTAGAAGAACAGTGTCACAAAGGAAGCATTCACTAAGTATCATTAATATTATCACTGTAATACTTTAGGTATTTCAAAAAAAATTTTTTTAGTTGCCATGGTGTCTGAGATACTATGTTTGCTTGGTTTTGAAAAAATCTGAGTAGTTGATTCTTAGATGCTCGATTTGAATTTCAAATCCATTTTATGACAAACTAAACCCTGTGCATTGGTCTGAGTTGAGTTGGATACATGATAAGAGTTTGAACAGAGGCAGATTTTAAATTGTAAAATCAGCTTGTATAATCCCAGCATTTTGGAAGGCTGAGGCAGTTGGATCACTTGAGGTCAGGAGTTCGAGACCAACCTGGCAAACATAGTGAAACCCCGTCTCTACTAAAAATACAAAAATTAGCCGGGCATGGCAGGACACACCTGTAGTTTCAGCTACTCAGGCAGCTGAGGCAGGAGAATTGCTTGAACCCAGGAGGCAGAGGTTGGAGTGAGCCGAGATCATGCCACTGCACTCCAGCCTGGGTGACCTCAAGCAAGACTGTCTCAACAACAACAACAAAAAAAAAATGTAAAATCAAAATGCTGCAGGGATTCTAGGAGGTCAGCCCCATTTCTTTTCTTTCAGCCCGAACTTCACCCTTACCATCTCACACCTATGTCAAGCAGCTTCATGCTTCCAAGACTAAATGACGTGATGTTGGACTTTTAAATACTTCCAGGTTTCATGTCCTCTTGACTAAATATTTGAGGCAATAGTATAGTGAAGAGAACATGGTTTCAGGCAAAACAAATCTGAGGTTAAATTCTTGCTTTAACATTTGCTCCTTGTATAAACCACGGGAAAGTTTACATAGCCTAAACTTTCTGTGCTTCAATCTCCTTATCTATAAAATGAAGTTGGTGCTCATCCTGCAAGGTTGTTGTACAGAGTAGGTTATAAGCTTATACAGCATCAGGAATAATGTAGCTCAATATCATACCTGCAGATAAAGATATAAACAGAAAATATTTCTCAAAATTATACTATATGATCATTTCAACAGTAAGATATGTATTCTATGAGGAAGCAAATGATAATAACTAAACTGAAAAGTTTCAAATGGCTATTTAGAATACAAAAGTAATTGATGGTATGATTCATTTAAGCAAATATTTTTAAGATACCACTGTACTTTGATTTCTAAATCTAAGAGATTAAAATGTGGCTTTGAGTTTTTATTTTTACTTCAATTTAAATATTTTGTAATAAGAGATAAATTTGTCAGGCCAAAATTTGTAATTTGCTTATCAAACCACTTTATTTTAGAAAAGAGAGTAATTAGTGTGCAGATGTAGTCCATGATATCTTACAAAGGTTCTTACATCATTATAAGCTAAGAAATAGTGCATGAAAACTAAATATGGACATTATCTGCTTGCTTGTTTTGTGTAAGTCCCCGAGATTTATTCCAGCAAGACTGATAAGCAGAGAGAATGAAATAAAAAAGGCAGAAGGCCAAAGTGTCATAAATGCTGTTATTCGATAAAAGCTATTCACTTGAGGTTCATTACAACACGTTGGAAAAAATGATCATCCCATATTTAGACATAAGTGATAGCAAACCAAATACTCTGTAAAAGATGTGATACTGTTATACAACAACACACAGAACCATATTCATTTTATTATTGCTACTTATGTGGCCTATAGTGTTAGTAGGAAACTTGATTTGATGTACATGATATAATGTTTGGAAGCTGCTCTGATTATTCTACCCTAATTAGCAGGATGTCTGGTAAAAGTCAGCAAACAACAAAATCCCTCAGTTTAGTACAAAAAATCTAACTCTCAAATCTCCATAATATTTTTAAAACAAACAAACTAGGACATGAATTTTTTTTCCTGGATTCATCTTTTTCAAAAATTTCCAAGATTATTCCAGTCGATACATAAGACAGGGCACATATTGTTAAGGATAAGTTGTCAAAGTGAATATGAAATGTGCTTCTCAAAATATCATTTACACATTTACCAGATGGTAAAATAAACATATAAATTGTTATCAAGTATACACCAAGTTTGTATTAAAATTTTATGCATTGTAGGGTGTAAAAATTATCACATATTGTATTACTTGTTCAGTTAATAGTTTATTAGCGTTTCATAAATATTTTCTTTAAGAAAATTACTTAAATGGTCAGAGAATTTATATACTGCTGACCAGATCTAAAGAAGCTATGAGGGCCGGGAGTGGTGGCTTATGCCTGTAATCCCAACACTTTGGGAGGTTGAGGTGGGCGGATCACTTGAGGCCAGGAGTTCAAGACTCTACTAAAAATACAAAGAATTAGCTGGGCATGGTAGCAGGCACCTATAAGCCCAGCTACTCAGGAGGCTGAGGCAGGAGAATTGCTTGAACCTGGGAGGCTGAGGTTGCAGTGAGCCGAGATCGCGCCATTGCACTCCAGCCTGGGCTACAGAGCGAAACTCTACCTCAAAAAAAAAAAAAAAAAAAAAAAAGAAGAAGCAGCAGCTATGAACTTCATTAGAAAATGCAGAATAATGAATTCTCCCATCCATTCATTGGTCAAAGGTAAAAATAACATTTAAAAAATTCTAATTAAATCCATAGGTAAATATAGTTTACTTAATACCTTTGTAAGATGTGGCATTAAACAAGGACACTAATTTGATGGACATGCGCACTTTTACATTGAGGATTATCCAGAACATTCCAGGTTAGAGTCCTCTGCTTATCAACAACTACTACAACAATTTAAAGTTCCAAAGAATGTTGACAAAAAAATAAGAAGATTAAACCTCTGTAAAGTTTAAATTTATAAAACCTTTTCAATTTGATCTTGGTTCATAATTTTTGAAGATCAGTAGGAGCACTTTATGGCACATCTAGCCTCCTTTTGGATTTAATCACAAGTTTCAATACACAGAGTTGGCATTAGTGGCTCAGTCTATCTGTCACATTTCATTTCTCTCTGGCTATGTGGCCAGATTTATCTGTAGCATGATCATTTAAAAAGCAGTATTCTTATAACAGAATATTTAAGGCAGAATTCCTGGAATAAAGCTACCTTTAGAATGAATCAATAAGCCAATCACCAAAGCTTAACTTATCTCAGAAACACATGATCATTATTTTTTAAATGAGTTCTTTTTTAGCTTTTCCACCAGAGTTACTATTTTGACTTAGGAGATCCTATAAGTCAGGAGCACAGCCCAAAGCATCTAGTCCAGCTGTAAAATTTCCTTCAAATCTCACGTTTTAAAAGAAATCCATAGAGAAAGGATCAATGAATCACAATAGAAAAGTTCCTCAAGGGTCACAGAGGTAACTTATTATTATGTTTGCTCAGCTCATGGAAATCAATAAACAATATGAAAAAGTGAGGTTCAAAGACCTGTCTGCTTTCACCAAGAAACCTGGAACCTAAAACCTTGGGCTTTTAGCTTTTCATGTATCAAATTCAGGATTTATTGTCTTCCTAGAATAGACTACGGATTAATCCATTGAGCAACAGGGGTTTTTGTCTAGTGTCTCCTGAAAATCAGGGGCATCAGAATTGCTTAGAAGAGCATTTTCCCTGCACTGTGTTCCCAATAACCTAGATATTGTTGGAGGCACGTTAGGAGTCACTGGATGAACTGAGCAAGAAAGGCCCAGTGACCAGAAGTCCAGGGACCTCACCCTGCTTCAACAGAACAGCTCCACATTTACACGTTTTATATTATGCATATCAACGCATTTTGATAAAGAGTTCTGTTGACCACCGTCATCCCTGGTAAACACAGACAGAAAATTCATAATATTTTTTTAGTGCTTCTTTATTTTGAATGCGTTATCTCTTTTTTGTTTGTTTTGTTTTTGTTTTGTTTTAAGACACATTCTCTGTCACCCAGGCTGGAGTGCAGTGGCACAATCTGAGCTCACTGCAACCTCAGCCTCCCTGGCTCAAGCAGTCCTCCCACCTCAGCCTCCCAAGTAGCTGGGACTACTACAGGCACCCCGCCTGGCTAAGGCTGGTCTCAAACTCTTGGGCTCAAGCAATCCACCAGCCTCAGCCTCCTAAAGTGCTGGGATTACAGGCATGAGCCACTGCACCTCGCCCTAATGTGTTATCTTAAATATGAATTTAAATAAGTTTGAATTAGAACTAAGTATATGAGAAATGTGTAAGTAATTATGGCAAAAATTATAGACAAAAAGTATTTTATTGATGTTGATGGAATTTTGCTGAGAAATTAGAGTCCTGTTTTTTGGGGTTCTGCTAAGTACTTTTAGCCTGTTTCCTTCAGTTCATCTGCCAGTTAAGAGAGTAATGTAAACTATATGGTGACAGAAAAAAAACTAATGCCTGCAACTGTAAAAAATGGCTTTTTCAATAAAAGCAAAATATATAACAAACACATATTACAATGAAGTTATTTAAAGCAATGTAAAAGTTTGCTTACAACCTGAAAAGAAAAAAAAGAAGTAGGTGTTAACTACCCTATGATACCTTCTGATCTGCATATGTGGCAATTCTATCAAAACATTTGAATAAATAAACAATTTGTCATTCCTTTTTCTTATATATTGATGGTTTGGTTCAGTACTGAAAGAGATTTTATGTCCTGTTGTTAGCTAACACAGTAATAAAATTTGTATAGTACTTCCCAATATGCAAAGTGCTGTCAGATGTATTATTTAATAGTGAAATAGAATAAATGTTCCTTTTATTAATAAAAAAAGAAATAACATAAACTTTACCTTCATATTTTTCAACTTGTTTTAAAATGAAATTAACATGCACTCCCAAATCCTTAAGTAAAATTAACAATCTAGAAAGGTGTGTCATATTATTCCTGTAAGTTTTCTCTTACATCATCCCACCCCAGGATTACACATCTCTCAGCATTATATGTTCCCTAGTTAATGAATGTCTTCCTATTTTAGATGCCAGTTTTTAATCTTATCAATGTGATCAAATATAAGTTGCACAATAGTTCACATGGTTCCTTCTATGAGAATTCATAATAAAAGTCAATTAAGTTTAATCAAACTCTTATTTCCATTTGATCAGAGGCTCAATTTGTCTTAATCTAACGCTCAAAATGTTCCATTATATGGCACCCAGCTTTTCTAATCTTACCTTCCTTTTATCTCCTCTACTAACTCGTTTCCCAGGCATGAAAACCTGTTTCTCAAATAGGTCTCTGCTTCCCTACCTCATAGAATTTGCTTATGACCTTTTTTCTGTCCAGAATGCCTTTCCACCCCAGGAAATCTGCAAGTCCAACCTCAACAAGTGTCACAGCCATAAAGGTTTTCATAATTATCTCAGCTAGACATAACCACACCCTCCCTTGTGCTTCCAAAGGATTTTTCCTATGCTTCTATTCTAGAACCCACTACTCTCACCACTTTTTATCTTGTAATAGTGTTTTCACAAATCACAGCGAATCCATATTTAATTCATCTTACAATCCCCATGATGCCTTATATAATGCCTCAATCATAGTCAGCAATTAACAGAGGCTTGCTAATCAAAATAATCAAATCCATATAAAAAGTATTTGTTATATCAGTTTATATGATCAGATAAAGGATCCCAAATCTTTCTATGAAGGGAAGCTACTTTTCATTTCTCAAAGTTGTGAGAGCAAAGGAAGTAGAAGAAGAGAAAGGAAATTCATCTACACCACAATAACCCTAAACAGAAACATGAAATGGGAGTGTAACACTGTCCATTATTGCTCTTCTCTCAACTGGCAAGCCACAGGAAAAAAGAGGAATGGTCAGCTTGGAGGTCTATCAGGAAGGCCTTGGAACTAACAGCAGAGAAATCCTGAGCTTTGGTTCAGGTATTCCTATCTTAGTTCACCTTGGTAAGTACATACTCACTAGGATTTCTATGAAATGAACTATTGCAATGTTGCTTGAAGTTTGCAAATAAATAAACTGGACCTTTTTGTTTAATTATAGTTCAAAACAGCAAAAAAAGCAAGAATAAATAAAATGTATTAGTCCAAAAATTTCATTTTAGAAATATTTGTATCCTCCTTCTTGCCAAATTGCATTTACTAATACACAGATTTCATTTTTACCACACACTTAACTTTTTGTTGTCTAGTAAAAATAAGAAGTAAAAGTAATCAAAAGCTTGGCAGATGGGGGCAAGTGAGAAGTAATGTACACAGATAATTCAGAAACAGGAAATGCCTAAATAATAAAACTTTGACCACATATCATTTATAGAAAGTATGTCAATTGAACAAACAAAAGAAGCATAATTATACAAATAAAACTTGGGGATCTCAAAAAATTCTAACACAATCTTATTTTATTCTCTTAAAAGGTTCAATACAGTATGATTAGGATAATAAAATCTAGTTTCAAAAAATATAATAAATCTAAAACAAGGAAAAAACTAAAAACTGTGCATTTGTTCTCTAATCTTTTTACCATTTTTCAATCTGGGAACACTTCTAAATTTAGGAGTAAGCTATAATAAGCCACGATCATATGACTGCCTAGTTTCTTGAACATTAATAAATACTTAATTCCAGCTTACATGAAATATTGCATTTGGAGAGGTGGGTACTATGTAGTATAAAAACTAAGTCGAATCAGTAACTTTAACTTTTCTTCTTGTTGGTTTCCTTTTATTTTTAAATCCCAGAACCCAAAGATTTCTAAAGATTGTGTAAGCTAAATTATTTGTACATAACAAAAACTATATGGCTTTTCTAATACTGTAAGCTTAGAAAATCCCAGTATATTTAACCAAGCATTTTCCTTTTATCTTTTTGAATTTTAACCATTTTGAATCCTACAGCTGGTGAATTTTCATATTCTACAATTATGTTTCTCATTGCATTCTATCTTCTAGTTATGGTATAATGTTCCCACATATAAATATTATGTAAAACACAAATGCAATCAATTAATATTAACTTATTCCTAGGGATAATAATAGCAATAATAACTCGTCATACTTTAGTGAATTCTGAATCTGAGTGAAACAAGAATACCAAGTTTCTATGATATTTCTATTGCAATATACCGAATACAACAACTTCTCAAATATGTAAATTAATTTGTGACTCAGTTTGCTGGGTAATGTTCACATCATGACTCAAATAGATGCAACTACTTAAAAATGAATGACTTGGGAGGCTGCCATGGACTATGAAGCTGTGTGAGTAAGTAAGCTGCTTGTATCTGGCCTATATTGAGAGGAAGAAATTTTTCCATCTGACATATTTAGAGGTAATCCCTCTATAACAGAATTAAAATATGGTATATGGATGGCATTGCTTATACAGACTTCCCACCGTTAGAATTCTGTATTGTTCCATGGATTGGGACTATTCTTGATGCTCTGGCATTTATTCTTTTAAGAATGACATCAGATGTCAAACATATATTATTTACAGACAACCTTCCAATTTCAGTCTATCTAGATAAAAGCTACCTTATGGATGATTGCAGAGTTTCCAGATATAGCAGTAATCATCATGTTTTATCATGATGAACTGGAGGAAGAGTACAAATGCTTCTTTTATACAAAAATTGAGAAGACAATGTACTTCAGGTCACTTTTCTCTTATAGTCAAGGAGATAAACTGCCAGTTCTAAAAGGTGACCATGCTACTCCTATCAAACTACCAACATCATTTTTTCACAGAATTAGAAAAAATATTTTAAAATTCATATGGAACCAAAAAAAAGCCCCCAAAGCCAGTGCAATCCTAAGCAAAAAGAATAAAGCCAGAGGCAGCAGGCTACCTGACTTCAAACTATACTACAAGGCTACAGTAGCCAAAACAGCATGGTACTGATACAAAAACAGACACATAGACCAATGGTACAGGTTACAGAACCCAAAAATAAAGCTGCACACCTACAACCATCTGATATTTGACAAAGTCGACAACAACAAGCAATGCAGAAAGGACTGCCTGTTCAATAAATGGTGCTGGGTTAACAGGCTAGCCATATGCAGCAGATTGAAGCTGGACCCCTTCTTATACCATACACAAAAATCAACTCAATATGGATTAAACACTTCAATGTAAGACCTAAAACTACAACAACCCTAGAAGAAAACCTAGGAAATACCATTCTGGACATAGACCTTGGCAAAGAGTTCATGACAATGTCTCCAAAAGCAAATGCAACAAAACCAAAAATACACAAATGGGACCTAATGAAACTAAAGAGCTCCTGCACAGCTAAAGAAACTATCAACAGAGTAAACAGACATCCTACAGAATGGGTGAAAATATTTGCAAACTATTCATCTGACAAAATTCTAATATCCAGAATCTATAAGGAATTTAAACAAAACTCAACAACAAAAAGCAAACAACCCCATTAAAAAATGGGCAAAGGACATGAACAGACACTTCTCAAAAGAAGACATACAAGTAGCCAACAAGCATATAAAAAAAAATGCTCAGCATGACAAATTATTAGAGAAATGCAAATCAAAACCACAATGAGATACCATCTCACACCAGTCAGGATGGTTATTATTAAAAAGTCAGAAAATAACATGTTGGCAAGGTTACAGAGTAAAGCTTATACACTTCTAGTGGGAATGTAAATTAGTTCAGCCACTGTGGAAATCAATTTGGAGATTTCTCAAAGAACTTAAAACAGAACTACTATTCAACCCAGCAATCCCACTACTGGGTATATACTCAAAGGAATATAAATCGTTCTACCAAAAAGAAACATGTATTTGTATGTTCCTCACAGCACCATTCATATTAGCAAAGACATTGAATCAACCTATATACCCACCAATGGTAGACTGGATAAAGCAAATGCAGTACATATACATCATGGGATTCTATATAGCCATTAAAAAAAATCATGTCCATTGCACAACATGGATGCAGCTGGAGGCCATTATCCTAATCAAATTAATGTAGGAACAGAAAACCAAATATCACGTTTCCACTTATAAGTAGGAAGTAAACACTGAGTACACATGGATAGAAGAAAGGGAACAATACACACAGGGTCCTACTTGAGGGTAGGGGTTAGAAGGAGGGTGAGGATTGAAAAACTACCTACAAGGTACTATGCCACCATTAATAGCTGTTAAACTTCAAAAAAAAAAAAAAAACTACTGTTTCATTATAAAAACAAACAAAAAACCTAGAGTGTCTCCCAGACTTCGCAGCGCAGACTTTGCAGCACACTGGAATCACTTAAGAATCTTTAAAAAGTACAGATATGTGTATCTCAACACAAGATACTCACATCCTGATTTATTTGGGATGGGGTGTGAATCTGAGAATGATAATTTTTAAAACTCCTCTGGTGCTTCTAATGTGAAGCCAATGACCTAGAGGATAGGAGAAGTCACTGCTATCTTCTTCCCTCCACTCAGCTGTGCCTTAGTGTCAGGAAAAGGAGGCAGTTCATGCAAAGAACCACACCAACAAGTGTGGGCCTGCTTATCTCCAACACCAGAAGTCACCTTGATTTTCAATAAATCAATATGCTTGGAGGAAGTGTGTGTGTGTGTGTGTGTGCGTGTGTGCATGGTGGGAGGCAGGGAGAGAAAGAGAAAGGGGAGAAAAATATGGACTGTGAAAAAAAGAAACATAAAGATAAGATAAAGTCCTAAATAAAATAAAGCAATCTTAAAGAGAAATGCCTTAATGATTTTAAAAAACAAACAAAAAAAGCCCCTGCAGATCATCATGGAATATTGTAAAGAACAGTTTCTCCATCTTTATTCCCAATCACACTGTATGCCATACACTCAAGTATGTTATTACATAAAAAGTGATTCCCACGATTGCTAACATGTATAGTCTACCATTCTAGAAATGAAATATCAAAATGTGTGTGTAGAGACTTAAGAGGAAACAGAACATTCTAGGCTAGTTAAATTAACAGTAATACTATGGCAATGTTTTTCAAACTTCAAGTCCCTATATATTAGAGAACCATGAAATAAATTTACTAGGTCATAACCAGAATTTTCTTTTCAAGGAAATTAAACACAAAAGAAAAATATCAGAGTATATCAAATGTGACACAGGTAAACATTATTTTGTGAAACTTTTGTTTGTGGGCATGTACATATGTTTATTACTGTGAGTCCCAGTTTAAAAAGTTTGAAAGCCACTGCTCTAGAGGTAGTTCTACCCTAGCTCAGAACATTTGAACTCAAACTGCATAGGCAGTCAGAAGTCCACAAAATCCATGGTGTTTAAGTCTGGAAGGTATTTGAAAGATTAATTATAACTTCATTTTACAAATGAGGATAGTGGAAATCATAAGACATACAGCCTCTTACTTGTGCCCACAGTTTTCTACTATACCACAGGAATCAAGTTTCTTTGAAACCTGTATTTTCAGAACTCATTTAATATGGTATCTTACATACTAAATTTCCATGACACCAATTACAAATTTTCAGTTATATAAACACTTTTTTGACATGGCATTTTTACCAACTTCTTACTCAAATGGAAATTGTACTACATGCAAATTAAGTAATAATAAATTTAAAGACTCTTGATCCTAATGTTAGGAAGTAGATAATTATTTACATAAATAGGAGATTATTGAAAGAGCACTTCAGACTCCAACAGGAAATCCTCAAAGAGCACACAGTCATGACAGCACCTAGAGCAGCAAAATGCAAGGAGTGTCAAAAATCACCTATTTGCTTTTCTTGATTTTATGTCCTTATTCTCTGGACTCATCAGGCTACTATACATACACACCACACACACTCACACACACAATTTATATTTTGAAATATGACCCTAAAGCAAAAACAATTTAAAATAAAATGTGTGTCACTTTAAAAGTTTAAACTCAGAAACAGAACAGAGTTTCCTAAACAAGTGGTAATGCAAGTAAGACTGTTTCTCATGATCTGCAAGGCCTGAATCTCTTAGGTTTTGTACCTTATTTTTTTATGGCTATGCTGAGAAAGGGCTGATAGTGATATATTTACTTAATAAGATATAGTGCAGATAATTGTAGAACCCTTCCTATTTAATAGTGGCGTGTACACTTCATATTGCAATCTTCTCAAGGGATTAAATTAATATTAACTAAGAAAACTTTGCTTTTTAAAAAATTCCTCTTAATCTTCATCATGCTAAACTTAGGTGAAGAGTAAAGAGAAAGTGAATTGGCATCAGATGGTTCAAGGAAAGACAATCCAAATGTCAATTAAAATGTATTAGGCTACAAGAAATAAGAAACCATGGAGGAGGGGAAGGCCGTTAGAAAATGGGTTGAAAAGACATATTAAGAAAAACATTACCAGATCTTCTTTCCTCCACCTTATTCTTCCATATCACATGTCACATGTCTAGCAAGTTTTCTTAGGAGAGCTATATGAGGACATACCCTGTGAAAAGCAAATGCTACGGAAACCTGTAAAATGAATGAATGAATGAATGAATGAATGAGCAAAAAGAGAGAACCATGAAAGAAAAGTTGGAAGAAGGAAGGGAAAAGTGAAGGAGTTGCAGAATCTGTGATTCTCAATCACCCAAAGGGCTAATTATGATTTTAAATGGCTAGGAGAATAAAGATTAGCCTGTAATAAGGCCATTACATTTCGTTAAGAGGACACTGGTGAACTTAGTAAGAAAGATTGTAATGTCCGTGCAAATGAGAAAGCTGAATTGAAAAGGATCAAAGAAAGTATTGAAACATGGGTCCTAAGTACAACAAAAGAGAGCAGGGATAAATGCAGTGCCTCACATAGCTAAGAATGTTATGTGTAAAGAAGAGAACAGAAATACCAATAAGAGACAAAAATATCAAGTTGTCCTTTCACAAATACAAAAAAGAAACAAGATAATGAAAAAGTGACTATCAAGAGATGAAGTAATTATAGAAGTTCATAGGAAAAAAGTATAATAATGTGGGGAGGTGAAATAGAAAAACATATTCTAACCAATATTTGTTCCAAAAACATTGCTTTTTTCCCCCAATTGCTTTTGGGGAAAATAGAAAAGTTCTGACCTGAAATAAACAAACTGATGAATCAGGCATAGATTTTATAAAGATTCAGGTTCAGGGTGGTAGCGTGAGAAAAAAAAAAAAAGAGTAGGTTAAAAAAAAAGTTGTTGGCAAGAGAGTCAACAAGGGCAAAATGAGTGTCAGAGAGAGAGCAGAGTTGGAGGAGGAAAGAACAAATTTGTTGAGAAAGAAGTCAGTATGTTTCTTTGTCTTTCTCCACAGGAACAAAGCAGAAAGAAAGCATAAATTAAAAGAGTGAATCCCAAAGGTGAATGAACTCTAAGAATTATTAAGAACACAGTCATTTTAACAAACAGCAAATTAAGGCAGAAGTAGAAAAAAAGATTTTATTTGAACAAAACATATAACATTAAATGGTAAGTAAACTGGGAAAGGATAAGTCCTCATTACAGTTTCTATTTTCTCAAAGAAAGGTGCTAAGTAGTAAACGTTGCTATTATTTGGTAAAAATTGTCTCCGAAATTATAATTTTGCAATTCAAAAACACATTAGGTTATAAAAGTACTAGCCACCTTTTGAAACATACTTAATTAGGAGCAATACTTTGGCCTTCAGTAAATTCTCAATTGAACAAGCCATTCAAAATAATAGAAAACTATATAATAACTGGAAAGTTCTCATAAAATGTCTGTATTGATTCTTATGGCCTAACCTGAATCTACATAACACGCATGTGTATTTTTAAGGTCAAGGATGTTGAACTAAAAAACATATGTGATAGCTTAATATTGTCAATACAAAGATTAAACTAATTTAAATAGTTGTAACTCCACAAAATAGCCTATAATTTGACTACATTACAAAGGGGTAGAAGTGATTTTGCAAATTCGTATTTTAGATACAAAGAAAATATTATCTCCTAGTGCACAGGGAGAAAATAACATCCTGGAGCTCTACAAAGAATAACCTTTTGTTGATAAAAGATGGCAAATGTTTGAACGTTCACGGGTATGCATATCACAACTCAAAAAGGATATTTAAAACACATGCACAATTCAAACACACATATGTATCTGAAGTACTAATGCCTTCTATTAGCCTTCAAAGGCAGACTTACGTGTGCCCACAAATGGCAACCCAGCAGGCAGTGACATCAGTCCTAGAAATGATGTGGCCTGTATAGTGTGCAGTGAAGTGCAGTGCTCTACTTGTTTGCAATGGTTTTATTTTTCGACTAGTTTTTATCACACTTGGCATGAACAAGGGAACATGTGCTTTGCTAAATTTGAACTTTTAAGATGAAACTGAATTAACTGAGAACCAAAAAATTGCTTCTGAATTTTCCTAAGATTGAAAAATGCCTTCCCTCTCATACTAGGAATGGCAAAATAAATGACAAATACATCTTGAAAGTTTAAATGTGAGCTAGGAAGACCCTGTGGTTTCAGAACAACATTGTTGGCTTTTTTCTTTTTTTAGACACCTGAAATAAGATAAGACTGTAATGTAAAGGCTTTTTCCCACACAGTACCCTTTTGCTAACATGAAGAGATGTATGAAATCTAAACCTAAAAGACCTAATATAAGCACTTAACCTAATATAAGCACGATTTGTTTTCTTTTTCAACCAGAAAGTTTAATTAATTTGCCATTTCTTAAAAGTTAGTAACCATCAAAATATAGAGTCAACTCTTGTTCCAGAATTTAATATTATATTCTTTTTTTTCTACTAGTATTGGAACAAAATAACTATATTGACTAAAACAACCAGACACATATCCCTAGAGACGCCCTCCTCTCCTAAACTTCCTCTTCCTTCTCATAAAAGGCGTGCCAGGGTACCTAAGTATAAATACTTTGTATATAAAATGAGTGCCCTGTCATGCTGATATTTTTAAGGATTAGAATTCAAAATAATTTTAATACACAATTCAAGTTCTAAATTGCAGGATATGTTTATAAGGAATCTAGTGATAAGTAATAGGTCAAACAACCTGTAGGAATCAGCTTGTAGTGCAAGCTTCATTGCATTAATAATGTCACAGTTAGCATGTTTATTAAATTAAATATTACCAGCAAGGGTCTTCTAGATGCCATGTTCCTAATACTAGATTACATATTTCTTTCAGAGTTAGCATAGTAAGAGGGGGAGCTATCACTGGAAGGTCTATTAAGCCATGTGGTTTTTTTTCATTGCTTTAATAGAACTATTCAAATCAAATTTTTCACGCCATGCCTTGAACACCACTGCAAACCATACTGTGGGTGTAAAATACATGCAAGGAAGATATAATCAGCTCAGATGAGACCAGTGACTTGTACACCATCAAGTTTACTTTATTGTGAAAGCAATGGGGTTTTCTTTCAAGTGAATATATTTTTTAATGTGTGGCAGCCTAACACACAAACTGAGGATGGGAACCAGGAAAACACACAAATCTCAGAGCAACTGAATTAAACCAAGTATAACGCAATGCCTAAAATTTTATCTAGTCTTCTCTGAGAGACTCTTATTTTGTTCTGGTAAAAGAAAACCCGACTGTCCAAAAGTAAATCTTGTTGCACTCAGACTGTAACTTCAATAAATCACATAATTCAACTTCCTTAAAAAGTATCAGTTACTTTTTAAAAAACTGATTTTACTGATATTAGGCTAAAATATTACTCTTTTAAATGTCAAAATTAGCCAAGCAATCACCAACATACCAGGGTAAATTAAATATGTTTAAAATTGATCACTATCTTTAAAGTTGCTGACTACTTCATAAGTACATTTGTCTAAAAATGATAATTGTTGCTGTTTCTTTCACGGGAATCTACACAGGTTTGTTTTCAGCAAGAACATGGGTTCTATGTTTTTTCCCCCGTCTCATGGCCAAAATGCCTATATGATAAAGTAACTCAAATACACACACAAAAGGTGCTGCACCAGATAGGACAGGCTGAACATCTTATAAAAATCACTTGTGAACACATACGTTGTCCAAATACCTATGAAGCATTTTAAACTCTGGGAATATAAACGGCCTCTGTTCAACGAAGCTTTTGTTCCAAACCTGCATCTTAAGCAGAAAGTAGAGCATCCTTTAAAGCTTCAGCGCTAAAAATATAAATACTCAATAACACCCCAAAAAAAGGTGGGTCACAAAGAGTTGTAGCAGTGAGATTTATATGAAAATGTTAACTGCGGGGGATAAGAGGTTCAGAAAGTTATCTATAGACCCTAAATTACTACAATTTAAAAGCTCCAGTGATGTAAGTCGGTCCTAAAAAGACAGAAACAACCTGATTTTTGAAACAAACTGTTCAGTAAGTTTCTGCTAGTCCGAAACAGGATTCCACGTCCTAAATCCTATTCGGCTGCCGGGCCTGGCTCTGAAAGAGCAGCGGACAGAGGCTGCGCGCTTAGGCCAGAGCCCAGGCCGCGGCCCTTTTCAACTGATGCTGGGGTCGGGGGTACTCAGAACTGCCTGGACCCCAGCTGGGACCTGCGGCCTGAATTGGGCCTGGACTTCCTTCTAGTCTCGCCCCACAGCCTGCTTCTCGGCCTGGACCTCTGACCTGGATCCCCAACTGTGACAGCCCCGGGCGCCGCCGCCCGCCCGACGGCAAAGCAGTAGAGCCCCGGCCCAGGCCTCAGGAGCGACCCCGCACCCGGGCGAGCTCCCGGACGCCCGTCCCCGCTGCTCTGGGCTCGGGTGCACCAGGGCCAAGCTGCAGCCTAGCCTGTGGGGGCAAGACCGGCCTGCCTCCCGCCGCCGCAACGCGCTTTGTTCCCGCCTCTGTCTACCCCGACGGGCGGCGTCCACCCGGAAGGTTGAGAACCCAGGCCGCAGCATCTCCCAGCCCGAGCAGCACCCGCCGCCGGCACGCTCAGCCCCGAGGGACATTGAAAGTTAGTTAAGATGGCGCGGATTGCGAGTGGCGGGAAGACACGAGCCAGAATACAGTGCTAGCCGCACGCTCGTCTTCTTCTTTCGTCCTCTTTTTGAAAATACACTGTTAAAAACTGAGGAAATCTGAGTTTACGGAGAGGAATCGCCGTTCCTCTCAGGCTATCCCCTGACCCCTGCCCTCAGGAGAGAAAAGGCAACTCTCTTCTAACAGGAGACGCGAACTTTGATTCCCAAAGGGCCTGCCAAATCCAGCCTCTGATTTCCTTTGAACAGCCTCAGCCTCTCAGACGCACTGACAGTGTCATTTCACCAGACACCCAAGACTTCTTGGAAGCGAGGAGAAATGATCATGTTTTAAAGGGACAAGACAGCACAATGCCTCCGAGAGGAGCGCGAAGCTGCAAATTTACCTCACGCTGACTCAGTCCACGCAGCAGATGGTGGCGGAGCTGCAAGGGAAACGACCTCCCCAATTTTTTAAAAATACTTCCTAATATCAACCAAAGCGCGTCTTTCAGAACAAGGCACTACGTTCCTGTGAAATCTATCCTCGGCTCCTAAGAGCTTCGTTTACGCACATGACACCGACTCTTTTGCTCACGGTGACTGTCCCGAGGGCGGCGGGTAGCGCCGGGCAGCGCCGGGCTCCAGGGCTCCCGCGCTCCAGTGGCCCAGCCTGGGCGGAGAGCAGAGCGCGGCCCCCGCGGCCCCGCGGCCTCGAGCCCCGGCACCCCCCTGGCTCCCCGGCCCTGCGCCCCACCGACCGCACGTGCTCCTCCTCCTCGGCGGGAGTAGGCGGCGGGGTCGGAGGAGCGCAGCCGGGGTCGGGTGGGTGATGACACGAATGCACTGCTCCACTTCACTCGCCACACATGCACCGTGTCTTGTACTTTTGTCCTCTTACTTAGTTCTTAGATGTGAGGAGGGGAAAGAAACACAAAGGAAATTCAGTCCTCGCTTTTTTATGTGGCAGACAAAACTCCACGGAACGCCGTCTAGTGGCGGAATTGTCCAGGGAAGGCAAGTTAGTTTTATCCTCCCACGAATTTTCATTTTAATTAGAAATTTGAGGCCTCCTTACATCTGTCAAACTGCAGAAAGGACACAGGACAATGTCTATGTAAAGGTAAATTTAGTCCTGTAACCTGAGGCTGGCCCAGACTAAGCAAGAATGTGGAACCATTTTCCGCCTCTTGCCTGGATCACCTCTCTTTGGAGACAAAAGTACAAAAATCGCTTCTCCACGAGGTAAAGAGTTCTGCGGACTTCACTAGACGCAGCGCCCTCCAGGTTGGGATTTCGCATTTCTGCATTTGTTCCCCAGGTGTGAATCTGGCAGGGATAGGACTGGCATAAGATTCCACTACAGAAGGGATAGAGCAGTGCCCCTACCCCCAGCCCAGATGCCTCCCAGAAGCAGTTTTAAGCTCAGTGGTTAAAAAACGACCCTTTCGCGAGTTTGTTCTACGTGTCTTTCGCCACCCTACCCCTGCCCAGTCTTCGGAAACCATCCACTCAAGAAATGTAGGCTGTTCTGTGTCTGCGTTTACAGATTCGCCACTCACCTCCAAGGCCTCGTATGTACAACCAGAATTTACTAAATCTGCGGTCAACATCCTATTTTGACATGCATTTAAATTACACCCTACTTTTGGCCAACGCCTCCCGCCTTACTCTGTGAAATTTAAAGAAATTCTTAACTCCTTATTTAAAGAACCTCCTTTTCCTGTTCGCATTATTTCCAACTTCAGAGAGAATCAGATAAATATGATGAGAAAAGTGCATATGTTTTCCTGAAAAAAGAAAATGAGCGCAGAAAAGTGAGACTTGGCTCATAGGTAGCTAAATAATTATAAATAAGAAGAAAAAAGTAGCTCCTGGAAGTACTATAAAACAAATTTAAGGGGGGAATGGGAGGTGGCTTCCATTAAACAGGCTGCCCATATTGGAGTGGGGACGGGCTAGTCTTCCTTAACCCTTAAATATCATCACCTATAATAATTAAATTATTTTCAAACTGTAAACTGCTTTCAAACACCATAGTTAGCGTTTTTACCAGGTTTATTTTACTTGTTATACACAGACGATACAAACGAGCAAAAAACAAAACGTTTCTCAATGGAGTGTGTTCTTGTATAAATTATTCAGTTCACAGACAAAACGAAACAAATATAAAAATCACAACATTAGATTTACAGAAGAGCCAAAATATACACACGTTTAGACCCTGAATTCCTATTAGGAAAAATCCCCCCATGGACTGGAATCTAGATTGAATATTGTGTATGATGCATATTTCACATTAATTTTTAAATACAAAAAAGTATAGGTTTGCTACACAACATTAGAAATCCTACTAATCTATTTCCAGGGGGATTAATGCTCCTTATCAAATATAACAAGACTTAGGGGAAAATCAGTCTTACTTGCATTAATGCTAGTGTTCTCCCAAGGAAGTCAAATTTCAGCTGTTTCTAGGTGGTGGGGAAGTCATTTTCAAAACTAAAATGCAGTAAAATATACAACTCACACAATTCATCTTCACTAGACTACACTATAGTTACCAACAATTCAGTCATCTATATCATTAATAGAGTATTCATTACAAAGATTTACAGCATATAAAGGTGAAGGGGTACTGAAAGATATTCAGAAACAGTTTGTCAGCATATTTGGCACCTGCACAGACCAGTAATGGATTTGGCACTTTGGGGAAAAACAAATAAGGCAAAATAATATTGCTGATGTCGAGCTATTCTATTTAGAAGGTGGGGGGAACATACAACTCCAGTTGACTTTGCTTTGCAGGCATCATGCCACTTAATCGACTTGCCTATGAACAGACACCTATCCTTTAAAGGTGTTTGGGTGGATTCTCCTTAGCTATTTGTGTGCATTAGGGCACATAGTAATTATTTCATGCAACGGATTGAGGAGAAGTGGGAAACCCATCACTACTGAGTATTTCATGTTTCTAGAGCCTCTTAGAATATTATCTCACAAGAAAATTAAAAGAGAGAGAAGAGAAAGTATGAGAGGAGAGAAAGAAAAGCAAAGAAAGGAAAGGAAAAAAAGGTTAAGCATGAACTGGTTTTGTGCCTTGACGAGAATAAAAACTAGCCATTCGTTACAATAAATTAACACTATGTACAATCATTTCACAGGCTTTGTTCCACTAAAATTATTAACATCCCTACCATCCATCCATCCATCCATCCACTCGGGGATAAGAAAGGACGCGCTGGGTGGGTCCAGGTTCTAGAGTCAACATCCTATGGTTAATGTGGAGGCCGAGACTTGGCGGGTCGGAATCGCTGCTGCCTGACAGGACTGCCCAGGTCTCCTAAAGGTGAAGAGTTTCATTACAAGAAAGAGAAGTAGGAGGTAAGAGAAAGACGAGGGGGAGGGGAATTGTAGGAGGATAACTCCACAGAAGAAGAGTAAGTAGGAAAACCAAAAGGTTTACAGCAAAGTTGAAGGTCGGTGAGCTAATTGCAGAGACTGCTGTGCAAAAAAGGTTAAAATCACGCTCGGAGACCTGCACTTATTCGCTGCAGACGGCCATCGAGGGTCAAATAAAATGAGTGGGTGCGCAAGGAGGAGTGTGGGGAGGCGGAGCTGGGGAAGAGCTGTGAGGGGCTGGCTGGGGGTCCGGGCCGCGGCGGGGCCGGGCGGGCAGGGGCGGCCTAGCTGTGCGAGTAGAAGCCATAGTAGCCGCTAATGTCCTTGGCGCAGTTCTTCTCGCAGTCCCGCTGGGCCAGCACCTCGCTCTTGAGCGGGGACGAACTCTCGGACACGGGCGTGTCGGCCGGCGAGATCCGCCTCCGCTTGGCCTGCTCGTAAATCCCCGAGTCGCTGGAGTCGATGGACTTGATCGAGGAGGGCGTCTCGATCCAGCTGGAATCGGACAGGTCCTTGGGCTTGGCGTCCTCGGCGGCGCCGGGCGGCAGCGGCGAGCGCTCGGCGGCCAGGCCCTCGGCCTCCTCGCCCAGGTAGGGATTGGCGCCGGCCATGCGCGCGGCGGCCGCGGCGCTGTTGGGCCAGCAGGGCAGCACCGAGCCCGACTTGGTGCCGCAGTACTGCGGGGGACTGCGGGCGCCCCAGCCCGACGGGTCGGCGTAGTAGCCGAGCGGGCGGCCAGTGCAGCCTGCAGCCTGCAGCGGCAGCGCCTTCACGCCCGCCGCCGCGTAAGAGAGCAGCGTGGCCGCGTTGCCCGCGAAGTCCGTGGCCGTGTCATAGGCCGAGGCCGCGAAGTCCAGCCGGTTGTTGGCCGGCGTCACAAACCAGCGTTGCGGCGAGGGCGCGCCCGGGTCCTCGGCCTGCTGCGGCGACAGCAGCCCGTTGGTGTGCGGCACGCTGCGGTCCGTACCCGGCCCGGGGCCCGCGCCCGCGCCCGGGTGGAAGCGGGCCTTGGCGTAGTTGCTCACGAACTGGTCCTGCAGGAAAGAGCCGGCCATGGCGTAGCGGGCCCCGGGCACGATCTGCGAGCGCGGCGAGTCGTTGGGCGAGGGGGTCAGGCGGTCCATGTCACAGCCGGTGTAGATCCTGCGGGGTAGGGAGAGAGAGAGAGAGAGCCGAGGGGTGGCGCGGAGGTCCCTTGGGGTGGGGGTGGGGGCAGAAGGGAAGGCCACCTCCACTTTTCGCCCACCCCCACACCCTCCATCTACAAACTTGCAGTCCAGGATTTCCTGGAGAATACAAGAGGCCACAGACCTCTATCATTCCCAAAATAAATCACGGAATTATAGAGGAGCCAATCTGTCTATGCAGGGACCTGAGCAAGATACAGACCATCAAGGGAACGACTTCCCTCTTCTCTTGCTCTCTCTCGTCAAGTGTACTGGGGTACTGAGAGAGGGGCACAAGCAAGGACTTTCATCCCACTTCTCCAACATATGTGTGCACATTAAGGCAGATTTACCTAGGGAGTAAGATGCTCTTTGCCCAGTGGGCCTTTCCTCTGCGGTCAGTTTATGAGTGAAATTTCTAAGCAAGGTACTCACTCCTCCACCCTTTTAAGACCTCCTGTGTCCATTTGATTGTTCAGGTGATATCTCTCCTTTTTCTAGATTGTTTCAGAAACCCCTAGGAAAAAGCCGCGCACGCAGTAATCATGAAAGACTGGCCTTCACCCGTGTTCTGGAACCCGAGGTTTGCTGCTGGAAGCCTCCAAAGTACTTAGTGTCTATTGTTTCCCCTGTGTGAAACTTTCACTCCCACCTCTACTAATACAAACAAGAATTACTACTCTGAAACAGTAGTCATCAATCAGAAATATTCTCTTAAGAGAAAAGGTGTTCTTTACTCTGACCTTCTTTTCCTAGCTTTTGGTCCGTTACCCGCAGAAACTTCGGGGCAAACCTACAGTGTACTTATCAGCCTACTCCATGCAATGGACCACTAATAATAGCTAACCTTTACGGAGCTCGACTATATGCCAGGCACTGTGAGCTAGGTAACTTTTATTATCCCACTTTACCGATGAGGAAATTGAGGCAAAAGGAAGTTAAATAACTTGCCCAACCAGCGACAGTGATTGTGTTGTTGGGAATTACCTTAGATAAAATAATCAAAGATTAACTTTAGGCCCTGGGCCTAGAAAATCCCATTAGAATTGAGAGGAAACCAAGGGTTGGATGAAGATTGGTAGAAGTGTTTTCTCATACACATGCACACATGCCTCCCTTTTTATTTAGCTCACACATAAATGTTTTAATCTTTAGTCAACAGACTGTTTTGAAGGAGAGCCTCAGTCTTGTCAGACCTTAATCCTTTGGGGAGGAGATTCCCTGGTGAGTGGCCAAGCAAGCTCCTAGTACCCCATGAACCCTTATACTTCTCCCTCTTTCTCCAAAATTGAGCCATGTCCAAGTAACCAACGTAAAAGGGGAAAGGAAGAGTGTCATGAACCACTCAACTCTTCTCTGTCCCCTAAAAATCTCAGGTTTGTGTGTGTGTGTGTGTGTGTGTGTGTGTATAGATAAAGAAGCTTTTATGAAAGATTTAAAGTGATTTAAGATCAAAGAGGAGTGGCTTTTCCAACAGAAGGCAGCCAGAGGAGGAGGGGCATGTGAGAGTTTTGCTGTGGCTGCTCAGGTCCGTTCTGTTTAGTGCACAAAATTTCCCTTCTGAAATTGAATTCCAGTTTCAAATAAGAGAAGTAGAGGGAGGCAGGAAGGGAACATAACTAGCAAGGTGCAAATATCTTCTCTGTTTATCACCACAATATTTTAAAAAGAAAAAAGCAGTCCGCAAAAGATACAGTTTAGATGCCTATCCAGGTCCCACCCACTTGGGATTACTGAATTGATTTGTGCAAAATAAAATGCTTTTGAACAGATGTTCACAACAGAATTAAAATCTCAAAATCTACAGGACTCTCCTCTAACATCTCTAGTCTCTTGAGCCATATACTTTCCACTGTGCTGGGCACACCTTTTTAGATTGTGAGGAATAGAGTAGCCAAGTTTTTATTCTGGGGAATCATATTGATGAGACTTGGTTCCTTTGGAGTACTTTTGAAGAATATATATGGTGGTTATAGGCAGTAATATCAATGACTCTCTTTTAAATTATTAGAAAATATCAGGAGGGATGGTTGGTATCTGCTTGGAGATGGAATAGAGGCAGTCACTTGTCTCTTTCTCCACACATTTAATCTATGCTAGTCAAAGGCAGCTTCAACTTTTTAGCTCTGTCTCAGGCGCTCAATGTAAGCCACGAAATTAAGATGTATGTACCCTTTCCTTTTATGGTCAGAAAACGTGGGGGAACCCCACAATCCAGATTTAGATTTATGACACTATCTGAACTCTTAGGCACTATGGACCCTGAGTGAGAATTGCAGAACAAGCCCAGAAAGCATTCAGTTTACACCTACTGTTGGCCCCAGAGAACAGCCTTTTGATAGAAAGGAGGGAGGTAAGGGAGGCCTAAAGAAAAGGGCACCAGCATGTTTAATTAAAACACACCTAGATACAAAACAAAGAGGAAATATTTTTCTTTTGAAGCTTATAAATAATACACAGCAACACCGTCTGAATCTTTCCGAAAGCCTAAAATGACCATAACAGCGGTTCTGCTCATGAACTCGCCTGTGGTGGGTGCACATTTGTATTCAGTCCGTAGCCAACTTGCACAGGAAATGCTATTATACAAAACTTGGAAATGGGTAAATAAAGGTCGCATATGCTAAGGAGACTGTTAACAACTGCCAGAGGAGCCACATGCACTTTTAGGCAGAATTGCCCGTTTCAGACAGACATAGACAATCTGAGCTGAGCATCTGCAGCGCCACATACAGTACTCGCACCCGAGAACCAGGGCAGCCTCCCCAGCCAGCCAGCCAGCCCCAGAGGCCCACCAACAACTTTGTAATCCACAGGAAAGTTAAAATTAGGTGGAGGAAACCTCTGACCAAAAACCACGCAAGTACCAAGCCACAAGGTCACCAGAGAGAAGGGGAGCCAACCAAAAAAAAAAAAAAAAAAAAAAAGAAGAGGAAGAAGAAAGAAGAAAGACGAAGAAGAAGAAGTCCTCTAAAACAACCTTGTCTTCACACATTCCAGCTTTCAAAATCCTTGTACATAATAATACACCTTTGACCTAAAGCCCAATTCCACAGCTATTTGAAAAGGAAGATACAAAGTTACTTACGTGTCATAATTATCCCGAAATCCTTTTGCAAAAGGGTTGTGATCTATTTTCAGTTGTGTAATCTGGCAAAGAAAAAAAATGAATGTTATCTCACCTTTTATACGTGAAGACTGGGTGTTTGAGAATATATCATCTGCCACTTTTACAGGGGCTTAAGGCCTACAATTTATTAAATAGCAAGGTTTTCCTAACTGAAAAATTTGAGGGATTGAGTGGAAAGGAAAAAAAGAGAAAGTATCATGAAAGTTATGAGGAACATGTTTAAATTAATGATACCTATAGCCAAAGAACTGCTTTCAATTAGCTCTCCTGTGTTTTCTAAATTTGTTCAAACTCACATTTTAAAAATGCTTGTTACACACAATGCACTTGTTCAGACAAAAATCTTTAAGGAGAACTTGAATTCATCACTAAATGTTGACTATTTTAAGTATTTTATATTTTAAAACGTTTGTCGCTTCTGACTCACAACCTGAGAAACCACAAGTTGCATCTTAAAATCAGGTTGGATTTAAAAGCATGTTTTAATTTCTGATATTATCATTTAAGTAAAAAAAAGAAACAAACACAAAAACCCCTATCACTCCTAGTAGTCAAATCAGCCACTAAAATCTGTTTTTGCAAACTTGAAAAATCAGAAGTGGTTCAAGTGCTAGAAAGCTCAATCCATAGCCCTCAGTAATTTGATTTATTGTAGTTTTCACATATATGAATGTGTATGTTCTTTTGATCTCCCAGAACAGTGATGTTTGTTCATTTCAGCCATCAGTTCTGAGATGAAAAAAAGAGAGAGAGAGAGAAATTTTTTTTTAGATGCCAAAGCTTGCCAAGAATAAAATGCACGGGGAAATCTGCTTGTTTTCTAAAGGAAAGAGAGAATTTTTTTTTAAAGTAGATTTTAATCTGTTCTAGTTCAAAGCCCAAATTAAAACTCCCAAAAGAAGAGTCTTTAGAAATCCTGGCCACCTCAAAGGTGGCCCGGGTGACCAGCGACGAAAACAAATAGAAAGCTTTTTCCCACCGGCTTGGTATTTAGGAAAGGTGCCGTGGGCAGGCCCCGAGCCCTAAGCCTTAAAACGCACAGCGGAGCCAGCTGTTGCTGATGTTAGCGCTGCTAGTACCCTAGCCTTGCATGGCGGGAGAATGTGAGAGGGTGGGAGAGATGTCTGTGCCGCCCGCCTCGCCCCCAGCCCCTAGGTCTCCTTACATCCGTGTTCTGGTAGGCGGTGACGGCGATGAACTGAGTCTCAGGGAAAGTGAACGTCTGCACGCGGCCGGGCTGGCTAGTGTCCTCCGTGCCGTCCTCGTTCACTTCCACCACATGCAGGCGGGGCTGGTACTTGTGCAAGGACTGTAAAACCACCATCTGTCCGGCGGGAAGAAAGGGGAGCGCCGGGTGGCGTGTTAACGCGGTCGCTGTGCGCGTGGCTGTGTGCGCCCGGCTGCGCGCCCGGGCCGGCGGAGGCAGCCTGCAGCCCGCCTTCCAGGCTAACTGACCGCGGGACTCGCCTGGCTGGCGGCTGGCTGGCTGGGGCAGACCGGCTTTCGCACCTCTGGGAGCGAAGATAAGCCGGGGCACCGGAAAAAAGGGGGAAGCCGACCGCCCGATCCTCAGGGCCCTTCTCCTAGTCCTCCTGTAAGGAGGAACAAAGATTTCCACAACCTGCAGATCTTGTGGGGTTTCTTCTCAAAATCAATCAGTATTAGTACTTGGGAAGGTCGGGCACTCCAAAATTGGGCCGACGGAGGTGTTGCCAATGAGAACAACTTTACAGATTTAATATAAATTTGGAGGGTGGAAATACAATTTTTAAGTCTTTTTAATGAAGCAAAGAAACGTGTATCCAGTTCCATATGCTGCTTTACACTGACGAACTGGATGTCAGGGAGGAAGGGGTGAGAGAGAGAGAAAACACGAGCGCTTGAGCCACTGACCTGCCCATTGTTATTTGAAGCTCCTTTGTTGTTCGTAAGTTTTAATTTTCCAAAAGAGATTTCTTGGCGCATCCAGTGAGCCCCAGTGTTGGGGGAATCCGGATGCATATAGACCCGATTTCCTAGAGAAAGAAATACATTGTTTACATATGCCCCTGGCACTGCCCAGTCCCAGCTCCTCACCACGTAGGACACACACACACACACACACACACACACACACACATACACACACCTTACTCCACCATGAAGCCCATTAACTGGGGCTTTTTTAGGCCATTCTTTCTTCCTATTAACTGGGGGTGATTAAAATAGCTTTTGCATAATCCTCCCCCTTCTCGCAGCTCAGTCTGTCCCCCTGTCCCCCTCGTTTCCTTTTAGAAGTCATTGGCCGATCGTTTTAAAAGTCGCTCGAGCCAGTCCACAAAGGCTTTAATTAATCATTCTCACCTAAATAAGTGTCAAGAAAATGTGTTAATTGGAAGGACTTGCCTTGCACATTGGTGTCCGCTTTGCCGCAAGGAACCCATTTGCCTCCTTGAAACCTCCAGTGATTGGGATCCGCCAAAATCACATCCACAAAAATATTGTAATGAGCCGTGGGATCGAGACCAGAAATGTTAAAACTTAAAAAAGGAAACATGCGCCTATTTAAATTAAGGGGTGGGGGGAGAAAACAAGGAAAAAAGAAACATAAATGTTAAAGATTAAATGCAAGAAGCGGGGCGCCAGTTAGCAAAGCAAAACTTGTACTTGCAGCAAATAGGCGAATATTTGCTGGATTAGAAAAAGGGTGGTGGGAGAAGAAAAGAAGTGCAACCCAAATCAGGGAGAGCGGCGGGTGAGCTGGAGTGGGAAGGTGGCAGTTATCACTGCCCAGGTGGAGAGCGAGGTTGGCGACCTGCGTCTCCACCTGTCCGTGCATGCCAGTGTTGATGCGTCCCTCCCATCGCCCAGCCGCTGGCCAGGGCTCTTCCTTTTTCTTGCCTTCCTCTGGCCACTGACTGGCTCTCCCACTATGTTCCTAGAACGGGGTCCCCCCCACCAACATCACCCTGGCGGTTATCCCTTCCACTTTCCCCCTTTCCAAAACTAGCCAACTCTAGGGCGCCTTCCACTCCGCTCCCGACCCCAAATCGTCGCTGCCGCGGCAGTCACAGCCTAGGTGCACTTGTCCCCGGCTGCGCCTAGAGCAGCGGCAGCCAAAAATGTAGTATTACCTTCCCTGTTTGGTGATGATCATCTCCGTTTGGTGCCGGTGAAATTTCAGCCAAAGGGGCCTGTTGCACAGGTACACCTGTGCTTTGCCGGGCACCAGCCCCGGCTGGGTGGAGGAGAACTGGTAGAACGGAGCTCCTTGGTAGGAGTGGCCGTACTGCTGTGGGTAGGGGTAGCCGGCCGTGGGGTATCCCTGCGGCGAGGAGTTGGACAGGAGGCTGTTGTAGGCTCCGTTGGTGATGACCGGGTGGTGGGCCATGTAGCGGCTAGGGCTGCCGATGGAGAAGGCGGGGTGCGCCGGTCCGTGCTGGCCGGGGTACGGGAACATGGCACTGGGAGCAGTGGCCGCAGACTGTGGCTGGCTGGACTGAGAGAGGAGGTAGCGATCTGCAGCAGAGCCATCGAAACTGTGACGAAGCTCAGAGACCCCGTCCAAGACAGGAGAGAGTTTACTTCTCTGGACGTCCCCTGGTGAGTCCTTGGAGTCAGGAAAATTGTCTGTATCTGACTGATTCGTCATCCCCCTGGTAATTTTTTTCAAAGGTGAACTTCTCTCCAGGTTGTCAGTGGTCGAGATAATGGGATGATCGTGCAAGACAAGCTCGGATCCGCCTGAATGTGGGTAGCTGCTGCTCACATTGAGAAATTTCTTGGAGAGCATGATAGAAGGAGAAAGGCAGTGCTCCAGCTGCATAGCTCTAGAACCTGAACACTCGCCCTCCCGTCCCTGGTTTTTAAAGTCCTATTTATCATAAACTAGAAATCCACAGACCCCCTCACTAGACAGAAAGCACTTCAACCAGCAAATGCTTCTCAAAGGTTTGATTTACTTTTTTTTTTCCCTGGGAGAAGAGATTGGCCAATTGACACTATGCAGCAATCAGAAAAGGCTCACTTTTGATCTTGCTGCTTGTGCAGCCGATGAAACGGCTCCTGCCATTGGTTAGCTGCTGACAGTAATTTAATTAGATAGACATTAATTAGGATAATCACCTGGCTCCTGGTAGCGACGATCATGGCAAATTGAAGGGGATGATTTTATTGTTGGCTTGGGGGGTGGGGAATGTGTGTTGGTTTACGTGAGCACTGTTGTGTCACCTTTAAGCTCTGTGACCACTGCTTTAGGAAGATTCAAAGATGTGGAATTTACTAAACATTTCCTACCTTCCCCCCCTTCCCCCCTTTAGAGCGGAGGGGCGGAGGAGGGAATTCGACGATGCTAGGAGACTTTTCGGATCTGAATGAGCCAAATATTCAGTTGAATGTAACGATTTCAAGTGCAAAGTATACAAAGCGCGAGCCGGTGGCCTCTTCTCGCCCTGTAAAAGTTCCAGAGTCTGTCTTTTCCAGCTAATACAAAAGCACACAACACCTGAGCTGGTGCTTTGTGAGCAGATCCTACATGTCCTCGGCGCCCCCACCCCCACCTTTTAAACTGCAAACATAAATAAATAAATCCCTGCTGCTGAGAGCCACAGCGACAAGCAGAAGGGGGGAGGAGAGGGGGCGAAAAGCAGCAACTCACCCACCAATCCACCCACCTCAGGAAGGTTCGGTTTCTTGGTTGAGTACAGAAACAGTGACAATCTATGATCTCCTTTTTAAGTTTTGAAATAATCATAAGCTGTCGGGCTGAAATGCCTTAATGTATTTGCAGTGATGTTTACCGGCTCTTTATTAAATATTTTATCAGCGCACTTGGTTGCAGATTATCTGAAGAACATCTAACTGGGGGCAGGCGCCATGCATCCTTCTCGTCCCTCTGCATTTCCTTCTCTCTGAGGTACTGGCTTGGCGACAGGTTCAAAAGCCTCGCCAGGAAAAGAGAGGGCCGAGTCCCCGTGCAAATGGGCTCGTCAGAAGCGCTGATCTGGGGAGACAGAGTGGAAGTGGTGTCAACACAGTAATCGCTACTGAAAACGTGTGTGTGTGTGTACGTGTGTGTGTTTAATGTTTATATAATCTGGAGGGGAGAAAAAGCATCCATGCCAATAATTTTTAAAAGGAAAAAGAATCTAAAGAGGAATAGAAAAAAACCAATTTAAAAAGATGTTGGCACAAATAAATAGCACGAGGCCCGAAGAGACCCCGAGGTGTAGGGAGGAAGTCTCCCAGCACCGGCTCTACAGAGGAGCCCAGCCCTCGGCCTGAGCCAGAGGGCCAAGAGCGGCAGAGGCTTTTTATCTGCCCAAAGCTGCCTCCCGCGGCCCGGCGCTCGCTGACCTGCCCTCCCGCGGCTTTCCTCCCGGACGCCGAGCCGCGCGGGAATGAGCAGGAGGAGCGCCGCCCAGAGCTCCGCTCGGCCCCGAGAGCTGGCCGGCCCGAGGGCGGGCTCCGCCCGGGAGACTGAAGGAGCAAGGGGTGAGCTGCGTCTGGCGCAGACCCCAGGGGCACACGCTCTTCCCGGGCTGGAGGAGCGGCCTGGGCACCTCAGCCGGGGGAGCCTCTGGCTTCGAGCGAGCGCGTCTGTCCTACCCGGGCCGGGGCAGCTCCCGGAGTGAGAGCAGCGCCTGGGGACATTGGGTGGGTCCTGAGCATGGGCGGAGACGGGTTATCCAGACTCGCCGCTTCGCCACTGTGGTGCATTTTCAGAGCTGCGCCTCGGTGGGCCGAGCGGTCAGCGCTGAGCCGAGACTGCGCCCCTCCAGGCGGGCTGAGCGCCTTGGCTGCAGAGGGCACCAGCTGCGGCCTCCATCAACGCGCCGCGGGCAAGGCCCTGCGCTGGCGGCCTGGGCAGGGCAGGTTGTTGACCAGATGTCCCAGACTAAAGCCGAGACAATTTTCTGGGATAAAAAGAGAGCCAGACCCATTTTTCCTTTCGAAAGCAAACCTCAGCTCCTGGCCAGGAAGCTTCATAAACAAGCAGTCTTAGCTGTTGAATCGTTGGGGTGCGGGGGAGGGGAGTAGGGGATGCCATTTGACACTTGTTTTTCTGCCCTTGACCTTCTACTGCCATTTGCCCTCATGAGAGGCTTTTGACCTCTTGACTACTTTTGGCTACTTTTGTTTCCTTCTTTCTCCATCTTCAACTTCTCTGTCCCTGAGTGCCTCTCCCTCCGGTGCTTCGGAAGACAGTACTTTCCTCCGTTCTCAGTGGGACAGAGCCTTAAATGTGTAGAGGTGAGACATCACCTGGGCTCTTTTTGAGGCTTTGCCATTCTCGACACCCTAAACTGTTTTTTTTTTATGCTAAATTGAAATGTTAAGGTGTTAAAGGATAGAAAAGGGAAAGAGTGCACCTCCTTCAGAGTTTTTAAGGAATTGAATTGATGTGCTCTCTGACCCACTTTGGATTATCAGTACCAAATTCAGTGATTGCTCACATATAGGGTATGCCTTGAATTTATATATACTAAGGAAAATGAAGGCTTTCCTCAGAATCACCACATGTGCCTGTGAACCGTACTTCTAAAAGAAGGCCAGGGCTTCTCAAACCTTAAAGTGTATATGAACCACACCAGGATTCTTTATTATGATTCAATAGGCCTGGGGTGGGGCTTGCTTTCTGTATATATAACGAATTTCCATAAGACCCAGATGCTATTGGTCCAGGCAGATGACACTTTGAATAGTGAGGCCGGAGCTTTCAGTGCCCCCGTATTAGTCTGAGAGAAAAGCAGGGACATTTCTGCACTAGAGACAAACAGTTTTGTTTCCAGAGCTGCTTTACCTCTGCATGATGGAGGGGTAATTGCGTGCACATGTGCGCGCATACATATACAGTCTTAAACAGCTTACTAAGTTTGTGATTAAATGCATCTTTTCAGTGCCTAACTGGGCCTGGGACATCAGGCTGCTGCGAAAATAGCTGTACATTCCAAGACAAAGGTGTTCACTGAGCCTTGCCTCTTAGGGCATCTTGATTTTGATCGACTCCAAATCTACAAAAAGTAATGTAGGTTTTTGCTAGCAAAGATTTTGACAAGGTTCTGAAACTGGGAATGTCACCAACATGAACTAAGTGAGAGTAAGTGGTGTGTGGCTATAGGGAGTCCAGGAAGATGGGGTGATCAAATAAGGGCAAAAAAACAGGCAAGGTAAGCCTTTCCAGTCACAGGACTCAGGATATTTTCAGAGGACTAAGTAGAAAACAAAAACAAAAACAAAAAAACCCTTTCAACCCAAATATTGAGAATAGTTCTTGAAATGTTAAGGCCTTCTTCTGAGGGCACTGTACCCCCCAAAAAATCATTGACTAGCACTCATTAACAACATCTGTGAAATAAGTTATAGAATCTTATTTGCAAAGGGAAAAATCATATCCAAAAAGCCTGCACACAAGTTTGAATTAGGCAAAAGAAAATTTCACTAACTTCCACTTATATTTGAATTTTAAATGGTTAAATGTAATCCCAACAACTTAAATTAATACATATTACATGTCCTACATAAAATATACTGTCACTATATCTGAAACAGTAAACCACAGGACAAGCAAGAAATGCTCAGAATACTTCTTACTCCACCAAAAAAGATACTGTGAAACATACTGGGAATTTAAGCCATTTTGACTTTCAGTTTCTGGTAACTTCACTAGGGAACCAATAAGAGCCTAGACTTGTTCCAGTAGGACAGTAATTTGATCTATCACAGCACTCATAACAGTTCTAGTAGGTTAAGTTAAATTGCAAGTCCATGTAAAACATTCCTTTAATGAAGCTACAGTAATACTCTCACCATATTTTCACAAGGGTGCAGACTAGAATTAGATCTTTGTCTCTGTATCTTTTGCCATACAAATGGTATAATCAGTATGGTTCTGAACCGTAAGTAATAACAGGGGCAGTTACTTTTGTACATCACATTAGAAGTTGGTATTAGCCATTTTTTTTTCTCTATTAGAAAACTGGGTAGTCCTAATTTAGAAAAGATGAGACCAAACAATAGCAAAATTATTGCTTATAAGCTTATATTAAACTCACATTATGACTACTTTTCTCATTTTGCTTTTTAGACATATACTTTCTGTGGCTATTTTAGATGAAAGTCCAGTAGAGTTTGCAGCAGCCAATTCCCAGTTTCAAAACTGTTGGTAGAAATGTACTCTTTTAAAACATGATAAAGTCTAAATTAAAATTGCTCCCTTTTCTTTGTAAATGTACTCTTCCAAAATCCTAAAAGTATGTTTATAAGATAGTGAGTATACAATATTTAGCTTATGACAAATGCTAATAAAATGTCAACATTTTTTCTGAGTTACTCACTAATTAGGTAGCCACTCATTAATGGAAATCATTATACATCTGTGAAGTTTTATCACACTGATGTTTTATGTGTTGTAAGATCTTAAAATGCAAACGGAAACATATCTTTGTGTGAGATTTCTAGACCACTGTCAAATGTTATTCCATCAATCCCACCCATTGCCAAAAAGATCTCAGGAGGCATAGACTGTAAATGTATTTTATTTTGTAAGTGACAATCAAAATATATTTGTGCTACTGATTTTTTCAAATATTAAATGGGATCTTAACAAAATTTGTCCACTTTGATGTATTCATGTATAACTTTAGAATCTGCAAAGACCCTGACTAAAGAAACAGAAGTAATTGCACAACTGAGACTGAAGGTGTTACAGTGCTGCAAATGATGCCAGATGTCTTACATTTAGCCAAGTACACCTTCAGAGGTCCCTTGATTTTGAGCATTAGGAACAACAGAGGAATATACACTGAAGGCATCATTAATAGCGTTTTTCGTTGCTTTATTTAAATACGACAGTATCCAACATAGCTGCTAAACACTGGACAATATTTGAGGTCATAAGTACATCCACATGTTCCTCCAAATGACGTTTGGGGTCCTAAAAGAACAAAAATGAGGAAAGAGAAAACAGAACCATATTACTGGTAGATAAATTACTTAAATTTTTTTCAGTAGCTGATGAAACTAGTAAAGAAAGCCAGACCTTACTTAAATATTTTACAATTTAACTTTACTAGTATATTGTTACATTCTTAGAATTTCTAAATCAAAAAGTTAAGTAGCTAATAAAATAATAGATTACACAATGAAAGCTTGATTTATACAATGCAATGACTATGTACCAGAGATTTTTATAAAGAGTAACAAGGAATTCTATACAGCTCACAATCATCTGATTTTTTAAAAAATTTCATTTATATATGTATACCTGTCTGAATATATGTGTATATTCTCTACCGTTCATATATCTTGAATGTCTGAGAGAATGCTTAATTCAAAGCGGACATACCAAAGGGTAAGAGTTCAGTGTGAATTCTCAGCACTTCTTCTATGTTTTATAATAGCAAAAATCAGAATTCTGTACAATTTTAATATTTCAAGAGTAGTGCTTTAAATGATTCAGAAAATATTCTTGGATCAAAAGCTGCCGTTTGTAGTTGAAGAATTTAAATACAATTTGGATCAATTCTAAAATGTTAAGAATGTTTCATGTAGCTATTTTGAAAAAAATGTATCATAGCAAATTATACAGGTGCAATCCTTTAACTTAAACCTGATCAAATCTATTTTTGAAATAGACTGAGTTAAAAAGGAGGCTTAAAATTGTATTGTAATAAACTAATTTAAATTAAAATGCTTAGTATGTATTTATGTTTTAGGCAGAATTAAGTATTTGAGCAAAATTTCAGAGCTTTGAAATAAGGAATATATATTATACACAATAGAAAAATTATAATTTAAATGATTATATTCTTACGATTATTGTTAAAATACCCAAGACTCCTAACTTTAAACAAATGTTCATTATTGGAATTATTTCTTGGCCATGCTTTTCTAACCCTTATTTTAATACACTATTTTTTTTTAAACAACCCAGAGATACAACATGTTACAAATAATTAAGTGACTAGACTACAATATATTTTTTATTTCAGAAATAAGTCTTAGGGCATTTTAGGTGAAAAACACTGAGAAACACTGGCAGGAGAAAAAAAGATATTGGTTTAATTCCATTACAGACAGTTTTGCTTTTGCCATGCAGTAGGCCAAACCAGTGAGGTAATAACTATATTTTTAAAAATGATTCTGATGATTATTAAACTTTGCCAATTACATATTTTTCAGTTTCATTTTGTATTTAGACCTTTTATTTGCTGCTTTAAATCTGTATCAAGAAACTATGGCCTTGGAAAGGCATTTATTCAAAAAACAGTTACTGAATTCTATAAAGTATAAGGCTCCAAGTTGGTGATCTAGTATTATGATTAAAATAAGTAGTGGAAAAGATAACAAGGGTGATATCACATAAGATGAGAAAATAAAATGAACTGTATTTCATTTTGCTTTTTGAGGGTACTTGTTTTTAAACTGTAATACTTAGAAGGTAGTGAAATTTGATTTTCTCATTTATGACATATGATAAAGTCAGACCTTTGCCCCTACTGCTCTGTTGGAGTAATTCATTTTATAGTGAATTGGTAACACGCTTCCCTCAGTTATCTACATTACTTCTTGTGGCAGCTGGGTGATTCTTAGAGATTTCCCATCCAAGAATGGTCCTGGCCCAAACCTACATAGCTTGTGAGATGTGATGGGATCAGAGCATATGGTAGGATGGCTGAAAGCAAAGACAGCTTAGTGTCTTGCATCTGAAATATCAAGATTCTGCCAACATCAGCAATATGATAACCATGTTCCATGAAATGGGGAAAAAATGTAATCAACATTCTTTAAAAAACAGTCTAATTAATCTGTAGATTCCTTTAATTGGTTGGTGTCTTCCCCCACCCTCAGATAATAGAGACTAAAATATATATTTCTTCTTAGAAAAGTGAAAGAGCAAATACTTAAAGCCCTTTCTCTTCACTCAGTATAACCCAATAAGGCTCTAACCTTTCTCAGGAATATTACCTACATATTGATAAAGTACATGATTAACAAAACTTGTTACACATGAAATAAATCTACCCTTCTATTATCTTATTTATCTGTAGGTAAAAATAATACTTAAAAAATTAATTCAGGATACAAGTGTCCTAATTTGTTCCTAGTAAATTATTTTCACTGACGATAATATCTCTTAGGTATTTGTGATTTACTTCTCTATAGAGAACCTGACATCAAATAAATTTAGTGACCTTTACAATTAGTATCACATTTACATGACAGAAGAAAAACATAGAGTGGACAGGAAAAAAATTATATAGGCCCTAAAACAGTTTTAACTCTATAAGAACATGTTATTATGCAACTGCATAACTTATTAACAGTACACCTCACCTGCTTGCCAACATTCTTTATTGCCAGCTGTTCAGGTGTCATCTTATCTTCTTCTTCTACAGCCTGTGAATGAAACACAAAGGACAGAGTTTAAAATTATAAATCCTCTATTCCCACTGCAGGATAATCACCAAAAATAATGATGACCAGAATTTTCATTCATACAACTTTTATTCAAATAATTTACTGAACAAATAAAATTATGCTAAACTTCAGAATAACCTTCAGGGCAATAAAAACTATCAGCATCATCATTTTGAAAACAGACAAGAAATACACAGAAAGTATTGAAAATATCAAACAGGATCACTAAATGATTGTGTTGACCATTTGCAAACTGTTACTGAATTCTTCAGGAGATGGGAGATGGAAGTACCTGAGGTGGCACTTACGGCACTGTGGTACTAATTCTGTTCTGTTGCTCTCTCCTTTTCCTATTTGCACAGTTCTTTCCCAATTTCCCATTTCTCTGTCTCCTTTTTTCTTATCAATCCAGCCTGCCCATAGCTTCAGTATCTATTTAACTATCAGTGGCACTTAGGATCAAAGGAGCTACCGACTTTTGATCCACTAAACAAATCACATGGGTTTCTCTCTTAGTAATTTCACATCTTTACATCTCTAAAAGTAATACATGTATTCAGAAAAAAATCTGAAACTACTCCACATGAGTGATCTTTAGTAACCATGAAGAAATTGTCATTTGAAGTTTTCAACAAAAAAATTACCTGAACTAAAAACCAAATATAATCAAAATTAAATTAACCCAAACAATACATGAAAACCACTTTCCACTACTTTCAAAGTTAGCTACAAACTCTTCTATGTATGATCATAACTTTCTGGCAGAGTAATTCTGAAATAATTATAACATTTAGATTGGCTACCACTACTGCCCTCCTCTCCCAATAATGGCACCAATATAAAACCTCTTTATTGAGAATTTCACACGTAAGAAATCTTAACAGTTTGGGTATGTTATGGCCTGAAGACAAGACTCTGTATCAGGTGAACTTTTAATCTATGATTTATTCATAGCATCTGATAAATGGAAAAAAAAACAAGAAAATTTAAGGATCACTAACCTTAAGAAATGCCAACACAGCATTTACCACAAAAAGAGTTACAAAAGGAGGTGAGATGGTGGTGGCAGAAAGCAGGGAACCAAAATCCCAGTGAGGGTTAGATTTGGATACTCTGAACTTTATAATCTCACAGCTGCCAAATTTCTTCATGTGCGAACAATGAACATGTAGGAAATGTAATCATCAGACATTCCCCATAAACTGGGAAGTTTGGCTGCATTTCACACCTTCTTAATAGTTTTGTAAACAGAGAACTTGAAAATGAGCAAAGATGGCAAGTGTCTAATTTTATAAATGGACAAACTATCTAGAGAATTTTCCCCAGTAGAACCTGCCTAAAGAGAAAAGATAGTGAATAGGTATTGTATCTACTGATTATCAAAGGATACTTATTTACAACACATCATTAGGAAATGCATTTATGACTCATAAGCCCGAAAGAAGAAAAAGTTAATAACATGCCAAATCTAGACAGAGAATATGCTCATTTTCAGAGTCAGATGTCACTCTATTATTTTCAGTTATAAAAGTATTTCCTAACTGGGAAATTGCTTCTCCCACTATTCAATGTTTTACATAAATGGAAACATTGACAAAACATATTAAGAGTATGTTTTTCTAAATTACTTTCACAAATTGTGACACTAAACTTTATTGACTTAAAAGCACTTAGATGAATGGAACAATTCACATAAGTTTGTACTCCATACCCATTCAGTGTTAGTTGTTCTGGGTACATGCCAACAACAGTACTTACTACAGTATTGGAAGGAGGCAAAAATTTTGGAATTTGGCTCAAAATACCAATCCATGTACAAAACAGTTATTAGGGAGTATTGCGGAATATTGCAAACAACAAAGATGGTAGATAGACAATGAAAGATGAAGGTCAAAAAGGACTTGAAGTACTGATCTTATTTGAAAAGTTAGGTATAAAAAGCGCTAATTCAAATTTTAAAAATCTTTTACATAATTTACCCACTTTACCAATTAGTTTTTCCATTCCCAATAATTAAAAGAGAGAGTTCACAAACTCTTTGAGAAGTACAGATGGTAAAAAGTACTCCCAGCCATAGATGCCATCTGGGAAATGAGGAGCAGCTGTAG
Organism: Homo sapiens; assembly: GCF_000001405.40. Classification (NCBI taxonomy): domain Eukaryota; kingdom Metazoa; phylum Chordata; class Mammalia; order Primates; family Hominidae; genus Homo; species Homo sapiens. The sequence continues at coordinate 161,406,707 of NC_000002.12, read as the reverse complement.
ATTTAGGCATATACTAAGGTTGCAAACCCCCATGACAAAAGAGTAAGCATATCTCTTCAATTCTAAGATATTCCAAATCAAATGCCTAAATATTTTCTCTATCTACCCAAGTTACCTGTATCTCATCTACCATCTGGGCAAGACCAGTTTGTCTTCATTCACAGTTCTAATCTGGCTAGTTACCAGGAAAAACGTAAGAAATGATTGCAGCAGAAACAAATGAAATTCAGGCACAGGCAGTGTCCTCACTAGGGAACTTCTGTGTTTATGGCAACTTCTGTGATTTGGCGTCAAATTTTGCTTTTGCATTCGTGCTCTTCGGTTTACTCAACCAACAAAAAAGCACTGAAAATGTTTGTGGCTATTCACACTAGAAACGTTTTTAACAGTTTATCAACAAAGACCCCCAGATGGCTATCCCATCATGCACGGTCTGCACAGCTCTAAGAAATCCTTGGAATTTGGTCTGTTATGTGATCATAATCCCCTCCAATGTATCCCCTATCTTACAGAGGCTTTTACTAAACCCATTAACCTCATTCTCTTTTTTCTGCTAATGGTCAAGTTTCTTATATGGAAAATCTGTATCTCAAATTCCATCACTTTATTTACCCTTTTACAAACACTGATGGGATCTTTGGCACTTCACTAACACTCTTAAGGATCTCCAGGAGGTCAATTCCAATGGATTTTTTGTTGTTTTTGTTGTTGTTGTTTTTAACTTTCTGAACATACTTAGAGCTACTCCAACATCTGTCTTCTCTTCTATTCCCTTAGCCTTTGCTTTTGCCACCCTGTATCTCTCTTATTCCACATCATACTTCTTTCACTATTTCTTTGGTTTCTTTTTCCCACATTAACATGTTAACTTTGTTCGCACTATAACATGCCATGATCCCATTTAAATATCTTTTTAATATCACCATTATGGCAATTTTTACATAAGACAGCACAAACTGCTAAAATGGCATATACTAATTTTTCACTATTAAGCAATCAATGCATAACTGCTAGTGGATTTCAAAAATATGTATTTTACTTCTTTCATGATTTTTAAAGTATTGACTATATAAACAATATTATGTGTTATATGAAGACATTAAAACTAGTTTTTCTACTACCATCACTAATTAAACATCAATATAGGCATGATTTTACAAATATTAATTTACTGAATCCTTAAAACATCTCAATAAAGAAGTTAATCTACACTTCATATGTTAATTCCAGCAAAATTTCTAGCATAAAAGGAATTTTTCAAACTCTTCTTGCTCTCAAGGAGCTCACATTTGGGCTTTTCTCAAATCATAATGCAGTGTAAAACATACAAAAAAGGAGTGTGCACAAAGCACGATGGGGACATAGGGGTTAAGTAAATGTACCTAACTTTTTCTTGTGGATCACCTGGGGAAACAGAGGGAGAGTCAGGATGAGAGTATAAAGAATGCATTAGGGAGGAACACATCATGTGATACTTAGTAGTAACAGGGAAAGGGAAAAACCATGGGAGAATGGCTGGATGTGGAAGAAGAGCAAGAGAGATGAGTCCAAAGTTTCAAACCTACACGATGCCTAGAAAAATGAGTGTCAGTTATAACCAAATTGGTAGAGGGAACTGTCATGAAAAAGTAGAAAGTAGGGTAGACAATATTGCTTACTCTTGAACAGCAGCATCTGAAGTAATGAACATGTAACTGGAAAGGTCTCAGACAGTGGAGATGATAATACATTTCAAATGAGAGGAAATGAAGAGATTTCAAAGTTGTTGGCATTGCTAAACTATGAAAACAGACTTTTAAAGAAAGGTATAAAAACAGAAGAGCAGAAAGGCAAGGGCTGAATCTTGGAAATGCTCATAGCAAAGGCAGCAGAGTGTGTAGTTGCCAAAAAGTCAGGGGAACCACGGGAATGTATGGCCATGGAAGTAAAAAGAGACTTCAGAAGTTCAAAGGTATGATGTGAAGGCAAGAGGACAAGGAAAATAACTGAAAGAGATGCAAGACTCAGTGCACTAAGAAAATAAATCACTCATCTCTTTTAACAAGCTGGAAACAGCAAATTGTCATCAGCGCCATACTCTGTCATGAAAAGGTTATGACTCCGAGAATACTGGAGGCAGGTGGAAGGAAATGATCAATGACGTAGGAGGTTATATTTTATCCAGTTAGCCTCAAGGAAGGGAGAGGGGCAAAGGGTGCCATGATAGAGAACAGTTGAAGATTAGGAAGAAAGGTGCCCCTTAGAGGACATTGCATTTCCTTAAATTTTAGTTTATATTATGTTAATATTAGTTAATAACAGTGCTTATGATTGGCCACTTAATAAAGTTACATTTTTGGTAGAAAAATACAAGTATAGCATAATTTCATTCATTTAATAAATACTTATTGAGCATCTACCATTTATCTGGCAGTGTACTAAAGATAAAATGAGACAATATCTGAATTCACAGAGCTTATAGACTAGCTGTAAAACCAGGAAATTAAAAAGTAATAATTAGGCTGGGCATAGTGGCTCACAACTGTAATAATCTCAGCTACTCAGGAGGCTGAGGGGGAAGCATCACTTGAGGCCAGGAGGTTGAGACCACCTAGGGAAACACATCAAGACTTTGTATCTTAAAAGAAAAAAAAAAATAGCCAGGCATAGTGGTGAGTGCTTGGAGTCCTAGCTACTCAGGAGGCTGAGGCAAGAGTACTGCTTAAACTCAGGAGTTCAAGACTGCAGTGAGCTATGATAGTATCATGCAGCCCGCCTAGGCAACAGAGCAAGACCTGGTCCCTTAAAAAAAAAAAAATTTAAATTCATTTGATAGAAGAACAAAGTTCTACTGGCATATAAAGAAGGAGTAAATAGCACTCATTTGGTGGTATGGTGAGGGTCTCAAAAGTGAGAAAGGGTTAGGCTGAGAATTGAATGAAAAGGAGTGGGGATGGGAATATAGTAGTAAGGAGTGCTTCAGGCCAGGAAGCAAGAAAAAGCATTATAAGTTAGAAGAACTGCAAATTACTCAGTATTTCAACAACACAACAGTGATAAGAAATAAAGCAACAGAGGCAAGCAGGAGCCAAATGGGGTTTGGACCTCATTCTAAGGCAATGAGAAGTCAGTCATCAAAGGCTTTTTAAAAGCACGGTAGTGACATGAACCAATTTGCATTTTTAAAAATGAGGTACATTTCACATAACATAAAATTAACCATTTTAAAGTGTACGATTCAATCACATTTAGTGCCCCAATCACCTGTATTCCAAAACGTTTCATTACCCCAAAGGAAAACCTAGTACACATTAAGCTGTTACCTCCCCATTCCTGCCTTGCCCAAGTCCCTGGCAACCACACATCTGTTTTCTGTCTCTATGGATTTGCCTAGTCTGTTTTTTTCATATAAATTGAATCATATAATATGTGGCCTTTTGCATCTGTCTTCTTTCACTTACCATGTTTTAGAGGTCCATCCATGTAGTAGCATGTATCAGCACTCCATTCCTTTTTATGACTGAGTAATAGTATGTTGTAAGTACATACCTCAATTTGTTTATCCACTCATCTACTGATAGACATTTGGATTGTCTCCAACTTTAGCTAATGTGAACAGTGCTACTATGAACATTCATATACACGCTTTTTGTTTGAATACCTATTTTCAATTCTTTTGGGTATATACTTATGAGCAGAATTGCTGGCTCATATGGGAACTGTCTGTTTAACTTTTTGAGGAACCACCAAACTGTTTTCCACAGTGGCTGTACCATTTTATATCCCCACTAGTAATTTCTTCATACCCTTGGCAACACTTGTTATTTTTCATTATTTTGATTCTAGCCATTGTGGTTTTGATTTGCATTTTTCTAATGACCAATAATTGATTGAACATCTTTTTTATGTGTTTGTAACCATTTGCATATCTTCTCTGGGAAATTTCTATCCAAGTCCTTGCCTAATTTTGTACTGGATTGTCTTCTTGTTGCTGCATTGCAAGAGTTCTTTATAGTTTCTTTTTTTTTTTCCTGTTTTTAATTCTTGTATACTTTCTTTTCATTTTTGTTTTGTTTTGTTTTGTTTAAGAGACAGAGCCTTGCTCTGTTGCCCAGGCTGAAGTACAGTGGTATGATCACGGTTCATTGCAGCCTTGACCTCCTGGGCCTCGGTGATCCTCCCACCTCAACATCCTGAGTAGCTGGGACCACGGGTGCATGCCACCACACCCAGCTAATTCTGTGTGTGTTTGTGTAGAGACAGGGTCTCTCTATGTTGCCCAGGCCTTGAACTCCTGGGCTCAAGTGATGATCCTCTCCTGCTGTGGCCTCCCAAAGTGCTGGGCTTACAGGCATGTGCCACCACACATGCCTTTCTATTTTCTAGATATTAGACCTTTATCAGATACCTGATTTGCAAAAACGTTCTCCCACTTTGTAGGTTGTCTTTTCTCTTTTTTTAAATAGTTTTCTTTGATGCATGACCAATATGCATTTTAGAAAGATCATTCTACAGAATGGAAAATTGATTTGAAAGGGAAAGACTGGAGATGCAAGCAAACCAATTAAGAGGTAAGGCAGTGGAACTGGCAATGCGAAGAGGCAGATTAATTCAAGAATTTAGTCAGAATGGTTTACTGATTGAGTAGATGTGAGAAAGAGAGAGGAGTCAAGAATATTAATAACATCAGAAGTGGTTGTAGCTATCATTTTATTAAATGCCTATCATGTGCCAGATACTTCACATATATCACAATCCTTAACCTCATTTTAGAGATAAGGAAACACAGTTCAGAGAGGCTGACTTGCCTCTAGCCATACACACAATAAGCAATGACACTGGGGCTTAAACACAGTCCTATGTATCTCCAAAGACCTCAAAGAAACATTCATGGCAATTGGGGAAATCATTACTTTTCACTGATACAACCTGAATAATAATAATAATAATGTCAAATGCATGATTTATTAAGTGGCCCTAAACAACATAGTTGCTTCATAAAAATTTCACAGAGAATTCAATTTCAGAATGTAATTACATGAAATAGAGATGAATAATAAAGATCATATATGTATGTGCACACATGCTTGTGTGTGTATATATGTATGTAAGAGAAACTGTAGTTAAGGTTGTTGGAAAAAATTTCTATGGCAGAATCCGACAGTCACCTTCTTAATGTCCATCTTCCCCTTCTTCTGCTGTAACATAACTCTGATTTTACTAAAGGTATCAATGACCCCAGCTAAAAGACCACATTGCACACACTGCATAAGCTTTCTTGCAGCTAGTTGCGTCCATTTAACTACGTTCTGTCAAATGAGATGTACAGTTGACCCTTGAACAAATGGGGATGAGGGTTATGGGTGCTAACCCGTCACAGGTGAAAATCTGTATGTCACTTTGACTCTCCTCAAACTTAACTATTAATAGCCTACTGTTGACTGAAAGCCTTACTGATAATATAAACAGTTAACACATATTTTGTACGTTATATACATCATATACTATATTGTTACAACGAAGTAAGCTAGAGAAAAGAATATGTTATTAGGAAAGGTGTAGGGAAAAGAAAATACATTTACAGTACCGTACTTATTTATCAATACAATAAGTTTACATTATCTGTTTACAAGGTGAATTGCCTGTCTGAAATGGCAGGCAACAGCAGCTGCAGACCTCTATCTATAGTACATATCAAGCAATTCAACTTTCTTAACTGAGAATGGTGCCATGTACATCTATGTATGTATACATTTTGACAAATTTTTATTTTATAGTAGATTAGTGTATGTTTTATGGTAGCAAATGATAAAACAGACTAGTGTCTCCTATATTTTATGCGTTTGTGACATACCTTGTTTTTTTTTTTCAATATTTCTGGGCTGCCAGGTGCTATGGCTCATGCCTGTAATCCCAGCACTTTGGGAAGCCAAGGCAGGCAGATTGCTGGAGCCCAGGAGTTCAAGACCAGCCTAGGCAACAGAGTGAAACCCCATCTCTACAAAAAATTAGCCAGGCATGATGGCACATGCCTGTAGTCCCAGCTACTTGGGGGGCTGAGGCAGGAGGATTGCTTGAGCCCAAGAGGTGGAAGCTACAGTGAACCATGATCATGCTATTGTACTCCAGACTGAGTGACACAGTGAGACCTTGTCTTTAATAATAAAAATAAAAATAATAATTCTGGGCTATGCAGTTTGAGGTTTTTTTCAAATTGTTGTACATCTCAAAAAAGATTCTAATATATTTATGAGAAAAATCCATGTATAAGTGGCCCTATACAGTCCAAATCCATATAGTTCCAGGGCCGGTTGTAATCAGGAGTGCTGTGTGGAACTTATGGAAAGGATCCTGAAAGGAAACTGATTTATCCCCCTTTTGCCCTTTCTTCTCTTCCTGTTGCATGAAACCCAGATGAGATGGCTGAAGCTATCGCAATCACAATGAATCATGAGGTGACCTAAAGGAAGAAAGCCAACACAAGGAAAGCAGAGCAGAGAGATAGAAGGAACCTGGGTCTCTAATGTCTTTGAAGTTTTATATTGGACTTGAAATATGAGACATACCTTTCTACCTTGTTTAAGCCATTGTTATTTTGAGCTAACACAACCTTAGATCTAAGTATTACTTGTTTAATGCAAAAACTGAAAATAATTCAGGCGTTACATAAAGTATAGGAGTCTCCTGCCTCACACACACTGTTACCAACACAATATGTTGACATATATGCAAGATAGAGATACTTTTGAAAAAGGGAGAGAAGATAACGTGATAGGAATTATTTTAACATTGTTATACAATTTAATTTTGTACATCTAACAGCAGGTTGTAGATATTTCTGTATGTTTTTGTGAAATTTTATTTTTCATAATAAATCCTTTAAAGAGAACATGTGGTTTAAAGAGTTATATGCACTTAAAACTGAAAGACGGCCTCCAAAAATGTATCAATTACTTTCCCACTAGTGGTATATTTTCCTAAAAAAATTCTTTTTTATTTAAAAGGAAAAAATATTTTTCTATTTATTTTAACTTTTTTTGACGACTTAAAAAGGCTAGAACTTTTCCATGTTTATACACCATTTGTCTTCAGTGAGTTTTCTCTTTTGCTCAACTTATTTTAAAAAAATATTTTATAGGCAAAGACTACAAATTGGGTGCAGTGTATATACTGCTCAAGGGATGGGTGCACCAAAATCTCACAAATCGGCATTAAAGAACTTACTCATGGAACCAAACACCACTTGTTCCTCAATAACTTACAGAAATAAAAAACAAAAATAAAATAAATATTTTATAGGAATTCTCTGAATATTATGCATTTTTGGATACTAGCTCACTCTGTGTTATAGGTAAAAATATTTTCTTCCATTCTGACTCGTAACAAACACTCAGTAAATGTTAGTTGTTATTTTATGAAGATAAACTTTAATGTCATGTTATCAAATTTTTCAAAGCTCACGTTAATATTCTTACTAGAATTATAGTAACCTTTGGGAAGCCTGACAGCAGCTTTACAATACTAAGTCTTCCCATTTGGAAACATGGTTATGTCCCAATTTATTTACAAATGTTTTTCATTTTCTTCACAAAGGTCATACACACTTATACATTTACATTTCTTGTGATGGTTAATTCCTGAATATTTTTATAATTTTAGATGGTACTGTGAACTGATTTGCCTATTATATTTTTCAACTGTTTTCAGTTTATATAACTGTTTACCACCTACATAATTCTTGATTAAAACAGTTCTAAGAGTTTTCTAAGTTTATTCTCTTAGATTTTTATGTTTGATTGCAAACACATTCTATCATATCCAAATAATAATCATCTTACCTGTTTTCCCCAATATTTATATCTGTTGTTTTTATCATATTGTACTACCAAATGAGATTTCTCCATTTAATATAGCTACTGTATTAAACCAATTGTAATTGTATATTTACATATTTCATATGTAAGCATATAAAAGAAATACTGAAACTTTCTTTCAGGTTACTAAGTAGGTCAGTATTTCTACCTGAACAGTAAACCGTCAGATCTCCAAATTTATAGCACTACATGCTTGGGAAAAAAAAGGCAAATTTTTGTTTCTATGCTATTCTTAAAATGTTCTTCACAATTCATTTTTTCACCTGCACATTCATTTACAAATATGTAATCAAACATTATCAAAATTAAAAAAAAATAGCAGATGCATCTCCGCATGAATAAATTAGGAGACTTGGAGTAACAGAACTGTGGGTGTTGTGGTTCAGTAATTAGAAAAAAATCAAATGTCTAATAATAATCAAGCAGAATTTGTGTGGAATTCAGACTTGAAACTGAAAACTTGGGACGTAAGAATTTAATTATTCTCTAACCTTCTTTTACTTTAGGACCTAACTGGCATCCAACAGCAATTACCTTAGCTTAAAACACCAACCAATTAAAAAGAATACTATGAAGAATTGGTAGCATGGGCCTTTCTTTTTATATTTTAAGTGTTACTAAAAAAACCCACCGTATTTCTTTCAATCACAGAGGGAATTACATTCCCAAATTTGGACTCTTTCATATCACAGCTTACACATTGTTTTCATTTTATAACCAAACCTTACAAGTTTTTGAGTACTACAGAGATTTTTTAAAACTGTAAAATAGGAAAAACTTCTGTAGATGGGCAGCAGTAACCATAAATAGGTTATTTCCTGGCAGTAGTACCAATACAAATTTACTTAAACGTGTAATGTTAAAGAGAAATGAAAACCATTCCTACAGTCTGCTGAATAATTACTTAAGTCATAACTTTTTTACTTATAAAAGGTTAACTATTTAAAATACGGTGAGCGATTTATTTCTCTTTATCTAATCTCCACAGCATGAAAACGTATACTAGAAAGATAAGAAATATTTTCCCTACAATCTAGCACTAATGGGGATTTCCAGTTGAAACACTATAATCAGGGCATACTTTTCAAAGCCAACCCTAATTCTGCTGGGATTTCATTTGTATGGGCCCATCAACTTTATTTTAAAGCTTAGTTCTCTCAAAAGTCTTATTGCTACACTTGGTAAATTTTATACACTGTCTCTTGGATAAAATATTTTTTAAGATGTATTTATTTTTAAAAGGGAAATACTACGTTTTGGTGTAATAACCAACAACAATCTTAACTATGATCCTGAAATCTTGAGCTCTAGCCTTTACCATTAATTCCTAGTCCCACATTCTAATTGCTTCCTTAAAAATAAACTCTTTACCTCCTTCCTCAATCCTTCTACTTCTACCTAAATTGAAAATGCTAATGGTACTACCATACTACTGGTCACCCAGGCAGGAAACTTTGAATTCCTCTTTGATTCCTCCTCCTTCTTTCACTTCGTCTATCCGACCAGTGCCATGCTTTATTTATTTGCCTATTGGTACCTCCATTCCCACTGCTACCATGGTAATCCAGACTCTTCGTACCTTTTGTTTGGGTAGTAGCAAGCTCCTCTTAAACACACTCTCCATTTCAAATCTTCTCTTACAGTGTTCCTTCTATACTGTTGTGAAATCATGTTTCTAAAGTCAGGTTCTAAGCATATCATGCCTCTGATCAAAAATAACTCTTAGGCCAGGCACGGTGGCTCATTCCTGTAATCCCAGCACTTTGGGAGGCCAAGGCAGGTGGATCACCTGAGGTCAGGAGTTTGAGAACAGCCATGGCCAACATGGTGAAACCCCGTCTCTACTAAAAGATATAAAAATTAGCTGGGTGTTGCAGCGGGCGCCTGTAATCCCAGCTACTTGGGAGGATGAGGCAGGAGAATCTCTTGAACACAGGAGACAGATGTTGCAGTGAGCTGAGATCACCCCACTGCACTTGAGTCTGGGTGACAGAGTGAGATTCCATCTCAAAAAGCAAACAAACAAACAAACAAAAACTCCTCAAAAAAACCTCTTATCCTGACATCCCAAGTGCTATTACTAGACTTCAGAAACTTTTTAAAACTTAATTCCCCACTGTTCACCCTCACGTTCTATGCATGCTAGCCAAGCATATTGTTTCTTAAACATGTCCTATGTCTTTTTTGCTCCCCAACACCTTCCCAACCCACCCCGCTCCACCCAAACCTCACATTCCTGGTAACCACAATTCTACTCTCTACTTCTATGAGTTCAACTTTTTTAGATTCCACATATAAGTGAGATGATGTGGTATTTGGCTTTCAATGCCTGGCTTATTTCACTTAAAATAATGCCCTACAGGTTTATCCATGTTGTCATAAATGACAGGATTTCCTTTTTTTAATGGCTGAATAGTATTCCATTGTATGTATATCTATACACCACATTTTCTTTATCTGTCTGTTGATTGACACTTAGGTTGACTCCATATCTTGGGTACTATGAATAATGCTCCAATAAACATGGGAGTGCATACATCTCTTCAACGTACTGATTTCATTTCCTTTGGATGTGCAACCAGTGGTGGGATTGCGGGATCTGTTCTATGCCTTTTCTATCTCCTAGCCCTTGCCTGTGATGTTTATTTTGCCTAGGGTAACATTTCTTTGTATGTTCAAGTCTTACTTATGCTTTAAGGCCTAGTTCAAATGTTGTTTATCTGTAAGGCAGCAACCTGGGTGTTGGCCAGCTTGAAAGTCAGAGCCTATGAGCTCCTACAGGGCTTCCCATGGTCTTCTCTATGGTAGTGTTTCTCTAATGTCTAACTACAAGAGTAGACATTGGAGAGCTGGTTAAAGCGTAGATTTTGAGCCATTAGGTCTGAAAGTCTGCATTTCTAACAAGATTCTAGGTGATGCTAATGTAGCTGGTGTGTGGACAATCTGAATATGAAGGTGTTATGGTACAGACTGATTTTTAACTAATGCCCTGGTTATTTAGAAGCTTGTCTAACTGTTCCTGTTTTCCTATAAATAAAGCAAGGATCCATTTTCTATTATAACTTGTATAAGAGATGTTCAATAAATATTTGTTAATATAACACTGCATAATGTATAAATGTGTATTTTAAAATTGTAGGTTTTCAACCCATTAATGAGTTGCAATCTATATGTATACATGTATGATATGCCTGGCACATTAGATTTTCAATAAATAATTATTAAATAATGGAAACGTTCATAAAATAAATTAGACACAGCAAGTAGTAAGTGCTGTTGTTATCTATATCCCCTTACTCCTTGTCCCTTTCAAGAAAAAAATACCCTAAATAATGAAGAGATTTCAAATGTGCAACTGTATTACATGGTCTACAACAGGAGTTGGCAAACTATAGCCCATGGGACAAATCTGGCTAGCTGCTTGTTTTAATAGATCCCAAACACATTCATTCTTTTACATATTGTGTATGGCTGCCTTTGCATTACAAAGGCAAGGGTGAGTAGTTGCAGACCAGATGAACTGCAAAGCAAATATTTACTATTTTATTTACAAAACAGGATTCTCTATTTTTAATTACTTACACAATGCTTGGCATCTAATCATACATATTCCAAAGATTATAAAGAAGAAATGGCAGAAGTAACTTTTACCTTATTGTAATTCTTGGCTAATTCCAACATCTCTTTTACCACTGATTCATTGTGTTTACAATGTTCACTGTAGTCCTGAAGTGTCAAACCTTCCATCCAACTCTTCTTATGCAAATTTAGCAACATCTAAAAAATAAAAGAAAAAGTAATTCTTTTTCTGCCTTGAGGATACCCCCTTCATTGTCTAGAGAAAAAAAACTTCAAAAAAAAAAAAACATTTCGACTTAATGGATTTAACTTTATTAATTCAAATGAACTCCAATTAGAATGCTCCTATATTTGTATTAATATAACTTAAGGAGTACTCCAACACCAAGGCCTTTGCATTTGCTGTCCTTCTACCTAGAAGGCTATTCTCATCTTTGCATAACTTACCTTCCTCTCTTCCTTACAGATAGATGTCTTCCCTAACAACAATATACCTAAAATAGTCACACTACACTACCTTAAACAAAATCTTTCTTCCCTTAACCTGCTGTATTACTTGTATAATGCTTACAAAGACCTGAAATTTTTGTTTACTTGTTTACTGCATTTCTCTCCCACTAAAGGGAAATCAAGAAGGCAGGGACTTTGCCCTATTCATTTCAAGATCACTAGGGTCTAAATTCTAGAACAATATCTAATAATAGCTCAATAAATATCTGATGAATGAATGAATTAATGAAATTTATAAGTATCTCTAATTTTTCATATAGCCTAGCTTTCAAATGCCAAGATAACGAGATAAATGCCCCATTTATTGAGTGACCTTGTGTCAATCTTTCTGATCCTCAGTTTAGAGATCTATGAATTAAGGGGCTTGTATTAGGTAATCTCAAAGTTTCCTTCAAATTCTGGTATTCCATCTATAATTTAAAAACTTAAAACTTCCTTATTGTCAGGATGAAAAGCCATGAAAATCTTTTATTCTCAAATAAAAGATTTATCTAGGCCGGGCACAGTGGCTCATGCCTGTAATCCCAGCACTTTGGGAGGCCAAGGAGGGTGAATCAGTTGAGGTCAGGAATTCGAGACCAGCCTGGTTAAAATGGTGAAAGCCTGTCGCTACTAAAAACACAAAAATTAGCTGGGTGTGGTGGCAGACGCCTGTAATCTCAGCTACTTGGGAGGCTGAGGCAGAAGAATCACTTGGACCCCGGGAGACGGAGGTTGCAGTGAGCTGAGGTCACGCCACTACACTCCAGCCTGGGTGACAGAGTGAGACTCCAAAAAAAAAAAAAAAAAAAAAATTATCTAGTGTGCAATCACACCAGCAAATTGGGGTTGGATTCTATATCAGTGATCATGAAACTAAACACCTTAGTTCAATGTTTCTCAAATTGGACTTACAATTCTGAGTACTTATTCTTAGATGTTCCTAAGTTTTCAAGTTTATATTTTAAGACGGTTTTTCTTAAAGTCCTACCCTACAAATTTTCTTCAATTGAGGACCATCATTAAATAAGAAGTTTTTTCCCTTTGGATGATTCACAAAATTGTGAAAAGTAAAAGAAAAAAAATGATGGCTATAAAATGACTGTTGTTTCGTCAATAGAACCATTATACTTTAAATGAGATCCCTGAGCCATAAGAATCTGAAGATGTACTTGGAGGTATATGGGGGTTTAGTTTAGAAAAATTATCCTACTTGCTTAGAAGTTTACAGCTATTTGTGGTACAAATTTTATCTTACATTGGAAAATAAGCTGCCTGTCAAAATCACCTATAAGGCTTTTGAAGATACAAAACTCCTCCATTCCCTTCCTTTGGCTCCAAGGACACTAATTCTCCCATTTTCTCCCATGGCTCCAGGGGTAAGGACAGTATGCCAAAAAAAATTAGGAAAACCCTCCACAGATGATTTCAGTTTCTCTGATTCCTTCCTAGCTTCTCCACTGATACTGTTCTAGAAAATACATGTTTGGGAAATGTGGGTGCTGCTACAACTACCTATGCTATACAGCTACCTATAATTAAGTGTTGAGACTCAGATTTCCCTACCACTTCAAAAGCAAACAAAGACAGTTCCCAAGGAGCAACAGGATATTCCTATCATACCTGGACAAGGATTCCCTTGCGACCCTCGAGTAAGGCTGGGGGTTAAGTAAACAAGTTGTCTGGATAAGAGTAAAGGCAGAGCTTTTGTTACCAAGAAGGCAGGTTAACAGCTAAACTGAGCTATTAAGAACATAAACATAACATTAAGTAATTTATGTAAGTGCTTATATATTTGCTTTTTATGCCAAGGAAAATGGCTAAGTTTATGAGATACTCCCCAAAAAAAAAGAAAGAAAAATTGATGTAATTAGCTAGACATTTCCAAATAGATGGGTGTCAGATATCAGTCTGATAAAATATTTATATTCTGAATGAATTTTGTTTGTCCCTGAATGGTGCCATTTTTCACAGACTGTACTCATTCCATGTAAACTTAAAAATAAGTGTTAAAAATACACTTAATCAACTAAATCTATCACAGCAGAAGTAAACTGTGGTACACAGGCAGGCAATTAGAAGAGAGCATTATAAGATCCCCTTGCGCCAAGGGGGAAGTGGTCCCCCACTCCCCTCACTCATCACATGCTCAAGCACTGGGCCCTTCAGATGAGTTTATGAGTGGATTTGACCTTTTAAAACTCTAGTTTATCAAACTTAAAAAAACAAAATTAGAATTCTTATTTCAAGGAAAATCTTATATTGCACATCCTCCCCCCCAGCATATAGATTAGATTAAAAATGGATGTGATCTGGTTGAAAGAGGGGGTAAGCGTGGAGAGCCCAACTCACTCCATCTGCCACTTGCCATGTACCAGAATCCCCTTCTAAGACACCTTGGTGAGAAACAGTTTGGGCTAGATAGAATGATCTTATTTGCTACTGATTACTTATCACTTTCTGACTTGACAGCGGTCTCACTAACCAAAACTTACTGGCTATCAATCAACAGTAAACTCAGTGTTCTTTTAAAAAATGCTTTTAACTTTCCCAGAGAGAAATACAAGAAACTAATTAGGTGGATGACTAATTGTAATAGTAAAGGGGGGAAACTGGTTCAGATTGTAATATCAAAAAACAACAGGCAGATTTAAATACTTGGCATTAGTTGAGAGAAAAACTGTACTAGAAATAATCCTAAAATAGAAACAAATGAGAATGCTAATTCATCAAAACGTCAGGTAATGTTAAAAACTAATCAAACTTGAAAACTGGTATAAAATGGGATCAGAATCTAGTACAAATTATCTGAAAACCCTAAAACTGTTTCCCTTTGACTCAGCTTAGTTTTCTTTAGAGTAAACATGGTATGTTTTCTAAAAGCACTAGGCTGGGTGCAATGGCTCATGCTAATGATTGCAGCACTTTAGAAGGCTGAGGTGAGAGGATCACTTGAGCACAGGAGTTCAAGCCCAACCTGAGCAACAAAGCAAGACTCCGTTTCTACCTCCCACCCACCACCCAAAAAATAGCCAGGTGTGGTGGTGCATGCCTATAGTCCCAGCTACTCGGGAGGCTGTAGAGTGAGGATCCCTTGGGCCTAAAAGTTCAAGGCTGCAGTGTGCCATGATCACACCATTGCACTCTAGTCTGGGAGACAGAGCAAGACCCTACTATCTCTTAAAACAAACAAACAAACAAACAAAAAGCACTACACAACTGCAATTTAAGTTATTCCTCTCAAATTTACAGAGCAATATATTACTAATTTAATTACAAAAGGCCTTTTTATTGAAGAAGATAAGTTAATCAGAAAAATCACAGAACTAAAAGAAATATTTTTATGACTTATCATAAAACCAAAGTGGAACGTTTGATTTATTTCCTACTTCCTCTCCCACTTCAGCACCTACCAATAAGGTGAAATGTGTCTTTAAATAGTCCAATAAAATATTCCCTTATTTTGTGCTGCAATTCATCAATAATGGAATAATATTTGGAAACACTGAAAGAGGTCAAAAATTCGAATTTAAATCACATACCAGGTAATAGTTTAAATGGTTTGAAAAAGATTTTTTTCCTCCTATAAGATAAAAATTTAAACTTACCTTCTGTTCCAGTTCATTTTTCCGATAGTTAATAGTAATGGAGTAATAATGTCTGTTTAGTCCATGAATTAATGCCTATATAGATAAATGATTTTAAAAAGGACAAATTAATATTTTTCACCTAATAAAAATGTTTGAAACTGTTGATATATTCTTACATAATACCTGTACCATCCTCTAATAAAGGCATTTTATTTCAAGTAAATTAAGATGAAATTAAAGTATTCTTCTTAGCTACAAGTTTAAAACTAAGGTTTAGAGGAACGGGTTACACATTCTTCAAAGCATGATATGGAGGAGCACAAATTAAGCAGTTTCAGTAGCCTTGCTCAGTCAGAGATAAGGTTTGATCTTATCATAAGCTAAGTTTATAAATCATTCATAATTTATTAAATCTAACTTTATGATATCTAGGGGGCTCATGGGTATTTCAAATGAAAAGCCTAAAAAGCCACAATAACACAGCTGTTTCTTTACCCACATTAATCTGGAATTCCCCTTTTCCTAATTCAGTTTTGATTGATTCAAATAATTATGTTATGCATGTCTCCAAATTAACTATGTGGATTTTGGTCTTTACTGGGTCTGTCTAGCTCATGCTCTTATCCAGTGACATGCAATCTCACCAACCAGAATTTTTTTCACCTCACTCTGTCTCCAAGGTGAACAGGCCAATCATAATAAAATCTTAAGCTAATAGCATGGCTTTATTAAGAAACAATAATCCTGGATGTCCTGAAATCAATTCACAACTGCCCCCATATCTAACTCTGACAACATCAAGTGTTCAAATGAGGTTCAACAGTACTCTGGTGGACCTAAAGGATCCTCTGGCAGCCTAGAAAAACATGAAAGTCAGAAATAAACCTTTAGGGATATTTTTAACAAGTATAAAAACAAAAAGGACTTTGGGGTTAACCCTCAGGAATCTAAAGAGAAAAACTAACCAAAATAACCACCACTTCTCTAACTAATAGACTTTTACAATGTAGGTCTTAAGATGTCACTGAGGTAGAGGAAGAAGGGGTAAAGAAGAGAACATTTAATGAGCAGCTAGTATCTGCTTTACACATTACATCTTCTAATCTTCATAGTACTGTAAGGTAGGGCAATTCAATTTGTATTTTGACAGATGAAAATAAAATGCAGGGTCGGGCTCAGTGGCTCAAGCCTGTAATCCCAGCACTCTGGGAGGCTGAGGCAGGAGAATCACTTAAGCCCAAGAGTTCAAGACCAGCCTGGACAACATAGCAATACCCCATCTCTAAAAAAAAAAAAAAAAAAAAAAACAACAAAAAAGAAAGAAAATAAGACACAAATATTAATTTGTCCAAGTTTCTAGCTAGTAAAAGGCTAGATGGGGATCTGAACCTAGGTCATTCTGATTCCATAGCCTATGTTCTTTCTAACATACTATGCCACAATACATGTCAGGAAATTCTTGGATTAAGTCTATTTACTTTAAGGATCAGGATGAAACAAAGCATTATGTTAATTTTTAAGCTTTGCTAGCAAAAATCACTCCAATGAGTATTAAAATATTTTAGATGAGTACTTTAACAATAGATTCTTATTTTACCAATGTCTGTTATAAAAGTGAGCTATGAAATTCCATAGGGAGCAGTGACTGATTGTAAAGTACCAAGAGTGTATATTAAATCCTTACTCATTTCAATAATCATCAGAAGCAATGAATTAAATTTTAGTGCATAAAAATGCTATACTGTACAGATCAAAAAGTAGAAATGATCAGGGCTTCCTTTAATCTGTGCTCATATTCGTGTACATTAGGAGGTGAATCAGCCTGGTAGAGAATTAGAAAAAGGTGCTCAGTCCTCTAAGCAGACATAGTCTGGCGTAGAGAGTGGAGCTTGAGCTGGAAGCTCCCTCATCCAAGCACATTTGCGCGATGCACTCACTACTTGCACAACCCTACATGGTGGTCATAAAGCTAGTAACTGCTGTAGCCAATACATACAGAAGCCAGTTAATGGACTCACAGATACTAGGCCCTATATTTTTGAGACTAACTGTACTAATGAAATATTAACTGGTGTCTGAAGGCACAATCTACTTGATTTTCAATTACATTATATAGATAAAAGCATTAAAACTAACACAGACAGCATGAAAGATCAGCAGGTATAACAATAACAAAACAAAGGTAAGTTTAAATCAAATGATATCCTCAAGTAGTCTTTCAATTTCACTTACTCACCTGCTGTGTGCCCCCAGTGCCTTCCTCCCAAATCATAAGTCAACCGGCCATGTCCTTTTTGGGTTCATGTAGAACTACACAAGACCAACTGACTTATGATTTTACCTCTATGCACTCACTGCTGTGGAAAAGCAGGTGCATTATAAAACACACGGCTTACGGATTATATATAAGCTATTCATGGGTTCCTGATAAGTTTTTAAAAGTTTTCATGCTCCTTAAAAAGGTGTGCTTGGATCTAAAGACAAATTTGTTTGCCTTAATTTATTTTATATTGATAAACTGAAAATACGGTGGTAACTGATATCCTTTAAATCACGTTCTAAAATGAAGCTTTTTGAATATAAATAGAATAACTGAAAAGAAACAAAATGTGTTTTGTGGTTCCCTCTAGAGTGGAGAACTGAGTTGCAGAAGGCAAAAGAGGAAGGGAGAGTTTTTGCTAAATGACTTTGTACTTTAAATTTTTTTAACTGTATATATATTTTCTATGCCAAAATTAATTAATTAAATTTCCAATGATAATATAAAAGAATGAAGCAGTCTGGTTATGAGTACTAGTTCCTACATTACCTCACTGGATTACCTGGGCAACTCAACTTTATGGGCCTCAGGTTTCCTCATGTACTAAATGACTACAATGGCTCCTTTCTAGTGCAATTGTTTTATAACTTATATGTTCAGTAATTACTGAAACAATGTTTTCCAAATAGCTTAACTCTATTAAACAATGCAACTGTACTCAAGACTATACTTAGAGGCTCTTAGCCTTAGCACATGCATCTATGCATCAATATTTAGTAAATTTCCATGAGACTGACTACCAATCTTCAAATTTACTGTGACACTTAAGAATCCAAAATGTCACTGAACAGTTTATAATGGAATAGTTTAAAAAATTTAGTTACTAAAATAAATGCTTGTTAACTCTCAATTCTAAACATTTGAAAGTAATAGCCAAATGTTCCAAGTGCAAAATAAAAATAATATACATTATCATATATTAATATAAAAGCCTAGAGGATAGGCATTATACTTTCTCCTCTCTATCAGGATTATTAGTGGCTTCTATTATATAAAACATGAACGTGAAAATAACCTTTGTCTCTTAGCTTATTTCAACACTGTCAAGTAGTACTTTAAAAAATAACATTTTCTAAAAGCAATATATGTTTCACTGTAAAAAAATTTAAGAAATATGGACAAGGAAAGACAAAAAAATCTCATAATTCTACCATCCAAAGGTAACCAATGCTAATATCCTGGTATAAATATATAGGCACCATCTATAAAATATACACTTGCAGAATGGAGAACTGATATATTCTGTTTTATAATCTTTTCTTACTTAACATATTTGAACTTTCCCCAAGTTATTAAATAGCAGTCTACAGTGAATCATAATTTTTCTCTACTACTAAGTATAAGAGTAAAAAAAAATCTGTTAGAAAATCATTAGTGACCACCAGCATGTGAGCTGATGGCTGTTATCAGACTTTTATCCCTACTACTTGAAAGCTGGTTTAGGAGCAAGGCCCCTCTTAACACCAGCTAACTCCCCCTTCAAAATAAAAGGCATGGCATTTCTGAAAGGTTTCTGATCCCAGAGTTAAAGATCCTGCTAACATAAAATAAAATTCCATTACAGATATTACCATTCCCTTCAGGCTCTTCTGGGTTGCTTTCTAGCTTGTCTTAGAAAAATAAGAAAGTGTATTAAGGTGTGGCTTTGTTCTGTCACTTGTTGGCTTGGTCTCATTTGTGTGTTTTAGTATTGAAATTGTCTTAAAACTGTAGAGCACCCAGATAGATGTCATTCTGGTAGGCGCTATATAAACTGTGAAATAAATATATTTACAGGTTCTAACTGGAAGGCAAAACAAACTAAAATGAAAGGAAAAATAATGATGCTGTAGTTGTTACATACACATGTTGTTTAACACAGGTTTGGAACCTGCTTTATAAGGTGCACTTTAAATTACAGGCTATAAGGTAAGATTAAAAAATACAAACTGGACTGGTATAGAAAAAACACGTTATTAATATTGATTACAGTCGATTTTTAAGGTTAAAAAGCAGTGCTTTAATTTTAAAAAAGAAATCTGCAACAGGTGGTGAGTGACTTGCAATTAGTAAAAACTTCTGGCAGAAACATACCATGTAGTAATCACAATGATCTTGGCTTGTGAGATGCTACTTAACCTTTTGCAAAAAATAATGAAGCAGTATGATGCTACCGAAGTTTATAAGAAAGGTCATTATCAAGGCTAAACAGGTCCAATAATATATTCTCTTGGAACATGCAAGTACAGGCTTGTCTGTACCCAATCAAAACCACTGGTAGCTTATTTCATACACATTATACTTTGCAGTTTTCCTTGACTTGCATTTTTTTTTTTCAAATCAACACACCTCAATCCTTTAAAACAAAACACTTCACTTTGATGAAGATTACAGATGAGTGACTGCCCCAAAATTAAGCATTTAAAAGTATAAAGTTATCAAAGTGTAACCAAGGCTTAACCATGGTTAACTGTCAAAGCCACAACTCCCCAAAGACAACCTCATGACAGAGCAAGGTTTCAGAAGGGAGCAGCAATAGCTACTATAATGTCTTTGTTTTATGTATTCTACTTAACCAAACATGGTATTTCTGTCCTTTTAATTAATCTTTAGAGTAGTAATTAACTAGATAGACACAGACTGTGGTGCGTTTAAAAACACATTTAAAATAATTTTTGCAGAAAATAAAGATTTGTATAAAAACACCATGGCATGTGAATGATACAAAGAAAACAATCACTCAAGAGGATATTAAGTGTCTGAATACCAGTAACTGCAATTAATGGTAATTGACTATCACAATAAAAAACAAGACATAAACTCTCATCACAAGTAACATATGGATGTCTTTTATAGGATTTATTTTAAAGGTGGGTTTTTTAAAGAAGAAAATTTTAAGTATATTTAAGAATTACTTCTAGGGATATCTTAAAATATACAGCAATTTCTCCATTGTTTTCTGCTATGAAAAATACCTACTAATCAAGCAATGATAATAGTTACATCCTTCACCGGAAACTCCTATTGGTCCTTCTCTATAATGTTAACCATGCAAAGCCAGAATGCTTTCAAGATAAAAGATCTACTATGCTCCCAAAAAGGGGGTCCTCAAATATGATAGGAAAATTTAAAGACCCCATTAAAAACTGACTCACATATGAGCAAATCTAATTTTTACAACAGTATTTCCACAATTCTTTTAAAACAAAAGAAAAATTAATTTGCAAGCAAATTAAAATGCTAAGAATTAGAACTTAAAAAGACTACTTATAGCAGGCTTTTAAAATTTAAAAGAGTTTTAACACATTATCAAATATAGGCAATACCTGGATAGATGGCTTGTTTAAGTGACCCAGATTCGAAGTTGTTTGTCTTGGTTCATGTCCTAAGACCATCATATTAGCATTGATCAATCTGAAGGCATCAATAACAACCTGTAAAAACAAGGTGTCAAGTCAATTTTTTTTTAAAAAGCAAGTGATAATGCCAAGCAACAGTGGACAAGGCATGATCGACGTGCATCTGTTTCTGGACTATATCCAGAAAATCATTTAATTATAATATTAATAAAAAAGAACCTCCTGCTGACTGTGCCATCAGCACACCACCCTCTATCTTGTAATGTAAGGTGACACCAATTATTGCAATTTTCATGAAGCAGTAAAGAAAAAAATTAACTTTGCATCTTTATTATTGAAATATGTCATTACTAAACTTACACCAAACAGCTTTCACTGGTGTGCATATGTTTGTCACCTAAATTTTACCTAATCAAAATGAATGACAGAGAAACTAAAACTGAAAGTGAGCACAAGTTAAGGGACCACATCTAAAGCCCAGCCCTGTCACATCAATTACACCACCACAGTACTTGAAATGACAACAAAATTACAGCCAGCAAGGCACTTGCCCACATATTCTCTTCTAGTCAGATACCTTTTACTTCTTGTGACTATGAAAGACTTTATACCTTGTCTGATGGCCTTAAATGTCCAAGCCACTGTCAAGTATAAAAGGCACAATATAAGAAAACCAAGGTCATCCATGCTTTAAGCCAAGAAAATGGTATGGAATGATATGGTCCTAAATTCATGGTAAAGATATTACAATAAGTATATTCTTTTTGTGTGTACAGAAATACTTCAAATTCTCCTATGATACAATAACATCTGTTAGCTCTTACATATAAAGAGATTAACAAGAATCACATACTTGCTAAAGCTTTTCAACACTGTAAAGTTTTATGTAAAGTCATGTGACTTTAAGACAGATTGCCACTTTAAGGGAATTTAACTCAATAGATTTATCACATGAAACAATCTTACAGCAAGATCATATACTAAGTAACAGTATTTCTATATTTTGCCTTTAAAAGTGCTGAACGATTAAGATTTATCAATGTTTTAAAAGCTGTGTCAACTAGATTTGTTCTTATTTATACAATTATTACTTGAGGATATTAAGAGATTAAAAATAGTTAAGCCAACCAAATCTAATCAAGTCTGAAAATTCTGCTTGTAATAAGTATTACTGTATGCTGTATGCTAAAGAACAAGATTTAAAGAAAGAAAATCACCCTTTGTAAAAGATTGCTATGATGGGTCCAAAGACAATAACAAAAAATACAAACCTAGACTAAAACATGATGACAAGTTAATCAGTCTAAGCTTCTGTCTACTCATTCGGCCTACAATATCAACTCTGAATTTTACTTTTATTTTGAACAGTTAACATTTTCCCAAAGATTCATTCCTCTTGCATCAAAATAAAGCCAAGTATCCCCAGAACATGAATTAATAGTTTGTGAAAACTTTTTTCTTTTTATACAATAACCTTAATCCACACTTAACTTTCATGTTTATATATAAATATGGCCTACATGCTTATACTTAAAATTTTTTTCTAAACATATTCTCTTTTTTAAAAAAGCAATAAAAACAAGTACTATCAGACATATTTTAGTCAGATGTTATCATAAATAACTTCAAACAATTGTTAAAAATATAGAAGTAAAATTTCCTCACACTCATACTAAAAAAGAACATAAAATAAGATAAAGTTAAAATGTTGGCAAAGGAGGAAGAAGGTGGCCATTTTCCAAGATAGGTATATAACTTAAATAGAAAATTAAGAATTGCCACCCTAACTGTTAACAGTAAATATTTAGGAGCAAAGCATCATTTTGGCCCATTTCAAGATTTCAGTAAATTCATTTGTGAGAGGGAGAAAAAGCTACTACAAAATTATGAAAATTTCATTATATATCACAACAAAATTCCTATATACTTTTTTATACTGAATGCTTTGAAACTAAAATAGCAGACAGCTATTTTACTTGTAGAAGTCTATATTATTTCTCTGAAATATTATAAGCAGGTGTGAAACTTCATAAAAAGGAAATGAAAATACTAGTTCAGTAGATATCATGATCTGTTAAAAACAAATTTTTTAAATTTTCTTAAGAAACTAAGAGAAAAATTCAAGAACTTAATAAAATGAGATGCTTTCATTGACAATTCCTGAGTAGCAATGATGGCCTATAGAAAATGACTACTTTACACTAAGATTAAAGGAATTTGCTGCCATCACTATAGCAACTGTCTTAAGGAAACTAACATGTTCAACAACCTGCAGACCAAAATTAGATTTAGTATGCAATAAAATATAAACATGGCAATATAGTCTACATTTTAATTTTGGTATAATTTTATAATTGCTTTTTGCACTGTGAAAATAAGTGGATTTATCCTTTAGAGCAACCTATCAAAATAGACTCATTAATGTCCAGTGCGCTAATGAGCAATGGGTGAAGAAGGTGTTAATTATGCCACCGTAAGATTAAAAAAAAAAAAGCCCTAGTGAGCACTCGATGGTGTGTATAAGCTGAAAGCGTTTCTCCATGTTTGTGTATTTACAGCATGATGCAATAGAATGACAGCAAAATGGTCACTCCATGGTTAAGAACAGAAATCTTAGATATAACACACTGAACAAAGAACTCCCAAGAATTAATTAATGTATGGGTTGGTAGGGGAAATAATCCATTTTTTTGAGCTCTCTGAATTTTCTAAACAGTTCATTTTGAAGTATATAGACATTAAATTAGTTCAGTTTATATCTTATAAACTCAAACAGTAACTTAACCAAAAAACTTTACACAAAAACTATCTCCTTAATATATAATAACGAAAACCTCTGAGCTAAAGTATGAAGAATATTTTCAGGAATATGATGCTAGACTTTGAAAAATTCCTTTCCATGCTGAAGGCCTACACAATACATTGAATCTCTATTCACCCGCCTGACCATTTAATTTTTTCTGGTACAAGTGCCTTGAGACTTTTCAGAGGTCACTGCAACAGTAGACAGCTTATAACAAAACCATTAGCAGTTTGGCTAGCTTAGGGAAACCTCTTACTTTCCTTTTTTGTTTATTATCACTGCATGAATCTGCAGCATATGATAGTTTATAATTTCTCAGGCTTGTTAAATTCATGTTAAAGGTCTGTTTTCTTGTTGAATAAATTTTGTTCATATAATGCTGCCTATTTCATACACTCAGTCTTTAATAGCACCTTTGGTCTATGCGCAACTCACAGATCAAAACAGAGGACTAAAATAGGGGTTGATGATGCTATTTACATGTGTGATTCCTGCTGTCTTCTTGTTAGTAGCTTTAATATAATAGAAGACCTTGTCTGTTTTGTAATTAACACATCTTTACTGGAGAGATATTTGGAAGTGATTGCTGTGAATATACTGGTTAGTAAAATAAACACAATCACACACCACTTTCTGTTATCAGACAAATTTGTGAATTGTACACATTATACTCCAGATCAACAAACTGTGATATAACAGCCAAGTAGAAGACACATATTTATATAACCCTTTATTTTTCTGAAAATATGTATTCACTCTGACCTTGCAAATATAATTAGCTTGTGGGATGTGCAGATTTCAGTACCATGGTTGCTTTACTAATTGCAACTCTTGGAAATAGATACTAAATATTTGGAAGCTGCCAATACAAAATAAAAACTGCATGTTTTTTGTACATCTGTCTTAGATTATAAAAGCAAAATAGTTTTAAAAACAATACTGAGTTCCGTATTTATTCCAAGCATGCCCAAGGGTCAAGGATCTATCATTTCATTTTAATGACGAATCTGGTTTATTACTTAAAACTCAGTTTAAACCATAATTTTTTGGCTTCTTTCATGAGTAGAATACAGTTCATCCAATATGCTATTTATTTTAAAATTTGTGTTTTCATATCAACTGCTAGGTCACTGAAAGACTAGACTAAATTTGTAAAGCACCAATCTATAGTTCCCAATTTTTACATCCGAAGGAAGCTATTTTTAAGCAAAGCTCTTCAAATTAGTTTAATACAAAGCTGTTTTAAAAAAAATACACAAACACTTCTGGCAGTAGCTGTAATTTTTTTCTCTCTCTCTTTTCAGTAGTTGCCTTTGGTCCAGTTGCACTTATATTACAGTCAGTGACTATGGGTATCTACACAGAGTAGAAGTAATGTTTTAAGAATTTATGATGCATTCATTTTCTTGAGCTTAAAAATGAAACAATCAGAATCTTCCATAACCTCAAGTCAGCTCACTATATATATAATGTATGTATTATATATGTATACCTATATATTATATATAATAAAAATTATTCAGTTCATCATATATGGGGTAAACATAAGTGACGAACTGAAATAATTTTTAAAATCTTGAAAAAAATTTTAAGACCTCAAAATCAATGTCAAACACTAAAAAGAAAAAAAGTAAAAATTCAGTTACTAGTTAGATTACATATTTTAAAACATAAAACCATCACTATATAAAGTAAATCTCTAAATGATTATAAAAATGAAAGGTGTGGAAAGAAAGGCAACACTTAACCCATATCCAATACTCTTTATCACCTAGAAATGACCTGTTATCAACTGCTTAGGTTGTTTCTAGATTCTTTAAAAATTAAGAGTGCATGTGACCTGGGAAGTACTGCTGGGGTTTGTGACCATTTCGTTACTTCTGCTGCCATGCACTGCCAGACATCTATAAGAGAAAAACATCTTATGTCTCTTGTAAGCCCACAGCATAAAAAATTCAGAGAAATCTTACTTTTTATGCCATTTCCAATGAAAATCACTAAGAACTAAAACTGACTCATGCCAAATGCATATCACTGAATTGCTGTGATTTCTTAGTCTCAAGTTTGCAACACGGAAATTATTTATAAAATGTCAATTTTAGCTCTGGAAAAGAAATTCCTATGTGTATGTACATTTTCTTTCTTCATCCTCGGAGAATTGCTTACTGTAGCTAAAGATCTGTAGTACAACTTCAGTATATTGGGAGAAAAGGGGGATGGGGTGTAACTTGCATAATTTACTTTTTTTGACAAGTGAAGACATGCATCAAAATTCAAAGAGTAAATCCACAAGTTTTGAACGTATATGCTTTAATGAAAACAAATCGATCTTTAGAAACTAGTATGGTAAAAGGTAATTAGACATTTTTAGATTCATGAAACACTGGGAAAAGAATTTACTTAAGTTATAATAAAAATAAAGTTTCACAGAAAACTTTTCAACATATGCATGTAGTCAGTATGGTGTAGAGGTTTAAATGCTTGAGGCACTCTGGAGTCAATCCTGCCTAAGTTAGAATTCTGGGTCTATCACTTACTAGCTAAGGGACCTCTAACAAGTTATTTAACCCTTCAATTTCTCCATTTGCTCATGAATGACGATGCCTCATAGACTTGGTAATAAAATAATATATATGTTTCTGCCACTGTAGTTTTCAGTGTTACTAACTGTGGCACTGATGGAGTTGCCCAGCTCAGATCTTTCAACAGAACCTGCTGTGGAGCGCATGACTGACTCACAACCTCCAGCTTTTACACCTTTGGCTCTACTGGGCATTCACACCAGGTCATACTTCTCCTGGGCAGCTCCCTGCCAACAACTGAACACAGCAGTGGTACTAGAACCTAGCCATTCCTGCCAAATAAGGGATTCCTCTAAAGGCTAATTTTGGCTCAAGGACTCCCCAGCAGCCTGGCTGAAATTTTCTGAGCACTAGCTGCAGTCTGTGGTTCTTCTACCCAATCTACCTTCACTTTCTCCTTTGCATGGTCAACCCTTCACTGCTGTCTGAAGGCTCTCCCCTTTCTCCAACATGGGTGTCTCCCCCAATAAATCTCTTGCATGTCTAATTTCATTTTGGCATCTGATCCACAGAAGACCCAAACTGATACAGTTAACAAAGCAGAGTACTGCTATCATGAAGAGTGTTAAAATTGGAAAAAAGTTACCCTAAAAATCAAGTTATAACTATAAATTTTACATCAAGAGACACCTGACACATAAAAAATAGGAAATTAGAGAGTGACGCTTTAAGATATATTTCCTTAGGGAAATTCCTAATTACAATAAGAAAGTGTATAGTTGTACTGAAGGTTATTATCTCTCTTTTAAAAATGACTGAATATGCCTAGAATCTTGATACTACTCCTGCATGATCGGTGTTTCTACACTCACAAGTGACAAATAAACAGTGAGCTTAAAATTGAACTCCTCAGGGCACTACTAATAAGCTACAAGAGACTATCACCTATGGGTCACTAGTCTGATATCAACTTAAGAGTGTCAATTCTATCTAGTGGCTACTCAGCCTACATAAAATGGAACCAGTGACTTCAGATCCCTTTCTAGTGGAAAAATTAAAACAACTCGTTTGCCTGTTGCCAATTCCATATAAAGCAAAGCAATAAAGGGCCCTAGAGAACAAAGATGGGCTCAACTTTGTTAGCATGGCAGTAGAGCATGTGGATGAGAATAAAGGACCTATATACATTGCTTGTGCTGTAACACCACATTCAAACAAAAATACAAAGTATATCCACTGGACTACTGTCTCTCAATAGGCAAAGGCATTTTAGTAGGAAAAATATGTAAAGGCCAATTACTTTGCTGTGTATCACTTTGTGTATTTTTATTTTGCTTATCAATTAAATACTATATAGAAATTATCTTGCTAATCCTCTCAACAAACAAGTGTAGGTATTAATATTATCAATTTATGGATGAGGAAACTGCAGTGTAGAGAATTTAAATCAATTAAATGAAATGACACAACCAGTAAATGTTATCACTATGATCTGTACCTATACAGCATGCCAAAGCCAGTACTCTTCATCATAAAGCTGTTTGTTATAATAGCTGTCCTGACACAAAACCAAGAAAGGACTACTACTAGGTTCAGTTATACTCAACAGCAAGGTTTGTGTCTCATTCGTCACTGAATATCCATTCTGTAACAGAGTAAGTGGCACACAAAATACAGTGCAAAATAAATATCTATTGAAATGAAAACCTCAAAAAAAAAGAGCACTTTTGGTTACTATGCTATAGAAATTTTTACCACTTATGTTTATTTTTCCTTAAAGGAAAAGAAAAATATCCATTATCTATAAACAAAATCTAATCAGTAGCTTGTTAACAATATAGTCTTTACTTATCACTGCTCAGTTCTGAGTTCATGAAATACTTTTTTGTGACATGCTAAACTGAGAAACTCATAGAGCACTGACATGTATTTAATTTGGATTTAAAACTGCATATGGTAAAGCTATATGGAAAGTGAAAAGTGGCTGTAAACATCTATTAATCAGCTTACTAGTAGCCTAAAAATCACAACTGAGGGATCAATTATGACTGAAGAAAATTTACCACTTCATTTTTACCCTCTTTAGAAAATTACAATGACAAGAAGACATTAAACCTGACAAAACTAAGTCCCAGGTCCAGAAATATCCTCACAAATAACAATGGCTAATGTCACATCTAGAATGTGATCTTTAAAAATTAAAATATATGGGCTCTGAAAACGCCTCTCAATCAAAGTCATAGTTTCCACGTTTCCACTTGCTGGTACAAAACTGGCATTAAGGACAGGGAGTAGATCGTATTCTTCTCTATAATTCCAATGTACTCTTGGCACAAAGTAGTGATCAACAAGTGTCTGTTGAACCAATGACCAGGGATAATTAGATGACTACAGAGAGAAAAGCATTCAAGAAGTGAGAGTCAATAAATAATATTCTTACAGGTAATGAATGATGTATTTTTACTGAAACAGTTGGATTCAAACTAATTTGAAGCACATTTACATCATTCAAAATGCACAGCAAGTAGTAAAGCATAACAAATTAGATCAGAGATTATATTATTAATATAGAAGCTCTAGGTTAAAAGAACTCCATAGGAACTCTTACCTCTATATACGACTTATGCTCTTAGAATTTTAAAAGTAAAATTATTTCTACATTCCTAGCAGACAATTTCTTATATCAGCTAAATAAATGTGATAAACTATTACATGTTATTCTATCATAAATAGTATAGGCAAATTAGTACCTATAATATTTTCTTAGCTGTCCTCACAAGATCTGAGAGTGTTATAAAACTTCAAACTGATAATAAGAGTGAAAGACAGGAAGCAAACAAAAGATAATACAGTAACAAAACTTGTTCCAAGAATACCTTGGAAGGGTATGCTCATAGAGCTATGTCAGGAATGGAAATAGATTTCTTTATGTATTCGATTTCCTATTTTTCTCTTTCCACCTGGAAAACTAGACAAAGAAAAGAGGTGTGTATAATTTATGATTAGGACTACCCAGCCCTAGCTGATAGTCGTGGGATACTGATCAAAAAATTATCTTATAAATATAGCAGCTATGCTAAATATCTTTTCCTACTTTTAGTAGACAAATGACTATTAAACTTGAACTCTAGCTCTAATTTTACAGGGTTCAAATTGATCAAGGATAATGTCCATGAGTAAACTGGCTAACTGACCTTGTCAATCACACGTTCCAGTCATTTAATAAACGACTCTATGCTGACATATAAAAAATTAATAAATGTCACAAAATTAACTGCAGTTTTTTGGATATGCTAAAAACTAAAAAAAATAGATTTGGTAGTGGCTGAACACTGATGCAAATTCATTCCTCGATTTTATTTTATAAACATTTATTAAAAAACTATTGCAACGCACTGAATTCCAAGATATGAATTGGTATCTCTCCTCAAAGAAGTCTCAGTCTTGTGGGGAAGACAACACAGACAGATGAATAAAATACAAAATGGTTAAGTGCAATACATTAATCACCTCATAGGCCCAAGTTTCAAAGTAATATATTCACTTCCTTTTCATCAGCATGCCCAAGGAAAATATCTTAGAAAATGGTAAGTGCTAAATAAAAGTAGGCCAATCAGAAGAGTATTCCTAGATTAGTTAGCATGCACAAAATATAAGAAGGGAAGTCTTCATTTCTTTTGTAGTCATTACCATATTCCTAAATGTAGCAAATTAGAGATTAATTTATGGGCTTGTTCTTATCAAAACTTGCAGAAACATTCACATTCTATTTTTTTAATATTCTAGTTCTTGATCCTTTTAAGTATGAATTATGTTAATCTTCAGAATAAAGTATCATTTATTGCACACCTCCTAATATGACATGTGTACTCTAATCTCTACATATATTACCTCATGATAGTCATAATGCTATGAAATAGGTACTAAGATTCCTGTTATATAGATGAAAAATCTGAAGCTCAAGAAAATTAGGTAAGGCTTGTTCAAGGTCACACTGTAAAGAGGAGATAAAAATGGGATTTTAATGCAGGCCTGACCCCTAAGTCTGTGTTCTTTATTACTCTATGCCCTCTCTCTCTATATGAGAGAGAGTATATATATATATATGTATATATATACATAGATATATAAAATAAGAAGCTCAAAAGAAGACTACTATTTGAGTAAACTGAGTACTTAAAAACCTTCACCATCTTAAAACTTTCTAATATAAAATTTCTTGGAAAAGTAAAATATTTGCTACCCACCCCTGAAAGAAAAGACACGACCTTCTAGATATCTGAAAATAAAGGGTATGCTCTTACAGCATTCATTCACTAACTTTTTATTTTAATTTTTTTAAAAATTAGAGACAGAGTTTCATCATGTCGCACAGGCTCGTCTCAAACTCCTGGGCTCTAGCGATCCACTCACTTTGACCTCCCAAAGTGCTGGGATTACAGATGTGAAGACATGGTACCTGGCCACATTCCCTAACTTTCTTCCTGTATTTGTATTTATTCTCCAAAGCCCCATCTTTTGTAAAATGCTAGTTGTTTAAACAAATTAAAACCAATCAAAGCACTCATTTTACATTCTAATATCTGTGGAAAAAAGAATGAACAAAGAGGTAAGTACCACTTGGAATGATATTGTTTCTACATTCTTCCCATGAGGTACAAGCTCTTCTTTTCTCAGTGATGTCCTGCCTACCCCTCAAAGCTCAGCCCAAGCTTTATCTACTTTGTGCAACCTACAACTGATTTCTCCCTTGTTCTAATTTTAATTTGCATTTACTGTGTTTGTTATACAAGTAATACTTTATTGTATACTGGCATATACAAAATTCTGAATAAGTATTTGTTGAATTATTTCTGTCTCTAGCAACCAACTTAATACTTACAGAAACAAGCAATTTCAGTATATTTTGTATCAGTATGCAATGTAGGTTATCAGTATATAATTGGCAGAATAAGATCTTGCTCACTACTAACACTAAATGTATATAATTTATCTTCTCAAAGAACACAAAGACCATTTTTTAAAATTCATTTTGCATCTTAGAATCATTAGCATACAGATCAGGTACACTTAAGAAATACCTGCAGATAAGCTGACCTGCAGTTAGATAAACATCACATTTTTTAAAGTCCATTGAGTGTTTTGATCAGATTAAATAAAAATGCTTCAAGAAAACCTAACCAGTGGAAGACACATTTGGACATAATTAGTCATTCCTTTTTTTATGTTTTCAAAACAGAGAACAGACACAATGATTGTTAGGAGTTAGTTAGCTGGTAATAACTGAGCATTTTACTAACAGGAACCCATCAAGGAAAATGAGTTCTCTAAAGCAGTAATGCTTTTTAATAAATATATTACAATATCCTAATTAAGTTGTATGCTAGTTTTATGATTTTGCCCAAAGTGACCATTCTTTTTGCCTCAAGAAAGAAGTATAGTCACATTACAAGTTGAATTAACTTCTAAATTTGCTGCTGGATCTGGTTATGGGCTGAGTATACAAGATAATACAACATTCAGCAGGAGGTCCCCACTGTGCCACTTGAGAACTAAAGTTTAAAATATGTAAATATGTATATTTTACAAATGAACTAAATGCTGCAAGCGGACCTTATAAACTATTTCACTGATTAGAGCAGAACTCACTGGTAACTTCTGTGAGCTTACTCTCCATTTAAATTATGAATGCAATTACCATTGATTTTCACCTGTATCATTTTAAAACATTTATAGTACTGTACAATATGCAGAGGGTTACAGATTCTTTATCATATAGTGTATTTCATTATTTATGTTGATTTCAATGTTTACTCCTAGGGATGTCACAAAAGTCAACAGGAATAAGTCTGTCTAAATTGTTTTTTAAAATTAATTGAACAACACATTTTAAAAAATCAATTAATATATAATACATAATACCTACAGAAAACTATGGAAAACTTAGAGGAAATGTACAGCTCTTTCCCCTGACTTATGCTGAAGAGAGTGACACCTATCCACAGTAACTTAAGGAATGGCCTCACAATGACCTCTGGTATTCATTTTGCATTCTGCAGTTACTCTGATTACATCATTCATAGTGGTTTAATACTAAGGAATTAAAGAGCCATTAAAAAAGCCTGAGCCCTGAAATTTTACAGAACTGGATTCATATCTTTGTTCTGCTGCTAACTCATGGTCTGACTTTGGCAAAGCAATCTCATTGGCCCTAATTTTTTTTTTTAACCACTAATAACATGTAATGGTAACAGGGCCTATCTTTAGGATTATAACAAAGAATAAATGAGATAAGTTGAAATGGTTATTCACAATACCTGGCTCACAGCAATTATTCAATAAAAATATAATCAAGTCATCATAAAAGAAAATCAAACTATTGTGAATGAATTGAGATTACCAAGAAAGAATCCAGGCTTATCTAATTTCTCAAAGACAGAAATATTGGAATTTATAAAAATGGAAATATACAAAATGTTCAAGAAAGTGGTTTTATAAAAAGCGAACAGAGACCCAACTTAAATCATTTATATATAAAATGTCATTTTAATTCTTGATCTAATCATTGCCTTACTAAATATTTTGACAGCTTTGATAAATCACACGCAGGAAAAGGGAGAGGGAGACTCTTATACTATTCTTCATTTTTATAAGTTTATATTCCTAAGTATCATGATTTAACTAAAACACTAACTAAGGATTTACTAGCATTTAATCTGATTCATAGAGATGAGAGGACTTGACACTGAAAGAACCATAAATTACAATCAAACTCTGACTCCTTAAAGATGAAGTTGCATTACTGACAAAGAACTGGATCCTTATTTCAAGAGATATAATAGTATGAATCTAGACATTAGGTCCAACAAGTGATACAAATCATCAATGATAGATATTTACACTAAATTTTTTCAAAAAGATTTCTTCCTAACATACAAAAGTAGACAGTGATACATATGATTTCATAAATTTTAGATATATTATTTTTTAAAAACTAAATTTAACATTAAGACGTGACACATACATATTTTTAAATGAAATTCATCATTTTAATATAAATTACAATTAATTAGAAATAATGAAAATTCCAATATTTTACAATACTTAAACTAGGTTTGGAAACTAAAATTGCCATTTTAAACATTACAAAAGGATAACCAAAAATAAAATACATACTCATTTATTTACATTTACATTTATTTACTCTATTTTGAGAATGCATTCTTTCATTGTGTTTATGTTTATACTTTCCTTTTTCAAAGTAGCCACCATCACATGAGTCAAGATATCATAAAACCTAAGTTGAACTAATACTACAAAATAGAATTCTAATTATATTTAAAATTAAGCTTTAATTATTACTTGTAAATATTGTGGTAGGGGACTTTATTAGATAATTGTTATATTTGTAAAACAGTAATCATTACTTAAATGAATTACTTACGAGTTACTAAAAAGGTACCTTAAAATAGAGAATTAAACTTAAGAGGCATCAAATATAATTCATAAAGCTAATAACAATCAAGGATTTTTCAACCTCTTTTATCTATATGTTGAGTAACAACACATATAGTTAAAAAAAAGTAAATAAATTGAAATATAGGCATATAGCAAGAATCAGAAGCTATCCATTCTGAATGGTCTAGTATATCAGTTTCTATTACTGTTTTTGTGGATAGTTTTTGCCTCTGAAAAGCTAAATCACACCTAATAGGATCATGATTTAGAGAAGACCTCAATTTTTATACATGATAATGACATGATGTCAGAAAACATTCAACTTCAAATTTATGACAGATAAAAACTCCGTATTTTAACAGCCATGTTTAGTTTTTCTGCTGGTGAGCAGATATAAATGTAATCTGCACTACTATCAAACTCCAGGTCTGATAGATAACAAGCTAATATTTATTTCTAAGTACTCTAAAAATTATTTGTAAAACCTGCATAAAAAGGATTGCATAAATATATTGTGATTTTATTTTAACAATTATTCTACACTACAATGGAAGTACATGCTCAAACAAGACACCTCAGCAGTATTTTAAAGCAGTAACCACCTAGCCAATTTCTGTATGTCTGTAGTTTTTCTAATCCACTCTCCCTGTGGTTGAGCAAAATCGAATTGCCTCTCACATTTGCAGACAGCTCTGTGAAGGTGATAATAGAGCTGCTCCCTGCTGTCATGAGGCAGGAAATAGGAAAATGGCATATGGGGCTAGAAAGAAAGAAATAAAAAAAAAAAAGAAAGAATGAATGAACAAAAAAAGAGAAAGAGAACTAAACAAGAACAAAAGGGGTTTCAACAAAGAACTATAACCCAATATGCTTTGCAAGTTAATCTGTTTTCAGAATTATTTAGCATATTTAATCATTCATTTGCGTCCTCACTCCAAAAACGTGAATGGTTGATACCAAGTCTTTGGGCAAGTTTTCATTGTCTAAAATATTTGGAAAACACACCTCCAGAATATGTCCTGCATAATGTCTGCAAAACAATGCCCTTTAAATAGATTTTTAAAATGTTGTGCCAATTCCAAATTCATCATTTGAAAATAAAGGTAAAGCAATGTTTATTTAAATATTAATAAAATGTTTATAGCAGGCTTTGAGTATGGTTTAACTTTCCTAATTTTATGAAATTCAAAAAATTTAAAGATAAATATTCAGGAAAATTACACAATAAGTGATTAAAGAAGAAATCTCTAAATAAATTGCTAATAATACCAAGACACAGTTATCAACTTGTACAGTTTTTTTGTTTTTTAAGTAAACAGACAGCAGCTTTCTGTGTAATTAAGAATCCTGCTTTGAACAAAATTGATTTTTATTTAATGTATCTGTAAACAGAATGTGGCAGTAGATGGCAATAAAGATAGAATCTACTCTACCTTTCCTTTTACACTCTGAATGGGATCCACAACCACTGCCACAGCTCTCTCCGACAAGGCTTCAAAGCTCTGCTGAGTGTTGATATCCACACCAGAAAGCCAACAACCAAAGCCAGGGTGACTGTGATACCAACCAACAACCATCTCCGGCCTGAAACAAAGAGGGCATTCAGATGCTCAGAACAGAACAAGTAATACATTTATGATATGAAAAGAAACAACACACTAACGGGGTATAAATTAAGAAGAGATGAAAAACACACAGGTGTGAAAAAGCACCATTAGAAACCCTGAAATTGTACACCATATTATCCAGAAAACATGGAAATGAATATGTGTGACAAAGGAGTGCTATCATTAAGAGATGCACATTAGCAGTGGTAGATAAGGCTTTCAGTTTTTCACCTTGTTACCACAGTTTCTCAGAGCCAGTTTTTACCCTTTCAGCATTCAAGTAAATATCTACTCTTTAACTCCTTAGCTCTGGGAGTTGGATTTTCCAGGCACAGAGTACATTTTTAACAATGGACACCAGGATCCACTGTTGTGAAAGGATTAAATATCAATTAAACCAGCAGTAGAACTAGGAACTCAGTCAAAAACCAATTTGCACTGTTCTGCTCAGCTGCTGAGCCTTTTGCTAACATTAATTTTGAAGTTGTTTCCACAGCAGAAGAATTTGAGCAAGAGAATGACAACTATTGAGAGATTTGGTCTGAGGAAAAAACTTTAGAATATTTGGATTATACTTTCTCTGTCTTTAAAACTATGCCTACAAACATAATTAAATATTCATAATCTCATTCAGTTGCAACTCTCAAATACATGGAACATACAAGCTCTTTCAATTATAAGTGACTAGACAGTAACTCCATATGCTAAACAGAGGGAAGCTACAGCCCAAGCTTACTATGTGACAGTCAAGAATTTTAACATGAGGCAGTTCTCTGATGGGCAAATTTCTCTGGTTCTAAAGGGAAGATATACTAGACAGGTGGTGCATGGCACTGATATTTACAGATACTTTTATGTCAATTACATAACCACTTTTTCTAGAAATGACATTGATAAACATCTATAACTTTGAGGTATGTTTCTATAAATATTTCCCATTATTTCTTTAACTGATCATTTAAAATGCTTACCTTCCTGTCTGCTTCAACATATCCAACATTTTAGCTTGGAACACTGGATCAACTGCCTCCACACTGACACCCTGATTTAGAAAGAAAGAAAAATTATTAATTTTTGTAAATTTGGAAAAAAAGCTTCCCTATGTATATTATTTGGGGTTGCCAAAATCATTTTATAGGTTTTGATACCTACATTTGATACCTACTCAAGTCATTCAATTATAAACCTCATACCAATCAAGCTTCTAAAATTGCCAACTACCAAACTGCTGTTGGCGATCGAGTTAAGCCCACTTTCAGGATTCTTTAAGAGTATATGGCCATTGCTGTGTATATGTTTACCAGAAATACGAAATAATTGAACCAACCATAACTATTGGTTAGACCTATTTAGGCAAGCATACTTCCTAATGCCATCCTATCATAACTGATGACTAAAATGAGCCTCATCCAAAGTTCTACAAATATTCAGCTATCATAATGAAACAGCCTCAAGTCTCTTACATACAGCATTATTTTGCTAGTTCAACCAAAATAAGATATTTGAACAGGAAGAATTAAAAGGTTCAGATCATCTCTCTGGCGATAGAGTACTGTCTTTATAGCTCCCAAGGCTTTCTTCTAACCTCAGGAATCTAAATCTAATGTACTTAAAGAAACTAGTTAACATAAGCACTTCCTTCCCACCAAAACAAACAGTATGCATATTGAATTCCAACAGAGAGTACATCCTCAAGAACAGGGGTATGCAATCTGCTGCTTATAGGCTAAGAATGTTTTCGGTTTTTTTCTTTCTTTTCATATATATACTTTAAAAGGACTGTCTTAAAAAAGAAGAAGAATATGCAACAGAGACATATGTCTTTATAGAAAAAGTTTACTGACTCTGGGGTCAGAAGAAAAACTTTCTAATTCTATGACACTAGAAAATAGAATTAGAGTGAATATAGGGATCAAAATCTTTTATTTTATATTGTCAAACAAGCATTTACATGGAAGTAATGATATTAAAGCCTAAGAACAATGTATTATAATGGGTATCTACATAAGTACCCATAACATATATAAGTTAGTTTTATGTGTTTCATGTAGCCTAATATAAAAAGACAGATACAAGTAATAAATAGTCTAAGATTTAAATCTAAACCTTTGGTTAACATGTAGAGTGTTTCTCTATTTCCAAATGTATAAAATAAATATAATGGATATCAAGATGGATAAAATCAGTAGATCCAAATTAGTTTACCTCAACAAATTCATCTATTTAGAGAAAACTTTACATTATTTTAAATATATTGCATTCTGTAGCAAATATTCTATTTTAAATGCTTATTTTTAATATACATACTATATATATTACAGTACTTAAAATTGTAATTTGTTCTCCAGCATCTACCTTATCAAAGTAAACTTACAGAACTTCGAATAGAACTAACAGCTTTATAACAACAATTTCTTTAATCCTTCTTTTACAAGGCTCAGTAAGAGAAATATTGCCTAGCAAAGAAGAAATATCGCTTGGAAAAATACATGCATATTTTTCTAAGCAAACAGGTGAGAAGGATATATGTGCTTTTTTTGGAAGGTAGATGGAATGGTTATTGTTTTTTGGCTATTTTCTTTCAGTCAAAATGCACATCTATCAACACAAGTCTAATGCATCAAACAAAAAGGCAAAACAAAACAAACATCTCTAGAAAGAATAATGTATTCTATACAGGTAATTTGTATGGAGTACGGTGCATATAAACAAAATACCATGCCTGGGAAAAAAATATTCAGGTTTGCTATTGTTTTGTTTTGCTTTAACTTAACATTTTAAATAAGAAAAGCTTAAAAAGTCATTCATCACCATATATAGAACATTTTTTAAATGACATATTTCAAAACAATGGGAACAAGACATAAGAACCAGTATATGTGAGTTGAAAATCTAAATTAAGAGAATCTCAAATCTTTTGAACACTTGGTTCAAAATCAAACTAACACTCTGCTATTATAGGGTAAGTAACTTTTAAATCCAGTATTTTACACCAGTTTAAGCCGAAGGACTGAGAAAAGAAATTTAGCATTAGCATCATTCAGTTTGTAGACCTATAAGAAGTTATGCTGCGTTTTAAAGATTAATGATTTAATTCAATACAATCTAAAAATTTCTATCAAACTTATGATTAATTTTTCCTACTGGAAAGAGAAAATGTAATATGATGAGAGTTAGTTTGCATAGGAAAAGAAAAATGAAAAGAAACACATTTACTTGCAGCAGGCAACCATAAAAGTACTCACTGTTCCTGACTGTGGCATAGCAAACACATCAATCACTCTGACGGTATAATCATCAACAAATTCTCCAAGCATCAAACCCATAACTTCCATTGGAACTCCAGCACGGCCATGTTTTAACATCTGTAGAAAGGAAGAGATGTGGACACAAAGCAAATTTCGTTGAGGTCTCTGGTTCTTCTTTATAAAACAAAAACCAAATTTTGTTCCAGTGAAAATAAAAACTCCTTTTATAAATGTACCTAAAACAATAGCTTATTTATGTCTGAGAGGATTAAGGTGACAAATATTCCAAAGTAAAAGATACAGTGAAAGCAACAGAGTTCTCTAAAGCAAGTAACTACATTCATTACCTACTTTTAACAGTGCCAGGGAAGAGATATAGACTTGTTCTGCTGTGTCCACTGCAGGAGCATCTGTAGGTGGCCCCTAGAAACAAATACATCAATTATTATTAAAACAAACACAGAGTTTATGAGTTTAAAATTCAAGTTACATGTGGTATAAACTTGATATTTTTAAAATAGTTTTGCAAAACATGTCAAGTATCCTTTTATTTGGCTATGACATAATCAAAACACATTTGCAAATATCAAACCTGTAGAAAACAGGTAAAACTTAATACTAAGCCAAGGGTCTAATGGACATAAAGTTTAAGTCTTTCGGCAATGCCAATCTACCTTGGCTACAACATGGCTATAATGTACCAATTAGCCACATTTGTTACCACAGTGTGTATATGTGAAATGCTGTTGGACTAGCACAATTAACTAAAGCATCAACACAAACAGCAAATTCTTTGAGTATTAATAGATTAAGGCTATGGGATTCCTCTGCAAATTCATCACAACAGTGGAGGAGAAGGGGAAAGAAGACTTCTAATCCCTGGGTGAAAGAGCTGTGAACAACATCCTCTGCATGTCACCTAATGAAGCTGTTCCCCTCCCCCTATACAACAACAAATTTAACACAATTGCCCCAGGTGTGAACAAACCAGTTGAGACAGGTATAGCTGACGTGAAAATACTTCCAAAATCCTAACCACTACCTTTAAAACAAGTATTACTAAGGAAGACACTATGTTTCTCCTTTAAGGATTCTATCTTCTTCCTGAAAGGAAGCAAACTTCTCTTGACTATAACATTCACCTGCACAAGGTAACTGACATATAGTTCTTACCCTCAAGATGCCTATAATCTTATAAATGTGATTCTGCCCCACAATTAGTGCACCTAAAAAGCTTCTTGTTTTTTAATATTGGACAATCTGGGAAATTATAATGAGATATGACTTATAATTGCCAGGTCGTGTTTTGCTTAAAGTTCCCTTTCCCTGACAATAACTCTATTACAAATTAGGTAAACAACATGTTACCTTATCCAAATTGTAAGCCATGTTCTCTCTCCCATTTATACTTTTACATACTAAAAGTAAACAATTGCTTTACATTCCATACATATAGGTCTATGTGTACTTTGTGCTTTTGTGTGTGTGTGTGTGTGTGTGTGTGTGTGTGTGTTAAATTCTATTACTTTGTATTGTTTTAAAAGTTCATATATTTACTGGAAGCATTAAGTATAAAAGGTTCTAGAATAAGTTTTCTCTAAATAAAATAATTTTGTTTTTATTTACTTTTGTTCAAAGTGGTGGGAAAAATCAAGTCCCTCAAATTTAATTTTCACCATAAATGCCAGGCAATAAAGTTGGAAACTGACCAAATTCTTCATCTATTATCACCTAATGCAGTTTTATTGCTTATTTTTCAAATAGCTAAGATCTCTTTCAGAATGAAAACTCTGCTAAAGTAAAGTAATAACAGGCCAAAGCATCTTGCTGAAGTCATCATATAAACCTAATTTTAGTGGTATGATAATTTTACTCATTTCACTTAGAAAGTTAAGAAAGATTAAGGAAAAGGTGAGGACAACAATAAATTGGTTGTGATGAGAGGTTTGGGGGAAGTAGTAGTAACCTTAAAAGGTTAGGATAATAATAAGGTTTCAGTTAAACAGAAGGAATTGATTCTGGTGATCTACTGCATAGCCTGGTGACTACAGTTAATAATAATGTATATTTCAAAATAGTTAAAAGACGACTTTAAATGTTCTCAGCACAAAGAAATGATAAATATTGAGGTGATGGATATGTTAGCCTTATGTGATCACTCCATAACATATATATTTATCAAAACATCACCCCCCACCAATATATATAATTATTTGCCAATTTAAAATAAAAGTAGAAAAATAGGTTAACGAACACTGTATTCATAAAATTATTCCTGAATCCAGAGCAATCTTAAACATTGCATATGGAGAAAGAAGTTAAACTGGTATCTTGACACAGCCTTTCTCAACTTGCCTGAAAATATTTTTTTTTAGAAAAAAAGGGAAATAAAACATCAAACCATCACCAAAATGCATTACTGAAAGAATCCAGAAACTATTTCTGCCACCAAAGAAGGAAGAAACACTATTTTCTTCAATATTATATATATAACCAGTACTTAGAAAAGTGCCTGGGCCATAGTAAGAACTTAATAAGTACTGATTGAAAGAATGAATGAATAAATTAAGGTACTACTGCAAGCCAATGGAACAGAAAAGAAAAATACCAACTAGAGTTACCTCGAGAGAGAGGAAGCAAGCCACATGTCAGTGGCCTTTCTTCTGATTCAGAAACATACTAACTCACAATGGATTTTCTTCTGATTCAGAAACATACTAACAAGAAAGCCATGTACTAAGAGAAGACTATGCAGCTGTTTATTGTATGAGTGCTGTTTTATTTTTGGTTTTTTTTAGACGGAGTCTCGCTCTGTCACCCAGGCTGGAGTGCAATGGCGCGATCTTGGCTCACTGCAACCACTGCCTCCTGGGTTCCAGCGTCTCTTCCTGTCTCAGCCTCCTGAGGTGCTGGGATTACAAGGGGCATGTCACCACGCCAGGCTGATTTTTTGTATTTTAGTAGGGATGGGGTTTCCCTGTGTTGCCCAGGCTGGTCTCGAACTCCTGAGCTCAAGCAATCCACCCGCCTTAGTCTCCCA
This sequence comes from Homo sapiens, assembly GCF_000001405.40. Lineage (NCBI taxonomy): Eukaryota > Metazoa > Chordata > Mammalia > Primates > Hominidae > Homo > Homo sapiens. The sequence continues at coordinate 161,364,860 of NC_000002.12, read as the reverse complement.
AAGTGCTAGCATTACAGGCGTGAGCGACTGCACCCAGCCATGAGTGCTGTTTTTAAAACAGCAGCCAGTGATACTGCTGCCCCTTTCACTACTGTGGGCAAGAACTAGAGAAGGTTGGTACCAGTGAAATACTGCCAGAGAGAGAGAGAAATCGCATATAATACACCATCAATGGGACAGATACTAAAGACCTCAGCCAGCAGTGACTAAGGCTGTTGTTTTCCTACATGCTCACCTGTTCAGAATAGCAAAAACCAGGCAACAGAAGAAAACCCCATTAAAGACTCGAAACTGAGCTCAGAGAGGTATGTAAGAACATGAACAGCTGATATGAGGGGAGGGGGGCCAAGGCAGGGCTGGGTAGAGGAGGGTGTGGCCCCTGGCTAAGGCACCACCACCAGGCCTGCGCTCATGGACCTAGGTGAAGGTATTTTTGTTTTCCTCCCCAAATGTTGCATTTCCAAGACCACCCTGGCCTGCCACTCCCCCATGCTGTGTCTATTAAAACTCCCAGACCCTAGCAGGCAAAGACACAAGTGGCTGGACATTGAGAGGAACAGAACACATAAGCAGAAGATGATACTGGCAGCTGAACATGAGAGAGGAGCACATCAGCAGAGGGACACACAAACGGCTGGACGTGGAGAGAAACCACTGGGGTATGAGCAAACCAGCACGCAGGCAGGCTATCAACCAGCAGAATGAAGCAGAGTCTGGCCAGGGCAGTTGGAGGACAGCGTCCTGACTCCAGTGGAAAACCATCTCCCTTCTGGCTCCCCCATCTGCTAAGAGCTACTTTCACTCAATAAAACCTTGCACTCATCTCCAAGCCCACGTGTGATCTGATTCTTCCAGTACACCAAGGCAAGAACCCCCAGATACAGAAAGGCCTCTGTCCTTGCAGTAAGGCAGGGGGTCTAATTGAGCTGTCTAACACAAGCCACCTATGGATGGCTAAACTAAAAGAGCACCCTATAACACACACCCACTGGGGCCTCAGCTGTAAACACTCAATCCTAGACACTGCTGTGGGGTCAGAGCCCCAAAGCCTGCCTGTCTGTATGCTCCCCTAGAGGTGTGAGCAGTGGGGCACTGAAGAAGCAGGCCACATCCCAATCGAATGCCCTGTGAAGGGGACAAGGGAACTTTTCCCATTTCACAGCTACAGATCAAAGATGACCCAATTAGCTCCCAAGATGAGAAAAATGTGGGGCTGTGGACCATCTACATACATTATCTTTTGGCAAACACTCCTGGGGGGCAGTATTCTGGTGATTCAAAAAGAAAGTCACCTAAATATAGGAATCATGAACAAAATTTTAGAAAACTATTTGACATCAGTAAAACAGAAGTTCCTTATCTTTGAAACAGAAAGCTGGAGGACAGACCAAGATAAAAAGATGAAAAATAATTTAGAATTAAAATCACACTAGGAGAAACAAGGGTAAAAGTATTATAACAAATTTAATTCAGTGATATACAATATAAATTTCTAGATGTCCCAAAATGTACAGTAAAAAGTTAGAGATGAAAACTTTTAGAAATATAATAAAATTAGAGCAGCAGTCCCCAACCTCTTTGGTGCCAGGGACCAGTTTCATGGAAGACCATTTTTCGAGTTTTGGGGCAGGGAGGATGGTTTTGAGATGAAACTGTTTCACCTCAGATCATCAGGCATTATAGATGGAGCATGCAACCTAGATCCCTCACATAGGTGTTCAAAATACTGTTTGTGCTCCTATGAGAATATAATGCCGCCACTGATCTGACAGGAGGTGGAGCTCAGGCAGTAATGCTCACTTGCCTGCTGCTCACCTCTTGCTGTGTGGCCTGGTTTCTATGGTCACAGACTCATATGAGGACACCTGAATTACAGGACAGACAAGAGCTCAAAGCTAAAAAATAGAGTTGTTTCTAAGGCTAAAATAAACAGAAACAATAAACAAAGGCAAAGCTGAAGAAAATTTTCTTGAATTTAAAAAAAAGTTCACCTTTGGGACCATCATATGTGAGGCAATAATCAATGAATAAAAAACTGTATCTTGAGAAATCTTAGCTAAATCTCAATTACATAAAGTAAAATGTCTAAAACCATACGAGTAGAGAAACCAAACAGCCTGCTGGGAAAAAAATGCAACACAGGTTGACTTTGGATTTATTTGCAACATTAGATGGCAGAAAACAATGAAGCAAATCTTCAAAGTTTTAGGTAAAAAACTGAAAGTAAAGAATTTTATACTCAATTTTTAAAAAACATCCAAAGGCCCACAAATACATTACTAAATGTGTAAGGGCTCAGAAAATAGGATTCCATATATTTTCCCTGAAAGAGCTTCTTGAATAAAAGATCCACTTGAGCATCCCACTCCTCAAATAAATATTAAAAGCTAAAAAATGGAAGAGTCGTCATATAAAGAAATCTGTTACAACCACTGAATGCAGTTAAAAAGATATAGATATAAATAATGTAAATAATCAGGATCCGAATCCACCATTATCCAGGTAACTATATAGGCAGGAGGGAGAAATGAAGTATACAATATGCTCTATCTTTTATAGTAGGGGAAAATACAGATGTAAGTGTTGACTTTACTATTCTGGAAACATAAATTAGTTTTTTGAACAACTTTAACCACTGTAAAAATTAAAAAGCATGTAATCCCAGCTACTCAGGACGCTGAGTGGGAAGATGGCTTGAACCCGAAAGGCTGAGGCTGCAGTGAGCCATGGTTAACCACTGCACTCCAGCCTGGGCAACAGAGTGAGACCCTGTCTCAAAAAAATTTTTTTAATTAAAATTAAAAAGCAATGTACACATTACTAAGTCACTGGGGAAGAAAAACCAAACACAATACTGACAGTAAAACAACAGTAGGAAATCAAGAAAGAAGAAAAAAATACCAAGCAACATAAGGTAAGATCAAATATATTAGTTATGAAAACATATAAATGGATTAAAGTCCCTTGTTAAAAGATAAAAGCCTCTCATAATGGGTTTAAAATGGAAATTCTTGTGTATGCTGCTTACGAGTAACAATTAAAACAAAAAGACTGAGCAAAATTTGTCAATGAGATACCAACATTTTTTGTTTAAAAGAAGCCACAATGGCCACTGGTTCACTCACCTTACCTTTCTTCAGTGGTGTATTACATTAATATTTCCCACTATTAAATCATCTTTGTACTTCTAGATTAATTGTTCATGTTTTCTTTACTATTTGTTCATTTATGTTTTCTTTTTCTCATAAGTGAGATTGTTCTGGCATTTTTGTGTGTGTGAAATTTGCCAGGTTTTGATATCATTATGTTAGAGTTATAAAACAAACTGAAAAATTTACAAGTTTCCCAATTACAAAGTTTTCCATTTTCTATTTTCCAATAATATGTATGTGAAAAAAAAAATCTATCCGTGTTTTTCAATTTTGGAAGTGTTCATTATTAAAACATTTGGCTCTGAGGCTGTTCTGTGGCTAATTGTTATAATCTTTTCAGTTGTATTGATAAATTCAGGTTATCTATATCTTGAGACTAGATGAACTATTACAGTGTTGCAGAAAGTTTCATTTCATTTAGATTTCAAAGTTATCACCATAGAATTGAACATATTCTATTTTAATTTTTCATTTTTTCTTAGTACTGGAAGCATTTAAAACTAAATTTCCTTTCCTATATCATGTTATACCACCACCCAGATGGATTAAAGAGTTACATGTTTTTTTAAAAAATTAAAGTGTAACAAATGCTATGCCAAAAATATTGGTGAATGCCTATTTGATCTGGGTGAAGAAGCACATTTTAGGTAGAAACTCAACTGAACAAATAAAGGAACATAAAATTGCCAACATAATCTAAATTTCTAAATACCTAAAGACTTTAAAACAAAACACCCTGAAAAAATAGTTTTCCCATTTATGACAAGAAGTCAGTACACAAGCAAATTAAAAATACTAAAACCATAATGGAAACATGGGCAAAGAATAATAGAGACTAATTACATCAGAAATACATGATGAAATAAATACGAAGGCCAGGCGTGGTGGCTCACGCCTGTAATCCTAGCACTTTGGGAGGCCAAGGCAGGCGGATCATGAGGTCAGGAGATGGAGACCATCCTGGCTAACACGGTGAAACCCCGTCTCTACTAAAAATACAAAAAATTAGCTAGGTGTGGTGGCATGTACTTGCAATCCCAACTACCCAGAATAGGGCTGGGCACAGTAGCTCATGCCTGTAATCCCAGCACTTTGGGAGGCAGAGGCAAGCGGATCACCTGAGGTCAGGAGTTCAAAACCAGCCTGGCCAACATGGCGAAACCCCATCTCTACTGAAAATACAAAAATTAGCCAGGCATGGTGGCGGGTACCTATAATCCCAGCTACTTGGAGGCTGAGGCAGGAGAATCGCTTGAACACGGGATGTGGAGGTTGCAGTGAGCCAAAATCATGCCACTGCACTCCAGCCTCAGTGACAGAGCGGGTGAAAAAAAAAAAAAAACAATATGAAAGGCTCAGCCAGGCACAGTGACACATGCCTGTAGTCCCAGCTACTTGGGTGGCTGAGGTGGGAGGATCACTTGAGCCCAGGTCAAGGCTGCAGTGAGTCATGATCTCGCCACTGCACTCCAGTCTGGGGGACACAGTGAGGCCTTGTCTCAAAAAAAAAAAAAAAATACATGCATATATATATGTTACGGGGTGGAAAAAAGCTGTTTATCTTTGTTTAACCTGAAGCTTAAATCATTCCATGAGCCACATAGTCCTATCAGAGAAAATCTGGAATTTTTCAGGCTCTGGAAAAACACATCTTTGTTTTTTGTTTATTTTTTTCAAATGTGTGATAGATACCAATCCCATACTACACAAATAATACTTAAGTATTCATCATGTGCTACCACTTTAGCTGTGTGGTTAAACAAAAGCTTCGAGAAGCTTGTGAGGTAATCAAATATACATCTACATCGACATATATCACAAGGCTAAAATGTAACACAATCAGAGCTAAAATGCAACTTCTGACGCTAGTAATATACTTTCCAGTACAGTACGCCATCCCATTTTCAGATGCCCAAGTCTACTTTTATTCTGGGAGCTTAGTTCACTTCCATTGTTTATAATTTTAGAATCCTCTGCCACCTGGAGCCATTTCCTATTAAAGAAAATGGAAAGAAAACTTGAGATGTCCTTCCTATTCAAAAGTAGTTAGTATGCTCACTGAGAACAGAGAACACTTCAGTGTCTCCCCATATTTCCTGAAGTCTAGATGGGCACAGTGGGCTATAGAGAGCAAAATGCACTATACACTGTATAGATACTAATATGAAAATTAAAATATGCCTTTTTCCAAGTCCAATTAAAAAAAAAATCTTTGCCTTAAAAAAATAACTTTTTATTAAAAGCTGTGGGAAATCTAAGTTACACAAAGCATTTGAGACTTTTTAAAAATCACAGCACACAAATGATAGAAAAATAAAAACCAGGCAAGCACAGTTCTCAAATATATTACCAGTTCAAAGAATTAAATTATGGATGCATATATATAAGCATATAAAATTATATTCTTAGTATTAATGTATTTTAAAGAACTGAGTAGGGCCAGGCACAGTGGCTCACACCTATAATCCCAGCACTTTGGGAGGCCAAAGCTGGAGGATCACTTGAGCCCAGGAGCTGAAGACCACCCTGGGCAACATAGTAAGACCGCATCTCCACAAATTTTTTTTTAAAGATTTGCCAGGCATGGTGGTGTGTGCCTGTATTCCCAGCTACTCAGAAGGTTAAGGTGGAAGGATTGCTTCAGCTCAGGAGGCTGGGGCTGTAGTGAGCTGTGATTGTGTCACTGCACATTCCAGCCTGGACAACGAGGCCCTATCTCCAGAAAAAGAACTGAATAAACAACAAAAATAGGACACTAATTCCTTATAGAAACAGAAGTCTCAAATACGAAGGGTTTTCAAGATACTTCATGTGCTAGATGGCTATGCCCTGAGCAAATAAAGATATTGAAGTGACTCTCTTGCCTCAGCCTCCCAAGTAGCTGGGATTACAGGTACATGCCACCACACCTGTATTTTTGGTATCTTTGGTGGAGACGGGGTTTCACCATGTTGGCCAGACTGGTCTCAAACTCCTGATCTCATGATCCACCCGCCTCAGCCTCCCAAAGTGTTGGGATTACAGGCGTGAGCCACCGTGCCCGGCCAGGCTCTTTAAACATGAAAAAACTTAAGGAGAAAAACGTATGAGTCAAGGGTTTCAGTGAGGGGAAATGTAGAGTAGGAGTGGTCAGATTAATGAGGTTGTAATGGGCAGAAATGGGCAGAGACACAAAGTTTCAGGATTGGGAGGAGCTACCTAGCGGAAAGGAGACAGCGCACGGTTTTTATCCCTCACCCACAGTAAGTTTCCAAGTCCCTTTACCCCTACCCTTATGTCTCATATTTCCAATCCTAGACATAAATAAGAAACTAAAGATTTCACAAGTAGAAACTGTTAACATATTTTCTTAAGTTAGACTTAAGTTATAACTATTTTATTGCTAGTTTGTATTTACATTCAACTAAAATGGACTAAGTGATCACATGAGGACAAATTATACATGTCCTATTTATAGGACTAAAAAAGACCTGGATTTACAGAGTGTCAATCACTTCAATCATGTTTTATTTATTGAGAAATTATTATGTTTAAGAAAGTCAGGGAAATGCTGGGTAAAGTGAGGTTAAAAAAATTATATAATGATATAAACCAAATGAAAACCTGGCCTCCAAATACTTTTTGAATTTTTAAAATTGGCTTAGGCTGTTACCACTATAAAAAAAAGTAATGGAAAAAAAGTCTTTTTTCTGGTGCTTAATCAAGAGCATAGTTCTAAAATTATCAGCTTATACAGTATGTGAACTATTCAAGTTAACTTTGTTGACCTTATAACAACTGTTTCACCACCATTAAAAAAAAAAAAGAACAGGAAGTCATTGATTGGAGATTGAATGTGATGGAACTTAAACTTCAAGGTCATTTAATAATACCTATTAGAATAAACGAAGGCACCAGTATAACTAAAGAGGTACTTAAGCTACATAAAATAGTCTCGTCTTTCATACAATGCCACTATAAAATAAGCACACACATCACTGACAATAGAAAAGTAAATAAGAAACATCTGAATATTCTGCAACTTCACAGTCTGCTGCTAAAACTTAAATGAATATTACCATTTGAAAATTGGAATATGATTTATAGTTACATACTTCTGTAAAAAATATGAAACTAAAATGCACATATCCCTTGTAAAACAAGGAACTGAAATAATTACTTTTGCTATATAAATCCTCAATACTAAATTCCTACAAGCGACTTTGAAATCACTTAAGTAATTCTGACTCTTGAAAATAAGTTTGTTATAAAAAGGGGGAAAATCCATACCTTTAAACAGACTAAAATTATAAGTCAGTGATCTAACAGAACTGTAGGGTAAAAAGCTGAGCCACAGGCACAAGCAGTGTGACCAGCCTTTATTCATTCATGAAAATCTAAGCAACCAATGATATAAAACCTGTTATGAATTCTGCAAAGGCAAACAAACCTCAGTACAATGAGTTATGATGTGACACATTTAGTAAGACAGATATTATCATCCAGGTTTACAAATTTTAAATGTGGTTAAATTAACTGAGGCATGAGGTGGATTTTTTTTTTTCCATTTAGAAGATTAAAATCTGATCCAGTATAAAAACCTGTGACTTTTACATGGGTAGCCCTTGTTGACTAAGTGCTAAAAAAAAAAAAGGCATTTGCCATTATAACAGCATAAAAACTAATGCCTCAAAGTGTTACCTACTCAGGCCTTTTAACAAATTTGTTAACACTATTAGTTATATTACTCCACCTTTCTCTTAGTGTGAACTGGTATCAATTATTTAGCCAATTTTATTATGTTATTAAAATACCTGCTGATTAAACATGAACTAAAGTGTCACTTAAAAGAAATGTAAAATAAATAGCATCACTGAACTGCAACATTCCAAAAATATCTAAAAATATAAAGTTATCTCGGGAAATGACATTAAACATTTCAAAAATTTGTAAAAAAAAAAAAAAAAGGAGTTTGAATATTTAAATATTACATATGGCTTATTTTTATAATGGCTATTTAAAAGTGCATATTTAGTCCTGTGTTTTAAAAATTATTTTTAAAAGTCTGTTAAAATATATGCTTTATAACAAAAAAGAAAATAGGCTTTAGGAACAAATGAAGGTGATTATATGTTTTAAAACAAAACCTAAACATATAATTTATTGAGTTGATGGAAAATAATTCTTAATTTTATGGTATCTAATATAACCCTCAACAAATTTTATCATAAAATCAAAAATTCTGATGAAACCACTACATTCAGTTTCCTCAATTAAAAATTCCCTTAAAAAAATGCAACATAAATGAATTCAAACACATACAACTAACTACCATTGTACTGTTTATCTCTTACCCAGCAAGGTAAGAAACAACCTTTTAATACTTTAATTTTGTATTAAACAACTAGTGTGAAAAACAAGCTGCATGTAAACTATTTCTACTGCATGAGCTTCAATGACTAGCTAAGGCAACCTGTTATAGGAGGTGTTAATTGGCAATAGGAGTACAAGTCAGAAGCATGTTCCCCATCGTCCTAACCCAGCAAGGCTAGGTCATTAAAGTGGAAATGAATTCTTTCATGTCGACTTAACCCTTTCAATGCATGATTTCAGCTGTTTGCTTTCAATTAATTTAAAAAACTTGTTACTTTTTAGAGTTAAAAAAAAATGTTCCAAAAAAAAATCCTTTGGCTGACAGTTTCAATGACTATATTATTCAGAAGAGAAGAGTAGAGCAAATTAATTGCAATGTAATACTGCAACTCTCCCCTCAGAAAAACATATAAACTAATTTGTATTTGCCTATTTTAACACTGAAAAGAAGATAGAGGAGATAGTGTTTAGAAATAGCTCAGAACAATTTAATCACATAGGGTTTCCATTTACATTTCTGTTTGCGGATCCAACAACTGTCCCATTAATCATCTTAACCTTGGGATACAGCAGTAGAAATTTTTTATTCCCATAATGTCTATACAAGAATCCTTAATATAAAAGTGTTTTAAAACATAAATGAGTTAATACACCTTTCCAATTATGTTTTATTATTCTGATAAGGTGCATAATCACAGCATAGTCTGATGATTGGTTGCCAAAAAAGTCCAAATTCCTTTTATGGCATGATCTCAGAGGTTTCCAGATGGTGCATTAATTCTTTAAAAGAAAAAAAGAAAGACAAAAAGAAAGAAAGAAAATAAGAATGGAAATGTCAAAATAATGATGCATTGCTTTTCAAATGCTACATTTATAAATACTAATATTGCCAATTTTAAGCATTATAGAAATTTAAAATAAAATGCAATTATATAATATTACAAATACTACAAATAAAAATATACATATACTGCATCTTTCATCTCTGAGTAATCCTGAAAGTACTGACTTTAGTAAAAACTCATAATATCAGAGTAAGAATTAAACATTAGAAAACATACCTAACACTATGTACCTTGCATAATAAATCAATAAATAATTGCCAACATGACAATAAAGACATAATTTCACCCACTGCTGAAATATACCTAGGTTCTTGAGTAAGTTTAACCAACGATATATTTCTTTATTAAAAATTTGATTAGCAAGAGACAAGAAAACAATGGGAAATATAATGGTTCAAGGATGTCAAACAATGAGAATTATACTATATTCCTATACCATACTCTATATCCCTTTCCTACCTCACCCACCTCCTCTGAAATTTTCTAATTATTTAACAAATTCGGTTCCTGCCTCTCTGAAAAGTTTCTTTTCCTAGGCCTACTGAGTTCCTCCAATATAGCACACCTAAGTTTGGTGGCCCTACAGCCAGTATTTTGAGAATATAAAAACTGCAGCAAGAAACAGGCAGTGGGGTGAAGCGATGTAATAGCAGGGGAGAGGGGGAAATGACACCATTATCTGGTTATAAAGAGACCCTATCAAAGTAACATAGGGGCTGGCAGCCCAGTGCACAATGCCTAACTATGACATTTCTTTCCCTTTAAGACCACCCTTGGTACTCACTTTGAAACAATTTTCACCTATTTAAAAAATGTGTGTGTATACTTCATAAATATATATACCCACTATCAACCCACAAAAACTAAAAACAAAGTTTCTATGTGTGTGTGAAATATACCATGAGCACCAATCACTTTAGATATCTATGAAATCTGTCTCATCAGAATAGGAAATGGCTGTCTCCCACTTTGGGTAACAATCACCGTGCTCCACTGCAACAAGGACCAAGCACAATGCTCGACTACCTTTGTTATAAAAAAACATCATTCAGCAGCCTGGGCAACATGACGAAACCGTCTCTACAAAAAACTACAAAAATTAGCCAGGTGTGGTGGCTCAAATCTGTAGTCTCAGCCACTTGGAGGGCTCAGGTGGGAGGATCATTTGAGCCTGGGAAGTGGAGGCTGCAGTAAGCCAACACAGTGCCACTGTACTCTAGCCTGGGCAAGAGTGAGACTCTGTCTCCACCAACCCCCCACCATCTGACACACATACACACAGCATCATTCACGGAGATCAGTTCAAACTTCAGAAACCAGAAAATATAAACATTTAAGATTGGCAAAAACATAACTGGAAAGAGGGGCCCAGAATCAAGCAGAACCTGAACGTCTCATAACAGAACACTGAGGTATCAGAATTGTTCCACAAAAGACTGCAACTGGCTTTAGAGTTCTTATAGTGCCAGTGGCCCTTTTGAAAATACTGTTCAGCTATGGTACTATTTATTTATGTATTTAAATCACAAAACATGTAAAAATAAATAAAAAATAAATTAACTGGTTATTTTGGGAAGCACCCATAATTCATAATTCATTAACTAGCCCATCTTCTAAATTATAATATGCAAAGCCATGTATGAAATATTACACACAGAGAGACATACAAATAATCTACGTTTTTATTTATTCACTCAACAACTAGACTTGACAGCCCACATACCATGTACTAGCTACACACAAGTAGGAAAGTCCCTGCCCTGAAAATGTTTACAAAGTAGAAGGCAGGGAAGAAAGAGAAGAACCATAACTGCAATATAGAATAAGTACAAAAATAGATGCATAAATAGGGAACACACACATAAGTGACAGCAATCTATTGGGTAAAATCTTCCTTTATGCTAAGAATTAGGGAATACATAGACCTTTTCCAAGTAAGAAAAGGGGGAGGGAGGGAAAAGGCATTCTGGGAAGATAAAAATGACACACTGAAAGGCAGAGAGACATAAAACACATTACCACTCAAAGCTTTTTAAACAATAAAATGAGCTAACTAAAGCGTGGATTCCTAATTAGTCAAACATGAGTGAATACTGTTTAAATTTCAATGGTTGTTTTTCTGAGGATGTGACTTTTCAAATAAGCAAGGTCATCTTTAAAGTAGACATGCTCTTCCTTATCCATACTTTTGGCTTTATGAAAAATATTCAGCACTTAAGAATATAAATCATTTTGGAATTCCCTGACATGCCTAAAATAAATACACAGTTATAAAGACAATATTTGAAGGATAAGATGACATATTTTTCCACATAAAATATTAAGTCTTAAGGACCCAAGATTTCACTATTATGATATAGAGTATCTTTTCAGTTTATAGAATTTGTATAAATTTTACATCTGACTCATAGTCTTAAAGCCAGATTATTTTCTCTTTAATATACAGTTCTCAGAACAAAATATTCTTTTAATAAAATTATAAAGAGCTGATTATCTGACATCCAAGCAATGGACACCACTGGATGAGAAGACACAGAGTTCAAGTCTGGGATTAGCTGGATCACTGATCAAAGGAGCTGAAGGTTAAGTGGATGCTACTGTGATCAGCTGTTAGAGCCACTAAGCAGTCATAAAAGCTGGGCCCTGGAGGTGTTAACACAGAATACAAATAACCTTCCTGTTTGTGTGTATCTTGCTTTACATTTTTCAAATATAATTACATTTTGCTTTATTTCTCAAATGTTATTTACCTCATCTAATGAAAGAAGAGAAAGACAAAGGAACAATACAAGAAAAAGAAAGCACCACACAGAGGAGAGGGAATCCAAAAAAATGGGTGAATGTGGGCACGACTATTTGAAAAAAAGGAAGAAAAAATAGACTTGGGAAACTGGATGGCAGATAGTATGACATGCACTGGGTATATGACAAACCAGTTAGATGTGGTCCTAGTCCTTAAAATGTAATATAGGAGACAGAAAATACACAGTATATATAAAAATCAATACTTGATTGTAACTTGGTGTAGTTTATTATTCTAGTGGCAAAATAAAAGGAAAGAGAGTAAGTCTTGGTAATATAATAAAAGCAAGGCCCTATTTCAAAGCGCCTCCCCAGAAAGTAAATAAGCAATGAATGTAAGCCAGAGGTTCTTAACTGTATTTATAGCTCAGAATTACAAGGAGAGCTTAAAAAATTCTGATGCCTGGGCCCACCCTCAGAGACTCTGATTTAATTGCTCTGGATTGAGGCTCAGGAATCTTTTTTTATTTAGCTCCCCAAGTTATTCTAAAGTACAGCCAAGGTTGAAAATCACTGATATAAACTTATAAAACAAGGATTTCATTATTGTGAGGTTAATGAAATGGCTATGGTTAGTTTGTCCAGCCAGTTGTCTAGGAATTTCAGAGGTCTTGAGCCAATCACCAAATGCATCAAATTCTGAATTACTACAGCGTTTATTATAATTTCAATTTAGTGAGATACAGAGGTTTACAAATTATCATAGATATATGAAGTAGAGAGACTAATCAGGCTAGAGACACTAATTGCTGCTCTCCCTGAAATATTTCTGGTTCCGCTCTCTCAGGCACATAGTACGACTGCACTTCCCTAACCTCTTGAGGTTAGGTATGAACATGTGACCCTCTTCAGCCAATAAAATGTAAGCAGAGTGGCCATGTCACTTTCAATCAAAGCTTTTTAAGGAGTCAGTGTTCAATGATAGCGCTGTATCAGCTTGAGTCCCACAGTAATGATACCACGGAACAGAGCACCCAGACGACCCATGTAGACATACAGTATGAGTGAAAAAGAAAGCTTTCTGGTTTTAAACCATTGAGATTTGGAGGTTATTCCTGAAACATAATCAACCTTTCCTGACTAGCACACCATAGAAGACTTCCAGGGGAAAGAGGAGGGTAAGGGATCATTTAAGCAGTCTAGAAAGAAAGTAGTAAATTCATTAATACACAATGGGGGCAAAGGGCTTTCCTTTACAGAGAACACCCTACAAAAAGTAATATAATGGATGAGCAGAATGGTATGGGAAACTTGAGGACTTACAGAGTATAATATGGCTACTTTGAGATATGAGAAGGTCAGAGCAAAAGATGAATGTAGACAGAGACAAATCATGAAGGATAGAAATTCTAGAACAACTCATAAAAGGGCCAAAGGGGCCATTCTGTGATACTACTCTGCAACCTTCTTTCTGCCCTAGTATAAGCTAAGTGATAAGACCACCTTCACCAGCAACAATGACACACTACCATACCAATCATTTTAGAAAGCTCCCAGATGATCCTGATCATGCCAAAAAGGTATAGGTGGACTTCTCTTTCCCATCCCCTTGAGTCACTACACTTTGGCCTGAAGAACATAATTTTTATCTTAAACTGAAAATGACTGAGGCCTCATTAAGGATATTCAAACAAATGAATAGAGTAATAAATTCCACATTTTAAAAAGAACTACAGAATTTCTGGTGGTGGGAAGATTTACTAAGGGAGATTGGACAAAGGAGGACACAGACAGGATTATAGGAAGGCTGAAATAAGCAGAGGCAATGATGAGAAGAAACATTTGAAGCACACTCCACAGTATAATACTTGGAGACTAATTACACTTGGGGGAAATGGAGAAGTACAATATGATTGCAGGTTTTGCCTTAGGCAGCAGAGTAACTATCAATACCATTAATCAAGATATGGAATACCTTCAGACCATATCCAAAATCTCCAAAATCTAACTGCTTCTAACTATACCTGCATTACAGCAATCTAGTGATTAACTATAAATGTATTTATGTGAACATGAAATCCACTTATTCCTCAATTTAGTTAATTTTGTTTTTACTCTTATTGGAAATGATCTGAGATCTCCTCTCCTTCCTGCTACTTTGATTAATCAAGACACAACATTACAAGGTTCAAAGTTAAGTCAACACAACTATAATAACATTTTATCTGTCTGTCTGCAAATGGCTGGTTAGGCCCTGCCCAAAATGGAACAGTTTAAGACTATTCAAAACCATTACAACAGTCAGTTATTCACTCAAAATTAAACATTATCACATCTAGTTTTAGGACTAGTTAACTTCCTTCTTGGTATAAATTACTGAAGTTCTTCATCCTCAAATAGGATTGCCAGATACATGATACTAAGTTAAATTTGAATTTCAGATAAATAAGTATTTTTACTAAGTACATCCCAGGCTGTATTTGGGACATACTTATACTAAAAATTAATGGTTACTTATCTGAAATTCAAATTTAACTGGGCATCCAGTATTTTCATTTGCCAAATCTGGCAACCCTATCCCCAAGTAACTACAAGTACTTTCTATTCTAAGTTCCTTACACATTTTATTTGTTCTGCCTAGCTTAAGCCAAAGGCAACTTTATATTACTAAACATACCAACATTTCTTTAAAAATGTTACCACGTATTTGTCTTTAAATAAGCATACTTTTAAGACTTAAGTACCCTCACCAAATGGACATTCCCAGTTCCCTCTTATGAAAAGAATACAAATTAAATCTACATCTCAATGTTATACATATCATATTTTTAATCTTGTTGGAAATCAATATCAACTTTGAAGTATCTTCTCTCTCCAAATGCTAACATAATTATTCATTAATCAACAAATACATCTTTTACTTTAGGCAAGAAAACATTCACAGTTTAGACCATACCTTGCAAGCCCTGCTGGTCTCTCCAACCCCACCCTGCTCGTCTGGCTCACAGCAGACTCTCCTCCCTCCTCTGAGGAGCACACCTCAGCTGCCCTACATATTCTCTGCTACAACTCTTCTCCTCATCATGTAATTAAGTCTCCATTAATTCAAACACTCTGTAAGGGTTTGGCATTCACTTGTTTGTAACTTCACATAGGATCTAGGTCAGTGCTCCACAGACTACATCTGTTACCTGATCGAACATCTTAAATAGAAAAGTCAAAAAGTTTAGAGAAGTGTACTGAAATAATTGAAAGAACTCCACACTAGGAAAGACTACCAAACACACACAAAAAAGATGCTCAATAAATAACTCTTCAATCTCTTTATAAATAAATGCAGTTTTAGCTTTTATTTTTGACTCACTATCTCACCCACAAACATGCCAAGCAGGCATTCTGATGCCTCTGTGAGCCAGGCATACATGAAAATGCCAAAGGCAATCCTTTGCCTGTGTGGTCTCCATTAAGAAATTTAGATCCTTTCTCTAGGAAGAGTAAGTATATCCAAAAGGCATAACAAATGAGAGGCTAGAGAAAGGGGAACTATTAGGATTTGACGCATACTTATAAAACAACAGACTGTAGATACTATGTTGATGCAAAAGTAATTGCAGTTTTTGCCATTACTTTCAATAGCAAAATTTGCAGTGAATTTTGCACCAACCTATAGTAAGCCAATTCGGCAGCGGACTGAGCAAAAGGGTCATTTACCTAGAAAGCTGATCTGTCTTCGGCCTAAGATAGAAAGATGCCTCTCTGGGAGTGAGAGGCCAATGAACCAGGTATGTGAGCAGCAGAGAGGAAGAAAGAGCCACGTGACAACTACCTGGAGTAGGAACAAATGTTTTTTCTAACCACTGTTATTTACTTTATTTCTTTTAAAATTTATTATGAAATATTTAGGAAATACAAAAAGGTCTAATGAATAATACAATAGTTCACTACACCCAGCCTATGAAATAAAACATCACTAAAGCAGCTGGGTTGAAGCTCCTGTGTCCTTTTCCCTGACTAACTGCATCCTTACTCCATATCCTCAGATGTCACCGCTATTCTCATCTTAGTGATCGTGCATTTCTTTATACCTTTACTACATAAGTATACACAAATAACATGCAGTATCATTTTGGGTATCTTAAAATTGTACATAAAAACAATCGTATAGAATTATTCCTCCATGTGCTTTTTCATTAGTATGAACTATGTGAGGATTATTCATTTTTCAATACTTTACAAACTTCCACTATTAAGTACAATTATGTACACATTCTCCTACTGATGGATAGTTGGGCCATTTTCAATTTCCTGAAATTATAAACTAGGGATCTCCAAACTACAACCTATCGGCAAACCAGCTGACTGTTTTTTAAAGTGAAATTTTATTGGAACATGGCCAGGCCCATTCATTTTTGTAATATATGGCTGCTTTAGCACTACAATGGCAGAATGAGTAGTTGTGACAGATATCATATGGTCCATGAGCCTAAAATATTTACTATCTAGCCCTTTAAAGAAAAGATTATCAAACCCTGTTATAAGCAATGCTGTTATGAATGTCCCAGTATCCATGTGGGAGACGTTCTCTAGGGAATGTAATTAGGAGAAGATTTGCTGGGTTGTAGGTTAGTCAAATCTTCATTGTTAACAGATTCTGCCAAAAGTTTTTCCAAGAGGGTTGTATACTCTCACTAGCATATACATGTTTATGGTACATTTCTGCTTCTACTAATGTTTGTATCTTTTGCCCATTTTTAAATGGATATCTTTTTCTTATTGATTTGTCAAAGCTCACATAATTGACTAATACCTTGTCAATTATATGTTAGATAAAACTTTCCCAAGCCGTAGCTCACTGTTTGCTTTTTATGCTTCATGCCTCAGCTGCATCTGAAAAATGAGCACTGTGACAATAACCAAACTGCAAAGAGTTGTAAAGATTACATGACCTAATATATTTAAAGTACTTAGAAGAGTACCCGGCACACAGTGAGTGCTCCACAAATATTAACTGTTTATTTTTTAGTGTTTTTAGATGAAAATGAATCAATCGTCCCTTTATTATTTGTGCTATCTTGTTTAAGAAATCCTGTCCTACATATTCAATTTTAAGTATCCATAAAGCAATATAAATCTCAGCCTCATCTTATTTATTCACTATCTCTGAATGCTAAGAATAGTACTTTCTGTTAATCTGGTTTCAATTAACTATTTAATTTGAACAGATTTTCTTAAAATCTCAGCACTATCTTAATATGATCTAACGTCTGAGTAGAGAGAGAATTCCATCTAGAATATTCCAACACAAATTTTTCCCATTAAAAAGTAAATAAGGTGCAGTGGGCTCATGCCTGTAGTCCCAGGTACTCAGGAGACTGGAGCAGGAGGATTCCTTGAGTAGTTCGAGACCAGCCTGTTGATATAGCAAGACCTCCTCTCCCAAAAAATAAATAAATAAAAGTAGACAAAAGGGACATCTGCTTATGTCCAAGACAGATAGAGTAACAGAAACTAAATCTACATTCCCACCTAAAGCAAAGAAAAAACAGACAAAACTCTATGAAACAATAGTTTGTAAGACCCTGATCAAGCAACAAAGAACAACGATCTCCAAAATTTGGGAAACAAATGAGGTGAGCCTTACCCTAGCTTACTGCCTTGAGATACTTTTTGGACTGCAGTGCAGAGGGGAAGAAACCCAGGCAGAGGACAGTAGACTCTCTGAGTTGAGATGACAGAGCTGAGATTACTGAGACCAAAACAACTCGTAATCTGGACAGAGTACCACAGAAAAAATAGCTGCAAAGAGAGAAAACCCTAGAGATCTTCACAGGGTCCTCTTTGAGTATTCAGCTTAATAATGATCAATGCATGTGTGTGAGGAATCAATGCATGGTCTGGGGAAAGAATCACTCAAAAGGATTACAGGGAAGAGTACACCTACCTCCCACACAGCACTGGAAAGAGTTCCTGTTCCCACCAGCCAAACTAGAAAATTTCAGAATTCACAAAATTAGAAGAGACAGAAAGGTCTAGCCTCAATAGTAGAAAATAATGACTCCTAAACAAGGTACTGCCCCAGTCTTAACTAGCAAGGGTTAAAAGCAAAACTAGAAAGAATCAAACAGTTTCCAAGTAATTCAACTGCATCCCATAACAAATATCAAGAATATTTCTAAGAATAAAAAGTAGCCAGCACACGAGATAAGACTCACAATGTGAAACATCTAGTAAAAACTATCAGACATACAAAGCAGCAAAAAAAATATGGCCCACAGTAAGGAGATAAGTCAGTCAACTGAAACTGAGCACTGACAAAGATGTTAAAATTAGCAAAGACATTTAGAAGTTTTTAAAACTGTCAAAAAGTTAAGGAGACACATGGAAAACATAAAAATGACCCAAATAAAACTTCTTGGGATGAAAATGACAATGTACCACTAGCAATAGGATAAAGCAGGGGGTGAGTTCAGAGAGGCATGACAAAACTTTATCTCTAGGCTGTCAATAAGTTGTCCAGAAGAAAAAACAATGCAAAATAAAAAATACACTAGATGGGGTTAATAGAAGATTTAACAAAAAAATTAAATGGCCGAGCACGGTGGCTCACGCCTATAATCCCAGCACTTCGGGAGGCCAAGGTGGACAGATCACCGGAGCCCAGGAGTTCAAGAACTGCCTGGGCAACATGGCAAAACCCTCTGTCTTCTAAAAATACAAAAAATTAGCTGAGAGTGGTGGCACATGACTGTAGTCGGGAGACTGAGGTGGGAGGATCGCCTAAGCCTGGGAAGTCAAGGCTGCAGTGAGCTGTGATCATGCCACTGTACTCCAGCCTGGGTGACAGAAGTGAGGCCCTGTCTCAGAAAAAATAAAAATAAAAAGAATGAACTTGAAGATGTAGCAACAGAAAAATGAAACACAGGGCAAAATGATTGGGGAAAAAAATAAAGCCATCTACAATTATAAGCAGAAAAAATATAAATATCTTTGGGATTCCTGGGAAGGGTGGTAGGAGAATAGAAAAAAATATTTAAGAAACAGTGACCAAAATTTGTCCAAATGTGATTAAAATAACAGGCCTTCGGACACATGAAGTTCAATAAACCAAAGCACAAGAAACATGAAGAAAACTACATCAATGAATATCATAACCCAAAATCAGTGATAAAGAAAAAAATCTTAAATGTATTATACAACAATATGAATAGAGGCCAGGCACAGTGGCACATGCCTATAATCCCAGCACTTTGGGAGGCAGAGGTGGGCGGATTGCTTGAGGTCGGCAGATTGCTTGAGGTCAGGAGTTTGAGACCAGCCTGGGCAACATAGTGAAACCCTGTCTGTACAAAAAATAGAAAAATTAGCCGGGCATAGTGGCATGCACCTGTGGTCCCAGCTACTCAGGAGGGTGAGGTGGGAGGATCGCTTGAGCCCAGGAGACAGAGGTTGCAGTGAGCTGAGATCACGGCACTGCACTCCAGCCTGGGTGACAGAGCAAGACCCTGTCTCAAAAAAAAAAAAAAAAAAAAAAAAGACACAGAGATCAAGAGAACAGAATTGAAATTTCAGAAATAAATTTTAACATTTAATAGTCCATTGATCTTTAACAAAGGGACCAAGACAATTAAATGAGGAAAGAATAGTCTTTTCAACAAATGGTGTGAGACAACTGAGTATCTACATCCAGAAGCATAAATTTGGACTCCCACCTCAAAATATGTACAAAATGGATCACGGAACTCAATATAAGAGATAAAACAATAAAACTCTTGAAGCAAACAAGAGTAGATCCTCATGAACTTGGGTTAGACAAGCATTTCTTAGCATGATATCAAAAGCAGAAGTCAAAAAAGAGAAGAAGACTGATTCATTGGACTTCATCAAAATTAAAACCTTTTCAAAGGTCGCCCTCAAGAAAGTGAAAAGATAAGCCATAGACTGAGAGATAATATCTGAAAATCATATGAGCAGGCTTGTGTCCACAGATAAAAAGAACTCTTATGACTCAATGATAAAAAGAAAAATAACTTAATTTTTTAAATGGGCAGCAGACCTGCTTACAAAAATGTTTTATCCTTCCAGCAGGAGGAAAATGATACCAGATAAAAATATGGATCTATACAATAAAAAGAAGAACACCAGAAATGTTAACTACATCATTAAATATTATTTCTTATTTAACTCTCTTTAAAAGATAATCATTCGCTGTGAAAAACAATATGACACTTTCTCAAAAAAGTAATTTTTATTATGGACTGAATATTTGTGCCCCCTCCTTCCTATTCATATGTTGACATCCAGGGTGGAAGCCTCATGAATGAGATTAGTGCCCTTATTACAAAGGGTCTCCAGAAAACTCTTAGCTTTCTTTCTGCTATGCGAGGATACAACAAGAAGCCAGCAGTCTACAACACAGAACCAGGCCCTAACCAGAACCCAATCACACTGGCACCCTGATCTCCAACTTCCAGCCTCCAGAACTATGAGAAATGAATATCTGTTATTTAAGCCACTCAATCTATGGTAATTTGTTAGAACACCCCCAACTAAGTAAGACACTAAATGATCTGTCAACTTCACTTCTGAGTATAGTCATCCCTCAGTACCCTTGGGGCAGTGGTTTCAGGACCTCCCCCCACCGCTCCCCACCCCCCCGCACCAAGTCTCTAATGTAAAATAGCCTAGTATTTGCATATAACCAATGCCCATCCTCCATACACTTTAAATAATCTCTAGATTACTTATAATACCTAATACAATGTAAATGCTATTCAAATAGCTATTATATTGTTTTGGGAATAATGACAAGAAAAAGTGTACATGTTCAGTACAGATGTAAACGTTGGTTGAATCCATGGATGCAGAACCCATGGATAAGGAGGGCTACCTATATACCCAAAAGAACTAAAAGCAGAGACTCAAAGACATTTTTTTTTTTTTTTGAGACAGAGTATCACTCCATCCCCTAGGCTGGAGTGCAGTGGCGCAGTCTTGGCTCACTGCAACCCCCACTTCCCAGGCTCAAGCGATTCTCCAGCCTTAGGCTCCCGAGGAGCTAAAATTACAGGGGTGGGACACCATGCATGGCTAGCTTTTGTATTTTTAGAATAGACAGGGTTTCACCATGTTGGGCAGGCTGGTCTCAAACTCCTGACCTCAGGTGATCTGCCCACCTTGGCCTCCCAAAGTGCAGGGTTTACAGGCGTGAGCCACTGTACCCGATCCTCAAACAGATATTTCTACACCAATGTTCATAGCAGCAATATTCACAATAGCCAAAAGGTGAAATCAACCCAACTGCTCATCAATAGATGAATGGACAAACAAAATATGGTATGCATACATACAATGGAATATTATTCAACCATAAAAAGGAATACAATTCTGACACATACTACAACATGGATGAACCTTAATGACATTATGCTAGGCCAGTCACAAAATGACAAATATTGAATGATTCCATATATGTGAGGTCCTTTGAATAGTGAGATTCGTAACAAACAGAAAGTGGAATGCTGGCTGCAAGGGATGAGGGGGTGGAAGATGAAGTATTATGGTCTAATGGGTACAGAGTTTCAGTTTGGGACGATGAAAAAGTTCTGACAGATGGCAGTGATGGTTGCACAAAAATGTGAACATACCTGAACTGATCACTTAAAAATGATTAAAATGGTAAGCTTTATGTTACATATGTATGATCACAATTAAAAAAAGACAACTATTTAGACAAAAATAATGAACATAAATCATGGATTTTCAACATATAGCACAAAGGTCCAGAGAGCATATATGGAGTATATTATTATAACATTCACATGCTATAAATAAAGTAGTATATCACTTGAAGGTAGACTATGGTAAGTTAAAGATGTATACTATAAACCCTAAAGCAAAAAATAAACTAACAAAACAAGTTATAGCTAGAAATTCAACAAAGGGGATATAATGGAATCATTACAATATCCAATTAATCTCAAAGGAGTCAGAGAAAGGAAAAAAATGACAAAAGAACAAATGAGAAAATTATTAAGCAAACAGCAAAATGAAAGATTTAAACTTAACGACATTCAATAATTTTGTGAAATGTAAATTACTTAAATATCTGAATTAAAAAGCTGAGACTATGACTGGATTTTAAAAAAAAAAAGCAAAACACAACATCTCAAAATCTAACTACACGCTGCCTACAAGAAACTTATTTCAAATAGGTTAAATAAAGATCCAAATAGGTAGACAGTAAAAGATATACCACATTAGCACTAATGAAAAGAAAGCTGAACGCCTATATTATATCAACCAATTTCAGAGCAAAGAATTGTTACAAGGAATAAAAAAGATCATCTTATTACAACAAAGGAGTCATATAATCATCTCGATACATGCAGAAAAGGTGTTTGACTAAATCCAAGATCCACTTCTGATAAAAAAAAAAAGTCTCAACAAAGTAGGAATAGCAGGGAACTTCTTCAACCTGATAAAGAGTATCTATAACAAATGTACAGCTAATATCATGTTTGATGGTCAGATAATGAATGTTTCCCCCTACGATCAGGACAAGACAGGAATGCTCATTTCACCACTTCTATTAACATTTTATTAAAGGTTCTAGTCAGATCAGTAAGGCAAGAAATAAAGGGCCATCAGGATTTAAACAAGTGGTGCTGTAGTAACTGGATATCCACATGCAAAACATATTTTGTTAAACTAAGCATAACCCATATATTGCACCACATATAAAACACAATTCAAAATGGATCACAAACAAAAATGCGACATTTAAAAATTATAAAACTTCTGGAAGAAAAGAGAATATGTTTGTGACATTGGGTTAGGAGAGATTTCTTAATTATCATATCAAAATATAATTTATAACACAAATTTATATATACATATATATTTTTTTTAATTTTAATTTTTTTTTTTTTTTTGGAGAAGGAGACTTGTTCTGTCTCCCAGGCTGGAGTGCAGTGGCTGATCTCGGCTCACTGCAACCTTTGCCTCCCGGGTTCAAGCGATTCTCCTGCCTCAGCCTCCTGAGTAGCTGGGACTACAGGCAGATGCCACCACGCCCGGCTCATTTTTTGTATTTTTAGTAGAGATGGGGTTTCACCGTGTTAGTCAGAATGGTCTCAATCTCCTGCCCTCGTTATCCACCCACCTCGGCCTCCCAACATGATGGGATTACAGGCGTGAGCCACCGTGCCCGGCCCAAATTTTTATAAATTAAACTATCAAAATTAAAAACTCTGGTCTTCAAAAAAGTGTTAAGAAGATAAAAAGACAAGCCCATGTACTGGGAGAAAATATCTGCGAATTATATATTTGATAAAGAACTTCTATTCAGAACATATAAAGAACTCATAAAATTCATTAACAAAGGACGGGGCGCGGCGGGATCCCTCGGGGTCGCAGCTGGCCGGCACTCGGCGGCCGCGGCGCGATGGAGGCGCCGGCCGAGCTGCTGGCCGCGCTGCCTGCGCTGGCCACCGCGCTGGCCCTTCTGCTCGCCTGGCTACTGGTGCGGCGTGGGGCGGCCGCGAGCCCGGAGCCTGCCCGCGCGCCCCCGGAACCCGCGCCCCCGGCCGAGGCCACCGGGGCCCCGGCGCCGTCCCGCCCCTGCGCCCCCGAGCCGGCGGCCTCGCCCGCGGGGCCGGAGGAGCCTGGAGAGCCCGCGGGGCTGGGGGAGCTCGGGGAGCCTGCGGGACCGGGGGAGCCCGAAGGGCCAGGGGATCCCGCGGCGGCGCCAGCGGAGGCGGAGGAGCAGGCGGTGGAGGCGAGGCAGGAAGAGGAGCAGGACTTGGATGGTGAGAAGGGGCCATCATCGGAAGGGCCTGAGGAGGAGGACGGAGAAGGCTTCTCCTTCAAATACAGCCCCGGGAAGCTGAGGGGAAACCAGTACGAGAAGATGATGACCAAAGAGGAGCTGGAGGAGGAGCAGAGAACTGAAGAATAACGAAGTTATCCTTAGCGTCCTCCTAAAGGCTTTTCCTTTTGGCATCTTAAAAGCTTGAGAGATAAAATGGAAACCCCAGAGAGGAGTCTGGGCAGGCGCCCAGGGTGCATGCTGCCTCCATAAATCTGCTGAGCTCTAGACCCTCAATCAGGACTTGTCCCTTGGCTAGCAGGATCCTGAGAACACCTTTGGCCCTGCCCTGTGTAGAGATGTTCATGTCTGTTCCTGTGGGTCACTTTGTTAAGCTGAAGAGTTTTAAGAGTTAGAGCTCAGACCCTGGACTGGGATTTTTCTTACCACTCAAACTTGCTATCCACACACCCTGCACACCTTAGATAAAACGAACATTTTAAAAGCAGAGTTCACTTTCACTCCAGTCCCCCCTCTTTTGCCCTCACTGAAGCCAAACCACAGAAGACTTTGAGGAATGAGAGACAAATGAGGTAGAGCTCACCTGTGCTCACCAGCTCCGTCAGGGTGGTCAGCCGACCCTTTTCCCTGGGAACCCCACTTCTCTCTCTGGCTGGCTTGGTTGTCGGGGGTGAGATGCCATATTGATTACAGGGCAGCAAAGAACCAGTACCAGGAATTTACTTGACCATTCCCCTTATTTTTCATCTAGAGGAATCTCGGATTCAGCCCTTTCATTGCTAAGACACCTTTTCACTGAGGTTCTTACCAGCTCAGCCAAATCTCCACTCTGCTATAGCAGAAGCAATAATGTTTGCTTTAAAAAGATTTCTTGACCTATGCCTTTTCTTAGAAAGTTTGATAGATTAGTTAGAACTTCAGATCATCAGATCAGTCTCAAATGCGTTTCTTGGAATTTTATATTTGACAATATTTATACTATACCAAACTCATTTGCAGTTCTTAGGTTTGTTGGTTAAAACATTTTTTTAAAGCAGTAAGTTTATAGAAAATGTTTTCATTTAATGGAAGGCTGGGGAATGTCCAGCATCAACCCCTATGGCATGCATTCCCAGTGGCCTTCTCATCTGGGCCTGGAACCTTTGGTTCAGGGCTTAGGGGAGAACAGGCCACATGGCAACAGCCACACAGTCATTGCCTTCAACACAGAGCCACGTGTCCCCAAACAGCAATAGTCATGCCCTTGTCCAGGCTGGGATCTAATTGATACAATAGGTCGTTGACTCCCTCCTAGTAGAGCTATCTAGGTTTGTCTGGAAAGTTTCCGACCCTGGCTTATAGGCACCACACCTCATGTACTCCTCATGGCTTGGATCTCTGTATTCAGCCTTTGTTCAGTCCAATAAACTTTGAGTAGATGATCTCAAAAAAAAAAAAAAAAAAAAATTCATTAACAAAATAACCCACCCAGTAAAAACCAGGCAACACATGAATATATCCCTAAAATATATAGATGAATGGCAAATAAGCACATAAAAAGATGCTCACCATCATCAGTCATCCAGAAAATGCAAATTAAAACCACAATCAGATACTATTAACCACTAGAAAATGGCTAAATTAAAAAAATTAACCATATCAAGTACTGGCAAGGATGTGGAAGAACGGGAACTCTCACACACTGCTGGTGGGAATATAAATGATACAACCAATCTGAAAAACAATTTGGCAGTTTTTGAAGAAGTTAAACATATACCTACCATATGGTCCAGCCAATCTAATCCTAGGTATTTAAGCAAGAGAAATAAAAACACCTGTCCATACAATGTCATGTACATAATGTTTACAGCAGTTTTATCTGTAACAGCCAAAAACCAAAACACACCAAATTATCCATGAACAAGTTAATGGATAAACAAAGTGTTATATATCCATCCAATGAAATACTACTCAGCAAAAAAAATGAAATATGAATACACACTCTGAAGAATCTCAAAACAATTACAGTAATGAAAGCTAGACAAAAAGAAGAGTTCCTATTATATGATCCCACTGATTAACATGCTAGAAAATGCAAACTAATGTATAGTGACAGCAAATCAGTGGTAGTCTGGGGGTGGGGAGAGAAGTGCAAGGAAAGGGACTACACTGGGGGCATATGTAAATTCTGAGAATGATGGATGTTCACCATCTTGATTGCAGTGATGGTTTCCTGAGTAAATACAGTCAAAACTTAACAAATTATACACTTTAAATATTATCGTTTACTGTATGTCAATTATATCTCAATTAAGCTATTAAAAACATACAAAAGGCCTATAAATACTCCTATACTGAAATTCTCAAAATTCAAAAAGTATTATAAAGTTATTGAATGCCTTTTTTAGTACTTCCTCTTGTGATCATTCTCATACACAGTGATTACAAAGTAAAATGCTTTTCCAAGTCTAAAAGAGTAGAAAAAAGGCTTACAGAGTAGATAATATGAGTACAGCAGCTCAACAAATACAGGTTATCAATGGCAAAAATAGTACTCATTCAGAAAGGCCCAAATAAAAAAATTTTAAGAGAAGTTTTTCTTTCCAAAAAAAAAAAAAAAAACTCTCCTAACCCTACCTACAATATAACTGCGTTATAGGGCCTGTGAATACATGCTCACGCACATGTGCACACACAAACGCAGTTTCAGAACTTCATTTCTCGTAATTTATAGCTCTAAATATAGTTCCAAGGATTCTTGGAGAGAAATTCTAGGCAAAAAAGAAAAAACTACCTTAGGGATGCTTCATCAAGGGCTCTACAACTCACCACAAGGCTATGTGCTTGGAGACCTTCATCTTTGAGGTTAAATTACTTATTGAGTACTAGATGGTTTTACAAAATGTTTTTAGATTTTCTCATCATTTTTTATTCTTGTAACAATTAAGTAGTCAGAGAGTTACAAAATGTTTTTAGATTTTTCTCATCCCTTTTTATTCTTGTAACAATTAAGTAGTCAGAGAGTATAATTCTTGTAACAATTAAGTAGTCAGAGAGTATAATCATACTTTTTAAAGGCATACAGATAGGAAAATAAATGTATATAAATTAAATAACTTGTGCAGGCTACAGGTCAAGACATACACTGAGAACCAGAACCCTTATCTCCTGATCCATAGTCTAATCCCCTTCCTGCTACAGCACATCATCTCAATTACTGCAAATGTACCTGTTTATACACTTTGAAAAATATACTACTTACTGTTCACAGTCATGTGCACTGGCAGCCATGGGACCGTCACCATAAACTAAGAACAATCATTTCTGCACTGGTTAATTCCTATAAGTTCAGTATACAAAGATAGCAATGCCTATTAACAATCTGAATGATACTCTCCCAAACTAAAATATTGATTAGGTGCAGAGATACTTTAGAATTAGAAAGACCAAGTCTGAGGTTTAATCCTATCTTAACCACTTAAAGCTATGACCCATTTTCCCTTGTGAATGGTGCTAATCATACCACGTGGTACTGGTTAATGTAAAGATTAAATGAGATAACATATGTAAGGCATTTGGTATAGTGTCTGGCACACAGCTGCTGCTACTACTACTCCTAACAATAAACATCTTTTAATATTTAGTTTACTGATACCAAAAAAGAGCAATTCTAATTTCAACAAAATATATATGATTTAGAAACAAATACTAAATTTAGGAATAAAATTTAACACTGTTTTTCCCCTTGAGTTTCACTCCCAAACGAGACTTTTAGGTACTCAGATTTACCAAAAACAAACAAACAAACAAAACAAAGCACGTTTCCCTCTTGCTCATACAGATACAGAGCATTCCTGAAATTGATTCTTAATCAGCATACTTGTAAACATCTTGGTTAATGGTTTTTAAAAGATTAATTTTTCTTTAAATGACTTTGAATAAGTTACTTCCAAAGTAAATGATTCATATGAAAGTGTAAATTTTTGAAAAAAGAACTTCCTTAATGTTTATAAAAAATGAAGTCAAGGAAAACTTA
Organism: Homo sapiens; assembly: GCF_000001405.40. Taxonomy (NCBI): domain Eukaryota; kingdom Metazoa; phylum Chordata; class Mammalia; order Primates; family Hominidae; genus Homo; species Homo sapiens. The sequence continues at coordinate 161,336,927 of NC_000002.12, read as the reverse complement.
AAATGAGCTTATTAATAATTGCCAGTGTATTAAGAATATAAAAATAACACATAGGCTGAGCACGGTGGCTCACGCCTATAATCCCAGCACTTTGGATGGCTGAGGCAGTGGATCACCTGAGGCCAGGAGTTTGAGACCAGACTGGCCAACATGGTGAAACTCCATCTCTATTAAAAATATAAAAATTAGCCAGGCATGGTGGCGCACACCTGTAGTCCCAGCTACTCAGGAGGCTGAGGCAGGAGAATCACTTGAACCTAGGAGGCAGAGGTTGCAGTGAGCCAAGATCACGCCACTGCACTCCAGTCTGGGCAACAGAGCAAGATTCCGTCTCAAAATAAATGAATAAATAAATAAATAAATAATAAATATAACTGTGGTCAAGGAATCAAGTTGCAAAGTTTACTTCTTCAATGTAATTCTAAGGGTTTCAAATAAGTAACATCACTGAAAATACTAAAGAAAAAATTGATATCCAAACTCATAATATGCTTCCATAATTCATCCGGTTTTAGAACCTACAGCTGCTCGTAAATAGTATCAGCATCTTCATTTCCTTGTTTCCGACCAATATGCCATAAAATATTCAAATACAAGCAGTGTTTTATTAATATGGTGACTCTGCTTAAATTTAACTATCAGCTGACAGGCAAGGCACCACAATTTTGCCAGTTGATATAAAAGTTATAAATTAGCACATGAAAAGTAATTTATAGATGGCTATATATATACATATAATTCAAGTAAGTTAAATGAATAAAAGGTGGAGACCAAATGAATAAAAGGTGGAGACCAAATGAATAAAAGGTGGAGACCATATTTACAAACCTAAAATGGGCGAAGCAAAGCTATTCTGCCACAATTCAGCATTAAACATACGCCTCTAGGCTTATAATGATCTCTTTATTAATAAAACAAGTAATAGTAGTAGGGCTTTCATTATCTACCATTCCTAATTTAAGCTCCTAATACCAGTTGAGAAGACCATTACATATATTACTTCTAATAATAACATAACCCTGGCAAAGTGGATTCTACTGTGCCTATTTTATAAATGGGGAAGCTGAAGTTCAAAGAAGTTAATCAATGTCTAAAAAGTGACTAAGTAGTAAAGCCTAAATTCAAAGCCAAATCCTGTATTCTTTCTACCATATCAGGCTAACTACACTGATTAAACACAGTAATTCCACTCCTAGGAATTTATCCTCTGGGAAAATGCATGTGAAATAACGTCTTCAATGAGATATTTACTACAACACGGTTTGTAAATCAAAAGATAAGAAACAACCTAAGTGTATATCAGTAGAGCACTAATTAAGTAAATCATGGTTTGTCTAAAAAAATGGGAAAGCAAGCCATCCTTTAAGAAAAAACATGCAGCTTTATATCTATGGATATGGGATGAGACAATCTCTAGAATCCAGTTTTGTGTACACTGCACTGTCCAATATAGTGGCCACTGGCCACATGCAGCTATGTAATTTAAACTATTTTAAATTAAACAGAATTTAAACATTTAGTTCTTCAGTCATAACAGCTACATTTCAAGGACTCGGTAGCACTATGTGGCTAATGGCTGCCATACTGGGCAGCTAAATATAATATATTTCCAACCCACAGAAAGTTCCACTGGACAATACTAACATAGAATTATCTTTGGAAGGACATAAAGAAACTGGTAACAGAGGTTGTCTCTAAAGAAGGGAACAGAGACAACAGGGAAACTTAGTATTCAACATGTGCCCATTTGTATTCTGAAGTAACATGTCATATACTGGTACCTATTTAAAAATAACTATTTACCTATTTAAAAATACCTTGTTTCTCATAAAAACTCCCTGAATTCTGTTAATTAGAAGCATAAAAGGCTCAGAAGTTCTGAGGCATGGTAGAGGTTAAGGGACAGAAGTAATCTCTGAGGCTTCCTAGAAATACTGCTGACCACTACCCTAATTTCACTAAGCATTCATCTATTCACAATGCTATTTGAGATACCACACAAAAGATGACACAGTGCCTGTTTCTGAGGAATTAAGGGAACAGATAGAAAAACACACATCAAACGGCAGGCGTGATGGCTCATGCCTGTATAATCCCAGCACTTTGGGAGGCTGAGGAGGGAGAATCACTTGAGCTCAGGAGTTCGCCTGGGCGATATAGTGAGACCCTGTCTCTATTTTCAAAAAAAGAAAACACATCAGAAGAAAAATACTTAAAGAGCATGAAAAAGTGGCAGTGGTCAAAGAAGGGAAAATTCTATTCTTCCATCAACATGGTCACATCTGTTCCCATTTTCTCTTTCTTATACTTCCTTTAATGCTCTACAGAGGAGCACTTTAAAAAGACAGTCTTCCAGTTCTGCTCTGAAGGCACTTTTTAAAAAATGTCTTAATATACTGAATAATTTACTTAATTTCTACATGCCTCAATTTCCTCACCTGTAAAGGGAAACCTATTGATTAATCAAGGTTATCTATTAACTACTGGACATTTTTGCTGTGGAGAGAGAACAACACACAAACCTTAGCGAACAAAAAAGACACTGTGGCCAGGCAGTCAAAAAAAATTACATAATTTTTAAAATTTTAATTGAAATGGAGTTTCACTCTTGTTGCTTAGGCTGGAGTGCAATGGTGCCATCTTGGCTCAACACAACCTCCACCTCCTGGGTTAAAGTGATTCTCCTGCCTCAGCCTCCTGAGTAGTTGGGATTACAGGCATGCAACACCATACCCACTTAATTTTGTATTTTTAGTAGAGATAGGGTTTCTTTCTCCATGTTGGTCAAGCTGGTCTCGAACCCCCAACCTCAGATGATCCGCCCACCTCAGCCTCCCAAAGTGCTAGGATTACAGGTGTGAGCCACCAGGCCTGGCCTTTTTGTTTTTTGTTTCTTTTTGAGATGGAGTCTTGCTCTGTCCCAGGCTGGAGTGCAGTGGCGCCATCTCAGCTCACTGCAACCTCCACCTCCCAGGTGCAGGCCATTCTCCTGCCTCAGCCTACCAAGTAGCTGTGATTACAGGTGCATGCCACCATGCCTGGCTAATTTTTGTATTTTTAGTAGAGATGGGGTTTCACCATGCTGACCAGGCTGGTCTCGAACTCCTGACCTGGTGATCCGCCTGCCTTGGCCTCCCAAAGTGCTGGGATTACAGGCGTGAGCCACCACACCTGGCAAAATAACATAATCTTTTTAAAAATTGATACCTTTCTCTCATTGGGAGCTTGTCCACTTGAGGAGGTTGAAGGGTCTGGGAATGATGCTAAATTGTGATCTACTCTGGAAGAAGAATAGGAACAAGATCCTAAACTATCTGCTTTCTTGAACATTTACACTGCATTCTCATTCTCTCTTCCTCTTCCATGGATCTCAGCTAGTGTCTAGATCTGGCCTAACTCCAGAGCCCTGGGTTTTTACCACTGCCCAATATATACTGCCTTTCATAGTGAGTTGGTAGGTCCGAAACCTGTGCCAGGACAGGCAGAAGGCCATGCTACTGTCCAAAAAGTGACATGGGCCATGAATTTGACCCCACACAGACTGGTAACCCAGAAGTCTGGCCAAATTTCAGGAATTTGGATTTACAGGAAAAGAAAAGCACAGTACAGTCCTACCAAGGGAAAATGTCACTCAGAGACTCTAACATCTAATCACATGCACAGGCATTTGAGGAAGTCAACTTACTAAAAAAGGAAACTTCCTATAAAATATAAGGATGAGCAATGAAGATATGGAACAGTAAGGAAAGACATACAACAATTATTTCCAGAAATTTATATTTCTATGCTATTATTAAACAAATTTTAAAATGTAATAATTACCAATAAGCAATTTAAATCCTTCAAAAATGTACAAGACAGATGCTAAAGTCATTTCACACAAGGGGTACACGTAGAAATCTCAACACTAATGTGGCCTTAGGCTACTATGCTCTTATACACTTATTTAAGGGGGTGAGATATTTGAAAATGAGTTTACATTAATGGGAAAGTGCAAAGAAACTTGCCAAAGTGTGCCAGCTCCATGGCCCATAAGCAATGAGCATCACCTGCCTGTGCCAGTCAGATCCCCAACCAAAATTACTGGAAAGGCTATGAAAGAAGCTGTTAGCACTCTGGTGTAATCCCAGCACAGGCCAGAGCAGCAGATTAGGCAGAACTTTTCATCAGTGGCAGGTCTCCCAAATTCTCTTGATGCCACAGAATTCATAAATGGGATCAGTATGTTCTAAAAAAACATGGTACTGCAAAAGGAGAAAAAGGTTCCACAGCATTAAGCAGTGTAATACTTGAAACCTCATCATTAAAGTGAGAGTTTTCAAGTGCCATTTATGATGCCCTAGTCTGGAAACATCCCAGCTAACCCATCTGATCAACAATTTCACAGATGGAAGCACTTGATGGCTAATTGGCAAGTCTATTATTCAAATAAAACAGCTCTCTGTACCTCTTTTTTCATTATTACAAGTCAAGGTACAACAAGATTGGTCATTGAAATTAGCTTAACAAGAGAAGCCTTTTTCCCAAAATAATTTTTTTAAATAAAACAACATATTTTGGCAATTAGAAGCACTAATCAGTTTCTGGACTGTAAGGAAAACGTTTTAAAGACGTAAAAAAGTAAGAAATGTAAACCTTCTTTTAAAAGTTGTACTATTTGTAACCTCTACCTTTACCAATGTGTGAAGATTCACATTATCATAGGGAATAAAATGAAATATTCACAAATTCCTTAAATAGTCTTAAAACATGGGCCAAGTATTACATGTCAGGATAAAGAAAATCCCTCCTAAATATTTTAATTTCCCAAAAATTTTAAAAAGCAAGCATCTTACTTTCGATCTACAATAAAAATTACAAGACTATTTAAGTTGTATTAATTTATGAAACAAGTAGCCATGACAACTCTATTCATTTTATCTACCTAAAGAAATGTTGATATAAATAGGCTGGGACATCAGAAAAAGTTGTGTTCCAGCTCTAGCTCCACTTCTTGTTAGTTCTGTGACTCGACCCTATAATATGAAAATAATTATCCCTACCCATGTAGGATCATTGTGAGGATTAAAAAATTAAGTGCATAAATACTTCATATCAGAATAAGGAAGGTACTCAGCATCAGTCCTTTTGGCTCTCCTCTGCTCCCCCACCCCATTTTTTTTAAATTCCAGAGGAAAATTTTAATACACATTTCAAAATATGTGGGTTCTCTTTATAGATCCATACATTTGTTCTAGATGTTACAATGACATTCCCTATTCACAGTATCTGACTGTCTCCCTATATTACTACAATTTTCATACCATTTCAAGTTGAAAGCTCCCAAGGCAAAAGCCTTATAGAATGGCTGAGCTATAAAATATCCAAAGAGGCCAGGCGCGGTGGCTCACGCCTGTAATCCCAGCACTTTGGTAGGCCGAGGCAGGCAGATCACCAGGTCAGGAGTTCGAGACCAGCCTGGTCAGCATGGTGAAACCCCGTCTCTACTAAAAATACAAAAAATTAGCCCTGGTGGCATGTGCCTGTAGTCCCAGCTACTCAGGAGGCTGAGGCAGGAGAACCGCTTGAACCTGGGAGGCGGAGGTTGCACTGAGCCGAGATCGCACCACCGCACTCTAGCCCGAGCAACAGAGTGAGACTCCGTCTTAAAAATAAAAAAAAAAAAAAAATTCCAAAGACATCATCTAGTCTATACAGTAGAAATCAGGAAATGAATACAATAACCAGAAATCACAAATGGGAGAGAAATAACCAGAAACCGTGAAACCAGGTACAAATTAAAGCAAAATCAAAATCATCTCCCTATAGTGATATAGCTATACAATGACAACAAAAATGTATTCTACTAGGTAGTGAAATATGTTGTTTCCTATGAAGTGAAAGTTTTCCTTTTCTATAAAACAGAATGGTGAACTTTTCAAAAACTAGGTTTTGTCATTCTACTGTCTACTTTTGATAAGCATTTTCCTTCTAATAACTCAGGCTCCGTTTACAACACTAGGGAATAGAAAATTACCACAGGCAGGTAAGAATGTAACTGAGTAAAAAGAGGGGAAAATGTACAATGAGTAAGAGAAAAGTACAACTATCATAATTTTTATTATTTTTATTATTTACTCTATTGTCCCTAAGCCATTATGCCCTTCACAGGCATTCAGTCTGCTGAAGGGAAGAGCCTGTGCAATCACGGGCAACAGCTTAAAAAGCAGCACTGAGAGGCTGCCCAGTGGAGACCACTGCCCTGCTCTGGTGGCATACTTTCAGGGCACTCAACCCAGACAACATCCCACAGAGAACCACCTTGAGTCTGTGTTGTAAGAGAATCAGTCCTACCTGCTTGGGTTTTAAATGAATCTGATAATTAGAGAACTTCCCAAATGATAACATGAACTGAAAAATTACAAATTAAATTATGCAAGTTTAAGATAGGAAACCCGAAGATCAATGTGCCAAATAGCAATGTAACCAGTAAATCAAATGTGTAAAACAATGTTGAAGGTAGGGAAAGAAAACACAGATTGTATCTTTGATCATAACGTCCCATACATTTGGAATATTGAGATTATGTTGCAATGTCTTAATTTCCCATATTAGACAGAGATATCTTCTTCTGTCTTCTTTCCCATATACTTTCTACCAAAAATGGTATCAGATGTCATAAATCCATCATATCCTTGACTTTATATTTAAAACTTTAAACATTTCATTACTTTTCACAATTTTTATTTTTTCTTATTTCATCAGAATGTCACTAATTTGAAGGACAGTTTCACTGTAACTGAAAATTTATCACCAATCCCCTTCCATTCTAAGAACTTGAACAAATTTATTTATCATAATTGCATATCAAAATAGAAATTTAGCATTCACAGGTGTCAAAGACCTTTCCTCTCAAAAGACCTATCACAATTAAAATATTCAAACAAACTGACACAGGTTAACTATCATGTACCTATGGAAAATTTATGTCCCTTTTACTTATCTGAGAACCCTCAAGACTAGATTTGAGGCCTCTCAGGAACACCCTATTTTTCACAGAGTTTAATACGTATTCAGAATAATCACACTACAATGACGACTAGAAAGAATATGCTCTAATTAGCTTGCTTTTGACCTGACCCCTTTCTTAATTTTCTATCGTATAAATATCAGAGTATATGAATAGAATGATTAGGACCTATATTTAATAAAATTATAACCTCACAAGAGCAGCAAATAAGAAAAACGTTAAAGGCATCTTGTAATTCTGCTTTGTTTCTAAAGCAAAATCACCATTATTTGTAGTTAAGCTAAGAAATAAAACAATTAAAATTTTTCGACCCTTCTCTACTTCTTAAGAGAAAATGCCCAAATTAATCTACTAATGTTTAGAAAGGACCTTCATAAATGTATAAAGGATTACATCAGATACTCAAAGAAAAAAAAGGTAACCAGAATATTCATGAGCATATAAATACTGTCAATACAGCTAAGCTAAATAATTCAAAGAATATAAAGAAAACCTATGAAAACATTTTGTAAAGGTCTGCTCATTTGCATACTACTATGCCAGTGCTTATAGCAAAAATTAAAGCTTGTATTTATGACAGATGTGACAGATATAAAAAAAGACTAATTGTACACAATGATCTATGATGGTTCATTACATGGCAGGATTGCTCTAGCAGATATAGAATAAAAATAGAACAATAATCTGTAATTTATTTTAAAACATTATTGTGGTAGCTTCATCTTCAGAGTGTCCAAGTTCTTTAAAAATGTAAGTCTGATAAGCATAACTCCTTTGCTCAGCATCTCTAATAGCTTCCCAACTCACTCAGAAGAGAATTTTCTACAGGGCCCTGCAAGATCTATACTGTGGTAACCTCTCTAGTATTATCGCCTTCAAATTAAAGACTGGGAGAGAAAATGGAATACCTAGGTAAGGCATTAAAAAACTACTAAAAAATAAATTCAAATGAATTTCTGACTTTATTTGGTGGCTCTTCTAAAAAGTACTAAAGAAAAATGTTATTTAATGTTATTTAATGTTATTTAGTGTTATTCCATGACTTGTTCTTTTGCTTTAGTTTTATGTTTGTGTACTAAAGAGAGAACATTATAAAGTTGAAGTTCCTTTTGCCTCCCTCCTTTTTTCATGAATTTGTTGTGAGTTATCTAGACCTGCGCTGTACAATATGGTAGCCACTAGCTAGATATAACCATATAAATTTAAATAAAATTAGAAATTCAGTTATTCAGTTAGACAAGATACATCTCATGGACTCAACAGGTACATGTGACTCTTTAAATTTAAGTAATATAACACTTAGAATTCAGTTCTCCAGCTGCTCCAGTCACATTTCCAGTACTTAACAAACATGTGACTAGTGGCTACCGTATTGAATGGTGCAGATATGGACACTTCCATCACTGTAGAAAGTTGTACTAGATACTGCTTCTGTAGAACAACTTGTAATATTTTTACTCAGGAGTTATATAACTCTAAAAAAAGGTGTTACTTTATGTTTTTTAAATTTACATGCTTCCATGTTGTATGTATCTTTTTACAACTGAATTTTTCTCTTACTATGTTTGTAAGGTCTATTATGCATATTGGTATATAGAACCTAGTTCATTCATTTTAGCTGCTGCATTAATTTCATCATAACACATTTAGACATTTAAATATTTTGCAATTTTTAATATACAAACAATGCTTTAACAATATTCTTCAACATGTCTCCTGATATAGACATATAAAAGTTTCCCTAAAGTGAATAAATGGAATTGTTTAGTAACAGAATTTTGGTCATTTTCAACTTTACTAGATATTGTCAAATTGCTCTCCGAAGTGACTTTAACCATTTACCACATATGGTGTGTCCATTTAACATATATTTATTGTCTGTTATTTGCCGGGTAAAGATCTAAGCACTGAGCTATAATTCCTAACCAACATCTCACACACACACACACACACACACACACACACACACACAGCTTACATGAGAATTCCTGCTTCCCCAATTTTCATTAACACTTAATTCCACAGGTTTGTTTGTTTTTTAACTAATCTAATAGTTGTTTTAGTTTTCATTTCCCTGATATACAGTGACACTGACTATCTTTTCATAACTTTTTTTGGCCATTCTTATTTCACATTCTTTTGTTAAATGAGGTCATCTTTTTGTCTTACTTATCTATGGTTCTGCTGAATGAACTACGTGGTGTTGCAGATTAATGTGTTGCCAGTATCCTGTCTTCATCTTTGCTTGTCTTATAAGTTTGTTTCTGTAGTCTTTTGGGGATAATAATTAGTAATATTGTCTTGAGGTAGTCAAATTATGAATCTTTTGAGTTGTGCTTTCCTATCTTGAGGTCATAAAGACATAAAAATTTCTGCCCCAAAAAATGGGGGGATTGGGGAAGGGTATCTGCTATGCACCTGACTAGTTCACATGTGAGTTTATTTAATCCTTATAAAGAACCATCTGGTTGGTATTATCAACCTTATTTTAAAGATACGGTAACTGAACTTTTAAATGTCTTTTTTGTAGTAAATATATAAAATTTGCCACTTTAACTGTTTTTAAGTAACAATTCAGTGGCATTAGGCACATTAACACTGTCGCACAACCAATACCACCATCTCCAACACCAGTTCCAGAACTTTTTTCATCATCCTAAACTGAAACTCCGTACCCATTAAACAATAACTCCCTATTCTCTCCTCTTCCCAGCTCCTGGCAACTACCATTCTGCTTTCTATCATTATGAATCTGATACTCTAGGTACCTCATGTAAGTGGAATCATATAACATTTGTCTTTTGTGTCTGGCTTATTTTACTTAGCAAAATATCTTTTAGGTTCACTCATGTTGTAGCATATGTCAGAATTTCATTCCTTTAAAGTTTAATAATATTCCATTGTATGTACAATCAGCCCTCCATATCAACAGGTTTCTCATCCACAGATTCAACCAACCATAGATAGAAAATATCGGAGGGAAAAAACAATAAAAAATAACAATACAACAATAAAAAATAAAAATGTTTTATATATATTTACATAGCATTTACACTGTATTAAGCATTATAAGTAATTTATAGATGGTTTAATGTATGCGAGAGACTGTGTCTAGGTTATGCGCAAATACTATGCCATTTTATCTAAGGGACTTGAGCAGCCATAGATTTTGGTATCATCAGAGGTCCGAGAATCAATCCCCCGAGGATACTAAGGAATGAGTGTATATGCATTTTATTTATCCATTCATTTGTTGAGGGACATCTGAGTTGTTTCCACCCCTTGGCTATTATAAATAATGCTGCTAAGAATATTGGTGTACAAACATCTGTTGGAGTCTCTGCTTTCAATTATTTTGGGCACATACCCAGAAGCTGAATTGCTGGATTATACGGTAATCCTATGTTTAATCATTTAAGGAATAATAATGTTTTCCATATTATCTGTACCATTTTACATTTCTACCATCAATGTACAAGAGTTCTAATTTCTCCAATCCTCACCAATACTTATTTTGTTGTTGTTGTTGTTGTTTAATTTGGATAATAGCCATTCAAATGGGTGTACCTGCAAAAATTATGAAGTTTGGACTGGGCATGGTGGCTCTTGCCTATAATCCCAGCACTTTCGGAGGCCGAGGTGGGCGGATCAATTGAGGTCAGAAGTTCGAGACCAGCCCGGCCAACATGGTGAAACCCTGTCTCTACTAAAACTACAAAAATTAGCCGGGCGTGGTGGTGGGCACCTGTGATACTCAGGAGGCTGAGGCAGAAGAATCTCTTGAGTCCAGGAGGTGGAGGTTGCAATGAGCCAAGATCATGCCACTGCACTCTAGCCTGGGTGACAGAGCAAGACTCCATCTTAAAAAACAAAAAAAATTATAAAGTTTGATTTCATATTTAGATATTCAATCCATTTGGTACAAATTTTTTTTTGTATAGAATAAGGCAGGAATCTAATTTTAGTTTTCCCCCTTACTGGCTACCACTGCTTCAGCATCATCTAATGAACAGGCCTCTCCTTCTCCACTGTTTTAATGTCACTTATATTACAAACCAAGTTCCCATATATTGATGGATGTATTTCTGGGTTTTTGATTATACTGGTCTACCTGATTATCTCTGCAACAATATATTACTACTTCAGTCATATAGCATTAAAATATGTTTCGAAATCTGGTAGAGCAAATTTCTTTTTCCTTTTTAGGAATTTCTTTGCTATTCTTGAACTATTTTTTCCTATATGAATTCTAGAGTCAGTTTGCCTATTTCCATGAACATTCTGGTTGATATTTTTATTGAAACTGGGTTGAATGTATGATTAATTGGAAAGAATTGGCATGTGGTGATATAGAGTCCTCATCCATGAAAACAGTATTATTTTTTCATTTATTCCAGTCATTTTTTCCATTGCTATGTTAAATTAAACTTCTCTACCAAACATTAGACCAAAACCTGAGACAAACAATTGAAACAACATTTCTGTCCCAACCACCACAATAAGAAACCAGAAAAAGTTATTAGTGAATATACAAAAAATCCATACACTGTGAGGATTTGGGAGTTATAACAAAATACATCCTATTCAATTCATGAATTTTTTTTTATCTAGCCACCGGAAATAATTCTTCAAAATGTACACTATATCTCACCACATTCAGGAAGCCTTCTGGGATCACTAACCCACAGTATTTTTCCCTTATTTTTGCATCCTGAAATTAATGAGGTCTGTACCAGAGATACAAAGTGACAACTTACAGGCATTATATACCCTGCTGCATATGTCCTTAGTTTGGCCTACACATTGTGAAATCATGTGATTTCTGTGTAAAATACCCTAATTTTACACAGAATTTCACAGTGTGAAATCATGTGATTTCTAACTTTGCTTTAAAACTTGCAGGTTGTATGTCATTCTCAATAATGGACCTGGCTAAAAGAGGCTCAATCATCATGATGTTGTTTATTACCAGGGCAGACAAATCACACACTGATTCTTAAAGCTTTCACCTAAAAGTGACCTATTAACCAATCACATTCCATTGGTCAAAGCAAAATCATGGCAAGGCTAACTTCAAAGATGACAGAAAAATATAATCCTGTTATATGCCTGGAAGGTTGAAAGTCACAAATATTCATGTAATTGATGACTTTGCCTTTAATCTCTTCCCCTTTACCTGTTCTCCAAACTACCACTAGAATTACTTTTCAAAAACACAGATCAAATTACCTCACAAGTCTACTGGAAAGAAAAAAAAAATCTTCATACTTCAAAAAAAAAAAAAAGAAAGAAAGAAAATCTTCATGAAACTACAACACCTAGGGGAAAAAAGTAAAAATCACCAAGTATGGCATTCAACACCTTTCATAACCAACTTCAGACTCCTTTACCAACTTCTTTTCCCAGTATTTTCTTATGTATCTATTCTCTAGCCTTTTGAATATGCCTTGACACATATTTCAAAACTCAGCTCAAACATCATCTCCTTAGTCTCATTTTTCCCATTTTTCCCAAGTTGGTCTAATTTTTCCCAAAAGAAGTTAAACTAACCTCCACTGTACTTACAAATCACGTTATTTACAATGAGCATTAGCTTTCACTGATTCAAAGTAGTTAATGTGTACTAGGCACTTAAAACATGATTGCTTGTGTGTCTATTATAATGTAAGGCTCTGGATTAGGCATTGATATTCTTGTTCGTCTTGGAATTCGTTATAGTATATAATACCTGATACACAGAAACTCAAAATATTGACTTAACAAATTAAAACTGAAGACAAGTTACTAAATGCCACTGACATTTTGCTTAAGTTCCATCTACTTTCAAGCTTATATTGACTATTTCCAAAGCTAAAATGAACCCAGGGAGAAATCAAAATTTTTAAAAAGTACAGAATATGCTTTGGCTATTCTCATCTCTTGGGCTCTGTTTCCACTGCTTTTGGAAATCGTTTAGATGCCAAGACCTAGGTGGAGTTGTTATAAAGACAACGAAGTAGCCAAATTATGGCAACATATGTTTTTAATACAATAATCTCATACCTTTTAGTAATTTCAAGTTTGTAAGCATTTTAACAAAGAAAATCTAAAAATACATTTAAAATTTAAAGCTGTTACCTTATAAATTTTAATAGTACTAATAAAACATCTTTATTTCTGCTTCAAACTACTGGTAAGTTAAACTGAAGTGGAGGACTGAGGACAAATTTAATTATTGTAGCCTATCACTATTCAAATATTAACTTTTTTTTTTTTTGAGACATAGTCTCACTCTGTCACCCAGGCTGGAGTGCAGTGGTACTACCTTGGCTCACTGCAACCTCCACCTCCTGGGTTCAAGTGATTCTCCTGCTTCAGCCTCCTGAGTAGCTGGGATTACAGATGTGCACCACGACACCCAGGTGATTTTTGTACTTTTAGTAGAGATGGGGTTTCCCCATGTTGGCCAGGCTGGTCCTGAACTCCTAGCCTTATGTCATCTGCCCCCTCGGTCTCCCAAAGGGCTGAGATTGCAGGCATGAGCCACCAGGCCTGGCCAATATTAACATTTTAAAATGTGATATTAAAAAAAATAAAACTTAGTTGTTTTGTAGGAATGGACACCGTAATGAGAAACAGGAAAAGACAGCATGATAAAAACTAATGGAAAAGAAAGGTTTAAGATAGTAAGTGTGGAATATTGAAGTTTAGTTAAAAGAGAACTAAAAATAGGCCAATAGACTTGGCAGTTTAAAAAATTCCAGTACAGTAATACAGGAGTTGGCCAGAATGCATTCTCATGTGAGTGAACAGAGGTAATTAAGTAGATTATGGAGTTTAAGCTATTATTTCAGGAATTCTAGAAATAAATAGAAGAAAAGGTTTAATGGCAGTATGCAGTAGAGTTTTGGTTTTTGGATACAGGAGACTTAAACATCTTTGTAGGCAGAGAAAGGGGTCAATGGAGATCTGCAGTGTGTCAAGAGAACGAGATCCAAGAACAAGGAAGGAATAGCCTTGGAAAAGAGAAAAGTCACCTCCTATTTAGAGAAAATTAAGAAACTAGAATGAATGGGGACTTTGATTATTTACAAGTTCCTTTTTTACCTACTAGCCCTACTACAACTCCCAAATAAAACAACTAAGACCAAGTGGCCTCAAAAACAATGAAATATCAGTATCAACTGTGATTATAATACTGATATTCCTATATTATTACTGTGAATTCCTCCATTAAAAAAACATGACCAGGCCGGGCGCAATGGTTCACATCTGTAATCCAAGCACTTTGGGAGGCTGCAGTGGGCAGATCACTTGAGGTCAGGAGTTCAAGACCAGCCCGGCCAACTTGGTGAAACCCCACCTCTACTAAAAATAAAAAAATTAGCTGGGCGTGGAGGCTCATGCCTGTAATCCCAGCTACTTGCGAGGCTGAGGCAGGAGAATCACTTGAATCCAGGAGGGCGAGACTGCAGTGAGCTGAGATCATACCACTGTACTCCAGACTGGGCAACAAAGCAAGTCTCTGACTCAAAATAATAATAATAACAATAACATGACCAATTAGCATATAGAGCAAAGCCCAAAGACCTTTTTACTACTACTGGGTTATATTAAAGGCACTGGGACTCAAGGTGGGGTCATGTCTCTTGGAAACAACATAAAAATCAGTATCATAGTACAAGAAAAATTCAAATGAAATACTGAATTGTTTCTACAAATAATGAAGTCAAGGCTGAAAACAAGTCTTTGTTGCGTAATAATCTGGTCTTTATCCTGAGTTTCTGGCACAGAGCCTCAAAAACCCTTGGAGTTTCTTTTGTTATGCTAACACTGTGACTTAGTGCACACCCCTAGATAGCTTGCAGATGAGGGCTGATCAACATAAAGACCAACACGGTAATTAGAGGGCTAAGACTTTGAGCCAGGCCCATTTGGGAAGGGAGGATGGAGATTTGAATTTTGAGTTTGATCACCCAATGATTTAATCAATCAAGCTCATGTATGCCGAGTCCCAATAAAAACTCGGAAACCAAAGCTACACCAGGTGGAGTTCCCTGGCTGGTAAACTCACTGATGTGCAGGGAGGGTGACATGCCCTAATTCCATGAAGAGAGGGCACAGGAGCTCTGCATCTCCTCCCAGACCCCATCCTGTGTGTCTTCATTTCACTGGTCCTCCTAATCTGTATTTCTGGATAACAAAATTGTAATAATAAGCACAGCACTTTCTTGAGTTTTGTCAGTTGTTCTAGTGAATTATCAAACCTGAGGAGGTTGTGAGGACCTCCAAATTTATACTCAGGTTAAAGTGTCAGTCCAAAGTGTGGATGGCTTGGGGACACATGAAGTATAGCTGGCATCTGAAGTAAGGGTAGTTCTGTGGAGAAGTGAGCCTTTAACTTGCAGAGTCTGACAGTAACCGCCAGGTTTGTGTCAATTGGGAGTGAAACAAAATGTCTTCAAGCCAGTAAAGTAGCAACTGTTTGGACACTGATATAAAAAAAAATATGTCTTGGACATTTCGTTCATCAAAATTGGGTTATTCGTATAGATCATGATTTAAGGTGGCCTATTCACTCATAAAATGTCCATGGTTCTTGTTCTTCAATCAAGGAAATAAAATAACCTTAAGGAACTCTCAATCATATGAGGCCTTTACCTGTTCTGCTCCTGTCTACTGCCACATTTTAAGAGGGCCATCTACAAACTTACCAGCAAGTGACCTGCTCCTATTTGGGAGGGAATTCTGCCTTTTCCATTAAATGGTAAGATAACATTTCCCACTGATTTTTGGAGAGAAGGGCCAATTTGTGTCTCCTTTTTTACTACTATTGGTGCCTATGCCTTATCTAATGAAAAGATAGCTATTATCAATCCAAAGATCTTTGACTTCTTATTAAAAATAAATAATAGTCTGGGCACAGTGGCTCACGCCTGTAATCCCAGCACTTTGGGAGGCCGAGGCAGGTGGATCACTTGAGGTCAGGAGTTCAAGACCAGCATGGCCAACATGGTGAAACATAGTCTCTACTATAAATTCAAAAATCGGCTGGGCGTGGTGGTGAACGCCTGTAATCCCAGCTACTTGGGAGGCTGAGGCAGAAGAATCACTTGAACCCAGGAGGCAGAGGGTACAGTGAACCGAGATCATGCCATTGCATTCCAGCCTGGGCGACAGAGTGAGACTCCATCTCAAAAAAAAATTATAATAAATAAATAAATAATAAACAACATTCTTATTAGGCAAAAAAATACACTTAACGTTTCATGTTACAAAAGTAACATCATAAGTATTTGTCAAATTATTCCTATAACAAGATAAAATAAAATTTTAGAGAAAAAGAAAATTACACCTAGTATAGGATAAGGGAGATACCATAAAAATAAGAGTTCCACAAATTAGAGTTTATCATCTAATTGAGATGAAATGATTCTTAAGCAGATTTTTAACTTCAAAAAAGAGTACAAACTAAGGACACAATGGCTGATTAATCAGAAACCAATAAGGTTACTGAAAAAACATTAAGTTTTTCACTTGATATAAAGCTTTGAAGTCGCCATTGACATATAATGTAGCTCAATTTGTGGTCAGTAAAACCATTATTTCATGTCCAGGGGTTTTCCAGCATGGATTTCCAAGATGGGTAATTTATTGTATCTATGCTTAAGGAAAGTTATTTTTATATTTAAATTTGATACAACTTTCCTTAAGAATTCTAAGGCAACATCTTCACCTATAATTTGCAGGTAAATCTGCACTATCTACATACCACCTCTGCTCACTTCTCACATTTTCACATGCCTGAACACTATTACTACTAATTTCAGAATAAATTAGAGAAATTCTAGAAGCTCTCTAGAATGTTTACAAAAGAATGGAAACAGGTTCAGGATCAAGTTCAAAGAGGCTTAGGCCTCTTGAGAGAATGAGTTATACAGGTGTTATAAAAATGAAGAATCATGAAGAAATAGGCTGACAACAAAGAAACATGAGAAATCATCAAAACTAACAAAAGTAAACGAAAAACAACTGAAATCCATCCAAGAATGCAATACAGAATCACAAAAAGATTTCAACTTTATAAAAGTCATAAACCATGATAGACCTAATCAAACAGTTCTTATGAAAGTTCTTCTAAAACACTGAAAATTTCATGAAGTCTGAAACAAAAACTGCTTCTTATAGTAAACACAGATTACTTTGAAGAAAGATGAAGTCACTGATAGCAGTAAGGAAATGTGGGAAAGCTGGAAACTAAAGAGATTTTAAAAGGGACTATAAAAATATTTCTAATATTTGGTCATAAAACAATACATTGCATATATAAAAGTCTTAGGAAGAGAAATACACATAGTCATTTCTTTTGTTAATTAGTATTAACTCAATGTATGACTGCACAGATCGAAAGTGTCGAACTCACAAGAGGCACAAATTCTTGATCTGAAAGCAGATAGACTATCCTGAGGCAGAAATCTAGAGGTCATTTGCCCAACAGCAAATGGAACAAGATAAACAATATTAAAACAACTGAAAGCTTATTTATTTTTTAAAAAGATTATAAAAGAAACCATTTATACCAAATTTAAAGGAGAGAGATTACTTATTAATCCATCTATATATCATAATTACTAGCAGAAATTTACCAGTGTTAAGACTGTACATATAAACATTCTATGGGTCAGTTTTCTGGATCTGGCAAGCAGGATGACATGCTTACTTTTTCTTGTGTTACATCTAAAGTTTACACTGTAAATTCAGGAAGTAAGCTATTTTGAGGGTTTTTTTTTCCTAAAAGCCAACTTTGATAATCCTACATATCTCAAAATTTTAAACAAAGCAAATAACAGAAAATTCTTATTCCCAGGAGAAAAGTAAACTAAGACAATAAATGTTTTCCACATGTTATCTAGTGTTGCAAGATAACAAACATCAATAAGGTAAGATTCTTACCATAGAGTTATCTGTTAGGTGATTTTCTTGGGGATAATTTCTTTCTCTTTGGCTAACTACAAAAAGGCTTGTAGTTTACACACAAGGAAATGCTCAAGAGACTATATACTAACCTGGCCCAGTCCAGGCATACCTCCTCCAAGTCTAAGAAGTCTGTCCATATTTCTAGAAAACAGAAACAAAGAAAAAACGTTCCTAAGCACAAAAATGTTTATTCAATTGCTATCTATATAATTCACCTTCAGTCACTCAGTATGTCAAAAATATTGGTGGTAATTACAACACAACATCAGACTTCCTGTTAATTAACACCACATATTAATTCAAGAAGCTGTCTTCCATGCTAATTAACAGACCTTATTTTACTGCTTTGGTTTTGGGTTATCCCCAGTTTTAAAGACAAGCAATCTTAGCATACTTTCAAAACTTTGCTATCATTAAGTTAATTATATTTTCTTATTGTTATCTAATAAAGTACCTGAATGTAGAAAAAGTGCCTGAAATGCTTATCATATGTATGATTGAATTTCCTTCAATTGGTCCAGAGTGTACAAATAAAAATCCTCACTTTTAAATTAAATTTTAACATCCTCATTAGTAAGTTCTGTGCTAATTAACTTACAGCTTGTCAGTTACCATCAAAACTACATGTGAAAGACATTGTGAGCAGATTATGGATCTCTGAATTAGCATCAAAGGCTTTTAAAAACTGAACTCATTATACTAAAAGAAATACTATAGCATAAACATTAAACATATTAAGATAGTGTTCTAGAACCTACACAGATATTTTGTGTTGTTTCAGATGTTGTAGAGATATATACACCTTTTTCACTAAGGAAATTCAACTGTGCTTCTCAATTATAACTTCAGAGTTAACCAATACAAAGTGGATTTACTATATCAATCTGATTTAGTTTTAACGTTTAGAGTAACTACAGAAGATACTCTTACAAGCTTGAAAACCTCACAGAAGAAGTTAAGAAATATCAAGTGTACTTATATGGCCTTAAATAACAAAAAGAAGTAATCAAATTTTAAAAGTTAATAACAGTACAACTAAGTAATTTAAAAATGACAACAAAGCAATTTTTTCTACTTGAAAATCGCTATGTCCTAAATGAAATTCCTCTTCTTCCTAAGTGTATGCTTAAGAAAATGGTATTATTACAAATTATATTCTAAATTAAATGCTAAGATTCATTTCATCCTTCGTCCATGTTGTTTTACGAGTTCAAATTGCTATATAAACTAAAACTCAATAATGTACTTATATATTATCCCCCACCAATCACCTTTGTTGAATCCTGGTAACAATTTAACAATGTTAATATCGCAAACTTTATTCAAGTCCACATACAGAAAAGAACTTCACTCAAGTGCACATACAGAAAAGAAAACAAACGATATGGCCATGGAATCTTCAAAAGTGAACACATCCATGTAACCATCACCTAGTTCAAGAAACAGAACATTATTGGCACCTCAGAAACGCCACCCAAGCCCCGCTTCCAGTCTATTCCACCCTGCAAAGGTAAAATTCAACTTTCAACAGCACAGATTAGTTTGGCTGCTTTTGAATTTTACATAAACGGAATCATATATTTTTCGTATCTGGCTTGTTTCATGTAACATGTTTATAAGACTCACAATTTTAAAAATTCCTTTTTTAAAATGAAAAGGCATATAAGAAAACGTGGTAATACAGACAAAATTTCCACTTCACGATCTTAACTCATCCTCCTAATAGCAACATTTACAAATAAAATCTCCATCAAATACTCATTGAAATTCCTCAAATCAAATATGGCATTCAACACACAGCACTTTTTAAAGGCTAAAAACGGGGCGGGGGGAATCCTGTATATTTTATAATATTAAAGCAATTCTCTAGAATATATTACCAAAGAAGAAAAAAATTTCTTTTGGACCATTTCAACCTTACAAACTTAAAGAACCAACAGAAAAAACAAACAACATACAGTATACATTAGAATATATATATTCTAGGCCAAAACTGATTCCCAGCTGTGTTCAGTTTATCTATCCCTCTGTGTTGTTTCTGATGACTTTACACAGACTCCAGATGCTGTGAATATATATGAGTGATGCAAGAAGCAGAGAGAAAGAAAATCTGGCAGGTCAAATTTGTTTCTGTAGCAAAATTAGATATCACAGCAAAGAGGAAACATATTTAACAAATTAAAACTTTAAGCTGAGATAACCAGGTTTAATAAAAATACTAACATTTGGTAATGAAGTATATTGATACATATTCTAAATCACACCACTTTTCAAAATCTGGTTATCAATCACATTCATAATTTGACATCTGTTAAAAATAATACATTTTCATACTATCTCTCTATCCATCCGTAAAATAATAATTAAAAGTAAAATACATTTTTAAACCTTACCTGGTCAGTAACTACAACTCTTAAGGTGTTAACCTTCAATTTGTTGAGTTTGACAAATGTCTTCTTAAAGAAAGCTCTTGCTAATTCTGGCAGGTACAACTTCCCCAAGTATATTTTATTTTTTCTTTCTCTCCTAAAAAAAGTAAACAAAATAAAATATAATTATTTTGATAATTTAAGGAGGAAAACTTTATACCAAAATCTTTAAAAGAATCAAAATTCATAAAAATGAAGTAGAAATCAAAACTGTTTTTTAATAATCTTTTTCTGAGAGTATAGAATGATCTCCCTTACAGGGAGCTACAGAGCACAGTGATTAACCCTGTATCCAAATTTTATCTGTATGTTTCTCTCATGAACACTAACTTTGAAGACAGACATTTCAAAACTTTTAGTCTTTCCAGACATCTTTCCAAGAACAAAACAGGCTGGGCGCAGTGGCTCACGCCTGTAATCCCAGCACTTTGGGAGGCCAACGCGGGCGGATCACCTGAGGTCAGGAGTTGGAGACCAGCCTGGCTAACATGGTGAAACACTGTGTCTACTAAAAATACAAAAAAATTAGCCAGGCGTGGTGGCAGGCACCTGTAATCCCAGCTACTCAGGTGGCTGAGGCAGGAGAATCGCTTGAACCCCAGAGGTGGATTGCAATGAGCCGAGAACGCGCCATTGCACTCCAGCCTGGGCAACAAGAGTGAAACTCGGTCTCAAAAAAAAAAAAAAAAAAAGAATAAAATAAAAATTTACTTATATTTTTAAATAAGACAATTCATTCTATCATGTCATTACTGTGTAGGTTAATTGTACATTATTACAAATCTATCAAATAGTATGGAATATTAGTGGTTATTTTTCTTATACCCTGAAAATTTGCTATTTTATCATACTAGGAGGCATTAGTAGTCCATCATTTCTTAATCAACTATTCCAAAAACACTAAAATGACAAGAATATGGAAAATAATGCAATAGTGAAAAAAATTATAGTTATTACATCATCCTTCCATTTTTATTGTGTTGTAGAAAGCACTGACCCATCTTTCAAAAAGATATAGAACACTAGAGACTTCATCTCTGTAGTCTTTTTTTCAGTTTTCATTTAGCACAGTTAAGAAATCAGAATTTTTCATTTTAATAATGGCAAAAGGAAAAAAAGCAACAAAGAAAATGTTTCACATTACTACAAAATCAAAGATGAATGGGAAGGAGACAGATTATAGCACTCTAGTCTCTAATGATGACAATAAAATTAGCCAGGATTTACTAACTTCAGTACTACTGATATTCAGGACCAGATAATTTTTTGTTGTTCGTGGGGCTGTCTTGCGCATCATAGGATGTTTAACATCATCCCTAGCTCCACTAGACAACAGCAGCACCTATCCAGCTGTGACAATCAAAAATGTCTCCAAGCTTTACCAAACGTCCCCGGGGGATAAATGTTTGAAGCCATTCTTGATTGTCTCAAAAATCACTCTCAATTGAGAACCACTGATATAAACAAAATTTCAGACTATGTATCTTGAGATGATAATACCCTAGATTAATTTTCTCAAACTTAAGAACCAATGAGTGCTGGGAACAGTTTGGCAGTTCCTCAAAAAGTTAAACATAGAATTACCACTCGATCCAGCAACTCCACTCATTGGTATATGCCCCATAAAACTGAAAACAAATACTCAAAATAAGTTCATGTACATGCATGTTTACACCATCACTATTCACAATAGCCAAAAGGTGGAAACAGTCCAAATGTCCACCAAAAAATGAATGGATAAACAAATTCTACTATAAACACATATAGGAATATTGTAATATGAAATACTGTTCAGCTATAAAAAGGAATGAAGTACTACTTACTGGTACATGTTACAAGTTAGCTGAACCTCAAAACATCACACTATGTAAAAGAAGCCAGGCACAAAAGCTCACATGTTATGTGATTCCATGTATATGAAATATCCAATAAATCCATAGAGACAGAATGCAGACTGGTGGTTATCAGTGGGTGGGGAAGGGAGGAAAATGGAGAAAGTGCTAAATTGCTAAGATATTTTTTTACCTTGGAATGACAGAAATGTTCTGGAACTAAACTGAGGTGGTAATGGCACACTGCGAATGGACAAAATGATACTAAACTGTTCACTTTAAAATGGTTAGTTTTATATTATGTGAATTTCCCCTTAATAGATTATTTTTTAAAGTGTCAATGAGTGAACAATATATTTCTAAAACCAAAAAAGTGACATTCTTACTCAGTTACTTATTCAACAAGAAAGGACTTCACACAAAATTTTGCAATAACCTGTTTTCTAAAGAGATGTGTCACGTATTTTTTGATGTTTTATGATGTTGATGCAGTTCACACATGGAAAAATGCTAAAGTGTACACAAATGTGAATAAAAGGAAATGGATAATGTAGAAATTTTAAAAATCATTGGACTAATTCTAAATGGTGCCTATAAATCTAAAAATATAAATGTTTTGCAATTATGAAGGAAAGATGGCCATCCTATCTTCAACAAAATTATGAGCTCTCAATGTTTTCAAAAATATTGCAATTGGGAGGATGAAAAAATTCTGGATATGGATGGTGGTGACAGTTACATAACACTGTGAATATACTTAATGCCACTAAACTGTACACCAGAAAGTTAGAATAGTAAATTTTATGTGATGCATATTTTCACATACACACACACACAGGATGACAAATACAAGAACCAGAAGTAATCAGCTAGCGCCTACTAGAAATGTATTTGAAATACAGAACTGATCTACACAAGACAAGTATGTTCTAGGTTCATGCATGATGGCTGATGAGCAGTTCATTCAAACCATGATGCCCATTCAAAGGATGATATATGAAGATATATGTACCTTCAAAACCAAGAAAATACAGAATAAACACTTGTATTTAGGCTGGGCGTGGTGGCTCATGCCTGTAATCCCAGCAATTTGGGAGGCCAACGCAGGCAGATCACTTGAGGTCAGAAGCTCGAGACCAGCCTGGCCAACATGGCAAAACCCTGTCTCTACTAAAAATACAAAAATTAGCCAGACATAGTGGCATACGCCTGTAATCCCAGCTACTGGGGAGGCTGAGGTAGGAGGACCACTTGAACCCAGGAGGTGGAGGTTGCAGTGAGCCAAGGTGGTACCACTGCACTCCAGCCTGGGCGACACAGCAAGACTCCATCTCAAAAATAAATAAATTAATTAATTAATTAAAATAAAAATTTGTATTTGCTATGTTTAAGCTTTACTAACATTTCTAATACAGTTGTTTTTTCACTATCCTTTTATGGTCTACTGGACCTAGATGGTAAATGGCGATGACTAATGACTATTTTGCCTGGTACATGAGAGTCAAGTACTATGACTCTACAGTCAGAGTGCCAGATTCAAATACTGGCTCTGACACTTACAAGTTCCCTGTCCTTGAGTAAATTACCTCTCTCCTCCTCAGTTTCCTCATCTGCAAAATGGAGATCTATCTCACAGAGCCGTTTAGATTAACAAAAACAATGGACACAAAAAAAAACATTTAACACAATGCTTATCATATAGTAAGCATATAATAAACACTAGCTACTGTCATTGGCAACCCCATCCTGAGCATGGCTACCAACACAGATCCTTCTTCCTCACATAGTTTGCCACTTACTGGGTTTCAAAATGCTGGGCATATTTCACATTACTAAATCACACTGGAGATAGGGACTTGCATTTCGCAGAATTTAGCAGAAAGACTCACAAAGTGAATGTGTTATACTTAACATAAAAGGGAACACTTTCAATTCTTAGAAATAAAAGCAATAAAAAGGTCGATGGATCTAAACCAAGTTTTTACAGCTATCAAAAAGTAGAAGACTCAAAAGCTCATTCATGATATAATTAACTTTATGGAAAATATTATCAGACAATATGAATAAAGTGTTTATACCTAACATAATGTCATACATACAATAATATTTAGAATCCTAACTGGTAAAAATAGTACAAAAAAGGTATCAGTACTTTCAAAAGTTGATTACTTTCCACTTTTTCTTTCTCACTTTATGTCTGATTAGAACCTGATATTGCTAGATCATGTCCATGCTGGATTTAAAATAAATCAATTTTTGGCCAGGTGCAGTGGCTCATGCCTGTAATCCCAGCACTCTGGGAGGCCGAGGGGGGCAGATCACTTGAGGTCAGGGGTTCAAGACCAGCCTGGCCAACATGGCAAAACCCCGTCTCTACTGAAAACACAAAAATTAGCTGGGCGTGGTGACGGGTGCTTATAATCCCAGCTACTCAGGAGGCTGAGGCAGGAGAATCACTTGAACCCAGAAGGTGGAAGTTACAGTGAGCCGAGATCGCGCCACCGCACTCCAGCCTGGGTGACAGAACGATACTCCATCTCAAAAAAAAAAAAAAAATTACTTTTCAGACTGATGCTCAATCCTTTTCAAGCTACTCCGTATTTGTTATCTTACTGTATTTCTAATTCCTCTGTTTTCTTATTTGTGCAAAGTAGTTAAAACTTCATATTCTCACTTTCTTAAGGACTTTTTTCCAGTGGAAGATCGTGAGTGAGTCAACATTAAATTTAATTATATAAATAGGATTTTGAAAGCAAGATTTCCGCAACTTAGAAGAGTGAGAATGGTGGCTGGGCACGGTGGCTCACACCTGTAATCCCAGCTCTTTGGGAGGCCGAGGCGGTTGGATCACCTGAGGTCAGGAGTTTGAGACCAGCCTGGCCAACATGGCGAAACCTGGTCTCTACTAAAAATATAAAAACTAGCCGGGCGTGATGGCAGGCACCTGTAATCCCAGCTAGGCAGGCTGAGGCAGCCTGGGAGGTGGAGGCTGCAGTGAGCCAAGATCACGCCACTGCACTCCAGCCTGGGCAACAGAGCAAGGTTTCATCTCAAAAAAAAAAAAAAAAAAAAAAAAGGAAGAGTGAGAACAGACTCATCATAATAATCTATTATGGAGTCTCCTAATTTCAGCATCCATCTGTATCTGTGGGGAATTGGTTCCAGGATACCAAAATCATGGATACACAAGTCTCTCATATAAAATGGCATAGTACCCTATTTGCATATAACCTATGCACATCCTCCTATATACTTTAAAATCATTTTTAGATTACTCATAATAACTAATACAATTAAATACAATACAAATAGTTATACTATATTGCTTAGGGAATAATGAAAAAAAATGTCTATACATGTTCAATATAGATGCAATTTTTTTTTTCCTTTTTTGAGACAGAGTCTCGCTCTGTTGCCCAGGCTGGAGTGTAGTGTCGCAATCTCAGCTCACTGAAACCTCTGCCTCCAAGGTTCAAACGATTCTCCTTCCTCAGCCTGTCCAGTAGCTGGGATTACAGGCACACGCCCCCATGCCCGGCTAATTTTTGTATTTTTGTATTTTTAGTAGAGAAGGGGTTTCGCCATGTTGGCCAGACTGGAACTCCTGACCTCAGGTGATCCTGAGCCTCAGCCTCCCAAAGTGCTGGGATTACAGGCGTGAGCCACCACGCCTGGCCTAGATGCAACTTTTTTCCAAATATTTTCAATTTGTAGTTGGTTGAATCTACAGATGCGGAACCCAAAGATATGGAGGGCTGACTCAAGAAATTTAGTGGCATGCACTGAGAGAATTTATAATCTATCGGGGCAGGTGGGTAGAAGCAGCTTGACACAAACCCATAAAAAATATGTAAAGGGAAAGGACAGCAGTGTAGAGTGAAAAAGGCTCTTGAACCAGTTGACCTCAATTTGAATCCGGCGTCACCACCTACTCACTATATGACACTAATTTTTACCCTCTTCTAGACTCTAGACCTCATTTATAAAGTGGGGATAACATCTACTTTGCAAGTCTGTTGTAAAAATACGTCCAAAGCAATTTATAGTGCCTGGAACATCCAAGGTACTCAATAAATGTTGTCGTTGCTATTCTTGTTATAATTGTTATTATTATCATTTTAGAACTAGAAGAGATTATTTAATCAAGTTCTCCCATTTCACAAATAAGGTCACCAAAGTATCACACACAAAGCAGAATACGAAATGTCAAAATGACTGCAACAAACAGGGAATATGACAAGTTCCTGAGCAAGAAATCACATGGATATTCAGGCAAGGCTTTCACAGGTGGACACTGAATTATTAAATGAACGTTACTACAAAATTGAAAATTAAAAAAGCACAGTTGCTTCTTGTTACTGAAATAAGAGGACTAGATTAATCTCTTCCACTTCTAAGATAATAACAATAACAACAGCAATAATATTTATTGACTTTCATACATATGGTTCACAAACTATATATTAACAAGCACATGGTTTACATGGCCAGTATGAAAATAAGATGAACCCATGTCAAACAGATTAAAATTCAGCTTTTTCTCTTTTTTTTGAGACAAAGTCTCACTCTGTTGCCCAAGCTGGAGTGCAGTTGCGCGATCTTGGCTCACTGCAACCTCCACCTCCCAGGTTCCACCTCCAGCCTCCTGAGGTAGCTGGGAATACAGGCACGTGCCACCATGCCCGGCTGATTTTTTTATACTTTTAGTAGAGACGGGTTTTCACTATGTTAGCCAGGCTAGTCTTGGCCAGGCTGGATCATCTCATGATCTGCCCACCTCAGCCTCCCAAAGTGCTGGGATTACAGGTGTGAGCCACCGCACCCGGCCTAAATTAAAATGGCAATGTATTATTTACCAAGCACTTTAGGCTGAAAAAAAAACAAAAAACCAAAAACTCCCAAAGTCAACAGGTGAAGCATCAATAAAAGATCATCACTTGAAAACTTTCTTCCCTTGGCAAGATTTAGGGACAAATTCAAGACAACATTTAGCCTTTTTCACTAAATAGCACTTCACTAAACACACCTTAACTGTAGTTAATTCAGAACCACTATATATCTTAACCTCTAAACTTCAAATGAGTCAGCTGGTAGGTAGCCTTACGTGACAGGAAGGCCACCATTATATTAATCATCTCCACTAAAACTGTGTTCATGTTTTTGTTATTTCTACAGTATCAGTGCATGTCTTGCTGCTTTTCTCAAACACATTAAGTCAGAAGCACTAAAAAAACACTTGTGACCAGTGGAACAAAATCACTTTCACACTATAACTCTATTTTATGCTCATTTTTAAACCCTTTCCCCTGCCTTTCCATAATATTTTATCAACTTATATTACCATTTATTTTCTCGAGAATTTTTCCTTCAGTCACTAGGTTTATAGACTCAAAAGTTTACATTCTTTTTCTTTTGACAGACACAGAGCTACATCCCCAGGAAAATTAAGTTGCAAGATGTAACATACGGTAGCAGATTTCTACTTTACTTAAAACGAGAAATGTAATCAATTTACCAACAATTACTCAATTAGTATGATATTGAAAGTAAGTTAACAGCCATAGTAGCACACTTTGTTTTTAAGATATTCAAGGTCCAAAAGCAGTGTATCTGCAGGACTTTTGTTTACTTTTTGGAGGGAGCTGAAAACCTAACACTAACAGAAAAAGGGTTAAGGCTTACAGGAAGGACAAGAGATAAAACAAACGTATTCAATGGGAAAGTTAATTCTACTCTCTCTCCCTTGTTTTCCCGGTCTGCTTTGAAAAACTTCAAAGCAGACCGGTTAACAACTATGGATAGAGCACAGACAAACAGGCCATAAACAAGGATTCTCTCTATATAGATGGAAGAGGTTCCCATGATGTGAATTCGGCCAAACAGAAAAGAATGGAGAAAGGAGGCGACATCCAGACCTGACCCTGCCAGAGAGCCCTGAGAGCAGGCGAAGAGAATGAAGGAGGCCGGGCTCCTCCCTCGCGGCCCAGGCCTCCTGTGGCAACTCAGCTGGGCAACGTGACTCAGGAAAGCACGGGGCTGGCGGCGGCCTAGCACGGCTGCCTCCCCAGACCTCCCAGGCCTGCCTTCTGGGTCTTACCTGAAGACGGGCGGGAGCCGGATGCCGCGATATGGACCCTTGTCTTGCCTCTGTGGTGACGCGAAGACAGAGGCAACAGCAGCAGCGGCGCACACCCGACGCGGCTCTGTCTGCAAACCGGCGATGAATCAGCCCGATTCCATTCAAAAGAGTTGCCCGGGCCTCCGCCGCGAAGCACTTCCGGGTTCACTAGTTTGCTTCGGCTTCCGTTCCCCGACGGCCAATTGGAGACGACGGAGAGTCAAGCGGATGTCCAGGAGGAGCTCTTGGGACAGACGGCGCGGGCGGCCCGGCGTCTCCTGTCTCTGGCAGGACTGTGAGGCGGCACTTAGCGCCCTGGTCGCTCGCGCCCCGCCGACGCCTCCTTTTTCTCTCCCTACCTCTGCGCTCTGCGGCCGCCGCTGAGATCTGGGACGGCGGCACATCCAGCCCGGGAGACGACTGGCTAGGAAATAGAACTGTTAGTATTTTGAAGCCCAGATCCCCTTTCGTTTTGGTGTTCACTACTATTATTGCCCTCCTCAAAAACTAAAAGGTTCATTTGAGCTAGATTTAACTTGGTTATCTGAGAAGAAAATTTTTTTAAAAGAGGGGGGATGGTGTGATTAGAGGGGACCGGTAAGACGCCCTTTTCTGTAAGTCCGCTTTATCCACCTCTTGTCATTATTGCTTTGCAAGGATTGGATTTCAGGGAAAACTAAGGTTTCCCAAATGTTCAAACCACCTATTTTAAGCCGAGTTTAGTTTACAGGGTTTAAAGAGTCATTTATTCACATTTCTCCATGTAATTATCGGCAATCACATTTTACTCATGATCTACTTTGTGCTAGGCTTTCAAAAAGCAAAGTTGCAGAAGATATACTTGACAAGTTGATATTACACTCTAGGTCTAGGTACAGTCTCTGTTTAAGGCAGCTTGTTTGCCACGTTCCTGTCACTTTCTCAAATATGTTCCAAATAACAAGCATCTTTAAAGCATTCCTAAATCGAGAATGGTGATGAATCTACTGGACAGAGGGTGAGGAAAGATTACAGCGCCTGGATCCAAACTGTGATTTGAGTAGCACAATTGCTTTAAGATATTAATACCTTTAAAAACACAAAGATTATTTTACTCATAGGTAATATTTGGATCCACATCTTTATGCTTCCCCCCCAAACCTATGCCTCTCTATTCATTTTTTATGGGAGGAGGGGGTGAGTAGCCCCGTCCTCCAAATAATTTTCCTAATCAGAAACTTAAGAGTATGAACACTTGCCTCTTTTTCATCTCTCCCCACTGTAGAAACCATGAAATGTGTAATCTCCATAACAGCTTTTCCAATCCACCACTTCCCCTTCTAAATACTCCCCACTTTGGCCTTAACTCAGACCTTCCTCACTTCTTTTTTATTTTATTTTATTTTATATGTATTTATTTATTAATGCATTTTTGAGTTAGGGTCTTGCTTTGTCACGCAGGCTGGAGTGCAGTGGCGCCATCTGGGCTCACTGCAACATCCCGTCCCCGGGCTCAGGCAACCCTCCCACTTCAGCCTCCTAGGTAGCTAGGGCTACAGGCGCTTGCCACCATGCCCAGTTAATTTTTATTTATGTTTTTATTTATTTTATTTTTTTAGTAGAGACAGGATTTCACCATGTTCCCCAGGCTACTTTTTTAGAATGCTCTTTGATCTTTCCGCCTTCGGTCTGATTCCTTTTAATCCATTCTCCACCTCACTGGTAAAAATTTTTGTGCTATATGTAGTCATGCTCCTTCTTTATTTAAAATTCCACTAGTGGCTCCCCATAACATTCATTATAAAGGTCAAAAAAAAAAAAAACCCTTAAACTTTGTTTGGAGCACCTTTTGCTCCAGCCATACTAAAGTATTTAGCTGGGGAATAAGATGTCCATAGGGCTTTGAAAAACGCTAACATATTCCTGAGACTGTAGAAGGTGCTTAGGGTGTGCATATGTCTAGGGTTATGTGAACACTCAAGATAGGCCTGAGAAGGCCCTGAGCTCTAACCTCTGGGTGACCTTGAGGCACTACAGAAGCAAGAAGTGAAGGCTAAGGCAGAATTATTTGGTTGGTTGGTGCAAAAAATTGCGGTTTTGTCATTTCAACGAAATTACTTTGGTACCAACCTAATGTAAAGTGCTTGGCTGATTGTTGAAGGCTTGTCCCAACGTAAGTACTAAACCCCTCAGGAAAGACTGGGAGATTTTTTGGTTGAAGGTGTTTAAGAAAACCTGTCTCTCTAATCATTAGTTGACCACTAAGCTAACTGAGCAGAAACCTGAGTGGTCACACACAATAAACAATGCAGACTTTAAAGAATTCATTCATAAGCTAGGTGCGGTGGCACACGTGTAGTCCCAGCTACTCGGTAAACTAAGGCCAGAGGATCCCTTGAGTCACCAACTCAGACCCTATCTCTAAAAAAAAAAAAAAAGAATGAGTTCAGAAAAGTCACTAAATCAACAACTGCTACAACAAACAGAAATAACAGTGAAGCTTGGGGAGCGGGTAGAATCTGATTTCCAGTGTTGCACATTATATTATTTAAAATGTTCAGTTTTCAAAATAGTTAAGATACATGCAAAGAAACAAGAATGTATGGCTCATACACAGGATAAAAATTAATCAATAGAAACTCACCCGAGGAAGCCTACATGCTGGACTTACTAGATAAAAAGGCTTTAAATCAGATATTTTCAATATGTTACAAAGCTAAAGGAAACCATGTCTAAAGAACTAGAGGAAAGTATGAGATGTTTCATCAAATAGATGATAAAGACAAATCATTTTTTAAAACCCAAATAATTCTGGAGTTAAAAAGTATAATATGCCATGACGGAGACAAATTTTAAATTTTTAAAAAAAAATAAAATAACAAAAAGGTATAATAAAGTGAAAAGTTTACTAGAGGGGCTCAACCCCAGATTTGAGCAGGGAGAAAAAAAAAATCAGCAAACTTCAATATAGGTCAGTTGAGATGATCTAGTCTGGGCAACAGATTGAAAAGAGAAAGAAGAAACATCAACAGGCCTCAAAGTCCTGTGGGACACAATCAAGCACACCAACGTGCGCGTAATGGGAGTTTCAGAAGGAGAGGAGAAAAAGAAAAGGGCAGGCATAATACTTGAATAAAAGAATGGCCAAAAACTTCCTAAATTTAATGAGAAATATTTATCGACACATCCAAGAAGCTTAACAAATGCCAAGTGACATAAACAAATCCACACCTCAACACATTGTAATTAACCGATTAAAAGTCAAGGGCAAAGAGAGACTCTTGAAAGTGGCCACTTTCAAGAAGAAAAGCCACAAAGAGAGAAGCCACTCATCACATAATCCTCCATAAGATTTACAGTTGATGCCATGAAAGCCAAAAGGCAGGGGATGACATACTCAACATGCTGAAAGAAAAAGATCATCAAGTAAGAATTTTACCTCCAGCAAAACTATCCTTCAAAAATGAAGGCGGTATTAATACTTTCCCAAAATGTATGTATATACAAAGATAGAATTTGTCACTAGGACATTTTCCTTGCAAGAAATACTAAAGGGAGTCCTTCAGAATTAAATTGACACTAGACAGTAATTCAAATCCACATGAAGGAATAAAGAACACTTGTAAAACTAACTACATAAGTAAATATAAAAGTATAATTTTTTATTTGTGACTCATTTTTCTATTTTATTTAAAAGACAATTGCGTGAAGCAATAATTATAAGTCTGTATGGGCTTATTGTAAGATATTAATATGACAGTAACAGAAGGGAGAGGAAGGAGGGAAAGAATAATGGAGGAACGAAGCCATATAGTAGCAAGTCTTTGTGTACTATTGAAATAAAGTTGTTATTAATCCAAACTAGATTGTTATAACTTGTTAATTATAATCCCCAGAGCAACTGCTAAGAAAATACTTTTAAAATATATGAATAAAGGACAAGGAAATTAAAATGGCATACTTGAAAATATATATTTAACACAACAAAAGGCAGCAGGAATTAAGAAATAGAGGAATAAAAAAGACACAGGACATAAAGAAAACATCGCAAAATGACAAATGTAAATTCTACCTTGTCGATGTCAACAATCCAAAGGATTTTCCTTAAAAAGGAAAGAGGCTGGGCGCAGTGGCTCACACCTGTAATCACAGCACTTTGAGAGGCCAAGGCTGGAAGATTGCTTGAGTACAGGAGTTTGAGACGAGCCTGGGCAACATTCTAAAACCCCATCTCCACTAAAAAATACAAAAAATTAGCCAGGTGTGGTGGCACATGCCTGTAGTCCCAACTGCTTAGGCAGCTGAGGTAGGAGGATCGCTTGAGTCCAGGAAATCAAGTCCGAAGTGAGCCCCGATCATGCCACTACACTCCAGCCTTGGTGACACAGTGAGACCCTGTCACAAAAAAAAAAAAAAAAGAGAGACTTTATTCCAGTGAATAGTTTGTAGTCTTTTGTACCAAACAAAGGTGTTATTCAAGAAAACAAAAAGGATTGTCTTCTTTAGAGAAAGTTCGCACCCAGGTTCCCCCTCTGCTTTGCTATGCAAATGAGGAATAAAAGCTTGTTTAGTTTTGATTGGTTGATGCAGGTCACAGTGTATCAGTTAGGTCCAGGTGGTGAAAAGAGACTTTCTAGCAGTTGTTGATTGAGGCAGTGTAAACAGGAACAGACAGCCATGAATGACCCAAAGTCTCATAAGCTTGTTGGTTCTCTTCAGAATACAGAGTACATGTGTGACCTCCAGTCAGCAAATGGCTGCTTGGCTCCATTTTGAATTTAGGACCAGTTAGCCACTCAGGATCCATCTTGAAAGATTAGCTCTTTCAGGATTCACATCAGTCAGTATATTAAATATAAATGGAATAAAAACTCCAATTAAAAGGTAGAGATTGACAGAATACACTTAAAAAAAAATATCTAGCTATATCTATCCACAGAGTTACACTTTAGATTCAGTGACACAGGTTGAAAGTAAAAGGATGAAAAAAAGTACGATCTAAATAGTCACTAAAATAGCACAACCACTTTAGAAATTGTCCTGATATTTAAAAAATAAAAATGCAATTATCATTTGACCTAGCAGTCCCACTTTATATTTACCAAAAATAAATACAAACATGTGCCCACACCAAGACTCTTGACCGCAACAGTTCATAGCAACTTTACTAATAAAAGCCCTAAACTGGACACAATCTAAATGTTTGCCAGCTGGTGAATAAATAACGTCTGGTATGTCTTTACAATGCAATATTAACAATAAAAAGGAAACTACTAATATATGCAAGAACAAGGATGAATTTCAAAAACATCACGCTGCGGAAAAGTAAGATGTGAAAGTGCATACTGTACAATACCCCTTAAAAGGACTGTAAACAAATCAAGTCAAATAGGCAGTGACAGAAAGCAAATCAGTTGTTGTCTTTGTGGTTCATAGTAGAGTTAGGTGGGAGGATTAACTGCACAGGGGCATGAGGGAACTTTTTGGTTTGTTAAAAATGTTCTATATTTTTATCGTGGTGATAGTTTGTCAAAACTCACCAAATTGTACACTAAAAATGGGTGCATTTATGGTTGATTATTTATGCCTCCATAAAGTTGATTTAAAAGAAAAAACCTCAAAGTTGTTATTTTCCCCCATTCTTTTAGCCATACCAAAGTATTTGCTATTAAATCATGCTGTCATATGCCTTAGAATCTTCAGACCTACTGTTTCTCCACTCTGAATGTCTTTTCTCCCATCTGCTATCACCACACTCTTTCCCACATTTTGCTGGAGGGTGTTGATCAGTCAATACCCTCTCATATAATCCTGCCCTATAGCCCTACTCTGTAATCCTTGATTTACTTGTCTGCCTTACCATCTAAACTTTAAAATTCTTAACAGCGGGGAGCATGGCCTGGTCATAGTAGATATTTACAATTAATGTTGGATATTGAAGGTACTTGTCCAGATACTTTGCTTGCTAAGAATACTTTAAAAGATCAGGAACATTTTAAATCCAGATATAACTCCTCTTGAAATAATCAATTCCTTAAAAACAAAAAAACAAGCAAATTTATGCAATTCATATAGCTACATAACTGATACGAATATTACATGCCAATGCTTTTTTTTTTCTTGAGACAGTCTCACACCGTCACCCAGGCTAGGGTGCAGTAGCACGATCTTGACTCACTGCAACCTCTGTCTCCCCAGTTCAAGCGATTCTCGTGCCTCAGCCTACCACGTAGCAGAAATTAGAGGTGTGCACCACCATGCCAGCTAATTTTTTTATATTTCTAGTAGAGACAGGGTTTTGCCATGTTGCCCAGGCTGGTTTCGAACTCTGGGCTCAAGTGACCCTCCCACTTCAGCCTCCCAAAGTGCTGGGATTACAGGTGTGAGCCACAGCTCCCAGCCCACATGCTAATGCTTAAAGCAATTATTGTTTGGGTTAGACCCAAGATAGCTTTGGAAACCACCTCAGTGCACAGAATTGTGAAATATTTAATTTTCTAAAATATTTAGTTTTCTAAAATCATAAAATGACAAGAGTTCACATTATTAAATATGTAATGTACGTTGTGTTGTGTCAAAGAGAAGCCTTCCTGCTCATTTGGTATCCACTGAATCTGGCAAGTTTATTAAATGAAGGACTGACTAGTGGCGTTACTACATACATGTTACAAACCTTAAAATCCATCAACCTTACTGTAAATATTTCTTCCTATTTATAAAGAGCTCTAAGGACAGCTCCTTTCATATACAAAGTATGACTAAATGTCTAGTAAGAAATTGTAAGAGTAAATTTTCAGATTACCCAGATTTACAATTATGAATATCAAAAAGGGCTGTTGCCATTTGAATTTTTAAGAAATGTTTAAGAAACTGAATGTTTAAGAAATGCATTGTTTTCTGTTCAAAAATTAAAATCAGCTTTGTCATATTTAATTATGTTTTTTGAGTTACATAGTTTTTGAGTATTATAAATAAATATAGATCCAGCAAAAGAAAAAGAAAAAATAGGAAAATATTTACATATTAAAGTACAGTGAATTAAGTTAATGTATAAGGCCAATAGAATAATTGTTACTTCTGCCAGATGGTATTTTACATTTTGATAAAGAGATATATTCTTAATCATATATGTCAAGGAAAAGCAACCATATGTTGTTAAACACTTCCAATTTGTCATTTAATTTAAAAGGCACTACTGATATTGCCATAAAATTTTTTTTTTTTTTTTGGTGATGTAATCTGTCCCTGGTGTCAATAAAATGTAATCTCTTCAAGTAGTTTCCTTAGTTTTCTTCAACTGTTTGATCCAATAATTCAATGAAGAATTGCCTTAGCATCTACAAGGAAAGAACACCATATAGTGGGTAAATCAGAATCCAGAGTATATATTCAAGTTACTACTGGGCAAGAAGCATAACCTCTGTTTTCAAGAAGGCTCTAGAATTTAATTTACTATATTCTAGTAAAGTGAATAAAATATATAGAGTAAATCAAATGATCACAAATTGGTTTGCCTTAAAGTTCAGAAACCAGTATATTCTTTATTTGTTGTGTTTTTGAGACAGAATCTCACTCTGTTGCCCAGGCTAGAGTGCAGTGGCACCATCTTGGCTCACTGCAACCTCTGCCTCCTGGGTTCAAGTGATTCTTGTGCCTCAGCCTCCCAAGTAGCTGGGATTACTGGCGCACACCACCACACCTGGCTAAGTATTGTATTTTTAGTAAAGATGGGGTTTCACCATATTGGCCAGGCTGGTCTTGAGCTCCTGACCTCAAGTGATCCACTCGCCTCAGCCGCCCAAAAGGCTAGGATTGCAGGCATGAGCTACCGCACCTGGCCCAGTATATTATTAAGAAAAAAAAAAAAGAGGGTGACTATATTACAAAACAATTTTCCTCTTTACAAAAAGATGTTGAATGAAAAAAACATTAAGGAAGACACAGAAAATAGCATTCAATCTACAATAGAAAAAGGAAACTGGTATCAGATTATTATTAAAACAAAGATTTTATGTGCCTTTATTTCCTCTACTCTACTTTTTTGAGAAGAATATCTCAGCCCCTCTTCCTCTGTCACTCTTCACCCATTTCTCTTCTCACGCTACAGGGCTCCATGGATTATTTCTTTCAGGCTTAAAGTCTGAATTACCATCTACGTGCTGAAGACTTGCAGATTTCTATTGTCTGTGCATCTCTCTTCTCCAGACTTTTCATTGTTACATGGCTGTCACTATTTATCTATTCTCCAGTTGATGGACATTTGGGTTGTTTCCAATTTTTTGCTATTATGAACAATGCTGCTATGAATATTCTGTGTGTCCCCTGGTGTGTCAGATCAAGAGATTCTCAAGAATATATACCTAGAAGTAAAATGGCTAGATTCTAAGACAGACATGTCAATTTTACTAGATAGTACCAAATTGTATTCCAATGTGATGTTCAAAATATCTGATTACTTTGTGCCATCACTAACAGTGTTGTTAGACTTGTTTATTTTTGATAATCTAATGAAAATAGAGTGATATATTGTTTTAATTTGCATATTTCTAATTACTAATAAGATTGAATGTGTTTCATATTTGTTGGCCATTTATATTTTTTCTTTTCTGATATGCCAATTCATGACTTGGGCACATTTTTTCCTCTAGAGTTAGCTATCCTTTTTTGCATGCTTTCAAACTCTTCATTCACGCTTAGTAAAATGAAACTCAATGAGGATATGTTACATGGGAAAGGTAATGTAGTTAGTAGCAGAACTCAAAATTCATAGTAACCAGTATGTGGGATTTGGGGGAGGGAAGCAATTTATATGCAACTAATATCATTTCCTTGTGTGTTACATATTTTTTTCTAAAGTGAACACAAGTGAAATATTAAGTTTCAGTGACACTTAAGATTGTGTTGCCAGGCATGGTGGCTCACGCCTGTAATCAGCAAAGGAGACCAAGGCAGGCAGATCGCTTGAGCCCAGGAGTTCTAGGCTAGCCCAGGCAACATGATGAAACCCTCTCTCTACAAAAACAAAAAATAAGAAAAAGAAACCCAAAAATTAGCCGGGTGTGGGGCACATGCCTGTAGTCCCAGCTACTTGGGGGGCTGAGGCAGGAGGATCATCTGAGCCCAGGGAGTTTGAAGCTGTAGTGAGCCATCATTGTGTCACTGTACTCCAGCCTGAGTGACAAAGTAAGACCTTGTCTCAAAAAAAAAAGAAAGATTGTGTTTGACACTTAAGATTGCATATGATCACCTCCTTTCTGAGCCAGACAGACATGGGCTTTGCAGGCCAATGAGATTGGAATGCTATTCCAGGGATGCTACACTCAGAGTGAGTCTTGAGAAGTCACAGGTCTGTTCATTATATTGGCAAATAACTAAGGAAATTTTCCAAACAAACTTTCCACCAATCCTGGAAACTCATATTTGGGGGATGGAGTGTGGAACTGTGTAGTGTAATAAAGATGCCCATATGAGTCTGATCTGTCCATTATTTTGGATGTATCTACTCATTGTCTAAAGTGATTGAGACACAAAACCAAAATAAAGTGAATTTCTTATTGTCTGTCATGAGTACCACAGGCGGTACATAAGATAATTTCAGATGATTCATGAACATTTTCTGTATTAATGGGAATATACTTATTTTGATGTATAATAGAAAAATACAAAAAGAACATATCAGACCTGTGATATGATTTCTTTTTTTTTCTTTTTAAAATTTTTGAAAGAGGGTTTCACTCTGTCGTCCAGGCTGGAGTGCAGTGGGTGATCACGACTCGCTGCAGCCTTGATCTCCCAGGCTGAAGTGGTCCTCCCACTTCAGCATCCCAAATTGCTGAGACTACAGGCACGAGCCACCACACTGGCTTCTTTTAGAATTTTATATCTAACTTTTATCACCACACTTTATCACAAAGAAAAAGCCACAATAATAATTATTTTAATAATAGAACACATGAATAAAGATGAAAATAATTTGGGGTTTTTAACCTAGAAAATAAGACTAAGGGATGAATTCAAATGAATGCTAAATTATTTCAAGAAAAATACTGAATGTCCTCTATTCCATAGAAGACACAGAATGATAATTATGAAGAGCTTTATTAATTATAAATAAAGAAGGCTTTATCAACTATAAGGATAAAATATAGTATTTCAGGGCTGGGCACAGTGGCACATGCTTCTAATCCCAGCACTTTGAGAGACCCAGGTGGGCCAATCGCTTGAGCTCAGGAGTTGAGACCAGCCTGGGCAACATGGTGAAACCCTGTCTCTACACAAAAATGCAGTAATTAGCCAGGCATGGTGGTGCATGCCTGTAGTCCCAGCTACTTGGGAGGCTGAA
Source organism: Homo sapiens (assembly GCF_000001405.40). Taxonomy (NCBI): domain Eukaryota; kingdom Metazoa; phylum Chordata; class Mammalia; order Primates; family Hominidae; genus Homo; species Homo sapiens. Next base: position 161,298,262 of record NC_000002.12, on the reverse strand, counting down.
GTGGGAGGATCGCTTGAGCCTGGAAGATTGAGGCTTCAGTGAGCCATGATTATGCCATTGCACTCCAGCCTGAGTGACAGAGTGAGACCTGTCACCAAAAAAAAAAAAAAAAAAAAAAAGTGTTTTCGTTCTTAAGAGCTTTGAAAAAAGATGAATGAGGAGGTAACCAATTTTTTAATAATAATGTCCTATCTTCCATTTATTACTCAAGAAGTTGTATAGATGAAAGAAGCTAAAGTACCTCCCCTAAAATTATTAGGATGCAGGGCAGCCAAAGAAAGTAGAAGAGGGGAGAGACCTTACAGCCCAGTATCTCAGGACTATGACTTTTCTTTTTTTTTAAATTTTGAGATGGTGGACTCGTTATATTACCCTTCTGGCCTTAAACTCTTGGTCTCAAGTGACCCTCCTGCCTCAGCCTCCCAAGTAGCTGGGATTACAGAAGCGCACCACCATGAGACCTTTTTTAAAAATATATATATATTTTTTTAAATTTTACTTTCAGTTCTGGGATATATGTGCTGAACATGCAGGTTTGTTACATAGTTATACATCATCACTGGTCATTAGAGAAATGCAAATCAAAACCACAATGAGATACCATCTCATGCCAGTTAGAATGGCAATCATTAAAAAGTCAGGAAACAACAGGTTCTGGAGAAGATGTGGAGAAATAGGAACAGTTTTACACTGTTGGTGGGAGTGTAAATTAGTTCAATCATTGTGGAAGACAGTGTGGCGATTCCTCATGGATCTAGAACCAGAAATACCATTTGACCCAGCAATCCCATTACTGGGTATATACCCAAAGGATTATAAATCATTCTACTATAAAGACACATGCACATGTATGTTTATTGCAGCACTAGTCACAATAGCAAAGACTTGGAACCAATCCAAATGCCCATCAATGATAAGACTGGATAAAGAAAATGTGGCACATATACATCGTGGAGACCTTTTTTTGAACTAACATCAGTGATCACTTGGATACACTGTTTATGTGCCTTATTGCTTAAGACAACTACATCAAATCACTACTGAATGACTTAACAAACTGGTTTTTATTCCAGGATTCAGATAAGTATGGTATTGTCATTTGGTTTTGCTTCAACATGCTCAATTACTGTTTGCATAAAATTTTGCACTCATTAAGAATTGGAGTAAAAAATATTTTTCTTAATTCCATGAAATCCTCAAACTGGGGCCAATTTGAGTGTTGAAGATGGAAGGAGGGTGAGATTGAAAAACTACCTATTGGGTATTATGCTGATAATCTGGGTGACAAAATTATCAGTACACCAAATTCTCTCAACACCCAATTTACCCATGTAACAAATCTGCACATGTACACCTTGAACCTAAAATAAAAGTTAGAAAAAAAAATAATTTACAAAACTAAAAATAAATACTTTAAAGCCAAAAAACAAAAAATAAATAAATAAAATCCTCAAACTGGATTTTTACTCTTAAAAATACTTTAAGTGAGGCCGGGCGCAGTGGCTCACGCCTGTAATCCCAGCACTTTGGGAGGGCCGAGGGGGGTGGATCATTTGAGATCAGGAGTTTGAGACCAGCCTGGCCAACATGGTGAAGCCTCATCTTTACTAAAAAAAAAAAATACAAAAATTAGCTGAGCCTGGTGGTACATGCCTGTAATCCCAGCTACTCGGTAGGCTGAGGCAGGAGAATTCCTCGAACCCAGGAGGCAGAGGTTGCAGTGAACCAAGATCGCACCACTGTACTCCAGCCTGGGTGACAGAGCGAGACTCCATCTCAAAAAAAAAAAAAAAACAAAGTGTATTTTTTTTTGAGATGGAGTTTCACTCTTGTTGCCCAAGCTGGAGTACAGTGGCGCGATCTCGGCTCACTGCAACCTCTGCCTCCCGGGTTCAAGCAATTCTCCTGCCTCAGCCTCCTGTGTAGCTGGGATTACAGGTGCGTGCCACCATGCCCGGCTAATTTTTTCTATTTTTAGTAGAAACAGCGTTTCACCATGTTACCCAGGCTGGCCTCGAACTCCTGACCTCAGGTGATCCACCCACCTCAGACTCCCAAAGTGCTGGGATTACAGGTGTGAGCCACCACACCTGGTTTAAGTATACTTTTAAGCACATTTTAAGAGCAAAATATTTGTGACTTATTGGTTAGGACTTACATAAAGTTTCTAAACTTTTTATAAAATAAACTTGATCCACTTACAAACATGAAGATTAAACAGAAATTTGTTAGGTGTCAGAGAATATTGCTCTAGTTAAACTTCAAAAGCTTCTTAGCCCCTAATGAGGTAGTTTCAACAAGATCATCTTTGTTGGATGATACTGAGTCTATAAAGAGTCATATTTTTAGAGTATGACTATTTTTATAATGAACTTATTTAATTTGTAGACTAGTTCACTATAAACCTTTTCTAATCTTTGTATTAGTTTTCTGAGCATTTTGTGATTTCTTTATGTAATTATTGTGAATTTAATAAATTAAGCAATAATCTTAATGCTTTAAGATGCTATTGTAGAACAGTCATTTCCTAACAATTGAGTGAAAATGAACCTATTCATAGAGACAATTTGGTATTTATTCACAAAATGACAATAATTTTTTACAGATAAATGGTAGCTTTTAAAATCTCAGCTGTTGAATCAAAAGGAGTGAAAGTGGTAATTCTGAGACTACAAAAAACTTGATTAATAAGTAAAGGGAAGATTTTTTTTTAATGAGAGATAACTTTTTATTTTGTGCTTCAAAACATAATTGGGCTGGGTGTGGTGGCTCACACCTGTAATTCCAGCACTTTGGGAGGCCAAGGTGGGTGAATCACTTGAGATCAGGAGTTCAAGACCAGCCTGGCCAACATGGTGAAACCCCATTTCTACTAAAAATACAAAAATTAGCCAGTCATGGTGGCACATGCCTGTAATCCCAGCTACTCTGGAGGCTGAGGCAGGAGAATAGCTTGAAACCGGGAGAAAGAGGTTGCAGTAAGCCGAGATGGCACCACTGCACCACTGGACTCCAGCCTAGGTGATAGAGTGAGAGTCCATCTCAAAAACAAAACAAAACAAAACAAAACACAAAAAACAAAAAAACATAATTGGGCCATGAATGCTTAACAAGAGCAATTGAGCTATTAGTTGTTCCGACTGAAAAACATTTAAATATAATAATACAACATCAAATCTTATATATACATTTATATATTTTTTCATAAAGCAACTTTAATGAGACTAGAATGCAAAAAGGCTTGCTTGAGTTATAATACTAACCATGGTATCTATGCTATGGAATTGCTTCAAAGGTGACACTTTATAATAAAATGCTTTGGAAATTTGGATGACATCAATGCATTATGCCAGATTTCACTAGTAGGTAAAATGTTTCTAATGAATTTTGAAATGCTTGGAGGAATTTAAAAATAACTCTAAAAAATCATGTATATTATATATACATTTTTAAATCTATTCAGTTTTTTTCTAACCTGCATGCATATGGACTCTGTAGTGCTGTAATAAGTAATTAAATAATAATGGGACACATGAGAAAGATTTAAAACCAATCAAAACTACCAAGAACTATACAAACTAAAAACCCCAGCAGGGTGCAGTGGTTCACACCTGTAATCCCAGCACTTTGGGAGGCCAAGGTGGGTGAATCATGAGGTGAAGAGATGGAGACCATCCTGGCCAACATGGTGAAACCCCGTCTCTACTAAAAATACAAAAATTAGTCCGGCATGGTGGTGCGTGCCTGTAATCCCAGCTACTCGGGAGGCTGAGGCAGGAGAATCACTTGAATCCAAGAGGCAGAGGTTGCAGTGAGCCGAGATCACGCCACTGCACTCCAGCCTGCAGACAGAGTGAGACTCCGTCTCAAAACAAAACAAAACAAAAACCCAATATGCTGTTAATTTGGTTAGTGTAAAAAAGGATTTATTTCAATGGCTAGTCCAATGTTTCATTTAATCTTCCCAAAAGGGTAGTAAAAAGAAAAAAAAAAGCAGCACAAAAAGTCTGGAAACCTTATGCTGCTACCTTTGTGACTTTAAGTCATTTACTACTTTGGTCCTCAGTGTACAGAGAGAACGCTGTTTAACTTCTTATTCTTATTCTCACTCTTATTCTAGCAATGGAACATTTTGTCAAATGGAATCTTACATAGGGCACCAATATATAAAACAGATAAATGCAGAGCTGCTCTGCTAAGGTGGTGGGTGGGAAAACCTGGAGCCCTCTCCAGATTTGTTTGTGCTATTTTTTGCTGTATAAAAGTTTCAAAAAACATTTAATGGCTTTGCTTTTGCTTCTGGGTTGTGTATATTCAGAAAAACATTTTATAGTGTAAAACTTTTAAAACATCTCTTCCTTCTTCAAAGACTTTCATATTTAAATCCTTCAGCGATCTAGAATTTATTTTAGTATAAGGGCTCCAACTTCACATTTTTCGAGGTTTCTACCTAGCTGTTCCTCCATTTATTAAGCAATTTGTCTTTATCCTGTTGATTTGCAATGTCACCTTTCTCATGTAATAAATTGTCCATATCAGCCGGCCGTGGTGGCTCACACCTGTAATCCCAGCACTTTGGGAGGCCAAGTCAGGCTGATCGTGAGGTCAGGCATTTGAGACCAGCCCGGCCAATATGGTGAAACCCTGTCTCTACTAAAAATACAAAAATTAGCTGGGCATGGTGGTGCGCACCTGTAATCCCACCTACTCGGGAGGCTGAGGCAGAAGAATCGCTTGAACCTGGGAGGCAGAGGTTGGAATGAACCTAGATTGCACCACTGCACTCCAGCCTGGGTGGCAGAGTGAGACTCCGTCTCAGAAAAAAATAAAAAATTAAAAAAAAAATTGTCCATATTATGGAATCTGTTTCTAGTTTCTGGTACTTAAGTTTTAGGAATGCATTACCTCTCCCCATTCTGCTCTCTCCCCATTCTGCCATTCACCAATGACCAAGAAGTACAAACATCTTGTAGTCCTGTTTTTTTTTTTTTTAATGTGAAGACTTTCCGTTATGTACACAAATGGTTAGCTTTTTGTTTAACTTTGCATGTCACATTTACCATTCTTTATTGCCAACTGTGTAAAAAAATTGTCATCTATTACATTTGCAATCACATAAGACATACAGTGGTCCCCCCACCTTATCCAAGGGGGATATGTTCCAGTGGATATCTGAAACCTCAGATAATACCAAGCCATATATATATATATTTGTGCATCTATGATGCACAAATTTCATTCTTCTTCTTCACAATATCACAGATAGAAGATACATTCTTATTGTAGATCTCAGCAACCTCAGCATATGATTTTCTTTCTTTCCTTGTTAAGTTGAGAACTTTCATCTTTTCACTTAAAAGGAGCACTTGATGGCTTCTGCTTGGCATAGCCAAATTGCCAGCATCACTACTCTTGCATCTTGGGGCCATTATTAAATAAAATAAAAGTTATTTGAACATAAGCACTGTGATACCACAACAGTCCATCTATAGCCAGTATGGCTGCTGAGTGACTAATGAACAGGTGATGAACAGCTTACAGCATGGTGACGCTGGACACGGGTGATTCCTGTCTGGGTAAGACTGAGTGGGACAGTGTGAGATTTCATCACACCACTCAGAATGGTACACGATTTCCAACTTAAGAATTATTTCTGAAAATTTTCACTTAATATTTTCAGACCATGGTTAGTCACAAAATTGCCAATAAGTGAGGACTACTATGTATAAATTATTACCAGGGTACTAAGAGCTTGAATTCTGGAGCCAGAATGGGGACAGTTATAATAGTAGGGTTGTTGTGAGGATTAAATGACTTAATATTTGTAAGATACTTAATAAGCATTATGTCATTATTGTTGCATATAATCTATAGATCAGTTTATGTAGTTTGTAAGTGATACATTTTATCTTTTTAAAGTTGCTACCCTTAAATATTTTATTTTATTTTATGCTTTTTTTATTATACTTTAAGTTCTAGATACATGTGCACAACGTGCAGGTTTCTTACATATGTATACATGTGCCATGTTGGTGTGCCTTACCCTTTAACTCATCATTTACATTAGGTATATCTCCTGATGCTATCCCTCCCCCCTCCCTCACCCCACAACAGGCCCCTGTGTCCAAGTGTTCTCATTGTTCAGTTCCCACCTATGAGTGAGAAAATGCTGTGTTTGGTTTTCTGTCCTTGCAAAAGTTTGCTCAGAATGATGGCTTCCACCTTCATCCATGTCCCTACAAAGAACATGAACTCATCCTTTTTTATGGCTGCATAGTATTCCATGGTGTATATGTGCCACATTTTCTTAATCCAGTCTATCATTGATGGACATTTGGGTTAGTTCCAAGTCTTTGCTATTGTGAATAGTGCTGCAATAAACATACGTGTGCATGTGTCTTTATAGCAGCATGATTTCTAATCCTTTGGGTATATACCCAGTAATGGGATGGCTGGGTCAAATGGTATTTCTAGTTCTAGATGCTTAAGGAATTGCGACACTGTCTTCCACAATGGTTGAACTAGTTTACAGTCCCACCAACAGTGTAAAAGTGTTCCTGTTTCTCCACATCCTCTTCAGCACCTGTTGTTTCCTGACTTTTTAATGATCGCCATTCTAACTGGTGTAAGTTGGTATCTCATTGTGGTTTTGATTTGCATTTCTCTGATGGCCAGTGATGATGAGCATTTTTTCATGTGTCTGTTGGCTGCATAAATGTCTTCTTTTGAGAAGTGTCTGTTCATATCCTTTGCCCACTTTTTGATGGGGTTGATTTTTTTCTTGTAAATTTCTTTAACTTCTTTATAATTTGTGGATATTAGCCCTTTGTCAGATGGGTAGATTGCAAAAATTTTCTCCCATTCTGTAGGTTGCCTGTTCACTCTGATGGTAGTTTCTTTTGCTGTGCAGAAGCTCTTTAGCTTAGTTAGATCCCATTTGTCTATTTTGGCTTTTGTTGCCATTGCTTTTGATGTTTTAGTCATGAAGTCCTTGCCCATGCCTATGTCCTGAATAGTCTAGGTTTTCTTCTAGGGTTTTTATGGTTTTAGGTCTAACATTTAAGTCTTTAATCCATCTTGAATTAATTTTTGTGTAAGGTGTAAGGAAGGGATCCTGTTGCAGCTTTCTACATATGGCTAGCTAGTTTTCCCAACGCCATTTATTAAATAGGGAATCCTTTCCCCATTTCTTGTTTTTGTCAGGTTTGTCGAAGATCAGATGGTTGTAGATGTGTGGTGTTATTTCTGAGGCCTCTGGTCTGTTCCATTGGTCTATATCTCTGTTTTGGTACCAGTACCATGCTGTTTTGGTTACTGTAGCCTTGTAGTATAGTTTGAAGTCAGGCAGCATGATGCCTCCAGCTTTGTTCTTTTGGCTTAGGATTGTCTTGGCAATGTGGGCTCTTTTTTGGTTCCATATGAACTTTAAAGTAGTTTTTTCCAATTCCATGAAGAAAGTCATTGGTAGGTTGATGGGGATGGCATTGAATCTATAAACTACCTTGGGCAGTATGGCCATTTTCACAATATTGATTCTTCCTATCCGTGAGCATGAATGTTCTTCCATTTGTTTGTGTCCTCTTTTATATCATTGAGCAGTGGTTTGTAGTTCTCTTTGAAGAGGTCCTTGACATCCCTTGTAAGTTGGATTCCTAGGTATTTTATTCTCTTTGAAGCAGTTGTGAATGGGAGTTCACTCATGATTTGGCTCTCTGTTTGTCTGTTATTGGTGTAGAGCAATGCTTGTGATTTTTGCACATTGATTTTGTATCCTGAGACTTTGCTGAAGTTGCTTATCAGCTTAAGGAGATTTTGGGCTGAGACGATGGGGTTTTCTAAATATACAGTCATGTCATCTGCAAACAGGGACAATTTGACTTCCTCTTTTCCTAATTGAATACCCTTTATTTCCTTCTCCTGCCTGATTGCCCTGGCCAGAACTTCCAACGCTATGTTGAATAGGAGTGGTGAGAGAGGGCATCCCTGTCTTGTGCCAGTTTTCAGAGGGAATGCTTGCAGTTTTTGCCCATTCAGTATGATATTGGCTGTGGATTTGTCATAAATAGCTCTTATTATTTTGAGATACGTCCCATCAATACTTAGTTTATTGAGAGGTTTTAGCCTGAAGGGCTGTTGAATTTTGTCAAAGGCCTTTTCTGCATCTATTGAGATAATCATGTGGTTTTTGTCTTTGGTTCTGTTTATATGATGGATTGATTACGTTTATTGATTTGCCTATGTTGGACCAGCCTTGCATCCCAGGGATGAAGCCAACTTGATCATGGTGGATAAGCTTTTTGATGTGCTGCTGGATTCAGTTTGCCAGTATTTTATTGAGGATTTTTGCATCGATGTTCGTCAGGGATACTGGTCTAAAATTCTCTTTTTTTTGTTGTGTCTCTGCCAGGCTTTGGTATCAGGATGATGCTGGCCTCATAAAATGAGTTAGGGAGGATTCCCTCTTTTTCTGTTGATTGGAATAGTTTCAGAAGGAATGGTACTAGCTCCTTTTTGTACCTCTGGTAAAATTCGGCTGTGAATCCGTCTGGTCCTGGACTTTTTTGGTTGGTAGGCTATTAATTATTGCCTCAATTTCAGAGCCTATTATTAGTCTATTCAGGGGTTCAACTTCTTCCTGGTTTAATCTTGGGAGGGTGTATGTGTCCAGGAATTTATCCATTTCTTCTAGATTTTCTAGTTTATTTGTGTAGAGGTGTTTATAGTAGTCTCTGATGGTAGTTTGTATTTCTGTGGGATCAGTGGTGATATCCCCTTTATCATTTTTTATTGCGTCTATTTGATTCTTCTCTCTTTTCTTCTTTATTAGTCTTGCTAGCGGTCTATCAATTTTGTTGATCTTTTCAAAAAACCAGCTCCTGGATTCATTGGGTTTTTGAAGGGTTTTTTGTGTCTCTGTCTCCTTCAGTTCTGCTCTGATCTTAGTAATTTCTTGCCTTCTGCTAGCTTTTGAATGTGTTTGCTCTTGCTTCTCTAGTTCTTTTAACTGTAATGTTAGGGTGTCAATTTTAGATCTTTCCTGCCTTCTCTTGTGGGCATTTAGTGCTATAAATTTCCCTCTACACACTGCTTTAAATGTGTCCCAGAGATTCTGGTATGTTTTGTCCTTGTCCTCATTGATTTCAAAGAACATCTTTATTTCTGCCTTCATTTCTTTATGTACCCAGTAGTTATTCAGAAGCAGGTTGTTCAGTTTCCATGTAGTTGAGCGGTTTTGAGTGAGTTTCTTAATCCTGAGTTCTAGTTTGATTGCACTGTGGTCTGAGAGACAGTTCGTTATAATTTCTGTTCTTTTACATTTGCTGAGGAGAGCTTTACTTCCAACTCTGTGGTCAATTTTGGAATAAGTGCAATGTGGTGCTGAGAAGAATGTATATGCTGTTGATTTGGGGTGGAGAGTTCTGTAGATGTCTATTAGGTCCACTTGGTGCAGAGCTGAGTTCAATTCCTGGATATCCTTGTTAACTTTATGTCTCGTTGATCTGTCTAATGTTGACAGTGGCATGTTAAAGTCTCCCATTATTATTGTGTGGGAGTCTAAGTCTCTTTGTAGGTCTCTAAGGACTTTCTTTATGAATCTGGGTTCTCCTGTATTGGGTGCATGTATATTTAGGATAGTTTGCTCTTCTTGTTGAATTGGTCCCTTTACCATTATGTAATGGCCTTCTTTGTCTCTTTTGATCTTTGTTGGTTTAAAGTCTCTTTTATCAGAGACTAGGATTTGCAACCCCTGCTTTTTTTGTTGTTTTGTTTTGTTTTGTTTTCCATTTGCTTGGTAGATCTTCCTCCATCCCTTTATTTTGAGCCTATGTGTGTCTCTGCCCGTGAGATGGGTTTCCTGAATGCAGCACACTGATGGGTCTTGAGTCTTTATCCGATTTGCCAGTCTGTGTCTTTTAATTGGAGCATTTGGTCCATTTACATTTAAGGTTAATATTGTTATACGTGAATTTGATCCTGTCATTATGATGTTAGCTGGTTATTTTGCTCGTTAGTTGATGCAATTTCTTCCTAGCATCGGTGGTCTTTACAATTTGGCATGTTTTTGCAGTGGCTGGTACCAGTTGTTCCTTTCCATATTTAGTGCTTCCTTCAGGAGCTCTTGTAAGGCAGGCCTGGTGGTGACAAAATCTCTCAGCATTTGCTTGTCTGTAGAGGATTTTATTTCTCCTTCACTTATGAAGCTTAGTTTGGCTGGATATGAAATTCTGGGTTGAGAGTTCTTTTCTTTAAGAATGTTGAATATTGACCCCCACTCTCTTCTGGCTTGTAGAGTTTCTGCTGAGAGATCAGCTGTTAGTCTGATGAGCTTCCCTTTGTGGGTAACCCGACCATTCTCTCTGACTGCCCTTAATATTTTTTCCTTTGTTTCAACTTTGGTGAATCTGACAGTTATGTGTCTTGGAGTTGCTCTCCTCGAGGAGTATCTTTATGGCATTCTCTGTATTCCATGAATTTGAATGTTGGCCTGCCTTGCTAGGTTGGGGAAGTTCTCCTGGATAATATCCTGAAGAGTGTTTTCCAACTTGGTTCCATTTTCCCCGTCACTTTCAGGTACTCCAATCAGACGTAGATTTGGTCTTTTCACATAGTTCCATATTTCTTGGAGGCTTTGTTAGTTTATTTTTACTCTTTTTTCTCTAAACTTCTCTTCTCGCTTCATTTCATTCCTTTGATCTTCAATCACTGATACCCATTCTTCCACTTGATCGAATCGGCTACTGAAGCTTGTGCATTCATCACGTAGTTCTCGTGCCATGGTTTTCAGCTCCATCAGGTCATTTAAGGACTTCTCTGCATTGGTTATTCTAGCTAGCCATTCATCTAACTTTTTTCAAGGTTTTTAGCTGCTTTGCGATGGGTTCGAACATTCTCCTTTAGCTCAGAGAAGTTTGTTATTACCAGTCATCTGAAGCCTTCTTCTCTCAACTTGTCAAAGTCATTCTCCATCCAGCTTTGTTCCGTTGCTGGCGAGGAACTGCATTCCTTTGGAGGAGAAGAGGCGCTCTGATTTTAGAATTTTCAGCTTTTCTGCTCTGGTTTCTCCCCATCTTTGTGGTTTTATCTACCTTTGGTCTTTGATGATGGTAATGTACAGATGGGGTTTTGGTGTGGATGTTCTTTCTGTTTGTTAGTTTTCCTTCTAACAGTCAGGACCCTCAGCTGCAAGCCTGTTGGAGTTTGCTGGAGGTCCACTCCAGACCCTGTTTGCCTGGGTATCACCAGCAGAGGCTGCAGAACAGCAAATATTGCAGAACAGCAAATGTTGCTGCCTTATCCTTCCTCTGGAAGCTTAGTCTCAGAGGGGCACCCAGCTGTATGAGGTGTCAGTCGGCCCCTACTTGGAGGTGTCTCCCAGTTAGGCTACTCAGGGGTCAGGGACGCACTTGAGGAGGCAGTCTGTCTATTCTCAGATCTCAGACTCTGTTCTGGGAGAACCACTACTCTCTTCAAAGCTGTCAGACAGGGACATTTAAGTCTGCAGAAGTTTCTGCTACCTTTTGTTCAGCTATGCCCTGTCCCCAGAGGTGGAGTTTACAGAGGCAGGCAGGCCTCCTTGAGCTGCGGTGGGCTCCACCCAGTTCGAGCTTCTGGGCCACTTTGTTTACCTACTCAAGCCTCAGCAATGGCAGATGCCCCTCCCCCAGCCTCGCTGCCTCCTAGCAGTTGGATCTCAGACTGCTGTGCTAGCAGTGAGTGAGGCTCCTTGGGCATAGGACCCTCCAAGCCATGCGTGGGATATAATCTCCTGGTGTGCTGTTAGGACCGTTGGAAAAGCAGGGTATTAGGGTGGGAGTGTCCCGATTTTCCAGGTAACATCTGTCACGGCTTCCCTTGGCTAGGAAAGGGAATTCCCCAACCCTTTGCACTTCCCTGGTGAGGCGATGCCCTGCCCTTCTCCGTGGGCTGCACCCACTGTCCAACAAGCCCCAGTGAGGTGAACCCGGTGCCTCAGCTAGAAATGCAGAAATCACCCATCTTCTGCGTCACTCAAGCTGGGAGCTGTAGACTGGAGCTGTTCCTATTCAGCCATCTTGGAACCTCCTCCACTTTATTTTATCCTAGATACAAGGTCCCACTCTCTCACCCAGGCTGGAGTGCAGTGGTGCAATCATAGCTCACTGCAGCCTTGGTCTCCTGGGCTCAAGTGATCATTCCACTTCAGCTTCCGGAGTAGCTGAGACTGCAGGTGTGCTCCACCATGCCTGGCTAATTTTGTTTGTTTGTTTGTTTTTGGTATTTTTTGGTAAAGACTGGGGTCATGCTATGTTGCCCAGGATAGTCTCAAACGCCTGGGCTCAAGCAATCCTCCCACCTCAACCTGGCTTGCACTTGAATTTTTAATATGCATATTTAATGTATCAATGTCTAAATTTAATCAGTATCTCTCTCATTTCTGCCTAAGCAGGAAACTTAAGATGCTAAAAACTCCAATAAACTTCTCTTCTATCTTCCATATTATTGTTCTCCAGTTCCATCTTGCTTTTGAAACTCTCATGGTTAATCATTATATTTATTTTTTGTTTGTTTTTTGAGATGGGTCTTGCTCTGTCTCCAGCCTGGAGTGCAGTGGCATGATCTCGGCTCACTGCAACCTCCACCTCTTGGGTTCAAGTGATTCTCCTGCCTCAGCCTCCTGGGTAGCTGGGACTACAGGCACACGCCACCACGCCCAGCTAATTTTTGTATTTTTAGTAGAGATGGCATTTCACCGTGTTAGCCAGGATGGTCTCAATCTCCTGACCTCGTGATCCGCCCGCCTTGGCCTCCCAGAGTGCTGGGATTGCAGGCGTGAGCTACCACTCCCGGCCATTATATTGATTTTTTCAGTCAATGTTAGACTTACACACATGATTACTGATTTCTTTGCTCACCATTGTTTCTTGCATATGGACTTTATTGCCTTCTTATTGAAATACGTCATTTATTAGTGCTTTCAGTGAAAATCAGTGAATAGTAAACTTCTGTTGACTTTGAAAATATATTTTCTCTCACTCTTGTATGATAATTTAACTAGCTACTACATTCTAGGTTATTGGTTATTTTCCCTCAGAATATTAAAAATATTGTTCTGTTGTTTTCAGTCATTTATTTTTGCTATTTTTTTTGTAGGTACTCCATTTTTTTTGGTTGTTGATTTCATGGTAGTTTTTTTGTTTGTTTTTACTTTTGAGATTTTTGCCTTTGAATTTAGTATTTGGAGTTTCATTTTGATATAGGTATATCTAGCAATATATTCATTTTAATTTAATTTTTCAGATTTCGGTGCCCTTCTTCAGTTTGAGGAATTCAAGTATTTCATCAATTTCAAAAAAAAAAAAAAAAAAATTCTCAGCCATCTTCTTTTCTTTGCTTCCCCCCACTTCTCTCCACTCCTTTCATCTGTAACTAGTATTAGAGATACACGGTTGGCCCTTGCTCAGTGGGAGTGGAAAGGATTAGGAGTACTGAGCCCTGTGCAGTCTAAAATCTGTGTATAGCTTTTGACTCTCCCCAAATTTAGCTATTAATAGCCTGTTCTTGACCAGAAGCCTTACCTATAACATAAACAGTCAATTAACACATATTTTGTATGTCATATGTATTTTTTTAAAGATGGAGTTTTGCTCTTTCATTCAGGCTGTAGTGCAGTGGTGTGATCATACTTCACTGCAGCCTTGAACTTCTGGCCTTAGCAATCTTCCTGCCTCAGTCTCCTGAGAAGCTGGAACTAAAGTCGCAAGCCACCTTACCCAGTTGATAAATAATCTTTTGTTTGTTAAACTGCTAAGATTTTTGAGTTGTTTGTTATGCAACATAAGCCTAGCCTCTCCAAGGCTTGCTTAGTGTCCCCCTTTTCTAAAATATTGCTTAGTATCCCCCTTTTCTAAAATATTCTTGCTGGGACTCTGACTGGGAGCCTTCTATCCCTCAGAATCCCTGTAGGAAATAGATATGTATTTAAAAGACAGTTTAATGAAGACTTCATTAAGAGATGTGGGAAAGTTTAAAGGAACTCAACAAGGGAAAGTGTTAGGAAGGAATTAGGTTCCTTGAATGGTAGGAAGCCATTACTACCCGTAGACTTAAAAGGGCAAAGGAAGTAGTTGTTACCAGGACCTGAGAGGAAATCCATAGCCACAGGCTCTGGGCCATCTGACAGAAACTATGGCCTTAGTGGAATCCAGACATTCTCAAGCTGAGACCTGGCAGGGAGAGAGCCAGAAAAATGAATACACTAATTCAAGCTTGTCCAATCTGCAGCCAGGAGGGCTGCACACAGCCCATGGCAGCTTTGAATGTAGCCCAACACAAACTCACAAACTTTCTTAAAACTTTTGTGATTTTTTTTTTTTTTTAGCTCATTAGCTATCATTAGTTTTAGTGTATTTTATATGTGGCCCAAGACAATTCTTCTTCCAGTGTGGCCCAGAGAAGCCAAAAAATTGGACACCCCTGTGCTAATTTCCTTCTTTTCCTGCTCCCTTACTTCCTGCAATTAGCCAAAGCCAACCAGAAGCCAGAAGGCAAGGAAGTCTTTAGAGGCCAGCCTTTCTGGGTAGAGAGCAGAGTGGGGAAGGTGAAGAACAAATGTAGAGGGGCCAACAGAAAAAACATCCAGTGCAAGCCTCATCAAGTCTTGACATATCATGCTCTAGAAAATTAACTCAACAAATGACATCTAAGGAGGAATTTCATGGCCCAACCACACTTGACAATCACTTTGAAAGTTATAAGGATTAGGAAAAATGCACTGATTTTAGGGGACCATGCTGGGATATTAAATCAATTTAGGGGACCATGTGTGTCTTCCCTAAGATTAGTTAAAAATTACTTTAGAATTAGTTAAAATTAAAACTTTAAAAATAAAAACAGGAAATGGGTATGTTTACATCTGAACTGAATAAAATTTAAAAATAAGATGATCAATGCATTTTATCTTTAAAATCGTGTTCCTACCGTCGCCGTAAGTTGTAATTTTGGACATCCAGCAAACTTCCCACTCTAGTTTATTGTGAGCTCTTTCAGTACAGAAACCTAATCTTAAAACCCTAGTATCTTGCTCGGTTCTCAAGAAGTAGAGTAAATGAATGAATGAATGTTAACCACAAAAAGATTCTGCAGGATGGATAGTGAAGGAATTTATTTCATAGGTTACTTGAACAGAGTTTATATCTGTGCTGTAACAACGCAGCCCTGTTTTGAAGGATGCACACAATTGTTGGAAGCGGGAACAGAAGTTTATTCTAGCGTGCCCCCCTCCCCTTGTTGTTTTTGTTTTTCTTTTAAGAATAATCGGTGAACTCAAATGAGTGAGTTATGTCATTATAGAGGTAAATTTATTTCTGCTATAAGTTTTTGAAAAATTATTTGCAAACTTTGCTGCTCTTTTCGTTTCTTTCTTTCTTTTTTTTTTTTTTTGACAGAGTCTCACTGTCACCCAGGTTAGAGTGCAGTGGCATGATCTCAGCTCACTGCATCTTCCACCTCCCGGGTTCAAGCAATTCTCTTGTGTCAGCCTCCCGCGTAGCTGGGACTACAGTACAGACGCCCGCCACCACACCCAGCTAATTTTTGTATTTTTAGTAGAGATGGGGTTCACATCAGCAGTGTCACTGCCAGGAAGGAGGGTCATGCTAGCCATGTCACCGGTAGTGTGGCCCGCAGGGACGCCGACATGCTGGAGTGTAGTGCCAGCATGGGCTCTGGCAGCCACGTGGGCCAGCAGGAGGGTCCCGCTGCATAGCTGTGGGGTGAGGATAGACTGGGCGGTGATATCGGCCATTACAGGGGCCTCTTCTGCTGGCAAGAGTGTGACAGTAGCAAGTGGATGGACAGGCCTGTGTGTGAGGATGGAATGCAGGAGGGGCTTTTCTGCGGCTGGGTGTGGGGCCCTCACCAGAAATGTGGAGAAATGGCCAGGTAGCTGCATCATGTTGGCTGGTAGATTGGCCAGGGCTTCGAACTGAAGGACAATAACGGGGAGTAGCTGTCAGGCCCTGGGAGTGTCTGAGTGTAAGTGGAGATGGGTTTGGGGTCACTGAGGGATGCGTGGGAGCCATCCCTGTATAGATACAGGTCATAGGGAGATAGTCTCGTGAGGCCTGTGAGTGTCCAGGGTTCCCCTGTGTGCCTGGGGCTGACTGTGGCAGAAATCTGGGGAAGGCTGGAGAGAAGCTGGGAGACACAGGAGAGTCCCTGAGGCCTGGGGGTGAAGAGTTGAAAGACATAGGGGAGGAGCACCGTGAGGCTCGTGAGTTTGTAGGTGATTCCTGGGTGTGGAGGGCTGACTCCAGCTGAAATCTGGGGTTGTTTGGAGAGTAGCTGGGAGACACAGGAGACTCCCCGAGAGCTGGGGGTGAGCTGCTGGGTGATGGCAGTAGGAACATGTGGTATATTATTGATGAACGTGGTGACTCTGAAGAATCCTCAGAGGAGGACACGGGAGAGCCCAATGGCTTCATTGATTGCCCATCACGGAGAGGACAGGGAAATGGGAGCTTGTGGGATACTGGTGATGACAGAGGTGAGTGTGGTGAAGCCCTAGGGGATGGTGAATGGTAGCTCCGGATCCCTGGTGAGGAGCTTCCTCTTAAGTCTGAGTATCTGAGAGGGGAGAGGGAGAAGCTGGGTGAGGCTAGCATGGATCTTGGGGAGTCCGGGCTGGGGGACCGTTCATAAGAAGAGCCAGACAAGACCCTACTGTTCTTAGGTGCAGACATGATTAGGAAACCTGCAGCTCCCAGGGACCCCCACTAATTTTCTAACCCGCAGAATGAAGGAGTGTGTGTGTGTGTGTGTGTGTGTGTGTGTGTGTGTGTGTGTTTGTGTGTGTGGTGTGAGGTATGTGCTCCTTAAGAAAATGGAAATAAGCCAACCAATGAGACAGACAGACAGACAGACAGAGATTCACTTGCCCAAGTGTTCTGTCCTGTCCTCTGAATCCGCTTCCAAGTCGCAAGACGCTGTGAGCTCCAAGTCCACGCAGAGTCCGCCAAACGCTCCGGCCGCTGCTCCGCTCTGCGAAGATCTGAGTACAGGCCTGCCAGGGTGGGTTTAAATAGCCTCGGGCGCAGCCTCGCAGCAGAAAGGGCGGAGCTTCACTCCTCCTTTCCACCAGTCACCCCCAACTTTCCCAGGCTACACCTCGTAGGAAACTGTTCTCCTGATTGGATTTCATGCGCCACCTTTGGGACAATCTAAGACCTTACAAGTTTTCTTGGCCAAATATATTATGAATTAAATGCACTGAAACACTGAAAACCAACTAGTGGTTCTGTGGTTCCCACGTTGTGGTTTTGACACCAGCAGCATCCTTGCAACCCTCAAACCCCGGAGATCCACAGATCTGTGTTGTAACAAGCCCTCCCCCTGACCCTGATGCATGGCAGTTTAAGAATTACCCGTGTAAGCGAAAAGACTTTGAAGAAGAGGTGGAGATATGCGTTGTATAAACATTCTTTTGCTCTGGAACCCCGTAGAGACTTGGGAGCCAGTTGGGTGGAGCATTCGTTGGATGAGGGTGCTCAGGTTAGGAATATCAAGGTGTGGCTCCAGATAATTCAATCATCTAATTAAGTTTCCTGTTATGCTAATCTGTTTTAAAATTCCGTTTGTGTAAATTCTTTTACTCAGACTGAGAATGGCAAAGCCTCAACCCCAATTTCCAGGGAGAGTTGAGAGCCTCAGGTTGAGCTGATCACCAATAGCCTATGGTTTAACCCATCATGCCTATAGAATGAGGTCTCCATAAAAACCCAAAAGGACTGGGTTTAGAGAGCTTCTGGATAACACTTCCTGGAAGGCAGTGCGCCCCTCCCCACGTGCCGGGCCCAAAATTTTTTTCTGAATTTTTTTCAGAAAAATACAATGGGAAATGTCAGTGTTTCCCTGCGTGCTGTGAGCTCTTCCAGCAAATGAATGCAACTAAAACTGGGAGTGGTGGAAACCTGATTTATAGCCAGTTGCTGAGAAGCACAGGTAAAACAACGTAGGGCTTCCCATTGTTATTAGTGTGGGAGGCCAGTCTTGCGGGACTCGGCCCTTTGGAATCTAATGCTGTGTCCCGGTAGATAGCGTCACCGTTGAATTCGAAGACACACATATGTTGGGAATAATTTTTCTGGTCATTTGCTGCATGTCTTATTTACAATACGTAATCAAATTCTTTATCCTGACCTTATGGCACCTGGGTTGAGAACCATGATTTGAACCAAAAATTGGTCTGTCACTTTCTGAGTTTGAAACTTTGTTTTGCCGTTAGCGTTTTGCTATTGCTTTCTCGTTTTCTTTTGTTTCGTTTTGTTTCTAAGTTCTGGGGTATATGTGCAGGATGTGCAGATTTGTTACTAAGGTAAACGTGTGCCATGGTGGTTTGCTGCACCTGTCAACCCAACACCTAGGTATTAAGCCCAGCATGCAGTAGCTGTTTTTCTTAACGCTCTGCCTCCCAAAAGGCCCCAGTATGTGTTGTTCCCCTTCCTGTGTCCATGTGATCCCATTTTTCAGCTCCCATTATAAGTGAGAATGTGGCGTTTGGTTTTGTTTTCCTGGATTAGTTTGCTGAGGATAATGACTTCACATCACCAGTGTTTTTGTTTTTTATTATAAAGAGTAGTATTTTATTGAATAAGATTTACTCACAGAAAAATAAGCTTTAATCTACAATGAATGCCAGACTCTACAGCAGAAAGCAATTTTCTCAGTTTTCCACACACAAAGGTTCCTACTAAGTGAAAAAAGCCATAAAATTTCATTCACAAATGTACTACTCTGTCTCAAAACATTTCACATAATCATGCACTGTACTAATACCATTAGATCAGTTCTTCAGTCAGGTTAAAGTATCCCTCTAATAACTGATTTTTATAATGCTATCAATATCCACGCCCTATCAGTCTGCCATTGTTAATGGTGTACAGCATTATTGAATACAATGGAATTGATGAAGCCCATATCCACGGACAAACCGTGACTTATGATGGTTTGGTTTATGATTTTTCAACGTTATGATGGGTTTATTGGAATATTAGATGCGTTTCTGAGTTACACTGGGTTTATGAGCATGCGACCCTATACTCCAGAAACAGCTGTATAAAGAAAAACAGGTGTGCCTAATTAAAATATACTTAGTGACCTGGGATAAACCAATAGATGCTTACAACTGATGGAGAACCATGAAAGAGAGATAGCGGTAAATAATTACAATAACACAATTTTCCAGCACCTGTCGAGGATTCCCCAAAAAGACGCAGAACGTAGGATGCACCTAAGGCACATGAAAGAGAGAGGGCAGAAGGAGTAAGAGAGAAATAGGAAGGAAGGAAGGAAGGAAGGAAGGAAGGAAGGAAGGAAGGAAGGAAGGAAGGAAGGAGAAAACACCCAGTGTTACTAAAACCCCAAAAAAATGGTTTCCCCCTGTGGGTAAGGCTGCAATGTGGATGAATCTTGAAAATATTGTGCTAAAAGTGTTATGTCAGTCATCAAAGCTCACGTATTATGCAATTCCGTTTATAGGAAATGTCCACAATATGGAAATCTATGCATATGGGGTTGATCGCTCTATGCAGTTGTTACCTAGGGCTGAGGGTCAGGGAGAGGGTTTGAGACAGAATGAGGAGTGACTAATGTTCACAGGGTTTTTCTCTGGTCGGGGGTGATAAAACGTTCTAAAATGGATTGTGAATTAAAATTGAATGTGCACAACCACAAGCATAGTAAAAGCCCTTTCTTCTCTTTTATTTTTGTTTGTTTTTTAGAGATGAGATCTGTGTTGCCCAGGCTGGAGTGCAGTGGCATGGGCGGGATCATAGCTCACTGCAGCTTTGAACTCCTGAGCTCAAGCAACTCCCCTGACTCATCCTAGCTGCAATTCTGTAGCTAGGACTACAGGTGTGCACCACCACCCCTTGCAAATTTTTTATTTTTGTTTTTATTTTGTAGAGATAGGGTCTCACTATGTTTCCTAGGCTGGTCTCGAACTCCTGGCCTCAAGCGATCCTGTAGCCTCAGTCTCCTAAATTGTTGGGATTACAGGCATGAGCCACCATTCCTGGCCTCTTATATTTTATTATTATTATTTTGAGACAAAGCCTTACACTGTCACCCAGGCTGGAGTGCAGTCGCGGGATCACGATTCACTGCGGCCTCAAACTCCTGGGCTCAAACAATCCCACCTCACCCTCCAGAGTAGCTGGGACTACAGGCGTGTGCCACCACACCTGGCTAATTTTTTGTTTATGTTTTACAGAGATGAGTTCTCTCTATGTAGCTCAGGCTGCTCTTGAACTCCTGGACTTAAGTGATCCACCCTCCTCAGCCTCCCAAAGTGCTGGGATTACAGGCCTAAGCCACAGGCCCATCCACTTCTTGGCCTCTTTTATATCTTTAACCAGTGAAGATTTAAGATCAAATACTGTTTATTCTCTATTAGTAACATACTACTTTTGGCAAATCTCACAACCATGGAACACCAACCAATCAATTTCAACATGGAGGTTAAGAACAACTGCTCTCCAGCTTGGGCACATAGCCAGATCTTGTCTCTGACTTAAAAAAAAAAAAAAAAGCAAGGAGCAGTGGCTCACATCTGTAATCCCAGCACATTGGGAGGCCAAGGTGGGAGGATCACTTGAGCCCAGGAGTTTGAGGCCAGCCTGGGCAACATGGCAAAACCCTGTCCCTACCAAAAATACAAAAATTAGCTGGATGTGGTAGCACATGTCTGTAGTCTTAGCCACCCTGGAGGCTGAGGTGAGAGGATGGCTTGAGCCAAGGAGGCAGAGGTTGCAGTGAGCTGAGATGGTGCTACTGCACTCCAGCCTGAGTGATAGAATCACACGCTGTCTCACAACAAATAAATAAATAGCCAGTGTGGTGGCCTATACCTGCAGTCCCAGCTGTTCAGGAGGCTGAGGCAGGAGATCGAGGCTGCAGTGAGCTGTGATCACACCACTGCACTCCAGCCTGGGCAGCAGAGCAACACCCTGTCTCAAAAAAAAAAAAGAAAAGAAAGAAAGAGAAAGAGAGGGAGGGAGGGAAAGAGAGAGAGGGAGGGAGGGAAAGAAAGAAGAAAGAAAGAGAAGAGAGAGAGAGAAAGAAAGAAGAAAGGGAAAGAAAGAGAACAACAGCTCTGCGGCTTACATAATTTACATTGTTAAAATATTAAGTGTGAAGTATGCAAACATGAGAGCCCATGTGCTTAGTTTATAAGACGTAGGAAAAGATTTTGAATGATCAGTTATGTCTGTGTTCTGCTGAAGAAAACTATAATCTAATTCTTGTGACAGGACCTACTGTCATTTATGATAAGAATCTATTTATAAAACATTTACCTAGAGATAGTTTTTTTTCTCGTTTTATTTTATTTTTCTAAGACAAGGGCCATATTCAGGTAGAATTACTTACTTTAAATACTTTTAAGGGTGGATAAAGAGGGATTGGTTAATGGGTGCAAAAAATGCAGTTACGTACTAGAAATGAGATCTAGTGTTAGGTGGCACACTAGATTGTTATTGTTAACTATAGTAGCCATAGTTAACAATCATTACTTTGGTTAGCAATAATTTATTATATATTTCAAAATAACTAGAGGAATGGATGTTGAATGTTCCCAAATAAATAACAATGTTGAGGTGATGGATATCCCAGTTACCCTGATTTGATCATTACACATTGTATGTTTGTATAAAAATACATGTACCCTGTAAATATGTACAACTATTATGTAGCCATACAAGTTAAAAATTAAAATTATAAAATGAATTTTATGATGATAGATATTATTTGATATAGAAAATTTAAATAGTGTAGCTTAGAAATATATGAATGGATTCATAGGTTTTGTTTTTGAGACAACGTCTTACTCTGTCACCCAGGCTGAAGTTCAGTGGTGCAATCATAGCTCACTGCAGCCTCGATCTCCCAGGCTCAAGCAATCCTCCCACCTCAGCCTCTCAAGTAGCTGGGAGTACTGGCCCATGCCACCATGACCAGCTAATTTTTGTATTTTTTGTGGAGACGGGATCTCAGTTTTTTGACCAGGCTGGTCTCGAACCCCTGGGCTCAAGTGATCCTCCCACCTCAGCCTTCCAAAGTGCTGGGATTACTGGTATGAGCCACTGTGCCTGGCCTGGATTAGTAGTTTTGATAGCTGAGGGAAAATTAACATATCTAAATATTTTGTTTCCAGATACTGGAGGTAAAGCTGAATAACTGTTGCGGGCCGGGCACGGTGGCTCACGCCTGTAATCCCAGCACTTTGGGAGGCCGAGGCAGGTGGATCACGAGGTCAAGAGTTCAAGACCAGCCTGACCAAGATGGTGAAACCCCGTCTCTACTAAAAATACAAAAATTAGCCAGGCGCAGTGGCAGGCGCCTGTAATCCCAGCTACTCGGGAGTCTGAGGCAGAATTGCTTGAACCTGGGGGGCGGAGGTTGCAGTGAGCTGAGATTGTGCCACTGTACTCCAGCCTGGGTGACAGAGTGATACTCCATCTCAAAAAAGCAAAAACAAAAACAAAGCTGAATGACTGCTTATTCATTTTTTCCCTAAGAATTTTGATATACTTGTTAATAAAAATTAAAATGTTATTATGCTTTGCCTTTTTAAAAACTGTTAAAACAATAAAAATGATGAATGAGAAAGAAATGAATGTTTTAAAAACTATTAAAACAATAAAAATGATGAATAAGAAAGACAAAAAGAAAAAACATAAAGATAGAAACAGAAAATGCTACAAATACATATTGAGCACTGCAGGAGTCTAGGAAAAAAATAACTATTTTAACAACTCTTTTAGACTTTCCTTTAGGGTTTCTGACCAGATACAGACATGAGGTATTTGACCCTCTTTTCTTTCTTCCTTAGACTCACATATCACTGTGCATTTAGATTGAGTCAGTTCAATGGCAACATAAGGTGGAAAACCAGCTAATTTTCAATGTATTTCACTATTTTTCAAGAAAATACTGTGGTTCCCTATTGTCTATCATATAAAATAGATCTTTAAGGAATGATTTCTTACATAATCCTAATGCCATTCTCGTGCTACTTCTTTTTACTCTCCACCTTGGCCTCTGCATCAATATTGCATGTTAATTTCAATTTTATGCTCCTATCTTTTTTTTTTTTTTTTTGAGACGGAGTCTTGCTCTGTCACCCAGGCTGGAGTGCAATGGCGTGATCTCGGCTCACTGCAGCCTCTGCCTCCCGGGTTCAAACGATTCTCCTGCCTCAGCCTCCTGAGTAGCTGGGATTACAGGTGCCCACTACCACGCCCGGCTAATTTTTGTATTTTTTAGTAGAGATGGGGGTTTCACCATGCTGGTCTCGAACTCCTGACCTCAGGTGATCCACCTGCCTCGGCCTCCCAAGGTGCTGGGATTACAGGCGTGAGCCACCGCAACTGGCTTATACTCCTAGCTTATATGCATTTTGCTCCTTCTTTGTCATTTTATATCTGTCACTCTCTTCTAGCTCTTACTCAAAACATCTTAAATCCTTCCTTGTCTAATCATATTCCATCTAACATATTTCCGTTCAGTTTTTACTATTGACTAGACTTGCATATCTATAGTAACAAAAGGGTCAACGAATTAAAGGAACTAAAGCTTATTGAAAACTTACCATAGCCAGGCAATGCCACTTATGGTTTTACATAATCGACATTATTAATTCTTTATGGAACAAAAGGTTGGCTCAGAGAATTTGAATACTTTGCAAACAGGCTAAAAACTAAAAATTGGCAGAACTGGGGTTCAATCCATGGCCATCTATTTCTAAACCCTATCTACTCTTCATCTCATATACTGCCTCCTAATCCAAAATGGTGGCTGATTAAAAAAAGAATTCCAATTTTAACTTTGGAAAAAATGTATTTTGTATTTATGTTTGAACATAGCAGTATCCAAAAGTATAGAAATATATGTCAAACCAAATAATAAGCCCACAATATAAAATTTAATAGAGTTACTTTCTCTTAGGCTGGCACAAAGCACCAGGATAAGCAGGAACCCCCTTTCTTGAGCTTTGATTAGATGGTAGTCATAAGTTTGGAATGCCTTTTATATTATTTTTTCTATGAAATATTATCAGTTGTAATTAACCCCTTGTCATTTTGTTTGTTAGATTATTAGCTTATTTTGTTAGATTATGAGCAAAGATTATTTTTTCTTTCAATGTTACCTATTCCCTAGAATTTGTCTAGTTATATAGAGTAGTTATTTAATACACACTTGTGGGTTAACTATAATCAGAAAACCCAGTTTGCCTTATGACCAGCTAATTTCTGAATGTATAATAATGTCCCATGTAACCACCCTCATCAAAGAGAGGATTCTACTCCATATTAATAAAATACAAGGAAATAATAAAATGTAAGAAAACTATTCCCCATAAGATGCCTGTACATAATAAACATATCTATAATCAATCTCCAATGAAGTTTTTTCTTAAACTCTATTGGTATTGACTTTCATTTTGTATGCTCTGTATCTTCCCTATTTACATTAACAGTATCTTCATCATCTTTGACTTCTTCCTCACTTTGTTATCTTCAGCCATCTCTATTCCTTTCAACTTCAATAAACAATCTTCAGTTCAATCTGTGCAATTTAAAATAGACAATTTTAAAAAAGATTTTAGCAAGTCCTCTAGTTATTATGCTCCCAGCTTATATGCCTTTTGCTCCTTCTTTGTTGTTTTATATCTGTCACGCTTCCAGCTCTTACTCAAAACATCTTAAATCCTTTCTTGTCTAATCATATTTCATCTACAATATTTTCTTTCAGTACCTGTTCAGTTTTTACTATTGACTAGTCTTGCTTGCTCATCTATATTAATAAAAGGGTGAAAGAATTAAAGGAACTAATGCTTATTGACAACGTACCATATGAAAGCCAGTTTCATATTACCTTTTGCCACTAGATGGCGCCTATGTCTAAGTAACAATCCCTATTCTTTAAGTTAAACTATTTGGGGAAAAACCTTGTCTTCCTTTGAGGTAAATCCAACTGGTGACTTTTCATGATAGGTGAAATGTACCTCTTTAAGAATTAAAGAGGCCAAGCATGCTGGTGCACGCCTGTAATCCCAGCATTTTGGGAGGCCGAGGTGGGCAGATCACTTGAGGTCAGAAGTTTGAGACAAGCCTGGCCAACATGGTGAAACCCCATCCCTACTGAAAATACAAAAATTAGCTGGGCACAGTGGTGGGCACCTGAGATCCCAGTTACTTGGGAGACAGAGGCAGGAGAATCACTTGAACTTGGGAGACAGAGATTGCAGTGAGTTGAGATCAGGCCACTGCATTCCAACTTGGGTGACAGAGTCAGACTCTGACTCAAGAAAAAAAAAAAGAATTATTCCTTAAGAATTGTTACTTTTAAGCAATCCATCTAAAAGTGGTGACACATTTCTCTCCCTTCCTAAACTAGGGTTTATAAACCTGTTTCCTGATAATTAATAGTGATCATCAATCATGATACTACACAATGACATACAAATTATTCTGAAGTATTTGACCCTACATTAAATGGCCCCAGATAATTATACATTTTGAGATAACTCTTTACAGTATTTTAGTAGAATTGTAATTTGAGGCTTGTTTTTAAATAAGCATGTTTTTCCTTTTTTCCAGATAGTACTTTTTAAAAGCAACTACTAATAACAAGTGTCTTCTTTCCCCAACTTTCATTTATAAATATTGCCACCTTTCATGTACTGTGTTCAAATAAACCAGATAAATGAAGTTATTAGAATTGGGTCTAATACAAGTCTTATTTGTGAATTACATGGGCTTTACAATATTTTATGGAATCTGTTTTGTGTGATCTATGACATCTAGATCATTTGAAGTACTGAGATGTTTTGATAGTTAAAGTTGCTTAAAAGTGGTATATTTTAAATATTGATTATATTTCTAATTAATAACTGAGTTCTAGAGCATTCAAAAACTTGAATGTTATTTCCTATATTAAGATTCCCCTTTGACTTCTGTTCCCTTTTAATTTTAGCATTAATAATATTATTGATTCCATTAAAGTGACTGCAGGTCTGATAACTTACTTACTTTATATAAGTAATCTTAAGTCTTTTTTTTTGGTCTGAGACTGAGTCTCGCTGTGTCACCCAGGCTGGAGTGCAGTGCAGTCGCATGATCTTGGCTCACTGCAACCTCTGCCTCCCGGGTTCAAGAGATTCTCCTGCCTCAGCCTCCTAAGCAACTGGGATTACAGGTGCATGCCACCACACCCAGCTAATTTTTGTATTTTTTAGTAGAGACAGGGTATCATCATGTGGGCCAGGCTGATCTCAAATTCCAGACCTCAGGTGATCCGCCCACCTCTGCCTCCCAAAGTGCTGGGATTACAGGCTTGAGCCACCATGCCTGGCCTGTAAATGTATTTCTGTGACTACTGAAAAAATAATAATTTTGTTTATAAAAGGGAAATATTTAAAGAAACTTAGGACAAGCATGAATATTAACCAGTAAAGTCATTCTCAAGCTTTAGTATGCATAAGAATCAAGTAGAGATCTTGTTACAATTGTATACAGATTCCAGGGTTACAACGCCAGAGACTGTTTCAGTTGGTATGAGGTAGAGACCAGAACTGTGAATTTTAAATAAACACTGCAACTAATTCTTTTACCTCTGTGCTTGTCAAGGTTCTTAGCTTGCCGTTAGGAAGAAATTCTCACTTGATGGATGTGAAGTTGAGTGTTTTGTTTTGGATTCAAAATTAAGATGTGTTATAGAGCTATAACTTACAAGAGGAAATGTAGTTCACATCAAAGACTCTACTAAAGTAATACTTAAAATTTTATTTAATACTTAATAAATAATACTTGAAGATATCTCTTCATTGTCAGAATGACATCTGAAGATAGTGTACTAAAATCATTTCAGATTATTATTAGTAAAACTTTCTAATATGCAATTATGAAAAATTAACTAAAATTAAGGTAACTATATCAGCTTTTTTTACAATGATCCTTATTTTTTAAAATACCAACTCTTTCTAAAAATCAACTTTTGCTGTCTTTACCTGGTAGTAACACTTTTCCATTCCCTTTCAGTGACCCTGTTTTGAGCAGTGTTAACACCTTAGAAAAACTTCCAGATAAATGTCGTGTATCTTTTGGTCTACTTTAACAACAAAACGGACTCTCCTTGTTATCCTATTTGCTCAACCAATGTACATTCTTACTCCTGTGTTTATACAGTACAGTCATTAGTAGTTTTTACTTTTCTAGTCTTTTGGACCATTAAACTAGAGTTTATTATCCTCCAGGTGATGAATCTTATTTACAAATTCATTGCAGATCATGTGTGGGCAGCATGATTGCTGATCCTGCCTAACGAATACATTTAGTGTTTAATTTTTTTTCTGTTGCTATTTTCTAATTTGAAGTGGGTAGACCAAAAGCAATTAATTCTATTCCAGTTTTTCAGTACTTTGCTGCATGCTTCTTCTGTCACTACAGATGCTTATGACTCTTAATGTATAGCTTTAAATAACACTGATATTAGAGATGTGCTGATACTAAATTACATGCTTCTAATAACTGTGTCTTTCAGGTAAACCAGAGCTGCTAATTACTTTAAGGTTTTTTAAGTCACATCTTCATAATTTAAATTAATTTACCTTTACCAAAACTGCTTATAATCAGATTGCTGTAATAATAATCATAGAACTAGAAATATCTAAGAACATTTGAAAATATGGCTCAAAGACCATAATACTCAGCTGAAGGTAGGTATCTGAATTTTTACCAGTTTTCTTATATCTACATATAAAATTAAGAAATAGACATGTGAGGTATTTTAGATTTAGAAGTTAATAGGTTTTCATACTCCTCTGTTATCTAGTCAACCAAAATGTAGAATGAAGTAGAAGAGGAGCTTTGGATTTGTAAAAACAAGCATTCATTGAGGCTGTCAAAAGACTCCAAAATTTCTAGTGATGTTTACAAAGCTTTTAGCATTAGAGTGAGTGAATAGGAAAGTGAATTAAATGAACAAGTAAATATTTATGTAAATTTATCTTGACATATCCAAAGCCCTAATGTCACAAGAATATAGTATGTAATAGAAGTATCTTCATTTTTCTTTCATTTAAAAAAACTGTGAACTGGTTCTATATCATAATATTAGGTTAATGACACTTCAACAACTTCAACCTTAACATCATAATAGACAACCAAGTACCAAAAAAAACTATGTGACATTAAATAGGACTCGATACTTGGGAACAAAAAGAGTAATAAGTGTGATGCAAATGGATTTAAGTATAACTATTTTTAGTATGTGTTATATTTCTAGCACTGTGCTAGGTATGCTTATATAGGTTATTTCGTTTAATCTTCAATCCTATACATCTTTTGCAGATGAGGAAATAGTAACTTGTTCCTGGCTTATTAGTTTTCCTGTTCTCAATTATATATGCCCCAGTAATAGTAAGTATTACCACCCCTAGAATTATTAATACTAAGGCCGTGTAAGTACAAACATCATCAGATGGGTGCTTGAACTAGATGTGTTCAAAATTCATCCAGCTCTGAGGTTCTATAAATTTATATAACAGTGTGCTGATTTAGATAATGGAGTGCCTTAGAAACCATGCAGCTAGGGCACAAAACCAGTAGGACAATATGAGTATGAGGCAGAAACCATGTCCCGATACTCATAGATAAGCCACATCCATAGCAGTCTATTCAGGAAAGTTTGGAGCTGATTATTAATATAAAATTAATTGTATGCCCTTAATGCTCCAAATCTTAGTAAAATAATCGCCTAGTAACTTAAACATGAGAAAGAACTGACTAAAAAGGAACCAATCCCCCAATTTTTTAAACAGCCAACTTAATACTCTCACCTACAGAATGAGCAGAGGTTAGAACATTCTAATCCTATTTTTCCGTAGGACACAAAAATAGAAGCCGCTTGCATTGAAATAGTACTGTGACTAAGCCTAGCCTCACTGTTGCATGTTTCTAATTGCATGCACTTCAAGGTTTGAATTTTTTTAGAAAGCTATTAAAAAGTGGGAAAGTAGGCCCTAAAGTATGACTTAGAGTTTACTTTAAAAAATTCAACTACTTAAAATTCACTAGTATTTAAGGCAGTGTTATTTTTCACTTCTTTTTACTTTATTCATTTTCATTTTTAGAAGTAGTCATACAGATAACTTATATGCTCATGTGCATGGACTTAAAAAAATAACAACCTGGACAAATAAAAATGGCCAGTTAAAAAATATAGAGGAGAGAATAAAGAATATTTAATAAATTTTGCCTTACTTTAATATTATCTTTTGGCTACTTTACATGATTAATTTGAATTTGAATGAACTCCAATGGCAAAGAACTCCTAAGTGTTTGCTCCAATGAGTTGGGAAGAATGTTTGGTTTTTCTGCTTAATCTCTCAGATATTTTCGCATCTTTTCTGTAGTATAGTTGCATTTTGTGAGGCAAGTAGTTTCTTAGAGTCAGTCCCTAATTTCTCATTCAGATTAATCTTAACTCTATTTTGTATTGCTGTAAAATATATTTAATATGAAACCATTTTAACTATTCACATTGCTGTGCAATCATCACTGCCGTCCATCTCTAGAACTTTTTTGACTTTCTTAAAAACCCTCATTGTTAGATGTAGAAGTGGGAAATTGTTGCAGCATTTTGTGACACCCACTCTACCTTTCTTAGCTAGTTTCCACAAGATAAATTTGCCAAAGACCTTCTAATCTGAAAGGCCGCATTTATCTGTAAATGCTAATAGGATGAGGTAGCTAAGTAAAATCATGACATCAAAAAGTGGATGGGCCAATGCAAATTATGAGGAGTAATAAGGATGTCTGCAAGCTCATAGATGTTTTGAACTATCTGTAAAATTATAATCATATATTTGAAATAAAAACTTTTTAAAACCACTAAAATGAAAAGCTAAAGTTATGAATTCCTATAGCATAGAATTTTTTTTTCTCCAGAATACGAAATATGGCACACAAGATAGGAGTTTATGTTATATTGGGGCTAAAAACTTGTGAAAATTCAATTCTTTGTATATTAATTATTTATATATCTGAACATATTACCGTAGATAATGAATCTCCAAAACAGCTTCATATGGTTGTTCTGAAAATGTGTATGTAAAATAAGACCAAACTCACTCTTCCAGGAAATCTATTCATTCCATAATTTGGTTTTCAATTGAGCCTAACCATACCCCAGGTGAAAATAACAAGATCCAGATATGTCAGTATTGACGTACATATAGGTGGTTCTTTTATTATAATTTGTGAAATGCTTGCAAGCTGTCTTGGTGGGGGATCTCACATGGAGAGAGATAATCAAGATACAAGATGACAAAGGTCAGTCAAGTTGTGCAGTTTCGTGAAGTGATCAAGTACAGTATGTTTTAAACAAGGTAAATTGTTGGCCTATTCAAAGGTGAGGTGCTACGGTATAACATTTTAGTGCAAATTATTTGATATTTTAAAAGTTATTTCTTGTTATTTCTCTTCAGTCTAAAGTGACTGACAACACTTCTGAAATCACTTGCTTCCATTTGAGTGGCATTTCATTAAAACATCCCAAGCTAAGATCCCTCTTTATTCCTTTATTAAGAACTGCAGTCTACATCAAAACTGTCTACAACCAGGAGCTGTTTGTATTTATGTCTTTACATTAACTACTTTTCAACTGTATTGAGAAAATCACTTTTGTTTTTCAATTACTTACTGGATTCTAAAAGAAACAGTTGTCAGAAATAAGTTTACAGTGGCGAATGGCTGCTTCAATAGGTGTAAAATCAATTTGTAACTTTTATTTAAGAAAAGGGATCTGCCAAACTATCCACTGTTCCTTTAGTTACCTTTTTTTGGCAACAATGATATAACTAATTCCAAAGGGAGAATGTTGTTCTTTAAAAATCAAAACAGCGTACTTTACCACCAAGTCAAGCATATCATGTGCTGTATTGACATTTTTGAGGAAATAAGTTTTTTTCAAACTTTCTTCTTTATATGTCTGTATTTTCTCCTTGCAATGATATGGTAATCTCTTCACTCTACAAGTCAATCTATTTAAGAATCAAAGTTTACAGTGAAGGGGCCAATGATCAAACTCATGTAGTGTTAAGATGGAGGAATGGGCTGGGCGCAGTGGCTCACACCTATAATCCCAGCATTTTGGGAGGCCAAGGTGGGTGGATCACTTGATGTCAGGAGTTCGAGACTGGCCTGGCCAACATGGTGAAACCTGTCTCTACTAAAAATACAAAAAATTAGCCGGGCGTGGTGGCACACGCTACTTAGGAGGCTGAGGCAGGAGAATCGCTTGAACCCAGGAGGTGGAGGTTGCAGTGAGCCAAGATCATGCCATTGCACTCCAGCCTGGGCAACAAGAGTGAAAACTCCATCTCAAAAAAAAAAAGAAAAATAAATGGAGAAATGACAACGGCTGCAGAGGAAACGGATGGACCAACTATGCTAGCAGGTGCTACGCTAAAATAAAGCTTATAATTTTAAATTTTTTACTCTTTACATTTCTCTTGAGATCAACTTCTGCACTTCAAAATCAATGACTAAAATTGCATAAGCAAGAGTGGTAGGTAGATATGTTGTCTAATAGAGTTAGATTGGTGCCAATCTTCATTTGGGGTGAGAGAACCATTGTTAACTTGCAAATTTTTTAAAAAGGCCATATAAGACATTTAGGTTCTTACTTAAACATATCAAATTGCAATGAATTTGCAAGGTGGAAGATTTTGGTACAAATAATAACTGGAGAAGTACAATGCTTGCA
The DNA here is from genome assembly GCF_000001405.40 of Homo sapiens. NCBI lineage: Eukaryota > Metazoa > Chordata > Mammalia > Primates > Hominidae > Homo > Homo sapiens. The sequence continues at coordinate 161,266,456 of NC_000002.12, read as the reverse complement.
AATACTCGGAAAATAATTTAAAACTACCAAAGGCAAAGTATTAACGGCCTGCATTTGAAAACAAAACTGTTGCATTGAAGCTTAGCCAACTAGGCAAAAACACATGGTTCCTGGGGACCCCGTCAAGCGGATAAGTTATTTCGGGTCTACCTGAGGAGGGACAAAGATGAGAGGAGCCATTTAAGAGCAGTTCTGCTTTCTGCCTCTTTTGTTCTTACCAGGGTGCCCATTTTTAAAGTATTCAAACAAAGAACCACAAACCGCCAGTCACACCATAATACCAGCTTGTGTTTACATTTTCAGCTCTCCGGATCGTGATCCTATTCAGTGCACACAGAGCGAGTGCTCGTGTACACGCGCCCATCCGCCATCAGGAGGACTGAAACTGTAAACACAAGCTGGTATTTTGGTGTGATCACGCTAATATGGCGGTTTGTGAGGTCAAGGGGTGGAAGGTGAATTATGGATCCAGAATTTCCTTGCTTTTGTCAGTTTAAGTCAGGCTGCTTGCGAGTAGCTGCTTTTCAAACTTGAATAACTCAGCTATTTTAAAGCAATGGAGACCTACCTTAAATAATTAGAGGGGCTACACTGGAGAAGTGTCTTCCCAGGAAAGTAGTGGAGGCTCCATTCTGCAGAACCTTTAAAATTAGACCATGAAAGGCATGTAACAGCCTCGTTCTCAACATAACCATGAGTTGTTCACAGCATAAAGTGTTGGGTAAAACAACCCAAGGTCTTTATAAAACTTCTCATCTCAATGGAAAACCATTTAGGTGGCTTGTTTTATTATTAGAAGTTCACTTAACAAAAAAATGGAAAATAGTTTATTTAACTGTCCAGTGTACCCTAAAAAGAAATGAACCAAGTTTCAGACAGAACTCGGAATACTTCTCCCACTTTGCTGTTGAGGAAAAAATTATCTTTGTTGTTTAGTTACAGGTAGGCAATATATCTTTAACCAAAGTTGTGCTAGATGGGGTCTTCAAGGTTATTTGGATTTTGATGTACTAAGAAAATATCCTCAGTAGAAAAATACCAGAAATGGCATTCCAACTCACCCTACCAAGGACAAGAAGCAGATCATTAGGAACAGATATATTGGAGCTTGGCCCTGTAAAAACATAGGATAGCTAACAAATACATAAAATTAGTTGTATGGCCTCATTTATTCCTTCATAGAGATACAGGTAAGTATAATACTTTCATTAATTTTAAGAAAGTATAACATTACTAAAGTCATCCAAGTTAGATAAATGGAGGTTTCGGTAAACGGGATGCATTTATACTACTATTAGCTCTTTTGAGTGAAGGTTACATGAGGACTGGTTATGTTTCCAGCAAAGCGATTTTAAATTTCATTCCTGCTGACAATATGGACATTTCTTTCGATGTGTATTATTTATATTTGTGTAAAAAATAGTTCTAAAATAGAAGTCAGTTATCAAACTGCATATAGAAATGGAAAACAAATTTTTTTCTTCGTATATGAATTTATTTCCAGTTCATCCAAATTCAGTTCGAAACAAAGTTTGAAAGACAGAAATTTTTTTCACCTTGAGGTGAACAGACTAATAGTAATGAGTGTGTATATATGTGTTGGATATTATATATGTGTATTTTTAGTTGTCCAGTAGAGACCAATCATTTTCGTGACAATATTGCAGTTTCTAGAAGTAAAAAGTTCATATGCTCCTTTGGTCCATTATAATCTTAAAGCTTTCTAAAAGCATGGAATTATCAGCCATCAATATTTTCTTGCAGAAACCATCTCTGGACTAATACAGAACAATTAATGACTTCTTCCCCTTCATGTACATGTATTTATATGTAATAATTTATGTAATAGATGCATACAAATATCTATATAATGAGCAAACCTACAAGTAAATATCTAGAATACTAAACAATCCATATTAGTTTAAGTGAATTCTTTTCAGGGTTATCTTGTCTCTTCTGTTAGATCATCAACTATTTAAAAGTTTGTACATTTAAATGAAAGTTGTAGCTCCCAATAGCATCATTCGTTCTGTTGATATTCAATTAAGATGACAGTGCTTATGAAAAATGGAGGTGGTGAGAAGTGAGAAGAAAACAGAAGGTAGCTGGGTGCACTGGTGTGCACCTGTAGTCCCAGCTACTCGGGAGACTGAGGCAGGAGGACCTTTTGAGCCCAGGAGTTAAAGCCCAGTCCGGGCAACCTAGGAAGACCTAATCTCTAAAAGAAAAAAAACATAAACAAAACAGAATATAAAGAGAAGCTAATGTCTCGCAAGACTGTTAAGACCTAAGTAAGATTTTTAACATTTTTTTGTATCATATCATTAACATGTCTTTTGTTGCTTGTTCTTCAACAACGTATCCTTTCTCCATTGACTTTAGAAATACTACTATAAAAGGAAAAGGGAAGTAGATTTAAAGAACAAAGAAAATAATATGAATGATTAAAACCAAACAAAAAGCCGCATTATTTATTGCTGAATTTTCCTGCTTTAAGGTTTTTACCTGCCTATTTCTTTCTTGGAATGCGTTTATAGAAAAATGTATGAAAGCAGCTTTATTTTCTACTTGTTGAATTAAAAACTTTTCTTCCTGGGAAGATGAGTGGCTATTTCTGAATCTGAATCGTTAAAGCAGTAACTATCACTAGATTTTGTTCCATCTTATTAGTATAATACCTTTTCATTTAGAAAATAGCAATAAATTTGGCCGGGTGCAGTGGCTCATGCCTGTAATCCCAGCACTTTGGGAGGCCGAGGCGGGTGGGTCACTTGAGGTCAGGAGTTCAAGACCAGACTGGGCAACATGGTGAAACCCTGTCTCTACTAAAAATACAAAAATCAGCTGGGCGTGGTGACACACACCTGTAATCCCAGCTACCAGGAGGCTGAGGCAGGAGAATCGCTTGAACCTAGGAGGTGGAGGTTGTAGTGAGCTAAGATTGCACCACTCCATTCCAGCCTGGGCAACAGAATGAAACTCTGTCTAAAAAAAAAAAAAAAAAAAAGCCAGAGGGGAGGGTGGGGGAGAAAATAGCAGTAAACTTTAGGAAATCATGCTTTTATTTGCAGTTCTTCTGCTGACCAGATCAGATTCTGTAGAGGCCGTATGCGATAAGGGATGCCTACATTTTCTCCTTAATAATCTTAATATTAGAAGTCAGCTTAAAATGGCCTTAAATGAGACAGGCTTCAACCATAAAAAAAAATTTCCTCTTTTCAGGAAAGACCTCTGTTAAGACTAAGTTATGCTTCAGAGAAAATAATGAAAGACTTGGTTTAGATATTCAGGATTTTATAAAGTGGAGATCAAAACCTGTAGCTGAAATCTAGTGAGAGTGAACAAGTAAGTTTAAGCATTTGTAACATTTTAAAAATTTACTTTTTTTGGAAGGCAATTTCTCAATATATGTCAGCATATCTCTTCCTTATTCATTATTTAAAATATTTCTCATGATAAAACAGGTAAAAACAAAAAATAATTATGTACCTAAGTTTTAGATTGTAAACAAGTATATACAAAAGTAGAGTCTAAGAAATGACAAGAGGTAAGTAATGTTTTTTGTAATTTTAATATTTGAATTACAAAGGTCTATATGGACAAGACTTAATCTCAGCAATAAATAATGTCTTGTGTGAGGTAAGCAGATAAATAGAAAATAAAATGTCAAAACAGAACATACATGAATACATATTAATATCTACTGGGATTCAAGTAACATAAGTTGTACATAAAGAAAAACATTAATAGAGAATAATTAGAGAATAAGTATTTCATGTTATACTCAAAAATTGTTTATCAGAGAAATGGTTCTCTGTGTAAAAATTGCTTTTAAAAATCAAAGATTTGTTTAATTATTTCATACTTAAATGCATGCTCATCATTAAAAATTAAAACAACACACCAATATATTAGAGTAAAAAGTGAAAGCTCTTCCCCACATCTTAAAACACATCATTTTATCATCAGAGGTTAATATGATTAAAAGTTTGACATCTGTGATGGCCTGAATGTTAGTGTTCTCACCTCCCACCAATTCATAGTATTAAGAGGTAGGGTCTTTTTTGAAGTGATTGAGTCATGAGGGCTCCACTCTCATGAATGAGATTAATGCCCTTATAGATGAGGTTGGGAAGAGTGCCCTCTGTCCTCTTCTGCTATGTGAGGATGCAGCGTGAAGGCATCATATTGGAAGCAGAGAATAAGCCCTCGCCAGACATTGAATCTGTTGGAGCCTTGATCTTGGACTTCCCAGCCTCCAGAACTATTAGAAATAAAATTTTATTATTTATAATTTTCCCAGGCTAAGGTATTTTGTTATAGCTGCCCAAGCAGACTAAGACCATGTCTATTATTTCAGCATATATCCTTAAGCATTTACATCACATACATTGTTTGGAGAGGTTTGCTTGTTTAAACTCTAAGCAACACATCTTGAAGATCTTTTCATGTCTATATACATAGATATACCTCCTTCTTTTAAAATTGTTGCATAGTGTTTCAAAGTGAAGATATACCTTACTTTATTAAACTATCTATGATGAATATTTAGGTTCTTTCAAGTGTTTTCTATTGAAAACAATGATGCCACATGTAGCCTTGCACGTGTAGCCTTTGTGGGTACATTTGAGTATTTTATAGTATAGTCTTAAAGAAATGGAATTACTGAGTCAAATGCATGTGTACTGTATTTTGATGAACACTGCCAAATTTCCAACTACAGTGAATGAAAATGCCAACTAAACTTTTTTGTGTGTGTGTCAAATTACTTCTCACCTGATATGTTAGTCCTTTACCTTGATATAAAGAAATACCTGAGACAGGGTGATTTATAAAGAAAATAGATTTATTTGACTCAACATTCTGAAGGCTGTACACAAAGCATAGTGCTTGCATCAGCCTCTGGTGAGGGCCTCAGAAGCTTTTAATCATGGCAGAAGGTGAAGGGGAGCCAGCATGTCACATGGTGAGAGAGGGAGCAAGACAGAGGGAGGAGGTGCCAGTCTTTTTTAAACAACCAGATCTTGTGTGAACCCATAGAGCAACAACTCATTCATTACCTTGAGGACAACACCAGGCCATTCATGAGAGATCTGCCCCAATGACCCAAACACCTCCCACTAGGCCCACCTCCAGTATCAGAGATTACATTTCAACATGATATTTGGAGGGGACAAAACATCCAAACCATATCACCTGAGAATAGCTAAATACTTTTAAACTGTGGCTTTAAAAACAGCAAAGTTATGGAGAAGTTAAAAAAACCAAAGAAGGGTCAATTGTGTTACCATTATATTACATTGTCAGTTAATCAAAACAACAAATAAATATTGAGTGTTGCCATGCCTCTGGTGCTGTTTAGTGGTGGAAAAGTAAACTAGAAGGCAGAATAAACACTATTTTCACCTTTACGACCATAGTCAGTTCTGACAGTGGGGTCCTGTGATACAGTTTTTTATCTTACAAAAAAAAGTGTTTTAAATAAAACACAAAATATTATTAAAAATTAATTTTAGAAATTGAAATAGACATCCTACATTATTTCCACCTTGTGCATATTTCCATGCATTGATGATTCTATAGCTAAGAAAGCAAGGCTGTCACTTTTGGTCACACTCTCCTCTAAATGGGTTGATCTCTCTTGCTGCAATGCAAAGAATACTTTAAGGGATATTCACAACTAACACAGACATCAACACAGTTTGACAGCCTATTAGTCTTGCAAATATGAATTTATCAATAGTTGAGATAACACAATAAAAAAGTGGAACCCATTGGAAGGCTTTCAAGCAGTGAAGGCCATTTAATTATGTAAAACTAACAAAGCAGAGAGAAGTTAGAACAGACCTTCATTTGGGGCAAAATGAAATCAGAGTCAATAATATCAGTGGTTTGGAAATATTCTAAAAATCTGGGGACAGGATTGACCCATTTGTAATCTGTAAATGTACTGCTTTCTTATACAAAGTTTATACCAGTGGGTTGAGTAGGGAATAAACTATTTGTGCTTTCCATATATATACACACATTTCACAGAACTATAGACAGATGTTTAAATAAAAACAAAACAACTTTACTTCATTCTTGCTTTCTACCAAAACACATTTCTTATTATTGGATCTAAATTAACTGAGGCCTGGATGTGGTGGCTCATGCCTGTAATCCCAGCACTCTGGGAGGCCGAGGTGGGAGGATCTTTTGAGGCCACCAGTTTGAGACCAGCCTGGACAGCATAGTGAAACCCAATCTCTGTAAAAAAATTAAAAATTAGTCAGGTGCAGCGGCATGTGCCTGTAATCTCAGCTCCTCAGGAAGCTAAGGTAGGAGGATCTCTTGAGCCCAGAAGGCTATGGCTGCAGTGAGCTATGATTGCACCATTGCGCTCCAGCCTGGGCAACAGAGCGAGATCCTGTCTCAAAAAAAAAAAAAAAAGATAAATTAATCAACAGGTCTATATTTTTGAGAACTGACATTTATCCTCACTTAAAAATTCTTATCTCACACATATATATACACACACGCATGCACCCATACACATACACACACACACATACATGGAACAGTTAGTTCCTCATAAGACTGAAAGCAAAGGATGTTGCTCCTCCCAGTTGCCTTTTTACTGAGAATTTCGCATGTTTTTTTTTTAATTATTACAGACTCCTTTTAAAATGCATGGAAGATGCCCCTTTCAAAATTCAGTTTTTTAGAACTAACAAATAATATTTAAAAGGGGATTTTCATTCCAAAACTTGAGTCTTTGGAGGATAACTTAAAATATATGGCTTTAAAATTAAGGCTCAAAGTAGTGTTTAAAAATACATTTAAAACCCCATATTTCTGTATTATAATCAATAATGAATGGGCATAGTTTGAGTCACATTTTATTGGATGCTTTTGCCTAATAGCCTAAAATGATCCACAGAACAAAACTGACCAAATGAATTCCTAATATATCTGTTGCTATTTATCAAGAAGCAGTAAATTGGACAACTATGCTATTTTATTTTACATTAAAAATGTACATAAATATGTCAGATATTTTGCTATGATGAACTACATAATAAATACACAAGTTAATTTATTAATGAATACTACAGATTAACATGTTAGGCAATTTATCTTGAGATTAATTTATAAGCTCATAGTGTTAGAAGAGTATCTGTCTATCTCTGGCCTTCAAATGACAGTTTTAACCAGATTCATAATTGTCTATTCTCTTGCTTATAACATAGAATTATTTCACTTTCCAGACATAGAAAATGTTAAATCTTTCTTGATATTTATCTTTAGTATTTCCATGACTTAACAACAATCATTGCTCCTTATAGTCATAAATTGTTTTCATGAAAATTTTTTTGTTCTTATTTAGACATAGAGGAACAATGCTCATTATTTTTTCTCTGGAAATAAATTTTACAAGTGAATACTAATCAAGTCAGTACCTTAGCCTTTTAAGACTAAAAATGCCAATTCCCTTAGCTTGTCTCAAGGACCTAAATTAGATCTTTTTAGCTACTTTTTTATTCTTTGAACTCTCATCAATTTCTACACATCCTTTAAAAATGTGGTTCAAAGCAGGAAATAATTTTCAAATGAAAGTATAATTAGGGCCAGGTGCGGTGGCTCACGCTTGTAATCCCAGCACTTTGGGAAGCTGAGGTGGGAGGATCACTTGAAGTCAGGAGTTTGATACCAGCCTGGCCAACATGGTGAAAACCCGTCTCTACTAAAAATACAAAAATTAGCCGGGCATAGTGGTGCGCAACTGTAATCCCAGCTACTCAGGAGGCTGAAGCAGGAGAATCACTTGAACCCGGGAGGCAGAGGTTGCAGTGCACTGAGATCACGGCACTGCACTCCAGCCTGGGCAACAAAGCCAGACTCCATCTCAAAAAAATAAAAATAAAAAAATATATATATATATACTTTTATATATATATATAAAAGTATAATTTATACATGAAACAGAGGAAAAATGGTTTCCTGCCTGTTTGGGATATTTCATAAATCATGAAAACTCTTTTTCATCCGCATTGGGGACCGTTCGTGTACTCTAGATAGACCCTCAAGTCTTTTTTCTCTGTGCTTTTTGCCTAGACATTCCTGCACAATTCTATATGTTATTGTTTATGTGTACACCTCACATTTGCTTCTTTTGAGCCTCATTTTAAAAATATGATCATTATCCTAATTTAAATTTTAGTTTATTTTTCCAGGATACTAACCACCCCAATTTATTCAATATCATTTGCAAATTGGTGCAGCATAGTTTTGAATTTTTTGAATAAACAAAAAATATGTTGATTATTACAGGTTCCAAGTCATTCCTGAACCTCCTCTTGGTAAGGCTCTGGAACAACTTGCTCATCAGTCTAAAAGTAGTATGACTGAGAAGATATTTTCCTCACTTATTAAAAAGATGAACATATGTGATGGAATCTAAAATCCATTCATCTGGAGGAAAAAATGGTAGAGAATAGTCAGAAAATCCTTTAAAAGAAAGAATGATAGGGGTAGGAGCTAATCTGCCTTATCATCTATATAATTGAGTCTTCACAATTATTGTATTTGACACTGAGGAAACTGAGACTTAGAAAATATAACTAGCTCAGTGTGGTAGATATTATTATTTGCTTACAGTTCTTCATTTTCTCTAAGTCCCTGACATGCCTTCCCCGTGGAGACAATGCATTTTCCTTTCGCATTCACTTAGGGTTGATTGTGTGATCTTCAGACCAATGCAGTGTACGTGGAAAAAACAATGTGTTGGAGTTGAGGTTTAAGAGTGTGGCAAGTTTCAGCCAGCCTTCTTGTACTCTTACCATCCATTATAAGAAGAATTTATTCCAGGGAGCTGTTGTTATCACAGCCTGAAAAAACAGAAATGTGTAGCACTCAAATCTGACCTGTAGCTTGGAGCAAAGTCCATTTGTGTCCAGAAGAACACTGCAGTGTCACAGCTGACCCAGATACCCACGAAAGAGAAATAAATATTTTTTGTTGTACGCCACTGAGATTTGGGGAAGTGTTTGTCACACAGCATTATTGCAGAAAAACCTGAACAATACCTCGGAATCACACAGCTAAAAAATGTCAACGAAATAGAGGCAAAAATCCGGAACTAGATAACAGCATATCCAAGAATGTAGTGGAGAAAATAATGGATTGCTCAAAAGTGGTGTGGGGATAGTAACTAAGCCCTTGGAAGAAATATTAAATCTCTAATGTATACTTTAAAAAAAGAAACTCTAAGTTGGTAAGAGATATAAATGAAAAATATGAAAAGATAAAGATAATATAATTAGAATAAAATACTGAATTTTTTCTTACTAATCTTGTAAAGAATGTCTAAGAGTGATACCAAAGTCATTAATTGGAATACATAAAAACTTTGTATGACAAAAATGGCATAAACAAGGTAAAAAGACTAAAGACATACTAAAAAAATACACATCACAAACAAAAAATTAATATTTGTAATCCTAGAGAGGTGCTTACAAGTCAATAATAATAAGAGGTATACTCCAGAAGAACAGCAGGAATAAGATAATAGGCCATAGACGCATGGAAACAAGATAAACCTCATTACTTATCAAATTCTGGAAATTAAAAGAAACAATAAAATAAAATTTCCCATCTATTGGAATGTAAATGATTTTTAAGATTATATTAACACCTGATATATTCTGAGACTTTGCGGAGTTTGAAAATTAAAAAAAAGAGAGAGAGAAGAAAAACCAATGTAGAAATGTCTTGAGAGCAAAATGACTGTGACCTCTTTTGGAGGACAGTTCAGCAATAACACATATTTTAATTTTAAGAAAAAATATTTAATTTTAACACGAAAGTCTTAAAATTATGCAGACTCATTGAGCATTTACATTTCTTAAGGAATAATCTTGTCAAATGTGAAAAGATGTATTACAATATTCAAAGTAAAAAAAGTTGAAACTACCTAAATGTTAATCAACAGGGGATTGATCAAATAAATTATGGAACATCCATAAAATAAAATGTACGTTTCAACAATAGCCATTAAGAATTATGAAGATCTGTATGGACATTAAAAGACAGCAGTGATTATATATTAAGAGAAAAAAAGGAGGCTATAAAACTGTATGTACAGTGTGATCACTTTTATAAATATGTGAAATATATGTTAATGTAATTAATTCTTGATGAATAGGCAAAATACTATTTATGGTAGTTTTATCTGGATGATAGGTTTATGGTTGATCTTCATATAAGAAAATACTTTTTGTCTATAGTATTGAATGCTTTCTACAATGATAATATATAGTCAGAAATAAAAGCAAAACACTTTCCTTTTAGAAATGAAAAAAATACAAGCAATATCTTCTGCAAATATGGAAAAAGTCTATAGGACTCAAAATGGGTGATATCTATTGTTTACTCCTTGTCTAGGTTCTCATAAATTATTCATGGAAATCCTATCGTACTAATAATTATTTTTCCTTCATTACTCCTTTGCATTCCTTTTCAGAGAGTGACAGGTATTATACTCTGCAGGCATTTATATTATAGAGTATTCTTTATAATAGATATTTTCTTAAGCCATGTTTACATGATTCAAAAAAAATCACATAAATAAAAAACAGTTACATTGGCTAAATTAGAGTATTTCTACACAAACCAATAATTTTAGCTTGAACTTGAACTGACCAACTTGAATGGACCAATTACTTTAGGATTATTTTTAAGATTAAAGTAAAGAAAATTATGAAAATCAACAGTTTCCTTCAGTTATTTAGAGGAAAAAATAATTACAAAAAAGTCTTCAATGAGACAAATTAATTTTACAAAAAATAGCAATTAGGCAATTGATATAATATTATATATATCTATCAATCTGTAGATAGAGATACAGATATAAAAAACCCAGGGATACACTAATAAACTACAGAACTTGTGTAGGACCCATATGAAGAAATTACAAAATTTTCAAAGGATCATTAAAATTTTTGAAAACTTTCTATGTGAGTAAATATTTTAAAGCTGTCCCATCATTTATAAATTTAATGTAATTCAGCGTAGGATTTCCAATAAATTTTTAAAATTAGCTATGACATTAAATTTCTTTTAATTGGGCAGCCTCTGAATCAGAATAGGTCTAGAGAGAGTCCTAAAATTTTTTTATTATGAAAATAATATGGGCTTCTCCTGAAAAATTCAGGCCATGCAGAAGGTGTTAAATGAAAAATATTGTCCTTGGCCTACATCCTAACTCCTCAATCCAACTCCCCAGGGGTAAATCATTGTAAATAGCTTTAAAAAAATTGTGGTAGGGCCAGGCAAGGTGGCTCACGCTTGTAATCCCAGCACTTTGGGAGGTCGAGGCGGGCAGATCACGAGGTCAGGAGTTAGAGACGAGCCTGACCAACATGGTGAAACCCCGTCTCTACTAAAAATAAAAAAATCAGCCGGGCATGGTGGCGTGTGCATGTAATCCCAGCTACTCAGGAGGCTGAGGCAGGAGAATCGCTTGAACCCAGGAGGCAGAGGTTGCAGTGAGCCGAGATTGCGCCACTGCACTCCAGCCTGGGTGACAGAGCGAGACTCTGCGTCAAAAAAAACAATTGTGGTAAATAAAACATATTGTTTTAAACATTTTTAAGTGTACAGTTCAGTAGCATTAGGTACATTCACATTGTTGTGCAACTATCACCACCATCCATCTCCAGACTGTTTGCATCTTGCAAAACTGAGACTCCCCTGTACACCTTTAACAACAACCCCCATTGTCCCCTTCCCTCAGCTCCTGGCAACCACCATTCTACTTGATGCCTCTATGAATCTGACTACTCTAGGTACCTCAGATGAGTGGAATTATGCAGTATTTGTCCTTTTGTGTGTAAGTAGCTTTTTAATAATCTTTTTCAAATATTTTTTTCAAAGACATTTACCAAAATTTTATGACTAATGCTTGTTCATAGTAGAAAATCCAAACTACCTAAGAAGTTTCTTTATAGTAAAGAGCAAAATTTCCTCTTCTCCACAATGTCCATTCCCATTAACCAAAGCTAACCATTGTTAATACTTTTTTTGGCCAATCTTCCAGAATGTTTATATGTATCAATAAGGAACAGCCTCACATACACATGGGCCTGCACACACACTTCTATGCTTTTTCTGACTTTTTTAATTTTAAGAAGGCTAATATATATATTGTTGTACAATTTGCTTTCTTCACTTAATATATCTTGAGTATTTTTTCACAGCAAAACATATGTTCTTAAGTGAATCTTTTTTTAACTTAATAATGTAATTCAGAATAATATGAACGAATAGTCAAGAATGACAAAGAAAATTTTGGAAAGGAAAACTACTGAAGGACTTGCAATACTAGATATAAGACTGTATTATTTAAATATTGTGATAAAGGTAGAAAAATAGAGAAATCAGTGGAGTGGAAATTAATCTCAAGAGAGGTCTCTAGAAGATAAAACCTTTCAGCTAAATTCAAAAATCTTAAAATCAGTAGGAAAAAACTATATTATTCAATAAACTTGCAGGGACAAGCTGAAAAACAAGAATCCAATCCTCTCCTCACATGATAAACCAAAATAAATTGCAGACATATTAAAGCACTAAATGCATAAAATGAAAACAAAAAAAAATCATCAAATATGTAGGAGAAAACAAAAGTGAATATTTTAGCAGGTGGTCATGCGTGCCTGTAGTCCCAGCTCCTCTGAAGGCTGAGGCTGGAGGATCACTTGAGCCCAAGAGGTTGAGGCTCCAGTGAGCCATGATCGTCCCACTGCACTGCAGCCTGGGCGATAGAGCAAGATCCTGTCTGAATAAAAAAATAAAGAAGTCAATAAAAAATAATAAAAGTGAATATTTATCTAACCTTTTGTGAGGAAGATTTTCCTTTTTTTCTTCAGAGATGGAGTCTCACTCTGTCGCCCAGGCCTCCGCCTCCTGGGTTCAAGTGATTCTCCTGCCTCAGCCTCCTAAGTAGCTGAGACTATAGGCATGTGCCACCATGCCTGGCTAATTTTTGTATTTTTTATTAGAGACGGGGTTTCACCATGCTGGCCAGGCTGGTCTCGAACTCCTGACCTCGTGATCCACCCACCCCAGCTTCCCAAAGTGCTGGGATCACAGGCATGAGCCACCGCGCCCGGCCATGAGGAAGATTTTCTACAAGTAAAGGTAGAAATGTTAATGAAAACACTTGAGAAATTGACAATTTAAAAGTGAAAAAGTCAATAACAAAATATGATAAAGTTTAGCTTAGAAAGATCCTTGTAAAATGTATGGCATAGTGTTACTATGGCAATTTTACATAAACACCTTTCTTTATAAAAAATAAAAAAAATACAAACACCCCAACAGAAAAAATGGGTGTTGTATAGGAATAAGTACACTATAAAGCAATATTATAAATGGCAAACAATATATGAAATTTAAAATTTTTCAAGTAAGCAAAATAACTAAAAGTAAAAACAATTATTTTTTCAAACATCAAATTCGAGACCATTAAAAACCTGTTAACATTTAGTGTTGGTGAAGATTAGGATAAACAGACATTCTCATGTACTTCCATTTTGGAAGGCACTTTAGTCTACGTATCAAAACTCATAAAAAAATCCTTTTTGACCCTAAAATTCCCCTTTTAGAAATTTATCTGGAGGAAGTAATTATAAATGTATGCAAATATTTGTCCACAGAGATGTTCACATAACATTGTTTATGATATAGAAAAATTAGCAATTATTGGCCGGGCATGGTGGCTCACGCCTGTAATCCCAGCACTTTGGGAGGCCTAGGTGGGTGGATCATTTGAGGTCAAGAGTTCGAGACCACCCTGGCCAACATAGTGAAACCCCATCTCTACTAAAATATACAAAAATTAGCCGGGCATGGTGGCACATGCCTATAGTCCCAGCTACTCAGGAGGTTGAGGCAGGAGAATCGCTTGAACCCAGGAGGTGGAAGCTGCAGTGAGACGAGATTGTACCACTGCACTCCAGCCTGGGTGACAGAGTGAGACTCTATCTCAAAAAAAGGAAAAATTAGCAATTACCAAATACATAGTGTTAGAGAACTTGTTAGACAAACTATGGTGCATTTATACTATGGAATACTATAGTTAGTATTTAATGACATGGGAAAATGTGATATATTTTAAGGGAAGTGTCACTCATCAATGAGTAATGTCATATATCCTAATTATTTTTAATACTTACTAGTGCATAAAAATATGTATAAGAGGCCAGGCACAGTGGCTCACGCCTGTAATCCCAGCCCTTTTGGAGGCCGAGGCGGGCGCATCACGAGGTCAGGAGATTGAGACCATCCTTCCTAACATAGTGAAACCCCGTCTCTACTAAAAATACAAAAAATTAGCCGGGCGTGGTGGCACGCGGCTGTACACAATGAACATGTATTACTTTTGTAATCGGAAATAATGTTATAAAAATGAAATACTTTTAAAAAGCATTTATGATACAGATATTGTTATTTATGTTTTTCCTCAAGTGATTAGTTGCTCTGCCTTATTTTGGCCAAGTTCCAGGTAAGCTTCTGGGCACTTTATTGAAAAAAATAAATCAAGTAAATCATTAGACTAAAATTATATATTGATTTTGCAAAAGTAGCAGTATTTTGCTGGACAAAGTCACAGAGCTAAAATATATGATATTTTCATTTTTAACAATGAAACGACTATTATAATTAAAAGAATTCAGTTTGCATTATATGCCTTTAAATAAAGATTAAATGGACCCCTGACACACCAAATTAATATGTAATCCAGTTTCATTTTTTAACTAATGGAAACACAAATTAGTATAATTTTATAATTTAATACTCAGCAATAGATCATTTTTTAAAATAGAAGAAATTAAACATTTTTCCACATACCATCCTTAGGGAACAAGGCATATCATAAGATATGACAAATAAGCTTCTAGGAAAAGTCTTCATTTGTTCTTTCCAGAAAATGTGAATTTGCTAATTTGGTGACAAATATATGTATACATATTATATGTAATAAAATTATACTGAAAATAAAATCAATGAAATATTGAAATTTTAAGTGCAAAGCATCTGGTTAAAACTGCCTACTCTTGCTTATATATCCTTTTTTATTTGCTATTTATATTAGCAAAATGAACTTAACATAATGCCTCAAATAGTTAATGAATATAAAGCTTTAAAACAGTAAATATGTATTGTACATGATCTTTTGGAATCTGATTTCAGGTACAACTAATTTGACAGGCAGTATGATAAGGAACAATCTGAATGACACGTAAACAGGAGGGGGTAAATTCCAAGCACAGCCTGAATGAGAAGTACAACTCATTTCCTGTAACCTAGATGCCTTTTTAACACATCTATGCAGTCTCCATGTGAAACCAGGTGCTGTTCCCAAAGGAGAAAACACTGCCCTCCAGTGGTCTTCAATGAAGAAATGGAAATAGTTTCAGGTACCATGATAGCAGCATTTACATGAAACATGGTATATTTATCTAGTCTCATTTTTGGCTGTATTTCTTAAGCTGAAACACGTCTACAACTGAGCATAAGGACAAAATTTCCAAGATAAATTCTAATAGGTAGGTAGTTACTCCAGTTAGATAGACATATTAACAAGGAGGATTATGACTTTCTAACCCCAAAAGCTGACCATTTATTCGACTATCAAAATTGGATTATGTTAGCCACCTATAGTTTCTCACTTTCCAGATAAGAAAGAAGATATTTCATCTCTGTGTTTCCCTTGTTGGCCAATTTTTTAGCTAAAAGACATTTAAAATTGTACAGCAGGCAGAACCCCAGGGGACTGAACAGTGTTCCAACATCCTTAAAGGCTTCCCATCACTTGAAAAACCAAATTCTTCCTCCTGTTTCTTAAACTAACCAAAGTAGGCAAAAGCAATTTTTAAAAGTCTTTGTGTCTAGCATTGGAACTTTCTCATATTTCACACCATTATATAAATGTCACTCTAACCTATATGTATCACAAATGCTACGCTAAATTAGGGCCAAATTTGCAACCTAGTTTAACTGGGTTTCCTCTTTTTGCAAATGCAGTTTTTGTGTCTGCATTTAGCAATGCATACAAAACTGTCCGTGTAGCTAACTGCTTCAAATTGCTAAATTTGAGGATGGATGTGTAGAGTCTTTATGTATGTGCCAAAGCAATCCTGTTTCTAGTCATATAAAGACTTCCTAATCAAATGGACCTTGACTACATTGCTAAATTCTTGGACCACTTCACTTACTCTTTTGGATTTAGTAAAGGAAAAACTGAATTTTAAGAGGGGAAAGAGACAGTTTTCAAACCTCCTCCATGTCTCTGTCCTTCAGAAACCAGAATGGAACTACATCACATGATCAGATGGACTCTAGAGTCCCACAGCTATAAAGCCTCATCCATTACAAGCTATGTGACTTAAACTTAGCCTCATTTTTCTCATCAGTAAAACAAAATCACGTTGGGTTCATTAGGTGATTATTAACGACTGAATGAGGGAATGTACGTGAAGTGTCTAGCAAAGAGAAAGGGCTTCACCAAGACGCTACTGTTATTCTATCACCATCACTTCTTAGACTATTAATCCAATGGTCAAGTAAATTTTTCTAGAGATATGACTTTCTAAAATTTATTCCCATTTATCACCTTAAATAATGTTCATCATTCAGTTTACTATATAGAAAATGTCCTGAGTCCTCCAGATAAATTCTTTAAAACAAATGCCTTGTGCTAAGAGAAAATATTTTAACATCACATTCCTCAAATATAGCACCTTTAAGTATGAATCAAGTTTTTCTTCTTTTCACTCCCACAGAAGATGGTATCCATTATATAATCACCTGGATTCACAAAGCACTTTAGCATGTAAAAAATGACAAACATCAAAATTGTAATCACTGCAAGGGTAGTATAGTAATTAGACATATTTGGGTATATTGTAGTAAATTTAAAAGTTTCTGAGCTTGAGAAAATAAAATTCCATAACCATACTTGCTCTAGTTGTTTAACTCAACTTACTGTACATTTCAGAGAGAACAATTACTTTCTTTAGGAGATTAATGCACTATCCTTTGAGATGAAGAAAAACCTACAGATTTTAACAAAACATTGTTTGTTCTTGTCACTAGCTGTGGTGAGGAGTTTTTACTGAGCCATGATAGCACATCTTTATCTCCTACTTCTGTGTACACTTGCGGCATTATAACACATAGTTTTATCTGGGTAAATTCACTGAGTATGGTCTTCACTGATCATGACATCTCATCAATAATCTCATTATTATGCTTTATGTCATACAACATAGAATCTTTGATTACTCAAAATATTTCTTATAACTCAGAATCAAACTGTTTATGATTTAAAACAGAATGTATTGATGAATAGAGAATGCAACAGTGATTTGATAAATGTTTAATAATTTATCAAACTCAGAAAATTTTGGGACAAAGTACCATTTAAAGATAAAGCAAATAAGTACAGCTAAATATTGTAATAGTGTATAGGTGTTACACTGAAGCCTGTGTATAAGCATTAACTATGTACCAATAAATGCAAAGAAAATAAACTTTGGTTATAGCTTATCTAAATTAATCTCAGAATTTGACAATTAAACATATGAATTTGTAATAAACATTCTGCATTTTTTTAAAATTCATCATATTTGTAACAGTGCCAAAATAATCTAAAATCAGAACGCTTTCTGAGTATAATTATATTATTATAATTCTCTACCTTGACAGATGACAATTTTAGAACACCCTAAATACAATTTCTAGTATATGCACTAAAATAAAATGTAACAGATAGACAACTCACCATAGTATAAGTAACACATTCAAATTTAGTAATTTATTTTCCAGGTGGAAACCAGGCTTCTTGGAAGACTTCAAACTATGCCAAATGGTCTGATTTCACCATAGAGGTAGGCACTAGAGGACTAAATTTACTTCTGTGTAATTTTTGTTAGCTACATTTTACATGCAAATGTCTATACAACCATGTTAATGAAGTTATAGAGAAGAAAAGAAAGTTGGCATTCCCACTTTTGTTTTATTCCAAAGCAACTTTTCAGTTGACTTGCTATCATTTTAAGCCATTGTTGTTTAATCATAAGAAAACAGAAAAGTCTAACGATGCATTCGAATTGGATTGCAAGTCCAGAAAAACAATATGTTACTTCTAAATAAAATTTAGATTTGACATTTTTTCCCTCATAACTTTATGGTGTTCACAACATAGGATAACTTTATAGTGTTCACAACATAGAATGCTTCTAGTGGAATCAGACAAAAAAAAGTTTTGTTAATAATAAATATTTAGAAAAGTTCAGTTTTTCTGATCCAGAGTTGGTTATTTAGAGGAAAAATTTTGTTCCTTCTTATCAAGGGGCTCAAAATTTTCTGCACCCCAAATGGAATTGGCTGCTTAATTGATAGTTATCCAAAATCTTTTTTCCAAGAAATATAAGCAAATATATTTAAATTTGACATGGGTAAATTTCCTATAAAAATGTTGATATTTAAGCTTCAAAGCCCATATTGGCAATGAAAAGTGTACAGTATCCTTTTAGGTGGAACATTAATAATCTAAAATTTGTCTCATTATAAGGGAAATGTGCCTGGGGTATATGAAAAATAATGGTTTAAACTAAAGACACAGATGATTTGCAATAAAACTGAAAGTAATATCTCTAGAAGTGTAGGTGATAAAAGGAGAAAGAGACAGAAATAATGGTTGCAGCTCTGCATTTATGGTATAGGTTACAGCCAAGACTGGATACAATCTCATCTCATAATATCCAAAAGAATAAAGCAAAATAAAACCTCCTTCACCCTCGCACATTAAAAGGAATCAACATCTTGACCCAAAGTTCAAACTCCTAGAACTTGTAAATATCTGTAAAACCCCCAACACCAAGGTTTCTGTAACCTGTCACATCAGAGAAATAGGGAGATCTTCCACCACGGAAATATGACTATTAAGAATTCACAGATTACCTGAAACATTTACTAATCACCTCCCACCCCCAACACCCCCTCCTCCGAGGGAAAAAGAAAAAGGGAGTGAGAGAGGAAGACTCAAAGCACTGGGGAAAGCCTGCTATGAAAATGCCAGGCCTTTCTTGGGGCTTAGACCGTCAACCTAATCCTAGCCAGAACTATCGCAGGACTATAATAGGGCAACAGAGTACTTTGTGTTTGAGAATTGGGGTAGGAGGACCAGGATGTGAAGACATCTAACAAATTCATAGATTTTTAAAAAGCATTTGAGAGCGTTGTGTTTATACATGCTGGGCAACATAAACCATAAACCTTGCTGGATTTCTGCAAACTGCTGCGTGGAGGATACAAACGACATTCCTGTCAATGGGAGGAATAGACAGACAGAAATCAAGACAGAGATAGGCAGCACCCCCAGGATGTGAAGCTTGTTCCAATTGCAAGCTGTAGTGGAAGGAGATGATGACACCCAGAACAAAATGTCTTTTTCACGAGGATGCTGAAGCTCTTGCTTTGTGATCTCTGTTTACAGAAGGAATGATCCATGGAAAGGACTTAATTTCTCCATTTTCTGGAATCGAAATATAAGGGCTTTTTAGTTAAAGTTCTTCCTGTAGAGTGTATTGTTGTGTTCCATGAAACAGACAAAACTCAGCAAGACAACAAAGACTTGATCTGTAAGAGAAGGTATTAAACAGCAAGTCCTCTCCAGAGGGTAATTAATCCTTAGTCATTCATCTTAGAAGTCCCAGTTACAGTTAAGGTTAATGTTCAGGTAGCTTCTTTCTACTTTCTTTAAAAATTTTTTTAAACATTTTTTTTTTTTTACAGAATGTTATACTATTAATTGCCAATTTGCATATGTGTGCAGCTGCTGTTTTGGCTCTGAACTCAATCCGATAAGCTTGCTGGAGGTATCGCAGAGCACTTGGCAGCTTTCCTATTTGAAAAGAAAGCCTCTCCCCTCTACAGAACAGCTGATCGTCTATCAGCGATAGACCCTGATGGCGTGAATTACAATTACACTACTTTTCACACTAAATCTGGGTGATAGCTACTTGGAAAGAAGTTTCATCATTTTTTACCACAAACTGGAAAAAGAATTACATGGTCATGCTGTGCTTTTAAAGGCAGTTTGGTTCACTTTTGTCTATTTAACACCTAATTCCAAGAAGTCCATAGGCATCTAGAGATCTGAATGGCGCGTAATGAATTCACTGTTTAGATTGAAGATTTTAAAAATCTACCTCAAATTACATTTATTAACAGGGCGACCAGGAAGTGTTAAAGTTGTTAGACACTTCATTTATTAAATAATTTGTGGGTATTTTCAGTTGTCATATCTAGAGTCATGGGGTTTGCTTATTTTTTTTAATTAGCAATCCAAAACAATGCTACTGCAATTTAACAATTCATCACATAATCTTGGGCTCTTCAGTTCAACTGCTAATGTTAGATAATTCAGATTGTTATTTTTGTCTGTTTATAAATGATTTTGGTTGCATTGTGCTGTGAGGAGAACTGCAGCAGCCCAGGCAGATGATCTTTCTCTTATTTCCTGCATTGCTCAGGATGGTTGAGGGGCCTTCCAAAAAATGCATTTGAGGAGTTAAGTTTAGCATCTAGCAAAAGCAAACAAGTGATGGGGCAGGGGGCACTAATAATAACTTGATTTATTATCATCACTTATTTACGTCATTATCAATTTACATTTCCTGTCTGTTCGGAAAACTGAGGAAGGGCCTCTTTGCCAAACTACATTTTGTTAGAATCCTCCATTTCTCTGATTTTCTGGGACGTTAGAAAGTATTGTCTTTCCTCTTCTTGAAAGAATCGGCCAACCATCAGAAAATTTAAGAAGCTCCTAAACATCCCTTTTCTTTTCTCTTTCTTTCCTCAGCCCTCTTCCCCTCCCATCTTGACATTTAAATCAATTTGTTGGGGTGGGTGGGGGGGAAAGAACAAGAGTTAAACCCACCTCAGGCAGCAGAAGTGGAACACATTAATCCTGACGTAGTTAACCTAAGAGAAAAATAGATTTTGTTTTCCTTTTTTAGTCGCTAGCTTTATTAGATTTCTCACTCTCACAGATTATCCGAAGACTACCCATTGATTGATCGCCCGTAGAGCTGCATTTGGTGTAATGAAAAAACTCACAGCTTTATTGGCTCTCAGGAGACAAAACAAACAGAACAAGATATTCATATTAATGCAAACAATGCAACAAATGAGGGGAAGAATCGCCCGGCTGAAGCGAGGCCCGGCGCGGCCGCGGCCGGGGGGCTGAGAAGGGCCTGGGTGCCTGTCGCCCGGGAGCCGAGGTTTCCCGGCCTCCCCCGACCCCGGGCGCCAAGAGCAGTCGGTCCCCCCGGCCTCCCGCCGGCAAAGGGGCCCTGGGGCCCAGGCGCGCGGCCCCTGCGTGGCGGCAGGCGGCCCAGGCCAGCGCCGGCGGCTAGAGAAGGCCTCCAGTCCAGGCCTCATGGAAGGGCCTGCCTCGAGCGGCCCCTCAACGCCCCGCAGTGTGGCACTGGAAGGGACCTAAAAACCCACCTGGCTTTCTCCTTTCCCCTTCCCCACGCTTCCCAGGGCCCAATGCCCGCATCTCAGTTTCGCTTTCCGGCAGGGTCAGGGGTGAGAGGGAGGAATTCTCAGGTGTCACCTCCTCACCCGCCTGGAGGCGGAGGCTAGAAAGACGCCGGGGCACTCTGGAGGGGAGGAAGAGGTGTGCCTAGAATTCTCTCTCTTAAACGCTCGCGTTATCACGGAGGAGACTTTATAAACACTTTAAACACAACACCAACCATTTTATCAGCAAAAGCGAGGGGAGGGGGGCGTACAGTAAATGCTGAGAGATGTTCGAGAAGCCCCAAGACGTTCCTTGCGGAAGGAGAACGGAAGAAAGAAAATTACGGGCGGAAAAAGAGTAAATATTAGCTCCACACCTAACCACTTCCCCAGCCCCAAACTAGGAGAGAATCTGCTAAGATTCAGCTTCATATTTATATAGTCTATGTGATGTTAAAAATAGGGTTGCCAAATATTGCATGGGGCATTCTTAGAGTAAAAAATTGTTATCTACCTGAAATTCAAAAAATTTAACTGGGCATCCTGTATTTTTATTGGCTAAATCTGGCAATTCTAACTAAAAAACATTCTGCTGAAGAAATCATATAAGAAGGAAGGCTCATTGTCTGATGTAATCAGGTTATTGGGGACATGTTTAATGGAACCTTGCCTGGAAAAAGAAATTGAGTTTCTCCTACAGCATACTTTTGTAAGCACATGGTAGGGTGGAGGAGGAAGAAATGACTGAAGCGACTTGGAAATGTCCTTACATTATATTTGAGGAGGAAATGACAGTCATTGTTGCCACTTCACTAGGAAATGGAGCCGGGTTCCTTTCCTAAGGTTGGCTGACTGGGTCTGGCCCACAGAAACCCTCCCTCCCTAGCCGGTAGAGCGTACCCTAGCATGTCTGCAAGTGGAATGTCAGTTACAGTGGTTCCCATGTCGGCATTAGTGCATATATTTTTTCTAAACCTTGACTATAGAGCCACGTTACCCATTGGTATTTAGTATATTTTGAAAAAAAAAAAAGAGTTGAGTTGAGAACTTTAAAGGCAAAGTCTGCTTTGAAATGTATCAAAGGCTTTAACCTAGAAATAGATCTCATCCAATAGGGTCTTGCAGATGCTGAAAGAAAAGGCTTTTGCAGTGCCAAAGGTAAAACCTCAGGAAAAACGCAACAAAACAGTGGGTCTTTGTATATTGAAGTGTGTGTGAGAGGGTGAGGAGTTAGAAAGCTGCTTTCTGGAGAAAGCCTGCTGCTTGCATTGCTTCCCCAGCCCCAGTTAGAGAGAGCTTTTTCAAGCAAGCTTTATCACCCTTACTGATACTTTGGATCCCCAGTGAGCTAGCCTTCCTTTTAAGCCAGTTGCTTGAAGAGGTCTGAGTACACCCACACAGGATGCCCCTTTATCACTGGCGGGTAGAGCTATTTAACAGCTGCAAATGGAGAAACTATTTGTCTAATGAGTGCTGTTTTCAGAGTTGATTCACCAATACTCTCAGGGGAAGATAATATAAGGCCGAGACTTCCTTCTGAGCTGCACAGCCATCTCCAGACAGTGAAGGCCAGGTCTGGAACCAAATGAAGTATTTGGTTGGTTTAGATAATGTTTTAGTTCCAGATCAATAGTTTTAGAAAATACATAAGCTCACTTCCAGTTCGTGCTGGTTAGCTATTTTGTTTCCCCCAGACAAACTCTAACCTAGAATTCAGACTGTTAAAAAACTTAGCACTGTGGTTTGGCAGTTATGGTATGGTTTAACTCCATACTCTAGAGGTACAAATCATTTTTTATCTTCTCTCATGTTAGTTTGTGTCTACAAAAATATGTTCCATGACTTGCTCTTCCCTCATTGGAGCAGGCCAGAGAGATGCTCAACACCCAGTGGGTTAAGGTGCCTCTTTTCCAAGCAGAAATGGACTGGGGCCCTTGTTAGAGTGGTGATAAACTGACAACATTGATTGATTGATAGATTGATTGATTAAGATGGAGTCTGGCTCTGTCCCCTAGGCTGGAGTGCAGTGGTGCGATCTCGGCTCACTGCAACCTCTGCCTCCCAGGTTCAAGCGATTCTCCTGCCTCGGCCTCCAGAGTAGTTGAGACTACAAGCATGCACCACCACGCCCAGCTAATTTTTGTATTTTTAGTGGAGATGGGGTTTCACCATGTTGGCCAGGCTGGTTTCGAACTCCTGACCTCAGGTGATCTGCCTGCCTCGGCCTCCCAAAGTGCTTGGATTACAGGCGTGAGCCACCTCACCTGGCCGACAACTTTAAATAATAAACCCCACTCCAGTGTCAGGTAATGTCAGGCCCCCTACTCTCTCTGTGGTTTATTCTTTTGTGTAAAAAGACTTTGGATAGGACTTAGGCTTCCTCTGAAACAAAGTACAAAGTCAGTGAAACACTGTATTTTATTTGAGGTAAGGGCTGGTTATGGAAAAAACAATAGTTTGAAAAAGACAGGAGAGCTTGAGTTGAGTTCCAACTATTTGAGTAGGTGTGAGGGACTCATTTATTCTCTTTAGATACAGTGGGGTTTTTTTGTTTGTTTCTTTATTGTTTGTTTTGTCCACACAAAAAGAAAGTTGAATTAGGCAGTCTTTAACATTTTCTTTTAAAAACAACTATTCCTTGAATTATTTTAAAGTGAAAAGTCATTATTTTTACAGTCCTTCCAAAGGATATTAACAAGATAGTTTTTGAATGTATTCATGGTATAGCCCTAAACAACAAAGGACACATGGGCAAGTGCCAGGATATCCAGGCCTTCTGGATTCCAAGGGGACATTCAACCATGGGAGATGGGTTAAACGTCAAAGGGTTGCATAATCAGGTACAGATTCTCTGAAAATGTGTGAGTGATTTTGAGATAGACATAACCCTCTATAGTCAGGACAAGGGGATAACATGTTTGAGAACTTACTTCAGTCCTATTAGGGGATTGATGCTTCAGAGAAAAGAGGACTACAATAAGATGAAAGCTACAGCTATGCAGTAAATAAACGTGGCATAATCATTCTGAATATTCTAGTGCTTGGTGCACTTTAAAGTGTGTGAATTCATCCATGAGGAGCTCTGAGGATGGAGGAAGTTGGCAATCTAGGAACTGGTCCTAGAAATGACCCAAGAAACTTGCTTCTTTGTATCTTTTTGGTGATAGAAGATGATGTTTCTTTTAATTTGAGGCCTTCTTGAACTGTAAGCTCCCACAATCTTTCGCTAAACAGACTTCATTCACATTCTGAATCTGGTTTTTGTCTCACACATATTAAATTTTACAAAACAGAAAGAAACAATAGAGCTTATTAGGAAAAACTTGTTTTGAATAGTAAATTAAGCATAATGGAAATAGGCACATGTTTTAGCACGGTTTTTTCCCCTTTTTTACCAATTGAACATTTACATCTTTTTCAAAGTGCTGTGATTTTCCCCTTAAGTCTTAAGCTGGCACCACACACTTTCAACAAATGAGACTTACATCACTTGTATCTGCTGAGAGAAATCATTGTAATACTGTGGATTCCAAATGCACAGCCTTCCAAAAAAGAGTTTTAGTCACCCCTAAACTGTATTAATCAAATCAATGTGGCATTCTAAGAATCCAAAGAACTACTTAATTTCAAAGACAGTGTAAATCAACTGGCAGCTCTGACTGATTTCAAAATATGCCGTTTTCAGAGACTGGAAACCTGTATATTCAGAGGTACACCTGACTACATGGTGTGTTATTAAGAGATATGCCCCAGGTGGAGGAATCTTCAAAGCCAATATATTTTCTTTATAACTGGTGTCAAATTGATGTATATATTAAAAAATCTTGGAAAATGATCTCAAAAAGGAAGTAACAGCCCAATGAGCCATATGTTCAGGGAACCTAACAGGTTTCCATTGGGACCAAATTTCACTTCACCTTTTTGTCCTTATGTGCAAATAAAAACTTATCTGTAAATACACCGTTAAAACAGTCATGCAAATTTGTGAGGTCTGTATACTGAGAGGAAATTACACTAAGCCTGTATAAACCAAGTTATTGGAAGATAAATAATTTGGTGAGATACATAACAACATGGGATTGAACTAAATTTGTTTGAGCTCTGTAGATTCACAGCTTTAGAGAGACATTGCTTCTACAGAATTGGTTAATGAAGCAAAGGCTGGTGAATAGTTAATAAATTGCTTAATTTTGATGCTGATGGAACATCTGAATCTCCACGTTTACATGAATAAATATAAAGTTAAAATTTGTTTTGCTGTTAGATAGGTTGCTATTTTAACAGATTCAGACACAAGGGAATTTTCCAAATGCCAGCTAATACTGTAGCATCAAGAAGTCTGTATATGCCAAGGGCAGAGGCCTGCTTAGTGGTTTTCCAAAGAGTGGAAAGCAGAAAGCATTAACATTTACTTACACAAAATCCTTTATGTAACTCTTCTAAGATTTTTCAACTTAAAAACTTTAAAACGTTCTGTATGATTTTAGTAGATCTGAAGTTTGCATTCAGCTATTCTATTGGTATGCCTGGGCATATTCTAAAAGGAAAAATGATTCACTCTGCACTTGTGTAGTTTTTCACATGACTAGGATCAATGAGGATGGTATAAAAATACCAAAATTTACTCATTTTAATTTCATTTTTGTGTACTTTTATCATGAAATATTACAAAGCAGAATAATATAAATGAAACCTTTGTGTATATATGACTGAGCTTTAGCAAACCTTATTTTAAATTGATTTTTTAAAAAGGAACAATGGTGTGTATAAAGTTATGCAAAGGTAGGGGTCAGCAGAAGAAACAATTACACTGCACAGGTTTTTAGTTACTCTGGAGGTCCATCTATGGCTTACGGGGAAGGAAGTTTTATGATGTTTATAAGGGTAGTTTATGTAAACCCGTAACAGTAAAAATATTTTAATGGTAGGAATAAAAGTGCCTTTTAAGTGCAACAATCAGCTTTTACGGTCAAAAAGTAACAGGAGGTTGTATGAAATCTCAGGTCCCCGCCTGCATCAACAGGTATGAAAGGCTTTTTTCAGCAGACTCGGGTTCCGATGGGCTCTTTGTCGGAGGGGCGGCCAGGGCGCTGCTGTTTTTGACTAGCTTGTCTCGGGCCAGAGTATAGAACAGAGCGGCCAGGCGGGGAGCTGGGCCTCCAGATCAGGTCCTGCCCCCATCTGCCCCACAGTCTTCGCGGCAGGGGGGAGCGCGGCCCGCTTCTTTCCAGGCCCTTCTCTCCCCGCGACGGTCTTTCGAGG